>NC_000001.11:199434587-200684587 GCF_000001405.40 Homo sapiens | reverse complement strand
CAGGCTGATCTTGAACTCCTAGGCTCAAGGGATCCTCCTGCATCAGCCTCCCAAAATGCTGGGATTATAGGCATGAGCCACGACACTCAAACAAAAATCTCAAATTTTAATGTTATTTTTATTTTCTATATGTAGTACTGCCTTATTTTGCCTCACAGAGTAAATTGCCATTGAAAGAAAACACTTTGAAGAAAGTGACCTAATGAAGCAATCAATAAGATATAGATTTACAGAGACAGGGTGACTACTCCAGCAAGGCCTCACACGGTTACTTTACATCGATGTGGTCACCAAAGTGAAGTTAGCTATGTAAGTTCTGAAAGTAAATTTGATCAGTGATTCAGAGAGTTGATTGGTCTCTGATGAAAGGACTCACGGTAACCAACTCACCGAAGACTGATATTTAAAGTGGAATGCCTTCTTACTCATTTCTTGTGAGGCACCTCACTGACACAGACCAGATTGCTCAAAATGTTTGCTCAGGGCATGTTTTCTCTTGCATGAGACCTGGCACATAGAAAATACTCAATAAAAGCCAGGCACAGTGGCTCAGGCTTATAATGCCAACACTTTGGGAGGCTAAGGCAGGAGGACTGCTTGAAGCCAGAAGTTCGAGACCAGCCTGGGCAGCAAAGTGAGACCTCTGTCTCTACAAAATTAAAAATTAAAAAAAAAATTAGCCAGCCATGATGGCTTGTGCCTGTAGTCCCTGTAGTCTCAGGTACCTAGGAGGCTGAGGCAAGAGGACTGCTGGAGCCCAGGAGTTCAAGGCTACAGTGAGCTATGATTGTGCCACTGCACTACAGACTAGGCAACAGAGTGAGACCTCGTCTCATAAAAAAAAAAAAAAAAGAAAGAAAGTACTCAATAAATATCAGCCATTATCATTATCGTTATTATCATTAATATTATAGTGCAATTGACTGAGATTTTGCTCATCTCCCCTTTATAGGGAACCCACTCTGATCTTTGAGGTGGCTCTGGACCTTTTGGAGTCATGCTCACTTTGAGAGTCTAATGAATTCTGTGGATACTTCCAGCAGATAAAAAAGCCCATATGTACATATGGAGAATGGGCTAAGAACTGTGCTCTTATGTCCACTATGGCCCTACTCAAATGCTCAGACTTGAGCAGTCCTGAGTTAAGAGTAAAATGCATGTGCAGTTCACAATCAGGCAACCACACTAGAACACTGGGCTGGGACAAACTCTCTTGGCTTTTTTCTTTCATTTTGCTTTGTGCCTTTCTTCTTTTTTTTCTTGGAAATATCCTCCCCTCAGAAAGCCAAAAAATGTGAAGCCCAGGCCTGCCTTGATTGAAGACATAAATAGTCCTCACCCCACCTGACTCATTGCTCTCCTTTTCATTTCTCCCTCTCTCTCTTTTTAAATTTTAAAGTGATTTTTTAAATTTTAAAGTGATTTCACTATTCATGTGGATATTCCATCTGACATCTTGGCCTCTCAGTTCCTCAGCCTTTTTGGCATCTGATAATCTAATCCTCCATGCCCCCTCAGATGACCATGGCATTCTTTTTCTCATGACAATCACTGCACACTTCTGACACTGTAACTTCCAGAGTCCCATTCTCTGACCAGCATCCCCCATCCTTCTGGATTCTCAAGAACTCCTGCTTCAGCAATTCTTCAACTTCATGAAGAACTCTCATTCTTAGACTCTATCATTTTCTCAACTATAATCAGCTATCCATGTCCTCACGTCTTTTTCTTTAGCTAGCCTAAAAGCCACAGCTCATGTTTATAATGACTCCCTTGCAAACACCCTTAAAACCTTTGCCCTTCTCTCCCTGAGCTTACCCTGTTGTATTCAATTAGGAAAGCCTGAAACTCTGCTTATACCCAACAATCTGCTCACTCTGGGCCTGCATGAGAGCAGCCAAATAGTGCTCAGCTGATCTTATTCACCATATCCATTAGTTTTCTTTAAATTCATGGCCCAAAATCTCAGTTGGGTGCTTAGCATACTTGACAATCCTACTATATTTCTTGAAATGTTCTCTTTCCCACTCTTCAAAAAGACTAGTTCACATCTTCCGTCTTTTCAAAGCTTCTAAATGATACCACCTCCCCACAACCCCAGCTGTAGCCCCACTCTTACCCACAGCTTTAACAAAAAATGAATAAATCAAAGCAGACAGCCAGGAGCGGTGGCTCACACCAATAATCCCAACACTTTGGGAGGCTGAGGTGGTTGAATCACTTGAGGTCAGGAGTTTGAGTCCAGCCTGGCCAACATGGTGAAACCCCATCTTTACAAAAATATAAAAAATTAGCCAGATGTGGTGGCACGTGCCTGTAATTCCAGCTACTCAGGAGGCTGAGGCAGGAGAATCGCTTGAGTCTGGGAGGCGGAGGTTGCAGTGAGCTGAGATTGCACCACTGCACTTCAGTCTGGGCAACAGAGCGAGACTCCATCTCAAAAAAAAAAAAAAAATCAAAGCAGAAAAGGACCACTCAAACTACAGTGTGCTTTTGTATGTACCCATTTTGAGTTACCTCCTAGTTCCATGGATCAAGTGTCCTTGCATTTCAAAGGCCAGCCCTTCTGTTTGTGTTCTGCAGCCCATGCAAATCTTGCATCTTCAAGGACTTTGCTCTGGAAATTATTCCCTCTCTCACCTGTATAATCAATTTCTCCCTTTCCCATGGTTTATTTCCACCAGCAAACAATACGCCATAATAGCTCCTATCTTAAGAGAGAAAAAACATATCTTGACCACATATCTCTCTCCAGCCCCAGGCAAGTTTCTCTGCTCCCCTTCATAACAAAACTTCTTGAGTTGGCCATAATCGCTGATTAGCTTTTTACCCCACATTTTCTCCTCAGTCCATTTCCCCTGAGATTCCTCTTGTCCAAGTCACTAATGGCTTCCATTCTGCCAGATATAACAGTCACTTCTCTGTTTTTATTTTACTTGAATCTCTGAGAGGTATTAGAAACACTTCTCCTTGAAATACTTTCTTCTTTTGCTTCTAGGGCAAAACAATCTCTGGGTTTCCCTCCTTCTTCAATGACATTTATTCTTAGATCACTTGCCAGTTCTTCTTCGACTCAGTCTTTAAAAGCAGGAGTGCCAAAGGCTCTGTCCCTGCTTCCCTTCTCTCCGTTTATGCATACTCTCAAGTCAAGTGACCATTTCCACTCCTGTCGCTTTACATGCTATTTTTAAACTTAAAAGAGTGGTTGAGGAGCTAGGTGACTGCGGTAAGGGTAGGAGTACAGTTCATACCTTTTACTTTTTATACAATGTATAAGCATCACATACTCAGACCAATTAAAATGTAAATAAATACGTGAGAGCGAAAAACATCTCTCTCATTTAGGCCACAATTAATTTGATTTTTTTCTTATATGCAGCCAAGCTGAATCCTAACTCATACAGAGGGACAGGTTGAATTTACAGGGCAAAAAGGGGTAACTACTAGTGTTAAGGAAGGCAGGAGGGACAGAATCCCCAGCCCCAGTGGAGGAATCAGCCTTTGATAGGACAAAGGGCACATCCTATGTAGCACAGAGGAAAGGAAGCACAGAGAATTACTGATAATGCAGGAAGATTTGCATGTTTGGTGAGAAGCTGAGAGGGTTCTTATGTCATGGCTTCGTGTTGTCTATGAAATAGGAGGCAAGGTTCGCTCATCAGTCAGGGAGTGGGTCCAGGGAAGCTGGGAGAGGGGATTTTTGAGGCTTGGAGGGAGTGATGGTTTACAATAATTGTTGCTGCAATGGAAGAGCAAGTTGACCAGAGAAAAGCAATAGGATTGTTGAGGGCCCCTTTGTGACTGGTAATCATGAATTTTTATTATTATTATTATTATTACTTGAGACGGGGTCTCACTGTGTCACCCAGGTTGGAGTGCAGTGGCGAGATTGGATCTTGGTTCACTGCAACCTCCGCCTCCTAGGCTCAAGGAATTCTCCTCCCACCTCAGCCCCACGTAGCTGGGACCACAGGAGCACGACACTATGCCCAGCTGATTTTTTTTTTTTTTGGTATTTTTGATAGAGATGGGGTTTCATAATGTTACCCAAGCTGATCCCCTGAGCTCAGGCGATCTGCCTGCCTCCCAAAGTGCTGGCTGGGATTACAGGTGTGAGCCACCGTGCCCAGCCAGGTATCCATGAATTTATAGGCGAGAATGCAGCAGATATGAGTTGTAACTTTCTTGGTTCAAATCCAGGCTCTGCCAGGAAATGACTGCTCTCAGGCAGGTTTCTTAAAGTTTGTACCTCAGAGTTTCCTCATTTGTAAAATGGGGGCTCTTTCATTTATTCAACAAATATTTAAGTGTCTACTGTGCACTATTAGACACACTTCTCCTTGAAAGCATAGTTCTTGGGGCTGAGATTAGAGCCAAATGGCCAGATATGATGGCTCATGCCTATAATCCCAGCATTTTGGGAGGCCGAGGCAGGAGAATTGCTTGAGGCCAGGAGTTCGAAACCAGCCTTGCCAACTTAGTGAGAACCTCACATCTCTATTTTTAAAATGTTAAAAAGTATTTTTTAAAAAACATATTAGAGCCAAAAACAAGAAAAACTTTGTTCCTTCATGGAGCTCACAATAGTTATATGTACCTTCCTTTTAGATTGTTATGAGGATTACACGAAATTTTAATTTCCTAAATGCTAAGATGTACACTTTTTTACATTTTACAGCTCTGAAATTGAGATTCATTTTACAATCAATGGCATTTTACAGTTAATTGGCAGGGTGTTTTTCTTTTTTAGTGTTATATAGAGTAATGGTGTCACTTATAATCAATGGGGTTTCAGATTCCATAAAATATGATCATACTTATAAAATCTTAATTAAGTATCTGGAAGGCTATACACTGCAGCACTTGTAATAGCAAATAACTGGAAACAGCTCAAATGGTTATCTGCGAGAGACTGGAGCTATAGTGCACCCAATGGAGAAGTGGAAAGGAATGAAGAATATTTTTATACACTGCCATGAAGCAATCAATCTCCAGGATATGTTGTCAGCTGAAAAGAAGGTGGAAAAAGTGTCTACAGTATGCTTCTGTTTATCTAAAAGGTGTATATATATATGCACAGATATAAAATACTTGCTTATATTTTCAAAACTGGAAGGATAGACAAAACAATTTTTGAATTAAAAAAATTAAGTAACCTATGGGAGAGGGAAGGAATAGGGTGGAAGGAATAAAAGCTAAAGTTTTCAGAATATACATAGTTTTGTAGATTTGATTTCAAACCCTGTAAATGTATTGTGTTTTTGTTTTTGTTTTTTTAGAGATAGGACTAGGTATGTTGCCCAAACAGGAGTGCAGATCATTCACAGGTATGATCATAGCACCCTGTAGCGTCACACTCCGGGGCTTCAGTGATTCTCCCGACTCAGCCTCCCAAGTATCTGAGACAGGTTTATAAAATTATAAAACAATGTTAAATCAAAATGGAAAAGAAAATCAATTCATGAAAAGCAAAAGCAAAAGGAAACAAATAGATCCACCCTTTGAATTGACTTAGTGGCTTAACCATACAGAAAGGATTATTTCACATGGTTTTAAAACACAATAATTTGACTATGTATCCTTACTAGAATATATCTGGAATTTTTAAAAAGTCAAAGACATTTTAAACTATTTTCAGTAATTATATGGTTAGTAATAATTTTGGTATTATTATTCTGAAGCCATTTTATATGTAACAAATAAAATTATATTAAATTTTTAAAATTTATTTATTTATTTATTTTGAGATGGAGTCTTGCTCTGTTGCCCAGGCTAGAGTGCACTGGTGTGATCTCGGCTCACTGCAACATCCACCTCCTGGGTTCAAGTGATTCTCCTGCCTCAGCCTCCTGAGTAGCTGGGACTATAGGCATGCACCACCACGCCTGGCTAATTTTTGTATTTTTAGTAGAGATGGGGTTTCGACATGTTGGCCAGGCTGGTCTCGAACTTCTGATCTCAGGTGATCCATCCACCTCCGCCTCCCAAAGTGCTGGGATTACAGGTGTGAGCCACCACTCCTGGCCATTAATATACTTAGAAACTAAAATTTTCAGTGTAAAAGTGATATCAAAATAAAATTTAAAACTTTTTAATTAAAAACCTTTTAACTTTTTAAAGTTAAATAAAAACCTTGTAATCCTAAATTTGAATAAAATGAACTTACGATTTTTTTCTCCTAAAAAAAAAAAAAAAAGAATGTCTGAGCTCTGTCCACTAAAAAGGCTTAGAAACCATAACCAATTTAGTAGCAATTAGCATCTCTCATGCCTAGGCTGTGGCCTATAAATACCATTTTCTGTCAAAGGG
Source organism: Homo sapiens (assembly GCF_000001405.40). Classification (NCBI taxonomy): domain Eukaryota; kingdom Metazoa; phylum Chordata; class Mammalia; order Primates; family Hominidae; genus Homo; species Homo sapiens. The sequence continues at coordinate 200,678,278 of NC_000001.11, read as the reverse complement.
AATCAGAAACCCAGGCTCCTGATAGAAATGGCTGATTCTCAGTCTGGGACAAAAATATGTAAGATGGGCCAGGCGTGGTGGCTCACGCCTGTAATCCCAGCACTTTGGGAGGCCGAGGTGGGTGGATTATGTGAGGTCAGGAGTTCGAGACCAGCCTGGCCAACACGTCGAAATACCGTCTCTACTAAAAATACAAAAATTAGCCGGGCATGGTGGCATGTGCCTGTAGTCCCAGCTACTCAGGAGGCTGAGGCAGGAGAATCGCTTCAACCTGGGAAGTGGAGGTTGCAATGAGCCAAGATCCCACCACTGCACTCCAGCCTGGGCGACAGAGCGAGACTCCAACTCAAAAAAAAAAGTAAGATGAGCTGGGAACAAGCTCCATCACACCAGAAAGCAAGGAAACTTTCAAAGACTACTGGGTTTTATGTGTCAAAAAGACCCTAAAGCCACCTTGAAGAGGTTCCCACTGTCAAAGATGGGACAATTTAAGCTTCACAAAGAATAGTAAGTGCAATTAACTGAAATGCATCAAATATGTTAAACATTCTTGAGTCTGGCCTCACACAGTAACTCACACCTGTAATCTCAGCACTTCGGGAGGCACAGGCAGGAAGATCACTTGAGTCTAGGAGATGGAGACCAGCCTGGGCAACATAGTGAGAAACACATCTCCACAAAAAATTTTTTAAAAAATTAGCTGGGCATGGTACTGTGCCTATAGTCCCAGCTACTCAGGAGGATCGCTTGAGTCAGGGAGGTCAAGTCTGCAGTGACCCTAAGTCATGCCACGGCATTCCAGCTGGACAACAGAGCAAGATCCTGTCTCAAAAAATAAATTAAATAAAATAAATCCTTGAGTCTGCCAGGCGCGGTGGCTCACGTCTGTAATTCCAGCAATTTGGGAGGCTGAGACGGGCGAATCACCTGAGGTCAGGAGTTCAAGACCAGCCTGGCCAACATGCTGAAACTCCATCTCTATAAAAATACAAAAATTAGCTGGGCATGATGGCAGATGCCTGTAATCCCAGCTACTCAGGAGGCTGAGGGGGGAGAACCGCTTGAACCCGGGAGGCAGAGGCTGCAGTGGGCCGAGATCGTGCCATTGCACTCCAGCCTGGGTGACAGAGTGAAACTCTGTCTCAAAAAAAAGAAAAAAAAAATCCTTGAGTCCATAGTGATTAAGGAAAAAAAAAAACACACACGCTCATAGGTCACCTTTGGAAGATGCCAGAGGATCAACTCCTTAGCCCATGGTTACAAAACAACACTCTTAATCAGTACAGCCATCTGTGCAGTGCTGGAACATTTCTGATTTCAGTAAAATATCTAAGGCTCGTTGCAGTGCTGAAATAAATCCTGAAAGTACACAATATAAGTGGGATAAGATGCAAAAGGAAGACAGAAGATGACAGACATGTTGGGAGAGAAATTAATAGACTAATGGTCCCAGTGTGATTGAAAATGATCATGACGGGAGAAGTTGAACAAAGTAAAGCTGGAAGAAAAGGAGGTTGTTACCAGATAAAAGAATATCCAAATTGGTGCTCTTGATTTGTCCCCTGCTGAGAAATTTAGAGTTGCCTTGGGAAAACCTAAGATGCTCTTCTCTTCATTTTTTGAAAGTTTAATGTCCCATGAACATGCCTAATCTTGAAAGGGAGAATCCAGCACAATACTTTTTCCTCTGGAAAATTAACGCATATTGGCAGCAGGTTTCTTTTTTTTTTTTTTTTTGAGAGAAGTCTCGCTCTTGTCCCCATGTTTGAGTGCAATGGCTTTATCTTGGCTCACTGCAACTTCCGCCTCCTGGGTTCAAACGATTCTCCTGCCTCTGCCTCCCAAGTAGCTGGGATTAAGGTGCCTGCCACCACGACCAGCTAATTTTTGTATTTTTTAGTAGAGATGGGGTTTCACCATGTTGGCCAGGCTGGTCTCGAACTCCTGACCTCAGATGATCCACCCGCCTCGGCCTCCCAAAGTGCTGGGATTACAGGCATGAGCCACCACGCCTGGTCATATTGGCAGCAGGTTTCTAAGTATGCTAATGGTCATAGCTCATATATGATGTCCTCAGAGTATGACAGCCTTGCAATATTGAATCTAGTGAAACCTGCCTGAGCCTTCCTTTGCTAAAGTTTACAAAGGTAGATTTTATAGCTCAGCAGCGGTCTATTTTTCTAAACATTCAATGACATCTTTCTAAGTTCAAGTTTTAGGATGAATGTAGAGTGGTAAAATAGACCTCATTTTAATTCGGCATCTCCTAAATTGTCATCCCAGAAGCTTTGCTGACAAGAATTACGTACTTCTGTGAATGTATCTGTACCAGGAGTTTGAGCAGAAAAAATAATACTGATCACTGAGATCACAAACTCTATGATGTATATGAGATTAGTAGGATGACATTTCTAAAATTATTACATTAAAATGTTTATCATGTTATCGTAAGTATTAAATTCCTCTCTATAAAAGTTTTCATCATCATGTTTTGTGGTTACTATAAAGCTATGTAGTGCGTATTGAACTTGTGTCAAACATGACTCTATCTCCTTCACCCTCCACGTCCTATCTATCAAGAAGAACTATTGACCTATTGAACTTGAGTGTCAACCATGACTCTATCTCCTTCACCCTCCACGTCCTATCTATCAAGAAGAACTATTGACCTAACTTTCTCTTTATCTCTTGATTCTGTCTACTTCTCTTTTTCTCCACTGCCACTAATTCAGGCTACCCTAAAGTTCAGGCCACGCTCCTCTTCAGGCTGAAATATTGCCTCAGGTTCCTACCTCGGTTTTACCCTCTACATTCTTCTCTCCATATTTTAGCATCCCCCACTATCATTTCTCCATATTGCAGCATAAAGAAATAAATCTTCGCTGTTAAATGCTACTGACATTTTGGGGTCATTTGTTGCTGCAGTATAACTTGATCTAAGAAGACTAATATCTAACTTATTTCAGTTCCTTGGATGTGCTATATCTCACTTTGGGCCTTTCCTTCCTCTTCTTTTTCCTATTTTAATTGTCCCAATTCCTCTTCAGCTTTTAGATCTCAGTTTAGATGCCATTTCCTCTGGGAAGCTTTCCCTGATTCAGCAGGTCTGGCTTATGTACCCATCCTTACATTCCTATGAAACCCTGTAATTCCCTTATCCGCACTTACTGTGGAATTGTCTGTCTCCCTCCTCCACCTGCCTGCTGGAAGCTTGGTGAGGGCAAAGACTATGACTTCCTATTTCATCATTATATTCCCAGTTCTAGGCACATGGCAAATGTCGTAAATCTGTTGAATGAGTAAATAGTTCAATTCTTAGAATTTGAATACTTGGTCATACTACTTATCAGGAAAAGATGCCAAAGGCAGAAAAAGTACTGAGGTCCAAGTTCTGATCTGATTCATTGTGATGATACAAGTGGAAAAAAAAAATCAATGGCAGTTAAATACTATTAAACTGTGCTTTCCTGTATCCACCTTGATCAGAATTTATACGGGCTTTCCAAGCCTCACATATTAAAGAGTAAGGAGTAGCTATAAACTAATACGTGTGAGACTGAAGTTTCCCAAGATGAAAGAATGCTAGGCATTATTATTTCTATACATGTTTCAACAGCACATGAGAATAACATACAGGTCAGCTCACATTATTGCAGCATTTCCTGTTCTAAGACACAGCTTAAGGCAAACTCTTAGAATGGTTATGTAGGATGTATGCATTCCACAACTCTTGTCTAATTGAGTCACCTTTGTATACTTTCCCATCCCTCCCTGCCATAAAGCATATTAAAATTGAATTAGTAACGCCATCTGTGATTTCCATGTGACCTACTATAAATAATGTTTTCTGTGGCCCCACAATTAAAAGACCATCATAAAACCATTTCCGTGAAGATCTTTTGTGAAGAAAACAGAAATGGGAGTTTAGATTAATTATACTGTGCTCTGGTGCAACCTAAGAGGAAACCTGATTCTGAGCTTTTTGATTAAAGAAAAGAGTAGGAAAGAGCCACAAGTGAGACCTGAGTGGCTCTGAGGTTTGACTTATTAACCTTGAAAGGTGAAGAACTTGATGTTAAAAATTAGGTTTCATCCAGCATCCTAACTCATATGTAGAAATGAGTTGCTACTCACTAGGCTTCATTCATTCATTCATTCATTCATTCAGAATGAATCATCCTGCTCATCAAGATTGGCTACTTTTCCAAAAGTAACAATAATACAAACATATAGCAAAGGTCTAAAGCTTCCATAAGAAAACTAAGGAAAGTTGGGCACAGTAATGGAACACATGAATGTGAGTTATGTCTAAGGTTTCCAACAGATTAGGAAGTTTAGGAACACTAAAAATGGTTTTGGAACCAGGTTTCCTGATTGAAAGTTAAAGGGATATGGTTTTATACTTACATAAAGAAAAGCTTGAAGGCAGTGTAGTCTAGTGGATTTAGGAGACAGACCTGGGCTTCAATTCCTGCTGTGCCACTACCTAGCTGTGTGACCTTGGGCAAGATGCTTAATTACCTAAACCTGTTTCTTCATTAGTACGATGGGGATAAAATGCCTACTTTATAAGATTACAGTGAGAATTAAATATGACAATGTTTCTAAAATGCTTTGCACAATGCCTAGCCATAGAGAGTCTAATTAAATAGTAAGTATAATCATGGAGCTCTCCAGTGAAGAACTGGACTGCCCTGTAAGGTGGGAAGCGCCCTGTCTCTAAAAGCATTCAACAAGCCAGTTGGTCCTGTAGCAGGGTGCTATAAAATAATTCCTCCTACAAGGGTATGGAGAGTAGCAAGGGGTGGTGATTGGACTCTGATGAATGCATTCAAACCTAAGATTCCATGACACATTAATGCTTGAATTGCTTTACAAATATTGATTCTAAAATAAAATGGCCCCCAAAATACACAAAACTAAAATTGCTGGACTACAGGGAAAAATGAACACATCTACCTTTATAATGGGAGACTGATTGCTTGATCTATTTTATCTACTAACAGGTAAGAGAAATACTGACGGGGAAATACTGATGGGGAAATCTGAACATGAACATTAGTAAAGATATAGAATATCTGAAATACCAAGCTTGATTTATTTGCAAGTATCATGTATCTATCTAATGGTGAATAAACATTCTTCTCTGGTTTTAAAAATATATGAAAATTGACCATAGACTAGCCATAGAGCATTATCGGGCTACTGCACTCCAGCCTGAGTGACAGAGGGAAGACCCTGTCTCTTTAAAAAAAAAAAAGGCCGGGCGCGGTGGCTCACGCCTGTAATCCCAGCACTTTGGGAGGCCGAGGCGGGCGGATCACGAGGTCAGGAGATCGAGACCATCCTGGCTAACACAGTGAAACCCCTTCTCTACTAAAAAATATAAAAAATTAGCTGGGCGTGGTGGCGGGCGCCTGTACTCCCAGCTACGCAGGAGGCTGAGGCAGGAGAATGGTGTGAACCCGGGAGGCGGAGCTTGCAGTGAGCCGAGATCGCCCCACTGCACTCCAGCCTGGGCGACAGAGAGAGACTCCGTCTCAAAAAAAAAAAAAAAAAAAAACAGAGAAAAAAAAACACTTCATAAAGAAAATGAAAAGATCTTGGACTGAATCCTGGATTAGGGGAAAAAAATAGCTCTAAAACACCTTAATGGAACAACTAGTAAATTTTCAATAAGGACTGCATGTTAGCTACTCGTACTTCATCAATGTTAAACTACCTAAATTTGAGCCAGGCCCAGTGGCTCATACCTGTAATCCCAGCACTTTCGGAGGCCAAGGCAGGTGGATAGCTTGAGCCTAGCAGTTGGAGACCCCCGTGGGCAACATGGCAAAACCCCATCTCTAACAACAAAAAAATTCTCTCTAACAGGTGGGGTGTGCCTGTAGTCCTAGCTACTCTTACTTCATCAATGTTAAACTACCTAAATTTGAGCCAGGCCCAGTGGCTCATACCTGTAATCCCAGCACTTTCGGAGGCCAAGGCAAGTGGATAGCTTGAGCCTAGCAGTTGGAGACCACCGTGGGCAACATGGCAAAACCCCATCTCTAACAACAAAAAAATTCTCTCTAACAGGTGGGGTGTGCCTGTAGTCCTAGCTACTCGGGATGCTGAGGTGGGAGCCTCACTTGAGCCCGGGAGGTGGTTGCAATGAGCCGAGATCGCACCACTGCACTCCAGCCTGGGTAACAGAGTGAGACCTTGTCTCAAAAAACAAACAACCTCAACTGGAACATTTTTCTGTGAGTATAAAAGAGAATATCATTGTCTTTGGAGACACATGCTACAACTTACTCCTAAATGGTTCAGAAAAAAATATATATCTATAGTATACATATTTTATATATATAATCTCTCCTACACACTAATATAGCAAATATAGCAAACTGTGAACTTATGTGAAGGGTATACAGGAGTTCATTAATTCTGAAACTTTTTGATAAGGTTGATTTTTTCAAAATAAGTCAAAAAATTTTTTTATTTGAAAACACACTATAAACAGGGAGAAGATATCTGCAACACCTACAATTAACAAAAGAATGTTTCATTATATATACATATATACATTATATATACATTTATATATGTACACACACACACATCCTTAGAAGAGGAAGAGAAAACATGAATGAATAACATATTTCAAAGTGCTCAGCCTTATCAGTAATTACGGAATGCAAATTAAGACAAAAACATGGTATTTATTCTGGGTAGACTAGCAAAAAGTAAGAAGTGTGAAAATAACGAGGATTTAGAGAGAATTGTGGTCGGTACTGGTGGCAGTATAGATTGGTACAACCACTTTGAAAACATTTCTGCTTTATCTTTGAAAGCTGAACAGCCCCCATAGCCTCTGATGCCGCAGTGCTAATCCTAGGTTCAAATTAGAGTCCAGCGCATGCACAGAAGGTGAACAAGAATGCTCCTACTAGCCTTATTAGTAATTACTAGGGGCAGATTCAGGTTTTATGGGGTATGAGCTTATATAATTGGAAAAGAGGAGGCTTTTAAAGAAAAAGATTCAGAATGATGAATACAAATTAGGTTCAAAAGTGACTAATTTTTATAATGGCAAAAGAAATTACAACAATTAGAAATGTCACAAAACCCAGGAAAAGAGTTCTGTTATAGGTATGTGACCTACGAACTTGGGAAGTCTGATACATTTAGTCTGTGTGGTTCCCATCAATAAAGAAAATACTTAAAGTGCATTTATAATCCTATCCGCTACAGTATTGAATACATTCCTGACAGGAGAAAACTTCCTTTTGACTAGGCAGTAAGAAATAAATGTTCTGTTACTACACGTAACAACTTGGATGAACCAAAAAAACAAATGTTGAGTGATAAAAAGCGAATTCCAGGCTATATGTATTTTTATAAAGCTCAAAAAGAAGAAAAATACACCAATACACAGGAATGCATCCAAATATGATAAAACCACTAAAAATGGCAAAGAGGGACAAAACTGAAGATAGTGGTGGTGAGCTAAGAGGCCAGGAGTAGAATCCTGGAGATGCATAGATACATGCTAAATACTGATAACGTGGTGGAGTGATAGTTTCATTAGCATACTTTAAATTTTACATATTTGGTAAATATGCTCTTTTGAATGCATCGACTATTACACTGAAAATATTTTTAAATACTTAAGGCACCTGAATATAAGCTGGCTTCCCTCCTTCCTCTCCCGTGCTGTCTCCTCTCCCCCATCACTTCTCAACTACAAGCTGCTTGGGACACGTGGCTCCAGAGGTTGGCAAAACAGGGAAATGTCAGCCCACAAGGAACAAGAACCGTGACTTGTGTTATTTTCTTGTTGGTGTTGGGGTGGGGGGAGGGGTGCGGTGGTGCAGGAAATATTATCCAGCTTATCATATATGCCACATCAAGCTGACTCCGTTTAAATTTTGAGTGGCTCTACTAGCTAAAGCCAGAAAAGGGTTTTTGGGCCCAACGGGCAGAAGTGCCCCTCCCTTTTACACTCACACTTCCCACTTTCTAAGGGTGCCAGGCCCCCGCGCCGCCCTCCTGCTTCTTTCCGGACGGTCCAACTCTTTTCCACCAGTCCCAGCCCATTCGATTACGTAAATTCTTCCAAGAGGATTCCCAAACGTGCCCCTCCGTCCAGAACTCGCCCAGCCCGGACCAGTTCCGAGATTTACCACCAGCCCAGAGCTGGGCGGGGGCGTGGAAAACGCGAGGAGCCTTCCCGCCCCTCTCCTTCTCCCTCCCTCCCTCCCAAGCCACTGCCGGCTCCCAGCCGAGCTCCGCCCCCGCGGTGGCCCCGCCTCCCCGCCGCCCGGAAAGCGGGCTGCGGCCCCCTCCCAAAACCCGGGGAAGTGGATTCTACTCTACGCTCCGCTCCGCTCCGCTCCGCACCACCAACCCCGGGCCGCAGTCCTGACGAGCGGGTCAGGGCTTGTCGGGCGGAAGCCTGGCCTGGAGCCTGGAAGGGGGAGACGGCCCGAGCGGGAGCGGGAGCGGACGCGGCCTCAGTCCTGCGCGGGTGAGCGTGCCCCGGAAGCTTGGGCCCCTGGCCGCCCTGGTGCCCCTTCTCCGGGACCTGGGGCGCTAGGCCGCGGCGGCAGAACTGGTGCCCCTGCGCGGCCTTCCTCCCATCCTTACAGTTCCCCGTGTCCCAGGCCTCTACCCGGAACCGGAGCCCCGCCCGTCTCCTAGCAGCTCCGTGACGTGAAGCGCCTCGGGGTGCGGTGCCGCCGGGCGTGGGTGGGAGGCAACGCCCGAGGGGAGGGCCCGCCAGTGCACGGGGGTGCGGGGCGCGTTGGCGAGAATTGGAGGCCGCGCCGCCGCCAGCCGTCCGCCGTCCCGCCCAGCAGGAGCACGTTCCCTTTCGCCATTGGAAGACTGAGTTCCAAGCTTTTTCCTGCTCACCTAGAGCCGTCCCTGCCCCGCCCGCCACCCCCTGTACATTTTCGGAGATTTAGGATAGTAATTCTAGACCCTCGGTTGCATTTCTGTTGGAATTTTTCTGGAAGTTGGAATCTGGCAGTTTAAACAAAGAATTTTTTTAAGAAAAATATTTATTAGTATATTTGATAGTCCCCAGATTAGGTTAAAAGCCTTATTCCCAATAACTGTAATTTTGCAAAGACATGTTTTTGGTGTAAAAAGGTATAGATATGGGTTGATGAAAAGAATCAAACTCTGAAAAATATTTGAAGAGATTTATTTTGAGCCAGATTCAAGTGACCATGGCCAGTGACAGTCCTCAGGAGGTCCTGAGAACATGTGCCCAAGGAAATTGGGGTACAGCTTGGTTTTATCTATTTTAGGAAGGCGTGAGACATCAAATACATTTAAGAAATACATTGGTTTAGTTTAGAAAGGCGGGGCAACTCAATCGGTAAATGTAAACGTTATCTGGTTGAGGTTATCTAAAGACCTGGGATCCATAAAAAGGAATGTTCAGGCTAGAGATAAAGGATTGTGGAGACCAAGTTTTATTGTGCAGAGGAAGCTCTTAGATAGACTTTAGAGAGAGCAGGTTGTAAATTGTTTTATATTGGACTTAAAAGGGTGCCTGGCTCTTAGTTGATTATCTCCTGGATCTGGGAAGGAAGGAGGGAAAACAAGGGGAGATGGGAATTCTCACCAAATGCAGATTTTTCCTGCAAGAGACTTTGCAGGGGAGTTTTAAGGTACGACAAGGAAATATATTTTGGGGTAAAACATTTTTATTTTCTTCCTTGTTAGGCCAGAGTCAGATTGGAAAGTAAGTCACGATATACAGGGTTAAATAAAACCCATCTGATGAGAATTTATGGTTTGTAGGGCATGACTCTCCAGACCCCTTAGAAAGGAATTTGGGTAAGATAAAAAATTAGAGCTTAGTCCTCGTATGGTTGAGAGCTTGTGCTCTGGATCCACAGTGCCAGGGTTGTAACACTTAAGAATTGTGTGAGCTTGGACAAACCACTTAATTTCTTTTCTTTTTTTTTTTTTTTGAGACGGAGTCTTGCTCTGTTGCCCAGGCTGGAGTGCAGTGGCGCGATCTGGGCTCACTGCAAGCTCCGCTTCCCGGGTTCACGCCATTCTCCTGCCTCAGCCTCCCGAGTAGCTGGGACTACAGGCGCCTGCCGCCAACGCCCGGCTAATTTTTTTTGTTTTGTTTTGTTTTAATAGAGACGGGGTTTCACCGTGTTAGCCAGGATGGTCTTGATCTCCTGACCTCGTGATCCGCCCGCCTCGGCCTCCCAAAGTGCTAGGATTACAGGCGTGAGCCACTGCGCCCAGCCCAAACCACTTAATTTCTAAGTGGCTCAGTTTCTTCTGAGTGTATATAATGTGTTTTATACACACACACACGTTTTTTCATTATGCTATGTTATGTATATTACTATATTATTTTTTCATTATGCTATACTATGTATATTAGTCTTGTGTATATTACTCTATGTAATATACCTAGTATAGCATAATGAAAAAATATCTGTATATATATATATTAGGCAATGCTAACTGCTTTACATGGTTGTGAAGATTAGGTGAAGCACTGTGCTTGGCATATAATAAACACTAAGTGTTACTTATGAAAATAGCATTTTCTCTATGATTTGTGGCTTTGATTTTAAAGATTCTAATTGTGAAGTATTTCTCCTGTTTTCTTTTTTGATGCTATAATAGAAGGATTTACCCCAGAATTTCTATAATATCTGATACTTCAAAGTGCAAATAATCAGTAAACGGAAATAGACCATGTGTACAAGGCTATGTTGAGCAGTGTGCAGTGTTACAACACTGCTATGTGTGAGGAAGAGGACTCCATCTCTTCATCAGTGGAAGCTGGCGAATGGAAGAAAAGCTTGATATAAAGAGTGTCATGATGTCCTCACTATTCCTTTCAGGCATAACCCCAGGACACTCACTGTGTTGCCCAGGTTGGAGTGCAATGGTGAGGTCTTAGGCTCACCGCAACCTCCGCCTCCTGGGTTCAAGAGATTCTTCTCCCTCAGCCTCCCGAGTAGCTGGGAATACAGGTGTGCGCCACCATGCCCAGCTAATTTTTGTATTAGTAGAGACGGGGGTTTCACCATATTGGCCAGGCTGGTCTCAAACTCCTGACCTCGTGATCTGCCCGCCTCGGCCTCCCAAAGTGCTGGGATTACAGGTGTGAGCCACCACGCCTGGCCTTTTTAAAAATTTTTTTGAGACAGAATCTCACTGTCACCCAGGCTGGAGGGCAGTGGCACGATCTCGGCTCACTGCAATCTCTGCCCCCCGGGATCAAGTGATTCTCCTGCCTCAGCCTCCCGAATAGGTGGGATTACAGGCACATGCCACCATGCCCAGTTAATTTTTGTATTTTTTGGAGAGATGGGGTTTCAGCATGTTGGCCAGGCTGGTCTCAAACTCCTGACCTCAAGTGATCTGCCTGCCTCGGCCTCCCAAAGTGCTGGGATTACAGGGGTGAGCCACCGCACCTTGTCCTTAATCATATGGTACTTTATATGTGAACTTTATTAATGGTACAATAAATCTCATTATATAATTTCCTTAACAGAATATTGAAGGATGTTTGTTCCAAGATCTCTAAAAATCAAGAGGAATGCTAATGATGATGGCAAAAGTTGTGTGGCTAAGATAATTAAACCAGACCCAGAAGACCTTCAGTTGGACAAAAGCAGAGATGTTCCCGTTGATGCTGTAGCTACAGAAGCAGCCACAATAGACAGGCACATCAGCGAATCATGCCCTTTCCCCAGCCCAGGTGGCCAGTTGGCAGAGGTTCATTCAGTAAGTCCCGAGCAGGGTGCGAAGGACAGCCATCCTTCTGAAGAGCCCGTTAAGTCATTTTCCAAAACACAGCGCTGGGCAGAACCAGGGGAACCCATCTGTGTTGTCTGTGGTCGTTATGGAGAGTATATCTGTGATAAGACAGATGAAGATGTGTGTAGTTTGGAGTGTAAAGCGAAACATCTTCTACAAGTTAAGGAAAAGGAAGAGAAATCAAAACTCAGCAATCCACAGAAGGCTGATTCTGAGCCAGAGTCTCCACTGAATGCTTCCTATGTCTACAAAGAGCACCCCTTTATTTTGAACCTTCAGGAAGACCAGATTGAAAATCTTAAACAGCAGCTGGGAATTTTAGTTCAAGGGCAAGAAGTCACCAGGCCCATTATTGACTTTGAACATTGTAGTCTCCCTGAGGTCTTAAATCACAACTTGAAGAAATCAGGCTATGAGGTGCCAACTCCCATTCAAATGCAGATGATTCCTGTGGGACTTCTGGGAAGAGACATTCTGGCCAGTGCAGATACTGGCTCAGGAAAAACAGCTGCTTTTCTTCTTCCTGTTATCATGCGAGCTTTATTCGAGGTAAGTGTTAATAATAGAGTTCACATGTATTATTCTTGGAAACAAGTGAGGTATTTACCAAGTTTCATTTTTAACTATATTAAAATTGCAGACTAAAACTAAATATTTGGAATTTTAGTCACTAGTGCCTGTAGTGATTTTGCTTCTGATAGTAGTTTGTATGAAAACATAATTTCAGGGAATTTTTCTTGTATTATATTGAACCAGAGATCTCTTTATTGACGATCTAAAAACTTGCTTCCTTACAAAACATTTTCTTTTTAACAGTTTTTCTATTAACAGAATGAGCTTTGGATTTGAGGGGGAAAAGATCCAGCTGACCAGACGAGCTACAGTTTGTGTGTCAGTTTTGTCTCCTTGGATTTTGTGTTTTGAAGAAACTGATTTATACTGAAGTTGGAACACATAGAGTTTCAAAATATACTTTTTTTTTCTTTTTCTTTTTCTTTTTTTGGGACCGAGTTTCACTCTTGTCGCCCAGGCTGGAGTGCAATGGCACAATCTCGGCTCACTGCAACCTCTGCCTCCCAGGTTCAAGTGATCCGTCTCCCAGGTTCAGGTTCAAGTGATTCTCCTGCCTCAGCCTCCTGAGAAGCTGGGATTATAGGCATACGCCACCATGCCTCGCTAATTTTGTATTTTTAGTAGAGACAGTGTTTCTCCTTATTGGTCAGGCTGGTCTCGAACTCCTGACCTTAGGTAATCCAACCGCCTCAGCTTCACACAGTGCTGGGATTGCAGGCATGAGCCACCGCACCTAGCCTCAAAATATACTCTTAAATGTGATCTATGGTTCATCTTAAAATAATCACTACCATACCTTACTTGTTAGTTTATAGTGTGTAGAGCACTTTCACAAATAGTTTAACAAACATTTTGAGTAATTACTATTTCCCAAGTACTGATGAACTTGTGAAGTATGAAGTATGGCAGGAAGGGAAGTGAGTAAAAAATGTGGGGAAGGCGGGGCACAGTGGCTCACGCCTGTAATCCCAGCACTTTGGGAGGGCGAGGTGGGCAGATCACCTGAGATCTAGAGTTCAAGACCGGCCTGGTCAACACGGAGAAACCCCATCTCTACTAAAAATACAAAATTAGCCGGGCATGATGGCGCATGCCTGTAATCCCAGCTACTCGGGAGGCTGAGGCAGGAGAATCACTTGAACCCAGGAGGCGGAGGTTGCGGTGAGCCGAGATTGTGCCATTGCACTCCAGCCTGGGCAATAAGAGTGAAATTCCGTTTTCAAAAAAAAAAAAGTGGGCAAAGAGAGGAAAGATAAAGGAGAAAAAATTGGAAAACTAAAGAGTAGTAGAAGATAGTGTGAGAAAAAAAAAGTGCTAGATTGTTTAAAATATAGGTCACGCATGCTGGAAGACCAAAATAGAGCCATAAAGCCCGAAATAGGATATGGGTATATATGTAAGTTATATGGACAAAGAAAGAAGTGAATCCACAAGAGAGCTAAGAGGGAAAGACCAAGGGTAGCATGCCAGCTTTGACCAGATCTGCATGGTGACTATTGGGTTCTCTCTTCAGGGGAGGATGACTGTAGATTACAGGGTCCAATAAACTAGGAGCAAACCTTCAGTTTTCTCACCTTGGTTACTGTGGACACCTCTCCCCAGCCCCATTTTGATCTTTCATTGTATTCTGTGTTATGTAAGAAATGGGTTTAATTTATGATGGTTTTGGAGGAAAAAAGTCTGCAGTAAGCAGAAGGCAGGAGGACTCATACCCAGTTGGGAACACTTTAAAGGGGCCATGTTCCTGGAATCCTTGTGAAGATTTAGTTCATATCAGCAGGAATTAATTGCTGGTGTTTTTAAACTTGTTTTTCACATCTTTGCAGAGCAAAACTCCATCTGCGCTCATTCTTACACCAACCAGAGAGTTAGCCATTCAGATAGAGAGACAAGCTAAAGAATTGATGAGTGGCCTGCCACGCATGAAAACTGTGCTTCTTGTAGGGGGCTTACCCTTACCCCCACAGCTTTATCGTCTGCAACAACATGTTAAGGTAAGCACTGATTTGATACAATGTCTTTGAAAAGTTTTGTAAGCAATACAGGAACTAGTGTTTTTTTTCCCCTTGAAGAATTTTTAAAAGTATGATTTTAGAGAGCCTTTAAATTCTTACCAAGTAAGCCTTAGGTTTTTTTTTTTTTTTTAGTTTGTTTTATATAGGAAGGGAAAGAAGCACAATTTATTGAGTGCCCATTATATGCCAAAGGCTGTTGAATGTTCTGACATGCATTATCTCATTTAAGCATCACATTTACTTCTGAAGGTGGGTTGGCATAATCCTTAGTCCATCTTTTATAGTTGAGAAGTTGAATCTCAGAAAGGTGGAGTTTATCTAAGGATCTATAGCTAATAAATAATAGTTGCCAAAATTGACCCTTAATTTACCTGTCTTTCCTCCTTCCTTAGCCATGCTGTTATGCGTAGTCTGTATTTTCTGGTATGTAAAAGTATGTAAAAGCAATGTGGTCTGATTCTAGCTTTGAAACTTGGTAGCTGTATGGCCATAGATAAGTTACTTCACTTCTGTGGGCTTCAGTTTTCTTGAGTTTGAATGGGTGGCTGAAGATACCTGCCTTTAAAATAAAAATGTTTAATGGAAGGTTTGGCACAGATGCTGACCAATCAAAATAGACTGCAGCTTTGGTGCAGGAGCTGGGTCCTCGGGGCCCCTTGGTGTTCTGGGCATTAACTGTTTAGTTAACTAGGGTGGTAGGGCGGCCCTGGCGACCCAGGGGACAAGCTGGGTTGGCAGGGAGTTGGGGAAGGGCACTCAGGGGGCTGGGGCAGCAGTACCAGCTGGGATGAAGCTCCTGCAGTATTCGACAGCTTCTATGGGTGAATATCAGCCTTTCATGTTGGAATCTTTTGAAGGTCAAATCAGATTTATCTGACAGATTTAAAGCCTGTAAAATGTTGTTTTAAGAAATTACAGGTTGATAATTAATGGGATATTGGATCAGTGATTTTTTAAGGTGGACCTCCAGTATATAAAACAGACAAAGGTGATATTAATGCCAAATTATAAGTTCAGCAGTATATATTTATAAAGTAAACAATACAAGTACTTTTGATGGGCATCAAATTTGAAGTTGGGTTAATGGAGTTTAACTGCAGTCTCATATCAACCTCTGCCTTAAATTTATTTTCATTGCAACGAATGGATAACATTATAATTCAAACGCATAAGTAGCTGCAAACTTCTAACAGCTTTTAAACTAAGCTTGCATTCCAATTCTTAAAAAAATATATGTTAATGTATTGGTGTTAGTCTCTAGTTGCCCAGGCTGGAGTGCAGTGGTGCAACCTCTGCTCACTGCAACCTCCGTCTCCCAGGTTCAAGCGATTCTTCTGCCTCAGCCTCCAGAGTAGCTGGGACTACAGGCGCCCACCACCATGCCCAGCTAAGTTTTTGTATTTTTAGTAGAGATGGGATTTCACCATGTTGGCCAGGCTGGTCTCAAACTCCTGAGCTCAGGTGATCCACCTGCCTCGGCCTCCCAAAGCACACATTTTTTAAAAAAACAATCTCAAACTTAAAGAAAGGTGGTAAGTACAGTAAATGGAACTTTTTTTTCCTCCCAAACCTTCTGGAAGTAACTTGCTGACTTGATGCCCTATCACCCCCATATACTTTACAGTATGATTGCTACAAACAAGGACATTATCTTACATAACTGTAATACAATTATGGAATCAGGAAATTAACATTGTGTATTAGTCCATGCTTGCACTGCTATAAAGAAATACCTGAGACTAATTTATAAAGAAAAGAACTTTAATTGGCTCATGGTTCTGCAGGCTGTACAGGAAGCATAGTGGCTTCTGCCTCTAAGGAGGCCTCAGGAAGCTTCCAATCATGGCAGAAGGCAGAGGGGGTGCGAGGAGCTTCACGTGGCCAGAGCAGGAGGAAGAAAGAGAGTGGGGAGGTGCTACACACTTTTAAACAACTAGATCTCACAAGAACTATCATGATGACAGCACCAAGGGGAAGGGTGTTAAACCATGAGAAATAGCCCCCATGATCCAATCACCTCCCTCCAGATCCCACCTCCAACATTGGGGATTACAGTTCGACATGCAATTTGGGTGGGGACACAGATCCAAACAGTATCACGTTGATAGAGTAGATTACATCAGGAATTAATATTGGTATCATCTACTCCTCAGTCCCCATTCACATTTTTATAATTGTTCCATCACTTTTTATAGCACAAGAATCCAGTTCAGAATCACATGTTGCATTTAGTTGTTGTGTCTTTGTCATCTCCTTCAATTTGAAACAGCTCTTCCATCTTTCCTTTTTTCCTCATAATCTTGGCCCTTTTAAGGTTTACAAGCCACTTACTTTGAAGAACATCCCTCATTTGATTAGATTCAAGTTACATGTCTTTGACAGGAATATCACAGAAGAGATGCTTTGTTTTTTTCATTGCATCCTTTTAGGTTGCACAGAGTATCAGTATGTCCTTTTCCTAGTGATAGGATCTGTAAAGTAATTGTCAAGTTTATTTTTTTCCCCTTTGAGTTTAGTAAATATTTTGGGGAGAGTACTTTGAGGTGTACTTTGAAATGTAAATTTCTCATTCTTCACCACACTTTGAATTTATTTATATATTTATTTATATCTGTATGGACTCACAGCTTCCTGTTATTCAAAGGTTTACAATCTATTATCATTATTTGTTTTGATACTCCAGTTGATCTCTATCTGGCCAGTGGAAGCACCTTCAAGTTGGTTTCTATGTCCTTTGTTCAGATCTCCATCATTCTTTGAGTCTTCCTTACCTTCTATCTAAAGAAGATGTTCCATACTTACATTTTTCTTTCCCTGCCCCAGCCCTGGAATCATGCCTTCTCCAAGGAGCCCTGGTTTATTTTACTAGAGGATAGTATTTAAAAAGAAAGATCTGGGCTATGTGCGTTGATTGCTATTGGACTATCACTGCTTCTAGGACTTCCCAGTGGATAGAGCTAGGGAATACAGTCATCGCTGGGCGTCTGCCAGGGATTGGTTCCAGGATCCCCTGCGTATGTACCAAAATCTTTGCAGACTTGAATCTTGCAGTTGGCCCTGCTGAACTCGAGTATTGTTGGTCCGTGTTTGGTTGAAATTGGTATGTTTCAGTGGACTCACACAGTTGAAATCCATGTTGTTCAAGGGTCAGCTGTATATCTAAGTGTGTGTTTTTCTGTATCTATATTTATTAGAAACCATGAGACTATGAGTTCATGTTGATACTTCCAATTCCAATTCAATGCAACAGGATTCATTCATGTTTGTAACTGACAGAAACCTGCCACTCATTTTCATTTATGTATTTGTTTATTTATTTGACCAATCCTCCTCTATGTAGCCTACCTCCCGCCATCAGCACCGCCCTGCCCACAGCGATGCCCTCCTCACCAGACTCCACCCTGCACTCTCCTCAGCCCCTCAGGCTGCAGCACCCCATGCAGGGCCGCCTTTCTGTGGAGGCTCCTGCTTGCCCACCTGTCACTCCCACCCCTCTCACCAGCCTGAGCTCTCTCCCAGGTGCCCTCTGAGAAAACATAACCAAAACCTCTGTTCAGCAAAGTTGCCCTCCAAGAGCAAGGACAACATAAAAAGCTTTTCAGATAAACAAAACTGAGAAAGTTAATACCAGTACACCATGTAAGAGAACTTTAAAACTAAGGTAGTCTACAGATAAAGAAGATTGTGCCAGAAAGGAGGGTGTGGGATGGAAGAAATAATGGTGGCCAAGGAAAATAGTAAGCATGTGGGTAAATCTCAGGAAACATTGAATGAAACAGTAATCATAATGAACAACCTGTAGGTTTCAAAATACAATAGAAGTTAAATACTGGCCAACAGTAGCTTAGAAGCACAGGGGAGATGTGATTGGTATTAAAGCATTTTTCCTTCTTGTTTAAAAAAAGGTAAAAATAAGCTGAATGCAGTAGCTTACACTTGTAATCCCAGCACTTTGGGAGGCCAAGGCGGGAGGATTACTTGAGCCCAGGAGTTTGAGACCAGCCTGGGTAGCATAGAGACCTTGTCTCTGCAAAAAAACAAAAAATTAGCCAGGTGTGGTGGCATGCCTGTAATCCTAGTTACATGGGAGGCTGAGGCAGGAAGACCCCTGGAGCTGGGGAAGTTGAGGCTACAGTGAGCCACGCACTCCCTGCTGGGTGACAGAGCGAGATTATATCAACAACAACAACAAAAAGCCCCCATTGTTAGCCACTAACATGTTATAAAATTATTAAGAGCCTTAAGCAACCTTAGAAATCACTTTGCCCAACCTCTTAATTTAAAAATGAAATAAAAAGCCCAAAGATGTTACGGAATTTTCACTTGTTTATAGAACCATAGCAATCAAACTGCCTACAAGGTCCTTCCTGGTGCCTTGGTGCCTGCCTCAGCCTGCCCCATTCTCCCCATTCCTTACCATTTAGAAACTTCACTGGCCTCCCAGCCTCAGGAATGTCACAGATACTTTTCTCCTTAATCACTCCTCACCTTGCTCATGCCCACTCATCCTTTAGGTTTGACCTGTGTGTTGGGTAGGACTGGATAGGTCCCTCCAGTTATGGCTTAGTGTATTTATCTCATGAGTACTTTCTGGTTTTATCTGTTTCTTCCTTTGTATTACAAGTTTCATGAGAGCAGAGACTATGTCTGGCTTATTCATCACTGAATTCTGGGTGCTTAACACAGTGTCTGGTACATATTAGTTGCTCAATCAATATGGAATGAATGAATGAAAATAGCTATTACTGATTTTTTTAATTTGCTTTTTCTCTTTTATTTAGGTTATCATAGCAACCCCTGGGCGACTTCTGGATATAATAAAGCAGAGCTCTGTAGAACTCTGTGGTGTAAAGATTGTGGTAGTAGATGAAGTAAGTAGTGGTATTTAAAAAACAGTTACATGATTTTACACAATTTATGGAAAGTATAGTTATATAATTTCATTGTATGTTCAGTACCTTTTCTCTCTCTCAAAAAAAACCTCAGGGACTTTTAAAGCATTGCAGCAGGTTCCTGTGTAGCACTGAAGCTAACATAATGTGTACTACACTAAAATTAAACCAGAGCTGTCTTTTCCTAATTGACAGAAAACACAAATTCAATATGTACTCTATTCTCAATGGTAAGTTGTTTTTTTTTAAGCATTTGATGCTTACTATTATTTGTTTACAAAAATAGTCAGTGTCAAGTAATGAGACAGGGTCTTGCTCTGTTGCTTAGGTCACCCAGGCTGGAGTGCAGTGACGGAAACACAGCTCACTGCAGCCTCAACCTCCCACACTCAAGTGATCCACCCACCTCAGCCTCCTGAGTAGCTGGGACTACAGGCACACACATCACCATGCCTGGCTAATTTGGTTTTTGTAGAGATAGGTCTCACTATATTGCCCAGGCTGATTAGTCTTGAACTCCTGGGCTCAAGGGATCCTCCTGCCTTGGCCTCCCAAAGTACTGGGATTATAGGCATGAACCACCATGCCCAGAGGATGGCCTTTAAATTTTTTTTTTTTCTATGTGGACATAGGCATCTGTGATCCTGATTTTCTATGTTACATATACTATAGAGGCATTTTTATACTTTTGGCCTACTTAATAAGATGAAGTAAAAGTGTTGTTTCTCAGTGATATTCTGCCATGGGAACATAGGACCATGTGCCAGCCCACCCTGGGCATGTGCCATTTCTGCCTGCGGGGCACATGCATCTTCCCACATGTCTCACCAGCAGTGACAGAGCAGAGGCCTGGCGTTACCCAGCAGTGATCACAAATGCGTGGTGCTGGGTGCTGACCAGGATAGTGTCTTAGCCTGCCTTCCATGGGCCCCAGTAAGTAGCAGTAGGATAGAACACATAGCCAGTACCCGCAAGACCAAGATTTGAACATTTACTCCACCTCCCATGAGAGCTTAGGCAAGCTGGTTAATCTTCTAGAGCTATGGCAAGGATGAAGAATGATGGTGAAAATGGCTTTTTTTTTTCTTGAGACAGTGTTTAGCTCCTGTTGCCTAGGCTGGAGTGCAATGGTGTGATCTCAGCTCACTGCAACCTCCACCTCCTGCGTTCAAGTGGTTCTCCTGCCTCAGCCTCCTGAGTAGCTGGGATTACAGGCACCTGCCACCATGCCCAGCTAATTTTTTTTTTTTTTTTTTTGAGACAGAGTCTTGCTCTGTCATCCAGGCTGGAGTGCAGTGGCGTGATCTCGGCTCACTGCAAGCTCCACCTCCCAGGTTTGTGCCATTCTCCTGCCTCAGCCTCCCGAGTAGCTGGGACTACAGGCGCCCGCCTCCATACCCAGCTAATTTTTTGTATTTTTAGTAGAGACGGGGTTTCACTGTGTTAGCCAGGATGGTCTCAATCTCCTGACCTTGTGATCTGCCCATCTCGGCCTCCCAAGGTGCTGGGATTACAGGTGTGAGCCACTGCACCCGCCCAAAAATGTCTTATAGACTGAAGAGTCCTGCTACTGCAAAGTCAGCATTTTTCTGGCGTGGCCATTTGGTAGAACTGACATTGCTAAATCTGATTATCATTAGACAATACTGTCACCCTGAACATGACTGGGCTTCCCTTTGTTGATAAGCCCCATGTTCTTAAATTCTCCCCATCTTATGAGCTAGAGAAGTAATTTTTTTTTTTTTTTTTTTTTTTTGTAGACAGTTTCCCTCTGTCACCCAGACTGGAGTACAATGGCACGATCTTGGCTCACTGCCACCTCTACCATCTGGGCTCAAAGTGATTTTTGTGCCTCAGCCTCCCAAGTAGCTGGGATTACAGGCATGTGCCACCAAGCCTGGCTAATTTTTGTATTTTTAGTTGAGACAGAGTTTTACCATGTTGGCCAGGCTGGTCTCAAATTCCTGGCCTCAAGTGATCTGCTCACCTTAGCCTCCCAAAGTGGTAGGATTACAGGTGTGAGCCACCGCACCCGGCCTGAGAAGTAATTCTTAATATGGATTTTAAGGTTAGTTTCCATTCATCCTCATTTCTCTCTTTGTTTTTAAAATTTGTTTAGAGACGGGGTCTTGCTATGTTGCCCAGGCTGGTCTTGAATTCCTGGGCTCAAGTGATCCTCCTGCCTTGGCCTCCCAAAGTGTTGGGATTACAGGCGTGAGCCACTGCACTTGGCCTCATCCTCACTTCTCTTTACAGCATTTTCATTTTCTTCCACTAACAAGGCTTCATGGGACACTTTCGTGCTGTGCTCACCATTATGGTACAAGGGAAGTATTCATTCAGCAAACATTTATCAAGTGCCTGTATGTGCAGCCTGTGTCCCAGCTCCTTGGCATTTAAGGAATATGGTTTCTGGGTGATCTAGAGGGGAAATGAGCTGGTAAACATAATCAGTTATATACTGAAACTGCAGTCAGTACAGAAGTATTATTTAGGTACAAATTGACCAATTCTGGATAAGTTTGGATGGCATCACAGAGAAGTTCTGAATAGCATTCAAGCCTACAAGGTGCTGAAATCTTGTTAGAGAGAAAAGATACATATACTGAAGTAAAGGCGAGAACGTTATCATATGTACAGAGATACAAAAGTACTAACATGATGTAGGCCAGGGGTTGGCAAACACTTTCTGTAAAGGACCAGATGGTAAATATCTTAGGCTTTGGGGGCCAATGTAGATGGTATGAAGATGAATGGGTGTGACGGGGTTCCCATAAAACATTATTTACAAAAACAGGTAAAGGTCTAAATTTGTCCCCAGAGCTGTAGTTTGCCAATGGCTGATAGAAGATACTAGTGAAAAAATTGAACTGTATGGCCAGGCACGTTGGCTCACGCCTGTAATCCCAGTACTTTGGGAGGCCGAGGTGGGCGGATCACCTGAGGTCAGGAGTGCAAGACCAGCCTGACCAACATGGAGAAACCCCATCTTTACTAAAAATACAAAATTAGCTGGGCGTGGTGGCGCGTGCCTGTAATCCCAGCTACTCAGGAGGCTGAGGCAAGAGAATCGCTTGAACCCGGGAGGTGGAGGTTGCGGTGAGCCAAGATCGTGCCATTGCACTCCAGCCTGGGCAACAAGAGTGAAACTCCGTCTCAAAAAAAAAAAAAATTGGACTGTATATGATGCCAATTTTTCAGAAGAAATAAGGTCAGAAGGAGAAATGAGAGAGTAAATATATTAGCACTGCAAAAAATGGCTTCTTAGAGGTAATGGGATTTGACCTGGGCTTCAAAAGATGGAAAAAGATTGAGAAAACTAGAGGATGTATCAGTTCTTCAAAGTGAAGGGACCAACATAAGCAGAGTCAGAAAGTCCAAGTGCATGTGTGCAGGGGGCAGAGAAGAGACCACCAGCTTGAAGAATTCTTCCTGAGAAATAATAGGAGGTAAAATTGGGTTGTTAGGGTGGGGCCAAATTATAGAGGGCCTGCACAGGAAGGCAGAGGAATTTGGATTTGATGTGGGAGTCAGTGAGGCTTTCTAAATTATTGAGTAGTGGTTTAAGAGGTTACCCTGCTGCGTGATACAGGAGAAATGAAAGAATCTAAGAGCAGCCAGCAATCCAGACAGGGGTAAGGGGTCACACGGTGGAGGCAGTAGGAGTCACAGGCCAAATCTGAGAGTTGCAGCGGAGGAGTCCCTTGTGAGTCTTCTGATGCCTGAGGATGAGAGAGGAAGAAGAAGGCAAGAGAGGTGACTCCATCAATTATAGTTGTGCCTTTAATTTTAAAAAGGACAAATGAGCAAATCTGGGTCTTGGTAGTAATGTTTGAGTTTGGCTTTAGACATGGTGAATTACCTGCAAATGATGAACTAAGGGGTAGTATTCTGAAGATCTAAAATAGGCATTGGGGAGTCCCTCTGAGCCTTTTCTGGCTCAGGAGGTTGCCGATAAAATTTTAAAAAATAAAATAGGCATCGGAATCCATGAAACGTATGGTTTCTCTAAGGGAGGCAAGTTAGAAATGAGCAGAAACAGAGGCAGGGGCTAGGGCTAAGGGCCTGGCTTGTGGAGTCTGAAGATGAGTCAGTAAAAAAGCTGCTTGAGACACCAGAGAGGAACTGAGAATGAATAATATCCTTGAAGAAGAGAGAACCATTGTTTCAAGAGGAGGATGAAGATGCAAATAGTCAGAGGTGAAAACTCAGATAATTCCTTTGAAATGATCTGCTTTGCGACCCTCCGTGTCTTCTGTCATACCTGTCCTTTGGCCTGGAATTCTCTCCCATCCTTTCTACCTGCTCTTCCTTCTTTATCTTTTAGTAACTCTGAAATCCCTCACTCCCCCTGTCAGATTTTAGGCCTTTGTTTCTCTCTGCTCTGTTGAACTGTGCATAGATTTTTAAATTTTTTTCTTAGCACAGTGTTTGCCCAAGTTTCCTTAATAATAGGAGTCACCTGGCTTGCTTAGTGACCATCAGACGAGACCAGACCTCTCACTTGGATATTCTGATTCAGTAGGTGTGAGTTGGAGCCAGGAATCTCTACAAACTCATTCCAGGTGATCCTTTTGTTTTTTTTCCCCTCAGGCAATTCTTTTTTTTTTTCCCCGCCAGGCTGGAGTGCAGTGGCGCAATCTCTGCTTACTGCAAGCTCCGCCTCCTGGGTTCATGCCATTCTCCTGCCTCAGCCTCCCGAGTAGCTGGGACTACAGGCGCCCACCACCATGCCTGGCTAATTTTTTGTATTTTTAGTAGAGATGAGATTTCACCGTGTTAGCCAGGATAGTCTCGATCTCCTGACCTCGTGATCCGCCCGCCTCGGCCTCCCAAAGTGCTGGGATTACAGGCTTGAGCCACCACGCCCGGCCCTTCAGGTGATTCTTATCTTCAGAGAGGTTTGGGCCACACTGACTAGTAAGTTGCCTGACATAGGAAGGTGCTTATTCAGTGCTTAGAATTAGTGTTCATTTATTTACAAAATATATCATTAGGGCTTTTCATGTGCTCACACTTGTTGGTTTTGAGAATACAGTGGAAGATGAGACACACAAACTGTCTCGTGTAGCTGTGATAAATGTACACAAGGCGATACGGCAGTGGCAACGAGGGGAGGGGGGTTACCTTGGATTGGTAGTCAGGGAGAGCTCTCTGAGAAGATGACATTTATGCTAAGATATGAATGAGAAGGAGCTGGTCATGCGGAGATCCATCTGGAGGGAAGACTTTCAGCCAGGTGCCAACAAGGAAGCAAGCATGAGGTATTTGGGAACAGAAGGAAGGCTGGTGTGGCAGAGTCACGAGCAGTGAGGGGAGAGTGCTTGGAGATGAAGTCAGAGAAGTGGACAAAGATGAGAACTTGTAAGACTTTTTGGTCATGGTTAGAAGTTGGATTTTATTCTAAGTGTGATGGGAAACCATTGGAGGGTTTAAGCAGAGGAGGATGAAGATCTGATTTATATTTTAGAAGAATCTATCTGGTTGCTTGAGAATTGGTTATGGGATGGGGGTGACGGGATTGCGAGCAGTCTTGCAAATATGAGTTGGGAGAAGCGACCAGCTCTGAGGTATGCTAGTGGGTTGACAGGATGATTAATGGAGTCAGTGTCAAGTGGTAAAGAGAACAGATGAAATAAGAGTTTCTGATGGCGCTGTTTCCTGAGATGTGTTCTGGGACAGGAGTGGGTTTGGCAGAAAGGAAATAGAAACTTCTGTTTTGAATGTGTTGAATTTGAGGGGCCTGTTGGAACCAAGTGGAGATGTTAAGTCGGCAGATAGTTTCTACCACTTGAGTTCGGGGAAGCAGTTGTGGCCTGAGATATGATTTTGAGAGTCTTTGATGCATGCATGATATTCAGAGCCGTGGAATTTGTTGATCTTATCTGAGGAGAGAGCACAGATGAGGAAAGAAGAAGCCTGTGACCCAGCCCATGGGGCTCCCCAATGTATAGAGATTGAGAGAAGAGAAAGGAGGCTCAGAGTAGCTAGTGAGGGAGGAGAAAAATCAGGAGAGGAGATGTCTGGGTGCAGGGGCCCACGCCTGTAATCCCAGCACTTTGGGAGGTCAAGGCAAGAGGATTGCTTGAGGCCAGTAGTTCAAGACCAGCCTGGGCAACATGGGGAAACCCAGTCTCTGCAAAAAAAAATACCAAAAATTAGCCGGGCACGGTGGCACATGCCTGTGGTCACACCTGTGGTCCCAGCTACTCAGGAGGCTGAGGCAGGAGGATCACTTGAGCCCAGGAGGCAGAAGTTGCAGTGAGCCATGATTGCACCCCTGCACTCCAGCCTGGCGACAGAGCAAGACCCTGTCTCAAAAAAAAAAAAAAAAAAAATGCTTTTTATGGCCCACTCTGCATTTTGAATAACATCTGTTGAATAATTTGTGCACATTAAAGACATGTTAGAAAGTGGGGGTGGAGCCTGGGCAACATAGCAAAACCCCATCTCTACTAAAAATACAAAATTAGATGGGTGTGGTGGCATGTGCCTGTAGTCCTAGCTATTTGGAAAACTGAGGTGGGAGGTTGGCTTGAGCCCAGGAGGTTGCACAGTAAGCCAAGGTGGCACCACTGCACTCCAACCTGGGTGACAATTCTTTTTTCCACTGAATAATATTAAAATGAATATTCAAATTTTAATATGGATGACAGCACATTAGTGGGCCCTTAAAAATACAATGCTGAGCTGGGTGCCCTGGCTTGTACCTATAGTCCCAGCTGCTTAGAAGGCTGAAGCTGGAGGATCTCTTGAGCCCAGGAGTTTAAGGTTCCAGCAAGCTAGAATCATGCCACTACACTACAGCCTGTGCGACAGCAAGACCCTGTCTCAAAACAAACACCCCCATGCCGTAATAGTTTAAAAGAATTATCCTGAATCAGGGCCCAGAAGGGGGAAAAAAAAGAATTAAATACCTCATTGTTCCCAAATTATAGACACCTGGATTGTATTTGCAACTGAAGATAGCCTTAATCTTTTTTTTTTTTTTTTTTTTTGAGACGGAGGCTCACTCTATAGCCCAGGCTGGAGTGCACTGGCACGATCTCGGCTCACTGCAAGCTCCGCCTCTCGGGTTCACGCCATCCTCCTGCCTCAGCCTCCCGAGTAGCTGGAACTATAGGCACCCGCCACCATGCCCGGCTAATTTTTTGTATTTTTAGTAGAGACAGGGTTTCACCGTGTTAGCCAGGATGGTCTCGATCTCCTGACCTCGTGATCCACCCACTTTGGCCTCCCAAAGTGCTGGGATTACAGGTGTGAGCCACCGTGCCCGGCTGGCAGCACTAACTTTAAAAAAATGTTTTTGTTTGCTTGGTAATTCATGGTTGTAACAAACCAACAGTATAGAAAAATATAAGTGAAAGCCCCTGTCTTAGTCCACTCCTGGTGCTATAACAAAATACCTTAGACTGGGTAATTTATAAACAGCAGAAACTTTTTCCCACAGTTCTTGAAGCTGGGAAGTCGGGGATCAAAGCTGTAGCCTTGATTCAGTGTCTGGTGAGGGCCTGCTCTCTACTTCAAAGATGGCATCAGCACCCTCTTCCTGCATCCTCACACAGAGCTCCATCCAGCCTCTTTTAGAAGGGCACTAATTCCATTCATAAGGGTGGAGCCTTCATAACTTAATCACCCCCTAAAGGCTTCCCCTCTTATTACCCGTACATTGTGGGTTAGATTTCAACATATGAATTTAGGGGGGATCACCACAGTTCAGACCATAGCAGCCCCTAACATTAACTTTTATTTAAAATAATATTTTATTATAAATGTAATCTGTGTTCATGGTTTAAAAAAAAAACAAACTTTGCAAAAAACTAAAAGTAGAATTGCCTCCCTTAAAGCCCTCCAGGCTTCTCCCTGGTATTAGCAATTTAGCAGTTTCTTGAGTGTATATACATATAATATTTTTGTAGCATAAATAGGTATCTTGTTACACATAATATTCTGTAATTTGCTTTTTTTTAACCTAGCAATCATTCATTATTTAATAAAGGGCTTTCTGATCATTTTTCTTGACAGCATAGTGTCATATGGATCTACCATAATTTAGCAAATCCCCTACTGATGAATATTTAGAATGTATATAGCTTTTTGCTACTATTAATAATGCCAATAATAACAATCTTTGTATATCATTGTAAACATTTAGTTGCACAGTTTATAATTTAGTATAAACATATTTTTCCAGTTCTCTTGACATTGTGGTATAGTTTTCTATTTAGGAATTTTTAATTTTTATATTGTTAATTATATCAGTCTTTTTTGGGGGTGGTTCTGGGTTTTAATGTCAAACAAGACTAACTTTAATACAATTTTATTTTAGGCTGATACCATGTTAAAGATGGGTTTTCAACAACAAGTGCTTGACATTTTGGAAAACATTCCTAATGATTGTCAGACCATTTTGGTTTCAGCCACAATTCCAACTAGCATAGAACAGCTAGCAAGCCAGCTTCTGCATAATCCTGTGAGAATTATCACTGGAGAAAAGAACCTACCTTGTGCCAATGTACGTCAGATTATTTTGTGGGTAGAAGACCCAGCCAAAAAGAAAAAATTATTTGAAATTTTAAATGTGAGTAGTAAAGCAGTTAACTATGTTTTATGGATTGTGTTTGCATTTTTCACAGCTCTTAAGAGAATGATTTTGAGATTGAACTTTCAGGGAATTTGATATAGGTATTTACTAATAAATTGCTTTACCTACCCTAGAATTCTATGAGAATCAAATAAATAGCTATTTGGGAAAACATGTTGGATAGATACAGGGTTGGGTTTTCTTTTCCTTATAGAATTATATTTAAATATCAAGATTATTCCTAAGGAATATGTTCTCCTTTGAAAATATTTTAGAAGGGCTGGGTGCGGTGGCTCAAGCCTGTAATCCCAGCACTTTAGGAGGCCGAGGCGGGCAGATCACGAGGTCAGGAGATTGAGACCATCCTGGCTAACATGGTGAAACCCCGTCTCTACTAAAAATACAAAAAAAATTAGCCAGGCGTGGTGGCACAGGCCTGTAGTCCCAGCCACTCGGGAGGCTGAGGCAGGAGAATGGTGTGAATCTGGGAGGCAGGGCTTGTAGTGAGCTGAGATTGCGCCACTGCACTCCAGCCTGGGTGACAGAGCGAGACTCTGTCTCAAAAAAAAAAAAAAAAAGTATTAAGTTAAATATGGTTGGTATTGACTTGGTAGCAGCATGTAGAGCTACATTAATCGCACTTAAAATGTTTGAATTACTCTTGGAGTATTAAGTGATGGAAAATTAAGAGGGGCAATAGACTGGCTTCTGTTTGTGCATATTTTAAATAAAACACTTATTTTAACAATATGCCTTTTTTTTCATTTTGTGTTTTGTGTTTTTTTTTTTTTTTGTGACGGAATCTCACTCTGTTGCCCAGGCTGGAGTGCTATGGCATGGTCTCAGCTCACTGCAACCTCTACCTCTCAGGTTCAAGCGATTCTCCTGCCTCAGCCTCCCGAGTAGCTGGGGTTACAGGCGCCTGCCACCATGCGTGGCTAATTTTCTTGTATTTTTAGTAGAGACGGGGTTTCACTGTGTTGGCCAGGCTGGTCTCGAACTCCTAACCTTGTGATTTGCCCACCTCGGTCTCCCAAAGTGCTGAGATTACAGGTGTGAGCCACCGCGCCCAGCCTCCTTCTTAACAATATTTATAAATCTATTGATAACTAGCTTGTGATAATCTTTCAGAAAAACTTCCCATTGTAAATTATTTTATATGAATAATTTTTGATATATGTTTTTAATTTTTCAGGATAAGAAACTCTTTAAGCCTCCAGTGTTAGTATTTGTGGACTGCAAACTAGGAGCAGATCTTTTGAGTGAAGCCGTTCAGAAAATCACAGGGCTGAAAAGCATATCTATACATTCAGAGAAGTCGCAAATAGAAAGGAAAAACATATTGAAGGTTTGACACCCAATATTCTATATTCTGTTTTCTATAAATCTGTTCTGCCTCATTTTCAAGAGATAACCATATTACAGCTGGTTTTTATAACAGATCCTCTTTTAATGACTACAAGACCATCAAACAAGCGGTTACCATGAAGTTAATGTTCTCTTGCTCAGGCTTTTTGTTTGGGGAGCAATAGCCTGTTCTCTAGGGAATATATACTAAATAGATTACTAATTCAAAACTTACCATTTCTGAAATCAGGTCAGTTTGGACTAGAGCAGGGCAGTAATTCACCTTTGGAAAAGGTTTGCCTGAATAAATTAATAAAATAAATTCCATGGGGATTGGGGAGAATTTTAGCTGCATACATTTTTCAGGTATACTATGACCTTTACTTATTGAAAAAATATTGCAATAAAAATATTGAAGTAAGCATTATAAAAAGAAAAGCTATCAGAATTACACAAAACCACACAAAATAAATTCTGAATAATAAATTTTGTTGCTTTTTTGGAAAGGGATTACTTGAAGGAGACTATGAAGTTGTAGTGAGCACAGGAGTCTTGGGACGAGGCCTAGACTTGATCAGTGTCAGGCTGGTTGTCAATTTTGATATGCCTTCAAGTATGGATGAGTATGTCCATCAGGTAAGGAGCTTTATATGTTACCACTATTTTGTTCACGAGTTTTATTGGGAAAGGCATTGTCAATGTGATAACCAAGTTTAAGAAAGCAGTATCGGCCAGGACAGTGGCTCACACCTGTAATCCCAGCACTTTGGAAGGCCATCGCGGGCAGATCACTCGAAATGGATGGATCACATGAAGTTAGGGGTTCACAGACCAACCTGGCCAACATGGCAAAAACCCATCTCTACTAAAAATACAAAAAAAATTTAGCCTGGTATGGTGGCAGGCGCTTGTAGTCCCAACTACTCAGGAGGCTGAGGCAGGAAAATCGCTTGAACTCGGCAGGAGGGGGTTGCAGTGAGCCGAGATCACGCCACTGCACTCTAGCCTGGGTGACAGAGACTTCATTCCCCCCTCCCCCCCCCCAAAAAAAAGCAGTGTATAAAACTGTATGTATTTTTGCTTTTAAGATTTTTTTTTTTTTTGAGACAGTCTCACTCTGTTACCCAAGCTGGAGTGCAGTGGCATGATCTCGGCTCACTGCAACCTGCGCCTCCCAGGTTCAAGGGATCCTTGTGCCTCAGCCTCCCAAGTAACTTGGATTACAGGTGCCCACCACCACACCTGGCTAATTTTTTTGTATTTTTAGTAGAGACGGGGTTTCACCATGTTGGCTAGGCTGGTCTCAAACTCCTGACCTCAAGTGATCCTCCCGCCTTGGCCTCCCAAAGTGCTGGAATTACAGGCGTGAGCCACCACGCCTGGCCTGCTTTTAAGATATATATGTATATAAACTAAATTTTGTTTTTGAAAGGTAAGTATGTATAAAAACTAAATTTTGTTTTTAAAAGTATGCCTAAAGTGCCTTAGAAAAAAAAAAAAACTAGAAGTAACCAAAAATGTTAATTAAAAAAATTTTAAGTAGTAAATTTTTGGTTTGTTTTTGTTTCTTTCTCTTATTTTCTTCAGTGAACATATAATCAGTGAGATTTTATAATCAAAAAGTTTTGTTTAAAAAGATCGTTTTAAGTTGATATGTCTGGCCAAAATAAAATTGATCCTTTAAAGTATTTTTTTAAGGAATCTTGTCTTCATCTCCTCTTCATATCCTTATTTGTTCTAGTCTTTCACTTTTGAAAGTTTTCTTTCTTTTCTTTGCTGCCAAAGGTAACAATAGCTTCTCTCTCTAGCAGAAATAGAGCCTTCTCTTAGCGCTGCATTATCTCACTGACTGCTACCTGTCTTCCCTCTCCGGCTTCCCTTACAAACTCTTCAAGTAAAGCCTGTCTGTAGTGTTCTTAACATCACCTCTGAATGCCACATTTACTGGAATCACCCACTGAAACGCCGTTAGTGCCTTCAGTGCAGTTGCTTTTATTTTTACTTAATACAGTACTACTTCTCTTTTTATTTATTTTGGTACCACCACATTTACCTGCACATCAGGGAATTAAGTATTCCACGGGGGTTGATTGTTTTACTTAGCATAATGTTTTTAAGGTTCATCCATATCATAGAACGTATCGGTACTTCATTTTTTTAAATTGCCAAAAAAATTTATCGTGTAGATATACCACCTTTGTTTATTCATTAGTTGCTAGACATTTAGGTTGTTTCTACATTTTGGCTCCTATGAATCAGGCTGCTGTGGACATTCATGTACAAGTTTTTGTGTGGACATGTTTTCATTTCTATTGGACATATGCCTATGAATAGAATTACTGAGTCATATAGTAACTCTGTGTTTAGCATTTTGAGGAACTGCCAGATTGTTTTCCAACATGGCGTCACCATTTTACATTCTCGCCTGCGGCTTATTAAGGTTCCAGTTTCCCCACATCCTCATCAACACTTATCTTTTTTATTATAGCTATGCTAGTGGGTATGAAGTTAAACCTCCTTATATTTTGACTTGCATTTCTTTAATGACTAATGATGTTGAACATTATGTCATGTACTTATTGATCATTTTTGTAACTTCTTTGGAGAAATGTCTATTCAAATTTGTTGTCCATTTTTAAATTGGGTTTTTATTTTTGAGTTGTGAAAGTTCTTTGTATACTCTAGAAGACTTGCCAAAAACATGATTTGCAAGTTTTTTTTTTGTTTGTTTGTTTTTTTAAGAGACGGGGTCTCCTTCTGTTGCCCGGGCTGGAGTACAGTGGCACAGTCATAGCTCACTGTAACCTTGAATGCATGGACTCAGGCGATTCTTCCATCTCAGCCTCCTGAGTAGCTGGGACTACAAGTACATGCCACCACACCTGGCTAATTTTTCTGTTTTTTGTAGAGATGGGGTATTGCTATGTTGCCCTGGCTGGTCTTGAACCCTGGCCTCAAGTGATCCTCCTGCCTCAGCCTCTCAAAATGCTGGGATTATAGGCATGAGCCGCCATGTCCAGCCTGAAGCTACTTTGTATAATCTTTTCTTTGTCTTTTTGAATTTTTTTATTTCTACTTGTTTTTCTGTGGACTTTTATAGAGAAATAACTACTTTTTTATTTTTATTTTTATTGGAACAATTCAGTAATTTAATTAAGTCAGGTATAAATAAAAGCTGTTACTGAAAAACAATATTTGCTTGCCTCTCTTCTCCTCTGTCTCATTCCCTAGAGGCTTCCCTTCTTAACTTTTTTAGAAGTTTCTTTTACAGTGTTAAAAATGCCCTCTGTATTAGCAGAAACTGTCTACTCATTTAAATATTTCTGAATATAGACTTTAAGTTTTACATTTCAGTTAAGGAGCAGAAATTGACCATGATTGTGTATTTTCCCCCTCTTTTGAAGAGTTTCTTAGTATATTTTCATTATCTATTTGGAGACAAGTAGGTTTTGTGCCTTATTGATACTCCATAAATTTGTGTCCATTTAATTCTCTCAACATGAGAAATAACTAGCCGGGCCTGTAATCCTAGCACTTTGGGAGGCTGAGGCAGGTAGATCACAAGGTCAGGAGTTTAAGACCAGCCTGGTCAAGATGGTGAAACCCCATCTCTACTAAAAATACAAAAAATTATCCAGATATGGTGGCGGGTGCCTGTAATCCCAGCTACTTGGGAAGCTGAGGCAGAGAATTGCTTGAACCCAGGAGGCGGAGGTTGCAGTGAGCCGACATTGCACCATTGCGCTCCAGCCTGGGCAACAGAGTGAGACTCCGCCTCAAAAAAAAAAGACAAATAACTTTATGCAAAGATGATTTAGTATAAATCTCACATTTCAAGGCCTCTTAAGTAGCCTTGGAAGTAAATAGTCCTCTTGCTCTTAATGCAGGGGCTTTCAGAATTTTTTGACCTTAACCCACCCACAATAAGAAACATCTTTATGTCATTACCCCCAACACCACCCATACAGGTATAACTAAAACACAAGTTTCACAAATGATACTTACTTTTATTTTATGTGATCACTCTCTTATTTTCTGTTTGGTCTGTTCCATTAAAAATATGCTGGTGGAGGCCTACTAAATTGATTTCACAGATATATTGAGATGCATAATTCAAAAAATGCTGTCTGGATGAAGGTTAATCTTAGTAAAGCTCCTTTTTTTTTTTTTTTTTTTTTTGAGATGGAGTCTTTTTCTGCCACCCAGGCTGGAGTGCAGTGGCACGATCTCAGCTCATTGCAAGCTCCGCCTCCTGGGTTCAAGCGATTCTTTTGCCTCAGCCTCCCAAGTAGCTAGAATTTACAGGTGTTTGCCACCATGCCTGGCTAATTTTTGTGTTTTTAGTAGAGACAGGATTTTGCCACGTTGGCCAGGCTGGTCTCAAACTCCTGACCTCAGGTGATCCACCTGCCTCAGCTCCCAAAGTGCTGGGGTTACAGGCGTGAGCCACTGCACCCAGCCAGTAATGCTACTTTAAGTAATATTATTCATTTTCTTTCAAAAGACACTAAGATTTTACATGGACATCTTGAAAATGTTCTTTGCATTTTATTTCAGATTGGAAGAGTAGGAAGATTAGGTCAAAATGGAACAGCGATTACTTTCATCAATAATAATTCAAAAAGACTCTTCTGGGATATTGCAAAACGAGTAAAGCCCACAGGATCCATTCTTCCCCCTCAGTTATTAAATTCCCCATACCTTCATGACCAGAAGAGAAAGGAACAACAGAAAGATAAACAGACACAGAATGATCTGGTTACAGGAGCTAATCTTATGGATATTATCAGAAAACATGATAAAAGTAATTCTCAGAAATGATTTTCTCTGCCACTTGAATATTTTTTTTTATTGTATATAGTCAGCAAAAAATTATGGTTTGCATAAATGGAAATGTACATGAATTTTAAAAATTTTAAGATATTTTTAATTTAATAAAATTTATATAACTATATTGTATTTATTTCCCTTAATTCTTATAAATTAAAAACATCAGAAAATGAATTATTAAATAAAAGACAGTGTTTTCTTTTCTGGATGAAGTTTCTTTTTTCTTTTTAAAATAAACAGTCCTCAGAGCTACTGTCAGAACCAGAAACCTCCACAAAGACTCTGACTCGGATCAGTGATTGTTTTACTTGGTTCCCCCACAGTTCCACAAGCACATTGGCACTTAAATTACTGTTGAATAAATGAGAATTAGGAAAAATGTAAATGATAGAAACTGGAAGAAATTTTCAGAACCACTTTTGAAAGATAAATATGAAATGTCTACTTTCATTCTCAGTTGTTTTACCTTCTGCTTGGTTAATGCTGTTTTAAAAATAAGATAGGCTACTTATCAAAATAATGTCATTGTGTTATTGAATGAATGTTGCCCTGCTAATTCAATTAATAGGTTTTTTGTTTGTTTTTGTTTTTGTTTTTGTTTTGAGACAGAGTCTCGCTCTGTCGCCCAGGCTGGAGTGCAGTGGCACGATCTCGGCTCACTGCAAGCTCTGCCTCCTGGGTTCATGCCATTCCCTTTCCTCAGCCTCCCAAGTAGCTGGAACTACAGGCGCCTGCCACCACGCCCGGCTAATTTTTTGTATTTTTAGTAGAGATGGGGTTTCACTGTGTTAGCCAGGATGGTCTCAATCTCCTGACTTTGTGATCCGCCTGCCTCGGCCTCCTAAAGTGCTGGGATTACAGGCATGAGCCACCACGCCTGGCCTACTTGTTTATAAATAAAAGTGGCATGGCCAGAAAAACAGCATTTACAGGATATGTAGTTTTGTTTTGTTTTTTTGAGATAGCATCTCACCCTGTCACCCTATACTGGAGTGCAGTGGCATGATCATGGCTCACTACAGCCTTAACCTCCCAGGCTCCAACAATCCTCCCACCTCAGCCTCCCAAGTAGCTGGGACCACAGGCGTTGTCTCACTATGTTGCTCAGGCTGGTCTCAAACTCCTGGCCTCAAATGATCCTCCTGCCTCTGCCTGCCAAAGTTCTGGAAAGGAAACTATTATTTTAACAAAAATAATATTATTTGAGAGACTGTAGTAATGCAAAAAAATATTAGCTATAGTATAACCCCACTGGTTTACTTAATTTGCTGGCAGTCTGGCTTCTTCCCACCACTGTACATACATGATCTTCCCGTGGTCTCTGTTGACCTTCTTAAACCACATGTTCTGCCAGCTCTCACTTTAAACTTTTTTATTGCGTCGGTCATTGTGGGCCACCCTTCTTGAAACCCACACTTTCTTAAGGCCAGGTGATGAGTTAGAGGTGGAGGAAAGAGCC
The DNA here is from genome assembly GCF_000001405.40 of Homo sapiens. Classification (NCBI taxonomy): domain Eukaryota; kingdom Metazoa; phylum Chordata; class Mammalia; order Primates; family Hominidae; genus Homo; species Homo sapiens. The sequence goes on along the minus strand of NC_000001.11, from coordinate 200,642,785 downwards.
CCTAACTCACAGGCTTATTATGAGAGTTAAGCGCAGTTGCATATGTCAAATACCCAATAGGGGAGAAGCCGGCTATCAGCGCCCTTCCCTTTACTTCCCTCTCGCCACACAATTTTCAGACTCCTGTTACTGGTTCTTCCTGCCTCTCTGAATCTTGACTTCTGCTTCTCATTCCTTAAGATCTTTCCTTTGGCAACTTCCTTGTCTCACATGTCTGCTCTTCTGTTGTCTGGGGTGCAGCAATGCAGTGGTTTCCTCAATTATGTATTTTAGAGACCAGAACATTAGACTTTTAAAAAAATTTGGTCCCAGTGTTGCCAGTATTTTTTTCCCAATTAAAGATCTTCTTTTTAAAAAGCTACCACCTATCATTAGTTCATGAAAGAAAAAACATGTAGTACTAAACAAGAGAGAAGGACTTACTCTCTGAATAAGAGACCATCCTTCCCCAGAAAGGACACTAATGTACTATATTATAAAATTTTAAATAATAGATTTTTGTGAGAATTACCATACAGTTTAAATTTTTAATTAGCTAAAAAAACTAATAATCACATACACTCTCAGACATTTGTTTTACAGTAACTATATTATAAAAATACTGAATTGGTTGCTTTATTGCCAGATTGAAGCAAACATCTTTTATATGGCAAACACCTTAAGGGGTGGCTTTTAGATTCTAGAATATTCAGTGCCACTTTATAAGATACTTTTAATGCCATTCTATTAGTATTTCTAATACCAAGCACATTTTTATTTTATTTATTTTTTTATTATTATTTTGAGATGGAGTCTCACTCTGCTGTCCAGGCTGGAGTGCAGCAGCGTTATCTTGGCTCACTGCAACCTCCACCTCCCAGGTTCAAGTGATTCTCCTGCCTCAGCCTCCTGAGTAGCTGGGACTACAGCTGTACACCACCACGCCCAGCTAATTTTTGTATTTTTAGTAGAGACTGGGTTTCACCATGTTGGCCAGGATGGTCTCCATCTCTTGACCTAGTGATCCACCCACCTCGACCTCCCAAAGTGCTGGGATTACAGGCCTGAGCCACCACACACAGCCTAATTTTTGTATTTTTAGTAGAAATGAGGTTTCACCATGTTGGCCAGGCTGGTCTCAAACTCTGGACCTCAGGTGATCCGCCCACCTTGGCCTCCCATGGTGCTGGGATTACAGGCGTGAGCCACCACACCCAGCCTAATTTTTGTATTTTTAGTAGAGACAAGGTTTCACCATGTTGGTCAGGCTGGTCTCAAACTCCAGGCCTCAGGTGATCTGCCCATCTTGGCCTCCCAAAGTGCTGGGAGCCACCACGCCCAGGCCCAAGCACGTTTTTTAAATCACCTTTTTATTCAACAAGTCAAAGTGGGTTCTTTTTTTTTTTTTTAGTTTTTTTGGTTTCATAACATCTTTACAAAGATCATTGCCACATATTTAAACTGTGACTCACTGATTAATTTAATAAATCTAAGCTGGATCCACGACCTGTCATATTTTCCAGTAAAACTACACTATTTTCTTCTGGCAGCTGAATATTATTTGGGTTGTGCCCTTCTCTGGAATTAATATCAACGCATCTCTTATTGCCTTGTTATACAGTCTACTCACCACAATCAATATGAAGTTTACTCCATAAACAGAGGTATGGTACAAGAGGTAACGTGTCATCCAAGGTGACTTTCCTGGCAGCCACCAGTAAACTGACTCCGGACAGATAGGACTCTTTTGTTGCCGCCAAGGCATACTTACAATGACCTCAGAGGCTCTAGGGCCACAGTGTGAAAACCAACCAATGGATAATTAAGTAAACACAGTTCTCTTGTTCTACTGTTAGTGTGAGAACCTATTTTATATTTTATAATGTGTTGCACGTGTGATGATATAGGACAAAATTACAAATAAAGCATAAGACGAGTGTTTATTTTTGTAATGTTTACAAATAGTAACTTACAAATAAATTTTAGCTTTGAAAAATTTGCACATCAGCTTTACTTTCCTCATTTCATCGCAGAAAGAAGACCCCTTGGCAAAGCTGTTTGCAAATAACTGGATTCCGTTTACAGCTCTACCAGTTTTGTTTTTTTAATAGGGCAAATTAATTACTTCTCTAATCTTTAGCTTTGCTCAACTGTAAAATGAGAAAGTTTGCTTTAAGGTTCTCTGAGGTTTTCCCCAAATCTATATTTTCTGTGCTTCATACTTTTAAATCCCTATCTCCATGTCTAGAATTTGCTTCAGAATAATACAAGGTGAGGACTGTGGATGAAGTTTGGCCAAGAGTTTATCATTATTAAAGTCAGGTGATAGGCCATGAAAGTTCATTACTATTTGATTTACATTTGATGTATTTGAAATATTACATGATAAAAACATATATACACATACAATCTCCAATCCCATCCTTTTGCTTGTGCCCTGGCTCCTTTCTATCTAGCTAGCTAGCTAGCTAGCTATAGTTGAAGATATATATCTTCAACTTTTCACTGAACTTTTTGCCTCAAAATCGGCATTTCCAAAGCCAAATTTATCATCTTCCCTACAGAAAGCCTAGTTCCTCCTTTCTGACTTCCCTATTGCCTATGGTGCTACCACGCCCCCAGTCCTGCTCAGTCAAAGCCCTGCTGTCATCACTGACTCATTTCTCTTCCTAATCTCCATATCTGCTTAGTCACGAAGTCCTATCTGTATTTTTTCAAAATGTCCACATTTTCATGCTGGTACTGAAGCCCAAGACTTCATCACTTCAAAATATTAGCCCTTTCCCCTCAATATTCCTCTAATCCACAGGAATCCACAGGAGGAGAATATTTTCCAAGTAAAATATCACTACAGTAAGTACTCACTTCATGTCGTTGATAAATTCTTGGAAACTGTGACTTTAAGTGAAACGACACATAGCAAAACCAATTCTACCACAGGTTAATTGATATAAACAAGAGTGAAGTTCCCATGGCATATTCCTGGTCACAAAAATATCACCGAACTTTTAAATACAGACCAAAGCACTTCTGATAGTAAACATTGAAAGCTCGATGGCCGGGCGCGGTGGCTCACGCCTGTAATCACAGCACTTTGGGAGGCTGAGGTGGGCAGATCACGAGGTGAAGAGATCGAGACCACCCTGGCTAACACAGTGAAACCCCGTCTCTACTAAAAATACAAAAAATTAACCGGGCGTGGTGGCGGGCGCCTGTAGTCCCAGCTACTCGGGAGGCTGAGGCAGGAGAATGTCGTGAACCCGGGAGGCAGAGGTTGCAGTGAGTCGAGATCACGCCACTGCACTCCAGCCTGGGCGACAGAGCAAGACTACAAGAAAACACACAAACAAAACATTGAAAGTTCTGGCCGGGCGTGGTGGCTCATGCCTGTAATCCCAGCACTTTGGGAGGCCAAGGCGGGCGGATCACCTGAGGTCGAGAGTTTGAGACCAGCCTGACCAACATGGAGAAACCCCATCTGTACTAAAAAATACAAAAATTAGCCAGGCGTGGTGGCACAGGCCTGTAATCCCAGCTACTCAGAGGCTGAGGCGGGAGAATCGCTTGAACCTGGGAAGCGGAGGATGCTGTGAGCCGAAATCGTGCCATTGCACTCCAGCCTGAGCAACGAGAGCGAAACTCTGTCTCAAAAAATAAAACAAAACAAAAAAACATTGAAAGCTCATCCCAGCAGCCCAGGGGGCCAGGTGGGAACCCACCCTGGACAGACTACCATCCCTTTGCAGGGAGCACTCACACCCACAGTCCACTCCCACGCAGGGAGCACTCACCCACACTCCACTCACATGCAGGGAGCATTCACTCACCCGCACTCCACTCCTATGCAGGGAGCACCCACTCACCCACACTCACATTGGGACCATGTAGACATGCCAATGACCTTACGTGCACACCTTTGGGATGTGGGAGGAAACCACAGCACCCAAAGATAACCCATGCCGACATAGGGAGAACATACGAACTCCACACAGACAGTGGCCCCAGCCGGGAATCCATGTTTTTCTCATCAACATTATAACGCGGCCAGGCATGGTGGCACAAGCCTATAATCCCAGCACTTTGGGAGGCCGAGGTGGACAGATCGCTTGAGCCCAGGAGTTTGAGAACAGCCTGGGCAACATAGTGAGACCCTCTTCTCTACAAAAAAAAAAAAATGCAAAAATTAGCCAGCCCTGGTGGCATGTGCCTATGGTCCTAGCTACTCGCCTGAGCCTGGGGAGGCCGAGGTTTCAGTGAGCTGTGATCATGCTGCTTCTCTCCAGCCTGGGTAACAGTGAGAATCTGTTTAAAAAACAAAACATTATAACGAAATGGCATTGAGCAAAATGATGTTATTCGAGGACCTGCTGTCCTTCTCTGATGTTTCCTTACTCAGAAACCTTCAACTGCTCCCGGCTAACAGCCTCATCAAATCTGAGTTCTTCTGGCTGGTGTTCGAATCCCTCCTTCTCAGTGCATTTTACAACTCTTCCCTGTGCTCCCCAGGTGGCAGCATCTGCCATGGCTTTCTCCGCCCAATACCATCACTGAAGGATTGGATAGTTCACCAGAACTTCCGTGAACACATTCACAGTACAGATAATTAACTACTGGCGATCAGGGACTGATATGTCTCTGACAAGTTCTCAAAAATCCAACATATCTAAAGGAAAGCAAAGAGTCTGCTAAGAGAAGGGCGATTTTAACTAGGGAGGGACTGTTTTTAACTTTTTTTTTTCTATTTGGAATCCTGTGATATTTACATTGGAATTACAGAGAATTTTAAGGGCTGGGAGTCAGGAGATAATAGTAAAATGAATCCTGAAGCCAGGGCAGCATTTTAGAACTGACAAAGCTGCTATGGCATAAGAGTTAGGCAACCGAGTGCATTCAATTAAATGTAGTGCTTCACAGAAAGGACATTAGGGCATTTATAAACAAGTGTCATGATTTTTGTTTTTGTTTTTGTTTTTTTTTTGAGACTGAGTCTCTCTCTGTCTCCCAGGCTGGAGTGCAATGGCATGATCTTCACTCACTGCAACCTCTGCCTCCCGGGTTGAAGCGATTCTCCTGCCTCAGCCTACCAAGTAGCTGGAATTACAGGTGGGTGCCACCACACTCAGCTAATTTTTGTATTTTTAGTAGAGATGGGGTTTCACCATGTTGGCCAGGCTGGTCTCGGACTCTTGACCTTAGTGAGCCACCAGCCTCGGCCTCCCAAAGTGCTGGGATTATAGGCGTAAGCCACCACTCCCAGCCAAAGTGTCATGATTTTTATGACATTTTACACAATTAAGTAGTTTATGACTTTCATGAATGCAAAAATATAAATACAGAAAATTCCTAATTGAAATAGCATTTTATATAAATGTGCGTGTATGCGTCTACATACACACTAACACACAGAAATTATCTTTGGAAGGATAGTAAAAAGGCAAATGTGGTAGCCTATGGAGAGGAGACAGCTGGGAGATGTTCACTATATGTCCTTTTAAAATAATGAGCAGATTTCATATTCATTTACTTATGGATAAATAAATATTCAATTTCCTTTAAATTCTTTTGGATTTGAGGGTGAAGAAAAAGTGTGGAAGTTTGTGTGTGTGTTTTAGTATAAGTAGTTATACTTTAATTTTATTTATGGAGAAAGATAGCATTGTGTTAAGAAATTAGTTTGTAGCCTGAGCAACATAGCGAGACCCTGTCTTTACAAAAAATTAAAAAATCAGCTGGGTGTGGTGGAATGTACCTATAGTCCTAGCCACTCAGCAGGTTGAGGTTGGGAGGATCGCTTGAGCCCAGGAGGTCAAGGCTGCAGTGAGCTGTTTGAACAATTGCACCCCAGCCTGGGTGATAGAGCAGGACCCTATCACAAAAAAAGGAAAAAGAGAGAGAAAGAGAGAAAGGAAGGAAGGAAGGAAGAAAGGAAGGAAGGGAGGAAGGGAGGGAAGGAAGGAAAGAAAGAAAGGGAGAGATAGAGGGAGAGAGAGAGAAAAGAAAGAAAGAAAGAGAAAGAAAAAGAAAAATTAGTTTGTATACTTGAACTTTCATTAATAGATATTAAATAGTACATGTAAAATTATAAATCATTCAAACCTCTAGAAAATTAAATAATTGGCTGGGCGCGGTGGCTCATGCCTGTAATCCCAGCACTTTGGGAGGCCGAGGCAGGTGGATCACCTGATGTCAGGAGTTCGAGACCAGCCTGGCCAACATGGTGAAACCCTGTCTCTACTAAAAATACAAAAATCAGCTGGGCCTGGTGGCGCCTGCCTGTAATCCCAGCTACTCAGGAGGCTGCGGCAGGAGAATTGCTTGAACTCAGGAGGCAGAGCCAAGATCTCACCACTGCACTCCAGCCTGGGCAACCAAGCAAGACTCTGGCTCAAAAAAAAAAAAAAAAAGAAAAGAAAAAGAAAATTAAAATGATTTACCTTAATGTTGTTGGAGAGGTATTGGGTGATGATGCATTTCTGACTTTTTTTTAAAAATGAGAGATCATTGTAAATGATTCAAGGATTCATATGAGGTTTAAAGAAAGACCCAGACTAAAGGTGTCCTGGGCACATCAATCCAGGAACTGAGGAATCAGTAGTGGCTCCAAGGTGAAGAAGGTCTGATAGCTCAGATTTCTCCTGCCATCCTCTCCTAGCATTCAGTGTGTACTGAAGATAATAGGTTCTGACTGAGCTGTATGCTTCCTTTTAAGAAAATCTGTAAAGTAGGATTCTCTGGATTTCAATTTCCTGTATGTGTAATTGAAGCTTCCATAGCTTTTCTTGATTAATCTTTGAGTATGGTTTTAATCTTGGATACATAGTACTTTCAAATAACTAATTAAGTTGTTGATCTCCATTTTGTTTTGCAAAAACATTGGTTTTTCCTGTTTAAGTTAGTAACCAAAAGCCTAGATAGCCTTTGTGAGACCAGTGAACTCAATAGATTTGTTTTTTTAAAAAAAAGAAAATACAGATGGCCGGGTGCAGTGGCTCATGCCTGTAATCCTAGCACTTTGGGAGGCCAAGGCAGGTGGATCACGAGGTCACAGTTGGAGACCAGCCTGGCCAACATGGTGAAACCCTGTCTCTACTAAAAATACAAAAATTAGCTGGGCATGGTGGCGGGCGCCTGTAATCCCAGCTACTCGGGAGGCTGAGGCAGGAGAATCATTTGAACCTGGGAGGTGGAGGTTGCAGTGAGCTGAGATCGAGCCACTGCACTCCAGCCTGGGTGACAGGGCGAGACTCCGCCTCAAAAAAAAAACCAAAAAAAAATACAGACATCAGCCGGGCATGGTGGCTCACACCTGTAATCCCAGCATTTTGGAAGGCCAAAGCAGTGGGCAGATTGCTTGAGCTCAGGAGTTCAAGACCAGCCTGAGCAACATGGTGAAACCCCATCTCTACAAAAAATACAAAAATTAGCCAGGCATGGTGGCACACACCTGTAGTCCCAGCTACTCAGGAAGCTGAGGTGAGAGGATCACCTGAGCCTGGGAAGTTGAGGCTGCAGTGAGCTGAGATCATGCCACTGCACTCCAGCCTGGGTGACAGAGTGAGACTTGGTCTTAAATAAATAAATAAATAAAGGAGATACCTGCATCAGTTAGATGTATACCTATAATGACCACTTATTCCAATACCAAAATATGGACATAATCTTACAGAAGATTTGTTTTTCCTGATAGATAAGTGCATTTATATGATTAGTCTTTCACAGGTTTAAAATCAATCATATCAGTTATATATGTAGTAGATTGCCAAAAATCCAGGCCATATTATTGCTGCATAGGACTTGTGTAGATAGGCTATGATGGTGACATCTTCTGATATTCAGACCTTATGATCCTTAGTGACCATGATTAACATATGCAAAGGTCTTTTACAAAAAGTCAAATTTCTTTATAGATCTGAAAGTTTCAGACAGCTTTTGAAAGCAGAGTCCATGTCTCTGCAGCTTGCTTGAGCTTTCATTCTCATCTTTTCTAATCTCAAGAAAATGCTAGTCACCAGAGTATTCTGATTAACTGCATTTAATTTTTTAGTCTCTACAAAAGCTAACCAGGAGAAGGTAGAAGAGGTAGGGCTAGAGTTAGAGATAAAGGTTGGACACATGAGAGCAAGTTCACAGAGCTGCTGGGCAGTATGTGAACAGTGCCCCCTGGAGTTGTGCAATGAGGTGTCTGCAAGTTTTGGGGTGTTTGTGAGAATGCAAAGAGGTGAATGTTGTGATCGTAGTTAACCCCCCACAGCATTTGGCATCTTTGGCAGCAATGCAATGACTAGAAGCTAGGACAGCTAGGATTTGGTGCTTGGCTTCCTCCTGGCCTCTCTGAGCTCCTTGGTTACAGCCCTGTATCCCCTCACCATTTATATTCATAGTGCATCCTGGCCTGCTGAACATAGCACAGAACACTGGTGAGTCCCTGTAGTTGGTGGTGAGTGTGGGTGTGCATGGAAGGGCAGACATTTGGCAATAAGTAAGGGAAAAAGTGATGATATTTATCACGATTTCATGAGCATCAAGACTTCATTTTTGTGCTCATTAGGTCTTTATTTCACAAAAGGAAGCAAAATCTCATAAATAAATATAAAAATTTTTATTTGGTTGAAAGAGCAACAAAGTAGCCAGTTACCATAAAGTTTTATGCTTTGTTGGAGGAGCACTATTTTATTATTTCATTTAAAATAAGTATGCTAAATAGTAAAATGGTAATTATGAAAATGAAACTGTGAATTTCATAAAACTGTTAATAATAGCAAATAATCATCAGTTAAGTATTTAGGGGACCAGTTCCTATGCTTTTAACAATATGAAATGAAAATAACAATATAATTATTTTTAAAATAATGTAGTCAATGAAAGTAGAAGGTGAGTAAAGAAACAATCAAAGATCAAAGAAGGTAAGACCATAAAGCAATGAACCAAACTAAATGAGGATGACTGATACTCTTTTTGATTAGTTTTTTTACTAACACTAATAGTTAGGGAAAAACAAAAATATATGGTTAGATGGAGCTGCAATGGACTGATGAAGGTTGAAGTAATTGCACTCTCTTAAATAGTCTCTGGTTATTATCCACAATTTAAAGCTACTGGAGAAGCTAATGATTAAATTACTTCTAAGACAATAGACTTAGAATTCCTTTCTTACTAGTTAATAGACACAGTTTCTCTGACAAATGAAAAGGAGCTATTGTAGATCAGAAATCATTTAGTGATTCTTTAAGGAGCAAGATAATAGCTCAAACTTTTAAACTGTTTAACAAAGGTAATGAATAACACTGCTGTAACATTTCCTGGGTATCAGACAGTGTTCTAACTCCTTTTTTTTAAATTTTTTAATTTTTGAGATGGAGGCTTTCTCTGTCACCCAGGCTGGAGTGCAGTGGCACAATCTCCATTCACTGCAACCTCTGCCTCCCAGATTCAGGCGATTCTCCTGCCTCAGCCTCCCAAGTAGCTGGGACTACAGGCGCATGCCACCATGCCCAGCTATCTTTTGTATTTTCAGTAGAGACGGGGTTTTGCCATGTTGGCCAGGCTGGTCTCAAACTCCTGACCTCATGTGATCCACCTGCCTCAGCCTCCCAAATTGCTGGGATTACAGGTGTGAGCCACTGCGCCTGGCCTGTTCTGACTACTATTGATGAGTAATTTGTTTAATTCTGACAAAAGCTCTATGAAGTAGGTACAATTTTAAATCATCATTTTACAGATTTCAGAGGGGTTACCTAAGGTGCCCAAGGTAAGTGGCAGAGCCAGGATTCAGACTTAGGCAGTCTGGCCTTTGCACCTGTATACAGAACCACTTCCCTGTGCTGAGTTTTGGTAGAGATAGGACAACATATACATTCCTTCCTCTGTATTTTGGGTATTCCCATTTCTTCTGAAAGCAGGCACTGTATCCTCTGTCCAAAAACAAAACATCTGGGGCCAGACAGATCACCTGGCCACTTTTCCCTAGAGAGGGAAAGTATGAATGTGCATGAGCCATTGGCAGCCCACAGACCCATTGGCGGGCTAGGACCAGAGCCCAAGCCTTTGGACATCTTCCATGACATTATTCTGCCTACTTTGTTAGTCCTCAGAATCCCTAGAACATATCTGTGCTAGGCTCTCAGTAACTGCTTAGAGAACTATTTATATAGTATATAACACAATAAAAATAAAACCTATTTAGAACATTTATATATTATTAAAATTTATATAAAGTAACATAATAAAACACTATAAATAACATAGTGTTTCATTTTTAAATTTTTAGATTTATAGTCATTAAAAAGAAAGCGAAATTCTGTAATACTTGGCAATATATAAAAAGCATCCTTAAAACTGAATTCAAAATTTTTTTTTTTTTTTAGATGGAGTTTTCACTCTTATTCCCCAGGCTGGAGTGCAGTGGCATGATCTCAGCTCACTGCAACCTCTGCCTGCCAGGTTCAAGCGATTCTCCTGCCTCAGCCTCCCGAGTAGCTGGGATTACAGGCACACGCCACACCACCACACCTGGCTAATTTTTTGTTTTTAGTAGAGACAGAGTTTTGCCATGTTGGCCAGTCTGGTCTCGAACTCCTCACCTCAAGTGATCCACCTGCCTAGGCCTCCTAAAGTCCTGGGATTACAGGCGTGAGCCACCGCGCCTGGCCAAAAATTGAATACTGGATTGATTGATTTTTTTCCCCTAAAATATTAGGAAGATAATAGTTATGGACACTTGATCTAGGTTTTCTCATTCTCTTTGTTGATATATAATTCAGAAATTTATAAATATTAAACTCTCGGTTGTGACAAATTAGATTACTACTCAGCAAATAGCCATTTCCTTTTTCCTGCACCTTCTTGCTCCACTGACTTTGGGCTTGGCCAATGGAATGAAAGCAAATGTGTTAAGAGCAGAGGTTTTAAATGATCTTGCTCCATGTAGCCACTGCCCCTTCAATCTGATCCCAGAAAGACACATGAAGTCGACCTGAACCTCACAAGCAGCCTGAAATAGAGCCACCCCAGCCAACTATCGGACCTATGACCAAGGAAGTGAATGCTTATTGGAAGCCATTGAAATTTTGGAGGTGTTTGTTATGCAGCATTATTGCAGCAGAAACTGGACTACCATGGAAATCTTTATAGTGGTAGAAAAAGGAAGTCACGTTTACTAACAACTTACATGTGCCAACTGGTTTATATTCATTAACCCACATAATCCTTACAACAACATCATGTAGTAGGAACTATTACTATCCCATTTTACAGATGAGAAGACTGAGGCACAGAGGGGTTAAGTAACTTGCCCAAGATTGCATTCCAGGCATAGTAAAACATGGATTTAAGTCCAAGTCTATATAATTATAAAACTTGTGCCTTTTTCCCACTACTACCTCATATAAGTTTGCATGATTCTTTGTTTTATTATATTATTATTATTTTTTGAGACAGAGTTTCACTCTGTTGCCCAGGCTGGAGTGCAGTAGTCTGATTATGGCTCACTGCAGCCTCCACCTCCCAGGCTCAAGCGATCCTCCCACCTCAGCCACCTGAGTAGCTTGAACTACAGGTGCATAGTACCACACCTGGCTAAGTTTTTTATTTTTATTTTTTGTAAAAACAGGGTCTGACTATGTTGCCCAGGCTGGTCTCAAACTCCTTGCCTCAAGCGATCCCCCACTTTTAGCTTTAGTGCTGGGATTACAGGCATGAGCCACCATGCCTGGCCCTACATGATTCTTTGAATCCCAGGTATAAAACAAGAATTTTTGAAATAAAAATTATGGCCGGGAGCCATGGCTCATGCCTGTAATCCCAGCACTTTGGGAGGCCGAAGCGGGCAGATCACGAGGTCAGGAGTTCGAGATCAGCCTGGCCAACACAGTGAAACCCTGTCTCTACTGAAAATACAAAAATTAGCCTGGTATGGTGGTGCGCATCCGTAATCACAGCTACTCAGTCAGGAGGCTGAGGCAGGAGAATCTCTTGAACCTGGGAGGCGGAGGTTGCAGTGAGCTGAGATTGCGCCACTGCACTCCAGCCTGGCGATAAAGCGAGACTCCGTCTCAAAAAATAAATAAATAAATAAATAAAAATAAAATAAAATAAAATAAAACTTATTTAAAATAATACACAAATCAGTATTATTATTCCAACAATAATAAAATATTTAAAAGGAAAATAACACCAAAGAGAAGATGAAACATTTGATTCTACATGTTCAATGTTAAACATTATAAGAATAGAGACTCGTTGCAATTGGAACAAGCTATTAGAATTCAGACACCAGTAGCTATATCTGAGGAGTTAAAATGTTTCTTCGTGGGCATTATTAAAAACCAAATAAACCTGGAAGGGCTGTTTTCAAGTTTCTAGCAACAAGAAACAGAGGGTTTATTCTATTCTGTAATTCTTGTGACAAACTGTACCTACTTGTCTTGAGAGTTACTCATGCTTTTGTTCATCCAGACAGGCCTCGGGTCAGAACCGGCTCAGCAAATGACCCAGATGCTGTGGTAGACAAAGTCTGTGACATATGGTTTCTGCCCTCAAAAGACTTAAAGTTTCACTGGGAAGCCCAGAAGTAGGTTGAAGCATATTGGGTTGCTCTTCAAGCTGCTCCCGTTTATTTTTGGTGGAGGGTGATAGTGGAAGGCAAAGTGCGCAAGCTACGGGAGATGCTGACCCCAAGGGGCCCTTTCTTCAGTTTTCCCTCAGCTGCCACTGCAGATCTTTTTCACTCTTTTCAGAGGCAGTGAGAGAACAGGTCTGTTTGCATTCCTTGCTGTCCAGTCCTACGGGGCGGGTAAAAAAAGAGAAAGATGGGGCAGCAGGGACCCTGGCTTTCCAAGGACTGTGACCATTTTGCCTCATAGCTCTTCACACCTTGGCAGTGGATGGAGAGCCAAAATAACCTTGGCACCTTCCCCTCCTTGTTCCGTGCCCATCTCCCTTCGTGCAGTGCCATCCTCTCCTCCACCTGGAGGCTGGCGCTCTCCTGCTGTGGTCTGACTGCCCAAACCCAGGCCCCTCCTCCAGGCCTGCTTTCCTCATCAGCCCCAGTGCCCCATACCATGTCCTCCGATTCCTCATGACTAAAGTTTGCTCTCACTCCCATCAGAATGTCTCTGATGAGTTCATTCATACTGCGACTTTGGCAAAATGGCTTCCTTTATTTTTTTTCTTGTTTTTGTTTTTTTTCTTGAAGGAACAATTAAATGTCCTATTTGGATAAATCATAAATGGTGGGATTTCAGGAACCAAGAAATATGAAATGATAATGGCTAAATGTATAATACTATGTGTCAGGCAAATGTACTATCTCATTGAATCCTCATAACAATGCAGTGAGATAGGCACTATTATTAGGTCAGTTTTACAGATGAGGAAACTGAGGCACAGAGAAGTTAATTCAGTTGCCAAAAGCCATGCAGCTAATAAGCGGTGAAGCTGGAATTCAAGCCCAGGCAATGTGCCCTGGAGCCTCACCCTTAACATCTACGTGAAAGAGGCAAGAGATATTTCTGGTGTGAGTGTTTTCATGGCAGCCCACAGACCATATCTCTTGGGTGACACTGTGCCATCCAAAGCCTGACCAAAGTCCTGAGATCAAATCCTAAGTGATGAACATTGCCTAACGCTGTCTACTTGAGGAGAATGAGTACAGACAATGATGAAAGCCAAGGAACCCTGGTTCTAGAATGTACCTGACATTATTTTGTTCAACCCCATCAGTTCCCACATGAAGAAATAGAATCAAAGAAGTTTAACTGATTTGACTGGGTCTCCTGACACTTGTTCTGTGACCTGAAAGTGCCAGCCAGTCACCTTCCTCTTCCCCACCCCCACCATAAAATCACTATGCCAAATTATATTGATCCTCAACCTCAAAATGTCTGTCACAGCAATTGCCTTGTTTCTGCCCTGATGCCAGTCAGGTTGCTCATTACCTCACACTTGTCCCAGTACCTTCTCTGACCTCCCTGCCTGTGTCTCTTTCCCCACCCCTCTCTATTTCTCATAACCATGCACAACTGTCTGCTGATGTTCCTCAAAGCCTAGCTTTTACCTTGAATGCAAACCTAGGGTACAAAGGCCTGGATTCAAATCCTGATTTACCATTCTGTCACTGAAGAGACTCAGCCATTGTGGTTAAACACAAAAACAGGTGAGGTGAGACCACAGATGTTTAAAAGCTCAGCTCGCATCACTGAACGGGACAGAGGCATCAACCTACAGCATTGGGCCAAAGTAGCAACCTCAATAAGTCAAAATCAGTACTGAGAGACATGTGAGTTATGAAACCCAGCAGTCTTATCTTTGTTGTGAGCACAGTCGGGAGTGGGGAGAAAGACGGCCACATGGAGGGGGTGGGCGGGATGGTGGGGAGAAAGGGAATCCCCACATCCGCTGCCTATTGCACTTCTCAATGAAAACGTCACCCCTCCCTAGAAGTAGAAGCAGAAATGAAACTTTAGCCAGAGCTAAGGGTTATAGCAGGGCAGGAAGACCTGAATTAGGAGAAAACTCTGTCTATGAATATGACATAGACAGAATATGAAAGAGTCCCCTCTTTACAACTCCAAGGCACTGAGTAGAGACAGCGAGGGAGCTTAGCTCAGAGGAGCCAGGATCAGGCAGCCTGCATTCAGGTGCACACCTACCACCCCAGAAAAGCAGGACCTCTGTCCTCAGTGTGCCATTCTAATTACTCCACACTATGTACCTTTAAAACAAAGGGAGCATGGAGTTTACTGTGTCCTGAGGTAGGAAGCTAAGTTTACAGATGAATCTGTGATGAAGGAGTATCAGTTGCTACATTCTAGGAATGGACCAGATTACTAAAGATTTAAACAGTTTAGGGAAATGGGCAGAAATGAGGCTAATGAAATTCACTCTCACAAAGCTGGAAGGTCATGCATCAAAGTAGTATCCATGAGACATTTAAATGGAGCCCTAATAGGTAGAATTGCAGAAAATAATGAGGAAAGAGCCCTAGGGCTAGATAATAATATCATCAACAGTCTAGTTGCAAACAGGGGATTTCCTTGTAGAGCAAAGTAATAGTTCCTCTCTGTAAATGGTTTCTCACATCTCATTTAGAATCCTGGGTGCAATCCTGGGCTTGTAGCTACCCAGAAACTGAGAATTGTGTTAAAAAGGGAACAAAAGAGAAAAAAGGAAAGGTTGGTCTGGGACTCAGGAACATGCTATATAATATTTTTTAAAGGCATTTTTTTAACCTCTTCTCGAGCTGAGTACAAAAAAAAAATCATTCCTTAAACTGTGGTTCAGCGGTCATGAGTATCAAATAAGGGTCCCCGCAATTATTTTATCTATCTATGTATTAATTTATTTACAGATGGGATCATGCTCTGTTGCCCAGGCTAGAGTGCAGTGGTGTGATCATATGTCACTGCAGCTTCCACTTCCTGGCCTCAAGCGATCCTTCTGCCTCAGCCTCCCAAAGTCTTGGGGATTACAGGCTTGAGCTACTGTGCCTGGCCCACACAATTCTTTTTATGTCTTTGGCCTCACCCTTTTGCTGACTTGGCACTTTTCACGGGCATATACTTTTGAGGTAAGACTTCAAATTATAGGGAGAGAGTGGGGGGTTTTAAGCTGAGAGAAAGGAAGTGGAATAATTTTGAAGTTAGCATTAATTTCAGTACATCAGGTACATATAAAATCAGGTTATTGTAGAACCATCAGTTCAGGATAAGTTCCAACTTCATGAAATCAGAAACGCTTCAAACCACAGCCCTTTGCCAGCAGAGATCAACAAAAGACCAGATCAAAGGCCAGAAAGGCCATGGAGTTTGTGGCCAGAGAGACATCAGGAGATGTGGGGATTCCAGCCCTTTTCATCCAGTTAGAATGCAATTCTCTTATGATATTTAATACATTTTGAATCCACATCCTAAGACCCTGCTATCTCTTTCCTGTATGCAATGAGAGAAAGGGAGAGAGAGAGACCCCTTAGACCTGTGCCATCCAATATTGTGGCTATCAGGCACTTAAAATGTGGCTGGTCTTGTAAATGCTGTGAAGTGTAAAAATTTAACTGAATGCCTGAAAGAATGTAAAATATCTGAATTTTTTTTTTCCCGAGACAGTCTTGCTCTGTTGCCCAGGCTGGAGTGCAATGGTGCTATCTCGGCTCACTGCAACCTCCGCCTCCTGGGTTCAAGCAATCTCGTGCCTCAGCCTCCTGAGTAGCTGGGATTACAGATGCACACCATCACCCCCGGCTAATTTTTGTATTTTTAGTAGAGACAGGTTTCACCATGTTGACCAGGCTGGTCTCGAACTCCTGACCTCGTGATCCACCCGCCTCGGCCTCCCAAAGTGCTAGGACTACAGGCATGAGCCACCGTGCCCGGCCATGAACATTTTTTTAATGTTGATTATGTATTGAAATGATAATATTTCTGATGTATTGGGTTAAATAAATTATTAAAATCAGCCAGGTGCAGTGTCACACTCCTGTAACCCCAGCACTTTAGGAGGCCAAGTCAGGAGGATTGCTTAAGCCCAGGAGTTCGAGACCAGCCTGGACAACATAGGGAGATCCACATCTCTATAAAAAAAAAAAGATTAATTAAATAAAATAAATTGTCCCTTCTCTTTCTACTTTTCTTAAAGTGGGTACTAGAAGGTTTAAAATTCACATGTAGCTCACACTATCTTGCACAGTCCTGCTTTAGACTTCCAGACAGTGGAATAAATTATAGGATAGCAGTTTGCATTGCCCTTGTTAAATTTCTGGGATAAGGGAGAAAACTGATAAAATGAGAGTTTGTTTTCATTTTCTTTTTTCAGGAATATAATATCAAATTGCTCAGGCCCAATTGCTGTCAGTTGGAGTGGATGTTTGGGTTTAATGAATGCTTGTAGTACAGAAACTTATTAATAATATTTAAAGAAATACAGCTGGGAGAAATACAGGACACAGTGAATGGGCTCATTCTTTGGCATAATTTCATGTGAATTAAATGAAACCCATAAAGTCCACATAAACCTACACCATGGCTTGCAGAAACACTGTTTATCACAGAAGACAGAAAAATGCCATCATTTATTCATCTTTGTATGCTAGAGGAAACTGAGAAAATGTTAGTCCAAATAGAACACTCAACTCTCTGTTGTACCCCAGACTGTTGTATCTGAAAAAGAAAAAAAAAAAAAAAAGAGCAGAACTCTTTCTGATGGTAGATGTTTTTTTCCCCTGAGTGAATCAGAGAACAGCCTGTGGTCTAAACCAAAAAAAAAAAAAAAAAAAAAAAAAAAAACCTTATGTAAACGGGTAAAGACATGTGGATGGGTGTGGAATTATTCATGAAGCTACAACACTGAAGAAAAACTCCCCTCTCTCCCCTCTAGAAAGACTGAGATGATGTATAATTCTTGCAATCCAGGTGGCTTCTTACTTGACAGTTGCCCTTTTATACCCACGAACATGAGAAGCAATTACTTGACACAATCTTTTTTATGCTGTTTTTTAAATTAGAAAATTGATTTATGTGAATACACAAACTAAAAATTGATTATAAAAACAACTAAACATGTGTCATTCTAGGCAATTCTAGGCAGCCTAGACACTGCTAGTATTGACATGTACCACCGAAAAGAAATGAGATTATGAACTATTTTGGGGTTAGTACAGACAGCTGAGTGATTTGTACATACTCAACATTCTTATTGAGATCACCTAATACCTCTCTGTAAATTTGTTGAAAAGTAAGTGACTTGAAGCTTTTCATTATCCATTTTAGGAAAATACCTACAAGTCTACTTGGAGGAATCCCCAGCATTTTCAACAGGATGTCAGAATGACCTTGGGCTATGTTGGCAAAGCACAATGGGAAGAAGACAACCAATTGAAGGTCAAACTAGGCCTTAAAAAAAATTGTTCTTCCTAAATGAAACTTTATGTAAGACCCAAGCTTCCTTTATGTAAAAATAGGATACTCACTAGGCTTTGGGGCTGACAATGGTTTTTAAATCTTGCTAATCTTCCCTGGAATGAAACCAGCATGACTCAAAGAGAAAAAGAGAGTCTATAATATTTTCTAATCCCTGAGTTCTTTTCTTTATATATTAAAAAGGATTACTAGGCTGGGTGTGGTGGCTCACGCCTGTAATCCCAGCACTTTGGGAGGCCGAGGGGAGTGGATCACCTGAGTTCGAGACCAGCCTAACCAACATGGAGAAACCCTGTCTCTACTAAAAATACAAAATTAGCCAGGCGTGGTGGCGCATGCCTGTAATCCCAGCTACTCAGGAGGCTGCGGCAGGAGAATTGCTTGAACTCGGGAGGCAGAGCCAAGATCGCACCACTGCACTCCAGCCTGGGCAACAAGAGTGAAACTCTGTCTCAAAATAATATTAATGATAATAATAATAATAATAATAGGGATTACTTGCATAATTGTTCTTTTAAAATTATTGGCAGTATTGCTGAATGTATTTAGATTTTTTCACCAAGTGACAACAACTGAATTCATAAAGATTCATCAACAAGACCTGATAAAAAAAAATGTAAGCATATTATAGTGGATACTTCCAAGACTCTTGGTCTAACATGTATTAGAAAGCAGAAGGAGCCCAGGCACAGGGGCTCCCGCCGGTAATCCCAAAGCTTTGGGAAGCCAAGGCAGGTGGATCGCTTGAGCTCAGGAGTTAGAGACCAGCCTGGGCAACATGGTGAAATCCCGTCACCACAAAAAAATGCAAAAATTAACTGGGCGTGGTGGCATGCACCTGTAGTCCCAGCTACTCTGGAGGCTGAGGTGAGGGGAATCACCTGAGCCGGGGGAATCACCTGAGCCCAGGGAAGTTGAGGCTGCTGTGAGCCATGGTCATGACACTGCCCTCCAGCCTGGACAACAGATTGAGACCCTGTCTCAAAAAAAAAAAAAAAAAAAGAAAAAAGAAAAGAAAGAAAAAGAAAATTAGGGCCGGGCGCGGTGGCTCACGCCTGTAATCCCAACACTTTGGGAGGCCGAGGCGGGTGGATCACGAGGTCAGGAGATCGAGATCATCCTGGCTAACATGGTGAAACCCTGTCTCTACTAAAAATACAAAAAATTAGCCAGGCGTGGTGGCGCATGCCTATAGTCCCAGCTGCTCAGGAGGCTGAGGCAGGAGAATGGCGTGAACCCGGGAGGCAGAGCTTGCTGTGAGCCAAGATGGCGCCACTGCACTCTAGCCTGGGCGACAGAGCAAGACTCCGTCTCAAAATAATAATAATAATAATAATAAAAATAAAAAAAAGAAAATTAGAAGGAAAATACAAAATATGACAGATTTTAAAATACCTTTAGGTTCATGCAGTTTGTTTAACTCTTGTCCTTATTATAAAGCCATAGACATTTGAGATCCAGAAAGAATCTGTAAAAACTGTTGTACAGGGTAGTGGTACAGAGCACAGGAAATGGTGTTTAATTTCCTGAGTTCTGAACCTAACTCTGTGACCCAGTAGTTGTATAATGTCAGGCAAGCTATTTAACTCCTTGGAAACCCACTTTCCCTCATGTGTAAAACAGCGATAATCATAATACCTATCTTATAAGGTTATGGAGTTAGGTTATTTATCTTGCACAAAGAAAGGACTCAATCCTTGCTGGTTATGATGATTTAATCCAGCACTTTCGTTTCACAAGCGAGGGATCTACAGTAAGGAGACTTATCTCTGGTCTCACCATTAGGTTGAGACAGATCCTCAGCTAGAATCCAAAGTGCTCTTACCACTTTTCCACAACTTTTGCTTTGTCCTTTGCATTTTAAAATTATTAATTTCCTATTGCACCTTTTCGTTATAGACCCCAAGTGCAACTAGATACAAACACCAGGAAAATACATACCACATTTTAATAATTTAAAAATTGTGAAATTTGCTAAATTGTAATAGATTTAATCTTAGGCCGGGCGCAGTGGCTCACGCCTGTAATCCCAGCACTTTGGGGGGCTGAGGTAGGTGGATCACCTAAGGTCGAGAGTTCGAGACCAGCTTGACCAACATGGAGAAACCCCTTCTCTACTAAAAATACAAAATTAGCTGGGGTTGTGGTGCACGCCTGTAATCCCATCTACTCGGGAGGCTGAGGCAGGAGAATCGCTTGAACCTGGGAGACGGACGTTGCGGTGAGCCAAGATCAAGCCATTGCACTCCAGCCTGGGCAACTAGAGCGAAACTCCGTCTCAAAAAAAAAAAATTTAATCTTAAGAGATCATTAATTAGCATGAGTTAATCATTTTTCTTTAAATCTTACATAATCCAGAAAGCTTCAAACGTGCCAGTTTTACTTCGACTCTTTCCACGTTTTCTTTCTGTTTGTCTCCCTCTGGTGGATTTAAAAAAATACTTGCTTTATTCTATTTATGAGCTTATTTTCCTTTTAAAATTGAAAAAGGTCTTTATGTCTTCTGTCATGTTTAATATATATTTCCAGTTACATTTTATTTTTATTATTTTGAATTATACATATGTTTAAAATTTTTATGTATTTGAGTTTGTCTGTCTTTTCTTTGACATATCTTGCTTTGTTTCTAAATTGAATGATCATTTTCCCATAGATGTGATAACTTTTTTTTTTTTTTTTCTTGAGACGGAGTTTCTCTCTTGTCCCCCAGGCTGGAGTGCAATGGCGCGATCTCGGCTCACTGCAACCTCCGCCTACCCGGTTCACGTGATTCTCCTGCCTCAGCCTCCTGAGTAACGGGGATTACAGGGGCCCGCCACCACGGCTGCCTAATTTTTGTATTTTTAGGAGAGACGGGGTTTCACCATGTTAGCCAGGCTGGTTTTAAACTCCTGACTGCAAGTGATCCGCCTGCCTTGGTCTCCCAAAGTGCTAAGATTACAGGCGTGAGCCACCGCACCTGGCCCTGATAAATATTATATTCTATTTTCTGATAGTTTCCTTATACCTTAATTTTAATTGAGTTTTAGAATGATTTTTAGAGTAAGATTTAGAATGAGTACTTTATCATCTGTTTGGTTGGTCTATATAATTGGAGCTACTTATGGTCTCTATCTCAGTGAATACTTCTTCAATATCTCTGTACTTTTTGCCTGTTTAAAAAACATTGTTGCTTTACAATATCTATTTATCTAGTCTTTCTCATTTATTTGGTTATTTTTCAGAATGTATTTGTAATATTTTTTCAGATTTCAAAATCTTATGGGGGCTGGGCGGCGCAGTGGCTCACGCCTGGCAGCTTACAAGGTCAGGAATTCGAGACCAGCCTGGCCAATATGGTGAAACCCCGTCTCTACTAAAAATACAAAAATTAGCTGGGCGTGGTGGTGCGCGCCTGTAATCCCAGCTACTCCAGAGGCTGAGGCAGGAGAATCGCTTGAACCAGGGAGGCGGAGGTTGCAGGGGCCACTGCACTCCAGCCTGGGCTGCAGAGCGAGACTCCGTCTCAAAAAAGAAAAAAAAAATTAAAAAAAGGGAACTTTTACTGAAACGGAGTTACATTGTACGGCGGCAAGAACCTTCAAGTTCTAGTTATGCCACTGCTAATTGTCTGATCTTTCACAAGTTTAACTCTAAACCTCAGTTCCTCATCTGTAAACGAGGGATAACATTAATATTTATCTCACAAGATTTTCAGGACTGTTTAAAAATTCATATAAGACATTTAGCATATTTCCTACGTGAACGCCTTGCATAGGAAACACTAGAAAAGTTAATTATTATGATTAACTTGGGGGCAAATATCCATTTACAATGTGAAGTCTTCGATGTAATGGCTTCTTTTAGATTAAAGACCGACAAGAGTGTCACTGTCATGCTTTTCGTTTGACACCCACTTCAACGAGGGGCCCGCTGCGCCCGCGACCGCCGCCCCTTCCTCTGGTCGGATTTAAAGGGGGCCAAGCTCCACGCTTTAGCAGAACCCGAGGAGGGGAGGGAGCGTTGCCTGGGAGATGAGGGTGGGGCGAGTCCAGCATTCAGAGACGGCTACCGGAGCCCAACCACCGGCACTTCCGGGGGGCGGGTGGAAGCAAAGGCGCGGCACCCGACGCGACGCCCAGCAGCCAATCAGAAGGCGGGGCGCCCATTCAAATTGCGGCCTTCTGGGGAGCCGGCGCTGGAGGTGGTGAGTGGCGTGGGGACTGTGTCGAGGGGGTCCCCAAGGTGCCGGACCCTGCGGAGGGGCGAAGTTTCGGCACTGGGGAGGGCGTGCGGACGCTTTCCCTACAGGCGACCACTGCTCTGCGGGCGGGTGGTCTTAGCTCCAGTCCCCCATTCAGTTCCTCAGCATTCCAGGTCGGCGGCGAAGGGGTCCCCGAACGAAGGGCGCAAGGCAGCGTCTCTGCTGGGACCGGGAAGCCGGACTTCAGGGCCTCTCGGCCCGTGGGCTTCTCCCCGAGTCTCCCCGAGTCGGTTGGCATTAAGAGGTAATTCTTAGTCATAGCCCCTGGTAATGACTAGCAGAGAAAGAACAGAATCACCGGATGTTTTGGTTTGGATTGTGCTTATTTTCCTTGTATTCCTTCCAGTCCTCTTTAAAATCTGATGGCGAAACTCCTCAAACAGAAACCGTATTGATTTGTGCAAATCGCAAATGGTTTTTAGTTGCAAGAGAATTTCCAGAATCTTCTTTTTGCCTTTAAATTCATTTCATAACAGGAAAATTCTGTATTTTGAGTTGAAACGTTGATGGGAGATGCTTATAAGCTGACGAATTTTTTTTGTAATGACTGTTATTTATGTAAAAATTTAAAAGCCTCATTTAAAAATGAACTTCCATTAATTTGTTCCTCGCTAGCAATAATCTTTGCAATAGTTTGAACCAGTGTCATTTTACAGGTTAGAACCCGGCATGCAAATTTAAAGTCTTGTTTACATCCTTGTAAGGAGTTGGATACAAAGCTGACTAAAAGCCAGGTCTCTTAGCTGTCACTGCTGTTCCCTTTCTTTAAAACGTTAATACCTGATAGATATTGTTGCTGTATATTTACATACACCTCTGTCTAATTTGTTGTCTTACTGCTAAAGGGCAGGTTGTCTGTTTATCTAATCTTGCATGGTTTTTCTCAACACAATTAATTTACAGTACTTATCGTACTTACTGCCTGTGGTACTTGGGAATAATCTGCCTCGTGACACCAATCAATTCAATCTTCTCTATAGGCATTCCTGTATTCAACATACATGGGCCGGACGCGGTGGCTCACGCCTGTAATCCCAGCACTTTGGGAGGCCGAGGCGGGCGGATCACAAGGTCAAGATATCGAGACCATCCTGGCCAACATGGTGAAACCCCGTCTCTACTAAAAATACAAAAATTAGCTGGGCATGGTGGTGGGCGCCTGTAGTCCCAGCTACTTGGGAGGCTAAGGCAGGAGATTTGCTTGAATACAGGAGGAGGAGGTTGCAGCAAGCCAAGGTCGTGCCACTGCACTCCAGCCTGGTGACAGAGCAAGACTCCATCTCAAAAAAAATATTTTTATAAAAATAAAATAAAATAAACCTTCTTATGGAACATTGGCAAAAAAAAAAAATACGTGTAGCAGGTATTTATAAAAATACTTTGCTCCACACTCTGATTTAGGTGCTAGGGTTTCCTTTAGTCCTTCCCATTCCCCACACTGGAAGTACTTGAAAATCTATGTTGGCATGCACTTTTTACATCTTCTAAGTCACTTGACACATTTGGCCTGATATATGGCTTATCAGTATATTTCTTCTAGACTAAAGAAATGGGAATTGTATTCTTGTCTTTGAAGTCTACAGTATCTATCAGAGGGCCTGGCACTAATGGAAACTTAGTCAATATTTGTTGAATAATGATGGTAAGTTCTCTGAGAGACTTGCCTGAAGTTGCTTGGAAGCAGTATCTGAGCTGCAGATTGTGATCTATTGTAATGTATGCCTCTGGGAATTTACTTACACAATGGGATGTTCTCTCTATATTTTTAAAGCTTGTTTGTAGTCTGTGTGATCTAAATCTTTTTTTTTTCTTTTAGTTTAGCAGATACTTTCAGAAATGGATACATAAGAAATGGCTGGAAATCAAATGAATGTCCAAAGAAGAGCTTAGGGTCTTAGTAACATTCTTTTTTAAAATAACTGTCTGCCAAAATGTCATTACACAGTACTCATAATAGAAATAACAGCGGTGATATTCTTGATATTCCTTCTTCCCAAAATAGTTCATCACTGAATGCCCTCACCCACAGTAGCCGACTTAAGCTGCATTTGAAGTCGGATATGTCAGAATGTGAAAATGATGATCCATTATTGAGATCTGCAGGTAAAGTCAGAGACATAAATAGAACTTATGTTATTTCTGCCAGTAGAAAAACAGCAGACATGCCCCTTACCCCTAATCCTGTAGGTAGATTGGCACTTCAGAGGAGAACTACAAGGAACAAAGAATCATCTTTGCTTGTTAGTGAGTTGGAAGACACAACTGAAAAAACAGCAGAAACACGTCTTACATTACAACGTCGTGCTAAAACAGATTCTGCAGAAAAGTGGAAAACAGCTGAAATAGATTCTGTCAAAATGACACTGAATGTGGGAGGTGAAACAGAAAATAATGGTGTTTCTAAGGAAAGTAGAACAAATGTAAGGATTGTAAATAATGCTAAAAACTCTTTTGTTGCCTCTTCTGTACCTTTAGATGAAGATCCACAGGTCATTGAAATGATGGCTGATAAGAAATACAAAGAAACATTTTCTGCCCCCAGTAGAGCAAATGAAAATGTTGCACTTAAGTACTCAAGTAATAGACCACCCATTGCTTCCCTGAGTCAGACTGAAGTTGTTAGATCAGGACACTTGACAACGAAACCTACTCAGAGCAAGTTGGATATCAAAGTGTTGGGAACAGGAAACTTGTATCATAGAAGTATTGGGAAGGAAATTGCAAAAACTTCAAATAAATTTGGGAGCTTAGAAAAAAGAACACCTACAAAATGTACAACAGAACACAAACTGACAACAAAGTGCAGCCTGCCTCAGCTTAAGAGCCCAGCTCCATCAATACTGAAGAATAGAATGTCTAACCTTCAAGTTAAACAAAGACCAAAAAGTTCCTTTCTTGCAAATAAACAGGAAAGATCCGCAGAAAATACAATTCTTCCCGAAGAAGAAACTGTAGTTCAGAACACCTCTGCAGGAAAAGACCCCTTAAAAGTAGAGAATAGTCAAGTGACAGTGGCAGTACGCGTAAGACCTTTCACCAAGAGGTATGTGATGCCTTTTAAAATCTAAAGCCAAGCAGTTACATGTAAGGTACCTTTAATTCCTCTCTGCCTTTGGAAGGTCAGTGTATTCGTGCATCTTCAAACTTGTTGGCAATACTTTTATATAGAAAGAACTTTTAGGTCTAGTTGTAGTGTGTGTTGATAATTTTTGATCACTGACTATAAAATTAAAAAATTGAATCACCATATTTTGTATATTGAAGTTTCTCTAGATATATTGCTTTTAAAAAGTCTGAATAAGTCACTTAGGTCTCTAATGAAATCTGCTTTCAGATCTGCAATATATGCTGGAATGTTATACCTATCCCTTAAAAAGAGCCATAACAGGCCAGGTGTGGTGGGTCACGCCTGTAATCCCATTGCTTTGGGAGGTCAAGGCAGGCAGATCACTTGAGGCCAGGGGTTTGAGACCAGCCTGGCCAATATGGTGATACCCTGTCTCTACTAAAAATACAAAAATTAGCTGGGCATGGTGTTGCACACCTGTAATCCCAGCTACTCGGGAGGCTGAGGCAGGAGAATCACTTGAACCCGGGAGGCAGAGGCTGCATTGAGCTGACATCAGGCCACTGCACTCCAGCCTGGGCGACAGAACGAGACTGTCTCAAAAAAAAGAAGAGCCATAACAAATTACTGGTTCCCTAAAGAGGTCCTTTCAAAACCCTTTCCAGAGTGGTGATTATCATCATCATTGTCTCCGATTACTATATAGTAGTTATAAATGCAGTGATACATTAGATTTGATTTTGATGGCAAAAAATCTCTCTCTAAAAGTGGTTGTGGGTGGGGAAGACACAGATTAAAGATAAGGTTGGAAAAGATGGACATGACAAAATGTGAATGTGACAAAATGTAATTGTTTTAAAATATTTTAATGTAGTTGTTTAAAATATTTTAAGGGACAGTGAAAAACTTCACAGAGTTAGTAGTGTTTAACTTGAAGCTGTGTATCTAAGCAAGTTAGAAGAGGATTTGGTGACCACTGCATCAGGGCAGGAACCTCCAGTTTGAACCTAAGGGGTCAGTAGTTAAAGGCAAGTTATACAGTACTGTAGAATCTTTTTCGTGCAAATGGGTTAGTATTAAGAGGGAGAACTGAGGGTGAGTTGGTTTGAGAGAATTGGAATGTCTAATAGAGCCTCAAGAACCATGATAGGAAGAGAAACAATAGAAAGAGCTGGTAGGGACAAAATGCAAGATGGATGACTATACTGAACTTAGTAAGGGACCAAGTGCCTGATTCCAAACTCATCAGACAAGCCTTGAAAGCAGGGCCAGGGTAGAGTACTTGTCAAATTGATGAGGCAGGTGTTTTTTCCAGAATAAATTCTGATTTAAAGCAGTCTCAGAGTCAGGGATGGAGCGGGGAGGGAGTGTATATCTGGAGCCAGACAAAGAGTGATGATGTTTTTCTGTAGATCTAAAGTAAATGAAAGATTTCCACCTAAGTCTCAAAGGGAAAAAGGATATACAGAAAGATTCATGATTTTAAGGGAGAGAATCTAGAGGAAGGAGGAGAGATCTTTAGTAGCCAAGAGAGACTTATGATTGAAACTTACAGTCAACTGAGTTTGTTAAAATTAGATATTTGTATTTTATGCCAGCTTTATTTAGATTGGTACCCCCCCAAATTTGTATAATAAAGATGTAGATTTGGATGAAGAGTATAGGTAGATTATAGTAGGTGGGATGGGAAAAGGTATAGTTCAAGAGAAAAAAAAAAGAGGAAAAAATCTTGTAAAAG
This sequence comes from Homo sapiens, assembly GCF_000001405.40. NCBI lineage: Eukaryota > Metazoa > Chordata > Mammalia > Primates > Hominidae > Homo > Homo sapiens. Next base: position 200,615,849 of record NC_000001.11, on the reverse strand, counting down.
TAGGATAGGTTTTCTGGAGGAATCTGGGATTTTCCCTTTGGTGGCACTGGAGCCTCAGGAAATATATTTTGGAAACCCACTAGAATTATGTTTGCTTATCTGCATTTTCCACATAAAACTACAGAATTATCTTGCCTTGGAAGATTGTTTAAATAGTTTTGAGGTATTTATTATGTTCTGTGAGAATAATACCCTTGATCATTTTAGTTACTTGATTTTTTTCTTTGTGCTTCTTTCAAGAGAGAAGATTGAAAAAGCATCCCAGGTAGTCTTCATGAGTGGGAAAGAAATAACTGTGGAACACCCTGACACGAAACAAGTTTATAATTTTATTTATGATGTTTCATTCTGGTCTTTTGATGAATGTCATCCTCACTACGCTAGCCAGACAACTGTCTATGAGAAGCTAGCAGCACCACTCCTAGAAAGAGCCTTCGAAGGCTTCAATACCTGTCTTTTTGCTTATGGTCAGACTGGCTCTGGAAAATCATATACGTAAGTTGTATTGGAAATGCAATTATCCAGAAGTGTTTAAATATACTTTTGTGAGAAGTGGCATAGGGGTGATAGAAAGAATATAGTTTTGAAATCACACAGATCTTGGCCCAAATCTCATCCATTTTATATACCAGTTCTGCAAACTTGGGCAATTTACTTAGCCTCTGGGCTTCAGTTTATACATTTACCTTGATACAATTCATCTTGTAATTATCATTGGCCCCATTTTACTGTACTTTATATATTTTACATAAACTAAGGCCTAGAGAGGTTATCTTTTAAGTATTTTGGTGAGAATTAAAAGTAAGGCATCTAAGCTAGATGTGATGGCACACACCTGTAGTCTCAGCTACTTGGGAAGCTGAGGTAGGAGGATTGCTTAAGTGCAGGAGTTCGAGTCCAGCCTGGGCAACTTAGTCCCCATCTCTTAAGAAAAAAGGGTGGAGGGGCATCTGATAAATGGTAGCTATGATAATAATACCTGTCCTAGAAAGAAATACTCAGCATTTTAACAGTAGCTAACATTTGAGTTCTTTTTTTTTTTTTTTTTTTTTTTTTTTTGTAGCAAGGTTTGTTGTGAAGAGCGAAAGAACAGAGCTTCCACAGTCCACAGCGTGGAGGGGTCCCAAGCGGGTTGCCCAACATTTGAGTTCTTACTATATTCCAGACACTGTGCTAAAGACTTTGCTTATATTCTTTCACAACAATTCTCTGAATTAGATAGTTGTATTATTCCTGTTTTACAGTAGAGGAAATTGAAGTTTAGTGAGGTTAAATATCTTGGAGTCAAGATTTGGACTCAGGCAGATTTGACTCCAGAGTCCAGATTCTTAATTATGAGATTCAGTGAACTTGCTTCCTACTCCCTTCCCAGCCTATTTCCCCAAAAAGAATTTTAAAGAAAGAATTAGTTTTATTTCCCCCTTATTCATAATGTATTTTTCAGGATGATGGGATTTAGTGAAGAACCAGGAATAATTCCAAGATTTTGTGAAGATCTTTTTTCTCAAGTAGCCAGAAAACAAACCCAAGAGGTATGTTCTTATAATACCTGCAAGCTTCTTTTCAGAGTAGAAAATAGTCAAATCAAGTTCAAATCAGTCATGGCCACTAAGGAAATACTTAATGGAAGATCAGTTCTAATTTGTAGATCACTCTTCTTTGGAACAGTGGTATGGAGAGGGAGGGTGGAAATTCTAAATTCAGAATCAGTTTCACCTAGTGGGCAGTGATAGTGAAGTCATCTCTTCTGTCTTTTCTCCCTTGTTTTTGCTTTACTTTTGTGTATACGTAGAGGCTCACAAACATGGTAGCTATGTGCTGTTATACGTGTGTTTGTAGTCAGATAGGTGTACAGTTTAACTAAGGACAGCAGGCATAACCTTTTGGACAACGTGAATCAGAAAGAGTAGTGAAATTGGGATTTGAACCCAGAGTTGACTTCAAAAGCCATGCTTTTTCCACTCTACTACACCTGAATAGGCTGTACTGGCTTCCTATTTCACTTATTCATTTACACATTCAGCTACCTTTTACTGAGCATTCTGCTGTTGCCAGGCAGCTTGTTAGATCAGTTTTTTTTTTTCTCAAATTTTCTTGGTCATAAGAATCACCGGGGATTCTTGGCAGGGACATATATGTGCATGTGTATGTGTATGTACACACTTGCTAAAAATCTCTTCTGGGGGTTCTGAGTCAGTTGGTCTGGTGTAGAGCTTGGGATTTTATAATTTTCATGCTTTTCCTCCAGTATTTTTTATGATAAAGGAAATTGGGAAAATTGTGCTAGATTAGGGGTGTGGAGTTAAAAGACCCAGTCCCTGTATTCAAAGGAGTGTAGTGGGAGAAATAAGTTAACAGCCAAGTACAATCAATTAAATGCTAAACAAACTAAAGTAGATGCTCTAATAGAACATGTAAGTGAGGACATATAAAGTTGGAGGGAGACATTCTCTCAGAGGAAGGAGCAGCTGAGCTTATTTTTGAAGGATACATAGCATTATTAGCTTGGTAAAGAAGGGGAGAAGGATATTCCAGGGAGAGGGAGCAGCATGTACCAAGATTTGAAAGCAAAAAAGTAGGGAGCCTTTGGGAATCTATAAATTGTTCACTGTGTTTTGAGCATGGAATTTGAGGGTGGAAAGTGATAAGAGAAGAAACTAGAGGCTGGGTGCGGTGGCTCATGCCTGTAATCCCAGTACTTTGGGAGGCCGAAGCGGGCAGATCACCTGAGGTCAGGAGTTCGAGACCAGCCTGGCCAACATGGTGAAATCCTGTCTCTACTAAAAATACAAAAATTAGCCAGGTGTGGTGGCACATGCCTGTAATCCCATCTACTTGGGAGGCTGAGGCAGGAGAATCGCTTGAACCAGGGAGATGGAGGTTGCAGTGAGCCGAGATCGCGCCACTGCACTCCAGCCTGGGTGACAGAGCATGACTCCATCTCAAAAAAAAAAAAAAAAAAAAAAAAGAGAATAAACTAGAAAGGCCTGCAGAACTTGGCTCATGAAGGACTGTCTTAGTAAGGATAACTGGTAAGACTTGCTGATTATTGGAAATGGAGGATGAGGGAGAGAGAAATCAATGTTTCTGGTTGGACAACCAGATTAGATATCGATGTCATTTTTTGAGATCACAAGAGGAAAAGTAGATTTGAGTAATTGATGAGTTCTGTCTCTTCTGTGGATATACTGCCTCTCCTCTGTCTTCTTCTACCCTCAACCTCTCATTCCCAGTAATTAAATTGAAAATAGGAGGAGTATGGGGATCAATAGAAATATGGTGGTATTGAGACTATGAGATGAAATATGATTCAAGTCCAAGTTTAGTGGGCATAAGAGAAAGCTGTGGGCTTGTGGGGCAGAGTTCTCTATTGGCTCTCCAGATTTTAGAGGGATAGTAATTTGAAGGTAAAGCCAGGAAGACATAGATAAGTGTAGTGGAGGCAAAGGTCTTTGGAATGATTTCAAAGGACTAGGAGGCTCAGATTTTGCGTGGAATGACTATGTCATTGAATAACATAGTGTAATGAATGCTTAAGAGCCTGGTTGGCCAGGCATGGTGGCTCACGCCTGTAATCCCAGCACTTTGGGAGGCCAAGGCAGGCGGATCACCTGAGGTCAGGAGTTTGAGACCAGCCTGGCCAACATGGTGAATCCCTGTCTCTACTAAGAATACAAAAATTAGCCAGGTGTGGTGGTGGGCGCCTGTAATCCTAGCTATTCGGGAGGCTGAGGTAGGAGAATCGCTTGAACCCTGGAGGCGGACATTGCACTGAGCTGAGATCATGCCACTGTACTCCAGCCTGGGCGACAGAGCAAGACTCTGTCTCAAAAAAAAGAAAAAAAAAAAGAGCATGGACTTTGGAGATACATTATTTGAATTTGAATCTCAGCTTCATCACTGCAGTAGAAATGTGATCTTGAACAATTTACTTAATGTCTTTCTGTGTTTCAGAACAGAAAATAGAGATTATATTGACAATGTCTTTCTCATAGGTTTGTTGTGAGCATTAAATGAGTTGATCTATACAAAAGGTTTTGAAGAGTGCCTGGCACATAGTGAGCCCAACTAAATGTGGTTATATCAACTTTGGAATTAGCCAGGATGGTAGAGAATAATAGTATGTGGATGGGGGTAATAGAAGGTGGTATAGCGAGCATGATGGCAGGAGCCTCAGAGGAGAAGAAAAAAGTAGGACCTCTCCAGTGTGGCCCCAGCTACCTTTTCCAATTTGTTTCCCACACTACATTTTCATTTCTAAGTCCTCCTGGAGCCTCTATAACATAAAATACTATTTTACATAAAATAAGCATTATTACGTGTTTATTGAATTCTGACAGCCCCCATCCCTGTTCATAGCATTTGTCAATGACCTTATAATTACTTGGTGTTCCCTTATACCTGGTCTCTTTGGAAGTGTTTTGTTTCTCTCTCATGACACCAGCTATATTCTGCCTTGTATTACTCATGTACTGTATTGCATCTCCAATTAGCTTCTGAGTTTTTTCAGGATAAAAACTATGTCCAGTTCATCTCATATTTTCCCACAGCTCCTAGAAGAGTGCTTTGTACCTAGTAGGGCACAATAAATATTTGGTGAATTGAACTTAAATCTCTTTGACACTCCCTTGAAGCTTCCAATTCTGTTAGATGCTTGCTGACTCACTTCTGGGTCAGTGGATGAAATTTATTTCTCTAATAAGGAAACCATGCCCTAACTGTCAGAAGAGCTGTTTGGAAGCAAAGTTTCCCGTTTTTGGCCTCTACACTGTATCTTTCAGAGTCAAAAGGAGGAGAAGCTCAGCCCACTTAATCTAATGATTGCTTTCTCTCCCAATCAGGAAGAATTGTTGATTTAAGGTTCCATCTTACCAGATCAAATGTCAACCTACAGGGTGTCTTTCCTATTCTGAGCACATGTGATGCACAGATGCTGCTGTCCTTGCCCGAGAATGCCCTACCCCCTCTTTCTGGTTCAATCTACTCTGTCTCTCATGCCTCACATTCTATTTACTCCTTCCCTTTTCTCTGGCCATCCTAAATTTTCCCTTTTCTGATTAGTCATATTTATAGTCATCTCATTTTGATTCTTAATTAATTTTCTATTGCTGTGTTTTATCTATTGGAAGGTATGTTATATGTCTCTGAGATCTTAGCCTCATGAGCAAGAATCTTGTCTTATACTTCTTTATGTCCTGACAATAACCTAAAGCCAAACATGCAGTAGGTAGGTACTTAAGAAATGCTTATTGGATTGAATTGAACCTTATGCAGAAGTTAAGAAGAAATGCAAGGACTTTTGTTGTTATTCATATTAAATTTTTTTTTTTTTTTTTTTTTGAGAGGAAGTCTCGCTCTGTCACCCAGGCTGGAGTGCAGTGGCGCGATCTTGGCTCACTGCAAGCTCTGCCTCCCGGGTTCATGCCATTCTTCTGCCTCAGCCTCCTGAGTAGCTGGGACTACAGATACCCGCCACCACGCCCGGCTAATTTTTTGTATTTTGTATTTTGTATTTTTGTATTTTAGTTTCACCGTGTTAGCCAGGATGGTCTCGATCCCCTGACCTCGTAATCCACCTGCCTTGGCCTCCCAGAGTGCTAGGATTACAGGCGTGAGCCACCGCGCCCAGCCAAAATTTTTTTTATTGAGATCAAATTCACATAACATCAAATTAACCACTTTAAAGTATATAATTCAGTGGCATTCAGTACATTTATAATGTACAACTGTTACTTCTAGTGCCAAAAAATTTTCATTGCCATCAAAGGGGACCCTCTACCCATTAAGCAGTCACAATCCATTCCCCCTTCTTCCCAATCCCTGGCAACTACTAGTTTGCTTTTGTTCTATGAATTTACCTGTTCTGGAAATTTCATATAAATGGAATCATGCAATATGTGGTATTTTGTGTCTGGCTTCTTTCACTTAGCATAATGTGTTGAGGTTCATCTACATTGTAGCACATACAGTACTTCATTCCTTTTAATGGTTGACTAATATTTCATTGTACAGATATTGCCAGTTTTGTTTATCCATTCATCAGTTGATGGACATTTGGGTTGTTGTTTATACCTTTTGGCTATTGTGAATAGTCCTTCTGTGAACACTGGTGCATGTTTTTGTTTGAATACCTGTTCTCAATTGTTTTGGATGTATAGGAGTGGAATTTCCAAATTTCTATGGTGATTCTTTTTCTTTTTTGAGATGGAGTCTCACTCTGTCGCCTAGGCTGGAGTGCAGTAGCACAATCTCAGCTCACTGCAACCTCCACCTCCCAGGTTCAAGCGATTCTCCTGCCTCAGCCTCCCGAGTACCTGGGATTACAGGCGCCCGGCACCATGCCCAGCTAATTTTTGTATTTTTAGTAGAGGTGTGGTTTCACCATGTTGGCCAGGCTGTTCTTGAACTCCTGACCTCAAATGATCCTCCCACCTCGGCCTCCCAAAGTGCTGGGATTACAGGTGTGAGCCACTGTGCCCGGCCCGGTAATTCTATTTTTAACCTTTCAAGGAACTGTCAACTATTTTCCACATTGGCCGCACCATTTTACATCCACTAGCAATGGAGGAGGGTTCCAGTTTCTCCACATCCTCACCCACACTGGTTGGTTTTCACTTCTTATTATTACTGCCATCCTAGTGGGTGTGAAGTTGTTTTTCATTGTGATTTTGATTTGCATTTCCCTACTGAGAAATGATGTTGAGCATCTTTTCATGTGCTTGTTTGCCATTTGTACGTTCTTCTTTGGAGAAATGTCTATTCAAGTCCTTTGTGCATTTTAAAATTGGGCTGTTTGTCTTTATGTTGTTGAGTTGTAGGATATTTTTATATATTTATATATTTTGGATACTAGTTCCTAACCACAGATATGATTTGCAAAACATCAAAATAAATTATATGCTGTGTTTCTATTCCTACTAGGTCAGCTATCACATTGAAATGAGCTTCTTTGAAGTATATAATGAAAAAATTCACGACCTTCTGGTTTGTAAAGATGAAAATGGGCAGAGAAAGCAACCAGTAAGATTAAAACAATTTATTATTTGTTTTGAATTTCTGTTCTTATAAATGTATCTAATTATTTGAGTTCTCTGGATGGTATAGCTTAAAGTTTTACTAGAATTATATGAAAGCAAATGCTTGGATCTACAGTCCAATTAGATTATTTAGAAAATAAGCAGAGCACTGGCCGGGCATGGTGGCTCACTCCTGTAATCCCAGCACTTTGGGAGGCTGAGGGGGGCAGACTGCCAGAGCTCAGGAGTTCAAGACCAGCCTGGACAACACAGTGAAACCCTGTCTCTACTAAAATACAAAAAATTAGCCGGGTGTGGCGGATTGCACCTATAGTCCCAGCTTCTCCAGAGGCTGAGGCAGGAGAATTGCTTGAACCTGGGAGGCAGGTTGCAGTGAGCCGAGATCAAGCCACTGTACTCCAGCCTGGGCGACAGAGTGAGACTTCGTCTCCAAAAAAAAAAAAAAGAAAAGAAGCGGAACATTATCACTAGTAGAAATTAAATTAGTTATCAGATTTAACCTCTTTATTTTAATGAAGAATTGTATAAAACTAAAGATAAAATATTTGTTCTGAGATTTAGTTGGACCATGTAAGTTGAACACCAGATCCCTAATAGTCTATAAGCCAAAACATAGTAAAACTTTTTAAAATTATATTTTTATTATAGAATATGTATTTCAGTGGATTATTTAGCAAATTCATACCTTGTAGATAATCTGTGAAATAGAAAGTTTCACAATTATATAATCTTTTTTAAAAACTGCTATTCAAATTTAAAATTTTTAATTTTGCAATGGACCTTGGAGCACAATAAACAAAAATCTAAAGAAGACGGCTGGGCGTGTTGGCTCACACCTGTAATCACAGCACTTTGGGAGGTCAAGGCAGGTGGATCACTAGGTCAAGAGATGGAGACCATCCTGGCCAACATGGTGAAACCCTGTCTCTACTAAAAATACAAAAATTAGCTTGGCATGGTGGCGCGTGCCTGTAGTCCCAGCTACTCAGGAGGCTGATGCAGGAGAATCGCTTGAACCCGGGGGCAGAGGTTTCAGTGAGCCGAGATTTCACCACCGCACTCCAGCCTGGCGACAGAGCAAGACTCCATTTCAAGAAAAAAAAGGAAGTCAGCTGTCTTCTTCACTTGCCCATGTTTGTGCAGTTTACTATTGGCAACATCAAGAAACTTAAACAAAACTTGACATTTGCTTCTATGATTTCTATATGTTTAAAGCTTCTGGTCACAAAGTTGAAAATGTATAATGTAACAATAAAGAAAAATTTTAATGTCTGAAATTTAACGAATATGTTTTAGAGAGCATTTAAAAGTATATAAATCATAGCTACTGCAAGATTTAACATTCAAATGTCTTACTGAAAAACTAGGAAGACAAGCTGGGTACGGTGGCTGACGCCTGCAATCCCAGTACTTTGGGAGGCTGAGGTGGGCGGATCACTTGAGGTCAGGAGTTCCCGACCAGCCTAGCCAACATGGTGAAACTCCTTCTCTACTGAAAATACAAAAGTTAGCTGGTGTGGTGGCACTGTCTTGTAATCTCAGCTACTCAGAAGGCCGAGGTAGGAGAATCGCTTGAACCCAGGAGGCAGAGGTTGCACTGAGCCAAGATTGCACCACTGTACTCCAGCCTGGGCCACAGAGCAGGACTCTGTCTCAAAACAGACAAACAAACAAACAAAAAACTAGTAAGACATCTGATGCTAAAATATATTGTTCTAATTATTGTCTATTAGACAATTCTAATAGCAGTTTTTTAAGAATAAAAAAACTAGTAAGACTTGATGCTACAATATATTGTTGCATATTGTGCTACTATGAACAGTTTTTTATATTGAAGCTGTTTCCTAATGCCTTACAGATTTGTTTTTGTGAGAGTTTTTGTGGTTTTTTTTTTTCCTGGATAAAATAAAGACAAATCTCTTACCTTAAACTCAAGATGTAGAAAAAGTGATCATTTCAAGTTACATGAAATATTTGTCATACTCCTAATGATGCATGTATTTGCTTCTTCTAGCTGAGAGTGAGGGAACATCCTGTTTATGGACCATATGTTGAAGCACTGTCAATGTAAGTATTTGGCTCAGCAAGGGCAAAGAGGATAAAACAAATGAATAGAGTGAATGTTACTCTCCCATAATCTTTATTGTATTCTCATTGGCCTTCCTAACTTTGAAACCCTGGGTAACTATTTATTTAGCCTTCTACCCTTGATATTGTCCAATTAGGTTTTCCCTCTCTTTCCATAGAGTGTTAGTTACTTGTTTTAATACTTGCATGTGTCTTTCATAGTACCTGTAAAGTGTCTGCCATGGAGTATTCATTATACTATGAAGTAAATATTTGCTTTTTCTTTCTTTTACCCCTTCCTTTCACTATTAATTTAATCTTCCCTCTCAACCTGCTTTTTATACCTATGACTCTAAGCTAGACAGGGAAGAGGGTACTAAGAAGAGTTAAGAGTTTGATGCATGCTAGGAGTCATTTACTTTTTTTTCCAACACTGCAAATGCTTTCTTAAAGGAAAGGAAAAGTTATTAAGTATTAACTCAGCTGCATTTAATACATCTGGGATTGTATTGGGACCCATATACACCCACATATAAATATACCTATGCATATACATATGTGTTAAAGTATATCTTTTGGTATTGTGACTTAGACTTGAATATTAAGATGCTAAGGTGCTTCATTGTATTAAGAAAAATCATACTTTTTGTTAAAATTAAAGCATTATTTTATTTCCTGTCCTTCAAGAATGGGGAAAATAAAAGATTCTGGGAGAATCAATAAAATAATATTCATGAATTAGTCCATTGTGATCTTCAGCGTAAATATGTAATTGAAATGTTATTGTTTTATGAGAACAAGAGTATAATCATCAGTAAAATTGATTTTGTCTTTTCACTTCTTAAAAATAGGAACATTGTCAGTTCTTACGCTGATATCCAGGTAAGATTGATTTTGTTTTCTTTTCACTAGATAGAAAGAGCATAATCCTAAATATTTATAAGAATATTTTTTCTTAATTGCTGTTTTACAAATAAAAGGTTAGTTTCCTTAATTTATCACAAACCGATTTTGTTAAGTTTTAATCAAAATAATTGCTCTTCTTTATTAAAAATGTTGACCTTCATGTAAGCTTAGAGTTATGGAAACAGCCTTTTAAAGTTATTATTTCCTGCCTCAGATTTCTATGACAGAAAAAAAGGCAATGGGAATACAAATTATTAAAAGATAAATATTTACTCATTTCATTTTATAAATTAATTACAAATGTGTATATGTTATCTCTCTTAATTTTTATATCATTGAGTTACAGTCTGCTGATCTGAATTACAAATGTGTATATGTTGTCTCTCTTAATTTTTATATCATTGAGTTACAGTCTGCTGATCTGATCTTCCTTCCTTTTTTCTTATAAGAGTTGGCTAGAATTGGGAAATAAACAAAGAGCTACTGCTGCTACTGGTATGAATGATAAAAGTTCCCGATCTCATTCAGTTTTCACCCTGGTGATGACCCAGACCAAGGTATTTTTTTTAAAAGTTCCCGATCTCTTTCAGTTTTCACCCTGGTGATAACCCAGACCAAGGTATTTTTTTAAAAAGTTCCCGATCTCATTCAGTTTTCACCCTGGTGATCACCCAGACCAAGGTATTTTTTTTCCACAGGCAAGATAGTAAATACATTTAAGTTTCATGTTTTTCTTATTGTCTTCTTTAAATCAAAAGGTAAAAGTACAGTCATATAAATATATAAACTTAATTTGATTGTAGGAAATATGCCTTAGTTTCAATGACTTTTGGTCAATGACCAAATGACTTATGGCAGTATACCGTTTACCAGATTTTTAAATCAATAATAGATGCTTGTTATCATGATAACATTGATATGATCATATCAATATATGATAGTATATTTTCATATATAGTAATTATGCAGAGTATTTAGAAAAACATCAGAAAGTAAAAGATTTTTTAAAATTTAGCCATAGGTTCCACCATTCAGATAAACCCCTCTAAACATTTTGGTATATAGTCTTTCAATTTTTTTACCATCACAATTAAATTCACTTAAAATCACACTGTTAAAATCTGTAACAATTTTATGTTATTAAAATTTTTATAAAATAATTTTTAATAGCTATATAATATTCCATTAACTATTACAGTTCCTCAAGTTTTTCTCTACTGTTGGACATTTATATTATTTTTAAATGTTTTGCTATTATAATGCTGGGATAAGCAACATCTTTGTGCATTAAACTTTTTCTTTATTTATTGTTATTTCCTTAATATAACTGAGTGGTTATGGATTTTAATCTCTTTGAAGTAATTTATTTAATTTTGGCATAATCTATCCACTGCTCAATATATTCTTTTCAGTAGACCGTGTGAATATTTTTGTGTTATAAATTATCACAGATTCATGAAGGGATGATCTTAGGCCAGGTGCAGTGGCTCACGCCTGTAATCCCAGCACTTTAGGAGGCCGAGGCAGGAGGATCACTTGAGCTCAGGAGTTTGAGACTAGTCTGAGCAACATAGCGAGACCTTGTCTGTACTAAAAAATAAAAAAAAGTAGCAGGTGTAGCAGCATGTGCTTGTAGTCCCAGCTACTTGGGAGCCTGAGGTGGGACAATTGCTTGAACGCAGGAGATCAAGGCTGCAGTGAGCCGTGATGATGCCACTGTACTCCAGCCTGGGCAACAGAGTGAGACCCTGTCTCAAAAAAAAAGAAGAGACTATTTAAAAAATAAAAGAGTGATGTGTAATCTTTTACAGCTTTCCCTTTAAAAAAACCTATATTGATTGGAAGTAATAGAACTTAATTTAATTTAATATCATTTTGCTGTAGACAGAATTTGTGGAAGGGGAAGAACACGATCACAGAATAACAAGTCGAATTAACCTAATAGATCTGGCAGGCAGTGAGCGCTGCTCTACGGCTCACACTAATGGAGATCGACTAAAGGTAAATGGAATGCTTTTTCTCCTTTTGATGAAATTTATTCCTGAGGTCATTATTTTAAGGAGAATACAAACTGAATACACTTAACCTCCCCAAATATATCTTTATCTGCAGTTTATAGACTGCATTGCTGTGGTTGAAAAAGAGATACGTACTTTTTGGTTATGATTAATTTTTAAAGAAAATACGTTTGAGTCATAAGAAAGTTGGTAGTTTATAGAAAAAAGTATTTATAGACAGGCATTGTGGCATGTGTCTGTAGTCCCAGCTACTTGGTTCAGGTGGGAGGATTGCTTGAGCCTGGATGGTCGAGGCTACAGTGAGCCATGTTTATGCCACTGCACTCCAGCCTGGGCAACAGAGTGAGACTCTGTCTCAAAAAAAAAGAAAGTAAAAAAGTATTTACTCAGTAATTATATGAGGGGAGAAATATATTTTGTGAAATAAATTTCTTGCTGAGAAGTATTTTAAGTTAAAAATTTTTTTTTTCTTGCATGCAGGAAGGTGTGAGTATTAATAAGTCCTTGCTAACTTTGGGAAAAGTTATATCTGCACTTTCGGAACAAGCAAACCAAAGGAGTGTTTTTATTCCTTATCGTGAATCTGTTCTTACATGGCAAGTATCTTTTGAAGTATAAAGAATTGTATAAAATATAGTGAATACTATGGGGAAAAGAATGATAGACTGACTTCATTAACTTTGGGATGGAGAAAGGTGGTAAGCATTATGAATTCTAGAGCCAAACTACCTGGATTTGAATCTCAGCTCAGCATCTTATAAGCTCTGTGACTTTGGGCAAATTACTTAATATTCTAGCCCGTTTCCTCATCTGTAAAATAGGAATAAAATCAATACCTTTTAGGGGTAAGTGAGAATTAGATTATTAGTGTACAATTCTTAATACATAATATGTACTATATGAGTGTAAATAACTGTTCTTGTACTTAACTATTATTTGTGGCTGATGTTTGAACATATATGGTACTACCAAACATATTGCTAGTTGTATAAAGAGAAGTTGAATAATTTTGTTTGCTTACTACACAGTGACTAATACATGGGTGCTCAATAAATGTTTTCATTAGTGAATGTATATTTAATTTTCAATATGTTACATTCAGATTACATCTGTATGGATTTAATATTCAGTTGTGATAGGCATTAATATACAGTTACAATAAGGACTGCATCTTTACTTGAGGGTAATGTGTCTTTATAATTGGTTTATTACAATGTGATTGCCACCTTGAAACCTATAAGGGAAAATCTGATTTTTTTCATGTCTTATGAAAGTTAAAAATAGTGACATTCATTCTGCACTAATATATGTTTTAAGTCTCATACTCTTTTTCTCTAAAATAAAGATTTTGCTTTTAGTACAATATAGAATTTTTGTTTCAATGTTCATCATTTTCAACATTTATTGAGCACCTGCTTCAAAAGGTTGTGGTAGCACTGGAAATACAAAGATGACCAAGACACATAGTCCCTTCCCTATGGTAGCTCACAGTCATGAAATACTTGATGATCCACCACATTTTAGAATCTCTGCACAGATTATTGCCTCTTGAAACAATATAAAAAGTGTAAGAGAGAAAAAGTGTTTATGAGATCTAGAAATAGTTACAAATACCAGAAAAGTTTTAAATGGTATTTGAGTAGAGTATAATAATACTGTATTATATACCCTATTAGTTTGTTTTGTGCTTTCTAGATAATTACTGTTATTAAGTTGTTGTAGAAGCAAAGTCTTATGACTTTTTTTCTTGTAGGCTGTTAAAAGAAAGTCTGGGTGGAAATTCAAAAACTGCAATGATTGCTACGATTAGTCCCGCTGCCAGCAACATAGAAGAAACATTAAGCACACTTAGATATGCTAACCAAGCCCGTTTAATAGTCAACATTGCTAAAGTAAATGAAGATATGAACGCTAAGTTAATTAGAGGTGAATATTTTCTCAGAATTTAAAAATTGTTTTGCCACAGTTTAGTCCCAGATATTAGTTGCAGTCTTAAAATATGTAATTTATGAACATCAAAGGTGTTTTTCTATACCTATTTTAATAGATTCTAGTCATCAGCCTATAGTGATGGAGGATGATAGGTAGAAGGACAGATAATAAGTAATAAGGAGAAAAACAATTAGGAAAAGAACATAGAAAACAGAGTGTGAGTAAGGGGGAAACAGTAAGCATTAAACAATAAATTTACACAGTCATAGACGTGTGCAGCAAAATGCCAATAAAACTATTTACTATTTTTCTCTTATGACCTCTCTTCCATTGACGTTTTATGTACTAGCTCTGCTCATGCTTAGTTCATTGATCCAAAGGCAATTGGAGCTCGAGTTTCTAGTATAGGCTGAACTTCATTTATGCTAAATACTGCTTTCTATTTATCTCTAGGTAATCATCAATTTAGGATAGACTTTAATGCCTGCAAGAAATCTTGATTTGTACAGTTTTATCTTTGCTGATGTAGAACTATCATCTTTTCATGCCCCTTTGTCCTCTGGCCCTTTTTAGCAGCAGAAGGTGATAGACACTTCAGATGTATGAGCCAGAGAAGAATCTGATTTGTCTATCCTGGTCCATCCTTTCCCTTTTGGATCCCTTCTGTTTCACAAGTGGGACTGTTTTCATTAAAAATAAGTATTCTGGGCCGGGCATGGTGGCTCATGCCTATAATCCCAGCACTTTGAGAGGCTAACGCAGGCGGACTACTTAAGGTCAGGAGTTCGAGACCAGCCTGGCCAACATGGGGAAACCCTGTCTCTACTAAAAATACAAAAATTAGCCAGACACAGTGGTGGGCACCTGTAATCCTGGCTACTCGGGAAGCTGAGGCAGGAGAATTGCTTGAGCCCAGGAGGCGGAGGTTGCAATGAGCCGAGATCGTACCACTGCACTCTAGACAGTGAGACTCTGTCTAAATAAATAAATAAATAAATATTCTGAATTCCAGCTTGAAAAATCTTTGATCTTGGCTGTTCTGCCTAGTGAATAGCCATTCTTTTATTTCTTTACTTTTTAAATAAACTTTCACTTTAACAATTACCCTTTTGCCTCTCAAAAGTGTTCCACTTTGGTCAGTACATTATACAGCTTTCCTACTTATGAACAGGGAAAGTTCATTAATATGGGAGCATATTTCAGGTTAAGACTAAGTAAAGATTTATAGGTTATATAAAGTAGAGCTGATTTCTCCAATATTCTATTTTATTTAGTAATACTGTATTTAAAACTTCAAATGAAATAGAAGATTGGAGGATTATGCTTACTGTGGAAATTGTTATATATTAAATGTTATTATTAATGCATCTTTGTATAAATCTTCAGAATTGAAGGCAGAAATTGCAAAGCTAAAAGCTGCTCAGAGAAACAGTCGGAATATTGACCCTGAACGATACAGGCTCTGTCGGCAAGAAATAACATCCTTAAGAATGAAACTGCATCAACAGGAGAGAGACATGGCAGAAATGCAAAGGTAGAGTACAGTCAGTACTCTAAATGTTAAGTGTGTTGCTCTGGAATCATAGGAATGGCAGGGACCTCAAGAGGATACTGAGTATTTTTCCGACCTTCCTTATGAATAGAGCAGCCCACTCCCAGATTATCATATTTTAAATATTACTAGGTAGTTGCCTAATTTTCATTGATTGTCTCTTGACTCTCAATCTTATACATCTGGATGTTTTTAACTCTGTTATTTTCTTTGTCTTTGGAAAGAGTGTGGAAAGAAAAGTTTGAACAAGCTGAAAAAAGAAAACTTCAAGAAACAAAAGAGTTACAGGTATTATTTCAACTTTCTAAACTGATTAGAAAATAAAAGAAATATGCCAAGAAATAAATATTGCCAATATGCCAATGCATGTAAATTTAATGTTTCAAATACTTACTATATACTGACTCTGTACAAAGCAATACCGTAAGGAAAATTAATATAAAGAAATGTTAAGATCAAGACTGGTTGCTTAGAGCCAGCCCATAAACTAGTTGGAAAGTTAAAGTATGAATAAACCATCTTGTTATATTTACTTTGGTTCTACAAATATATATTAAATGTCTATGCTTTTCAGGAACAGGGGAAGCCAAGGTGATTAAACACAGTTTCATCCCTCAGAGAGCTTGTGATCCAGAGAGAGATTTACAAAACGTAAATAGAAGACTGAAATGCAATGTGATTTCAGTAGATTGAGCCATAAGCAATTGCCATTTTTGTAGGTAAAGCATGGTTGAACACTGGCAGTTTCATATGGTTGAACCTAATGTAATGAAAAGTATTTCAAGTGATTGGTAGTGGGGGAGTACTATAAGAATTCAGGAGAAGAAGGGAAAATTCCTTGCGCATGGCCAATCCAATCTCATAAAAGAGGTGGCATTTGAGATGGGCTTTGAAGTTTGGGTAAGATTTTAATAGGAAGAGAAAAGGAAGAGCACATTCTTGGAAGAGAAAATTCTCTGAAAGTAAAGGTAGAAAAGTTTGAGTTGTCTTTAGAAAGGGTACGTAGATCAGTTTTACTGGAAGCAGTTTATATGAGATCATAAGGAGATACAATTGGAAAGATATGTTATGATTAGTTTATGAAGGACTTGATTTCCAGGCCAAGGAAATTAAGTTTTATCCTGTAGGAAGTGAGAAGCTGTTAAAAAGTGACCAGGGAATTTACATTTTGAGAGCACCCTTTCGAGAGAATTAACCTGGCATAGGATATAAGATGGATTGAAAACAGAAGCTGTTGACGGTGATCAAGAGGCTGCTTCAGTAGTTTTGGTGTGAGTTGACAGGGGCCTGTGGTGAAGGCAATGAAGATGCAACAAAACAAACTGATCTATTCTAAAGACGGTCAGTCAATAAGAAGACACAATTTGGTGATGATAGATTGATGTATGAGTAGACTGAGGATGGTGAAGGACAAAGAAGGTAGGGAGGTCACAAAGGAGAGATTCTAAGGAAGGAGGAGAGAGTCTAAAAAACCTTTATGGCCGGGCACGGTGGCTCACGCCTGTAATTCCAGCACTTTGGGAGGCTGAGGCGGGTGGATCACCTGAGGTCAGGAGTTCGAGACCAGCCTGATCAACATGACGAAACCCTATCTCTACTAAAAATACAAAAATTAGCCGGGCGTGGTGGCATGCGCCTGTAGTCTCAGCTACTTGGGAGGCTGAAGCAGGAGAATCGTTTGAACCCAGGAGGCAGAGGTTGCAGTGAGCCGAGATCGTGCCACTGCACTCCAGCCTGGGTGACACAGCGAGACTCTGTCTCAAAAAAATAAAAATAAAAAAATAAATAAATAACCTTTAATTTAGTGAGACTTCATATAGAATTGTTTTAATGTTTAATATAGACCATTTGTTTTAGGTGAATTTAACAATTTCATACTGTGATTAAGATTAATTTCTTTTTCTGACTTCTACCAGAAAGCAGGAATTATGTTTCAAATGGACAATCATTTACCAAACCTTGTTAATCTGAATGAAGATCCACAACTATCTGAGATGCTGCTATATATGATAAAAGAAGGAACAACTACAGTTGGAAAGTATAAACCAAACTCAAGCCATGATATTCAGTTATCTGGGGTGCTGATTGCTGATGATCATTGGTATGTTAATCCTCTAAAAAAAAAGAAAAGGCACCTGTTCTATATCTTGATAACATGTGGTTTCCTTCATATGGCATATTCGTTGATACTGATCGTTTGGTAGAATTCTTCAAACCCATTGTTTAGTCAGGAAAAACATACATTCTGAGTGTGTTATAAGGATGATAGGTCAGTTACTCTCAATATAAAGTACAGTGTAATGCTCTCTCTGTTTTTGTTTTGGCATACTTGATCTGTTGATTGAAGAATAATTTATTTTCTTGCAATTATAATGATGCACATGCAAGTAAACTATCTATCTTACATAACAGAATTTTTGGTTGGATTGACCAATTTAAAAATGTTACTTTATGTGAATTTTGTTCATATGAATGGAATACTTGTATATATTGTTGGAATGATAGCGTATGTAAACTTTTTTGACTCTGCATTGTGTTTCCAAGATTTGTGTACATTGGTTCCTGTTTTATTTTCACTGCTATGAAGTATTCCATTGTATGAGTTTATCTCTTATAAAGTTTAGGAAGTGCTTTTAAATTGTATGTCTGAGAGTAGAGATACTAGGTTGTAGAATATGTGCATATTCAACTTTAGTAGCTAATTTCAAATTATTTTCCAAAATGAATTTTTACTCCCATTGGCCTTGAGAATACCTGTTACTCCACATCGTTGCCAATACTTAGTACTGTCAGACTTTATGCCAATCTGATGAACACTAAATAGTATATCATTATGGATTCATTTTACATTTCTTTGATTAATAATAAGGTTGAACATCTTTTCATGTGTTGATTGGCCATTTTTGTTTACTATTGTAACTTGCCTCTTCATATCTTTTGTTGATTTTTCAACTGATTTGCTTATTTCTTAATAATTTGTAGGAGTTGCCAATCTTTCGTGAGCTTTTTGGTATAAATATCTTTTTTTCTAACGTGTAACATCTTTTTACTCTCTCTGGTGCCTTTGATTGATTGAAGTTCTTAATTTTATTGTAGTACCTGGCATCAGTCTTTTCCTTTATGATTGTCAGTTTTTATGTCTTAAAGAAAGAATGTTCTGGCTGGGCGTGGTGGCTTATGCCTGTAATCCTAGCACAGGTGTGTGGGCTCAGGAGTTTGAGTCCAGCCTGGGCAACATGGTGAAACCCTGTCTCTACTAAAAATACAAAAAATTTTCTGGGCGTGGTGGTACCTGCCTGTAATCCCAGCTACTCAGGAGGCTGAGGCATGAGAATCGCTTGAACCTAGGAGGTGGATGTTGCAGTGTGCCGAGATCATCATGCCACTGTACTTCAGCCTGAGTGACAGAGCGAGACTATGTCTCAAAAAAAAAAAAAAAAAAAAAAAAAGAGAGAGAGAGAGATAGAGTGTTCTGGCCAGGTGCGGTGGCTCACGCCTATAATCCTAACAGTTTGGGAGGCTGAGGCGGCAGATTACTTGAGACCAGGAGTTCAACATCAGCCTGGCCAACATGGTGAAACCTCATCTCTACTGAAAATACAAAAATTAGCCCGGCATGGTGGTGGGCACCTATAGTCTCAGCTACTTGGGAGGCTGAGGCATAAGAATCACTTGAACCTGGGAGGTGGAAGCTACAGTGAGCCAAGATGACTCTGCTATACTCCACCCTAGGCAATAGAGTGAGACTCTAACTCAAAAAAAAAAAAAAAAAAAAAGACTGTTGTACATTGAGGTCATAGAGATGTTCTAAATTTTCTTCTAGATGTTTTGAAGTTTTGCTTTCACATTTAAGTTATTGAATGTCTGGAATTTTTTATTTGGTGTGAATTAGGGATCTAAATTCATTTATTTTCCACATGAATAGCCATTTCTCCCAGTACCAAATATTAAATAGTTTATTGCTTCTTTTGGAATCTGTAGTGCTCCTACAAAAAATTTCTAAAAATATCAGAATCTGTTTCTTCCTACTAATACCCCATGGTCGTAATTACTTGAGCTTTGTAATGAATCTTTATTTATTTATTTTTTGATTTCAGAGTTTTGCTCTGTTGCCCAGGCTGGAGTGTAGTGGCACCATCTCAGCTCACTGCAACCTCCTGGAGTCGAGCAATTCTCCTGCTTCAGCCTCCTGAGTAGCTGGGATTGCAGATGTCTGTTACCACGCCTGGCTAATTGTTGTATTTTTAGTAGAGATGGGGTTTCACCATGTTGGCCAGGCTGGTCTCAAACTCCCACCTCAGGTGATCCGCCCACCTTGACCTCCCAAAGTGCTGGGATTACAGGTGTGAGCTACCACGACCGGCCTGTAATGAATCTTTATATCTTTTTTTTTTTTTTTTTTTTTGGAGATGGAGTCTCACTCTATCACCCAGGCTGGAGTGCAGTAGTGTGATCTTGGCTCACCGTAACCTCCACCTTCTGGGTTCAAGCGATTCTCGTGCCTCAGCCTCCTGAGTAGCAGCCACCATGCCCAGCTAGTTTTTTGTATTTTTAGTAGAGACGATTTCATCATGTTGGCCAGGCTCGTCTTGAACTCCTGACCTCAGGTGATCCACCCACCTTGGCCTCCCAAAGTACTGGGATTACAGACGTGAGCCACTGCACCTGGCCATGAATCTTTATATCTGTTAGGGCATATCCTTTTGTTCTTTAGGTTCTTTTGCTCTTTTATTAATTAATTATTTTCTTTAACAAATAAATACAGTATTATTAACATCTGTGGCAAAGATACAGAACATGCTCCCAAAGAGTTAAGAGTCCAGTAAGGAACTTGGAAGCCTCTTGCTTGCCTCTAACTCTCTACTTCCATTTTTCGTACCTTCCTCAGTTTATCTTGTTCACTAGACCATGAACTTTATGAAAGCTGATTTCATGTCTGTCTTCATTGCTGACACATAACTGGCTCTTGGAGGCTTAATGAATAAAAGAACTTCATGGCTGAGGCTGGTCATGTGAAAGAGAAAAAAAGAACTTCAGTATCTATTAATGCATATTAAGTGTTATGAGTACTGCATACTTACTGCTTAGAAGTGAAGAGAAGGAAGAGTTGACTTCTAACTTAAACCCTAAAGAACAGCTTCTTAGAGGACTCTAAATTGGGCCTTCAAGAATGGTTGCAAGAAGGGAGAGGATGTCCTATCTGGAAGGAATGACTCAAGGAAAGGAGGAAAGCTGACATTAAGGCAAATTCAGAGTATTCATATGGTTGATTAAGTGTGAAATGGGGTTCTTATGGGAAAATAGTGGCAGATGAGGGAGGTTGGTGGTTGAAGCCAGATTGTGGGGCGTCCAGAATGGTAGGCCATGGAATTTTGAGAGCAGAGTAGATAGAATTAGGAGAGGAAAGGGATCAGAACAAGTACACATTGTATAAACCTTCACCTGGATAAGACACTAGACTGGTAGGAGGGATGTAGTGCCTAAGGGTGAACTATTGTTTCCATGTACTTTTCTCTAGATGCTTTAATTAAACTATTATTCTCTAATCACAGATCTTGGAGCCTAATCCACAGCTAAAAAGATCTTTGGTTAGGACTCAGCTTTTGTTGCAGTTTTTCTTTCTATCCCGTTAATCCAAAGATGAATTGGACTTTGGAGTTTCTTTCCTATTCTCTGAATAAAAAGACTCAAATATGTAGCACTTATAGCTGATTTTCCACAGTATCACCTTATCATCCAGTAAATTAGATGTCTTAAGGGGTACACTTTGATCTCCATGTTTTTCCTTCCTCTGTAGTACCCTACTTTTCAAAAGGGGAGAAATATTTGTTCTTTCTGTTATTAAAGCTCATATGTAAAACCAGAAGCTTAGAAAATTAAAAAAACACTTAAAACTGTTTTATTCATAAGAAATCACTGGCAGTATGTTAATGTTTTTTGCTAGTTTTTTTTTTTTTTTTTTTTTTTTTGAATTTTTGGGGGAAGGTTTTTGTTTTCAAAGAAGTTATAATAAAAATACACCCAATGAAGAATGTTCCCACCACAGGTGGATCGGATTGCTAGAGGCCAGGCTTTTTTCACCAAACTTCAAAATCTAATTGGAGGCTCGATGCAGTGGCTCATGCCTGTAATCCCAGCATTTTGGGAGGCCGAGGCAGGTGGATCACTTGAGGTCAGGAATTAGAGACCAGCCTGGCGAACATGGCAAAACCCCATCTCTACTAAAATGCAAACATTAGCTGGGCAGGGCATGGTGGTGGGTGCCTGTAATCCTAGCTACTCAGGCAGCTGAGGCAGGAGAATTGCTTGAACCCAGGAGGTGGAGCTTGCAGTGAGCTGAGATTGTATCACTACACTCCAGCCTGGGCGACAGAGCAAGACTCCGTCTCAAAAAAAAAAAAAAAAAAAAACTAGTTGGAGGAAAATAAAATAATTTTAAATTATTGTTACATATTGGTATGAATCTTAACACCAAAGGAATAGCCCAAGCAGAATTATCCCATATTGCCTTTTTCTTACTTTTTAGTGTGTTCTATAATTGTTAACTATGTGCTTCTTATTTTAACAGTACTATCAAAAATTTTGGTGGGACAGTGAGTATTATCCCAGTTGGGGAAGCAAAGACATATGTAAATGGAAAACATATTTTGGAAATCACAGTATTACGTCATGTAAGTGGATGGGTGCTATAATATAAGAAACTGTTCGACTTTGGATAAGTCATTTAATTTCTTTGAGTTCTGGTTTTCTCTATAAGATAAGGGTGTTGAAGCAGATTAAGGACTTTTTCATTTCAAAAATTCTTTTTCCTATTAATTGCTTTCTTGTGCAAAGACAAAAGTTACATTTATATGAATCAGTACCTGAAGAGCTGACCACTAATAGCATCATTATGTGTCCTATAAAGAGCTAGGCTTTAGAATCAGACAGACAGGGTTGAAATCCTGGCTTTGCCATTTGCTCTGTGACGTCTGGCAAGTTATTTAACTAGATGATTAAACAATGTCACCCAAGTCAGGACACTTTTGAGATCATTATTAATAATTACATCAAGAGAACAAACATCAGCAGTGTGTTACAGGCAAACCCAGACCTATTGTGACTCTATATATCCTGCCTTTCAGAGATAGTGAAGGATTAACTGAAATAATAATTTGTGTATATAGTTCTTAGAATAGTATCTGCAAATAGTAAGCTCTCAATGAATGTCTCTTGTTATTATTAAGCTTTGTGCTGTTTAGTTTCCTCATTCCTAAAATTGGGATGATTATATGTATCTCACTGAGTTGTTGTGAATCGTAAATGAGATAACATAAAGTCTTGCACTTCATAATGATGTTTTGGGCAATGAGGGACCACATATGTAACAGTGGTCCCATAAGATTATAATACTGTATTTTTACTGTATTTTTTTCTGTTTAGATATACAATTATTTACCATTGTGTTATAGTTGCCTATGGTATTCAGTACAGTAACATGCTGTACAGGTTTGTAACCTAGGAGCAATAGGCTATGCCATATAGCCTAAGTGTGTAGTAGGCTATACCATCCAGGTTTGTGTAAGTACATTCCATGATATTCACACAACTATGAAATCACCTAACAGTGTACTTCTCAGAACATATCCCTGTTGTTAAGAGACATATGACTATATGTGTAATGTGCTTAATGCAGTGTTTGGTATATACAAAGTAATAAACGTTGGGAGGCCAAGGTGGGTGGATCATGAGGTCAGGAGTTCGAGACCAGCCTAGCCAACATGGTGAAACCCCATCTCTACTAAAAATGCAAAAATTAGCTGGGTGTGGTGGCACACGCCTGTAATCCCAGCAGCTCGGGAGGCTGAGGCAGGAGAATTGCTTGAACCCGTGAGGCCGAGGTTGCAGTGAGCTGAGATTGTGCCATTGCACTCCAGCCTGGGTGACATAGTGAGACTCTGTGCCAAAAGAAAAAAAAAGTAATAAATGTTAGTTGCTATGATGTTTATGTTTATCATTAATACTAGACTATATTGAATTGTTGGGCAAAATAAATTTTCTCATTTAATTTTTTGGTTGAGACTCACCTCAAGTAGTACATTTTTTTGTGTGCTTTAGGGTGATCGAGTGATTCTTGGTGGAGATCATTATTTTAGATTTAATCATCCAGTAGAAGTCC
Organism: Homo sapiens; assembly: GCF_000001405.40. Taxonomy (NCBI): domain Eukaryota; kingdom Metazoa; phylum Chordata; class Mammalia; order Primates; family Hominidae; genus Homo; species Homo sapiens. Next base: position 200,592,179 of record NC_000001.11, on the reverse strand, counting down.
AGAAAGGAAAAAGGCCATCTGGAAGAGATACTCCTATAAGTGAGGGTCCAAAAGACTTTGAATTTGCAAAAAATGAGTTGCTCATGGCACAGAGATCACAGTAAGTATGCTGTTGATATGAAATAGTAAGTGTATGAGAGAGATCTACAACAGAGTTAATCACATTGTGCCAGTCTCTAGTAATTAACTCTTTGGGTGCTGGTTTCTAGTGATATAATTTTTTCTCTTAGTACATTCATTAGTTCACCAAATATATATTGACCATCTATTATGTGTCTGTCACTGTACCAAATGCTGGAGATATAAAGAATAAGGATTGAAATTTAGCTCATGTGCTGAAAGAATTCATCATCTCGAGGGGCTGACAGTTATAACAGTGCTATGACACAGTTCTCTGACAAGAGTCCCGAACTGTGTGGTGTGGAAGCTCACGGGGTGACACCTGGCCCTGACCGGTTATCAGGGAAGGTTTCTAGAAGATGAGAAGACGTCCCATAGAGGAGAATCCCAATAGACGATTAGAATTTAGCCAGAGGAAGACTGGGAGAGTGTACTTTTGTTTTTCTTTTCTTCTTGTGCCCCAGTTTTAGTTCATGCAGTATCGTAGGATTTCTGGCATAAGTAGTATCCTTGTAAGCTAAATGGTAAAGTATATACAAATAAAATGCTAAAGAGTTTGGACTTTATCTTAAAGGATAAGGGAAACATTAAAGAATTTTGAGCAGACGTGAGACACTCATAATCAGAATTACATTTTTAGAGAGATCACTGGCACTCAAATCTGGAGAATGCATTAGAGATAGAGCAAGCTTAAAACCTGCAAATGCAGCTAAGAGACTATTGAAGTAAGGTAAATATAGTGTGATTAGGTAGGAAGGAAACATAAAGGAGATAAGATTGACAAGGCCTGGTGACTAAAGAGGATGAAAGGAGGAGGAATCAAGAACTGGTTATAGGCTAGACTAACTGCTTTGTCACCTTTTAAGAAGCCTCAACCTGCTTTTGCCCTTTAAAAAGAATTTTTTTAATTGAATACAATATAAATAGCACAAAATTTACCATGTTAGCCATTTTTAATTGTATAGTCCAAAGGCATTAAGTACCTTCACATTGTTTTGTGGTTTTTTTTTTGTTTGTTTTTTGGTTTTTTTTTGAGATGGAGTCTGGCTCTGTCGTCTAGGCTGGAGTACAGTTGGCATGATCTGGGTTCATTGCAACTTCCACCTCCTGGCCTCAAGCCATCCTCCCACCTTAGCCTCCCGAGCATGTGAGACTATAGGCGCACACCACCACGCCTGGCTAATTTTTGAATTTTTTTGTAGAGATGGGGTTTCACCATGTTGCCCAGGCTGGTCTCGAACTCCTGAGCTCAAGCAGTCCACCTGCCTTGGCCTCCCAAAGTGCTGGGATTACAGGCGTGAGTCACTGTGCCCACCCTAGTGCCTTCACGTTGTTGTGCAACCATCACCATCATCCATCTCCAGAAATGTTTTATTATTCCAAACTGAAACTCTGTATTTGTTAAACAATAGCCATTCTCCTCTCTCCCTAGCTGTGATATCCACTAACCTTCTTTTTTATACTCTTATTCTTTTTTTCAGTAAAATTGGGAATGGAAATTTCTGTATAATGTAGTTACTAAAGCACTGATTTTATTTAAATGTCAGGCATCTGCAATAGTAACTAAGTTAGAAATAAGCAATTTTTCGTCCTGCGTGTTTAAATTTTGAGTGTAAACAATTGTAGAGCCAGTGAAAATTTTAAAAACACTGTTGATAGAATGTCAGAAATCAAGTTTTAAGATTGAAACTTTCATTCAATGGAAAACTTTTCAGTAGGATTAAGAACTATTATGATGTATAAAGAATTCTTAACATGTACCCTATAAACATCTTGCTACATTGTAGACTTGAAGCAGAAATAAAAGAGGCTCAGTTGAAGGCAAAGGAAGAAATGATGCAAGGAATCCAGATTGCAAAAGAAATGGCTCAGCAAGAGCTTTCTTCTCAAAAAGCTGCATATGAAAGCAAAATAAAAGCACTGGAAGCAGAACTGGTAAAAGGCAGAATTAGTTTTATTTTTTTTTTCCGACAGTGTACCCCAAGTGATGTGTTGCCTATAAAGTTGATTATGTCCCTATAAGGGAACTGGGAGAGATCAGAGATTAGTGAATCAAAGCCACAGTGAGTCTTGGCCCTCTTTAATTTTACTTTAAGAAATAAGTCAGGGCTGAGCATGGTGGCTCATGCCCGTAATCCCAGCTCTTTAGGAGGCCAAGGCGGGCAGATTACTTGAGCCCAGGAGTTCAAGACCAGCCAGGGGCAATGTAGGGAAACCGGTCTCTCCAAAAAGTTTAAAACATTAGCTGGGTGTGGTAGCATGCGCCTGTAGTCCCAGCTACTCAGAAGGCTGAGCTAGGAGGATCATCTAGCCCAGGGAGGTCAAGGCTGCAGTGAACCTTGACAGAGTGAGACTCTGTCTCAAAAAAAAAAAAAAAAAAAAAAAAAAGAAAAAAGTTGGTGGCGATAATAGACAATGGCTACTGGAATAAAAATAAAGAGAAACTTCTGTCCTCTAGCCGCTTGAGTCATGGCTGTCTCCATGGTTTATTGGAAATCTTGGGTTCCCAGAAGCCCATTTTAGATAATACTCTTAAGTATTTTTAGTTAACCTGAATGAAGTGGAGAAGCTTTAATAGGGCAACTTTTCTATTAGTGAGTAATTTCTTGTACATTGGTTAAAGAAAGGGACTTTTGTACTTTTTTGCTACGGTTTTTGCCTGAGATATTTTTTATTATTGTTCTTTAAAGAGAGAAGAGTCTCAAAGGAAAAAAATGCAGGAAATAAATAACCAGAAGGCTAATCACAAAATTGAGGAATTAGAAAAGGCAAAGCAGCATCTTGAACAGGAAATATATGTCAACAAAAAGCGATTAGAAATGGAAACATTGGCTACAAAACAGGTAATTTTATTGTGTAACCAGTTAACTCTATTCTGAGAAAAAGCTGGATTTTTTTTTTCAAAGAAGTGGCTTATGGTATGTTGACAGAAGAGAGCCAAATCCAGGTTTGTAGATGTGTAGATGAGAAAAGTACTTCTTGCCTGAAAGCTTATATCCTGGTACTGCTCACAGATCACACAGAGATTTTGAAAGTGACAGAGTTATTTCCATCTAGTTCCACTCCAGTGTTCTCTTTTTATGCATCTACAACTATCTGGTCATCAGTCATGCCAAGTAATTTAAATAAGTGAAATAGCACTAGGTCACATATGAGGAAGGAAAAAAGGCACAGCTCTTACACTGGGTCACATCCTGATGTCACAATGAAACATCTGCCTGTGGAGAGAGCAGCAAGCATCCTGTTTCCAGAACTCACAGTAGGGCATTCATTACCTCAGTCTTATGAGCTCAGGCACCTGCCTGCTTTTATCATGTCATTGAGGATAGAGGCATCTTTCATGGGCCACCTCAACTAATCAATTTCACAAGCCTAAGGGATAAAACCAGAATGTTAATACCTTCAAGCACCTTACTGTCAGTATTTTGGGCCATTCTTTCTATTAGCGGTTCTTGAAGGGTGGTCCCTAGACCAGCAACATCAACATCACCTTGGGAACATGTTAGAAATGCAAATATTTAGGCCGGGCATGGTGGCTTACACCTGTAATCCCAGGACTTTGGGAGGCTGAGGCGGGTGGATTACGACGTTAAGAGATCGATGCCATCCTGGCCAACATAGTGAAACCCTGTCTCTACTAAAAATACAAAAATTAGCTGGGCATGGTGGCACACACCTGTAGTCCCAGCTACTCAGGAGGCTGAGGTAGGAGAATCTCTTGAACCCGAGAGTCAGAGGTTGCAGTGAGCTGAGATTATGCCACTGCACTCCAGCCTGGTGACAGAGCAAGACTCTGTCAAAAAAAAAAAAACAAAACAAACAAACAAACAAAAAGCAAATTTTTAGGCCGCACTCCAGAACTACTGAAGCAGAAACTGAGAATGGGGCACAGAACCTATTTTAAGAAGCCCTGTGGGATGTTCTGATGAACACTAAAGTTTGCAAGCCACTGTTTTGATTCCTTATATCTTAATCTTAAGGTTTTACTCTCTCAAATGGCAATTTTATTTCTCTTTTTTCCAAGTTTGTGGGGTCAGGGAAACCAGGGTGGGAGTTGGGGGTGGAATAAAATACTCCTAGTAATTGCAAAGTATTGGTACCATAATACAGTTATTATACATCTACTAGTCAACTCCTGGACACAAAGTGGCTAGTGAACCACCTCAGAGAGTTTTAGGAGAAAAACATAGAACTGTTTAAATCTTGAAAAACAATTATGATTGTTACCATTTTTGGTTTTGTTTTATTTTGAGACGGAGTTTCATTCTTGTTGCCCAGGCTGGAGTGCAGTGGCGTGATCTGGGCTCACTGCAACCTCCGCCTTCCAGAGATTCTGCTGCCTCAGCCTCCCGAGTAGCTGGGATTACAGGTGTCTGCCACTACGCCCGGCTAATTTTTTTTGTATTTTTAGTAGAGACGGGGTTTCACCATGTTGGCCAAGCTGGTCTTGAACTCTTGACCTCATGATTCTCCCGCCTTGGCCTCCCAAAGTGCTGGGATTATAGGCATGAGCCACCGCACCCGGCCCCAAAACAATTATTATTATTGGGCTTATAATGCTTATTTGTACTAAACTAGATTTCTTGTATCTTTTAAATTTAACTTCTTTATTTAGTCAACAAGTGTTCTTGGATATGGCCTTTTTTTTTTTAACAGTTTGTCCTTTTTTCTTCTTTTTTTTCTGCCTTTTTGGGGTTTTCTTATTTTTAATTTATTTTTATTTCAATAGCTTTAGAAGTACAAATTGCTTTTGGTTTCGTGGATGAATTATATAGTGGTGAAGTCTAGGATTTAGTGCACCTGTCACCTGAGTAGCTTACATTGTACCCAATAGGTAGTTTTTCATTTCTTGCCCTCTCCCACTCTCCCTGAGTCTTCAATGTCCATTGTACCAGGAGTGCACACAGTTCACAATTTAGGTTGCACGCTCCTTATGAGAATCTAATATCTGATGATCTGAGGTGGAACCGTTTCATCCTGAAACCAACCCCTGAGCCCCTGTCCGTGGAAAAATTGTCTTCCACGAAACCAGTCCCTGGTGCCAAAAGGTTGGGGACCGCTGCATTATACCACTCTATATGCTTTTGCATACCCATAGCTTAGCTGTCACTTATAAGTGAGACCATGCTGATATTTGGTTTTCAATTCCTGAGTTACTTCACTTAGAATTATTGCCTCCAGTTCCATTCAAGTTGCTGCAAAAGATATTTTCTTTTTTATTGCTGGGTAGTATTTCATGGTGTATATATATATATATATATATATATATGTATGTATATATATATACACCATATTTTCTTTATCCATTCATTGGTTGATGGACACTTAGGTTGATTCCATATCTTTGCAATTGTGAATTGTGCTGTGATAAGCATACACATGCAGGAGTCTTTTTGATACAATGACTTCTTTTCCTCTTTTTTTCTAGTTTTTTTTTTAACTTCTATCAATGGGAAGAAAAAAGATTAATTTATGTCATCAAAAATTCCTAATAATATTGTTGTGGGGAAAAATTATTTTGTAAGGAAATTTTATAAATCATTTTTAAAAGCTTTTCATGTTTAATACAGCACATAAAACATGTTAACTATATAGGCTTAATAAAACGTACTGTAAAATGAGGTTTACTGTAGTGTGTTATCATTATCAATCTGTTTTTTTAAAATAGGTTTTATTGTGTATATTTAAGTTATACAATGTTATGGGGTATATAAATTGTAAAATGGTTACTGTAGTGAAGCAAATTAACATATCCATCATCTCAATGTGGTGTTATAGTTTCTCTCTTTGCATATTCTCACATGTGGGTCTGTATGAATGAATATCAATTAGGCTTTAGAAGACCATAGCATCCGCCATGCAAGAATTCTGGAAGCTTTAGAAACTGAAAAGCAAAAAATTGCTAAAGAAGTACAAATTCTACAGCAGAATCGGAATAATAGGGATAAAACTTTTACAGGTAAGTGTGTGCTGATTTTAGCAAACATTTTCTAAAATTATGCATGTTATATGTAATATAATTACTAAAATATTAGCATTAGTTGCCTTTACATATTCAAAATACTTTATTCTAGTTGTTGACTTTTCTGGATCTAAATAAATTTGTATGAATGGTTGTTTTTGAATATTCAGCTTTTAGAATATTTATTATATCAATGCTTTAGACTGAATGTTTGTGTTCCCCCAAAATTAATATATTGAATTCATAACCTCCAAGGCAGCAGTGTTAGGAAGTGGAGGTCTTTGGCAGGTGAGTAAGTCATGAGGGTAGAGCCCTCATAGATAGAATTAGTGCCCCTGTGAAAGAAATTGCAGAGAGTCCCCTCACCTCTTCCACCAAGTGAGGACATAGCATGAAGATGGTAGTCTGCAACCCAGAACAGGGCCCTCACCAGAACCTGACCGACGCTGGAACCCTGATCTCAGAGTTCCAGCCTCCTGAACTGTGAGCAATAAATTGCTGTTGTTTATAAGCCACCCAGTCTGGCAATTTGTTAATAGTACTGCAACTGAGCAAATAGTAAGCCAAATTTCAATGTGCAGCATGTTTTTAAAAAATATATCTTATTCTAATTCTTAATCTTTGTTTTATATCTGTTAATAGTTGTGCTTAGTCATGGATTACGTTGTTTTCTTTTTCACTTAGACATTTTTTTCTTAAGAGATTTTTTTTCTAGCTTTACTGAGATGTAATTAACAAATAAAAATTATGTATATTTAAGATGTACAACATGATGTTTTTACATATATTGCAAAATGATTACCATAATCAAGCTAGTTAACATATTTATCACCTCACCTAGTTCTTTTTTTTTTTTTTGTCATGAGGACACTTAGGATATACTCTCTTATTTCAAGTATACAATACAGTATTATTAATTATAGGCAACTTTCTGTTCATTAGACCTCCAGAGTGTATTCATCCTGCATAACTGAAACTTTGTACCCTTTGACCAACATCTTCCCATTCCCCTATCCTGTATTTCCTGGTAACCATCATTCTACTCTCTGTGCCTATGAGTTTAACATTTTTAGATTCCACATATAAGTGAGATCATATAGTATTTATCTTTCTATGTCTGGCTTATTTCACTTTTGGTGGTGTTATTAGAGTTTTCTATATATAAGATCATGTCGTCTATAAACTAACAATTTTACTTCTTCCTTCTCAGTTTGGATACCTTTTATCTCTTTTTCTTGCCCAGCTGGTTTTGTTAGGACTTCCAGTACTATGTTCAATAGAAGTGGTGAGAGTAGGCATCCTTGTCATGTGCCTGATCTTAAAGGAAAAGCTTTCAGCTATTTGCCATTGAAGATGTTAGGTATGGGCTTGTCATATATAGCCTTTATTATGTTGAGGTACATTCTTCTATATCTAATTTGTTGAGAGTCTTTATCATAAAAGGATGTTGTAGTTTGTCAAAGGTTTTTTGCACCTATTGAAATGATCATATGATTTTTATCCTTATTCTGTTAATGTGGTATATCACATTTATTGATTTGTATATGTTAAACCATCCTTGCATCCCAGTGATAAACCCCACTTGATCATGGTGTATGATCCTTTTAATGTGCTGTTGAATTTGGTTTGCTAGTATTTTGTTGAAGATTTTTGGATCTATGTTCATCAGGGATATTGGCCTGTAGTTTTCTTTTCTTGTAGTGTCTTTGTCTGGCTTTAGTATCAGGGTAATGCTGGCCTTGCAAAAGGAATTGGAAATGTTCCCTCCTCTTCAGCTTTTTGGAAGAGTTTGAAAAGGGTTAGCATTAATTCTTCTTTAATTGTTCGGTAGACTTCACCAGTGAAGCCATTAAGTCCTGTGAGACCTTTTTTTTTTTTTTTTGAAACAGAGTCTTATGTGTTGGCAGGCTGGAGTATGGTGGCACGATCTCAGCTTACTGCAACCTCCGCCTCCCGGGTTCAAGTGATTCTCCTGCCTCAGCTTCCCAAGTAGCTGGGAGTACAGTTTTTGTATTTTTAGTAGCGATGGGGTTTCACCATGTTGGCCAGGATGGTCTCTACCTCCTGACCTCGTGATCCACCCACCTCAGCCTCCCAAAGTGCTGGGTTTACAGTTGTGAGCCACCGGGGCCCGGCCCGACTATTTTTTTTTTTTTTAAAGTCTTTTTGTTGTTGTTGCCCAGGCTGGAATGCAGTGGTGTGATCTTGGCTCACTGCAGCCTCTGCCTCCCAGGCTCAAGCGATTCTCCTGCTTCAGCTTCCTGAGTAGCTGGGATTACAGGCATGCACCACCATGCCCAGCTAAGTTTTGTATTTTTAGTAGAGACAGGGTTTCACCATGTTGGCCAGGCTGGTATCAAACTTCTGACCTCAGGTGATCTGCCTGCCTCGGCTTCCCAAAGTGCTGGGATTACAGGTGTGAGCCACCATGCCTAGCCAAGTCCTGGGAGACTTTTGATTGCACTTTTTTTGGTACATTTCTATGTAAAACACAGCATATTTTTAATATAAACTTTTTTATTATGGAAAATTTTAAACAAACTATAAAAGTAGAGATTGCTGCAGTAAGCCTTTATATATTTATCCAACTTCAATGATTATCAACACATGTTCAATCTTGTTGCCGCTATCCTCAAGCTCACTGCTTCCCTGGACTAGTTTGAAGCAAATCCCAGACACCATATCATTTAAGGTGTACACACTTCACTGTGTATCTCTAAATTAGATAAGGACTCTCTTTTTGCTCTCCCTCTCTCTCTTTCTCTGTCACTCTTTTAAGCATTGCCATAACTATATTAATAATAATTTCTTACACATCACATATTTACTCCATATTCGTATTTCCTGGATTGTTTCATCCTTTTTTTAAAAAAAAAACTTGATTTGTTTGAATCAGGATACCAACATCATCTACACATTGCGTTTGGTAGATGTGCCTTTTAAGTCTCTTTTAATCTGTAAATTCACTCTTCTCTTTCATCTAGTAATTTGCTGAAGAAATCAGATGATTTGTCCTGTAGAGTTTTTTTGGATTCTGGATTTTGCTGATTGTGTCTGCCTGGTGTTACTTAACAGGCTCCTCTGTTCCAGTATTCCCTAGAAAGTGGTAGTTAGATCTTCAGGCCTATCAAATTCAGGTTCAGTTTTTTAGCAAGAATACTTGGTAGGTATGTTGTGTACTTTCTGTAACTTCTTTAAAATAACTTTTAAAATATTAATACTCTTTTTTTTTTTTTCTGAGACAGAGTCTTGCTCTGTCACCCAGGTTGGAGTGCATTGGAGTGCAGTAGCGCAATCTCAGCTCACTGCAACTTCTGTCTCCCGCTTTCAAGCAATTCTCCTGCCTCAGCCTCCCGAGTAGCTGGGACTACAGGCATCCGCTACCACGCCTGACTAATTTTTGTATTTTTAGTAGAAACAGTGTTTCACCATGATGGCCAGGCTAGTTTCAAACTCCTGACCTCAGGTGATCCACCGGCCTTGGTCTCCCAAAGTGCTGGGATTACAGCTGTGTGCCACTTCACCCAGCCAATACTCTTTGTATCTATTGCCAGGAGGCAATACTTTTATTCTTCTGAGGGCCTAGACAGTGCCTTACAATGATTACTTGATTTTTTAATTCATGTGAATGAGTTTATCCTTCCAAAAAGCTATTTTTAGTAGATTACTGGTTATAAGTTTGTCTGAACAATATAGAAAATATTTATGATAAATTTTTTTTTTTTGAGACAAAGTCTTGCTCTGTCACACAGGCTGGGGTGCAGAGTGCCATCATAGCTGACTGCAACCTCAAACTCCTGGGCTCAAGTGATCCTCTTGTCTCAGGCTCTCCAGTAGCTAGGACTACAGGTGCATGCTTCCTTGCTTGGCTAATTTATTTTATTTTCTAGAGATAGGGTGCCACTATATTGCCCAGGCAAGCCTTGAAATTCTGGCCTTCAAGTGATCCTCCTGCCTCAGCCTCCCAAAATATGGGGATTATAGACATGAGCTACTGTGCCCAGTCATAATCTTAAATTCAAATTAGGAGCTGGGTGTGGTGGCTCATGTCTGTAATCCCAGCATTTTGGAAGGCTGAGGCAGGTAGATTGCTTAAGCCCAGGAGTTCAAGACCAGCCTGAGCAACATGGCAAAACCTCCTCTCTACAAAATATAAGAAAGTTAGCTGGGTGTGGTGGCATGCACCTGTAGTTCCAGCTACTTGGAAGGCTGAGATGGGAGGATCACTTGAGCCTGGGGAGGTCAAGGCTGCAGTGAGCCATGCTTGAGCCACTGTACTATATAGCCTAGGCAACCTAGTGAGACCCTGACTCAAAAAAAAAAAAAAAAAAAAAAAGGAAAGTGAAATTGTGTACTAAATTATTTTCCTTTTTTATTTTAATGTCCTGACATATATATATACATTTTTTAAAATTTTTAGGCAAAATACAAAAGGACATGTTTCTACATAAGTAAGACTATAGAATACTCAATACTTGAAATAATTTAGAAATGAGGAAGAAAGAAAAAAGACATTAGAAAAAAAATTTTTTTCTAGATATTAGAAAGTAAAGCATTGTCTTTGGCTTATCTTTTTTATATCAACTTCCATTTTCTTACATCTTCCCACAGGCAAAAACCTCATTTTATAGGAAAAATGTTTTATTTCACCAAATTACTCAAATATCACTTATCCTTCTGCAATATAGAGTTAAAACCATTCATTTAAAATCAGTGATTTTTTTTTTAGGAATTGTTTTGCCTAATGGTATATGTTAGTGTCCATGTATGTATTTTGAATCTTTTCTGTGTGCTTTGTATTAGTGCAGACAACTTGGAGCTCTATGAAACTCTCAATGATGATTCAGGAAGCCAATGCTATCAGCAGCAAATTGAAAACATACTATGTTTTTGGCAGGTGAGTAATTAATTATCCTGATTTTAAATGTTTTAAACAAGTTGGCCTTTATATCATTTAGTTTCTCTTTTTTTTTTTTTTTTTTCTGAGACAGAGTCTTGCTCTGTTGCCCAGGCTGGAGTGCAGTGGCGCAATCTGGGCTCACTGCAACCTCCACCTCCCGGGTTCAAGCAATTCTCCTGCCTCAGCCTCCTGAGTAACTGGGATTACTGGGTGGTGTGCGCCACCACACCCAGCTAATTTCTGTATTTTTAGTTAGAGATGGGGTTTCACCACGTTGGCCAGGCTGGTTTCAAACTCTTGACCTAGTGATCCGCCTGACTTGGCCTCTCAAAGTGCTGGGATTACAGGTGTGAGCCACTGCGCCCGGCTATCATTTAGTTTCTCTAAAGTCCATTCTACAGCTATAGGAAAGAGCTGGTATCAGAATCCCCAGAATCCCCAGTGAGACTTTATCCTTTCAGAGGTCATTCTGGATTAAGAGAGATTTCAACAATTAACATACTAGTATATTTATAAATAAAATAATTTTAGTTGTTTTAGGAATTTGCTAATTTTCTTTTGAGTTGAAAATGTATCAGTATTTCATTGTTCAAAAGGAACATACCTTATTAGAAATTTTTGATTTTAAAAAATTTTTGTTATTTTTATATGTTTTATACTTATATGATTATTACTATAATAAAAATACTTAACTGTGGAAAGACTTAATCAGTGGATGGAATTTTTAGGGAAATTATTCTACCCCAGAAAACTCTTAGTATAAATGGATGTGTATGTTTCAGGATAAGCTTTTTTTTGTTTATTTTTCTTTCAGACATGATATATCAGATAAAAGTAGTTCTGACACTTCTATTCGGGTTCGTAACCTGAAACTAGGAATCTCAACATTCTGGAGTCTGGAAAAGTTTGAATCTAAACTTGCAGCAATGAAAGAACTTTATGAGGTTTGGAATATTATTAAAATCTCTATAAATTTTTTAAAATAAAAAAGTATAAAAGTTCAAGTACCTGCTTTTGGTGAAAAAAGTATATATATAAAAGTGACATATTCTCCATATAGAAAATTTGGAAAATAAAAGGCAATCTATCAATTACCTAAACCAACCAGTATTAACAATTATATATATTTATTTTTACATTTAAATGGAGTTTTATTGGATTGTTTTAATACAGTTATAGGTATAATAGAGAAATTTAAGGGTGGAATCTATTGTCATAATTGTATATTTTTAAAATTTTTACATTTAAGCTTAAGGAAAGAAGAAATTTGATAGACATAAATCATATTACATCATTTGAAATGATCTTCCTATGCCTAATGTACCTTTTTGCATATTTACATTTCTCCGTTGCTGTGCTTTGAGTGCTTCCAACTGCCTGCTGCCTGTTATAGTCACAACTGAAAAATCTCTGCACATATTAGTTTTTAATATCTTATTTTGTCATCTTTTATTTTCCAAAATGAAACTAAACATATGAGCTTTTTATTACACTTTGATGCTCACCGACAAATTGCTTGCCAGAAATATTGCCATTTTACCAATGTTACCAGTTTGCATTTTACAAATATATATATATATATTTTTTTGAAATGGAATTTCACTCTTGTTGCCCAGGCTGGAGTGCAGTGGTGCAATCTCAGCTCACTGCAACCTCCGCCTCCCGGGTTCAAGCGATTCTCTTGCCTCAGCCTCCTGAATAGCTGGGATTACAGGTGCCTGCCACCAGCCCCAGCTAATTTTTGTATTTTTTTAAAAAAGACGAGTTTTCACCACGTTGGCCAGGCTGGTCTCGAACTCCTGACCTCGGGTGATCCACCCGCCTTGGCTTCCCAAAGTGCTGGGATTACAGGCATGAGCCACCATGCCTGGGCTTATTATTACTCTTTTTTAATAGAGACAGAGTCTTGCTGTGTTGCCCAGGCTGGTCTTGAACTCCTGGCCTCAAGCAGTCCTCTCACCTTAGCCTCCCAAAGTGTTGGGATTACAGGCGTGAGCCATTGTGTGCAACCTGTACTGTAATAACTAGTAAATCTAGGGATTTCACTGTTGTTTCTTTATGGGTAAAGTATGTGTTCATTTCCTTTGAATTTTCTTTTTGTTTTTTTTGAGACGGAATCTCACTCTGTTGCCCAGGCTGGAGTGCAGTGGCACAATCTCGGCTCACTGCAACTCCACCTCCTGAGTTCACGCCATTCTCCTGCCTCAGCCGCCTGAGTAGCTGGGACTACAGGTGCCCACCACCATGCCCGGTTAATTTTTTGTGTTTTTAGTAGAGACGGGGTTTCACCATGTTAGCCAGGATGGTCTCGATCTCCAGACCTTGTGATCCACCCGCCTTGGCCTCCCAAAGTGCTGGGATTACAGGTGTGAGCCACCACGCCTGGCTGAATTTTTTGTTAAATGAAATGTAGGAAATTAATATAGCTATAAAAGTTATTTACATATTTTGATAAGCCTTTATATTTATCATATACCTTTTTTCCTGATTATATCATCTTTTTGTTGGTTTCATTTTGTTATACAGGCATTTTTAATTTGGCAAATTTGAATCCATCTATTATTCCAGAGATCTTACTTAAACATTGTACAACCCCTGCATTTTCTTTTAATTAAAAAAAAAAAAGTTCACATCTTTGAATCACATAGAATTTATTATGGTGTTTTGTGAGAGGTATGAATTTAAAGTTTAAAGTTCATATTATCTAATTATCCATAAATTATCCCTAAAATAGTTGCAACATGTATTGTTGCATTGCTACTATTTGTAAAATATACTACCTTTAAATAATTTGACTCCATATGGAACTATATACTACTTAGATCATTGTAGTAATGAAGGTATCATATGGAAAAACTTAGAGGATGCTGCCAAATTGTAGCCTAACACTTGAATTGTTTAATGGAAAAATGAAAATAAAAACAAAATAAAACAAAGGAAAGCAATGAAAGGAATCATTATGAGATAAAAGCAATAATGAATTAGAAATTAATAAATATAAGCTCTTGTTCTTTGAAAGGATAAATGTGATTTTAGAAATGAGAAGTGGCATTTAAGTAAACATAAAGAGAACATTTAAAAAGTATGTTACCTATAAAACTTTATGCTAATAAATTTAACAATTTCCTACAAATAAAAGACTTTTTAGAAAAAGATAAATTATGAAAGTTGACTTCATAGGTGAATAACCATGCAATAATTTGAAACGTTCATCAACAAACTGGCCTCGAAAAAAAAAAAACAACAAAGTGTAGGAAAAGAAGGTGCTAATCTCAGACATTCTTATGGGTAAGCTCTTTTAAACTGCCAAAGAACAGATAAATCTTATTCTGTTTAAACTATTCTAGAACATAGCAATACATAGAAAGTGTCACAGTTTATCTTATGCTAGAATAACTGATTAAAAACAAACAAACAAAAACCACAATAACTGAAAAGATAGCTCAGAAGAGAATTACCAACCAATCTTCTTTTTTTTTTTTCTTTTTTTCTTTTTTTGAGACGGAGTCTCACTCCGTTGCCAGGCTGGAGTGCAGTGGTGCGATTTCGGCTCACTGCAACCTCCGTCTCCCGGGTTCAAGCGATTCTCCTGCGTCAGCGGTCTCAATCTCCTGACCTTGTGATCCACTCGCCTCGGCCTCCCAAAGTGCTGGGATTACAGGCGTGAGCCACTGTGCCTGGCCTACCAACCAATCTTAATATCAACACAGCTATAAAAATCCTAAAGGAAATGTTAGCAGGGCTGGGCACGGTGGCTCACGCTTTTAATCTCAACACTTTGGGAGGCCAAGGCTGGAGGATCACTTGAGCCCAGGAGTTCAAGAACCGCCTGGGTAACATGATTTTTGTTTGTTTGCTTATTTGTTTGTTTGTTTTGAGACAGTCTTGCTCTGTTGCCCAGGCTGGAGTGCAGTGGCACAATCTTGGCTCACTGCAACCTTCACCTCCCAGGTTCAAGTGATTCTTGTTCCTTGGCTTTCTGAATATCTGGGATTACAGGCATGTGCCACCATGCCCAGCTAATTTTTTTTTTTTTTTTTTTGTATTTTTAGTAGAGTCGGGATTTTACCATGTTGGCCATGCTGATCTCAAACTCCTGACCTCAGGTGATCTGCCTGCCTCAGCCTCTCAAAATGCTGAGATTACAGACATGAGCCACCACACCCAGCCGACCCTGTCTCTTTTACCAAAAATCTGAAAATTAGACAGATGTGGTGTTGCGTGCCTGGAGTCCCAGCTGCTTGGAAGGCTGCGGTGAGAGGATTACCTGAGTCTGGAAGGTCAAGGTTGCCCTATAATCCCAGCACTTTGGGAGGCTGAGATGAGAGGATCACTTGAGCCCAGGAGTTCGATACCAGCCTTCTCTCTACAAAAGAAAAAAAGAGAATTCTTACACCATGAAGAAGTAGGGTTTATGTCATAAACGTGAAGTATATTCATAATAGAAAATCCAAAAAGGCTGAAAGCAATCATACCAAAGCATTGACAATGTTTATGTGAAAATGATGGGTTTATGAGTGGTTTTAACTTTTTTGTTTGTGTTTATATGTATTAATAATTTCCAAATTTTCTACAATTAATATGAATTGCTTGTATTTTTAGAACAACAAAAGTAGTATGGAGGTCATTTGATTATTCTTGCCTTGATATATACTTTAAAACCTAGTGGTTGAATTACCCTAGGTTTAACTTACCTCCTACTTTTTTTTTTTTTTTTTTTGAGACGGAGTCTCGCTCTGTCGCCCAGGCTGGAGTGCAGTGGCGCGATCTCGGCTCACTGCAAGCTCCGCCTCCCGGGTTCACGCCATTCTCTTGCCTCAGCCTCCCGAGTAGCTGGGACTACAGGCGCCCGCTACCACGCCCGGCTAATTTTTTGTATTTTTAGTAGAGACGGGGTTTCACCGTGTTAGCCAGGATGGTCTCGATCTCCTGACCTCGTGATCCGCCCGCCTCGGCCTCCCAAAGTGCTGGGATTACAGGCGTGAGCCACCGCGCCCGGCCTTACCTCCTACTTTTAACCATTCATTGCAGTTTTTAACTTATTTTTCTGTATAATTGTACTATCTCTGAATCAAGTTCTATGTAGCATTTTGCTAGAACTGTAATTGTTATTACGTTAAATATGTAAAATATAGACTGTAATCCTGATCAATATATTCGACCAGGAAGTGACTACATCTTAACTTTGTCAGATTATTCTTTTATGTCTCTCCTGAGGATTTTATTGTTTATGTTTTTACTATTATTATAAATCTCATTTATTATTCCTGAATTATTTAATGATTTCTATTGTTTTTATTAAAAGTAGATGTCTTTTAATATCATCCCTGTCATCGTGTGATTGACTTTTAATTTGATCAGGAATGATTTTTTAGACTTATCAGATAATATATAATCTGCTAATTTTATGGTTTAAATGTAACAAAGGATTTAATCTTTTTTTTCTTAGTTGCTAAACATTTTTTCACCCCAAATTTACTGAAACTATATATTATATTTTTCTTAGAGTAATGGTAGTAACAGGGGTGAAGATGCCTTTTGTGATCCTGAAGATGAATGGGAACCCGACATTACAGATGCACCAGTTTCTTCACTTTCTAGAAGGAGGTAAAGACAATTTTGTTACTAGTTTTCTTGCACTTTGTGTGTGCATGTGTGTGTGTGTGTGTGTGTGTAAATTGTATATCATATATATTATTTCCTATTTTAAAAGAACCGTTGTCATGATAGATGTCTGGACAGGAAACCCAGAACTGTAAGAGGAATAATATGTTATTGGTCAAATTACAGCACTTAGGGCATTAAATTGTTTATTAGTCAGTTAGAAGAGAAACCAGTTTTTCAGTGTTCCATCATATAAGTCTTAAGAGCAACTTAGAGTAGCATAAATTAAATTTTCCGTAAAAATGAACAGTATTTATTACTTTTAAATTATTTTCTCTGGCCAGGTGTGGTGGCTCATGCCTGTAATCCCAGCACTTTGGGAGGCCGAGGTGGGTGGATCACGAGGTCAGGAGATCGAGACCATCCTGGCTAACACGGTGAAACCCCGTCTCTACCAAAAATACAAAAAATTAGCCCGGTGTGGGAGCAGGCACTTGTACTCCCAGCTACTCGGGAGGCTTAGGCAGGAGAATGGCATGAACCTGGGAGGCGAAACTTGCAGTGAGCTGAGATCGCTCCACTGCACTCCAGCCGCTGCACTCCAGCCTGGGCGACAGAGCGAGATTCCGTCTCAAAAAAAAAAAAAAAAAAAAAAATTACCCTTTCTCAAGAACTTGACATATTCTATGATATTTTCTTGTAAGTTACAGAATTTTAAATGCAGTAAAGCTAGTATGAACTCCACAAAATAATAAATCATAGTGATAGACAACTTCTATATATGACAAATGTTGCTTGTTAACTCAAAACATAAAAGACCTCCATAGTGAATAATAGATGCTTTTCAAGGGAAACCTAGTTCTGCTTAGACCTCAGATGCTTAGATTATAGAGAGGCAAAATGGTATTATGGAAAGGCTTTGGAGCCAATTTAGCCTCATAGTTTGGTTTGGTTTTTAAGCAAGTATTTCTTTGATGACTACTGTCTGCTATGCCCTGAGGAAGCAAAGATGAATACAAAGTATGCTCTGTCCTGAAAGACCAGGAATTGAGGAAAGTAGAGGCAGGAGCAGTTGATAAAAACCTGAACTGAGGCTAGACAGAAGGATTTTAAATGCAGTGAAGAGGAAAGTCGAGTTTTATACATACTCAGGATGCAGAATCAATAGGATGCAGAGACTGGTTGTGGGACTGAAGGTGTGAAGGGTGCAAGGATGACTCCTGGTTTTAAATTGGGTGACTGACTAGGGGAAAGTCGTGTTGCCTGAGATGGAGCATTTAAGAGGAGTTTAATTTTGAACATGAAGAATTTGAGATTCTCAGGGGACATCCAGGTGTATATTTGGGTTTAGAACTTTGGTGGATGGAGCTGGGGATTTTCAGGATGTAAGGGTCAATAGTATTTATCTGTCAGCAGAAGCATCATTGTTATTAAGAGCATTTATTAAATGCTTACTAAGCCTTATCTTACCTAGTACACACCACAAACCTATGAAGTAGATATTGTCATTACCCTCATTTTACAGATGAAGAAACTGAGATTTAGAGAGGTTAAGTGACTTGTCCAAAGTCACAGAGCTGTTACGAGGAAGAGCCATTACTCAAATCCAAGTTTGGGTGACTCCAAAGCTCCTGATTTTCTTAACTGCTATGCCGTATCGCCTCTCCATTGTATATGAAAGGGTAGCATCCTTCTGTTTAAGCTAATTGTTTTTTGTTTTCTTAAACTTCATTGCCTTCAGCTGCAGATCAAAATCCATTTAGGTTTCTAAATCATTTTAGGCCTATAGCCTTGTTTTTGACTTGGCTTATTTTAAACTCATTTATGATTTTCCTCAAAGAGATGAAACTATTTTATAGCAACTTTCCCCCATTATTTCTGCTTTATTGGTCACATGGTAACCTCTAAGCTATGGTAAGAAATTGCTAATACATAGCAAGCATTATCCTGAATGAAATACAAAGCATATCTTTTACACAGAAATGAGCTCCTTGCCGGGCGCGGTGGCGGGCGCCTGTAGTCCCAGCTACTCGGGAGGCTGAGGCAGGAGAATGGCGTGAACCCGGGAGGCGGAGGAGCTTGCAGTGAGCCGAGATTGCGCCACTGCAATCCGGCCTGGGCTAAACAGCGGGACTCCGTCTCAAAAAAAAAAAAAAAAAAAAAAAAGAAATGAGCTCCTTGAGTGTAGGGAACGTGTCTGTATCCCCCTACAATATAGCATAGCAAAAAGGTCACAAAGTCTGATATCAGCATCCTGGGTTCTAATCCATGCTCAGTGTAGTCATGTACAAGTGACATTACATCCCTAGGCTTCAATTTTCTCATCTATAAAATGAAGACAGTAATATATACCTACTTTACAGGGATTTACTATTAAGATTAAGTGAGGTCCTATGTACAGAGCAGCTGCTGCTCCTGCTGCTTCTACTATGACCACCATGATTGACAACATCGGGCTGATGATGGTTATGTTGCAGAGTTGTTACGAGGATTAGAGATAGTGCATATAAAGCTCCTATTACGGTGGGTGGGCATTCAATAAATGGCAGCTCTGATTATTACTGGATGCTTAATATATATTGAATAAGATTAAATCTTAGAATACAGAGAAGCTATGATTTCTGTCCAGTACCAGTAACAGATGGTAATATCTTCAAGTGATTTGTCTTGAGGACTTGACAGAGTTGGCCTTTGGCACTGAAGTGAGCTAAATATGGTCCTTAGGTGAAATTGGGTAGATAGAGCTTGAGATATTTAAGCCAACCTAGAGTAACCCAAAAATTTAAACCAGACCAATAAATTCATCAGAGAATGATTTATGAATATCTTTGGATTTTAGGATTACTAGGTTTGTATTATTTTTATTATAAACAGATTTAAACTTTGTATATTTAGAATTGTAAATCACAATATGACCATTAATAATGAGCATTAAACGTTTAGCCTACCGGGGCTGGGTGCAGTGGCTCATGCTTGTAATCCCAGCACTTTGGGAGGCCAAGGTGGGCGGATCACAAGGTCAGGAGATTGAGACCATCCTGGCTAACACGGTGAAACCCCGTCTCTACTAAAAATACAAAAATTAGCTGGGCGTGGTGTTGGGCGCCTGTAATCCCAGCTACTCGGGAGGCTGAGGCAGGAGAATGGTATGAACCCAGGAGGCAGAGCTTGCAGTGAGCCAAGATCGCGCCACTGCACTCCAGCCTGGGCGATAGAGCGAGCCTCCGTCTCTTAAAAAAAAAGACTTTTAGCCTCCTAGATGTTGGTAATTTACATCTTATTTTCTGTTGACTTTTAAGTTAATAATTAGGGAATCAGCAGAAATTTAAAATGTTACCAAAAATCAAAACATCTCAATGTTTTCTAAGATTTCGAAATTGGATATTTTCATTTCACAGAGATTTTTGGGTACTTCTATAATTTAAAAGTATCATATTTTTAAAAAATGAATTGCTCTTAGTCTGAGACCTTGTATACGAAGTTTCAGCCTTGTAACAATGTTTATGACAGAATTCCAAACTCTGAGAATGCCTGCAGGTAATGGAAACACTGACAGATTCTTAATTATAGAACTTCTACTGGGCAATGATATGCCACAGTCGTTCTGCAATAAAATAGACTGGTTTGGCTGCCTTTAAATTTTGATACATACTGTTGACAATTAAAAGTAAATTTCCCTCTGAGGTTAAGTAAAAACTCTTTGAAAGGAATATGACAAGCATTTTACTTGGGTTTAAACGTTGTTTAACTATGATATTGTTGCAAGAATAACTGTTTTCCTAGTTTAGACTTGCTGTAATAATATACTTTTTTTCACCCCTAAGTAGAAGAACTGTAATATTTGAGAATTGATATTTCCTTTCCCTTTTATCAGTCCTATTTCTGTGTTTTTCTTGTAGGAGTTCATGGGGGAAATTTTATATTTGAAACATCTAGGCTACTAGTGATAGAATGCTTTGGCTTAATAATCTTTTCGACAAATAGTATTTTTCTTTGAGTGGCCAACTGTAATAGAGAGTTCTGTTAGGAAAAATACTTCAAAGGATCCACTAAATTTAGATCTAGATCACTGCTCTGTTAGTTTCATTGACATAGGAATTGGAGTTTGGGTTTAGAAAATTTATAGATGAACGGCAATATGGAGATAGGCTGCTTTCTCCAGTAGCAGAAAGGGTAGCCTCCATTTTTAAGAAGCAAACAGAAAGAAAGAAAATAACAGCTTAGGCAGCCAAGCAAACTCAAAGCAGAAATTGGGGCTTTTTTTTTTTTTTTTCTTTTTGAGATGGAGTCTTGCTCTGTCGCCCAGGCTGGAGTGCAGTGGCATGATCTCCGCTCATTATAAGCTCCCCCTCCCAGGTTTACGCCATTCTTCTGCCTCAGCCTCCCGAGTAGCTGGGACTACAGACAGCTGCCACCACGCCCGGCTAGAAATTGGGGCATTTTTATAGGCTGAGGAAAAAGAGGTCAGCAAAAAGAGCAATTGGAGATAGAAACATTTCTTCCATTTGTACCACTGCTGCACTTCACAGGTATTATGCTTTGTACACAGTGTAGCAGATACCTACTTAAATGTTTATTTACCTAAATCACTTCCCTGTTTAAAATCTTTCCTTGAAACATTGAGTACACATGGACACAAAGAAGTGAATAATAGACACTGGGGCCTATTTGAGGATGGTGGGTGGGAGGAAGGTGAGGATTGAAAAACTCTTTAATACCATCAGGTATTATGCCTGTTACCTGTGTGACAAAATTATCTGTAGACCAAACCCCCACAGCATGAAATTTACCCATGTAACAAACCTGCACATGTACCCCTTGAACCTAAAATCAAAGTTGAAAGAAAATAAATAAATCCCAACTCGGCCACTTAAAAAAATAAGATAAAATCCTTCCCTGGATAATTTGCTCAGGATAAAATCTAAGCTTTATTGACATGCAAAGACCACCTCAAGCTGGCCCCTGTGCACCTCCCAGCTTAATCCCTTGCTACTCTCTCTCTTACATCATAGGCCACAGTCCTTCTGAACCTCGTTTGGTTCTTCGCATGTACACTACTTTCATTTATCAGGTCTTCCTGTTGCTTGTGTCTGAGACACTATTCCCTGCTTCCCAAGCCTGCCCTCTGTTTGGCTAAGTTTTACTTATCCTTGAGGGTTACTGCTCCAAGGAGGCCCCCCTGACTTCTTGGGCCAGGTCAAGTTCTTTTATACAATCTACCACAACACTCTATGCCTTCATCACATTCATCACTTTACTGTAATTATTTGCCTAATTTATCTCTTTTGTTCTGGACTTTAAGCCTAGTGAGCCCAGAAACCATGTTTGCCACATTTTACCACAATATCCAGAGCCTGCAAATAGTAGTGCTTAATCAATACTTATTTAATTAACTATCTGCCTAGAACAGTGCCTGTAAATAGTAAAATTCTTGCTCAATTAACCAAATGAATTTTTCCTTTGATGAAAATTTTTAATGAAAAACACACACATGAATGTCCATTTTCTTTAGAGAACTTATAAATATTCTTAATAATATTATTCCATGTGGTATAGAACTGCTAATCTTATGGTTTGTCTTTTTTCAGGAGTAGGAGTTTGATGAAGAACAGAAGAATTTCTGGTTGTTTACATGACATACAAGTCCATCCAATTAAGAATTTGCATTCTTCACATTCATCAGGTATTTTTTTCTTCACATTTTCTCTATGGCGAGAAAAGCATTGAGTCCTGGTTCTACCATTACATTTTTTCTTATCCGTGTGCAAATCATTTCATTTCCTGGAAGCTTCTGATTCCTCTGTAAAATGAGGAGGTTGGATCAATGACCCCTTCCGCTTCAAAAATTCTGTGCTCTGTGATTTATTTCAAAGCCTTTTAGTAGAGTAACTAATTCAAATGTGGAAGATGTGTATGTTCCAAAATGTATGAGAATATTACTTCCTTACAAGTGAAAGGAAGCAAAGTGCAGTGGATTATGTATTTTATTCTGTCATTTGTGTGAGGAGGAGAAAAAAGAAGATGTGGACATAGATGCTTGTAAATGAATAAGATCTCTCTGGAGAACTACACCGAAACCCCAAAGTGCTGGTTGTACATGGGAGCTTGGGGATGGAGACAGGACAGGAAGGAAGGCACCCTTTTCACTGCATCCCCTTTGGTTTCTTCTGAATTTTGCATAATGATCTGTGTATCATCTATCCCAAAATTATTTCAATTTTTTTAAAAAAGGAATTATTCCTCTGAATAATTATTTTTTACCAATATTTATTATAATGTTATTTTAAAATGTAGGAGGAGAGGATACACTGTAAATTTTATATGTGTAACTACCTGTAATAATTACAATTTAAGAATTACTGCCTGCTAGGCTGGGCACAGTAGCTCACGTCTGTAATCCTAGCACTTTGGGAGGCTGAGGTGGGTGAATCACCTGAGGTCGGGAGTTCAAGACCAGCCTGAACAACATGGAGAAACCCTGTCTCTACTAAAAATACAAAATTAGCTGGGTGTGGTGGCGCATGCCTGTCATCCCAGCTACTCGAGAGGCTGAGGCGGGAGAATCGCTTGAACCTGGGAGGCAGAGGTTGTGGTGAGCTGAGATAGCACCATTGCACTCCAACCTGGGCAACAAGAGTGAAACTCCATCTCAAAAAAAAAAAAAAAAAAAAATTACTACCTGCTAACAATAGACTACTATGCAGCAATAAAAAAGAAGGAATGACTGATTCACACAATAACCTGGATGAATTCCAGAAACATAATGTTGAGTGAAAGAAGCCAGATCCAAAAGAGTATATATACTACATGATTCCTTTTATATGAAGTTTAAGGACAGGCAAACTAAACTATGGTGACAAAAGCCAGAGTAGGTTAGAACTGAATAGTGGTTACCTCTGTTGGGAGTTAGTAACCGGGAAGAGGAAACCTGTTGGGATGGGATGGTGGAAATTTTGTATACATTGAGCTAAGTGGGGTTTACAGATTTACACATATATAAATCAGCTGTACACTTAAGATATATGCACTTTACAGTACACATATTATACTTAGTAAACAAAAATTTTAAAATAATTATGTAACAATCTATTTGATAAAAGTTCTAATGGAATATGAGTAGCCATAAAAGGTATTATATCTCATCTTGACTTTAAATTTTAGAAATTAGGGTTTCTTTTAGGAAGATAATTATGATCCTACTACTTATTTAATCTAAGGTAGATTAAAATATGCTGTGGGTTTTTTATTTATCAGCAAAATAAAAAGATATGTATCTGTGGTAGCAACTTATTTATTCGGTATTATCTGAGTAAGATATTTTACAAAAATAATTTTAAGGGAAGTCAGAGATAGAAAAGGTCTTTGCTTATTTGTGGTTTTCAAAGACAGTAATGGAAACCCACGTGTGAACTTAGTAGGACCCCGTCTGGGCAGCTGTGAGTGGTGGAAGGGGGACCAGGCCTGGGGGTGAGGGGCTGTACCCCAGTGTCTAGCACTTTCTAGCTTTGGGAAGTTGAGCAAGTATCTTAACTTCTAAAATTCAGGGCCATATATTTTACTGTATTTTTGCAGGTCTTTCTAAAATGTTTCTGTTGGATTTTAGAATGCATTAATACAATTATCTTCTTAAATAGAGAATATATAGTTAACTCTTCTCGATGACTCTACTATAGTCATTATCATCATAATGATATTGAGTCATCGTTACCCTACTGTAGCTTTGGGTTTTGTAGCTTTTTTTTTTTCTCTTTACAAACCAAACTCTTACCTTTGTTCTAGTTTTTTAATATTCCTCATCCTATGCCTTTATTCTACCTCCTTTTAGTTTGCTGCTTTTAAGCACCTATGAAGTAGACCAGAAAACTTAATCTTGTCTATTAAATAAGAATAATTATACTCAATATATTAGGACTCCAGGATAAAGTTATTTCCAGAGGCTCTGAATGAGTCAAGCTTCTCATTTATTTCTGGTTTAGACAGTGCTTAGAAAATCCATCCCTCACAGATGTGCTGTATTAACTGTAGATAATCAGTTGGTTTTAGCCTTTTTTTTTTTTTTTTAGACGGAGTCTCGCTCTGTCTCCCAGGCTGGAGTGCAGTGGCGCAATCTCAGCTGCGCCTCCCGGGTTCACGCCATTCTCCTGCCTCAACCTCCCGAGTAGCTGGGGCTACAGGCGCCTGCCACCAGGCCCGGCTAATTTTTTAAAAATATTTTTAGTAGAGACGGGGTTTCACTGTGTTAGCCAGGATGGTCTCGATCTCCTGACCTCGTGATCCACCTGCCTCAGCCTCCCAAAATGCTGGGATTATAGGCGTGAGCCACCGTGCCCGGCCGGTTTTAGCCTATCTTGATTGTAGTATACCTCAAGGAGAAACTATTGTAAGGTAGAAGTACTGAGACATTATGGTTTTTTTTTTTTTGAGGACAGAGTTTCGCTCTTTTTGCCCAGGCTGGAGTGCAATGGCGCGATCTCGGCTCACTGCAACCTCCTCCCAGGTTCAAGTGATTCTCCTGCCTCAGCGTCCCAGGTAGCTGGAATTACAGGCGCCCACCACCATGCCTGGCTGATTTTTCATTTTTAGTAGAGACGGGGTTTCACCGTGTTGGCCAGGCTGGTCTTGAACTCCTGGCCTCAGGTGATCCACCCACCTTGGCCTCCCAAAGTGCTGGGATTACAGGCATGAGCCACTGTGCCCGGCTGAGACACTACTTTTAATGTAGTTTATCATTGCCTACTTTTCCAGTTTATGAATCCAATTATACTTCTAATTTTATGTAACTGTCATTGTTTTCATCAATTACAGTTCTTTAGGGAAAATTAATCCCACCAGACATAGTGGTACATGCTTGTTGTCCCACCTACTGTGGACGCTGAGGCCAAGGGATTGCTTGAGCCCAGGAGTTTGAGGCTCAGTGTGCTATGATCACGCTTGTGAGTAACCACTGCATTCCAGCCTGGGCAACAGAGCAAGACCCTGTCTGTCTCTCTTTTTTTTTTTTGAGACAGAGTCTTGTTCTGTTGCCCAGGCTGGAGTGCAGTGGTGCCATATCGGCTCACTGTAACCTCCGCCTCCTGGCTTCAAGCAATTCTCCTGCCTCAGCCTCCCGGGTAGCTGGAACTACAGGCGTGTGCCACCACGCCCAGCTAATTTTTTTGTATTTTTAATAGAGATGGGGTTTCACCACGTTAGCCAGGATGGTCCCGATCTCCTGACCTCGTGATCTGCCTGCCTCGGCCTCCCAAAGTGCTGGGATTACAGGCATGAGCCACCGTGCCTGGCCCAACCCTGTCTCTTAAAAAAAAAAAAAGAAAGAAAGAAAAGAAAATTAATTCCTACCATAGAGTAAAGAAAGAGATTAACCCAGTGGTTACGTGGGATATTTGGATTCTCTATTGTCTCATAGTATAGTCAGGGAGCTACTAAATCTATGGATTGATGCGGTTGAGAGGTTAATTGATCCGTGAATGGAATTGTGTTTTCACTTTAGCATATAGAAATGAGGCTGAATTGAAATAAGTATAGCCTACTTTGAATTTATTGATCAGTGATCCTATAATATGCTTGCAATAAAACATTTGTTTGAAAGTATTATGCCTGAACATTTTTGGAAGAGCAATAGTATACGAGTAATATTTGCAAGCAGCAGAGGGGTAGTTTCTGCAGAATTAGCATTATGGAGCACCCTGGAAATCAACATACACAAGTATAGCATGGAAGATATACTTACAAGTACAACATAGCATACGATGTTATATATACTAATAGTTTTGTTTTTCTAATTCCACAGTGAACACAAAAATGCTTTGTTGTTGTAATACATTTCAGTAATGCAGAAGTACATAAAGTAAGGATCCCTTTTTTTAAAAAAGAAAGTATTATTCCTGAAAACAAGCTTAAAATGGCTATTTTCTGTTGATGTAGGTTTAATGGACAAATCAAGCACTATTTACTCAAATTCAGCAGAGTCCTTTCTTCCTGGAATTTGCAAAGAATTGATTGGTTCTTCGTTAGATTTTTTTGGACAGAGTTATGATGAAGAAAGAACTATAGCAGACAGCCTAATTAATAGTTTTCTTAAAATTTATAATGGGCTATTTGCCATTTCCAAGGCTCATGAAGAACAAGATGAAGAAAGTCAAGATAACTGTAAGCAATCTCACTGCTTTTGTTAACTCACATAAATGATTATTTTCTGCACATTGCACTTTGTTTTGAGTGATTATTTGGCACATCTGGCATGCATCTTTTAACTGTGTTAAATGTTTTAATGATGATCATATATGAGTTCTTTTATTTGGATAATATTTCATTCAGTAATTTTTCTTCTTCTTTCAAAGTGTTTTCTTCTGATCGAGCAATCCAGTCACTTACTATTCAGACTGCATGTGCTTTTGAGCAGCTAGTAGTGCTAATGAAACACTGGCTGAGTGATTTACTGCCTTGTACCAACATAGCAAGACTTGAGGATGAGTTGAGACAAGAAGTTAAAAAACTGGGAGGCTACTTACAGTTATTTTTGCAGGTAAATTGATTTGCTTATTATCATTTGAAGGATTCATTTAATAATTATTTATTGGCTTTCTACTGTCTATATCTTCCCCAAAATTAGCTCTGTATGATTTTCAAAAGTACATTCTGTTTTGAAGTTCTGAGACTGTGGTTGTCTGTAATTGATTTGTTAAACAAAGACTTACATGGCTCTCTATGTATGAGTAGTTCTAAGTGATTTACAAATATTAACTCATTTAATCCTTATAACAACCCCAGCAGTGGGCACTGTTGTTATCACCATCTTGTAGATGAGGAAATGGAGGCACAGGGAAAATAAATATACCATCCAATGTTACCTAACTAGTAAATGACTGAGTTGGATTTGGACCCAGGCAGTCTTGGGCCCAGTTCATGCTCTGCCATTATACCATGCTGGCCCTCAATAAGGGATACTGGGAAGAGAGACAGAGTCTTTCTCTGGGTATGGGATTGGATTTCAACTCAGACTGAATTGGCCACAATTCTGCTGACATAGAGACAAGGAAATAATTTTGTTTTCCTGCTTATCTTGTATCAGATAAGATTAGGTTTGGCTGTAAGAAGAAGTAAGATGAAAGCTTATTCTCTCTCACATAAAATCTAGATGTAGACACAGTGGCTCTGATCCACAGAGTCCTCAGGATCCAGGCTCCTCCCATTGGTCCCATCCGCCATGCCCAAAGTGTAGCCCCTGATTTCATGACCCACTATGGAGGAGCCCCATCTGAGCTCAGCACAGCAGGGTGGAAGGAGTGGTGAGAAGGATAGGGCAAAGTTTGCCTTTTTTTTTTTTTTTTTTTGAGCTGGAGTCTCACTCTTGTCACCCAGGTTGGAGTGCAGTGGCGTGATCTTGGCTCACTGCCCCTCTGCTCCTGGGTTCAAGCGATTCTCCTGCCTCAGCCTCTCGAGTAGCTAGGATTACAGGCACTCACCACCATGCTCGGCTAATTTTTGTATTTTTAGTAGAGATGGGGTTTCACCATGTTGGCCAGGCTAGTCTCGAACTCCTGACCTCAGGTGATCCGCCCCCCTCAGCTTCCCAAAGTGCTGGGATTACAGGCATGAGCCACTGCGCCCGGCTGAAGTTTGCCTTCTTTTAAGGGAGGTTTCTGGAAATCACCATATGCCACATCTATTTATATATCTGGCTAGAATTTTATCATTTGACTACATCTAGCTGCAAGTATCATGAGGAAATGTATTTTTTAAAAAAATTCTGGACACCTATGTGCCAAGCCAGAAATCAAGGGATCTGTGGAAGAAGTGGAAAATTGATATTGGAGAATACTTAGTCATCTACCATATTAACAAATTCCTTCTTAAAAATTCCTTGATATGCAAAAGGAGCAGATAAGAAATTAATGGCCGAGTACAGTGGCTCATGCCTATAATACTAGGACTTTGGGAGGCTGAGGCAGGAGGATCAGTTAAGCCTGGGACTTTGAGACCAGCCTGGGCAACATAGTGAATAATAACAAATATCCAACTTGTTAGATACTTTGTCTCTAAAAACATAAAAAAAATCAGCCAGCTGATTTTTTGGTGGCATGTACCTGTGGTCCCAGCTACTTGGGAGGCTGAGGTGGGAGGATTGCTTGAGCCCAGGAGTTCGAAGCTACAGTGAGCCATGATTGCACCACTGCATTCCAGCCTGGATGACAGAGTGAGACCATGTCTCAATAATAATAACAAAAAGTAAACTATTTAAAAAAAGAAAATACTAAGAGGGTTAGATTTCACTTTTAAAAAAGGATAATTAGACCATGTAATAAAATGTTATAGAACAATTGAACAAATTTTATGTTATAGTGCCCACCGAAAGACTTTCCACATTCTATTATTGCAGTAGAATTTTTGTTGTGTCAAATACTTCCTGAATGGGCTATTTACTAGCTGGGATTTGGAAATCTTTAACTGATCTAACTAGTAAACTTGAAATCAGATGATTGTTTTTAATGTCCGTTGTTCTCCCTCAGGAGGATTTTCTAGGTCTCCCCAAGACTTGGTTAGGCACCTGTCTTATTTGCTTCTCTGATAACCCTAAACTTCACCCGTTATGACTTTTAATATAACATACTATTTATAAGCCTGTACATCTCAATGGACAGTTAGCTCTAAGAAGGTAGAGGACAGTGGGTGTCTTTTTTCACAAGGCACCATTATGTGATAGATGTTTGGTTGGATACTTGTTATTGAATTAATTATAAATTCATATGGGATGAAGGATGACTTTGGATATAGGTAATGAGGAAATAGGATGACTAAAACAAGGGGTGGCGGGGTGGGTGGACTGCAAACAGGTGTGGATGAAATAGTAGATGAAGGAGAATTTCTGACAGCATAGAATCATGAAAATGAAAGGTAGGATTGGCCAGAGAGCAAAGCTAGAGAGCCAGAAGCGAAGGGTCTGACTTAAGTTTGAGCCTAGAAAAGGAAGCTTGTTGAAGGATGGTCAGTGCTTAGTTGGCTCTCAGATTTTAGAGGCAGTACTAGAATAGTGGGAGAACACACACAAAACAAAAACTCACTACTGGCACTTGAAAAACTGATGTTTGAACCCATGCTAAATTAGTTGTGCGTCCTTGGGCAAACTGCTTAAATTTTTGAGTCTCCTGTTTCTCACAGGAAAATAAAGCTGGAAATGCCTACTGGGCAGGATTGCTGTGAGGATCAGATGAATTAATGTTATAAGAATGTCTCTCTTAGAGTAACTGGTGTGTAGTTTCTTTCCTTCTTTTCATTTTCTGAGAAGAACACTTTGAACTGAACTTGTGGGTTTCAACTCATAGCCCTGTGGGAAATCTTATACAAGGAATCAAGGATGGAGAGACCAGGCGACTTGGAGGGGAAGTTAGATTAAGCTCAGGACAGACTTGTGTTAAGCTAGCAAACCTGAATTTAGTGACTACACTTTCTACTAAGTATGGTTTGAGAATCCTTTTCTTGTAGCAATACAATTAGCATATTCCCCAAAGCAGGCCAGGAGAAATATTTTGAAGAGACACTACAGGGGGCAGGTAACAGAAAGAAGAAAAGCTCAAGAGAAGCTTCCTCATTCCTTTTTTATATGTGTACTCTGAGTGCATGTGGGAAGTCTTTTGTTTGAAGGTGTTTGGGGTTTTTTCCATCCCTTTTGCTTCCCCTTCCTCTCCCTCTCGATTTCTTTTTCCTTGAGAAAATCATATCTTTATTAACTGTCAGATGGTTATCAGAACAGGAAAAGTTCAGATGCAAAAGAGCCACCCTTCTTTTTCTTTCTTTTGGCTTTTACTTATTAATTCTGTCTTATATGTAGTTAATTTTGTACTTACTTATGTCTCCTATTAGTGTGTAAGGTCTTTGAGGGTGGAGACTATATCTTACTCATTTTATCACCTTTAGCAGCCACAGATGTTTTCTGGTTCTGACTGAGACATTTATGAAGTGAGATCACTATATCAATAAATGCAGAATTTATTTTCTCCAGATGATTTTTCTTTTCTTTTTTTTTTTTTTCTTCTCTTTTCTTTTGAAAATCAGTGAGACAGAGTCTCTCGCTCTGTCACCCAGGCTGGAGTGCAGTGGTGCGATCTCGGCTCACTGCAATCTCCACCTCCCAGGTTCAAGTGATTCTCCTGCCTCAGCCTCCTGAGCAGCTGGGACTACAGGCGCCCGCCACCACGCCTGGCTAATTTTTGTGTTTTTAGTAGAGATGGGGTTTCACCATATTGACCAGGCTGGCCTCAAACTCCTGACCTTGTGATCTGCCTGCCTCGGCCTCCGAAAGTGCTGAGATTACAGGCATGAGCCACCGTGTCCGGGACATTTTTCTTTTTCTTTTTTTTTTTTTTTAAGATGGAGTCTTACTCTGTCACCCCGGCTGGAGTGCAGTAGCACGATCTCAGCTCACTGCAACCTCTGCCTCCTGGGTTCAAGCAATTCTCATGCTTCAGCCTACTGAGTAGCTAGGATATAGGCGTGTGCCACTATGCCTGACTAATTTTTGTATTTTTAGTAGAGATAGGGTTTTACCATGTTGGCCAGGCTGATCTTGAACTCCTGACCTCAGGCGATCCACCCGCCTCGGCCTCCCAAACTGCTGGAATTACAGGCGTGAGCCGCTGTGCCCGGCCCTTATCTTTTCTTTACCACCTGTTATAATCTCATGTATCTGATACACTTGTCCATTTTTATCTTACAGGGATGCTGTTTGGATATTTCATCAATGATAAAAGAGGCTCAAAAGAATGCAATCCAAATTGTACAACAAGCTGTAAAGTATGTGGGGCAGTTAGCAGTTCTGAAAGGGAGCAAGCTACATTTTCTAGAAAACGGTAACAATAAAGCTGCCAGTGTCCAGGTAATTTAGCAATGTTAGTTCAGACAGACTTCATCTGAGGGAACATTAGACTTTTGATAATAGTACAGTACTAAACATGGCAAGTTCTTTTTAAGTTTTCAAAATAGCTTGTACTTTTAGTAGTTTTGCAATAAGATTTAAAACTGTTTGGGCCGGGTGTGGTGGCTTATGCCTGTAATCCCAGCACTTTGGGAGGCCGAGGCAGGTGGATCACTTGAGGTCAGGAGTTCGAGATCAGCCTGGCCAATAGGCGAAACACCCGTCTCTACTGAAAATACAAAAGTTAGCCAGTCATGGTGGCCCACGCCTGTAATCCCAGCTACTCAGGAGGCTGAGGCAGGAGAATCACTTGAACCCAGGAGACAGAGGTTGCGTTGAGCTGAGATTGCGCCAGTGCACTCCAGCCTGGGTGACAGAGTAAGGCTCCATCTCAAAAAAAACCCAACAAAACCAAACAACCAAAAAACTTTTAAATATATTGGATTATTTTGCAAACCTTATTTTACCTTTCAGATCCTTAATTTGATGCTAGTCATCCACCGTGGAGGGTTTTCTCAGCCAATCAACACATGAAAAAACGTTGTAATACCAGATAATTTGTATCTGCTTGCTTTCACTAGTTATGCTATTGAAAACATTGTATTATATTAGAATGTTGCTGTGTTCTGGCTGGGGGCGGTGGCTCACACCTGTAATCCCAACACTTTGGGAGGCCAAGGCTGGTGGATCACCTGAGGTCAGCAGTTCAAGACCAGCTTGGCCAACATGGCGAAACCCCGTCTCTACTAAAGATATAAAAATTAGCTGAGTGTGGTGGCAGGTGCCTGTAATCCCAGCTACTCAGGAGGCTGAGATAGGAGAATAACTTGAACCAGGAAGGTGGAGGTTGCAGTGAGCCAAGATCGTGCTATTTCACTCCAGCCTGGGCAACATGAGCGAAACTCCATTTCAAAAAAAAAAAAAAGAATGTTACTGTGTTCTAGCAATATAGAGCCCTGCTTAAAAGATGATAAACATTCTTTGCAATATGTTATATATGGGATACTAAATTACAGATTTGCTAATTTTATTTCTTTACAGACCACAGACTGTTAGTTCTTATTCTAGCTTTAGTTGAACTTAATAAACTTGGGATGTATTATAGTCCTAAAGTAAGCAGAAAATATAACTTAATTACTTGATAATTTAAAATATATAAAACCTAAATTTAAATAAATTAAAATACATAAAACCTAAATTTTCTAGTTAATGCTTAAATTCTTTTTCTAGGAGGAATTCATGGATGCTGTTTGTGATGGTGTAGGCTTAGGAATGAAGATTTTATTAGATTCTGGACTGGAAAAAGCAAAAGAACTTCAGCATGAACTCTTTAGGCAGTGTACAAAAAATGAGGTAAGATGAATAAAAGAATATTCTGTACAGTACTAAATAATATATAAAGTTGATTTTTTCAGTCAACAAATTAGATTTCTATAAATTCATATGTTTTAATTTGTTTCGAGTTATTTTTCACTGAAGAGGCTGACATCATGATCTTATGGTGATATTTTCCCAAGTTATTCTTGAGTCACTGCAGCCTCTATTGTTAATATTTTGCTTGGTCCTGTTGCAGCTATTTTCAAGAATTCAGTCTGTAAACTCCTAAGCAGAGAGTGGAGTGTGGTAGTGACACCTAGTGTTCGCTTTCTGGTTGTCATTTTCTTCCTTAGCTTTGTTTAGTCTTCTCCTCTTCTAAGAATGGAAACTATTAGTAACATTTATTGATTCAGTATCTTGAACTAAATATTTTTCTGGGGCATTCACATAAGATATTTCATATCAAGATACAGAACCAATAAGCATTTCAGTGATTTCCTAAAATATGTGTCCTCCCATCCTCCAGCTAACATTACTTAGTACCTTAGGAAAGATCTGGGTTTTAATATTAGAAGACATGTATTTGAAACCTGGTTCTATCACTTTCCACTTATCATTTAGCAAGTCACTTAATGCTCTGACCCTGTCATGTAAGCATACCTACATCACAGGCTGTAAACTATTTACTGATTAATTTCCTCTGACAGTTACTGGACTAGGTGCTTTACATGTAACAGTGGTAAATCTTAGCCATTTCTATAATGGGTTTGTACTTTGTCAGTAAGAAAAAGCCCTATGAATATCATATTTCATATTCATATCATTTTTCAAGGTAGGAATTTATATTCTTCATTTCATTGAATTAGAGTATTTTGCCTAATTACCCAACTATTAAGCCCTGAGCCAGGATTTTATATTCTGCCTGACTCCAAAACTCAACATGCTACATAAATAAGTTTTTAAAACTATTGTTCATGCATTAATTTTCTTTATTGACAATTACTGTTAGTGAAGTGGGGATTAGGAAGATACAAATTCAAATTCTTATGAGACTGAATTTCAGAGACTTGTCTGTTTTAGAGTCTTGTAACAACATATTAAAACCATCCTTGGCCAGGGATGGTAGCTCATGCCTGTAATCCCAGCACTTTGGAAGGCCAAGGCAGGAAGACAGCTTGAGCCCAGAATATGAAACCAGCCTGGGAATCATAGTGAGACCTTGTCTCTACAAAAAATACAGAAATTAGCCAGACATGGTGGCATGCATCTGTAGTACCAGCTACTCCGGAGGCTGAGGCAGGAGTATCACTTGAGCCCAGGAGTTTGAGTCTGCAGTGAGCTGTGATTGCACCACTGCATATCAGCCTGGGCGACAGAGCAAGACCTTGTCTCAAACAAACAAACAAAAACCACCCCTGTCCATTCCATTGCTCTTG
Organism: Homo sapiens; assembly: GCF_000001405.40. Lineage (NCBI taxonomy): Eukaryota > Metazoa > Chordata > Mammalia > Primates > Hominidae > Homo > Homo sapiens. The sequence continues at coordinate 200,557,929 of NC_000001.11, read as the reverse complement.
TTGGAGTCAGGTGGCTGGGGCAGTGCTACCTGGGGACATTTAGGTTCCTGAGATCTTAGCTACTAGGATGTCTCCTCATTTATGTATATACTGATTGATCTAGAAAAGTAGATCATGTGGAGGACTATTGGCTTCTGTCCCTCTGGGTGGTTGTTTCTGGGAAGGCATGGAATAAGTTAGTTTTTTTGTTGTTGTTGTTTAGAAAAACTTTGGTATTAATGTACTTCTAGCTCATCTTAGAATCTGAGGTGAAACTGTGTAAGCCACAGAGATTCTCCATCCCTTTGCTCATACTACAGGGTTATACAGATTTCTCTCTGCCCAGAAAAACTCCATCTCAGAACAGGGGAAAGACATGGAACATTAAGCTGCTCTCCTACTTCCTATGTAGCCTTGAACAACTTACCTGAGCCTCAGTCGTTCCATTTTTAAATGAGGATGATCATACTTATTTCATAAAATTGTTCTGAGGATCATATGAGATGAAGAAACAACGTATACGAAAATGCTAAAAATATAGTGCCTGGCAAATCTTAAGTCATTCATCTTACTTGCACGTGTTCTCTTTTTCTCAACATATGTCTGCCTCTCTCACTTTGTGTTTTTTTGTTTTAAAAAATAAAAACACGGCTGGGCGCGGTGGCTCATGCCTGTCATCCCAGCACTTTGGGAGGCCAAGGTGGGCGGATCACGAGATCAAGAGATCGAGACCATCCTGGCCAACTTGGTGAAACCCCGTGTCTACTAAAAATACAAAAATTAGCTGAGCGTGGTGGTGCACATCTGTAGTCCCAGCTACTCAGGAGGCTGAGGCAGGAGAATCGCTTGAACCTGGGAGGTGGATGTTGCAGTGAGCCAAGATCGTGCCACTGCACTCCAGCCTGGCAACAGAGCAAGACTCTGTCTCAAAAATAAATAAATAAATAAATAAAAAATAAAAGTAAAAACACATTGTTACTAAATTTAGGAGCTCATATTGTCACTAAATCAAGCTTGCGCTCAAATAGGCATGAGGCTGATTTCAGTTCCATAGTGCAACTTTGAAGAAAGGGATATATTGGGCTGTCAAAGGCTCATTCAGACCACCACTGACGTCTCAAATTTGGTTTTGCTCAGCAGCAGCACCATTTATCACTAAAACACTTCACCATATTTGCAAAGTGATACCACTTTTGCAGTCTATCACTATTGCAAAGAATTTCTGCTGGCAATAAGTGCAGAAGGGTATAGAATAAATTAATGAAAAATATAGATGAAATAATATGTGGGAATGTGTTTAGTAAGCTGTTGAAGTAGGTGCAGGTGTTAGCCTTGGTATTGTTTTGAGGAAATAAGCAGCAAAAGGGCCAGGCCCATCCTGTATACAATTGACCCTATCTGCATACCCTCCTTTCTCTCATTTTCTTTCTATAGTATGACAAACCTGTACTTTGTTGTTCATGGTAGGGTTTTAGTTTATCTATTCTTGTAAGTTAAAACTCCTTTAAGAACCTATAGAAGAATAAAATATCCAAAGAAATAGAAAATGAGCTGAAACATAAAAGGCATGGAGCTACAATTTTAAAGCTGGAGTCAGGAAGGAAAAATAATTTGGATATTCTTTTGGAATTTTGTTTTTTTTTAAACCACATAGAGCAAATCTGAATTAGGGCTAGGGAAGCTCTCTGTGAGTAAAGCCAATTAAACACTGAAAAAGAATCCCCTGGCAGAAATTGAGCAGGAAAGCACCTTAGGGGGCAGCATTGGATAGAATAAAAGCAAAGGCTTAGAATTTAGATGTGGGCTCCCACTCTAGTTCTCAGTCTTAGGAGTTAGGAACCAAGGTCTGTTTCCTTACCTATAAAATGAGGTATACAATGGGCAGCATAGGACTATAATGGAGAATCAAATAACAAAACATTTGTAAAGTTTTTAGAGTATAGTATTTGCTTGATATGTTACTTACCCCCTTCCAAGGGAAATTTAGAAATTTTGTATCTATAAATATTTAAGTATAACACAAAATTTGTTATAACAAATATTAGAGGGTGTCCATATTTAATATAGAAATCAATGTGCAATTTATTTTGAAAGAAATTATTAATGAATACAGGTGAATTAGACTGATTATTTTCCCATGTCACAGGTAAATAGAAAATACAGACTAAGTATATGATCAATGTGTTTAAAAGGAGAGTAATTGCTATAGCTTGAAATTTTTTATGTAAATAAAATAAATGAGAGAGATTATAAAGTTGAACTCTTAAAAGTGAAATAAACTTATTTGGAAAGAAGTCAATGTGCAATTTATTTTTGAAGAAATTTCACATGTATGATTTAAGTACTCTCAAGCTATTTAATTGCAATCCCAGAAATAGAGCTCCAATCTTTGGGCTTCTAGACTAGAATTTTTTAAAAGTCTGGTCCCATGCAATTCTATGATTTTTGTACTTCTGAATAATAAAGTATAATAAAATATTTTAACATTCTCTATAGGTTACCAAAGAAATGAAAACTAATGCCATGGGATTGATTAGATCTCTTGAAAACATCTTTGCTGAATCGAAAATTGTAAGAGAAGCTTTAAATTGATTTTAATTTTGCTTATTTTTTATCATTTCACTTGGTTCAAATGTAGATATTTTTATTTCAGTGTTTATCCTTAGCCAGAGACAACTCTTTTGTATATGTCTAATTGTAGCATGTAAGATAGCTCTTTGTCTTTTTTATGTGTGTCATAACTTACTAGTTCTAGTAGTGGATAAAGGATTGTATAGAAATTTATTAATATGTCTGTTTCTTATTGCTACTGGTTTAATAACTGTCAGCTTTTGCTTGGATGGGTCATTATAGGCTAAAAAATTGTGTTTAATAATCATTGTGCTCAAAGATTTTAAAATACAGTTGAATTAGATAGATTATTCCCATGTCACAGGTAAAGAGAAAAATTAAGTATATGATCAATGTGTTAAAAAGGAGAGTAATTGCTATGGCTTGAAAATTTTTATTTAAATAAATGAGAACTATTATAAAGTTGAGCTCTTAAAAATGAAATAAATGTATCTTTTAAAGTATTGAATAATAAATGGCACTGTTACTTTATTCCATTCTCATGTAATAGGATGACAGACTTTGAAAATTAATTGAAAATTCTGATTTCTTTTGAAAACAGTAATTACTATTGTATTTTGGTCTTGCTTATAGAAATAGAGTTAAGCACTGGTGAGGAAATTAAACTCTCTTTCTTAAAGAGAAGATTCTGGCAATTAAAATCATATTGACTGAGCCTTACTGCCATTGAGCCTGTTAATGTATTATTTTAAATATTAACTTTATTTATACAGAAAAGTTTCAGAAGGCAAGTACAAGAAGAAAACTTTGAATACCAAGATTTCAAGAGGATGGTTAATCGTGCTCCAGAATTCTTAAAGTTAAAACATTGCTTAGAGAAAGCTATTGAAATTATTATTTCTGCACTGAAAGGTATGATTCTCCAAATGGAGTTTATAATCAGAATTTTATATTTTAAGGAACCTTAGACATCTTTCCTTTTTTTTTTTGAGATGGAGTCTCGCTCTGTCACTCAGGCTGGAGTGCAGTGGCTCGATTTCAGCTCACTGCAACCTCCGACTCCTGGGTTCAAGCGATTCTCCTGCCTCAGCCTCCCAAGTAGCTGGGATTACAGGCATATGCCACCATGCCTGGATAATTTTTGTATTTTTAGTAGAGATGGGGTTTCACCATGTTGGCCAGGCTGGTCTCGAACTCCTGACCTCAAACAATTCACCCACCTTGGCCTCCCAAAGTGCTGGGATTACAGGCATGAGCCACAGTCCCCGGCTGACATCTTTCCTTTTTATTTCTAACCTTTTCATTATTTTAGTCATTAACTGAAGCCTACCCAATGCTACTTCACTGATATTAGTTACCCATATAGGAACTTGTATTTATAATTAAATTCCCACTTAATGTATGTATCAGTACTTCTACCTAAATAATTAGATCCTGAAAAACCAAGTGCTCATCTAGCAAATAAACACTTTAGTTGACTAATCTTAAGTAGTTTGGAATTGTTTTGATAGGGTCACTTTGACTTAAAAGATATCTAGAGTCTATAAAAGTCATAAATACCTGATGAAAACTGAAAAGGCTAATTAACTTTTCCCTCCTCTCTTGCATATAGGATGCCATAGTGATATAAATCTTCTCCAGACTTGTGTTGAAAGTATTCGCAACTTGGCCAGTGATTTTTACAGTGACTTCAGTGTGCCTTCTACTTCTGTTGGCAGCTATGAGAGTAGAGTAACTCACATTGTCCACCAGGAACTAGAATCTCTAGCTAAGTCTCTCCTCTTTTGTTTTGAATCTGAAGAAAGCCCTGATTTGTTGAAACCCTGGGAAACTTATAATCAAAATACCAAAGAAGAACACCAACAATCTAAATCAAGCGGGATTGACGGCAGTAAGAATAAAGGTGTACCAAAGCGTGTCTATGAGCTCCATGGCTCATCCCCAGCAGTGAGCTCAGAGGAATGCACACCCAGTAGGATTCAGTGGGTGTGAATACTGATGTGTAGGCACTTTTATGACCACCCATGAAAGAAAAAGAACACTTGCTCGGTAATTTTCTTTATGCAGGAGAGTTTAAGAGAAATCAGCACAGATATTTCAAAAAAGTCCATGTCTTTTTATCTTTAAAATATCTATTTATCAAAGGCCAGACACAGTGGCTCACGCCTGTAATCCCAGCACTTTGGGAGGCGGGCAGATCACAAGGTCAGGAGTTTGAGACCGGCCTGGCCAACATGGCGAAACCCCGTCTCTACTAAAAATACAAAAATTTGCTGGGCATGGTGGCGCGTGCCTGTAATCCCAGCTACTAGGGGGGCTGAGGCAGGAGGATCGCTTGAACCTGAGAGGCAGAGGTTGCAGTGAGCCAAGATCATGCCACTTTACTCCAGTCTGAGCAACAGAACGAGACTTAGTCAAAATAAATAAATAAATAAATAAATAAATAAATAAATAAATAAATAAAATATATTTTTATCTTTAAAGTGTTTAACATTGGTATACTGTCTGTAGTTGGTTCATTAGTCGTTTATAAAGGGTTATTTTCTCATGAGTGGAAACCTGAACAATCAGTTACCTTTGTGCCTATGCCTTCTCTCTCCTCAGACAGCTGGGATGTTTATGGTGAAATGGCCTGTACAAGTTTAACTAAGACAACTTAACTTGCATTGTTAATCAAAAATTCTTTTCTCAAAGGGTTAACTGGTTGCCATTTTGAATAGTATGTTCAAGGGTGTAGCTTCCTGTTTCTTTCCAAATTATAAGTAGCTACCTAAATATAGTATAATTATATATTAATAATATGGCTTGCTGGCACAGTAGTTTACCCTGTTATCTGTGTTTCATAATGGGGGCTGTATGAATATTATTTAAAACTAATAAAATGTTGCCAGAATTATACTAAACTGTTGGATGAGATTAGGAGATCAGAGGCTGGACCTTCTCTTGATAATGCTTGTTTTGTTAAAGGTATAATGAAATAATTTGTATATGATTTGATGAAGATTAAAGACCCTTATTTTCCACAGCTTTAAAAAAAAACCTTTATTTATGATCAAGTAATAAAGATAATATTCTACTTGTGGGATCTTACATTACGGAAATAGTTTGACGTTTTTGACCTCAAGAGTATGTATAATTTGAAGAGATACTTTGTAACTATGCTTGGGTGATATTGAGCAGTTCCTAAAGAATAATTCATTTAAAAAAAAAGAAGAAAAAAAAAGAAGAATTCATTTAAATAACCTGATCCTTTCATTTGCCCTTTTCGAATTTACAGATACTACTTGTACATTTGGCATAACTAGTTGAAATTGGCCATTCGTACCATGAATAAATCTGATAGTTTCCTTGTTAGGAAGAGATTGTAAGTAAATACAGTCATTGCAGTCAGAACAGTATTAGTGAACCTTGTGTGGTGTTTTCAAGCTCTTTAAAATGGTACAATGTAGCACATTTGCTTTCATTTCTTTTTTTATTTTTGGCATTTGACCTTGTATTCTTTCTGAAGCTCTATATGTGTTTTTATTAGTCAATAATCTGGCAAGTAGCACTTTGCCTGTGCAGTTTGCTGGAGTGTAGATGTACATATGAGGATTTCCCGGGAGGTGCACTTCTTTGAAGAACTTCCTAAAGTACCTGTATAGTAGTTTTCATCTTAATATTCAGTATTTAATCTTCAGTTTGTGCTTTGTAAACTCATGACTTAATTGGTCAGAAACTTTTTAGTGTCTTTATAAAATTTTGTATACATATTTATACTAAACACATTGTGATACTGTATTTGAATGAATGGTGAAAAAATATTTGCTATTGGAATTATGTGCACTGACAAGAAATGTTATAAAGAGAATGCCTTTAATAAATCTTTTCAGCATTAGAATTGCTTCGTGGTCTATGCTTTTTTATTTTACTGATTTTCTTTGTTTATTTTACTCTTCATTCAGAATAGCTCTGCCTTGATAATAGCTAGGCTAGTGTTGCAAATCAAGTTAATAATTAGGAAACACTAAACAAATATTAATATTGCCATAACAACTATTTTTTTTTAACATTGTTCTGCCTCTCTTTAGTTGATTATGCCTGGAATAGATTTATCACCATGTGGTATGTGTAAAGAGCATGAGCTTTGGAGTTTGACATATTTTTCACACGTTTGGAGTGTGAATCCCAGCTGGACTGCTTAGTAACTACATGACCTTAGACATGTTACTGTCTTCACTCCCATTCCTTCATCTGCAGAAAGAAAAGTAATACCCACCTCATGGACTATCTATCTATGAGCACTTAGTGAGAAAAATGTGGGAATAACTGCTGGCAAGTAGTAGACTGTTAGTGAATTTATTTTCTGTCCTTTTCATTACCAGCTACAAAACCCTTGTTATGTATATAAGATCACACTTGGTGCAGGCATATGCCATTTATAACATTCTGCCAATGTGCCAAATTGTATTGCAGTCCTTTATGGCATACCTGAAAATATATCTGCCGTCATTTTGTTCCATGATAATAAATGGACAATAAAGATAACTAAACATTATCTTACTGCTCTTAAGGTATAATGTGCTATGTGTCCTCCATGGAGTCAGTCCATCTGAAAGTTTTAGCAAAAGGCTGTTTTGTCTAGTTAGCTAACTAGCATACTTGAGTTTACAGAGCCTAACTATGTGCCAATAAGCATTTCAAGGTTTTCCCTAAATATGGAAAGTAAGAATTAATCACAGGTGAGGGGAAAAGGTATCAGTAGTTTGGTTCAGTTAAAAAAAAGCTTATGTGCCCAGCTTCCTGTGCATGATTCATCAGGTAAGTTTGTGCTCTGGATTTTGCAAGTTACAGTCATTGCATGATATAATCAAGACTGAGCTTTTCCATCTTTCTTCCTTTAGCCAATATTAGTTTATGGGATTTTTAGATGTGGAGCATGGCCATTTAGTTTGTTTTAGTATCTGATAGCTAGGTTCATTCATTCATTCTAATAATTATTTACTTAATGCTAGGTATGCTGTTGGTGTTAAGCCATAGCAACCTGAAAAAGATTAGATTGCCTCATGGACTTTTGAAAGGCCCAACTTGTTGGATCCCAGTTGTTCATAACATTATATTTTCTCGATGCCAAAGACCTCTAAACACACTAAACTCAAGTCGGGTGCAGTGGCTTATGCCTGTAATCCCAACACTTTGGGAGGCTGAGGAGGGTGAATCACTTGAGGCCAGGAATTTGAGACCAGCCCGGCCAACGTGGTGAAACCCCAACACTATTAAAAACACAAAAGTTAGCCGGCATGGTGGCGCATGGCACGCCTGTAATCCTAGCTACACAGGAGGCTGAGGCAGGAGAATGGCTTGAACCCAGGAGGTAGAGGTTGCAGTGAGCCTAGATCACGCCACTGTACTCCAGCCTGGGTGATAGAGCGAGACTCTGTCTAAAAAAAACAATAATAAACAGGCATGGCAGTGCATGCCTATAATCCCAGCTATTCGGGAGGCTGAGGCATGAGAATTGCTTGAACCTGGGAGGCAGAGGTTGCAGTGAGCCAAGATTGCGCCACTGCACTCCAGCCTGGGAGACCAAGGGAGACTGTCAAACAAACAAAAAACCAAACAAAAAACACACACTACACTCGAACATACAGGAGAACCACCAGAGAATCGCTGACTTATTCAAGACAGAATTCAGGGGTAAACTTTTGATTAAGCAAATGGCAACTGGAAACTGCATATTTCCTGTTGCTGAATGGTCCTAAACTCAGAGAATCATAGGTTTTTTAAAGAATTTAGCCGAGCACGGTGGCTCACGCCTGTAATCCCAGCGCTTTAGGAGGCCGGGGGTGGGTGGATCACCTGAGGTCAGAAATTCGAGACAAGCCTGACCAACAAGGTGAAACCCCGTCTCTACTAAAAATACAAAAATTAACCAAGCGTGGTGGCACGCGCCTGTAATCCCAGCTACTCAGGAGGCGTAGGCAAGAGAATCGCTTGAACCCGGGAGGCGGAGGTTGCAGTGAGCTGAGATGGCCACATTGCACTCCAGCCTGGGCGACAAGAGTGAAACTCCATCTCAAAAAAAAAAAAAAAAAAAGAATTTAAGAGCGATTTTGTGGTAAGTCACAGGCTTTCGTTTCTCTGGCTAATATTCAGTGAAAACCTCTGAATTTGTCTAAAGAGCGAGCATCTGCCCATTAGGGGGCCTCATTTTCACGAAGAGCAGATTGTGCTGTCCACTAAGAAGATGGAGAATCTCTGAAATTTGGAAAATGGATATCGCTTTCTATGGCCCTACATCCCCCTCTTTTTAAAATGGTGGCTCACGTCTATAACCCCAGCACTTTGGGAGGCTGAGATGGATGGATCACGAGGCTAAGAGATCTAGACCATCCTGGCCAACATGGTGAAACCCTGACTCTACCAAAAAACACAAAAATTAGCTTCGCCTGTAGTCACAGCTACTCGGGAGGCTGAGGCAGGAGAATCACTTGAACCCGGTAGGCAGAGGTTGCAGTGAGCCGAGATTGCACCATGGCACTCCAGCCTGGCGACAGAGCAAGACTCTGTCTCAAAAAAAAAAAAAAATATATATATATATATATATGTGTGTGTGTGTGTGTGTGTGTGTGTGTGTGTGTGTGTTTACGGGCCAAGCACGGTGGCTCACACCTATAATCCCAGCACTTCTGGAGGCCAAGATGGGAGGATCACTTGAGCCCAGGCATTCGAGACCAGCCTGGCCCACATAATGAGACCTGGTCTTTATTTAAAAAACAAACAAAAAAAGAGCAGGCATGATGGCTCATGCCTGTAATCCCAGCACTTTGGGAGGCCGAGGTAGGCAGATCAACTGAGGTCGGGAGTTCAAGACCAGCCTGATCAATATGGTGAAACCCCATCTCTACTAAAAATACAAAATTAGCCGGGCGTGGTGGCACATGCCTGTAATCTCAGCTACTCGGAAGGCTGAGGCAGGAGAATCACTTGAACTTGGGAGGTAGAGGTTGTGGTGAGCCGAGATGGCACCATTGCACTACAGCCTGGGTGACAAGAGCAAAACTCCGTCTCAAAAAAAAAAAAATAAAGCTTTTTCCCCAGTTTTATTGAGGTGTAATTAACAAATAAATTGTGTATATTCAAGGTGTGCAATGTGATGGTTTGATATACAAACACATTGTGAAATCATTACTACAATCAACACATTCATCACCATATCACCATATGTAGTTACTATTTGTGAATGTGCGTGTAGGGGGTAAGGACACCTAAAATTTACTCTTAGCAAATTTCAAGTATACTATACAGCATTATTTTTTTTTTAATTTATTTTTTAGATGGAGCCTCACTCTGTCACCCAGGCTGGAGTGGAGGGGCAGGACCTCGGCTCACTGCAATCTCCACTTCCTGGGTTCAAGTGATTCTCCTGCCTCAGCCTCCTGAGTAGCTGAGATTACAGGTGCCCACCACAATTCCCGGATAATTTTTGTATTTTTTAGTAGAGACAGGGTTTTACCATGTTGATCAGGCTGGTCTCGAACTCCTGACCTCGTGATCCGCCTTCCTCGGCCTCCCAAAGTGCTGGGATTACAGGCATGAGCCACCGCGCCTGGCCTACTATATACAGTATTATTATACACCTTGCTATACATTAGACTCCCAGAATTCATTCTTCTGATAAATGAAAGTTTGTATAATTTGATCAGCATCTCTCCATTCTCCTCACCCTACCCCCAACCCCTGGCAAACAGCCTTCACCTCTCTGCTTCTATGAATTTGACTTTTTAAGAATCCTCACACAAGTGAGATCATACAGTATTTGTCTTCCTGTGTCTGCTATTTCACTTAGCACAACTTCCTCAAGCTTCCTCCACGTTGTGACAAGTGGCAAAATTTCCTTTTTTAAGGCAGAATATTCCTGTTTGTGTGTGTGTGTGTACGTGTGTGTGTGTGCGTACGTGTGTGTGTGTGTGTAACATTTTCTTTATCCATTCATCCATCAATGGACAGATGGACAGTTAGGTCGTTTCCAGATCTTAGCTATTGTGAATATTGCTGCAATGAACATGGGAATGCAGCTATCTCTACAGGGTGCTAATTTCATTTTCTCTGGGTATATACCCAGAAGAGGGATGGCTCAGTCATATGGTAGTTCTATTTTTAGTTTTTGAGGAATCTCCATACCTTTTTCTATAATGGCTATACCAGTTTACATTCCCACCAACAGTGTACAAGGGCCCCCTAATTTCTTTTTTTCTTTCTTTTTTTTTTTTTTGAGACAGAGTCTCACTCTGTCACCCAGGGTGGAGTGCAGTGGCATGATCTCAGCTCACTGCAACTTCTGTCTCCCGGGTTCAAGCGATTCTCCTGCCTCAGCCTCTTGAGTATCTGGGGTTACAGGTGCGTGCCACCACGCCTGGCTAATTTTTGTATTTTTAGTAGAGACGGAGTTTCACCATATTGGCCAGGCTGGTCTCAATCTCCTGACCTTGTGATCCGCCCTTCTCAGCCCCCCAAAGTGCTGGGATTACAGGCGTGAGCCACCTTGCCCGGCCGGGTCCCCTATTTTCTACATCCTTGCCAACATTTACCTCTTGTCTTTTTGATCACAGCCATCTTAACAGGTGTGAGATGAAATCTCATTGTGGTTTTGGTTTGCACTTCCCTGATGATTAGTGATGATGAGCACAAATTGCGATGCCAGATATTTGCCCATTTTCTTCTCCCTTTTTGTCTCTCCAGCCTCCTGTTTTGGGTGCTGTGATGGGTGATCACCATTTTCCCCTCCTTCTCTCCCCAGTCACCCCACTGCCCTCTGCCTCAACTCCCCCAGCTGAAACTGCTCTCACCTAGGTCATCAGTTAACTTTTAATTACAAAAGCCAAAGGGATTTTTCAGTCTTAATCTCACTTAATTGCTCCCTTTCTTTGGAAATTCTTTCCTCTCATGTCTCCACAGTAGAATATGCCTGAGTTTTCTGATTGTTCTTTTTTCATCTCTTTCATGAGCTTCTTATTCTCCACCAGGTCTTTTAAATATTAGAATTCTGTGTGTTGGTTGAACAAAAATGTATTGTACTTGAGAGATGGATACCCTGAGTACCCTAAGTTACTTGTCACTACGCATTATATACATGTAACAAAATGTCATCTGTACTCCATAAATTCGTACAGAAAAATTCGGTGCCCAGGCCGGGAGTGGTGGCTCACGTCTGTAATCCCAGCACTTTGGGAGGCCGAGGCGGGTGGATCACTTGAGGTCAACAGATTGAGACCATCCTGGCAAACATGGTGAAACCCTGTCTCTATTAAAAATACAAAAATTAGCTGGGCGTGGTGGTGTGCACCTGTAATCCCAGCTACTTGGGAGGCTGAGGCAGGAGAATCACTTGAACCCGGGAGGCAGAGGTTGCAGTGAGCTGAGATTGTGCCACTGCACACTGCACTCCAGCCTGGGCAACAGAGCGAGACTCCATCTCAAAAAGAAAGAAAGAAAGAACGAAAGAACGACAGAACGAAAGAAAGAAAGAAAGAAAGAAAGAAAGAAAGAAAGAAAAAGAAAGAAAAGAAAGGAAGGAAGGAAGGAAGGGAGAAAGAAAGAAAAGAAAGAAAGAAAGAAAGAAAAGAAATAAATAAATAAAGAAAGAAAGAAAGAAAGAAGAGATAAGAAAGAAAGAAAATTTGGTGCCCAGTGTGACCTTTTCCTTGCAGTCTCCTTACTTTCCCTAGAGATCAATGCATAGTGAAGCTGTTGAGGGCGTGGATTCTAGAGGTTCTGCTTCTTACTCCCTACCTCTCTGCTCACTTCCTTAACTCTTAGAACTTCTGTTTTCTTATTTCTAAACTGGTACCTTGAGGGTCATGGCTTTGAGGGCTAAGTGACACGACACCTCACAGACACAAGCACTTAGCACAGAAAACCCGATGCATGATAACTCAAGAAATGGTGGCCATGATTATTAATTTTATCTCCTTGAGTGATGTAACCACTGTTTATAAGCTGATACTCCCAAATGCACATTTCTTTCTTTTGAGCTCTCTTATTCAATTGTCTACTTGGCCATAATACAAGCACCTTAAATCTAAAGGTATCTAAAGAGTTAACTCATACTCTATATCTTTTCCTTTTTCTTTATTTTTGAGACAGAGTCTCACTCTGTTGCCCAGTCTGGAGTGCAGTGGTGCTATCTCAGCTCACTGCAACCTCTGCCTCCTGGGTTCAAGCGATTCTCCTGCCTCAGCCTCCCAACCCTATACTTTTTAAATCTAATTCTTCCTGTATTCCTTATCTTAGCTGAAAACGCCACCATCCACAAAGTCACCCAGACCAAAAATCCTAGGCTTATTATCTATTTGACCACACCTGATCCTCACAATAACCCCAGAAGGTGAGTGCCATTATGATCCCCATTTCGCAGATGAGGAAAATGAGGCCTCTTGGCTTTGCAGTACAGAATCTCAGAACCAGAATTCCTGGGCCAAAGTCCATGCTCTATATCCCTTTCTTCTAAAATAAGTTCCTGTTGGAAGCTAATTAAGCAGCACACTTGCTGCTGCCTCTGCGGGGAACGCTCTTCCTCCAGGAATCCCCGTGGCTCCATCTCACTTCCTATAGGTTTTAACTCAAGTGTCATCTCCACGAGGCCTCCCTCCCTCCCCTTCCTCACAACCCTCTGTCCTCTTTCCCTGATTTAATGTCTTCTTGGCTCTTTTACCAGCTAGATACTATGCCATAACTTTTCCTTATTTTTCCGTTTCTTTGAGACGGAATCTTGTTCTGTCTCCTGGGCTAGAGTGCAATGGTGTAATCTCTGCTCACTGCAACCTCCGCCTCCTGGGTTCAAGTGATTCTCCTGCCTCAGCCTCGGGAGTAGCTGGGATTGCAGGTGTGTACCACCACGCCCGGCTAATTTTTTGTATTTTTAGTAGAGATAGGTTTTCACCATGCTGGTGAGGCTGGTCTCGAACTCCTGACCTCCTGATCTGCCTGCCTTGGTCTCCCAAAGTGCTGGGATTACCGGCGTGAGCCACCGCGCCAGGCCTATTTTTCTTATTTACTGTTTATCTCCTTTCACTAGAAGGTAAGCTCTGTGGGAGCAGGAATTTTTCATCTGTTGTGCACACTGTTGTATCTCTAGCACCTAACAACACCCAGCACGTGGTAGGCGCCAGTAAATACCTGTTGAATAAATAAATGAAGCGAACGAACAAAACAAATTGTAAAGAAAAGAAAAAACCCTAGTTACTGTTTGTGTGATTAAAAAATTACCATCTAAGAGGAACTTTCTGGATCCATAGTTGTTTTTAAATTAATATTATTATTTTTGAGACAGAGTCTTACTCTGTTGCCCAGGCTGGAGTGCAGTGGTGCGATCTCAGCTCATTGCAACCTGCACCTCCTGGGTTCAAGCAATTCTTGTGCTTCAGCCTCCCCAGTAGCTGGGATTATAGGCATGCACCACCATGCCAGGCTAATTTTTGTATTTATAGTAGAGACAGGGTTTCACCATGTTGGCCAGGCTGGTCTCGAACTCCTGACCTCAGGTGATCCACCCACCTCAGCCTCCCAAAGTGCTGGGATTACAGGCATGAGCCACCGTGCCCAGCCTAAGTTGTTATTATTATTATTATTATTATTATTATTATTATTATTATTATTATTTTGAGACGGAGTCTTGCTCTGTTGCCCAGGCTGGAGTGCAGTGGCATGATCTCTGCTCACTGCAACCTCCTCCTCCCAGGTTCAAGTGATTCTCCTGCCTCAGCCTCCTGAGTAGCTGGGATTACAGGCATGCACCATCACACCTGGCTTATTTTTGTATTTTTAGTAGAGATGGTGTTTCACCATGTTGGCCAGGCTGGTCTTGAACTCCTGACCTTGTGATCCACCTGCCTCAACCTCCCAAAGTGCTGGGATTATAAGCGTGAGCCACTGCGCCTGTATTGTATTTATGTTCAAGTCTGGCTCCTGCCCCCCAACTCCCATTTCAATTACTTTTAGAGGGAAGAATACAGTTTGCAGAATGCTTAGAATGACACAAAACCTTAGTGCTAGTCTGAAATTTTTGCGTATATAGAGATCTTTCTTTCTTTTTGCATTTCTCTCAGTTTCCATATCCTCCCTAACCAATAGGTTGTCACATTATCCTGAGGCTAAGTGATTAAGAAATGTGAAGAATGGGCCGGGCGCAGTGGCTCACGCCTGTAATCCCAGCACTTTGGGAGGCTGAGGTGGGCGGATAATCTGAGGTCGGGAGATGGAGACCATCCTGGCTCTCGATCTCGGTGAAACCCCGTCTCTACTAAAAAATACAAAAAATTAACCGGGTCTGTTGACGGACGCCTGTAGTCTCAGCTACTCGGGAGACTGAGGCAGGATAATGGCGTGAACCCAGGAGGTGGAGCTTGCAGGGAGCCGAGATGGCGCCACTGCACTCCAGCCTGGGTGACAGAGCAAGACTCTGTCTCAAAAAAAAAAAAAGAAAAGAAATGTGAAGAATGTGTCCCCATTGCCAAGTAAGTTCACGTTGGCCCAGAATACTTGACCAGAAACTTATCACAAGCATAAGCACTCAAGTGATATTCACACAGATTAGATTATGGGAAATCCCTTCTGAAGTAAAATAAAATGTATTAGACACTAAGGGAAATTTCCAGAACAGCAACCCAAGTTCCTACTAACCCATGTGCAAATCAGCAATGAGTTTCTGAGTTATTTGCAGAGCGGTACTTTCAGAAGGGTCTTCACAAGAAAAACGAATCATCTCTGGAGCTTCTGATACTCCTTGGTCTTTCTGCAACATGGCATCCTTAATTATTCCCTCATCTGCTCCAGGACATCTCCCCTCCTCTCCATCTTATCCAGTCCTAGCCATCCCTCAAATTCTACCTCCTTTATGAAAATCTTTCAATCAAATATGCATGGAATGCCTGTGGTGTGCCCTGCCTGCCACTGAGACTCTGAGAATACAATGGCTGTGAGGAAAGGTAGAAGGTTCCAGTCCTCTCTCTCTCTTTTTTGAGATAAGGTCTCCCTCTTTCACCTGGGCTGGAGTGCAGCGGCATGATTATGACTCACTGTGGCTTTGAACTCCTGGGCTCAAGCAATCATCCCACATCTGGGCTCAAGCAATCCTCCTACCCAAGCCTCCCGAGTAGTAGCTGGAATTACAGGCATATGCCACCTTGTCCAGTTAATTTTTTTATGTAGAGATGGGATCTTACAATGTTGCCCAGGCTGGTCTTGAACTGGCCTCAAGCAATCTTCCCACCTCAACCTCCCAAAGCACTGGAATTACAGGCATGAGCCACCGTGCCCAGCAAGGCCTCTCTTTTTGTTTGTAGGTGGCCATCTTTTCCCTGTCTCATTACATTGTCATCCCTCTATGCATGCCTGTCTCCCAATTGTTCCTTCTCCCTGCTTTTTTTATTTTTTATTTATTTATTTTTTTTGAGACAGGGTCTTGCTCTGTCTCCCAGGCTGGGGTGCAGTGGCGTGAACATGGTTCACTGCAATCTCAACTTCCCAGGCTCAAGCAATCCTCCTGCCTCAGCCCTCTGAGTAGCTGGGATTACAGGCACATGCCACCACATCTCATTTTGTATGTGTGTGTGGAGACAGTGTCTTCCTATGTTGCCCAGTTTGGTCTTGAACTCCCGGGTTCAAGCGATCCTCCCAACTAGGCCCCCCCAAAGTGTTGGGAGTACAGGTGAGAGCCACCGTGCCCAGCCAGGCCTCTCTTTTTGTTTTGCAAATGGCTGTCTTTTCCTTGTGCCTTCACATCATCATCCCTCTCTGTATGTCTGTCTTCCAATTTCCCCTTTTTATAAGGACACAGTCATATTGGATTAGCATCCACCCTAATGACCTCGTTTTAACTCGATTACCTCTGTAAAGACCCTGTCTTCAAATCAGATCACATTCTGAAGTACTGGGGATTAGGACTTCGACATATGAATTTTGAGGAGAATACAATTCAACTCATAAGAGGAGACATAATAAACCTAGTTTTAGATTTGTTGATGTAAGGGATCTTGGCACCGCCATGGTGTGATATGCCCTGGAAGGTGAGAATATGTGTGAAGGGGGCTGCTTTGTAGGTCTTTTATATTCCCGTACTGTGGCATAGCTCTCCTTTTGTCATACAAACCTTGTCACTCTGATAAGTGGATACTTTGCCTCAGGGGAGTTTAATGAATCATCTACTTCTCTCTCTCGCTCTCTTTTTTTTTTTTTTTTTTTGAGACAGAGTCTTGCTCTATTGCCCAGGTTGGAGTGCCGTGGCTCGATCTCGGCTCACTGCAACCTCCACTTCCCAGGTTCAAGCAGTTCTCCCTGCCTCAGCCTCCCAAGTAGCCGGGATTACAGGTGTCTGCCACCATGCCTAGCTAATTTTTGTATTTTTTTTTAGTAGAGACGGTGTTTCACTATGTTTGCCAGGCTGGTCTTGAACTCCTGGCCTCAGGTGATCAGCCCGCCTTGGCCTCCCAAATTGCTGGGATTACAGGCATGAGCCACCACACCCAACCAGCTGAATCATCTACTTCTCATAGTAGTTTCATAATGTAAAGATAAGCACTCTCTCCCATTTTACCAAAGAATAAACAAAAAATGTAGATAATTTTAACTATTTGTCCAAGATTGCACAGGCGGAAAGAATTAGAATTAGGTCTCAAATACTGGTTTATAAACTCCAAATGTTACACTTCTTTATAAATCTTCATGGATGAAACAGTGATGGTAGGAAGAGAGGGTTGAATGATGAATGGAGGAATGGGTGGGTGGACAAGTGGGTGGATAGATGAAAAGGTGGATGGTTGGTTGGGTGGATGGATGGATGAATGGGTGGATGGGTGGATGGATGGATGGATGGATGGTTGGATGGATGGATGAGTAGATGGGTGGATGGGTGAATGGATGGATGGGTGGGTAGATGGATGGGTGGATGGGTGGATGGATAGATGGGTGGATGAATGGACAGGTGGATGAGTGGATGGGTAGATGGTTGGGTGAACGGGTGGATGGGTAGATGGGTGGGTAGATGAATGGATGGGTGGGTACATGGATGAATGGGTGGATGAATGGATGGATGGATGAGTGAACTGATGGCTAGATGGGTGGATGGATGGGAGGGTGAATAGATAAATGGGTGAATGGGTGGATGGATGGGTGGGTGGGTGGAGGATGTGTGGATGGATAGATAGATAATAACAAGAGCTTGCATTTGTTGAACACTTACTATTAGGCAACACTTACTACTACTAAGCTAAGCAGTGTATGTGCAACTGCTCATATAATCAACAAACAACTCTATGAAGGAGGTACTATTGTTAACTTTACCAGCCTAGTTAGAGAAACTGAGACTTGGAGCAGTAATTCTTCTAGGTTACAGGGTGAGGAAGTTGGTAGGGCCCAGATTACAACTCAGGTTTGTTGGAGAATTTTGATCCTCTCTGCTAATTAATGCAGTATTCTGAAAGTATAGATACCACTCCCAGACTCAAATCCTCTCTGGTTTCGTTTGAGCATGTAATTAGTTAGCAAGCATTTTTTTATGTTTGTTTGTTTGTTTTGAGACAGGGTCTCACTCTGTTGCCCAGATTGGAGTGCAGTGGCTGATCACAGCTCACTGCAGCCTCAACCTCCCAAATTCAGGTGATCCTCCCACCTCAGCCTCCTGGGTAGCTGGGACTACAGGTGCCTGCCACCACGCCCAGCTAATTTTTTGTACTTTTTGTAGAGACGGGGTTTCTCCATGTTGGCCAGGCTGGTTTTGAATTCCTGGGCTCAAGCTATCCTCCCACCTCGGCCTCTCAAAGTGCAGGGATTACAGGCATGATCCACTGTGCCTGGCCTGTTTGTTTTTAACTGTAGGTGGGTAAGACTAAACCAACTCCCAGAGGGAAGCCCCTTCCTTTCTTTGCCCCTCTGATTATCTGTCCTGCTGTCACTCTCTATACCGTCATGAAGCCATGAATGTGCTTTTCAAGAGCTTTAAAGCATTCCTGTTTTAAATATCTCATTTTTTAATCTGCCCCAGGCTTGTCATGCTGCTTTGCATGCTCAGTTTTCTTCAAATAAACTTTTTAATTGAAGCATACCAAATATATAAAATACAGAAACTATATGTGTCCTACAAGAATTTCCACTCTGTGAATGCATCAGTGTAGTTGCTACTTAGATAAAGAAACAGAGTATCACAAACACTGGAAGCCCTTCTGATGCCTGCTCCTAGTCATTGATCCCAAAGGTAACCCCCACCCTGACTTTTAACACCATCATTACTTGTGCCTGTTTTTGAGGTTTCTATAAGTAGAATCATACCTATGAACTCCTGTGTTTAACCTCTTTTGCTTAATATTATCTCTGTGAGATTTAGGTTGTTATGTATAGTGGTAGTTCATTTTCCTTGCTGTATAGTATTCCATTGTATGACTGTCACAGTTTATTCATCTAATAATAAATTAGACTTATTATTGCATTAATAATAAATGGTGATAAATTGCTTGCTTTTTTTTTTTTGGATCTCACTCTGTTGCCCAGGCTGGAGTGCAGTGGCGTGATCTCGGCTCACTGCAACCTCCACCTCCCAGGTTCAAGCAATTCTCCTGCTTTGGCCTCCCAAGTATCTGGGACTACAGGCGCACACCACCATGCCTGGCTAATTTTTGTAATTTTAGTAGAGATGGGGTTTCACAATGTTGGCCAGGCTGGTCTCAAACTCCTTACCTCAGGTGATGCACCTGCCTTAGCCTCCCAAGGTGCTGGAATTACAGGCATAAGCCACCATGCCTGGCCGATAAACTGCATCATTGACCATCCTTCCTATATCCATACCCTTTGTCATGTAACTCTTCAATGCCTTCCCACTGTGGGCACGGTGCAATTCCCTGCATGGGTTTGACCATGTGATTTGCTTTGGTTACAAGGATATTAGCAGAAGTTATGCCATCTTGAAAAAAATGCTCTGAAGATTTGTTTTGCTAGCTCTTGTCTCTCTGCTGTTGCCATGAGACAAAGAGGTGCAAGCTGGTCCTAGGAGCAGGATGAGAGATGTGTAAAGCAGTGCCTCCCCTGAACCCTCCAGAACCCAGCCTAGATGAGCCAGCCATAGAAGCATGAGCTAAAAAATATGCCATTGCTGTATGCCATGGGGATTTGTGTGGCCATAGTTAATTGACACTCCATTCTACAGTTGATGGACCTTGGTGTCATTCTCTGTTTTTGGTAATTACAGTAATGTTGATATGAACATTCTGGTACATATCTTTTGGTGCACACATCTACAGTTTTCCCCATTGCTCAAGAATGTAAAAATTAATAACATGTCCTTATGCAATTTCCTTTATTAATTTTATTATGAAATATATATCCAAAAAGTAAAAGTAACATCTATGTGTCTTTGTTTTCATCTAAGCCTCTGGAGAGATTTACAGTAATTGCAAACAATAATTTCTATGGCAAAAGTGGTTAAGACCTCACTCTTTAACGGTGTGTGCAGCTGCTTACTTTCCTGCAAATAGAAGGCCTTGGGAGGCCAGTGGGAACATGGCCTGGTGGGATCTAAGTTGTTTCTCTTTGCCTCTACAAGCTAAACCAAACCCACTTTGAACTTGTTCTCTCCCAGTTGGTGCCCTTGTCAGGGCCATACATCACCAGCATGCTTCCCCCAGATGACCACTTCAACTATACATCATCCAAGTGAGCTGGGGCTCTCTTAACGTATTGCTCTTATACATCAACAAAGTGAGCTGCGGCTCCAGGAATCTATTAGTGTAATACACCACTAGGGTAAGGCATACTGATAGAGCAAAGCTGGTCGATCTGTGAATTGTAGATATCTAGGAGTTCGGGTCAAGAGAGTAATGCAGATTTCAGGTTGGATTGATGTGGCTATGAATGGTATTTTATGATATAAAGTTTACCTCTGATTTAGAAAGTAATTTAACGTGGGTGACAGCTCAGGTTCGGGCTAAGAGAGGTCGACATGGTAGATATCTGTAACTCTTGGAAGATGTGTTTCAGGAATAAATTACTGTTCTTGATACTTTTATTTCATTTTGCGATATGTCACGGGGGGCACCAGAAAATTGGCCTGGGAGGAAAGTTTTGCACATAAAGCAAAACGGGCTCATTCTGCTGCCTGCCAGGTAAATAAATATGAGGGGAGTGTGGCCTTTGGAAGGCTCAGTTACCATCTGTTTCAGTTGGTCAAAGCTGCATTCTCAGGGTCTTGCTCTTGACCTAATGTTTATGTAACAAAGCAGCACAGCAGTTACAATGCATAAATTGTTATCAGTTTCTGCAAGACTCCAGAGATCAGAAGAATTGTAGCGTTTAGGCAGAGGAACAAGGGAATACAGAAAGTACAATGACCAGACCCCAATGGGTGGTTCAAATAAATTAGGCCCCACATCAGGGGCACATAGCTACATTTGTTGCTCAGGACAGAAGCAGCTCTGTTCTGTACCATAGGCATAACAACCATATGCATAACTGACAGCTTCTGATGAGACATGGAAAGAATTTTCTGGAGACTCTCAAGAGTTACCCACAACTTCATTAGCTATAAAAACAATGGTAGCAAACACTTACTAAATAATTATCCATTGATTCACTTAATGCTCACAACAGCCTTATGAGTTAGGACCTATTAGCTGTCTCTGAAAGTTCAGAAGAGTGAAGCACAGAAGAGTTGAGGGACTTGCCCTATGTCACACAGCTGCTACAGGTAAATGATGAAGATGGGATGAAGCCAGGTAATCTGGATCCAGACTTTCTGCTGTTAGCCACCAAGAGCAGAGCCCCAAACCTAGCTGCACATCAGTATCACCTGGGTAGCTTTTTTTTTTTTTTTTTTTTCTGAGACAGAGTCTTGCTTTGTCTCCCAGGCTGGAATGCAGTAGTCGCAATCTTGGCTCACAGCAACCTCCACTTCCCAGCTCAAGCAATCCTCCAGCTTCAGCCTCCTAAAGTGTTGGGATTACAGGCATGAGACACTGCTTCCAGCACTGGGTAGCTTTTTAAAAATACTAACACCTGACTAGGTGCAGTGGCTCACGCCTATAATCCCAGCGCTTTGGGAGGCTGAGGTGGGAGGATCACTTGAGGTCAGGAGTTCGAGACCAGCCTGGCCAACATGGTGAAACCCCATCTATACTAAAAGTACAAAAAATTAGCTGGGTGTGATGGCTGGTGCCTGTAACCCCAGCTACTAGGGAGGCTGAGGCATGAGAATCACTTGAACTTGGGAGATGGAGGTTGCAGTGAGCTGAGATCGCGCCACTGCACTCCAGCCTGGGGACAGAGTGAGACTCCGTCTCAAAAAAAAAAAAAACAACCCTGACTCTCAGAGATTTTGATTTATAATTGGTCTGGGGTAGGAATGACCTATACATAGGTTTTTGCAGCTTATTTTCTATTGTGCAGGCAAAATGAGAAATAACTCGATATCTGTCAATAAATGGTACTTATTTTTATTATAATATTTTAATGCAAATACACCTGAAAAGGGCAGAAGTCACTTTCCAATCAGCAAGTGCGAGGCAGTGCCACCTGGGTAGTGAGTCACTCATTGGCTCAATGGCAACACCCAGAGGCAAAGTAAACAACTGCAGATTACTATGCGTTGCCTAGCTTAGACATCAGATGCCAGCTGCCTCACAGGGCCTAATATAAGTCATGGGCCCCTTTTAAAAGTAGAAAGTGGGCTGGGCATGGTGGCTTATGCCCTGTAATTCCAGCACCTTGAGAGGACAAGGCAGGAGGATCATTTGATGTCAGGAGTTCGAGACCAGCCTGGCCAACATGGTGAAACCCTGTCTCTACTAAAAATACAAAAATTAGCTGGGCATGGTGGTGGGCGCCTGTAATCCCAGCTAGTTGGGAGGCTGAGGCAGGAGAACTGCTTAAAAGAAAAAAAAACCCTGGAGGCAGAGGTTGCCGTGAGTCAAGATTGCACAACTGCACTCAGCCTGGGCAACAGAGTGAGACTCCACCTCAAAAAAAAAAAAAAAAAAAAAAGTAGAAAGACTTTAAAAGTAAAAGTACTTTTAAATTTAACACCAATTTTTGGAAAGATTTTAGAAATTTCTGCTTATCTCAAAGGCAATGAGTATTTTGTTCCAGTGGAGATGCCTTACATAGTTCATATCAGTCGTGATAGAGCTTGTGTTCTGTCATTTCAGGCAGCTGAGACAGAACCACGTGCCATTTTTATAGGGGCTCCCTTCCCGTGGGTGTGCCCACTCGCCCCTGTGTGGGGAATCTTTTTTTTTTTTTTTTTTTTTTTTTTGAGACCGAGTCTCGCGCTGTTTCCCAAGCTGGAGTGCAGTGGCGCGATCTCGGCTCACTACAACCTCCGCCTCCCAGGTTCAAGCGATTCTCCTGTCTTGCCCTCCCGAGTAGCTGGGACTACAGGTGCGTGCCACCACACCCAGCTGATTTTTTAAATTTTTAGTAGAGATGGGGTTTCACCATGTTAGCCAGGATGGTCTCTATCTCCTGACCTCGTGATCCGCCCGCCTCGGCCTCCCAAAGTGCTGGGATTACAGGCGTGAGCCACCGTGCCTAGCCCCTGTGTGGGGAATCTCAATGCTGCCTCGTTCTAGTTCTCACTGCCTGACAACTCCAATCTACACTGCAGGCCAAATGGAAAATGGCACAAACCCAACTCATTCACACATCCATTTGGCATTTGCAACAAAAATCAGGAAACATGGTCATTCTTCAAGGGTTTTCTATGTAATGAGGACAGAATGCAGATACAAATTAACATCTTAATATTACAAATTCTTTGAACAGTATATTAATGTTTCTTATGCAATATAACCAGGTGAAATTACCTGAAACTGACCATTAAGCTTTTCGATGCTAATACAGAGTGTAGATCTTTCTGTGCAACATTTGATTTTAGCCCAAAGCTTTAAACCCTATTAACATCTAAATGCTGAATGAGGCTATAAAATATGCATATATAATTTTGGGAACTGAAACAGATAACCTTTTAAAATATAATTGATGACACCTGTAATCCCAGCACTTTGAGAAGCTGAGGTGGGCACATCACTTGAGCCCAGGAGTTCAAGACCAGCCTGAGCAACATAGCAACACTTCATCTCTACAAGAAATACAAAAAAATTAGCCAGGCATGGTGGCATGTGCCTGTAGTGCCAGCTACTTGGGAGGCTGAGGTGGGAGGATCAACTGAGCACGGGAGGGTAAAGCTCTAGTGAGCCATGATCATAACACTGTACTGTAGCCTGGGCTACTGAATGAGACCGTGTATCAAATATACAAATAATTGAAAAAATCTAAGATGCCCACAAAAATCTTAATTTCATAACTGTTCTGATATGCATTATATATAATAGTTACACTATATCCGATAGTGATAAGTGCTATGGAGAAAAAAAAGACTGCAAGGGATAGAAAGTGCTAGGGTAGCCTTGTGCGGTGGCTCACACCTGTAATCCCAGCACTTTGGGAGGCCAAGGCGGGTGGATCACCTGAGGTCAAGAGTTCAAGACCAGCTTGGCCCACATGATGAAACCCTGTCTCTACTAAAAATACAAAAATTAGCAGGGCGTGGTGGCAGGCCCCTGTAATCCCAGCTACTTGGGAGGCTGAGGCAGGAGAATCGCTTGAACCCGGGAGGTGGAGGTTGCAGTGAGCCGAGACCTCACCATTGCACTCCAGCCTGGGTGACACAGTGAGACTCCGTCTCAAAAAAAAAAAAAAAAAAAAGGAAGAAAGTGTGCTAGGGTCATATGAGTAGGGGTTGCTATTTTATTTAGGGTGGTCAAGGAAGACCTCACTGATAAGATGTAAGAGCAGAGACCTGCAAGAAATGATGAAGCTAGTCATGTGGATACCAGGGAAGAGCATTGGAGGCAGAGGAAACAGCAAATCCCAAGGCTTGAGACAGCATGGGGTCCTAGGCGCTCAAGCTGAGTACATGCAGGAGTGGCAGCAGATGAGAGTTCGATTAGTAAGGGGAGAGGACAGAGCACAGAGGGGCCTCATAGACATTTGTAAGGACTTTGGTTTTTCTGTTGTTGTTTGTTTTGTAGAGACAGGGCCTTGCTGATTTTGCCCAGGCTGGTTTCGAACTCCTGGGCTCAAGGGAACTGCCTGCCTCAGCCTCCCAAAGTGCTAGGATTATAGGCATGAGCCACTATGCCTGGCCAGGACTTTGGATTTGACTCCGAGTAGAGAACCACTGGAGGGTTGTAAGTAGAGGAATGACAGATCTGCCATTTTTTTTTTTTTTTTTTTTTTTTCAGAAGATTCACTCTTTCTGCTGTATGGGGAATAGACTGTTGGGGCTAAGACCAGAAGTCAGTAGATATACAAGAGGAGACAGTGGTGGTCATCAAGTGTTGTCCTCCCACAAACTCCAATAGACTATTCTCCAGTCACACAGGACCAAACTTACAGAGTTCATAAAAATGAACCTTTGGCAAGGATGTTATCCCAGCACTTGAAATAGTTCACATACATATCTGGGGGTCAGGAAGTCTTCCCTTGAGGCTCTGTTGAAGTCTAAGCTTATTAAACAACCACGAAATATTAGAAACCAGTACCAAGATCCAACTAGGGAGCAGTGTGGGATCCACAAAGTTTGGGACAATTGGCTGTGTTTTGTAAAGCAGGAACAAGTTATCCATATTGGTGTCAACGTGACCATGGATTAAAAGTCTTGAGTATGGTGGCTCACGCCTGTAATCCCAGCACTGTGGGAGGCCGAGGCGGGTGGATCCTTGAGACCAGGAGTTTGAGACCTGCCTGGCCAACATGGTGAAACCCCATCTCTACTAAAAATACAAAAATTAGCCGGGCGTGGTGGTGGGCACCTGTAATCCCAGCTACTTGGGAGGCTGAGGCAGGAGAATCCCTTGAACCTGAAAGGTGGAGGTTGCAGTGAGCTGATATTGCACCACTGCACTCCAGCCTGGGTGACAGAGTGAAACTCTGTCTCAAAAAAAAAAGTGTCTTCAGTATGATAAACCCACACAGGAAGAATTGATTAACTGTTGTTAATTAGATGACAAGAACAACAAAGTCGAGTGGGCTTTGTGGAGTGTGCTACCTGAGAGTCCATTTGGTCAGGGACCTAACTGGCCTGATGTGATCCCATAGTGAGGGAGGGAGCAGGGGAAATGACTGCCTAGTCCTCACTCTCCTGCCTCCCTCCAGACTCCCCCTGGGGCCAAATCCAACAAGAAGCCAGACAAGGCAAGGGAACCCCCTGGAATGGGCCATATGGTTCAGCCTCCCCAGCATACAGCCAAGTGGAAGAGGATTTAGTTTAGACCCAGAAAAGCAAGCAATTTCAAGGTCCTATTGGGAGTGTGGAGGAAATGCCCTTCCCAGTCTCTTCCCCCATTGGAGGGGGAATTCAAGAATTAGGATAGAGAGGCCAGGCATGGTGGCTCACGCCTGTAATCCCAGCACTTTGGGAGGCTGAGGCGGGCAGATCACTTGAGGTCAGGAGTTTGAGATTAGCCTGGCCAACATGGTGAAACCCTGTCTCTATTAAAAATATAAAAATTAGCCAGGCGTGGTGGCGGATGCCTGTAATCCCAGCTATTTGGGAGGCTGAGGCAGGAGAATTGCTTGAACCTGGGAGGCGGAGGTTGCAGTGAGCTGAGATCGTGCCACTGCACTCCAGCCTGAGCAACAAGAGTAAAATCTCCATCTCAAAAAAAAAAAAAAAAAAGAAAAAAGAAAAAAAAGAATTAGGATAGAGAGATTGGGCATAGTGCCTGCCTTCCAGTGTGAAATTAATGGAATAGGACTTTGTAAGGAACGCTAGGTGGGATAGGGGACAAATGTTTCATTCACGTAATAAAGTCAAAGTCATGTTAATAGAGGAGTTGATCTTGAATGAAGACTTGATGAGGCTTATTAATAGGATTGACTTTCCCTTTTCCTAAGTGATAATCAAAGAAAAACAAATGGAGGGGAGGGAATCTACCAAACTGCAACAAGGAGAAAAGGAATCACCCCACATCATTTCTTCCCTGCCCCTTTCCCCTCCCTCTTGGGACTAGAAGCTGCTCCATCTCCTCTACCCAGCAGCGAAACAGAGAGGGAGGCTGGGGCCCACCCTCCCACCAGAGGCTGTGAAAACATGCAATACCCGTGAAACCTGTTCACTTCTGGGGGAAAGAAAGTCTGCAGAGAGCGGAAGGAGACAGGTCTTCAGAAAGAGAGGGCATAAAGGGAAAAGGCCCTTTTGTCTGTTGCAGGAGGAGGGAGACTGTGTGAAAGTGACTTAGCACTGTGCCCAGGTGCAAAGTTAGTGCCAAATAAGTGTTAACTGTGGCTTTCTTTCTTCTCTCTCCTCTCTCTCTCTCTCTCACACACACACACACACATGCAGGCACAAGCAGATTCTACTACAAATACCTGTCTTCTGCTATAGGACCATACTCTCACCTGACATCATACTCAGGTAAGTGACATGGGCGAGGTGTGGGAGACTTTAGTAGTGTCCTCTCTGAGATCTCCCCGGGATAGGGCATGGTAAGGCAGCATAGATGCCGATCTCACCAGCCATTACAAAATGCAAAATTTTGCTTCTTTGGAGGTTTTGGCTTAATGTGGGCTCAGTTCCACTGCACCTCTATGGAGTGCAGAGGATGTGGTGGTGTGGCCTCGATGCTTTGAACTAGCTTGAATGCAGGAGCCCAGGGCCCCGAGGAAGGATCACAGCTGCACTGTGGGGAAGTGGGGGGTGCAGCTGCTTAGCTGAGCAGAATGGGAGTGGCTGCAACAGCCTGTAAATGTGCTTGATTTTAGGGTCTTTATCCAAATAAAATATGGCTTGCTGACAGGTTAGGGAACACACCTCACTTCACACATAAACCAGCACTGACATGTTCATTTATTTCTGTAAGGTTTGCAGTCACCTAATGGGGTCGGGTTTACAGGGTGGCCCTTTAGCCCCCACATTTTTTTTCCCTATCAAGTCAAGAAGACTGAAATTCCTGTTGCAAACACCAAAGCCTCTAGGAGAGGCAGAAAAATGACATAGAGCACAGAGCCAACCAATGCAATCCACAAAAATGAGAGTGTATATGCTTAACCATTCCGGAAATATGATAAACACATTTATTTTATTTATTTATTTTTTGAGACAGAGTCTCACTTTGTTGCCCCGGCTGGAGTGCAGTGGCACGATCTTGGCTCGCTGCAACCTCTGCCCCCCGGCTTCAAGTGATTCTCCTGCCTCAGCCTCCTGAGTAGCTGGGATTACAGGTGTGCACCACCACGCCCAGCTAATTTTTGTATTTTTAGTAGAGACGGGGTTTTACCATATTGGCCAGGCTGGTCTCGAACTCCTGACTTCAAGTGATCTGCCTGCCTCAGCTTCCCAAAGTGTTGGGATTACAGGTGTGAACCACCATACCTGGTGGATAAGCACATTTAAAGAGATGCCCACACACTCACATACTGCCTGACATTGTTCATTAATCTTTACAGGAGCCCCTTAAGCTCACCATTTTATACACGGAGAAGAGGTTAAAATTCACACAGCTAACAAGGGCCAGGGCTGAGATTTGAACCTAGTGCACTCTGGTGAGAGGTCTCACCTTCAAACATCCTACCTCGCTGCTGGAGGTGACCACTTAGCAATATTTGCAAAAGGTGCTACAGTTTAGTAAAACAGAAGTGCTTCCTGATTACCTTCCATTCTTGTTAGTCATTTAGGGGTCTGCCAGCTTTTATCACTGGTTAAAATGGTAACCACTTTTCATTCTAAATGAATCCTGCCCTCTAATTAGGAGCTTTAGTAACCTTAGAAGGTGATCTAATGCAAGTAAAATTTAAAAAGATTTTTCACACTTCACTTTTAAAATATGAAATCATGCAGGCAGCTTTGAACCAGTTTTATAACTGTTAGGTTTCCCCCCAGCTGTATAATACCCAGGAAATCAGGCCACCTCACCTTTCTGAGCTTTCAGAACAAACAAAAACTCCAGTAAATCTGGCTTGCTTTATGTTAGTGGCTCTAATTACAACTGAGGGGTCCTGTTCCCCTCTTGCAGCCTCTTTGAGACCTTATGTTAATGGGAGAGCTTCACAGAGTCACTCGTGGTGTTTTCAGTTATGCAGTTTTTTGTTTTTTTTTTTAAACCTGATTTTCTGCTGACACTTACTATTTCTTAAAGTGGCTTTACACTTCTCTTCTTTTGAGTTTGAGCCATGGATGGAAAAACCAGGCAGCTAGTTGTCAGCTCTGGGCTTGGTCTTTATTCTTTGAATGATGCTCCTTAGTTCCCATGGGCAAGGACAAAGCAGGGGACTGTCCTGGGCTGGGACAATCACTCACAGCCACATGATTCATGTGCTCAGTCCAAGCTGGGCATGGCCCAGTGGCGGTGATTTTCATTTGAGTAGACCCGGCTTCGATAAGGATACCTGGAGGGCAACCAGCCAGCTTTTGTGGAGACAATCCCAGAATAAGGTAACTGATCCCACACTAAAATAATGATAGAGTTAACTTCCCAACTCTTTAAAGCATAAGTGCAGTTTGAACAGAGAGTTACTAAACAGAATTCAATGATAGCATCATCCTAGTTCCCTTAGCAAAGACCACATGACGTCTAGGACCAATGAATCACAGAACAGCGGAGATACAAAGAACACGAAAGTCATGCGCTACACCTCTTTGTTTATTTTATTTTATTTTATTTTATCTTTATTTATTTATGTATTTATTTATTTATTTATTGAGACGGATTTTTGCTCTGTCGCCCAGGCTGGAGTGCAGTGGTGCAATCTCGGCTCACTGCAACCTCCGCCTCCCGGGTTCAGGCAATTCTCCTGCCTCAGCCTCCCAAGTAGCTGGGATTTTTGTATTTTTAGTAGAGACAGGGTTTCACCATGTTGGCCAGACTGGTCTCGAACTCCTGACCTCAGGTGATCCCCCTACCTCGGCCTCCCAAAGTGGTGAGATTACAGGTGTGAGCCAATGTGCCTGGCCTATTTTATTTTATTATTATTATTTTTTGAGATAGGGTCTTGCTCTGCTCTCCAGGCTAGAGTGCAGTGGCACAATCAGGGCTCACTGAAGCTTCAACCTCCCCAGCTCAAACAATCCTCCCACCTCAACCCCCCACCCACATACGCCTGCCACTGAGTAACTGGGACTACAGGTGTGTACCACCACGCCCGGCTAAATTTTTTTTGAATTTTAGTAGAGATGAGGTCTCACTATGTTGTCCAGGCTGGTCTCAAACTCCTGAGCTCAAGCGATCCTCCTGCCTCAGCCTCCAAAAGTGCTGGGATTACTGGCATGAGCCACTGCACTCGGCCACTTCTTTATTTTAAAGTACCCAAAGTCACATGGCCAGTTGGCAGTCCAGCAGGCACAGTAGAATTCTTGTGTGATTGGCTATAAATGTTGTGTCTCTAGGAAGTAGCATAAGAAATCACAAAAATGCCTTCAGGAGGGGCAGTAGAAAGGCATCGTGTAAAACAGCTGAGCCTCAGGAGGATGGGCTTAATAAGACATGATTGACAGCCAGCCAAATATCTGTGGCGTGCCTAATGAAAGGGCTCTGAGTGTCTCTGTCATCTGGAGTATGGTGGGGCACATTTTTCCTTAGAGATTGAGGATGGATGGCCACGGTAGCTGAGAGTAGAATCCCCAGTCTGAGAAGCTCCCGAGTGTCTTGTACTGAACAGTGATTTTTTTTTTTCTGTCTAGCATCCCTCATGCATTTGGTGAACTGCTTTTTCCTTATTCTAAATCATGTGAACCTGATTCCAATTGCAGTGTTCCATCCTTGGCCATGGTCATGTGGCCTAGGCCTGACCAAGGAGAGGGAAAAAGAAACAGAGGCCTAAGGATGTCAATTGACTTCCTGGATCCAGCTGTGTCTGAAGAGAGGATTTGCTCTTCTGGACTTTTGGGTTACATGAGGCAATTAAGTTTCCATGACTAATAACCAAAACAGTGCTAACATCTGGGGGTTGGGGAAAGGTTGCTGAAGGGGCTCAACTGGTAGGTGTGGTCATCAGACCGGGCAAAGAGGCAAGCAGTTCCATGACAGGAAAGAGTCCAGACAGCCCATTTCTGCCCACAGTCAGGCCCAGAAGCCCCCAGCATGGGGGCCTGGCAGGCGGTGGGCCCCTCTCTGGACCTGGTCACCTATTGCCTGAAAAGCCTTTTTTATCCCAGGAAAGACAGAGCTATGGGCTGGAGCAAGTATCTTCAGCTTTTCCAGGAAACAGCATGGTGGCTGGTATGGAGACAGAAAGCAGTACAACTCTACTGGCAGCTTGTCTAAGGAAAGATGAGGCTTCTTCTGACCTCTGGTCCCTTGGGGGAACCCAGGAAGACATACAGGCCTTGACTTCTCGGAGCTTGGCTTTCAGAGTGGAGTGGAGGTGCGGGTGTCAGAGCTGCAGGGGTGCAATGCTTCCCCAGGCTCCCAGGTTGATTTCACAGGTGCACCAGTTCTCAGCTCCCCATGGGGGACCGGCAGATGGGTAGTTAGCCAGCTGTTGGAACAAGCACAGCCCAATTTGTCAAGCTTTGTGTGGCCCTGAGGAGTGTTTCTAGTGATTGCCCTTTCTGTTGCAAAACACACCTTCAACTGTTACCCTTGGCATCTGCTGCAGGTGTAAATGTGCTTCTTAGCACTTTATCATTGTCCTACAGTGGGGCTGGGTATTCTGTAACCTACTGTCAAAAGGAATGCTTTTTCACTTATTCACTTTACATCATTGTAAGGATGTTCTGATATTTATAGGATAACCCTTCCATGAAGGTCTAAAACCTGGATCAGATGACTCTTGTAAGTGCATTGCTACTTTGGCATTGAAGAATGGTTGAAATTTCATATATTTGATACCCATGGCCCAATACTCAGAAAACACTGTTGGGAAACACTTGCAAAATGTCAAATTTGATTGAAGGTTATATCAATATTTCCACTAGGATCGGCATGGTGGCTCAGGGAGGGGCCCACAGCCTGTAATCCCAGCACTTCGGGAGACTGTGGCAGGCAGATCACGAGGTCAAGAGATCGAGACCATCCTGACCAACTTGGGGAAACACCATCTCTACTAAAACTACAAAAATTAGCCAGGCGTGGTGGCACACGCCTGCAGTCCCAGCTACTCTGGAGAATGAGGCAGGAGAATTGCTTGAACCCAGGAGGTGGAGGTTGCAGTGAGCCGAGATTGCACCACTGCACTCCAGCCTGGCGACAGAGAGACTCCATCTCAAAAAAAAAAAAAAAAAAAAATTCAGGAAACACTGTAAGTGAAGCTATCATGTTTCTGGTGAAACCTAGATCAATTTGGACCTTGTTGGTCCTGGGATTAGTCAACTGGGTTAGTAACAAATACACGAGTGCTTCCCAGAGGCTCCTGCCCTATTTTATCTGTGCTTAGAATTTTCCAGTTTACCCTCATTGCCTCTGAAGTAGACATGCAATTGTCAGAAAGTTCAGTGGTTTCTAGAACAGTAACAGTTCATGTTTCCGTAGTTCTTCTTTTTTCTTTTTTTCTTTTTTTAAGAATTAGAATAACCCCAACAACATTAATGAAGTTGACTCAGCAGTTACAATGCTGTCTTCTCAGTGGCTGGTTTCCCTGCCTTATTCTTTAGAAGAAATAGAAGTATTGGCGGTGACACGTTTTAATCTACCAGCCGCAGAATATAACCCTGGTAATCATTGTTGGAAAATGCACACATTGTGATGTAATAGATTTTTTACTCACTACGTATTTTCTAAATCCTCAGAGTAAGAATGGGTCTCCTTTAAAGTTCCTAGTGATTTATGCAGAGAGACTTGGCTCCTGGATGTCCCTTGAGCAATAATCACACAGTATTAAAAAGGCATTTGGGGAAGAAGTCTGGGGAAGTCATCTTTGCAGGGATTTTTGGCAATGTAGAGAAGCCCTTTACTTAAAAGAGCACACGATGGGAACCAGAGAACTCCAAAGGTTTTTCTTTTCTTTTTTGTCTATTCAGCTAACTTCAGAATAGATTTGTGAAGAGAAAAGGCAGGGCACTAGTTAATGAGGCATGATTTATAGGCAACCAATGCTGTTCTTGGTGAGGCCTGGAATGCTCACTTAGCCTCTTCTCCGTCAAATCCTCTTGTCTCTCCTGGAGTCACTTCACTGCTCCTGAAGGTGTTCTTCAAAAATCCTCACCTCCAGGTTCCCAAGTTCAAACATGACAGGCTCTTGGCTGATGCAGCCTTCTGCAGCTGGATGCTGGCTTACAAAGAGAGACTGTTTTCCATGTGATGTGATCGCTAGGGGATTGGAAAGATCTCTCGCTCTGCCCCCCAAATATCTAAGTGGCCTTCTCCGGTGCTAGGATTTCCACCATTAGTCATGACTTTGTGTCAGAATTTAGGTCCCTACTAGAGGTTGTGGCAGGTGGGGTGTGGAAGTGAAAAGATTCCTGCATCCAGGATGGGGTTTTATTTTACTTTTATTTTCATTTATTTTAGTTTTTGAGGATCAAAGATCTTTTTTCTAATTTTTTAATTTTTATTTTTTGAGACAGAGTCTCACTCTGTTGCCCAGACTAGAGTGTGGTGGCGCAATGCACAATCTTGGCTCACTGCAACCTCCACCTCCCAGGTCCAAGCAATTCTCCAGCCTCAGCCTTCTGAGTAGCTGGGACTACAGGCATAAGCCACCACACCCGGCTAATTTTTGTATTTTTAGTAGAGACAGGGTTTTACCATGTTGGCCAGGCTGGTCTTGAACTCTTGACCCCAAGTGATCCGCCCGCCTCAGCCTCCCAAAGTGCTGGAATTATAGGCATGAGCGATCATGCCTGGCCCAAGTATCTTTCTAAATTGTGGAACTCGGTACAAAATTAAAGGCTAAATCGGTAGATTTCAAAGTCTGGAGAAAAGTCAAAGCTGTTTTCATTTTTTTTCCTGTTCTTTCCTTATCTCCCTTTCTCAAATTCTTGCTTTTTAGAGGTAACCACTTCCCAACCACCCCACGGCACCTAGTATAGGGCCTCCCTCACAGCCAGCAAGCTCTGAAAATCTCCTCTGAGCTCTTCACCTGTTTTCCTTCCTCCAGAGACCTGGAGCCCACCTGCTGCTACAG
Organism: Homo sapiens; assembly: GCF_000001405.40. Lineage (NCBI taxonomy): Eukaryota > Metazoa > Chordata > Mammalia > Primates > Hominidae > Homo > Homo sapiens. The sequence continues at coordinate 200,524,299 of NC_000001.11, read as the reverse complement.
AATATCAGGGAGCAGTTAGGAGTAGAGGAGGCACTGGGAGGCATTTGTGAATTAGCAGTTGTTTACTCACTCAGCTGCAGTACTCCAATCTGGATAGGCAGTGACATGGTGCTGAGTAGAAACTGCAGTTTCAAGGAAGAAAAGTCTGGCTAAACTTACTCACGTCAGGAAGGGAAGCAGTGGCTTGACCTTTCAGACATGCCCAGCAAGGGGACACTGGGTGCCAGGGTCACCTGAGTCGCCATCGTACCCCATTCTACCCTCCATGTTATAGCCATTGGAGTGGTGGCTCATTCCTGTAATCCCAGCACTTTGGGAGATTGAGGTGGGAGGATCCTTTGAGCCCAGGAACCCAAGACCAGCCTGGGCAACATAGTAAGACCTCCATCTCTACAAACAAACAAACAAAAAACAAAACAAAACAAAACAAACAAACAAAAAAAAACCCATTCAGGCATGGTGGTGCACACCTGTAGTCCCAGCTACTCAGGAGGCTGAGGTGGGAGGATCACTGGGGCCCAGGAGGTTGCGGCTGCAGTGAGTGGTGATCACGCTACTGCACTCTATCCTGGGTGACAGAGTGAGATCCTGTCTCAAAAAGGAAAAAAAAAAAAGGAAAACAAGGTTAGGACAACTTTAATCTAAAAACAGCATAAGAAAGAGAATCAGTGACCTGAGCTTAGGTTCCAGCTCTGTATCTTTTTTTTTTTTTTTTTGAGAAAGAGTTTTGCTCTGTCACTCAGGCTAGAGTGCAGTGGCGCGATCTTGACTCACTGCAAACTCCACTTCCCCAGTTCAAGCAATTCCCCTGCCTCAGCCTCCTGAGTAGCTGGGATTATAGGCACATGCCACCATGCCTGGCTAATTTTTTTTGTATTTTTAGTAGAGATGGGGGTTTCACCATGTTGGCCAGACTGGTCTTGAACTCCTGACCTCAGGTAATCCACCCGCCTTGGCCTCCCAAAGTGCTGGGATTACAGGAGTGACCCACCGTGCCGGGCCTCTTTTTTTTTTTTTTTTTTTTTGATATGGAGTCTTGTTCTGTTGCCTAGGCTGGGGTGCAGTGGCACGATCTTAGCTCACTGAAATCTCCACCTCCCAGGTTCAAGCAATTCTTCTGCCTCAGCCTCCCAAGTATATGGGGTTATAGGCATCTACCACCACGCCCGGCTAATTTTTGTATTTTTAGTAGAGACGGGGTTTCACCATATTGGCCAGGTTGGTCTTGAACTCCTGACCTCAGGTGATCCACCCGCCTTGGCCTCCCAAAGTGCTGGGATTACAGGTGTGAGCCACTGCTCCTGGCCCAGCTCTGTATCTTTCTGTGCCATCTTGGGCAAATAACATTTCCTTGTGGTTACTCGAAACTCCACATTGCAGAGTTGCAAGGACCACATGGGATGAAGTTGCAAAGTGTTCTGAAAGGCTGCCTATGAGATCTGCAGTTTGGTGCTTCTCACTCCATAGTGTGCTCACGAATCACCTGGGGGTCTTGTTAAACTCAGATCTGACTCAGTGGGTCTGGGACAAGGCCTGAGTCCGCCTTTCTAACAAGCTCCCAGGTGATGGCAATGCCGCTGGTCTATGTATCACACTGTGAGCCGCCAGGATTATCTCAAAGGTTTATCACAGGCTAGACACATTGTAAGTGTTCCAGAGGTGGTGGCTATCATTACCAGTAATATCCAGAATAGCTTTGCTCTTATTTTGATCTAGAGAATTGCTTTAGGATTAACCTCCCACCTCCACCACTAATCTGGGTGATAGAATATTTTGTAGTCCTGGCTGGGCACAGTGGCTCATGCCTGTAATCCTAGCACTTTGGGAGGTCCAGGCACGTGGATTGCTTGAGCCCAGGAGTTCAAGACCATCCTGGGCAACATGGTGAAACTCTGTCTCTACAAAAAAATTCAAAATTAGCCGGGTGTGGTGGTGTGTACCTGTAGTCCCAGCAACTTGGGAAGCTGAGGTGGGAGGATCACCTGAGCCCAGAGAGATTGAGGCTGCAGTGAGCTCTGATGGCACCACTGCACTCCAGCCTGTGTGACACAGTGAGACCCTGTCTGAAAAAAAAAAAAAAAATTGCAGTGCTGAGGAAAATTTATAGCACGAGCCCTTTTTCCTGAACACCCCTTGGACAACCCCTTGAGAGTGAGAACTTTCATGATTATATTTCTAGAAGGAAGGGTTTTTTCTTTATCCCTTGCCATTATCTCTGTCTTTGAATGGGTTAAGATGTATCAAATCTAGATTTCTGTGAGGCCTGAGCTTGGAATAAATCTTATGCCACCTTCAGAGGAGATGTGACAGTTTTCCAGGTTAGACAAGGTACCTACTTGGAGATCTGTTGAGACAGGACTCAGTGTTAATTTTGTGTTCAATCTTCCGTAGTCCAGTCAACATTGCTCGGGAAGATGTGGCTTCTTCTAGTCTGACACAGAATAATGAATACGTGCAGAACCCAGTAACCTCAAGGGCCTCAACAAAGTCTGAGGTATGAGGTATTTTCCTAACTCACCTTTAATCATTTTTTAAAAGTTAAAATCCAGATCCCACACAATTATCATTTTTAAAAGTAAAATTCCATATTTACATTGAACCTGACAGGCATGCAAAAATGTTGTCATGGGTAAAGTAGAAAGGAACTTTGTTGGCTGGACACAGTGGCTCACGCCTGTAATCCCAGCACTTTGGGAGGCTGAGGTGGGTGGATCATCTGAGGTCAGGAGTTCGAGACCAGCCTGGCCAACATGGAGAAACCCCATCTCTTTTAAAAATACAAAATTAGCCAGGCGTGGTGGCCCATGCCTGTAATCCCAGCTACTTGTGAGGCTGAGGCAGGAGAATCGCTTGAACCCGGGAGGTGGAGGTTGCAGTGAGCCGAGATGGTGCCATTGCACTCCAGCCTGGGCAACAAGAGCGAAACTCTGTCTCAAAAAAAAAAAAAAAAAAAAAAAAGGCCCGGCGCTGTGGCTCATGCCTGTAATCCCAGCACTTTGGGAGGCCGAGGCGGGTGGATCACGAGGTCAGGAGATCGAGACTGTCTTGGCCAACATGGTGAAACCCTGTCTCTACTAAAATACAAAAAATTAGCTGGGCATGGTGGTGCGTGCCTGTGGTCCCAGCTACTCGGGAGGCTGAGGCAGGGGAATCGCTTGAACCTGGGAGGCGGAGGTTGCGGTGAGCTGAGATAGCGCCACTGCACTCCAACCTGGCGACAGAGCAAGATTCTGTCTCAAAAAAAAAAAAGAAAAAAAAAGGAAAGAAACTTTGTCCCTTTACCACCTCTCTCAGACAGGCACTGTTCCTGTTTTATCTGATTTAATCCTTGCAGCATGGCTGTAGCCTCAGTTGTATTATTAACATCCTCATTTTACAGATGAGGAAACCGAGGCTTGTGCAATTCAGGTGATTTCCCCAGCAACAGCTAATGCTTGTCAATTGACCAGGAAGATGCATTCGTTGGCCGCAGCCTCTGAAGAGATGATAGAGCAGGCCGAGGTGGGATTCTGGTTCTTCTGGACAGATGTGGGTTCATTCTTTCTACTCCTTCCATTTGCTAAGGGCTGGGTGCCTCTACCTTTTTCCTTGATTGTCCAGTGACTGGTTGTTTTTTTAAATCTGCATTCCTCTGGTAAAATTAACCTCTGTTTTTCTTTTTTTGAAACAGGGTCTCACTCTGTCACCCAGGCTGGAGTGCAGTGGTCCCATATCAGCTCACTACAACCTCTGCCTTCTGGGTTACAGCGATTCTCATGCCTCAGCCTCTCGAGTAGCTGGGACTACAGGTGAGCACCACCACGCCCGGCTAATGGTAAAATTAACTTTAAAAGAAGCTCTGAGGCTGGGCGCGGTGGCTCATGCCTGTAATTCCAGCGCTTTGGGAGGCCGAGGTGGGTGGATCATTTGAGGTCAGGAGATCGAGACCAGCCTGACCAACATCGTGAAACTCTGTCTCTACTAAAAATACAAAAAATTAGTTAGGCATGGTTGCACACGCCTGTAATCCCAGCTAGAGAGGCTGAGGCAGGAGAATCTCTTGAACTCTGGAGGTGGAGGTTGCAGTGAGCTGAGATCATGCCACTGTACTCCAGCCCGGACTACAGAGCAAACCTCTTCTCAAAAAAAAAAAAAGAACCTCTGGGCTTCCTGTCCATCTGGACTGTGCACCATTTAACAACTGCCACTTTTCCCCCCAGAAGAGGCTGCGTTTCAGTAGCAGAGAATGTGTCCCCAATATATAATTTATCTATTCTTTTATAAAGCACTTTAAGGTCTTTGGGGATCGCGAGGGTTGTGTAAATATGCTATTTATTATTTATTAACTTTATCCTCCTAATGGTCCCCACTAACAGGTCTGAATCAATCGAGACGCATCAGGTTGCAAGAAATGCCACACAACCTCCTTTGTTGGTGAGAGGCTTGGCCACCACCCACACATTTCCACAGGATAGGATGTGTTCAGGTGAGCAGCTGACCCCAGGTGCTTATGATCCCTGCAGCAAACTCTGTTCATCACAGAAATGTTGTTCAAAGCACAGGAACCCTCAATTCATCGGTGAGTAGGGGAGAGCAATGGTTTAGCAAATTGAGTATTTTTGTTTCAGCACTTCAGAGTTGCTGGATATCTTGCTCAAATTTATTGCTCCTAGCTAGTAGAGTACACTAAATACAAATAAATTTTTCTTTCTTTTTCTTTTTTCTTTTTTTTTGAGACAGGGTCTCACTCTGTCACCCAGGCTGGGGTACAGTGGCATGATCACAGCTCACTGCAGCCTCAATCTCCTGGGGTCAGGTGATCCTTCCACATCAGCCACCCAAGTAGCTGGGACTATAGGTGTATGCCACCACGCCTATGCCACCACGCCTAGCAAATTTTTGTATTTTGTTTGAGATGGGGTTTTGTTATGTTGCCCAGGCTGAAATCTTTCTAAAAATTAGACTTTGTGTCTAATTATGAAAATATTAGGTCGGGCGTGGTGGCTCATGCCTGTAATCCTAGCACTTTGGGAGGCAGAGGCAGGCAGATCACCTGAGGTCAGGAGTTCGAGACCAGCCTGGCCAACATGGTGAAATCCCATCTCTACTAAAAACACAAAAATTAGCCGGATGTGGTAGTGCGCACCTGTAATCCCAGCTACTCAGGAGGCTGAGGCAGGAGAATTGCTTTGAACCCTGGAGGCGGAGGTTGCAGTGAGCTGAGATTGCAACACTGCACTCCAGCCTGGGCAACAGAGCAAGACTCTGTCTCCAAAAAAAAAAAAAAGAAAAAAAAAAAAAAGCTCATTAGCTCATTTGTAAAAATGTAGATAAGAAAAAGAAGAAAATAAATATCACCAATAGTTTTTACTGCACAGAAATAATAACAGCTTTAAAATTTTAATTTCCTTCCAGTCTTTCTCACGCACACACAAAAGATGTTTGGCATGCTGCATCTTGCCTTTCTCATTTAACATTTTATATTTCATGCACACTTTCCTGTGTCATCAAATATTTCTCAGAATATGATTTAAATGTCCTTATATGGGCATGCACAAGCAGATCTTTCCTTGGTAACTTAGGCTGTGTGCACTGTCATTATTCCAGAACATTAATTTCCACTGATGATGTCACAGGGCTAGGTGACCTGGCTGAAAATGAAGTGTCAGCAGAACTCACACTAAAACTTAAGTGTATTTTAATATACCACTTAATAAAATATTTCTCATAATAATGAGTTTCTCCCCATTACCAGAAGAAAATAAAAATCCTAGTCAATTTAGATTTTTCCTGAGGCTTGAAGATAGTAAAATTGAGAGTACACTGGGCAAGAAGCCAGCAATTACATTAATAAAGCCCACCATAAGCCAGGTGCAGTGGCTCATGCCTGTAATCCTAGCACTTTGGGAGGCTGAGGTGGGAGGATCACTTGAGCCCAGGAGTTTGAGACTGGCCTGGGCAACATAGTGAGACCTTGTCGCAACAAAAAATTTAAAAATCAGCCAGGTGTGGTGGCGCATGCCTGTAGTCCCAGCTACTTGGGAGGCTGGGACAGGAGGATCACTTGGGCCCAGGAGTTCGAGGCTGTAGTGAGCTATGATCGCACCACTACATTCCAGCTTGGGCAATAGAGTGAGACTCTTTCTCTAAAATAAATAAATAGGCCAGGCGAGGGTCTCATGCCTGTAATCCCAGCACTTTGGGAGGCTGAGGCAGGTGGATCACCTGAGATCAGGAGTTCAAGACCAGCCTGGCCAATGTGGTGAAACCCTGTCTCTACTAAAAATACAAAAATTAGCTGGGCATGGTGGTGCGCACCTGTAGTCCCAGCTACTCAGCTAGCTGAGGTGGGAGAATTGCTTTAAGCCAGGAGGCGGAAGTTGCAGTGAGCCAAGATCGCGCCACTGCACTCCAGCCTGGGTGACAGAGAGAGACTTCATCTCAAAAACAAAATAAATAAATAAAATAAAATAAATAAATAAAGTAAAGACCATGATAATGCTTTGTTGGCGGTCATGATAAATTCACAGAATCTTCCAGCTTGGGTTCCCTGATTTGTGCTGCTACACTCCAGGGACATCAGACATGAAGTTTTGTACCACAGGTCTGCTCTGAGGCATCTCCTCTGACAGTTCTGTTCTTATTTCTGTGAGACTCATCGGATCCGTAAGTACAAACCCGTATACTGCATTTCTTTTAGAAGAACAAATTAGAACAGGTCAAGTTGTAACGCAAAGAAAACAAACCTAAAATGATTCACAACACACGAACGTCTGAGAGCCCGGAGTGGGAAGCACAGCAGGGCAGAGCTCGGTTCTGGGTGGGAGGGCACTTCCAGCCCTCCGGCTGCCCATCACTGGCTTCTCTTAGTGGGGCTCTTGTTTGGGCCTCTCCTCTCCCTAAGGTTTGATTCTGTCCCAAGCTCCTGGCAGGCAGAGGCCATATCTGTGTAAATCACTGTGTACAGTACCCAGCCAAAACCCATCCACAAATGTCCCTGATAAGAGGCTTTATTTATTCATTTCCTTAAGAGTTAATGCATTCATCTGGTTCAAAAATCCAAAAGGCAGCCAGGTGCAGTGGCTCACGCCTGTAATCCCAGCACTTTGGGAGGCCAAGGTGGGCGGATCACCTGAGGTCAGGAGTTCGAGACCAGCCTGGCCAACATGGTGAAACCCTGTCACTAGTAAAAATACATAAATTAGCTGGGGGTAGTGACGCACACCTGTAATCCCAGCTACTTGGGAGGATGAGGCAGGAGAATCGCTTGAACTGGGGAAGCGGAGGTTGCAGTGAGCCGAGATTGTGCCATTGTACCCCAGCCTGGGCGACAGAGCAAAACTCCATCCCAAAAAATAAAAATAAAAATAAATCCAAAAGGCACAAAAGGGTGGCAAAAAAAAGCCTTCTTCCCTCCCCAGCCATCTAGTTTTACCAGTTTTTTATGTGTTGTTCCATAGATATTTATGCATTTATAAGCAAATATATATAATTTTCACCTTTTAAATCAAATAGTGTGTTCTGTGCATACTGTTCTCTACCTTGCTTGGTTCCCATAGCAATGTCTTAGAAATCATCTCAAAAGCAGTTCATAAAGAGCTTCCCATTCTATTTCACAGCTGCCTAGTATTCAATTGTCTAGGCCATAATGTAGTCAATCCATCCCTTATTATTCTATTATTATTATTATTTTGAGACAGATTCTCACTCTGTTGCCCAGGTTGGAGTGCAGTGGCAGGATCATAGCTCACTGCAACCTCGACTTCCTGGGCTCAAGCAATACTTCTGCCTCAACCTCTGGAGTAGCTGGGAACACAGGCACACACCACCATGCCTGGCTAATTTTTGTATTTTTTGTAGAGACAGGGTTTTGCCATGTTGCCCAGGCTTGTCTCAAACTCCTGGCTTCAAGTGATCCTCTAGCCTTGGCCTCCCAAAGTGCCAGGATTACAGGCATAAGCCACCAAACCTGGCCTCACCCCTCATTAATTGACATTTAGATTTTTCCATCTTTTATCATTAAAATGCTTCAATGAATAACAGTATAATTCATTGTTTTATATGTATGAGGGAATAATATATGCTTTGGCCTCTCACTACATGGATCTGGAAGTTTGAAAGGCATGGGATGAATTGAGGCAAATGTCATTTCATGTTGAAATGAGGAGGAAGGCAGTGTTCAGCTCTTTTTTAACAAAACAAAACAAAATTAGCCTGCCCAGGTGAGTGTCTAATAGGGTAAATAGCATAGCATAGCATAGGCATTACTGAATTTCAGTGCTTAGCTCTTTGCTATCTGATCAACTTAGAGAGATACAAAGCAGTCAATCTGAGGTACTTGCATTCTCCAAGACTTTTTATTTTATCCTTTCTCTTTATTCAATCCCATTTTCTTGTATTTTTAAAGAATCAAGAATAGGTATCAAACACTCTAAACACTGGAGTGCTACCAGTCCTCTGCCTTTAGCTTCAAAAGGAACCTGAGCCTCCAGCTGTCAGTGAGCTCTATTCCCTCCCTTTTCCTTCCTCCCTTCTTTCCCCTTCCCTGCTTCCTTCCCTCTCTTCCTTTTTTCCTTCCATACCACCAAGTAACCCGCCTTTACTGAGTGCCTGTCCTATGCAAGCTCTGTGCCAAAATCCCTGCTCTAAAGGATCTTGCTACTAATCGGAGAAGAAGAGAGGGCTGCCATTATGGTTGTGTAGTTTGGAGGACACTTCCTGGAGGGAGGTGGGCTTGGAGAAGACCTCATGGGCAGAATTGCGGTTGGGGGATCCCAGGCATTGTTCCCTGTGGGTGGATGGAACAGAACAAATGAGGGCAAGGGGGAGGTGTGCTCCCCAGACACAGAGAATATCACAGCAATGCTGGAGAGAGGAGCAGGCAAGATTGGGAAGGGTGGTTTGGGGTCAGATTACAGGTCTTCGAGATACTGGGACCAGAGGTTGTGTGAGCAGTTGCAGGGGAAGAGGTCAGAGCTGGAATGATGTCCTGCCTATACTCTAGATTGACTGCTATTGCAGCCTGGGCGACAGAACAAGACTTGGTCTAAAAAAAAAAAAATTCCCATGTGGGGCAGTGCTCAGTGACTCAAACTTATAATTCCAGCACTCTGAGGGGCCAAGGCTGGAGGAATATTTGAGGCCAGGAGTTCAAGACAAGCCTGGGCAACATAGGGAGACCCCATCTCTACAAAAAATAAAAAAATTAGCCAGGGGAGGTGGCACACGCCTATGGTCCTAGATACTCCAGAGGCTGAGGCAAGAGGATCACTTGAGCTCAGGAGTTTGAGGTTACAGCAAGCTGTGACCCCACCACTGTACTCCAGTGCCTGGGTGACAGAGCGAGACCCTGTCTCTTAAAAAAAAAAAATTCCCATGTGGACTCCAGATACCACATCATAAACAATGGGAATAATTTTTCTGAAAATGTCATTTGGATATTTTTTGAGTAAGAATCATCTGAAAAAGAATCCCAAGAAATGTGTCCTCCACTTCCCAAATATATTAAAGATCATTTCAATCTAATGTTGAAGGAACAATAGCCACACCAATTGTTTTTTAAAAATGTAAATTTTTTAAAAATAATTAAGTCCTGCTGTAGGAAAATTTAGAAAGGCAGAAAAGCAAAAAGAACAGAATAATCATCCACAATTTTACTTCCCAGGGAAATTATGTTAACATTTAGGAATCTTTTTATATCTGTTTAGGTCTCGAATGTAATATATATGTGCAAATACATGTACATATATATGTAATGTGTACCCTGCTTTTCTTTACTTATTATCAGCATTCTCTCATAGCATTCAATATTCCTTTAAAGCATGATTTTTACTGATGGCATAAATCCATTTCTGTGAATACACCATCATTTATTTAACCATTCTTCTAGCTTGGGAGATTTGTGTTGTTTCCAATTCGTCACTACTACAGATAATGCTTCAGCAAGCATTTTGGTACATAAATACTTACATCTCTGATTATTTCCTGAGGATATATCCATAGAAGTGGGATTATAATATCCAAGGGTATGGAATTTGTTGTTGTTGTTGTTTTGTCTTGAAACAGGGTCTTGCTATGTCATTCAGGCTGGAGTGCAGTGGCACAATCATGGCTCACTGCAGCCTCAACCTCCCGGGCTCAAGCAATCCTCCCACTTCAGCTTCCTGGGTAGCTTTCCCAATTACAGGCAAGCACCACTATGCCAGCTAAATTTTACATTTTTTTTGTAGAGATGGGGTCTTGCCATGTTGCCCAGGCTGGTCTCGAACTGCTGGCCTCAAGCAGTCTTCTTGCTTGAGCCTCCTAAAGTGCTGGGATTACAGGTTTGAGCCACTGTGCCTGGCTAGATAGGAAATTTGCAAAGGAGTTTAATATACATTAATACATTTATCCTTCCATCACCATTATATGAAAACATCAGTCTCAACATAGCCTTATCAACAATAAGTATTATCATTTTTAAAAATTTTAAGCTGTTTGATAGGTGAAAAATTACATCTTACTTTTGGTTCACTTTCATGCTTCAGTTATCAATGAAGTTACACATTTTTTCCATGTGTTAATTGACCACTTATATTTTTTCTTTTTCTTTTTTATTTTTTGAGATGAAGTCTCTCTCTGTCGCCCATGATGGAGTGCAATGACATGATCTTGGCTCACTGCAACCTCTGCCTCCTGGGTTCAAGCGATTCTCCTGCCTCAGCCTCCCGAGTAGCTGGGATTACAGGCATGCTCAACCACGCCTGGCTAATTTTATATTTTTAGTAGAGACGGGGTTTCTTCATGTTGGTCAGGCTGGTCTCTAACTCATGACCTCAGGTGATCTGCCTGCCTCAGCCTCCCAAAGTGCTGGGATTACAGGCATGAGCCACCTCGTCCAGCAACCACTTATATTTTTTCTTTTATGAACTCCTGGGCTCAGGTGATCCTCCCACCTCAGCCTCCTAAAATGCTGAGATCACAGGCATGAGCCACCGGGCTCATCCCACATTAAATTCTTTAATGTATTTGGGGCTTGTTTTGCTGCGTGATGAGTTCTAAAAAGGATTTTTCCCCAAGTAATTAACCATTTGTAAAAACTGTATTTATTTCACACTCTATCCTTTCCTCGTTGATTTGTGATTTTAAAAATACCATACCATACCATATCCTAATAGCTTAAATATTTTAGGGTCCGTTTTAGAACCATCTTTTGTACTTCATTGATCTATTGACTTATTCTCGTGTCACTACCACATTGTTTCAGTGAATGTGCCTTTCAATTTGCTTTAATATCCGGTAAGGCAGATCCTTCCTTACCGTTCTTCTCTGTCAGAATTTTCTAACTATTCTCAACTGTCTATTATTTCAGATATATGCTAAAATGATTTTGTCAAATTTAAAAAATTTTGAATTTTATAAGCCTATGCACCAATTGAAATAAAGCGTTCTCCCATGAATGTGCCTGCCTCTTTTCTCAGGTGTCTTGCTAATTCTAATCCAACAGGAGAAAGCCTCTTAAAAGTCCCCGGCAGACGACAGAAAGGAAAATTAGAGGCAGATAATAGCTCTCTTGGGTGACTAGTATTGAACATTATGTATTTCCTTGTCAGAACAATTAGCAAGGAAAAAAAATTAGTAGATGCCTTAAAACCTACTAGAAAGTTAAGTGGGCAATTGCAGAAGTAGAATTATATGCACATGTATGTAAAAAAAGTCAAAATGGCTTTAATTGTAAATAGATTGTACACATTCAAGAGAATGGCCACAACTGTGTTTCCTTCATAATTTGGAATGCTCTCTGTGCAGGTAGTAAAGAGCTTGTGTCAGTATAAACCCAGCTGCACTGTGTTTTGTGCCCTACACCCCTTCATTCTGTGGGTTGATGTGTGACCAACAGAGTTAAGCATGATTCGCTTAGCTGAGTCAGGATCAGATGCTAGGGATCTTAAAAATAGATGTGTTGGAGAGCAGACTTAGCTTTATTTCATGAAACATGGAGTCTCACAGGCTGCATACTAAACCCTGACGGAAACTTTAGCATTTTAAGCCGACTGAGCAAAAATTCTTTCTCCTTTGGTCTAACTCAGCTTCAGTGGAAATCTAAGAAAAAGAAAGAGGGAGAGAAGTTCCCTGATTTTATAAAGACTGTCCAGTGATTGTGTGAGCTACTTATAAAAGTAAATCTAAAGATCTTTATTCACTTGCACAGGGTTTAAGTTAAAGTAGTAACAATGTTGGATATCTTTCTGGTATAGAGAAGGCAATATTCACAATTTCTTTTTTCTTTTCTTTTCTTTTTTTTTTTTTTTGAGACAGAGTCTCGCACTCTTGCCCAGGCTGTAGTGCAGTGGCACGATTTCGGCTCACTGCAAGCTCTGCCTCCCGGATTCTCGCCATTCTCCTGCCTCAGCCTCCCGAGTAGCTGGGACTACAGGCGCCCACCCCCACGCCCAGATAATTTTTTGTATTTTTAATAGAGATGGGGTTTCACCATGTTAGCCAGGACGGTCTCGATCTCCTGACCTTGTGATCCGCCCACCTTGGCCTCCCAAAGTGCTGGGATTATAGGCGTGAGCCACTGCGCCCGGCCAATATTCACAATTTCAAAAGGACTATCTGGGAGTTTTAGTAGTCTGGGCAAGCTGATTGCTCTAACAAACAACCCTTACACTGAGCAGCTTAACACAATAAAACTTTATTTCTCACTCATGTCACATTTTAATGTGGGTCAATGGGGCACTCTACTCCATGCAGTCATGCAGGGATCCAACTCTACCTTGTGGCTCCACCCTCCTTTAGGTTCTTGGATCTTCTCCTTCCAGCCAGCAGATGGGAAAAGAAAAGGAGCATCCCATGTAGAATGTTTTAATAGGCCAGGTCTGGACGTAATGTTTCCAATGGGTAGAATTTAGTCCCTTGTCCACACCTAACCTCAAAGGAGACTGGAAAATGCAGTCTAGCAGTGTGCCCAGGAAGAAGTGAGGAGCACAGATGTTGGTGATTACTAGTGGTTTCTGCCATAGGACTCATTTCTTTCTTTCTTTTTCTTTTTCTTTTTTTTTTTTTGAGATGGAGTTTCACTCTTGTCACCCAGGCTGGAGTGCAATGGCACGGTCTTGGCGCACTGCAACCTCCACTTCTCGAGTTCAAGTGATTCTCCTGCCTTAGCCTCCTGAGTAGCTGGGATTACAGGCACCTGCCACCACACCTGGCTAATTTTTGTATTTTCAGTAGAGACAGTGTTTTACCATGTTGGCCAGGCTAGTCTTGAAATCCTGACCTCAAGTCATTCTCCCGCCTCAGCCTCCCAAAGTGCTGGGATTACAGGCGTGAGCCACCGTGCCTGGGCAGGACTCATTCATTTCTTCATGCACTCATTCATTCATAAATACTTACTGAACAGTCATTATGTGCCAGATACTAGCTAAGAAGATAGGACTTCAGAGTATCTGCCTTCAGGAAAATACAGTCTTGGTCTTGAATCCTCACCTACTAGCTGTGTAAGTTTCATCTGTTTGAGCTGCTAGGTAGGGATGAATGGAGCTTGCAGTGCCATTGTGAGGGCTGCATGAAATAATATATATGAAGCCCCTATCATGTTTACATACATGTAAATGACCTATTCTGCATTGATCATATGTTTTCAATATTATTTGCTATTACTGTTAAGACACAGAATTCACACAATGCTTGCTTTCCCCTCAAATCTCAAAATAGTAGATTTGTGCTATCACTTTCACTGTTTACAAATTAGCCGGGTTTTCCTTCTATCCAAACACCATTTTTCCAAATACAAAAAATACTTAATTCTTCAACCCAAGTAGTTTATGGTTTTTATTATAGCCCATTTGTGCCCTTCATATTGAGAAAAGAAAAACATTCATTTGAAAGCCTAGAAGCTATTGGCAGTATAATCAGTGGGAGTACCAGCGAAAGGAATCGCATAGGTTTGCACAATAAAACCTCGAGTTTGAGGGACAAAGAGGTCTAGCCATCCACTGTTGTGTTCACATTGGCCACTAGATGGCAGTGTCTCACAGGAATATGATGACCCACTCTGGGGCACTAATGGGTATTTGCTCTTGGACTTCAAGTCTTAACTTCAAAACAAACTAAAGAGAGATGAAAGAAGCAGCATAAAAATATTAATTTTTTTGTTCTTAAACTTGTGAAAAGAAATATCTCTAAACACTCTCAAAATGTTCTCTTGTGACATTTTATATCCATTTTTATACCTTGAGGCCAATAGAAATAATGCAGTTATTAAAGTTTATGAACACTGACTGTGTGTGCACGAGGCTCTTGGAGTTTTCTGAGTCAGTTTCTGAGTGCCCTTTGAGCTTGATTTCTATTCTTGGTTTTCCATGCACATTTGGGAGCTGGTCTTGATTGAAGCTGCTGATAAAATTCTCATTTTTTTCCTGGTTAAAAAAAAAAAAAGGCTGGGCGCGGTGGCTCACGCCTGTAATCCCAGCACTTTGGGAGGCTGAGGCAGGCGGCTCACGAGGTGAGGACTTTGAGACCAGCCTGGCCAACATAGTGAAACCCCGTCTCTATTAAAAATACAAAAAAAAAAAAAAAAAAAAAAAAATAGGTGGGCGTGGTGGCGGGTGCCTGCAATCCTAGCTACTTGGAAGGCTGAGGCAGGAGAATCACTTGAACCCGGGACGCAGAGGTTGCAATGAGCCGAGATCGCGCCACTGCACACCAGCCTGGGCGACAGTGTAAGACTGTCTAAAACAAACAAACAAAAGAAAACGAAACACAAAAACGCCAGGCATGGTGGCTCACGCCTGTAATCCCAGCAATTTAGGAGGCCATAGTGGGCGGATGGCTTGAGGCCAGGACTTCGAGACAAACCAGGCCAACATGGTGAAAACCTGTCTCTACTAAAAATGCAAAAATTAGCCGGGCGTCATGGCGGGCGCCTGTAGTCCCAGCTACTTGGGAGCCTGAGGCAGAATTGCTTGAACCCAGAGGGCAGAGGTTGCAGTGAGCTGAGATCGTGCCACTGCACTCCAGCCTGAGCGACAGAGCGAGACTCCGTCTCAAAAAAAAAAAAAAAAAAAAGAATGAGACATTCACTCATTCACTCAGAGACATCCAGAGATACTGAAAGCTAATGGGAGAATTTCTAGCAGTGTTTATCCTTGAAGTGCTCATAAGACTGTCCAGCCTAGAATGGAAGTTAGGTAATGTTTTGTTTGTTGCTTAGTTTTAATTCATAGCTATGTGTTTTCTTTTTCAGAGAACCAAATACTGAGTGGCAATTCATTAGACGTGGTTGGAGATGATGCCTTAAAAGAGAGCTTTATTAATAATAATAATCACAGAAGTTATTGTTTACTGAGATATCACTATATGTCAGGCACTGTTCTAAAGGCTTTGCATATATTATGTCATCTAATCCTCACTCCAGCCAGGTATGAAAAATACTATTGTTATTGTTACTTTACAAGCAAGGAAACCGAGAGAGAGAGAGGTTAAGCAACGTGTTCAAGGTCACAGGGCTAGTAAACAGTAGATTCAAAATTTGAGCATGGGTTTATCTGGCTCCAAAGCCAATTTTAAAAACCGAAGCCCTTGTTTTTCTTTTTTAATATGTCATATTTCTTTTCTTTTCTTTTTTTGAGACGGAGTCTCTCTCTCTTGCCAGGCTGGAGTGTAGTGGTGCAATCTCGGCTCATTGCAACCTCCACCTCCCGGGTTCAAGCGATTTCTCTGCCTCAGTCTCCCAAGTAGCTGGGACTACGGGCGCCCGCCACCACGCCTGGCTAATTTTTTGTGTTATATTAGAGACGGGGTTTCACCATGTTGGCCAGGATGGTCTCGATCTCCTGACCTCGTGATCTGCCCGCCTCGGCCTCCCAAAGTGCTGGGATTACAGGCATGAGCCACTGCGGGCAGCTGTCATGTTTGTTTTCTTATTGGATTGTCTCCCTGCCTAGACTGTGAACTCCACCAGGGCAGTGATGATGTATCTATTTTGTTCATCATTTCCAGATGTGTCAGATACCCAGCAGGTATCAAGAATGATTTGTCAAAGGAAGAAATGTATAGTGATCATGTTTTCAGGATAAAAATAGTCATGTGTTTCTAGAAGATGGTTTTTATTGATTTGTTCATTTACTTATATGAAGTCCTGTAAAAGTTTGAGTGTGGTGGCTCACGCCTGTAGTCCCAGCACTTTGGGAGGCCAAGGCAGGCAGATCACTTGAGCCCAGGAGTTTGAGAGCAGCCTGGGCAACATAGCAAGACCCTGTCTCTATGAAAATAAAATAAAATAAAATAAAATAAAATAAAAAAGTCATGTAAAGATAAAATATTTCATCGCATTTAAAAATAACCCTTAAGAAATCAACATAATCAAGACAATTTAAATTGCTGAAATCAGCAATGTTGGGAAGACAGGATTGCTGCCCGAAAAGAGCTGCAGTAGACTGAGAAGTCAGCACACAGCAGCATGAAGATGGACAGCCTGGGCCAGGCACTGTAGCTCACGCCTGTAATCCCAGCACTTTGGGAGGCCGAGTTGGGCAGATCACCTGAGGTCGGGAGTTCGAGACCAGCCTGACCAACATGGAGAAACCCTGTCTCTACTAAAAATACAAAATTAGCCAGGCATGGTGGCGCATGCCTGTAATCCCAGCTACTCGGGAGGCTGAGGCAGGAGAATTGCTTGAACCTGGGAGGCGGATGTTGTGGTGAGCCAAGATTACGCTGTTGCACTCCAACAGGAGTGAAACTCTGTCTCAGAAAAAAAAAAAAAAAAAAAAAAAAAAAAAAAGGGCAGCCTGGGGTGAGGATCTGGTAGGTGAAACCAAAACCCTGCTCTGAGAGTTCAGAGAGGAGAGTGGACCTTTGGGCATGGTGATGCATCCCTGCAGTCCCAGCTACTCTGGAGACGGAGGTGGGAGGATCACTTGAGCCCAGGAGTTCAAGACTGCAGTGAGCTATGACTATACTACTGCATAGTCATATGCAATATGACTTCCTTCCTTTCTTCCTTCCACTCCAGCCTGACAGAGTAAGATCCTGTCTCTAAAAAAAATAAAATAAAATAAAAAAGAGAGAGAGAGTGGGTTTTGAGGAGGGAGTGTGTGAAGGAAAGCCTCAGAGTGGTGCAGGAGGGCAGGTTGCTATAGGTGGCCTAGAATGGGTACAGTTTACTAAGTCAGCAAGAAGGGTGTTGGGTCACTCATGCTCCTTCCACCCCCAATGCCCCATCTGCTGCTTTGTCTCAAGTAGAAATAAGTATGACAGAGCTTGCAGCACCTACCTTCTCTTGCAAGTTCCCAGTTTAAACTTGTGCACTAAATCTCACCTTTAATGAGAAGCAGCTTTTGGTGTCTCAGCAATAGTTCTGGAGCCTCCTCCTACCGCTGTCAGGTTTGGGGGTTTTATTTTTGTGTGTGTAATTGGAAAATTCCCCTGTGAGACTGGAAAAAGGCATCAATGTCGCTACAAAAATGGTCTCCGGATCCAACCTATGGGATTGGGCAAGCTTCTGAAAGTGAAGCCCATCAGAGAGGTGAGGGTCAGGTGGGTAATTTCACTCGTCGCTCTGGTCAGACATTGGTCTTTGTTCTGTACAATTAGGAGATGACAACAGCCTGGGGACGATGAGGCTGCAGCGAGCAACACAACACATAAAACACATTTACGACACCTCCCGTGGCAGAGCTGGGTGGCGGCTGGCGGCATCCAGGCAACAGGAGCAGTTTTGTGCTGTGCCTGAGAGCCGCCATTGCAAACTCCCAAAAGGATATTGGTGTCGCTAAAACGAGCTCCTTGTGTCCAAATACCAATCTGCAGGTCTTTCTCCTTCCACATCTCTCCTCACCTCCTTCTGCCTTGTTTATCTTTTCTTCACCAAAGACAAAAAGAAACCATCGCCAAATGTCTTCTCTCTCACTCTCTTTTGTCCACCAAAGCCAAATTCTCTTATCCATGATCTTCAATAATTTATTCTGGAAAATTCACCAGGAGAATTTATTTTGCATTTCAATGTCTCCATGATTGAGTAGTGTGTGTAATGTCTAAGCATGGCCATTTGCACTGATAGATAACTAGAAAAGATTTGCTTATGAAGCAAGGAAACATTTCCATTTACAAGAGCATCTCTCCTCTCTTCCACATTCCTGATTTTTAGCAAAGTGCCCTTCACTTGCCAGAGACTCGACTTGCATTGCTTGTAGAGAAATTGCCCGCTTGCCTCTTGGTGTAAGACTCGCTTCCCCTCCCATCTCCAGTTTGCATGTCTCTGAATTCCCCAAATCTTCTGGGCTCATATTTAATAGACCAGTGTTTGTGTAAATCAATGCCTATAAACCGTTCACTTGAGAATGGGGAGCTGGTATTTTTTATGACTCAAAGGACAGTAAAAGCAGCCTCCACATAGGGCAACCACACGTTTTGTGATTGAGTTATTAAGTTCTTGTTAGATCCATCCCAGTCCTGACATACTGCACATCTCCTGTAGCCTGTAATTTCTCTAGTAGGAAAAGAACTAAAAGACAAGCAAGCTCCATCTGAAACACCCTGGAATCTCAAGTACACTTGCAGTTCAAGAAATAATTCCAGTCTGAGTTTCTTATGATGGCAAGAATGAGATGTATTAAGTGTGGGATGAAGGAAATAAATTATACCCTAATATGTCTTTTGCTATATCAATATATTTATTAAGAGTTCTAATTTCTTCTTTCTTTTTCTTTCTTTCTTTCTTTTCTTTCTCACTCTCTTCCTTCCTTTTTTCCTTCCTTCCTCCCTCCCTCCCTTACTTTCCTTCCTTTCTCTCTCTTCTCTTTCTTTTCTTCCTTCCTTTTTTCTTTCCTTCCTTCCTTCCTTCCTTCCTTCCTTCCTCTCTCCCTTCCCTTCCTTTCTCTCTTCTTTCTCTTTCTCTCTTTCTCTTTCTTTCTTTCTTTCTTTCTTCTTTCTCTCGTTCTTTCTTTCTTTTTCTTCTTGCTTTCTTCCTCCTTCCTTCCTTCCCTCCTTTCTTTCTTTCTTTTTTCTTTTTCTTTCTTTCTTTCCTTCCTTCCTTCTCTTTCTTTCTTTCTTTCTTTCTTTCCTTCCTTCTCTTTCTTTCTTTCCTTCTTTCTTTCCTTCTTTCTTTCCTTTCTTTCTTTCTTTCTTTCTTTCTTTCTTTCTTTCTTTCTTTCTTTCTTTCCTTCCTTTCTTTCTTTCCTTCCTTTCTTTTTTCTTTCTCTCTTACAAGGTCTCACTCTGTCACCTGGGTTGGAATGCAGTGGTGCAATCATGGATCACTGCAGCCTTGACCTCCCAGCCTCAAGTGATCTTCCCATCACAGCCTCCCAAGTAGCTGGGACTACAGGTACCCATCAAGACCTAATTGTTTCTTAAAAAGTCCTTCTAGAGCAAGGGTCAGCAAACAATGGCCTATGAGCCAAATCTGACCCACCACCTGTTTTTGCATTGCCCAAAGGCTAAGAGTGGCTTTTACATTTTTAAATGGTTGAAAACAAGCAAAATAATAATATTTTTTAATGTGAAAATTATGTGAAATTTAAATTTTAATGTCCCAAAATAAAGTTTGATGGGAATACAGGCATACTTGTTCGCTTTTGTCTTGTCTATGACTTCTGTGCTTCCACAGCAGAATTGAGTAGTTGTCACAGAGAGCGTCTGGCTTGCAAAGCTTGAAATATTTACCATCTGGCCCTTTACAGAAAAAGTTTGTAGAGTGCTATTCTAGAAAAACAAAATGATGCTTCTTTGTTCACAACTAAATTATCAAAATGTGAGTCTCCAAAAGGCAATTTTTTTTAATCTTCAGGGAGTGCCATTTCACAGTGATCCCTTCTGAGCTAGGTCCTACCTAATTTTACTCCAAGGGGTTCTTCAGAGTAGATGGTTGCCTCCTTGAAGAATGCTGCTTGGCAAGTATTATTTCCTAGTGTTACTTTTCAATAGGAAATAAGTATTAGTTTCACTATAGTAATAAGTGTTACTTTTCACAATAGTAATAAGTGGTACTTTGCAACAGGGACACAACTCTTTATTTGAAGAAACTATAAATCAGTGTTTCTCATCCCTGATGGTTCTTTAGAATCACCAAAGGAGCTTTTAAAAATCCCAATAGGCAGGTTGTACCCCAGACCCAGGCAATTTGAATCTCTGAGTGTGGGGCCCAGACATTTGTATTTCTTTTTTTTCTTTTCTTTTTCTTTCTTTCTTTTTCTTTTCTTTTTTTTTTGAGAAGGAGTGCCCCTCTGTGTCCCAGGCTGGAGTGCAGTGGTGTGAGCTCAGCTCACTGAAACCTCTGCCTCCTGAGTACAAGTGATTCTCTTGCCTCAGCCTCCTGAGTAGCTGGGATTAGAGGCACTCACCACCATGCCTGGCTAATTTTTTTGTATTTTTAGTAGAAATGGGGGTTTGCCTTGTTGGCCAGGCTGGTCTCGAACTCCTGACCTCAGGTGATTTACCTGCGTCAGCCTTCCAAAGTGCTGGGATTACAGACGTGAGCCACCACGCCCGGCCAACATCAATATTTCTTAAAGTACCCTAGGTGATTCCAAGGAAATGTGCAATCAAGGTTGACTGCTGTGAAAGTTCAGCTGTACAAAGGGAAAACTTTCTATTTAGAAATTAATGTTTTAATTGCTGTAGCCAATTCCACTGGAAATTCAAATATTTGCCGAATGCCCACAAAAAGCTAATTGTTCTGGAACCTCTCTCTCAAAAAGGACTGAAACATCTCTTCACTCTCAGTAATTTAGCAAGGCATATCATTGGCAATGGATTGAGCGGCCCCCTTTCCCCATCTAGACCACTATCTAAGTCATCATTTCTGGGTGCTCATTAAATATGCAGAATTAGGTATGTAGATATATGAATGCCAAAAGGGGTTGCGGGAACCTTCAATTTTATCATTAGAAGCAGCATCATCACAGCATAAAGCTCTTAGACCCTCCCACTTGCCAGCTAACCAACCCTGAGCATATCCCTTCATTTCTTTTAGATTCATTTTCTACTTCTGTAAAATGAGGTAATTATAATACAGTACCTACATCACAAGGTTGTTGGAAAGATTAGATGGAGTAATACCCATAGAAGCTCTTTTGTGGCCAGGCACGGTGGCTCACGCCTGTAATCCCAGCACTTTGGGAGGCTGAGGTGGGAGTATTGCTTGAGCTCAGGAGTTCAAGAGCAGCCTGGGCAACATGGCAAAACCTCATCTCTACAAAAAATACAAAAATTAGCTGGGTGTGGTGGTGCACATCTGTGGTCCTAGCTACTTGGGAGGCTGAGGTGAAGGGATTGCTTGAGCCTGGGAGGTAGGGCTTGCAGGGGTTGCAGTGAGCTGAGATTGCACCACTGCACTCCAGACTGGGCAACAGAGCAAGACCCTGTCTCAAAAAAACAAACAAACAAAAGAAGAAGAAGAAGAAGACGAAGAGGAAGAGGAAGCAGAAGCAGCTGTTCTATTACTAAGAGTTCTATTCACTGATTAGATACATTTTCACTGTAGTGGGAGAGACAGAAATAAGCAAGGAAACTGGTAAAATATGAACAGATACCCATGGTGGTAAGTGCTGTAGAGAAAAATAAAGCAGGGGAGGAAGCAGGAGTGTTGGGGGTGGGGTGCTGAGGGTGATTTTTCAAATGGTATGGTCAGAGAAAACTCACTAAGGAGACCCAATGACTGTGAGTTATCATTACGATATTAATGAGAAATGATAAACTACCTGACATGCCTCTGAAACAACTTGTAACTGATAATGTTAGGGGCCCCTCAAAATTCCTTGTAGAAAATGGGTCAAAGACATGAAAACTGGTAGGATTAATGGAAGTGGCTAAAAAACATATAGAAAAGCTCACTTCTCCCGGTGACCAAAGAAAGGCAAATTAGAACAAGATAATGTTTTTAACTTATTGGATTGGGAAACTGGCATTGGCATCAACTGCTAATGGGAGTCTGAAGTGATACCTCCTTTTTGGAGGGCAATTTGTCAGCACCTATCAAAATTTAAAGTGCATGCATATGTAGACCCAGAAATTCCGTTTTTAAAAAGGAAATGGTTTTCTAGAAATATTCACACACAAGTATACAAGAATATGTGTATAAAGATATTTATTTATTATTATTATAGTAAAAAAGGTGGCTCATGCCTGTAATCCCAGCACTTTGGCAGGCTGAGGTGGGTGAATCGCTTGAGTCCAGGGGTTCAAGACCAGCCTAGGCAACATGGCAAAACCCCATCTCTACAAAATATACAAAAAATTAGTCAGGCATGGTGGCATGCACCTGAGGTCCTAGCTACTTGGGAGTCTGAGGTGAGAGGATCACTTGAGCCCAGGAGTCCAAGGCTGCAGTGAGCTATAACTCCAGCCTGCACTCCAGCCTGGGTGACGGAGTAAAACTCTGTCTCAAAAAAAAAAAAAGGTAACAAAGTATAGATAATCTAACTGTGTATCTCAGGCACTTGATAAATGTTTGTTAAATGAATAAATGAATGCATAGATAAATGATTTTTTTTTCGAGGTGGAGTTTTGCTCTTGTTGCCTAAGCTGGAGTGCAATGGCGCAATCTTGGCTCACTCCACCTCCTGGGTTCAAGCGATTCTCCTGCCTCAGCCTCCTGAGTAGCTGGGATTACAGGCGCCCACCATCACTCCCTGCTAATTTTTTGTATTTTTAGTAGAGATGGGGTTTCACCATGTTGGCCAGGCTGGTCTTGAACTCCTGACCTCAGATGATCCACCTGCCTTGGCCTCCCAAAGTGCTGAGACTACAGGCATGAGCCACCGCACCCAGCCAGATAAATGGAATATTATAAGGCAATTATAAATTAGGTAATGTGTGTGCACAAACAGAAGAGGATGGCTGTATTAGCAAATGCAGAAGCCCATGGGGAACAATATTAATATATAAGGCATAAAATACACTCAGACATACTATGCTATAAAAAGGTCTGGAAAGCTACCAGTCAGACCACAGAAATCGAGTGTGTTAACAACAGCAAAGAGTATTTAATTACAGTTTCTTTATATGCTGCAGAATGGGAGATCAAGGAGGTATTGAGGGAACATTTTCACATTTTCATTTTCTACATTTCGGTATTGGTAGAAATGTTTTCAATTATCATATACGACTTAGGTACGTTTTAAAAATTAATAAGATTTGTATTTTTAAAAATGTCTCTTAGAAATATAAACATTTTAGCTGGGCAAAAGCTACCACATTCCTCACTGACACTCATTTGCTATCCACTATAACTAACTGAAGGTGGGAGGCATCCACTCAATGCCAGGTACTTTACATGTGTTATTTCATGTCCTCTTGCTAGATGGGGAAATGGAAGCTTTCAGAAGTTAAGCAACTTGCCACAAGTCACCAGCTGCACGCTGTAAGACTTGTCTGGTGTCAAAGAACACAAGCTGTCTTGTTGCTGACCAGTAGCCATGGAGGAGTTCAGGGTCCTGAAAACACTGACCACCAGGCAGAAATAAGGACCTGAGGTCATATCAAGGCCCTCTCAGTCACGCAGGAGCAGTATTGAAGGCAGAGACGTAAGGGATAAACTTTACCTTTCTCGCATTTTGCCCAGGACCAATCTTTGTGCAACTAAAATTAAGATACTACTCTAGAAATTTTTGATTCATATTTGAACACCATTAAGGCCAGAGACAGGTGCCCATGGATGAGTTCAAACCTCACTGAGTTGTGTTTCAGCCACTGAGCCACAGGAACTGGAGACAGCCATGAGAAAACCAGTTCGGATTTGCTGGAAAACTGTTTTCTAGGAAATTGACCATTATATTCCTCAAAGTCCTGTGTCTAAGAAAGATTCAAAGGAAGCATTTCTTGTAGAACCGAGTGCCAGGACAAAATTGGTCATCCAAGAAACTGCTACACTTTCTCATTCAGATAACTAGAGCCAGTAATCTATATTGCCCTTTTTGGCTCTGGTTGTAGAAAACCCAAGAGCAAATCTGAAGCTCAATTATTACAGCTGTGAGTCCTTAGATGTAGCAGATCTTTTGACTCTGGATATTTTCTTCCTGGATTTTCTAATTTTGTTTCTATTATTCTACCATGTCTTTTGCCCATAGAATCAAAGCTGAAGTCCTAACAATGCCCTGCAGGGCTCTCCATGGCTTAGCTCCTGACCAGCTTCCCAGCCTCTTGTCCTGTCATTCACTCCATCCACGACTGGCTTTCTACAAACACACACCAAGCTTAGAACTGCTTCCAGCTTTTGTGGTCATTCTGCCTGCTTCTGGACTTCTGTTTCAGCCCATTTCTTGGCTGCTTCTCTCTCACCAGGTCTCAGGGGAAGACCTTAGAGAGACTTTCCTTGACCTCTTCCCACTGAGCACCAGTTACTTTGCCCTGGGTCACCATGTTCATTTCCTTCAGAGCACTTATTGCTGTCTGTATTGATCATATTTACTTACTGATTGTCTCTCATCATTGAAGGAGTTCAGGACCTGGTCAGTCTTATTCATCTCTATATTCCTAGAGCTTAGAAGAGGCAGGTAGTAGGCTGTCTTAGTCCATTTGGGCTGCTACAACAGAATACCACAGACCAGTTGGCTTAAACAACAAACATTTATTTCTCACAGCTCTAGAGGCTGGGAAGTCCAAGATCAAAGCACTGGTGGATTTGGTGTTTGGGGAGGGCCTGTTTCCTGGTTTATAGATGATGCCTTCTCAGTGTGTTGTCACATGGTGGAAGGAGCCAGCTAGCTCTCTGTGATCGGTTTTTTTTTTTTTTTTTTTGGAGATGGAGCCTCACTCTGTCGCCCAGGCTGGAGTGCAGTGGCGCAATCTCGGCTCACTGCAACCTCCTCCTCCCAGGTTCAAGTGATTCTTCTGCCTCAGCCTCCCGCCTCCTGGATTCAAGCAATTCTTCTGCCTCAGCCTCCCGAGTAGCTGGGATTAAAGGCGCCTGCCACCACACCTGGTTAATTTTTGTATTTTTAGTAGAGATGGGGTTTTGCCACGTTGGCCAGGCTGGTCTCAAACTCCTGACCTTGTGATCTGCCCACCTTGGCCACCAGGCTGGGATTAGAGGTATGAGCCACCGCAAGGTACCTGTTTTATAAGGGTACTAATCCCATTCATGGGAGCTCGGCCCTCAGGATCTAATCACCTCCCAAAGGCCCCACCTCCTAATATCATCACCTTGGAGTTGAAGATTTCAACGTATAAATTTGGGGGAAACACAGACATTGACACCATGGGTACTTGATAAATATTTGTTGGATGATTAATGAATAAATTTGTTTTAGGCTGTTTCAAAATTTTTTTTGGTTCAACAAGAAAGGTAAGTTACAAATATTCAAATCAGTACAAATATCAAACATAGTTATGAGTTACAAATATTCAAATCAGTACAAATATTGAACATAGTTGTGAGCTAGGGAGTATTTTCCTCCTATCACCTGTAGAGTACACATAGAAGAATTTAGCTTATTGCACCAAGAACCGCAATTAAAAGGTCTCTGGCAATGTAGAACCTGCTTTATATAATTCTCTTTTGAGACAGTGTCTTCTTCTGTTGCCCAGGCTGGAGTGTAATGGTGTGATTATAGCTCACTACAGACTCCAACTCCTGTGTTCAAACTATCCTCCCACTTCAGCCTCCCAAGTAGCTGGGACTACAGACATGCCCCACCATGCCCTGCTAACTTTAAAATTATTTAGTAGAGATGGAATCTCCCTATGTTGGCCAGGCTGATTTTGAGCTCCTGGCCTCAAGTGATCCTCACACCTTAGACTCCCCAAGTACTAGGATTATAGGTGTGAGCCACTGCACCTAGCCCTATAATTCTTGCATGCCATCTACCAAACTTTATTGCTTAGTGTCCACAAGATATGTTCATTGAATAGGGGTTAAGTGCCCCCTCTTAGCCTTCAGCCCGCACCAATTTCTCCTTCCTCTGGAACATGAGGCATCATACAACTGGTTCACCTCAACTGGTTCAACTCAAAGGTGTTAGTCTGGTCTCAATGAGGTGGTCAAATCTGAGAGGGCAAGAAGAGCTTATGTTTTTCTTATGTGACTCATCTCTCACTGCTTGGAACCTAGCACAGCAAAAATACTAAATAAGCATTTGAAGATTGGTTGATTGACAAACATACCATATACCGGTCAGTTACATCATCATTAGAAAAGCAGGTTTAGGCCAGGCGCAGTGGCTCATGCCTGTAATCCAAACACTTTGGGAGGCCGAGGCAGGTGGATCACTTGAGGCCAGGAGTTTGAGACCAGATGGGCCAATATGGCGAAACCCTGTCTATACAAAAAAAAAAAAAAAAAAAAAAAAATACCAAAATTAGCCAGGTGTGGTGGCACACGCCTGTAATCCCAGCTACTCAGGAGGCTGAGGCACTAGAATCACTTGAACCCAGAAGGCAGAGGTTGCACTGAGCTGAGATTGCACCACTGCACCCCAGCCTGGGAAATGGAGTGAGATTCTATCTCAAAAAAAAGCAAAAAAAAAAAAAAAAAAAAAAAAAGGAAAGCAGCAGGTTTATTTCATATTTAAAGTTGCACCATGATAATATGTTATTTAGTAATGTACCAGAGGAAGCCACGGAGCACGTTCATCAAGGATAGAACTTTCCTAGGTCCTAGGATAGAAGCTGAATGAATAAGATTGTAAAGAGCTTGTGGTCTCATTTGCAAAATGCCATCTATAAAAAGTGAATTAAGGTTTTATATATATATAATATATATATATATATAGAGAGAGAGAATTTTGTTTTTTGTTTGTTTGTTTGTTTTGAGATGGAGTCTTGCTCTGTTGCCCAGGCTGGAGTGCAATGGCACGATTTTGGCTGACTGCAACTTCCACCTCCTGGGTTCAAGCGATTCTCTTGTCTCAGCCTCCTGGGTAGCTGGGACTACAGGCGTGTACTACCATGCCCAGCTAATTTTTGTAGTTTTAGTAGAGACCAGGTTTCACCATATTGGCCATTCTGGTCTCGAACTCCTGACCTCATGATCGACCCGCCTTGGCCTCCCAAAGTGCTGAGATTACAGGTGTGAGCCACCATGCCCGGCCAACAAGGTAATATATTAAAAGATAATGGAATTTTAGTGCTAGAAAAGATAATAAGGACCTAGACTAGGTATTGGCAAACTTTTTCTGTAAAAGGCCAGATAGTAAATCTGTCAGACTTTGCAGGCCCTATGGTCTCTGTTGTAACTCTGTCAGTCACCAGCAGGCAGCAGGCAGCATTTGACTCCAGGCTATGGTTTGCCAACCCCTGTCCATGGTATTTCAATAAGTGTTTTCGGATAAGAAGAATAAATTGGGCTGGGCTCAGTGGCTCATATCTGTAATCCCAGGACCTTGAGAGGCCAAGGTGGGAGGACTGCTTGAGCCAAGGAGTTTGAGACCAGCCTGGACAACATAGTGAGACCCCATCTCTAAAAAATAGAAAAAACAACAAGAAGATATCTGGGCTCCTGTGGTTAGGCAGGCAGCATTGTGGTAGGAGGTGGAGTTGTCCTGGTCTTGAAGGCATGATCAGGTTTGGAAAGCAGAGAGGAGGAAAAGCAGGTGTTGAAGTCAGATGACCATCAAGA
Organism: Homo sapiens; assembly: GCF_000001405.40. Lineage (NCBI taxonomy): Eukaryota > Metazoa > Chordata > Mammalia > Primates > Hominidae > Homo > Homo sapiens. Next base: position 200,496,779 of record NC_000001.11, on the reverse strand, counting down.
GCAACAAAGCAAAGCTGAGTAATTGGGAGAAATGTCAAGAAGATAATTTGGCAGGAAAATAATTTGCATTGGGGAATAGACAGAGAGTGATAAGACTGAAAAGATGGTGGGATATTCTGGAGAATAGGCTAATCCTGTAGGCCAGAGCATCTGGAAATGCTCCACTTCAACAGCAGAGGGGAATGATAACTTGAAATGATACTATTTCTATAAACTGTTTTATCATAAAAGTTAACTCAATTTATCGTTTTATTCCATAATGTTTGTTTTAGCATAAACAATTAATGTCAGCCACGCACAGTGGCTCATGCCTGTAATCCCAGCACTTTGGGACGCCAAGGCGGGCAAATCACTTAAGGTCAGAAGTTGGAAATCAGCCTGGCCAACATGGTGAAATCTAAAAATACAAAAAGAATTTTACTAAAAATACAAAAATATGTTACTAAAAGTGTTTACTAAAAATACAAAATACTTTACTAAGAAATACAAAAAAATTAGCTGGGTATGGTGGTGGGCACCTGTAATCCCACTATTTGGGAGACTGGGGCAGGAGAATGGCTTGAACCCAGGAGGCAGAGGCTGTAGTGAGCCAAGACTGTGCCATTGCACTCCAGCCTGGGTGACAGAGTGAGACTCCATTAAAAAAAAATTAATGTCTTAAATTGCTTACCATTGCATAAAATTAATGCTTCAGGAAAATTTGCTCTGTTCATTCAGTGGTTTTGAGGGCTTCACCACACATTCCTGGAAGCCCTCTTACCCTAGTTTGAGGATGGTTGTAGGCAATGAGAAGGATTCTGATAAGGGTTGGGCTAGCGGAGGGAGACCCTCTAGAAAGGTCAGTATGATGTACTCAGATGACTGGGTTATGTGCACAGGGACTAAAATTTGGGGGGCACAGAGACAATTAGAAATCTGTTTTCATAGACAGCTGGGAAGTCATGGGGGCTTGTGACTGAGAGACTAAAAAGGCAGAAGACAAATACATTCAAGAGGCAAGGATGCCAGAGTTTGATGAAAAACAGTTGGGCAAGTAAGATATACACATACAGTAATTCCAAACGCCAAAGTAAGACAGAAGACTAATCTTTTTTTTGTGTTACAGGTTTAGAGATACCATATTTTGTTCTCAGATCCATGTGTCAACATTTTAACATATCTGGAATCAGAATGCATCAAGCAATTGATGATACAACCCAGTTTAATTGCAGGTTTTGTTTTTTCTGGGTGGCACACAAAATTATGAGACGTCTTACCATGGCATCTTAAATTTGTTGAAATATGATATTTGTCAGGTTTTAATTATAAATTTCTAGCTAATAATCTCTCTTTGGGACCATTAATATGACAGCATAAGCTACCCCAAGGGTCAAGATGAGATCAGAGGCTTTTTGAATCTATCATGGGGATTTTTGATTCCATGCTTTAAAAGAAGGTGGTTCTCATTGTCCCTCAATATATAATTGATGGACAGCAAAGACTAAGATCCTTTCCAGAATTTTCCCTTTCCTCCCATAACTGCTCAAAACAAGGCAGGTCTGTGTGATCACTTGATTTTTCACCTACTACCTGCCAGAGGTTACATTATATACAAAATGTAAATAAGTCACACTCTTTATGACCTTTTAGAAGATACAGATATTGTCAAAATATGTAAAAGAGTTTTCTTTAGACAATGTTGTTGCCACTTATTTATGGCAATTACTTTATAGTCAAAGTTATCTCCCAAGTTTTCTGAAAATTCCTCTAAAATAGTAGATGGTTTGCGATATTCTAAACTTTTAGGGTGTCCTTTCCACTAGGAGGTGAGTTCATGAAGCATGAGCTGCTGCCACCATTCTTGCCTCAGTCCCTGAGCATTGAAGGAAGTGCTGGGTGGCCTGGGGGCTGTGGGATGAAATGCGTGGAGCTTCCTCTTGCTTCATTGTTTCCAAGCTGTATCCATTTCTGGACCCCACTTATTTCCTGCTTTTTTTGCTTTTCTTTTTTTTTTTTTAAGAGTCAGCCCTACCTCCCTTTTCTATTTTCCTATTAGGTAAAGAGTCTGATGAACTGATTCATACATAAATTTCAGATAAAATTATAAAATTATTTATGCCCCTACTCCTCCAATGGCTGTTGCATTTGCAGTCTTGAGCCCAAGACTTTAGTCAAATTGGGAAATTTCAGGAACTTGGACTTATATTTTAAAGTACACTACAAGCTGGGCAAGGTGGCTCACGCCTGTAATCCCAGCACTTTGGGAGGCTCAGGCAAGAGGATCACTTGAGGCCAGGAGTTTGATACCAGCCTGAGCAAGACAGAGAGACCCCGTTTCTACAAAAAATCAAAAAATTAGTTGGGCATGATGGCATGTGCCTGTAGTCTCAGCTACTTGGGAGGATTGTTTGAGCCTGGGATGTTGAGGCTGCAATGAGCCATAATAATGCCACTGCATTCCAGCTTGGGCGACAGAGCAAGACCCTGTATCCAAAAAAATTTTTGAGACAGAAATAAAAATACACTACAAAATGTTACCTATACATAGAAACAGTAATAATAATACTTCACAGGGTGATTATATGGGTCAAGTGAGCTAATTTTTTAAAGTGTCTGGCACACAGTACACACTTAATTAATGGTGGCTATTACCACTGTTGCTTCTTGAGTTATTGTTTAGCAAATCTCTGTACAATTAGAAGCTGTTATGTCTGCAATGGCAGCAGAGACAGTACATTCTCCTCCCCAGCTGCATAAGGTAAGTGTGATCTGATGTTGTAGACGATGAGCTTCATTAGCTACAGATTATTTAATATATTTCTGGTGACCTCTGTGGTCAAGTTCAGCTTGCCAGAAATAAGGAGCAGCACATAACAGGCCTCACTGAGCAACAGTAGGTTTCAAGTGCAAACAAATACCTCATTTAAATGCCTTATAAAACAGTAGAGAAATTATGTGTAATGGAAATTTAGGGAAGGTCTGCTAACGTTGTATTCTTCTTTCCTTAAATTTCCCCACCCACAGTTTAAATATTTTTAATGAAGCAAATTGTGTAATGCATCAATGAGATGTCCTTCTCAGGACATGGTTTCAAGGAGATTCCAGTTGAACCGTCAGGCTCTGAGAAGTGGAGTAAGGTTTGTTGGGCCCTGCTGGGATTGGGATTGATTAATGGTGTTGTGATAAGCAGGGAAACAGATCAGTGGCAGCTCCTGCTCCCAGCTGTCACAGCTGTGCCTATTCTCTCTTGCAGGCTTTAAAGCACCTCCTTTCCTGTGGAATTTCTGTAAATTATTTGCTCAGACGCCAAGATGCCATAGAAGCAGCTGGCTCTGAGAATCTGGTCAGATGCACGTATTTGTTGCGGTTTAGGACATTACCTTAGCAATTCCCCATTCCTGCCTTCCCCAGGAGTGAGGGGGAACAAATGCATGCTAACTTTGGAGAGAGAGGGAGCAGGCTAGCCAAGTTGCAAAGCCAAGTGCATCCTTAGTAGTGGAATGTTATACATTGTTTCTTTTTCTAAAAGAAACAATGTATAACATTATAAAGAAATATTTTGTTTCCTTACATTTCTTTTTCTAAAATGTTTTACATGGCCTGGCCAAGATGGTGAAATCCTGTCTCTATTAAAAATACAAAAATTAGCAGGGTGTGGTGGTGCATGCCTGTGATCCCAGCTATGTGGGAGGCTGAGACACAAGAATTGCTTGAACCCGGGAGGTGGAGGTTGCCGTGAGCCAAGATCGCGGCACTGCACTCCAGCCTGGGTGACATAGAGAGACTGTCTCAAAACAAATAAAATAAAATAAAATAAAAATAAAAATAAAATAAAATAAAATAAATATTTTACAGAGGTGACTGACAGGTGAGCCTCACATGTGCTTTTGGAGGCTCCCACGTATAGAATGGTCAAGTGAGACTTGGTTTCCGAGTTAACGCGTCCATTGCAGCAATGCATTCTCATCCCCGCCTATACTAAGGTGGCCCATCACATAGCAACAGACACTCAGATCACCTTCAACACACGCTTGCTCAGCAGTCTCAGAAGGCTCACCCCATTCTCTCTTCAATAAGGTTTTAGCCTGGCTGAGGGAGAAGCCAAAGGTAAGCCACATAAGCAGACCTCCAAATTCACCTCAAGGTGCAATGCGTGGGTGAGGTTTCAAGGTCACTAAAGATATCAGCAATACATGAGGTGTTTATCATGTTAGCTGAACAGGTGTTGCTATTCCCATATTACACATGAAGAAACTGAGGCTAGAAATAAGACCCAGATCTTTTGAGTCCTCATGCTGTTTTCTCCCTATAACACGGCATCATATTAATACTTTTTTTTTTTGAGACAGTGTCTCACTCTGTTGCCCAGGCTGGAGTGCAGTGGTACAATCAAGGCTCATCGCAGCCTCAACCTTTCAGGCTCAAGCGATCCCCCTGCCTCAGCCTCACAAGTAGCTGGGACTACAGGTGTACATCACCATGCCCGGATAATTTTGTACTTTTATTTTTGTAGAGATGGGGTCTCACCATGTTGCTCAGGCTGGTCTCAAACTCCTGGGCTCAAGTGATCCTTCTGCCTCAGCCTCCCAAAGTGCTGGGATTACAGGTGTGAGCCACCACGTGCAGCCCATTTTTCTTTTTTAAAAAACAGAGGACAACACTTCATAATCTACAAAGTCTCTTCCAGCTCTTGTGCTCTGTAAGTCTATGATTCTGAAATACAAAACCTGGCTTTTCAGGCCTGGGTGACTGCGGTGGTTGGCATTGTTTCAAAGGCTGTATCCTCAAATGTAGACTTTGTTCATTCTGAGAAGGTGAGTAGTAGCTTTAAAGTCAGAAAAGGAATGAGATTATTTTACATTATTTGTTTTCATTGCATTGAAATATGATTTAATAAGTAGTATCCAAGTAAATAATGAGAATAATGCAATAAGCACTTAAGTTTAAAGCTTATGATCCCTTTTATAGCAGTGTCGGAGATATGAGCACAACTAATACATTAAAACATTTTTGAAGAAACTCTTGTTTGGTGAATTTCACACTACTAAAATGGGACATGACTAAAGATATCTCAAACAACCATACCACTCCAAATAATGTCCAACATTCCCCTACTAAAGATGCACTTGGCTTTGCAAGTTGGCTAGCTTACTCTTTCTTCATTCACTGTTCTACACAGCACTGCAGGTAATTTTTCTGAGTGGTGTTGGGAGACCCATAAGCCTAGTCTCTTCTGAAAACAAGATTACAGAAATGTATTTTCCATGGGAGAAAGTTAATTTTTAAATATACATTTTTCTCTATTTCCAAACATGGAATAAACATGTTTCCCTTTATTTTTAAATGTAAAATGCATATTCCTGAATGCAGCTTGACCGAAGAGCTTTTGTCTTAAAGTTCTACTATTTATTTTTTTTGCCATTATCTGATATGTCAGCAGTGTTTCATAATGCCTCGTGTCACACAAAAGCAAACACAGTCACATTACATTAATGACTAGGCTGGGATCATATAACTGACTGGCTATAATTCTATGCCCCCTTGCTATAAAAAAACATGACCCTAAATCCTACCAGCTTTGCAATAAAAGGCCCCACAATTATGATATAGTAACAAAGCTAATGTTATATACAGTTTGATTGTTTCAATGTTCTTTGCCCATCCATTTTCATTTTACCTGCTATTATACATGTTAGTAAAAAGTAAAGTGGAAATCCACTCTTCGGTATTTTAGGTACAATGTTCATTTACCCAACATACTTAGCCGGATAAAACTAAATATAGTGGAAACTTCTTTTATAATCCCGGTGTTTGAAGTTAGGACTAAACCTACCTTGCAATGTAATTGTAATCACAGACATTTTCCATATGTATTTGGGTTTCCTAAATGAGGTCTAGGTAACCATCTGTCTCTAAATATATGATCAATCACCCCAATACCACTTGATTTTTAGCTAGACTAGTCTTTACCAAATACTAGTTACTCAACAAGTGCTAACTGTCTGGAGGAGAAGCCAACCTTCTCTTTGGTCTATTACTTTGGTCTATTACCCCAAAGCGTTCAGCAGAGATTATCAGTAAAAGGAGTTATATATGCCCAATCTATTAGACAAAGTAAGACCAGCAAAGGCAGCTCTGTGTGATTTTACCTTCCTCCAAGAGAGGAGCTGTTGCAAGGGCTCCAGCATGCACTTTTGTCCTTCCTGTGAATCTTGCAGGGTTATTTTTTGGAGGCTAGATAGAAAAAGCTTCCACCGTTGTATCATTTCCTTCAGTGCCAGCAGCTTTTATTCTTTTAAACAAGTGTTTAGAGGAAAGTGTTGATGCTTATTAATCTGTTTCTTGTCTTACAAATGTGCTTACACATGATTGGTGGTAAAACTGCATATCTGACAGCTCTCAATGTAATCATGAGATGGCAGGACATGATTGTTACACTGAACATGGCAGGACAAGATTGTTACACTGAACAGATCTGTTTGGAATTGTTATTCTTTGTAATTACCTTCATTAAGTGAAAGCATGTGTCAATCAACTTTGAACTTTGAACATACCAGTAATTTGCAAGAAAAATGCATTTCAATTTCTTATAGTCACACATGTGCTTGAAGATGAGTATATATGTAGGTAGGTATATATGCTGTATTAGAAACATATTTTGGTAATTTTCTGAATATATAATTTCCCCCTAGTTTGCATGTGGTAACTTTAAATATAAATAAAGTATACAACAGCTCCAGATAATGATATCAACAGAGTATGTTTAATAAATGGCTAATCTATGTACTAATATTTAAACAGATATTTTAAAATAAAGAACACTCCTCCCTAAATTTCTGCAATAAAAGTATACATTCACATGAATTTTAACGCCATTCCTCAGTAGAAGTATAAATTTGAAAACATATTTACTTTTTTGCATTACTATATATTGTACATCAACCATGGTGTTATCACTTTCTTGATTTGATCAGAGCTTACCTGGGTCAGGAGTCTGCCACCAACGAGGGAACATTTCAAGAAAGTATCCTGAACTTTTGTAGGTTAGTTAAGAAGTGCAAGGGTGGAGCGTGAGAGGAGGGTGAGGATCGCAAAACTACCCATCAGGTACTATGCTTATTACCTGGGTGATGAAATAGTCTGTACACCAAACCACCATGACATGTAATTTACCTACATAACAAAACTGAGGCCAGGCTTGATGGCTCCTATCTGTAATTCCAGCACGCTGGGAGGCTGAGGCAGAGGACCCTTGAGTCCAGGAGTTCAACACCAGCCTGGGTAACATAGTGAGACCCCATCTCTACTAAAATACAAAAAACTTAAGCAGGCATCATAGTGCATGCCTGTAGTCCCAACTACTTCAGGGGCTGAGGTGGGAGGATTGCTTGAGCCTAGGAGTTCAAGGCTGCAGTAAGCCTTGATTGTGCCACTGCACTCCAGCCTGAGTGATGGGAGTGAGACCTTGTCTCCCCTACCCACCCCCCCACAAAAAAAAGAAAAGGAAAGAAAGAAAAAAGTATAACAACCTGCACATGTACCCCTGAACCTAAAAGTTTTTTTTAAAACGTGCTACTCATTCTACCTTTCAATGACTGTTATAAACCAATGCCCTTCTCTCCCTTAGTGTAACGGATGCCCCCATGCACTTATTCATTCATTCAACATTTCATTCTTTCATTCATTCATCCACCTTTCATTCATTAACAAATTCATTCGCTCATCCGCATTTATGAAATAACTGTACAGCACCATGGGGGATTAAACAAATGAGTAAGATACTCAAAAGAGAATTCAGGAGAGGAAACAGAAGAAAAGCTTAGGAATTAGTCGCACTGTAGTGTCCTAGTCTGGCTTTTCCAGTCCGGGCATTATGAAAATTCCTTTTCTGCTTCTTCCGCATGGCCATTTATCTCCACCAGGGGGTGTTGAGGTATAGAAAAACAGATAAAGGTGGTGGAGGCAGCTTTACAACTCCTCAGCAACTCCCTTCCCTTCTAAGGGCTGAAATTACTGATTAAAATGAGGTTCTTCAGACGCTCTGTTAACTTCAGCTGTGCAACTTATCCTCCATATAGGAGCCAGAGGAATCTCTGTGGACTAGCCTTTTTCAACCTAAACCCTCCAGCGGCTTCCCGGCTCCTAGAGTGAAGTTGAGACGCTGTTAACCTGCTTTGCCCTCTTCCCTCCCTCACTTTTTTCCTACTCCTCGCCCCATCCCTCAGGCCACTCTAGCCCCACAGACGCCGTCTGCACTCCCACTTCAGGCCTTTGCACCGGCCGTTCCCTCTACCTGGGCTCTCTTCCAAGATATTCTCCCAAGTCTCCCTCCTTTGAGTCTTTGTCAGATGTTGCCTTTTCCATGAGACCCACTGTGACTGTGCTTCCAAAAATTGCAGCCCCGGCCTCAACATGCATTAGCATGAGTTACCGCTACCCCTATTATTATTATTATTATTATTATTATTATTATTATTATTATTATTATTATTATAGAGACAGAGTTTTGCTCTTGTTGCCCAGGCTGGAGTGCAACGGTGCGATTTCGGCTCACTGCAACTTCCGCCTCCCAGGTTCAAGCGATTATCCTAACTCAGCTTCCCGAGTAGCTAGGATTACAGGCATGCGCCCCCATGCCCAGCTAATTTTGTATTTTTAGTAGAGACGGGGTTTCTGCATGTTGGTCAACCTGGTCTCGAACTCCCGACCTTAGGTGATCCGCCCGCCTCAGCCTCCCAAAGTGCTGGGATTACAGGCCTGAGCCACCGCGCCTGGCCCTACTACCCCATTTTAGGCAGCACTTAAGACCTTGTATCTAACATGCTGTATAACTTGTTTTTTGTTTTGTTTTGTTTTTTGTTCTCTCTCTCTCTCTCTCTCCCTCTCTCTCTCTCTCTCCCTCCCCCCCCCCCCCCCCCCCCCCCCCCCGTCTCTCTCTCTCTCTGTCTCTTCTTGAGACAAGGTATAGTCACCCAGGCTGGAGTGCAGTGGCACAATCACGGCTTATTGCAGCCTGTGCCTCTTGAGCTCAAGTGATCCTCCCACCTCAGCCTTCTGAGTAGCTGGGGCTATAGGCTCATGCCACCACACCTGGCTAATTTTTCCTATTTTTAGTAGAGATGGGGTTTTGCCGTGTTGCCCGGGCTACTTATTTTCTCTTTTTTTCCTTTTTTTTTTTTTTTTTTTGAGAGGGAGTGTCGCTCTGTCGCCCAGGCTGGAGTGCCGTGGCGTGACCTCGGCTCACTGCAAGCTCCACCTCCCAGGTTCATGCCATTCTCCTGCCTCAGGCTCCTGAGTAGCTGGGACTACAGGTGCCTACCATCAGGCCCGGCTGATTTTTTGTATTTTTAGTAGAAATGGGGTTTCACTGTGTTAGCCAGGATGGTCTCGATCTCCTGACCTCGTGATCCGCCTGCCTCGGCCTCCCAAAGTGCTGGGATTACAGGGGTGAGCCGCCATGCCCGGCCACTTATTTTCTATATTTATTGTCTGTCTCACCTCATACGGAGGTAAGTTCTATGAAGGCAAAGATTTTTGTTCATCTTACTGATTGATGTTTTCCCATTTCCTAGAGCAATGCCTGGAACATAGTGCCTATTAAATATTTTTTGAATAAGTGAGTATTTCCAGGTCTTCCTGACCAAGCACAATCGGCTTGGCTTTATGAGGATGTCCATCGTTTAAACTTTGCTATTTTCTGATGGAAGCATCTGAGAGGAGTGTTGTGAGTAAATACATGTAAAGAACTTGGAACAGTACCCGGTACCCAGTAGACTCTCAACACACAGGGCATTTCATGACAGGAGGTGTGGGGTTAAAATGTGTGCTCTGAGCCAAACCGATCAGGGCTAAGTCCTGACTCCATCTTTCCTAGATGTGTGACCTTGGGAAATGACTTCATCTCCAGGTGCCCTCAGTTTTCACTTCATAAAACAGAGATGATGATGAGATAAAGTGCCTCAAAGGGCTGTGGGGAAGTGTCACTGAGGTCATCTATGTGAGGTGCTTAGAAGAGGAACAGGTTGCTCAAAACCTCTCAGATGGGCTGTGGGGAGGGCCGGTGGAGGGTCCAGCAAAGGAGAAATCTGTGAAGAAACTGAGGGCGATTCCAAAACTCTCAGCTCCAGGAGTATTCTGAGGAGAGGTGACTGAAGTGGATCATGGAGCTTCTGGAACAATTTGGGAAAACTCTGGGGAGCTGGCCTGGAAGAGGCACGGAGCGTAGGGGGAAGTTAGTGGGGAGACATTTAAAGGGAGAAATCCTGCAAAGCTGGGAGTTTAATGTGGAACTGAGTGGGGGACCCACAGAATCCCTTGTAGCCCTAGTGTGGGGCTAAGTGAATGGACGTGGGTAGATTTGGGGTAAGGATGTCACTTGGGACTGGAGTTGGCCCTGTGCCTCAGAGCAGGGTCTTTAAAACACTGAACCCCTTGATCTCCTTTGTAAGAAGGGTTAAGGTTCCATGAGTGCCTGGAAGTGGAGGCTGTGAAAATTAGTGAGACAAGTAAAGAAAACTCTTTGTTATTGAAAAGGAAGAGTCATTATTAAAGTGCGAAGATGAAAAAGAATTTATAAAATGCTCAAACAATGCATGCGAAGGTTGTTGTACTTTCTATAATTAAGGAAAATATTTCTAGAGGTGATTGATCATATCTCTTTGTGTTATAATGCCTACTGCTATGACTATAATCGTCCAGTCAACACACTCTTTTAGAGACTGGATGATTTTTTAAAAATACGATCATTTCAGCATTCACAGTTTTCTGCTGTTGAAATACATATTTTATTTTTAACAGCTTTAGTAAGATATAACGCACTTACCATATAATCTGTCCACTTAAAAATGTACAGTTTGATGGTATTTGGTGTATTTTAGTTGTACAACCATCACTCCAATCAATTTTAGAACATTTTTATCACCCCAAATGAACTGTACCCATTAGTAATCACTCCCCATTCTTCTCTACCCTCAGCCTCTGGCCATCACTAATTTCCTTTCTGTCTCTATAGATTTACCTATTCTGGACATTTTATAGAAGTAGAATTATAGAATTTGTCAACTTCTTTTTTTTTTTTTTTTTTGAGGCAAGGTCTTTCTTGGCCACCCCGACTGGAGTGCAGTGGTACAATCATAGTGCACTGCAACCTGGAACTCCAGGGCTCAAGTGAACCTCTCACCTCCACCTCCCAAGTTGCTGGGACTGCAGGTGCACACCATACGCTCAGCAATATGTCAACTTTTATGACTGACTTCTTTCACTTAGCATAATTTTTTTTTGTTTTTTAGATGGAGTCTCACACTGTTGCCCGGGCTGGAGTGCAGTGGTGCGATCTCAGCTCACTGCAACCTCCCACTCCTGGGTTCGAGTGATTCTCCTGCCTCAGCCTCCCGAGTAGCTGGGATTACAGGTTCCCACCACCACATTCAGCTAATTTTTTGTATTTTTAATAGAGACAGGGTTTCACTATGTTGGCCAGTCTGGTCTTGAATTCCTGACCTGGTGATCTACCTGCTTTGGCCTCCCAAAGTGCTGGGATTACAGGCGTGAGCCACTGTGCCTGGCCCACTTAGCATAATTTTTATAAGTTTCATCCAAGTTGTAGCATGTATCAGTACTTCGTTGCTTTTTATCAATGAATAATATTCCAGTGTGTGGATATACCACATTTTGTTTATCCAGTTATCAGTTGATGAGCATTTGAATTGTTTTCACTTTTTGAATATTATGAATAATGCTGCTATGCACATTGGTGTATACATTTCTGTGTGGATATATGTTTTTATTTAGCTTGGGTATATATCAAGGAGTAGAGTTGCTGGACCATATGATACCTCCATGTTTCACCTTTTCTTTTCTTTATTTTTGTTTGAGACAGAGCCTTGCTTTGTCACCCAGGTTGGAGTGCAGTATGTAATCATAGCTCACTGCAACCTCAAACTCCCTCCCTAATTCCAGCACTTTGGGAGGTGGAGGTGGGCAGATTGCTTCAGCCCAGGACTTGGAGACCTACCCTGGGCAACATAGACAGACCACGTTTCTAAAAAAACAAACAAACAAAAAAAAGAGGCTGGGTGCCCTGGGAGGCAGAGGTGGATGGATCACTTGAGGTTAGGACTTTGAGACCAGCTTGGCCAATACGGTGAAACCCTGTCTCTATTAAAAATACAAAATTAGCCGGGCGTGTTGGCACGTGCCTGTAGTCCCAACTATTCTGGAGTCTGAGGCAGGAGAATCGCTTGAACCTGGGAGGCAGAGGTTGCAGTGAGCCGAGATCATGCCACTGCACTCCAGCCTGGATGACAGAGGGAGACTCCATCTCAAAAAAACAAAAACAAAAACAAAAACAAAATATCTACAAACAATCAGTGGAGTATACCTATTGGGTTGCTATATTTTTTATTTTATGTTTTCAATTGTTTTTGGGGAGCAGGTGATTTTTTTGTTGTGTGGGTATGTTCTTTAGCGATGATTTCTGATGTTTTAGTGCACCTGTTCCCCGAGCAGGCATACGTTGTACCCACTGCACCCAAACTCATAGCTCACTGCAACTCCCAACTCCCAAGCAATCCCTTGCCTCAGCCTTCCAAAGTGCTGGGATCGTAGGCGTAAGCCACCATGCCTGGCTCCATGTTTTACCTTTTGAAGAACTGCCAGACTGTTTTCCAAAGCAGTGAAGCACACATTTTTGCAGTAAAGCAAGAAATTTTATAAATGATATGCCCTTTCCACAAGTTCCACTTTTTATCCAGACCTTCTCCTAAGGGCTGATCTCTGCAGCCTGGAGCCTCCAGGTGGGCAGCCTGCCTACAGTGCTAAGGGCAGGTTGATGGAAGAGAGTGGGAGGGACAGCAGGGGGAGGAGAAGAGAAAGAGCAAGGCAGAGAGAAAGAAGAAATGGGTGACTAAGGCAGGAGTAATAAAACGTTGAGCTACTGGGGGCAGTCCACTCCTAAGCCCTAAATTTTAAAATATATTTGTAGTATAAGTTTTCTGAGCAATTCTTTCAAGCGCTTAAAAGGAGGGGTTGGGGGATTTGAGCTCCATGTAGAATGCTGAACACTGTCATCAGCTGTGGCTGGTTCACAGGATTACTCATGTCCTGCGGTGAAGGGCAGATAGGAAAATGACTCACTTCACATACAGCAGTGCCCCTCCACCCTGACGCACATAAGAATCACCTGGGAGCTTTTAAATACTACCGATGCCAGGACCTCATGCCAGAGATTCTGATGGACTTGGAATGGGGTGGAGCCTGAAGGCTGGCCTATTCTAAAGGCTCTTCAGGGATTTTTAATATGCAGCTAGGATTGAAAATCACTTACGTAGACATACAGTTTTTATGTTTTAACAAATACTTTTAAGGCAAACAAACTACTGGGATGATCTTTGGATGCACCACAGAACTTTTTCAGAAGCATTTGGGCGTCCCAATGATTTCTACTTCTAAAGAGTGCTAGTGAATGAGGGATTTTGATTGAGGGCTTACTTTGCTGCCTTAGTGTTCTCTCCTAACCAGAAGCCTTTCTGTTTTGGAATCATGGAGCACATCTTTTGTGGGCTGCGAAAAGCTCTAGGTGGAAGGGAAGAGCATCAGGTGGTGAAGCTGAACCAGGAGAGTCTAAAAACCACGTGGCCTCTCAGGCACCCTTGAGTCTAGAGGGAGTTCCCTGATCTTACATTTGAGAGTGATTCTAGGGGTAAGTACTTTTTTTTTTATAACTTTTTTTATTGCAAAGATAGTTTTTGATTATTATAGAGCAGAACTGGTTGATGGGCTTGAAATTTTATATTTTTCTCTAATTAAAATATCTACAAACAGAGGCTGGGCGCGGTGGCTCATGGCTGTAATCCCAGCACTTTGGAGGCTGAGGTGGGCGGATCGCTTGAGCCTAGGAGTTTGAGACCAACCTGGGCAACATAGCGAGACCACGTCTCTTAAAAAAATTTTTTTTAGCTGGGTGTGGTGGCAGGTGCCTGTAATCCTAGCTGCTCGGGAAGCTGAGGCTGGATAATTGCTTGAACCCAGGAGGCGGAGGCTGCCGTTAGCTGAGATCGCGCCATTGCACTTCAGCCTGGGCAACAAGATCGAAACTCCAACTCAAAAAAAAAAAAAAAAAAAAAAAAAAAAAAAAAAAAAAAGGCCGTGCGCGGTGGCTCGTGCCTGTAATCCCAGCACTTTTGGGAGGCCGAGGTGGGCGGATCACCTGAGGTCGGGAGTTCGACACCAGCCTGACCAACATGGAGAAACCCCATCTCTACTAATACAAAATTAGCCAGACGTAGTGGCACATGCCTGTAATCCCAGCTACTCGGGAGGCTGAGGCAGGAGAATCGCTTGAACCTGGGAGGCGAAGGTTGTGGTGAGCTGAGATCGTGCCCCTGCATTCCAATCTGGGCGACAAGAGTGAAACTCCATCTCAAAAAAAAAAAAAAAAAAGAAAGAAAGAAAGAAAATATCTACAATCAGTGGAGCATTCCTATTCGGTTGCTTAATTTTTTTTTTTAATTTTCAATAGTTTTTGGGGAACAGGTGATTTTTTTGTTCCATGGATCAGTTCTTTAGTGGTGATTTCTGAGATTTTGCTGCACCTGTCACCTGAGCAGTATATGCTGTACCCAGTGTGTTGTTTTTTATTCCTCACCTCCCTCACCCCTTTCCCCCTGAATCCCCAAAGCCCATTATCTCATTCTTACGCCTTTTTATACTCATAACTTAGCTCCTACTTATAAGTGAGGGGGTCGGTACTCTTCATTCAGCCATACATTCAGGAAGACATGTTTATTGGGTTCCTTCTGAGTGCCTGTTCATCATCTGGAGCAGTATCATGGAGTTAGAAGACAAGTCCTCTGACTCTGTGCCTTCCAGTCTCCACACACCTCAGTGACCTTCACACCACCACCCTCGTCCAAGTCACTGTCTTCTCCAGCCTAAATGTCTGCAGTTGCGTCCTACTAACTGGCCTACTCGCTTCTGCTTTTAGTCCCCTATAGCCTATTCTCATAGCTAGAGGGATAAAAAAAAAAATCAGATGCCCTTATTCTCTTGCTCAAAGCTTTCAAATGGCTTCTTATCACATTTAGAATATAATTCAGCTCCTCAAATGTTACAAGACCGCACCCCTACCCACCTCTTTATTCTCATCTCCTCTACCTTCATCTTCCCAGCCCTGTTGGCCTTGCTCATTTCTTCCTGAGGGCCTTTGCACTTCCTGTTCCCTCTGCTTGTTTTCCCCCTCGATATCAGTTGGTGCTTACAAGTCTCTCTAAACCAAGCACCCTGTATTAGAATCCATGTGTCTCTCACAGCAGCCACTAAGATCATTTGCAATTAGGAGGTACTCAATAAGACACTTGATGATGTGAATGGATACAAATATAAAGAAAATAACATATAAAGAAAATGACATCTTGGAAAAATCCTTGCCCAAAATTCTCTGGAACAGGTAACTCAAAAGAGCCAAATCAGCATATCAAGTCTGATGTGGTTCTCTTGCTGCTCAGAGAGCTGCAAAGATTTTACGCTTGTGCAAGCAGATCCTCTGGAAGAAGTAATTTTCTCTTTGGGAGAGTAGCAGTACACAGGCTCAGCAGTAAATTCACAGTATTTTACAAGATAGAAAGCGAAAATCATATTAAAAGCAGTAATCATACACTAGCGGCACCAATCTCTCGTACGTTAATGGTATGGTGCCATAATTTGACCATAATTTCTCTCTTTCTGTGTCTCTGGCTCTCTCGACTATGAAAATGCTTAGTGGCAGTTCTGCACAGCACGAAGCAAAACAGTGGTAGTAGAGAAAGATACATTTTGATATAGCACAGTCTCTGCTTCCTGTATTTCTTTTACCATTTAAGTAATGGTAGGCTTTGCATTTGTATAAATCATGCAGACAATAGTGTGGGACTATGAAGACGTGGTCCATGATGGCTTGAGTCTGTGGATCACAAACCTCAGATGAAGGTGGAGAGTGTTAGGGAAGGTAGGCACAGTTTCAATCAATTTTCTTCCATTGTTGCTTGTAATAGGTTTTCTGAAATGCTTTCACCTTATGAGCATTCATTCTGCTTATTCTTTTGGAGTTGTTCTGCATTACTCAAAAATCATCTCTGATTGTCTTCCACATGTTTTTCCTTTTTAGAGAAAAACCTCACCAGGTGCTTGGGAGGCTGAGATGGGAGGGTTGCTTGAGCCTAGGAGTTCGAGACCAGCCTGGACAACATAGCAAGATCCCCCATCTGAAAAAAAGAAAAAAACAAACAAACAAACAAACAAAAAACCACACACAAATTTAAAAATGGGGGAAAAAACCCCTCACACACAAACCTAAATGCAATATATGTTGATTTTAGATGATTTGGAAATATACAGAACAAAGAAAAAACAGTTACCCATAATTCCACCACCTAGAAAAAAGTCTTAATAATTCCTATATTTCTGTCAGAATATGTTAACATTTTAACTTTTTATGATTATAAAAGCAATACATCTTGATTGTAGAAATTTTGGAAAATGGAGAAACTGTAAAGAAGTAGGAGGAACAGCTCATCATGTAGAATAACTTTTTGATTATCAGTATTTCACTACAACAAACATGGAAATCAAACAAGAGCATCAGGCTGACTGGTTGAAAGATCCCAAGTAAAAAAATAAAACAAAAACATTTCTGCAGGTCTGAACTGAGTGACCTTTGAGACTCTCAGCATTGGCTGTATTTTCCTTTTCTGGAAATGCTGGGCTGGGAGCATTTCCAGAAATACTCCTGGGCTGGGAGAATGGCCTGGGCTGGGAGGATGGCCATGGAGAGGCTGGGCTGGAAGTATAGCCATGGGCTGGAGAGCCTGGGCTCAGAGCCTGACCTGGGCTGGGAGGGATGGCCATGGGCTGGAGAGGTGGGGCTGGGCTGGGAAGATGGCCATGGAGAGGCTGGACTGGGAGGATGGCCATGGGCTAGAGAGGCTGGGCTGGGAAGATGGCCTGGGCTGGAGAGGCTGGGCTGGGAGGCTGGTCACGGGCTGGAGAGGCTAGGCTGGGAGGATGGCCTGGGCTGGGAGGATGGCCATGGAAAGGCTGGGCTGGGAGGCTGGCCATGGGCTGGAGAGGCTGGGCTGGGAGGATGGTCTGGGCTGGGAGGATGGCCATGGAGAGGCTGGGTTGGGAGGATGGCCTGGGCTGGGAGGATGGCCATGGAGAGGCTCAGAACTCACCACAAGAGGTGGGAGAGAGGATGAAAGCTGGGAGCTGAGTGTGTGTCAGTGTGTGCAGAGGGGCTGGGGAAGGAGAGTGAGCATGCTTGCACAAGCATTCAGGGTGGAGAAGGCCAAGGAGAGAAAAAGGGAGTGAGCAGGCAGGTGGAGGCTACAAAAGTGGCCCTGTGCAGGGTGCTGGGTACTGCTGAGAGGCTGTCCTCTAGGGGTGCCTTGCAGGAACCGAGAGCCTAAGTCTGTCTTGAGGACTGCTGGGTGCAGAGTACACTTCTCTGTGACCTGGCAGGACTATCTGGGTCATAAATCACAGATTGTTTGCACCAACGAGGACCCTATCTACTCAAGTAGACCAAGACGAAGGGAAAGAGACTCCAGTAGGATGGGAGGTGGGAGTGGGGTTTGGCTGGGAGGGTCCAATGCTGCTGCATTGAGTGACAGGTGGCTCCTGCTCTCTAGTCACTTTAGGAGAACATGGTCCTGTACAAAGTCCACTCTACAGGGAGCTCATTGGACATCAGGGTTCCATTCCAGCTCTAATGCTGGCCACCCTTAAGTTTGTTATTCTGTTTACTTTTTTTTTGAGACGGAGTTTCGCTCTTGTTGCCCAGGCTGGAGTACAATGGCATGATCTTGGCTCACCGCAACCTCTGCCTCCCGGGTTCAAGCGATTCTCCTGCCTCAGCCTCCCAAGTAGCTGGGACTACAGGCATGCACCACCATGTCCGGCTAATTTTGTATTTTTAGTAGAGATGGGGTTTCTCCATGTTGGTCAGGCTGGTCTCGAACTCCTGACCTCAGATGATCTGCCCGCCTTGGCCTCTCAAAGTGCTGGGATTACAGGCGTGAGCCACCCCGCCAGGCTACTTTTTTTTTTTTCTTTTAAATCAACACCCATCCTGCCTACAGTGGGGAGAATTCTCATGAGAGTAAAATGAGATGGTAAATAGTATTCTGTGGCTGGATTCCAAGTACCCTTCAGGTCTCTGTTAGGATAGCACTACCTCCAGGAGACCTCCTCAGACCCACAGTCTGGGTTAGGGGCCCACACTATGAGCTTCCATAGTAATTGATCCCTGGCAGATTGATTGTCAGTCAGTTTACCTCTCTGGCTAAGCTAATGATCAGGACTGGTTGGTCCCTGTATCCTATCCCAGCACGGTTCCCGGCACCACGAGCAGTTCAGTAAACCTTGGTTGGCTGAATTAAGTGTCGCTGTTGAGTCACTGCAGAATATAATGCAATAGTTACTGATTTGCTTTTTATATAACAAAATCAAAAATTGAGAGGCAAAGAACAGAAGTAAAATCCAGAAGACTCAGCTGCTTGGGGCATGTTCCCACCCTGGACTTGCCAACTTTCACTGTGAAACTGCAACATATTAAGTATTCGTCAGCTACGGACTTCGTGCCCATGGAATTTAATCTGCTACTTCCTCCCAGGCCAACACCTTGAGGCCAGAGGCAACAGAAAGAGGATTGAGTGAAGCAGGAAGCCTGCAAAGCCCTGGATTCCAATCCAGCTCTAGCTGCGAGGCGCTGGGCACGGGTCACTGCTCTGCGGCTCTGCTTGCTTGTCTGCAAGGTGAGTCAATGCGGCTGCCTCGAACGCTCTTTGATTTTTATTTACCTGAAACAAAAAAACTTGTGAAGCCAGCAATACAGGCTTAGGCAGTCACCCTAAGAGCTGGCTAGGATTAGGCAGCAAACAATCTTTTGGCTACAATGTCTAGCAGGTACGAATACATTAAACCAAACATGTAAAATAGCGTAATTTGTGCTGGATGCATGGCTAAGTCTGCATGGGTCAGTGTGTGGGCACAAGACTAAATCAAGGCAAGGAGCCACCCCAATAGCTCACGGAGCTGGTTAAGCACCTGTGTCATCATTATGGTAAAACAGAATCAGAAAAAGTGTATATGTGTGGTGGGGGAAGGCTGGTAGGGGAAAACCATTTATTGAATCATAGGTAAATTTTTGTTTGCCGGCTGGGCGCGGTGGCTCACGTCTGTAATCCTAGCACTTTGGAAGGCTGAGGAGGGTGGATCACTCAAGTCCAGGAGTTCAAGACCAGCCTGGCCAATATGGAGAAACCCTGTCTCTACTAAAAATATAAAAATTAGCTGGGTGTGGTGGTGCACGCTTATAGTCCCAGCTACTTGGAAGGCTGAGGCATGAGAATCGTTTGAAGCTGGGAGGCAGAGGTTGCAGTGAGCTGAGATCATGCCACTGCACTCCAGCCTGCGTGATAGAGCAAGACTTGGTCAAAAAAAATTAAAAAAAAAAAGTTTTTTGTTTGCTACTTTTGTAAAATTTTGTAGTGTATATTTTCCATTGCAATGTATTTGTAGCACAATTGACTGACTATTGCCACCATCTACTCTCTCTCAATGGTTCCTAGCTCAAGCACATTCTCTCTTAAAATTGTAAAATTATACCTAAGCACCTTACATTACGTTGTTGCTGAGCCCTTGGCCTTACATTATATTATTTTATTTTTTTGAGACGGAGTCTAACTCTGTCACCCAGGCTGGAGTGCAGTGCACAGTCTCGTCTCACTGCAACCTCTGCCTCCTGGATTCAAGCAGTTCTCCTGCCTCAGCCTCCCAAGTAGCTAGGACCACAGGCACATGCCACCATGCGCAGCTAATTTTTGTATTTTCTGTAGAGACGGGGTTTCACCATGTTGGCCAGGCAGGTCTTGAACTCCTGACCTCAAGTGATTTGCCTGCCTCAGCCTCCAAAAATGCTGGGATTACAGGCGTGAGCTACTGAGCTTGGCCAATTTTAAATGAACCTAATGAACTACCTAATATGTTTAACTATTACACAGATATAGTATTTAATATGTACCTAGTGTGTATTAAAAACATATAATAGCAAATATTTCCAATTTTGTTACAGCATTAATGACCCTCCATTCTAAAATTAGTGTGCTTATTGAATTGTATAAGAAATATTTTCAGAAAAAAATCAATTATTTAATATTTAAAGGGGTGAAAACAATTTTTTTTTCTGATATTTTTTTGGGCCAGGCGTGGTGGGTCATGCCTGTAATCCCAGCACTTTGGAAGGCAGAGGTGGGTGGATCACATGAGGTCAGGAGTTCGAGATCAGTATGGCAAAACCCCGTCTCTACTAAAAATACAAAATTAGCCAGGTGTGGTGGTGGGTGCCTGTAATCCCAGCTACTTGGAGGCTGAGGCAGGAGAATCTCTTGAAGCCAGGAGGCAGAGGTTGCAGTGAGCTGGGATCATGCCACTGCACTCCAGCCTGGGCAAAAAGAGTGAAACTCCATCTCAAGAAAAAAAAAAAAAAGATATTTTTTATGAACGCTTTTTGCTCATAGTAGTTGTAAGATGAACTTGTTGGCTATTCTTGGTAAAGTTGTTATTCCACACCTCCTCTGTGTATTTATTTAGTAGCTAAAAGTATCATCCTCAATCGAGTGGAGTATGTTTCAGATGAAGGCAGCTCTGGTGGTTAATCCAATAATCAAAAGGATGGTTGGCTTTTCCTTCTACACATTCCTTAAAAATCAGTGTATATTTTGAGATGAGAGTGAGCCATGATGTGTAGAAACTCTCCATTATTACTCTACACACTTTTGAAGAACAGATGTTCCAAATCAAGAAAGAAATGTGTTGTAGGCTAATAATTTCATTAATGCATAAAAGAAAAAAAAGCCTATTTCATTAGAACAGTGTTTAACATTATACAGAAATAAGCTTTGTCCTTTGTTTGCTGAGAACAATAGCACAATCCTCTGTGTAAAGATGATTTATCTCTTGCTAAACCACCCTAACTGTTTATGACAGCAAAAAGACAGGTATCATTAACCTTAGGTGTTGACAATTTAGAATTCATGGGAATGAGTTAGAAAAACGATAGATGGGTCCCACCCCTGAGTTTGTGGAGAGCAGATGAATCCCTGTGAACCATCACCACTCATGCCTCACGTTACCAGAAAAGAGTTCCCCTTGAATTTTCAGAGAGGGGATTTGGTTTTATGTCCCCTACATCTGAAGTTGAAGTGAAAATTGTTTTGAGGAAAAATGGATCTATATTCCAATCGAAGTATTTTCCAAGGCCCTAGAATCAAGTTTATTTGTAAATCCATAATTTACTGAACCGTTTTACCTTCCTCGTAAGTGACTCATGTATAAATTAGTGATGGATTCCTGATTAATTTATTTTTGCTGCTGTTCTTAGATTTTAAAAGCTTGCATTCCTCAAGATCACCCTCTTCATAAATACCTTCAATAAATTTCAGCACAGGATGATGGCTCAAGCCCTTTTATCCTTTGCAGAATGATATAATCGGGCATTCTAAAGCAAATAAGAATTCAGTGACCCCAAAAATGTATCGGATTAAAACCTACCAATAAAAAATGAAGTGTTACCAGAGAAAATACTCTGCAGCTGTTCTTTGCTTTAGGTACACATAATAACAACATGAGTGTGGGGTATGATCTGGTTTCAGTGTGGCATGCATTAATTCACATTTTAAAATCTTTTACATATGCTTATCTTCTTATGAGCATAGTGCAGTACTACATTAGATCTACTTAAAATCCATTGAGAGTATTGATTTTTTTCTTGAGAAAAATCAACACAGTGAGATGGTCTCTCTCCTCGTATAAAGCCCATTAGAGAAAACCAGAATTGTGTTGACGTAAAGGAGAATGTTTCCTAATGTACATGACATATCACTGTGGTTCACAAGACTCAACTCTCTTCCAAATCTAATTAACTGATTCTGTTAAGCTTATATTCTAGCCCCTGTTCGCATGGTTATCACACCTCTGTCAACCCAAACTCCCCTATTTAGGAACTAGAAGTGACTAAGAAAGTGACTCATGAAAATATAACTATCTTAAAGATATTTTACTAACATGGTAATATTAAATCAAATAATTACATGAACTGTTGGAATTTCATTTGGGCAATTTTTTAAAAGATAATTTTTAATTGCTATGAGACTGGAGTTTAAGAGTGGATGATTTAACTGAAATGTTTTAGTAAGACTGGGTAGATAAACCAAACACCCTGAATTCCCTTAATAGCAGTTATCATTCTGACATCTTCTTATTTTAAAGAAATTGCTGAAAATTTGACAAAACTAATGTGGATGGCTATAATTAAACTTGACAATATCTATATGGGGGAAGAAGTGAAATCACTATATTTAGAAACGAATGCTACCATCCCACCCCAACTACATGTTCAGGTTAAATGCGTGCACATCCTGGTAGCTGGAACATCTGTTTCTAGCTTGTTGTTCCTCTTGGCTGCTTTTCAATTGGATTTCCTCGAGCAGGTCCCAGGCTTGTCACTGCAGCCAGGGTCTGTTAACCATCACCACTGGTTCTACATTAAGTAGGAGGTTCAGGGCTAAGCTAATAACTCGCCTGCCTTTCTGACTGATCACAGTGATGTTCGCCGTGGCCACTTATCATGCGGGCTCCTTTGGGAGGGTGCTCTTCTTTGTCTGTACCTCTGGGTGGAATTGGTTTTGTTTCCCCTGGTTCCTGGAGTTACGTGTGAAAGACAAGGCTCATTGTCACTTCCATGGAGCGGCTGTGTAATGCTTTGCCCATGCATCCGCTGCACTCAAACATGAAACTCGCTCTGCCCTTTCTGCAGGACCTCTAAATACGATATGTGGTGATTCTCTTCTTCCTCCACTCTGAAAAACAAAAAAGAAACTATCACTGTATGTAGTTTACAGGAAACTAGGTTAGAATGAAACAGAGCACTTTAGTGTTCTGAATCATGGTTATGATTTGGCATAAAATCACAAGTGGGAAATGTTTGATGCTTATGGCATAGCATCGTATGTGTGGTCCACATCCAAGGGGTCAGGTGGGGGTAGGGTTGGAAGAAAAGAGGCAATTGCAAAGATGCTTAGACAATTTTCTAAAGGCCTTTAGACAGTTCAGTGGCTTCCACTTTATAAATGTTCCAGGCTGACTGTAGAAAAGGGGATGTCCAAATTCAAGGGCACACAAAAAGCATTTAGAAAGTTTGCTAACTGACAAGGGGGAATTAGTGAATTTGCTTCCCATTTCTACTTTCTAGGTGGCTTCTGAAACAGCAAAGAAAGTTGGGTTTCATCTGGGACCTGATATCCTGGGGTTGACACCATCCTGTTGTGACTCCCACAGCTGATAAGCTTTGATAGAAATTGGCGGCCCCATCTGTCAAACTCTGCCATGACTTTTTTTTTTTTCTTTTTTTTGGAGACAGTCTCACTCTGTTGCCCAGGCTGGAGTGCAGTGGCGCAATCTTGGCTAACTACAATCTCCATCTCTCAGGTTCAGGCAATTCTCCTGCCTCAGCCTCCTGAGTAGCTGGGACTACAGGCGTGTGCCACCACGCCCAGCTAATTTTTGTATTTTCAGTAGAGACGGAGTTTCACAATGTTGGCCAGAATGGTTTCGATCTCTTGACCTTGTGATCCGCCCGCCTCAGCCTCCCAAAGTGCTGGGATTAAAGGCGTGAGCCACCGGCACCTGGCCAAACCCTACCCTGGCTTTAAACCTGAAAAGTATTGCTTTCCCTAGGTTAAGGATTTGTAGGAAATTCTCTCGCCAAACCCTGCCCTTGTCCCTTGTATGGATCTATTGCAAGGTGAAAAATAGATATTGGATGAGTAATCACAAGCAGTAACAGCTCTGGTGTGATCAGGTATGGCACTGAAGCATGAGAATAAGATCAGGATGCAGTGATATTCTGATACAGGTGGGTGTTCCTCTTTTTGGGAGTGGGGGTAGTGGAGAGGGAGATGAATGTCATCCAGGTTTCTGACTACTGAAGTCATCAGTAAAGCCAGCATTGCTCTTACTAAACGTGATGAGAACAGATCTTTTGTTTTGATTTTATCTATCTCCTTTGCTTACCAGTTTTATAAGCACTTCTGGAAAAGCATCCAACTTTTTGCAATTGTAATTGTTAAAATCTGCTCATTCGCTTGAATTTTTAAAGCACAGAATTTCATTGTTAGAGTGGTTTGAGCTTTAGAGAGAAAATAAATTTATGACAGAGAATCAGGGAAAAATTCTAGCGTTTTGGGGGCGAGACTGTGATTTCCTTTTTGATCTTGCAGGCAAGGAAAAAAAAAGCAGCAACTGCTGATATTGGTGATTATGCAGAAGATGCTGGGTAGTATTTACTGAGCACTTACCAGGAAGCTTGCCTGGTTCCATGTGCTTTACCTGCATTAACTTCCCTCAGTTCTCCCAAGAATCCCACGAGATCTCTGTTGCCTTTATAGGAACCAAGCTAAAATGTTCATCAGCACAGCAAGTTTCTACTTCTCCTGTTTAAAGAAAATCTGAAAAATACCTGGATCCTTCCCTCCCATCAGCCCCCACTTCATCCATCCTCTTATGAACTGAGGGAATCTTTTATCATAGGCAAGTATAGGGTAAACCTGAGAAAAACCTTGAAGAAAGATTATGTAAGTTGAAAATCACCTAAAACTGCAGTTTTAGTCCTCCACTTTGCAGAAGAAATGAAAATATCTGGAGGAGGGAGAACAGCAGCAGAGAGAGACTGTAGGAAAGGAAAAACAAATGGCCGATAAATGTGGTCTTGAAATGAACAAGTGCACGACAATTAAGATGATCCTTTTTATGATGCCTGATGATGTCACCCTATCATTCTCTTTATTACAGTGACTTTCCACTTTCATTTTGGGACAGATGCAATTTTACATAATACCAGTGAAAGAGTTACCCTAAGAACAATAATATGTAAACATCATGTCTAAATTCAGACTATCTCCATACACTGCAGGGAAAGCAGAAGAGTGAAGAAAATGCATATTCTAAGCTAGCAGTATTAATTCAAACTCTTTATCTTTAAAAATATTTTGTTTTTAATTATTTTATAAACTACATATATGGGGACAGGTACAGTGGCTCATGCCTGTAATCCCAGCACTTTGGGAGGCTGAGATGTTTGGATCACTTGAGCCCAGGAGTTTGAGACTAGCCTGAGCAACATGGTGAAAACCCATCTCTACAAAAAATACAAAAAATTAACTGGGCATGGTGGTGTATGACTGACTGTAGCCTCAGCTGCCCGGGAGGCTGAGGTGGGATATCAGAGCCCAGTTGGTTGAGGCTGCAGTGAGCCATGATTGTGCCACTGTACTCCAGGCTGGGTAACAGAGTGAGAGCCTATCTCAAACAAAAAAAGAAACAAAACAAACAAACAAAAAAAAACCAACTTCATATATGATCTCATTGATAATAATAGCAACTACTCAAACTTTCTTTTTATTGTCATCTTATTTTAGAACTTTGTTTTACTTTTACGTAGTTCTCCTCAAGCACCAGATTCAATGTCCTGCCCTACTTTTTCTTTCTCTTTAGTGCTATATCTTTTTTTTTTTTTTTTTTTTTTTTGGCGACAGGCTCTTGCTCTGTCACCCAGGCAGGAGTGCAGTGGTGTGATCACAACTTACTGCAACTTACATCTCCTGGGCTCAAGTGATCTTCCTACCTCAGCTTCCCAAGTATCTGGGACTACAGGCCCATGCCACCACACCTGGTTAATGTTTGTATTTTTTATAGAGATGGCCATGTTGCCAAACCTGGCCCGAACTCCTGGGCTCAAGCAATACACCCTCCTCAGCCTCCCAAAGTGTTGGGATTACAGGCATGAGCCACCTCACTCGGCCCTAGTGTTATATCTGTTTGAATTTGAATTAATATGATTAGCTTAGAATATGCATTTGCTATGGTCTTAAGTATAATTCAAAGACAAGATTAAAAAATTTTTTTAGGTCAGCGTGGTGGCTCATGCCTGTAACCCCAACACTTTGAGAGGCTGAGGCGGGTGAATTACCTGAGGTCAGGAGTTTGAGACCAGCCTGGCCAACATGGTGAAAACCCCATCTCTACTAAAAATACAAAAAATTAGCTGGGCATGGTGGCGGGTGCCTGTAATCCCAGCTACTTGGGAGGCTGAGGCAGGAGAATTGCTTGAACCCAGGAGATGGAGGTTGCAGTGAGCCAAGATCGTGCCACGACACTCCAGCCTGGGCAACAAGAGTGAAACTCCGTCTCAAAAAAAATTTTTTTTTAATTGACACATAATAATCATGCATATTTATGGAGTACATAGGGAGGTGATTATACATGATGTATAGTGATCAAATCAGGATAATTAGCATATCCAGCATCTCAAACATTCATCATCTGTTTGTATTGGGAACACTTAATATCCTCCTTCTAGATATTTGAATTCTATATATTATTATTAACTATAGTCATTCTACAGTGCTAGAGAACACTAGAACTTATTCCTCCTATCTAGCTGTAATTTTGTGTCCTTTAACAAATCTCTTTCTATACTGCCCTTCTCCCGCCCCTTCCCAGCCTCTAGTAGCCTCTTTTCTACTTTTTACTTCAGTGAGATCAACTTTTTTTTTTAAGCTTCCATATATGAGTGAGAATACATGGTGCTTAACTTTCTGTTCCTAGCTTATTTCACTTTCAAAAACAAGATTTTTAATGTTTACATAATATTCTATCTAGCAGATGGTCCAGAGTTACTCCATAGCTGGATTTTGAGAATATCTCCAATGTCTTACTGGCAAATATGTTTGTATATACAAATGTTTTAAAAGCTAGAATAACTATGTTATAGTCCCAGAATTGCTAAGTTTAAATGGTGTGCTTAGCTGGAAAAATCTAACATTCTTTAATTTTCAATAAGAAATAAGAAAGAAAGCTTTCTCGCCTGGTTTTAAGTTAGCAGAGGAGTTAAAAACTTCTACTAGAATGAAGTTGCTTATCTGACCCATGTTTTATTAATATATGGAGTGATTCCTAGCTTAGAAACACTAAGGTGATAACTATGAAGAAAACTTAAAGTGAAAAAAGCACCATTTTATATCCTCTGTTCAATGCAAACACACTTTCCAGAATAAAAAAAAAATTCTGACATATCTTTATGTATCTATAAATTTGGCTTGTGAATGTGTATATCCTAGGGAAGATGTATTAATAGGTCTGTAATGATATAAAATTTATGCTGGGGGTGAGGCAAAACTTAATGGTTCATAAATAGCAAATTCATTATATTTTTAATACTCAAGTTATATTAACACCATATAACATCTTTATGGTGCCATTAGAACCATTTAAATCTTTGACTCAACCTGAAAAACAAACATTTCCAAATCTTGGCCATGAAATGATTAGTCAAATAAAATGTTTTAATAAATATTATTGGATTAGAACATGGTTGGTTGGGTCATAAACTGTCTTATGAATGTTTTATGTCATCGGTTACACTGCATTTTTAAATGTTAACAAATTAATTTATTTTAAAGGCCGCATCAAGGTGAAAACACCTTGTTTCCACTGGAGCATTAGGCAGCAGGACAATACATCATGGAGCCATTTTTCATTCAGTCATACCACTGGCAGAACAGATGTTAAGACATAAAATGTGGTATGGTTTGTTAAATATTCATTTATAATTTGCATTCATTATTAAATTATGTGTTGGGCTAATCTTTAATCTTAAAAATACAATGTCATGAAGCTCTCAGAATACATGATATTTTATAATTTAGTGTTACTTTAAGTGTTGACTAGAACGTACACAAATGTTTGTCAGTAATGATCCTTAATTATTCCAAGGAGATTTGATCTGCATTGGTATTGAGTTCAATAATTCATTCAAGCCTTCAGGTCACTAAGAGAAATATCAGTTTGGGGATACCATCTCTTCTGTGACTAATGATGATTCAGCTACTTGCTTCTCATAGCCACACTGTCATTCATTGCCTAAAACCATTTTAACACAGAGTGGTGACTTTGAGGATCTTATTTTTTAGTGGTCTCAAATGATTATCACAATAAACTTCACTTTTGGTTTAGAAGCTCGAGAGTAAAAATTCTCTAAGATTCAGTTCTTTGAATAGACTATCCTAGAATACAGTAAATTCTGGGCTTGAGAATTTCCTATGCTCGAATAGTCAAATATTTGATTAAGCTCCATAGCTGTGATATTCAATTTGCATTTGGTAAGCTGAAAAAAGTACAGCCATCATGAGAAAGCTGGATGTGGCGGAGTGGTGATTTGTATTATAGTAGCCTGGTAGCTGCCCAATGAACCATGTAAAAACAGTTCATTAAAATGTTTATGTGCTTGGCTGGTTAATGCAAAGAAAGCTTTATTGCAGCCTTATAAAACCTTGGTAACTTCAGGTTGGAGTCAGATCAATGCATTGTAATAACTCATGCATATGCTTCATCTCTCCTGGAGTGGAGAAAAGAACCAAGAAACTTCCTTTTCTTCCTTGTTTCTATCACCACATATTTTCAGATTTTAAAAATGAATCCAAACTTTCTTCCTTTTGGCTCTTCTTAAACCAATTAAAATAGTCCAAGTTCATTTATAGGCAATTTGTAACACTTCATAAAACCATGAAGTATTGTTTATAATAAAATCTAATCAACAAATATGTGATTACTGCATTTTTACTGAACATCAAAATTTTACTGAACTTCAAAAACTAACCAGTATTAAACCAGAAAGCAGACATGCTAATATTTTTCAACGAGTGTCTCCCATTTTCTTAGGTAGTTTTGGGGATGCATAGACCTATTTTAAGCCCAGGAGGGTATGAGTAGGAGACTATACCTATGTGAGACTTTTAGACGTTGACATTTTAATAAATAGTTAACAGTTGGGTCTACAAATAGAAATGATATTTTTAAAATGCTCCCTTAAACAAAATATACCCATTTTTAATAAAAAATTGATCTATATGGGTATTTACCTCCACAAGAGATACACAATTAGATCTTTAGATGGGAAGTAGTATTTCCGATTCATATATACAAAGACTTCCAATAAATAATGACTTATTCATTAGTCTAGTATGTTGAACACTGCCTCAGGAACAAGCACAAGAAGAAAACATGCTTTCAGGAGCAAAGCCAAAAAGTGCTAAGATCATACAATAGTAGAATATTAATAAAGATATGGCAATATGTTTTCTCGCCTTCCCTTGCTATGTACACCACTATTTATTTTAACACGTGAACACACGGAGGAAGAGACCATAGACTACAACATTGTTACCATCAAAATGCACCAATTAAAATAGATGCTCCTTGCACACAGCAGACTGCCTCAAAATATTCTTAATGTTCTATGTATCAGCCAAGCCATGGCATTTGAAAATTGTCTTAATGGGCTTGTGAACATCAAAATCCCACCTTCCCCGCCTCCTGTAAGGTTGAAGAGTGGATGGCTCCTCCGAACTGATATTTGGAGATGTTTTTTTTTTTTTCCCTAATTCCTCAGACTGCCCAATCTAAAAGGGAAGTTCTTTTTTTGGAATTTGGTACTACATCATGTAAAGATGAATTTGACTCTAACACACTGTCTGTGGAATATTGTATTATAAAAAGTACTCGTACTAAATTGAAAACAGTACCTAGCATAATGCCTTAGATATGATAGACACTAATTAAATATTTGAGTGGCTGAATGAATGTGGAGGGAGTGGTATTTTAACATTTGCTTTGAGATCCAGTGGCTGGGTCCTCTTATCTCAGAGTATGAGGTTGCAGGGAAGGAAAGGAAAGGAAGAATCCATGAAGTAAAATAAAAGAAGCCAAATATTTACCTGCTTTGGAGTGCTAACCTTCGTAGCCCTCAGATGTATGTAGAACACCATTTAAAATATTTGTTAGCACAGCTGAACATTAATCCTTCTTCTCTGTGGATTGCTAAAGAAGATCTGGGGTTGTTGAGTTGGGTCTGAAACTGCACCAGTTCAAGACCGCTTAATTGAGAATCTTTTCTTATCATTTTAGATTGCACACCCCATCAACTTTTATACAGGATTAGGAGGCTGGAAGCCATGGTGTGGCCTCTGATTTGTGATTATGGGTGGAGAATTGGTGTGCACTGACCCAATCTCTCACACCAGCACTGCAGACATCAGTGGCCATACTTAGACTTGGATGATTGTTTTGGCTTCTGATGAGACCCAAAGCAAGTCAAGAATCTACTTATTTTTATTTTTTGCTTTTTATTTATTTCTGAGATGTGGTCTACCTATTTGCCCAGGCTGGTCTCAAACTCCTGGCCTCAAGTAATCTCCACCATCCGCCTGCAAAGTACTGAGGTTACAGGTGTGAGCCACCGTGGCTGGTCTAAGAATCTATTTTTAACAAATTTGTTTGACTAAAATCTGCATGTGTATGTGACTGTGGCTATGTGAGTACATGGGAGAGGGGATGGTATAAGAGGAGAAGAAAGAAGGACCTAGATTTCAACATCTCTATACCTATGATCATGGCTCTCCAATTTCTAGGATGGAAAAAGAGATCTCCGATAAGTTTAATTAAGCTTCCTCATCTCTGCAAGCTTCAAAAAAGCTGAGTCTGGTGGAGAAAGGAGGGCTGGCTAACCATGTGGGTCTCCTCAAGTCCCCTCAGATCTAATTGCAAGCATAAATGGCCCCCAGTCCTGGAGCATATCAACTTGATGTGTATAATTGATAGCCAAACATTTTTTACAGGCTGTTAAATGGTAAGGCCACAATGAAATGTATATAATGTTGATTAAAGTGATTTTTGTACAAAAGGGTCAGAGACATTAACAAGTTAAAAGAAAATGTGAGCTCTGTTCTTATTCCTCTAACCTTTGTTCGGGTTTTCCCATAATTGACACCACATGTTTACTATGCCTATTTTCGTCAAATTTAAGGCTGTTAGTATTCAATGTATTTAGAAGTGCTCTTGAGATTAAGGCAGTCACAGAGTGCTCAGAAAGGTAGATTTCAGATATTATCACAGCACATGGTAAAGAGAAAGATTTAAATAAACCCCTCCAGCTTGCCTTGTGTTAAATTGTCTGGCTCCTAAAGTAAAGGTAACTCTGAAAAGGATTAAAATGGACATCTAAATGATAATTACTGGGTAATTTTGTTTTGGTTATAATTTGTGGTGTTATTTTTATAACTGACATGAGACATAATATATTTTTCAGGGTTCTGCAATAGCCAAGCAACAAATGGAAGCTGTCAGAAAGTATTTGTAGGAACAGTTATGGAAGAAAGCTGCGAGGTTGTTGAAACGCTACACAGACTACATTTTTTTAGCCTATGCATGAGTAGAATACTTTCCTAAAAATGTAATTGACTGTGGACGTGTGGCATACAGCAAGCCCTCTGCCTAGGCTTTTGAAATCCTCTTATTTTCACTGATGCAAAACCGGCATGGTGTCTTTCAAGGATCTTTTCAACTCACCCTGTGTCATCACACGCACATTACTGAGCATTTGATGCTGTCTTACCTCCTGTTCTCTAGACCCGTCCCTCTTCCTCTTTCTTCCTGTCTTTTCTGTTCTATCTGTGCTCTGGATCACTCTGTGGCACCAAGGACACTGCAGGGGCTTTAGCTCCTGGTCCTTAACTGGCGGCGCTCAAATCTACTGACTTTACTGACCTCTGCCCAAGCCATGAACTGAGACCGACGAATAGATCACCCAAACTCCCAGCAACCAGCACATGGCAGTTGTGCAGGGCCTTTTCCATGCGGCATAATTTCGTGGAATTTCTCTCTCTCCTCATCTGGCTCTGATTATTTGCTGATTTGTAATTTTAGTTATTCGTGTGCAAGTCTTATCTCCTTTGCCAGACTGTATGCTCCTGAGCAACATGCACTATGCTTGATGCATTTTGTGCGTCTTCTCTCCTTCCTGGGCTTGGCATGGTGCTCAGCACAACGTGGAAATTCAGTAGATACATTGTGAGTGAATTCATGACATTGAAGCTAGGAACACAGAATATCCTAAAGATAATCCAGGTATCAATGCCAGAGATTGGTCACATCCTGGCTAAATCTGTAGCTATTTAAACTAAGTTTCCAGTTTCTTATTTCCATAGCTATGAAATCAAGAGGATATATATTTTAAAGTTTCCACAATATCTTGTTTTCAGAGATTTGAAATCAAGATGTTATATCTTCTTCCATTGAGTAGGAAATAGCTCTCACGCCCTGCTGTGGCAGTACAAGGCTGAAGGAATTATAATGATCCTTGAACTCAAGTCTCCTGATAACACATTTTATTAACTGGTAGGAGACTAGAATAAGACTTGTGGGTGAAACTAGTATGTCTCAAGCAATTCTAATTTCCAGGCACAGAAACTGTACTTTGTAGCAGCAGAATTTTATTTGAGAAGTGACTTTACTAGGGGAAGTCCTACCAATTGTTTAATTTCTTTTTCACCCTAAATGATAGGAAAAGGGGAAATCATATAGCCTCAAATACTCAAAGATATTTAACTTTATAAACAGGAAGCACACGAGGGTTGCATTTTGTTTGCTTAATGGCAATTTTTGGGAAATACACAAGAAACTAAACAACTATGTTTATGAACGTTTTTAACTTTTCCAATCTTTCTTGATTCTTTCTTTCTCACTACATAGAGATTTAAAATAATAAAATCAGTTATTGCAATGATTAAAATGGTTTGAAAAAACTAGTACTTTTCCACTTCTTTTGCTTTCCAGAAAAAGAACTCATGTGTTCCAAATTATATTTTTCCTCAATTTCTGTTCAGTCCTTCATATTACATTTTAATTGGGATAAAAAATTTTTTTTCAATTCACAAGCTCATCAATCCAGAGGAGATACTTCTAATATAAGTTATAAGAGCAAACATTCAAGAAAACTGAAGTTGGAAACATGTTTGTGTCTTTTTTCCATGACTAACCCATGTCTATTCTCTATGAAATTGATGTCAAAAAGGTATTATATATTTTCAGTAGGAAATAGAAGGCTGCCCTCTACTATCCTTGTCAGGACGTCGTATCCCTTTAATCATACTTTTCATTTCAGTACATTGAAATTTCCGTTACCAAGGACAACATCATAAATAAAAGTGTTTGTGAAATTTTACCTGCAGCTTCCTAACTTTGTGCATTAAGCATGAGACTAGCAGAGAGGTGGTCAAATGTGAAAATTTATAATCATTTATTACGTACGGCTGAAGCAAGAAGGGAATAAAAGCGTGAAGGCATACATCTATAAACGGAAGCCGAAAACCTTAAATGAAAAGTAAAGTGAATTTCTGTGTCTTGTCATAAAGTAATGAGAAGCTAGAGCTTTTATTCATAGCAACCCAAGATGCATTTACTCTCAATCTAGCTTCAGCAGTAAACGCTTCCCTGATGTATTGCTTTGGACTTACAAAGAAATATTTGTGCTCTACATAATAGTATAGTTAGGAGAATTACTGCATGGTTGAGAAGATTCTATAAAGCTTTATAGCTGGTGGTGTTACTGTAATTTAATCACAATGTAGCTAATGTAGTACTTTAATATCACAGGTTACTTTTTTATTTACCATTTATTAGTAACTGACAGAGTCAATCATCTCTACATCATAAACAAATCATGGAGGGATTCTATAGGAACCCTAAAATTCCGGGATAGATGTACTATGGCTGTTTTACACTACCACATTCCCTGTAATGAGCTAACCATCAAATTATTATTTAGATCTGTGAAATGTAAGGCAGGCTCCTTGTTCTTAGTCCATTGGCCAAAGAAAACTTGAGGACATTTTATGTCAGGAATACAATTAGCACCGCATGTCATTTATGCTCAGAAATAACTCATTGATCCAATTCTAGCAAAATCTAGAAGCATTTTCTGAAAAATGTTAAGGTATTTAGCTAAAATTTTTTCTAACTGTTCTGTAATCTATTCATGAACATTACCATAATGTTAAGCTTAAACCAATGCTTTGTCATTAGGATTTTTAAATGAAAAGTATGTTTTTATACTTGAAAATAAAATACAAATGCTTTTGTCATTTCTGTTTACATATATTGCTCTCTTGATAGATTATAGATAGAAAGATAGATAGACATATAATTAGTTGTTACATAAACCATGTCACATTAATATGGTTGATGCCAGAAATATTAAGCAAGACTAATAAGGAATGCTGCTAATGTCTGGAAACTGTGACACTGTGAAAAGTAGGACTGACGACATGTCTAAGCCTAAATCTAGGTTTGGGTTTTCTGACCTTGGACAAGTCTCCTGACCTCCATGAATCTCAGTAGTTCCATCTGTAAAACAGCAATACTGGTATTTGTCCTACTGATCCCACTAGACTGTTGTGAGAATCCAATAAGATATTGTAGAGAAAACATCCTGCAAACTGAAGAGGTACACAAAGCATCAATATTTTGGACATAAAAGGCTATAAATAAATGTAGAATTGAGTGTTCAAAGCAGGTACTTTTTTTTTTTTTCCAGAGTCTCACTCTGTCGCCCAGGCTGGAGTACAATGGCACGATCCTGGCTCAATGCAACCTTCACCTCCTAGGTTCAAGTGATTCTCCTGCCTCAGCCTCCCAAGTAGCTGGGATTACAGGCATGTACCACCATGCCTGGCTAATTTTTGCATTTTTAATAGAGACGGGGTTTCACCATGTTGGTAAGGCTGGTCTTGAACTCCTGACCTCAGGTGATCCACCCACCTCGGCCTCCCAAAGTGTTGAGATTACAGGTGTGAGCCACTGCACCTGGCCCAAAGCAGTTACTTTTAATATAATATGTGAATAGTTTTTATTACAAAGAGGGTAGAAAGCCATGTAAAAAAAAAGTTCTATATCTTACCTAATATGTATTGTGCACCTACTATGTACCAGGCACTGACAGAACCTATTGCACTAAGAATAGTTGATGAAAGTCTCCAAAAGGACAATGAATTGAAACTAGGTTCAATGTTAGTAGATAACCAAGTCCCAATCATCTCTTCTAGAGCCTTTACACTTGCTACTATAGGCCACTCTCTTTCAGCGTGATTGGATTGTCT
Source organism: Homo sapiens (assembly GCF_000001405.40). NCBI lineage: Eukaryota > Metazoa > Chordata > Mammalia > Primates > Hominidae > Homo > Homo sapiens. Next base: position 200,461,719 of record NC_000001.11, on the reverse strand, counting down.
AAATTTTTTAATTATTGGGAATTTACACACCCTTAAATTCTCCGTAGGCCTTCAACTTGCCTAGGGCTAGGCCCACGTGAAGTAGTTGGGCTATAACTTAGTGACAGTGGCTGATCTCTAGTTTGGTAGGTGGTACTTCTGGAAATAAAAATAGCTCTGCTCAGAAGCACAACTTTAGATTAACAACTCAAAGAAAGAGAGACAGTCTTCAGGTAACTGAAGTGACTGTTCAGTTGAGAACAGAAATGTCAACATAGGCATGGGCTTTATTGATTTTTTTCATGGATGTTATTTAGTTCCTTGTGCGTGGAATATCCTCCTCTTTGTCTGTCAAAGTCTTGCTATTTCTTCAAGGTCCAGTTGAAAGGTTATTTCCTCCATAAAATCTTCCTGTCTGCCCCTTCTATTCCATCACCTGATCTCTCACTTATAAGTCTAAAATTTTGCTCTATATTAGTTATTTCCATGTCATTATTTATTATACTTTAATTTTTTCAAGGCAATGACAAGTGGACTTCATCTTTGAGCTCCTTTTGGCTTTTAGTTTCATGTCTTAAACAAGAAGCCACCCAAATTGTCATTGAATTTAATTACCGCCACTTTTTAAAAATTGTCTGACGTAGGTATGTATAAAACTATTAGGACTTTCTTGGTGTTGGTTACTTTAAAAATAAGAGCTAAAGCTAGCTGTTTTAGGCACTATAAAATAGTGGTGTATTGGGTTTGTTTTTCTTTTATGAAATTAATTTTAGGCCGGGCACGGTGGCTCATGCCTGTAATCTCACGACTTTGGGAGGCCGAGGAGGGTGGATTACCTGAGGTCAGGAGTTTGAGACCAGTCTGACCAACATGGTGGAACCCTATCTCTGCTAAAAATACAAAAATTAGCCGGGTGTGGTGGCAGGCGCCTGTAATCCCACCTACTCGGGAGGCTGAGGCAGGAGAATAACTTGAACCTGGGAGGCAGAAGTTGCAGTGAGCCGGGATCATGCCACTGCACTCCAGCCTGGATGATGGAGCAAGACTCCATCTCAAAAAAAAAAAAAAGAAAAGAAATTAATTTTAAAGATCACCAAATTTTATACTTCAAATGCAGCCTACTGTTATTCTGTTTTTCTCCTTTTTGGTAAATTCTGAGTGTACTATCTACTCTTCATATTGTACATTTTACCACACATTCTTTAGTAAAAAGCAGCAGTAAGGCAAGGTACAGTGGCTCACACCTGTAATCCCAGCACTTTGAGAGGTCAAGGCAGGACGATTGCTTGAGCCCAGGAGTTCAAGACCTGCCTGGGCATAATGGTGAGACCCTGTCTCTACAAATTTTTGTTAAAAAATTAGCTGGGTGTGGTGGCATACTCCTGTAGTCCCAGCTGCTTTGGAGGCTGAGGCAGGAGGATCGCTTGATCCCATTAGGTCTAGGCTGCAGTGAGCCATGTTCATGGCACTGCATTCCAGCCTGGGCAACAGAGAGAGACCCTATTTCCAAAAAAACCAAAACCAAAACCAAAAACATCAGTTCTGGCCAGGCGTGGTGGCTCATGCCTGTAATCCCAGCACTTTGGGAGGCCAAGGCGGGCAGATCATTTGGGGTCAGGAGTTTGAGACCAGCCTGGCCAACACAGCGAAACCCCTTCTCTATTAAAAATACAAAAAATTAGCTGGGCGCGGTGGCTCGTGCCTATAGTCCCAGCCACTTGGAAGAGTGAGACATGAGAATTGCTTGAACCAGGGAGGCGAGGTTGCAGTGAGCCAAGATTGCACGACTGCACTCCAGCCTGGGCCATAGAGTGAGACTCTGTCTCAAACAAATGAACAAACAAACAAACAAACAAAAAACCCCCAACAGTTCTGCCTCAAACGGTCCTCCTATGTTTGCAGTACTGTGCTGAGTACAGAAAGGGATTCAAGGGAAGTAGAAGATGAAATACCTTCCTGGGGCCTCAGCTGTCTTAGAATTAGCACAGGTCTCAGGGGTCAGCCCTCTGTTGAGACAAAACATTGTGAAGGTCCTTGCTAGGTGTAGATACCACATGATTTCTATCTGATGAAATATTAAAGAAAAAAAACTAAGGACATGACTGTGACTAATATGTGTCGAATATTTTGCTTAAGGTTGAGAAATAGGCAGACAATGAGAATAGAAGGAGAACCCACCTGGTCCCACATTTCCAGCCTCACTGTGGGTGAAGGCATGTTATCTCCTTTCTAGAATATTGAACATTTTATATTAGAAGCAAGAGAGTACAGAACTATAGCAAAATAGGACTGATAAAATATGCCCAAATCCTTTCTGAGTTTATTTTCTAACCATTTTCTAATATATTTATATTCCTATTACTATAAGATATAGAAGTAAACTTAAATATTTGTGTTAGTGATAACAATCACAATTTAGTAAAAACAAAAACAAAAACCCCAACCGTTTGGGAAGTTCTGTGTAATTTAAAAATAATGAGCAGAAATTTATTGGCTCATAGTTCTGGAGGCTAGAAAGTCCAGGGTCAAGGTGCTGGCAGGTTTGGTGTGTGCTGCGGGCCTGGCTTCCACTTCTAAGATGGCTTCTTGAATGCTGCATCCTACGGGGGCGCGGGGGAAGAACACTGTTCCTCACATGACAGATGAGTGGAAGAGTAAAGAGAGGGCGAGGGAAGGGAGGGGAGTAAACTCACGCTTTCATAAGGAGCCCACTCCTGATATAACAAACCCACTCCCGCGATAACGGCGTTAATTTATTCATGAGGCAGAGCCCTCATGACCTAGCCACCTGTTGTTAGACTCCGCCTCCAAACACTGATGCATTGGGGATTAAGTTTCCCACATACGAACTTCGGAGGACACATTCAAACGATAGCAGTGAGCCTTTTTACATCAGCTTTAATACCGACTGGATGGATGAACCAAAGCATACCCCTAGATCCAGCTGAGTATTTTCACACCTATACAAATAAAATATAACGTTTTCATTGATTCCTAATGTATTTCATGTGAAATGTCTGACTGTACCTTTAAAATTCAAAACGAAGATAGGCCAGTCACAGGGGTTCATGCCTGTAATTCCAGTACTTTGGGAGACTGAGGTGAGCTCAGGAGTTTGAGAGCATCTCGGGCAACATGGCGAAACCCCACCTCTACAAAAATATACAAAAATTAGCCAGGTGTGGTGGTGTGTGCCTGTGGTCCCAGCTGCTTGAGAGGCTGAGGTAGGAGAATCAATTGAGCCTGGGAAGTCGAAGCTGCAGTGAGCCGTGATCACATCACTGCACTCCAGCTGGGGCAATAGTGAGACTCTGTCTCAAAAAAAAAAGAATAAATAAAATTTCAACAAATAATGATTAAGACAATTTAGTTTAGTTTAATAAAATTGTTGAAAGTCTACTTTTTGCCAGGTTATTTATTAGATGTATTATGTGCATTGCACACACGTGCACCTGTATGTGCATGTGTGCCTGTATGTATGTACATGCGTGCATGTCTACAATTGTTCAGATGTTTTGGAAGATGTCAGGAAGAGAAAGATAACTAAGATGTGAAGTCTACCCTGGTGGAGGATTCGGATCACCCCAATGTCAAATAGCTCACCCCATATGATGGAATAACATAGCATCTATGAGGGATTTTTGTTTGTTTGTTTGAGACGGAGTCTTGCTCTGTCTCCCAGGCTGGAGCGCAGTGGCCCGGTCTCGGCTCACTGCAACCTCCGCCTCCCAAGTTCAAGTGATTCATCTATGAGGGATTTTATTAGCAGTAAGTAGAGTCTCTCTGTATAATATTTGAGATATGTTTCCCAACTTCCTCTTATTTAGTAGTTTTTGTGTTTTAAATACTTATTGTGTTTTTTTTTTTCTTATAACACCCTCATTTCAGCAATATTTTTATTGTCTTTGACTGGAATCTGTTCTTTTGTGATTTCTTTTTTTTTTTTCAAAGCTTAGGAAATTATCATTTTTCCAAAGAGGTAATAAGTACATCTGATTTTTCTATACTTTAACATTTAACTTTTAATTCAGATGGTGTTTAAAGAAACTTTTAAACCTCAATTGTCTGCATACACACACAATAAGGAGACTTGCAGTTTTAAAGAGCTGCTTAGCCAGGTGCGGTGGCTCATGCCTGTAATCCCAGCACTTTGGGAGGCAGAGGAGGGCAGATCACTTGAGGTCAGGAGTTTGAGGCCAGCCTGGCCAACATGGTGAAACGCCATCTCTACTAAAAATAGAAACATTAGCTGGGCATGGTGTTGCACACCTGTAATCCCAGCTACTCGGGAGGTTGAGGCAGGAGAATCTCTTGAACCCAGGAGGTGGAAGTTGCAGTGAGCCAAGATCAAGCCACTGCACTCCAGCCTGGGCAACAGAGTGAGATTCCATCTCAAAAAAAAGCTGCTTGGAAATTTTAAGAAGACACTACACAAATCATACCAAGGAAAAGTTGAGTTGGGTTTAAAAAGATAATCCCCACTCTAGAGAGATATAATAAGGAGAAAATAAAATAGTACAGGGGAAATATTTAACATTGCGCCTGGTGTGTAGAAAATACTCAAATCACTGTTGCATTTGAATCTCAAGGAAGATGCTTATGATAGCTCTTGAAACCATTTGAGTTTCTAGACATGGAAAAGACCTTAAATATGACACTTTCTACTTCAGCCTGAGGGAAAAAACATGAAAAAGATAAGTAGCTATCAAATGAGTAAGGATTTATGTGAAAAGTAACTGTACCCTCATTTTTGCATTTCTCTAAATGTTGCTCTAAATTATATAGTTTTAATTTCAGTGTAATTACTAGTGTTAGTATAACTGATATTTATGATAGTATTTAATGTACAGCAATGATAGCCTTTAATGAGAGTATTTAGCTGTCCAGAGAAAAGCATAACCAAGTGGGAAAGTCTGCCAAATCTTTACTTTGGTTAATTATATTTATTCATTCAATGTTATTTATTGAGCTTCTACTTTGTGCCAGGCAGTGTGGACACAGCCAACAACCAGCTGTGGGGATTAATTCTGGGAGAAACAGATATTAAACAACTATGTAATTGCAAAGTGAGTAATTATAATTTGGGGAGTACTTCCAAGGAGCTGTACAGGAGGCTAAGAGGGCACATGCTAGACCCCCTGGATGGAAAGCTGGTTGACGAGGTATTTTGGACACAAGGTCACAACTGAGACACCATCATCTTCCAGACCCAACTTCTAAAAGGTATTTAACAATACCTAGAAGGAGACTGTCTACTGTGACAGTCCTACAGGCCCATAGTCATCCCTGGCTACTGTTCATGGGTAATCTAATAGCCAGTGCCAAAGGGTTGGAGGGAAAAACACAAGGAAGAAAGTAAAAACTTTGATTTTTTATTTTTCCACAGGCTCAAGAATACTCAGGGAACAACTTATATCAACTTTATATTGTTAAATGTTATCGGCTGGGCATGGTGGCTCACACCTGTAATCCCAGCACTTTGGGAGGCCGAGGCGGGTGGATTACCTGAGGTCAGGAGTTTGAGACCAGCCTGGCCAACATGGCAAAACCCCGTCTCTACTAAAAATACAAAAATTAGCTGGGCATAGTGGCGGGTACCTGTAATCCCAGCTACCTGGGAGGCTAAGGCAGTAGAATCGCTTGAACCCGGGAGGCAGAGGTGCAGTGAGCTGAGATCGTGCCACTGCACTCCAGCCTGGGCAACAGAATGAGAAAAATAAATAAATAAATAAACAAAAATAAATGTTATCAAATAAGGTCTCTGATAACAGAGGACAGGAGGCAAAGGTGAGAAGGTTTAAAAGAGGTTAAGGGAGTGAGAAAATGTAGGAGAGGCTTAAGAAAGATTTGAGAAAAAATGAAAGGGGAAAGGGGAACTATATGACTTAAAATTTAAAGTCATCGTGAGATAACTTATGGTTATTCAAATTAATGTACTTTGGTGGTTAATCTTCAATGGAGTGCCTAAAAATGTGCTAGGTAATGTTATAGGTACTGGGAATACCAGGGTGAACAGCACCGGACCTTATTCCTGTTTTCATGGAGTTTGTAGACTAGTAAATCACAAAATAAAGTAAGTCATAAGAAGCATACAATTAAAACTAGATCCAACTGGGTTTACATTGGATACATCTATAAAGGAAAGATATGCATGGCAGTATAAGAGAATGCACCAGGGAGGCCGGGTGCCGTGGCTCACACCTGTAATACCAGCACTTTGGGAGGCCGAGGTGGGCGGATCACCTGTCAGGAGTTTGAGACCAGCCTGGCCCGTCTCTACTAAAAATACAAAAATTAGCTGGGCGTGGTGGCGCATGCCTGTAATCCCAGCTACCCAGAGGCTGAGGCAGGAGAATCACTGGAACCCAGGAAGCAGAGGCTGCAGTGAGCCGAGATTGCACCACTGCACTCCAACCTAGGCGACAGAGCAAGACCCCATCTCAAAAAAAAAAAAAAGACAGAGAATGCCCCAGGGGAACCGTACCTAGTGCAGGCAGGCCCTAGGGCATTAGGAAAATGATATCTAGGTGGAAAGGTGAAAAGTGTAAGTGTTCATTAGTGGGGACTGGGTATTCTGGGGAGAGGAAACACCATGCGCAGAGGCCCTGTGGCTGAAGGAAGTGTCATGTACTGAAGAAACTAAAAGACATTTAATAAGGCCAGAGCTGAAAGCAAGGACTGTGCAAGATGAGACTGGAAGGTACACGGGCGTCAGGCTGGATAGGGTTTAGTAGACCATGTTCAGGATTTGAGTATTTGCCCTAAGAGCAGTGGGAATCTCTTAGAGAGCGTTAAGTAACAGCTGATACAATATAATGTGGCTTGAGTTTTATAAAGATCATTACTGTTACTTGAGAAGAATACACTGGAGAAGGGCCTGCCTGGATGCAGGAAGCTTGTTGGGATGCTACTGGAGCGGCCTGGTGGCACAACCATGGAGGTGTGAGCTGGGGGGATGGTGAAGATGCGGAGAAGCTTACAAACCCAGCTTATGTTCAGGAGGAAAAGTCATCAGGACTGGGGGAAATGTTCTGGTTCACAGAACTGGGTGGATGGCATTGTCATTCCTGACAGAGGGAACCCTGAAAAACCATGTGTGGCCTGAGATAAGCAAGTGGAGATGCCGAGCTGGCAGCTGGACATTTGTGTCTGGTGCTCAAGTGAGTGATCAGGCCTGGAGATAAAATTAAGGCCTGTAATTCCAACACTTTGGGAGGCCGAGGTGGGAGGATCGCTTGAGCCTAGGAGTTTGAGACCAGCCTGGGCAATATAGTGAGACTGTTTCTGTAAAAAAAAAAAAAAGAAAAGAAAAGAAAAGGAAAAAAATGTGAGTGTCACCAGGCTATGGTCACAGCTAAGACAGACGGCCTCAGGAGAGGTTGGGTGTGAGAGAAGTACAGTGTTTGGGACTAGTCATGGGAAATTCTAGCCTTTAAAGTTTGGGGAAGGAAGAATGAGGCTGAGGAGGGGCCAAAAAGGTAGAGACCTGACTTCAACTCCAGCTTTCTGAATTCTGGTATTCCAGTATATCACACTGTTTTTTTACAGAGAAAAACTTTCCAACATTATCTCATGTTCCTAAAACTCTGAAATCCGGGTCATTTATGTCTTGAGGCAAATCTAGATGGTTACACGCTCTAAAATTTTTTAACTGATCAATGATGTGTTGATTTATAAAGCATTTACACCACAGTTCTATCCTGTCCAAAACCCTTCCAATGTACCTTTTAATCCCCATTTCCAAGTCACAGTGAAGTTCAGCACCTTTTCCTTTTCTTATGTAAATAGGTAGATGGGAGCCACCTTAAGATGTAGGGGCAAGAATGGAGAGGAGGAAAGGCAAGGAAGATTTCCTGGTCCAATTCCCAGCCCGAAAACCTCTCTTCCCTCTGCTCCCATCTTTTTCTTTTTTCTTTTTTTTTTTTAATTTCCCCATCTTCTGGAGCCTGACCATGTTTCCTCTATAAAAATTCTGTAAATAGAAACAATCAGGGTGCAGTGAGCCCTGATTGCGCCACTGCTCTCCAGCCTGGGCGACAGAGTGAAACCCTATCTCAAAAAAACAAAGCAAAACAAAACAAAAAACCCCAGTCATTTCATCTGGGGAGAGGCTCTGCTTCAAGGACAGCCTGGACTCTGGGCTTTAGGGTAGAAGAGCATCTGCAGAGGAAGAGTGGGGAGATGGTAGCCACCTCTCGTTTCTTCCGAGGATGACATTGAAGGACCACTATTGCCAGGCTGCTCCAGCATGGCAGTCACTACGTGGGAAGAACATGAGATCTCGGTATCACTGAAACCAAGCATTTCAAGGAGGTGGACAGAGATATGGCCTCAAATGTACCCATGGCATTTGGGAGATAATTGATAGTAGGAGCTGTCTTGGGGGGAAGGGGTGGAAGCTGTATTAAAGTGAGTTGAGGAGCCAGTGGGAAGTAAGGAAATACACAGGAAGTACACATAATGCTTTAGAAACTTGACTGTAAAAAGGAAGAGAGCGATAAGGGTGAAGAAGGATATAGGGTCTTAGGGAGGTTTTTGCTGTTTGTTTTTATTTAGATGAGATAATCCTGAGCACGTTTCAATCTCTTTTGAGAGAGTGAATTGAAATTCCCAGAGAGAAAAGGGATAAGCATGGAGAGAGCAAAACATTCCTAAGAAAGAAGGGGAGAATGGGACCTGTGGTGAGGGGAGGAGAGACAGCCGTCCTAAGTAGCAGGAGGGCAGGGAGGAGCAAGGGAGTTTGGAAATCTCTGTAGATGCTCTTGAAACAAGGACTGTGTCCTTTAACCTGGAAAAGGAGAGAAGTGAAATAGTCTAAAAAAGGGGTGACTTTTTCCCATTAGATCGTGAACTGTTAGAGGTTAAGGACTCTTAGTAATTTTTGCTCCAAAACACTCAATAAGGGTGTGTTGAACTGTATTGATAAAAAGCCCTACTATTTTTTTTTTTTTCAGACAGAGTCTCCTCTGTCGCCCAGGTTGGAGTGCAGTGGCACTATCTCAGTTCACTGCAACCTCTGCCTCCTGGGATCAAGTGATTCTCCTGCCTCAGCCTCCTGAGTAGCTAGGACTACAGGCACCCACCACCACACCCGGCTCATTTTTGTATTTTTAGTAGAGACAGGGTTTCACTAAAAACCAGGCTGGTCTTGAACTCCTGACCTCAGGTGATCTGCCCGCCTGGGCCTCCAAAAGTGCTGGGATTATAGGCATGAGCCACCACATCCAGCCAAAAGCCCTACTATTTCTTAAGTCCTTAGTAAGTGAGGGTTAAAATCTGAATACAAATCTTACAGGCTATTGATTATGAAGAACATATAAAACATACAGAACTTTCTTAGCCCTGTGAGTGAATATATTTTAAAATGTATGGATATTGATATATTTATAAACAACATTGTCATTTATAAATTTTTCTTTTAAGCAAGTAGGACTTCAGAATGTGTGTCTCGCCTGAATGTGAAATTTAAGTTTAGTTGTCTATTTCCCTGATTTAATGCTCCAGTTAGTTCTCTAAGAAAGCCCCAGATTGGTACATTTGCATTTATAGACTGCTGAGACTGTTTGCCCTCCTCTGAAGACATGCCCTGCCAACTAAACTGACCTTATTTGATGGTATTCAAGGTACATCATAGTATTCAAGGTAGATCAATAAATTAGAAAGAATTACACATTTGGACACTTGTAATACAAAACAAATAAAAGTCTAGCCTGTTGGCAACTACAAAGACGACCACCAAGAGGTAGAAAGTATGTTTCCCTTTTTGTTTTTTAATAAAATTTATCTGCCCCCTGAGTTCATGTCCTTTGCAGGGACATGGATGCAGCTGGAAACCATCATTCTGAGCACACTATCACAAGGACAGAAAACCAAACACCACATGTTCTCACTCATAGGTGGGAATTGAATAATGAGAACACTTGGACACAAGGTGGGGGACATCACACACTGGGCCTGTCGTGGGGTGGGGGGCAGGGGGAGGGATAGCATTGGGAGTAATACCTAATGTAAATGACGGGTTGATGGGTGCAGCGAGCCAGCATGGCACGTGTATATCTGTGTAATGAGCCTGCACGTTGTGCACATGTACCCTAGAACTTAAAGTATATTAAAAAAAAAAAGCAGAAAAATCAAGTAAAAAAATAAATAAATAAAATTTATCTGCCCCCAGTTAACACTTATTAAGCATCTAACTTAATGCATTTGCACAAGAGATACAGTATTTGCTTGAGTCACTATTGAATAACATCATTATAATATTCACTCATATCTATTTATCCTAATATTGTTATCCAACATCTAATCCCATAAGTGCTCTATCTCTTCTGAACTCAAATAATTGTTGTATTCTCATCATCATTTTGTATATGCATCACTGCTTAGCATAAAGCCCGGCTTATCAGAGGTGTTAAATGATTGTTGACTGAACAAATGAAAGCTTCCCAGTAACTCATCTACTAGGTGTCATATACCCTATCTCCCCAACTCAACAACCAATGTAGGGCAGGGGCTCTAGCAGCCTCATCTCTCAGACTCTTACATCACCAGGCATGCAGTAGAGATTCTGTAGATGTTTGTTGAATGAATGCATACTATAGTTCTAATTAGTATTGATTTTGTATTTAATTAGTAGTATGTTTTCATTCATTTTCTTTTTTTGATTCTTTCTTTCACCTTCTGCTTTTGTCTCCCCCTAAATTGGTCAATTTCTCTTCCCTTACCTTTTCGAGTATATTTTTGGTACCAGGTCTTTCACATCTGTCTTTTCAAATATACATTGGTATTAGGCCTTTCATATTCTGTTGACCATATTGGACAGATTAGGTAAAGTAGTCTTCTGTTGTAAAGACCCATCGTATCAATGATACGATTAATCAAATTTACTTAGCAAAATGATGACCCAACATGACAATGAAACACTTAGATGTCCTTCAGAATCCAGCTGAAGTAACAGGTAACTTGAGTGTGTGTTTGTGTGTGGGTGTGTATGTGCGCGACTGTAGGACCATAACCATATCTTACAGTAATAGAGATAAAAAAACACTATTTTCCCCCTCTCCTGTTGTGGTTTGTTGGCTCTTCCTTGTCATGTATTAATAATAATGATTTTGGCATTGGCAGGTACTCACAGTCATTACATTTGTGGTTATCCAATGTGTCTCAGCATCACTTGGATGTTTAATCACCCGCAAAAGCTGTCCATTATGTTTTATACTCCACCGCCATGAACATTATTTCTTAAATATATTTTGATTTAGCTCAACAGAGCTCATTTATTTTTGAAAAATAAAGTGACAATTATAAGTTTTTTGATATGGGAAGTCTAATACTCAGAGTAATTCTTATTTGCACATTCAGACACTCTTTTTTTTCAGGTGGGCTCAAGAAAATAACATTACACTATAAATTGGGTTGATTTGTTTTGCTTCTCAATAAACTGTATCCCTGTAAATAATGATAATATTGTCTTTGATTGAGTCTCGCTTTGTGGTAGTATTTTACTTATATTATTTCTAATCCTTACTACCTCTATACAAGGTGATATTACAGTATTCTCCTTTTTTAGGTGAGGAAATTTAGGGTTAGCAAGACTACATAACTTACTTACAGCCTTTCAACCAGTGGCTCAATGATTAAAAAGGAATCCTTAAACACAATTTTCAAAGAGGAACCTTTTTCATAAATGGAGTGAGACTGATGGAAAGGGTTTATAGGTTGGATAAAGAGGATAGACAGGAAAATTGATCCCCTGACACATGACTTCCTCACATGGCTGCCATGATCCATATTCCCATCAGGAATTTCTAATACCACTACCAGATGGATATAAGAGGCTGGTATAAAGTTATTCCCTACTCCAGGAGAATTTGATTGGCACAATAAGAAGAGAGAAAACGAAAATGAGGGGATGAGGTTAGGAGATTTTAGAGTAGTGCCTGTTAAGTGGGCCACTTACCACCTGCATCAGATCACCAGATATGCCTGTTAAAAATGCAGGTTCCTGGGCCTGTGCTCAGACTTTCTTTAGCAAATCTGGAACCCGGGGTGGAGGCAGGGCATACCAGGTGAGCTTCTGTACACTAAGGTGGGAAAATTTCTAAATTAGGGTGACAGCCAAGAGATTGGGAATCAGTGCTATAACAGGAAATCACAATGGAAAGATACTATAATTTAATGTTCCTAGCTCGGACTTTAAAATTTACTTACAATGCTTGTTTTGCCAGCACAAATCTAAAAATAATAAACAAAAAAAAACCAAAGAAATAAAATGACATAATTTAATGCAATTATTTTGTTTAAAAAATTAGGAAATTTAGATAATGAGAATCACAGAAAATTATACAACTAGAGAAAATCCCCGTTACTATTTTGGCTATTTCCTTTCCATCTTTTTCATTATGCAAATCTCAATACATTTATATAACTGACATCACACACTCTGTACTCTTCTTTCCTAAAATTGTATCTACCATAAGCAATGTTTCTAGTTGCTAAAAATTCTTTGAAAAATTAATGGCTGCATAATCGTTTATCATTTGGATAAAATTTAATTTATTTAACCACGTTTTCATTATTGAACTTTTAAGTTGTTTTTGTTTTTTTCTTCAGTACATCACATATGTTTTTATTTTATTGTTATTTAAAATTCAGCTGGGTGCAGTGGCTCATGCCTGTAATCCCAGCATTTTTGGAGGCCGAGGCGGGCAGATCACATGAGGTCAGAATTTCGAGACCAGCCTGGCCAACATGGTGAAACCCCGTCTGTACTAAAAATACAAAAATTAGCTGGGGGTGGTGGTGGACACCTGTAATCACAGCTACTTGGGAGGCAGAGGCAGGAGAATCACTTGAACCCAGGAGGCAGAGGTTGCAGTGAGCCTAGATCGTGCTGCTGTACTCTAGCCTGGGTGACAAAGCAAGACTCCTGTCTCAAAGAAATAAATAAAATTCAACTTTACTAAGTTAATCAATCTTTTTCTTATGCGTTTTAGAAAGTTCAAGCAAGTTTCACCACAGAGGTTCTGAAAGATGTTATTTCAGGTACTTTTTTTTTAGTATTTTGCGTTCTGAGATGGTTGTCTATCCAGCTGGGGCCCAAGGCAATGGATTTCTCTGGATACACAAGAGGAACTGGGGTAATGAGTTTGGCTTAGAAGAATATTATCAAAAAGAATGAATGAAACAGTTATCTTAATAAAATTGAAACCAGGGGATTTTGCTGAAGCTGCTTTCAAAACATGAATGACCCATGCTGACATAAGGAAAGAATAAAATTACAAGGTTTGGTTTCTATATGAGAGTTTTGGGGGTTTTCCAGTTAAAAAGTGTTATTTACGAGTACTGTAAAAGTAGGCCAAAAATACATCTTCAAATGCAGAAGAGATCTTTAGGTTTCACTGTCCCAGTCAAAAGAAAAAAGAATTACTTTCCATCCAATCTCTAAAATTTTGGCCACCTGCCTGGTATTTCTCTTCAATTTCACACTTCAAAATGGCCTCCAGGAAGACACGGTTCAGGATCAGTACGAAAGTACAAAGTTGCCAAAATAACCCTTCCATTCTCTTTTCAAAGCCAACCAGCCATCTGAAATCTATGTATACAGGGATCGCTAAAAGTAACCTTGCTTATGAAAGTTATTGTTTTAGTGTCATATTTCTTACAGTATAGGTGTCCCTTATCATAAGCCAACAAAATTCATGAAATTTATAATTTAAGCCATCTCACCTGAATCTTCATGTTTATGGAATTTTAACTAGATTGTGTTCATTTCCCCACAAAACTAACCATAGGTACATTTTTTAAAGACAGTGTTTTGGCGTATTCTTGCATTGATGTTTTTGGGGTCCTAACACATTTTTCCTTTTCTCTACGCAAAAATCATTCACACCAGGTCATAAAGCACCAATAACCACTTAAAATGATACCCTTTCCAAATCTTATCATTTCAAGGCAATATTTCTCGAACTTTAAGGTCCAAAAGAGTCTACTGGGGTCCTTGTTAAAATGTAATTCCTTCTCTATTTCCCCTGGGTGAGGCCTAGGAATCTACATTATTAATAAGTAACTGAGCTGATTCTGATGTAGAGGACCACACAGAGAAATGCTTTCTATTATAATGGGAAGAAGCTCAGATGGGTGGAATTATAAACACTACCCAGTGGGCAGGATGAATTATTGTGTTGAATGTTGGTCTTCTCCCAGTGGCTCCTAAAATGGAATCAGGGAGGAAGCGCTTCACCTGCCTTCAGTAAGGCCAAATTTATTCTTCCAACTATTCGCTCCTTCACAAAATCACTCATTCGTTCCCTCACTCATTCACTCAATCAGTCATTAAGTAGATACATTTTAAGTACTTTTTAGGGAATTCACCTAGGGGCTGGAGAGGGGCAGCACAGAATACAAAGGTTAATGAGACTTATTATTTGCCCATAAATTCTAGTATGGAATTTGGACATGTTAATAAGGAACCACAGAATGAGGCGAAATTCGAGAAATGCCCAAAAATACCAACATACTTTGGGAGTTTTTGTTTACTTATTTCTACCTCATTTTGTTCCAAAATACAATTTGGGGTGGCTCCAGGGATGCATGTGATACAGCAGAATCAAAATAAAACATGAGGAAATCCGAGGAATATAACGGCAGGAAAATAAGGTCAAATCAGTCAGTAGTATACACAAAATGTTCACCTTAAGCATAAGGCAGGGGTCCTCAACCACCAGGCCACTGACCAGTGCTAGTCTGTGGCCTATTAGGAACCAGGCCACACGACAGGAGTGAGTGCAAGCGAGTAAGCATCACCGCCTGAGCTCTGCCTCCTGTCAGGTCAGTAGCAGCATTAGATTCTCATAGGAGCACAAACCCTCTTGTGAACTGTGCCTATGAGAGATCTAGGTTGTGCATTCCTTGTGAGAATCTAATGCCTGATAATCTGAGGTGAACAGTTTCATCCTGAAACCATCCGTGCCACCTCCACATCCATGGAAAAATTGTCTTCCATGAAACCAGTCCCTGGTGTCAAAAAGGTTGGGGACCACTGGCATAAGGTATTCATAGAGATGGGCAGCATGTTTGAGTCTGAGCTTCTCAGTTGCTAAAGTATCCAATCTGTGTCAAGTTCATTTTATTTATCGGATAAAGTTTCTTGGAAACAAAGTCCCCTGCCCTCAGGTGAATCCCCTAAAAAGCATTTTAAGTATATGTACTAAATAATGAATTGATTGAGTGAGTGAGTGAGGGAATGAATGAGTGATTTAGTGAGTGAGTGAATAGTTGAGCAAATCTGGTTTCCTGGAAGCAAATTTCTTATGCAGATCTTCATAAAAGATGTAATGAACACTGTGATGTAGTGAACACTATTGTCAACCACATCTCTTCAAAACATACAAAGTTGTGTTCTATGGAGATGTTTATTGGAATGCCTAACTGGCCTTTGAGAAAAACAATCCTAGGATCACTGCATGCAAAAGAATGAAGTTGGAACCTTACCTCACACCATATACAAAAATGAACTCAAAATAGATTAGACCTAAATGTAAGCAATAACATTAAATGTAAGCAATAATTAGGAAACTTTTAGAAGAAAATATAGGGGTAAATCTTTGTGATCTTGGATTTGGCAATGGACCCTTAGACATGACACCAAAAGCACAAACATCAACAATAAAAAATAAATTTAACTTCAACAACATTAAAAGCTTTTGTGCTTTAAAGAACACTATCAAGAAAGTAACAACAGGGCCAGGTATGGTGGCTCACACCTGTAATCCTAACACTTTGAGAGGCCAAGGCAGGCAGATCACTTGAACTTGGGAGTTTAAGACCAGCCTGGGCAATATGGTGAAATCTGCCTCTACAAAAAATACAAAAATTAGCCAGGTGTGGTGGCATGAGCCTGTAGTCCCAGCTGCTTGGGAGGCTGGGGTGGGAGGATCGCTTGAGCCCAAGAGGCGGAGGTTGCAGTGAGCCGAGATCACATCACTGCACTCTAGCGTGGGTGACAGAACCAGTCCCCGTCTCAAAAAAAAAAAGAAAAAAGAAAGAAAGAAAGACAGTAAAAACACAACCCACAGAATGGGAGAATATATTTGCAAATCATAGATCTGATAAGGGACTTCTTTTAAAATATATTAAAAAAACTCTTAAATAAGAAAAAGACAAATAATTCAATTTAACTAATATGGGCAAATGATCTGAATAGACAATTCTCCTAAGAAAATATACAAATGACCCTATAGGTACATGGAAAGATGCTCCACTTCATTAGTCATCAGGGAAATGCAAGCCGAAACCACAAGACACCACATCACTCTGAGTAGGATGGCTGTAATAAAGTCAGATAATGACAAATGTTCAAGAGGATTGGAGAAATCAGAACCCTCACACACCACTGTGGAAAACAGTCTGACAGTCCCTTAAAAATTTAAACATGAAAGTACCATTTGATTCAGCAATTCCAGTCCTAGGTATACATTCAAGAGAAATGAAGACATATGTCCACCCCAAAACCTGCATATGAATGTTCATAGCCACATTATTCATAATGTCCCAAAGGTGGAGACAACCCAAATGCCCATCAACTGATGAATGAATAAACAATATGTGCAAGATCCATATAATGGGCCTGGCACGGTGGCTCACGCCTGTAATTCCAACACTTTGGGAGGCTGTGGCGGGTGGATCACCTGAGGTCAGGAGTTTGAGAACAGCCTGACCAACATGGTGAAACCCCATCTCTACTAAAAATACAAAATTAGCCGAGTGTGGTGGTGTGCCTGTAATCCCAGTTACTTACTTGGGAGGCTGAGGCAGGAGAATTGCTTGAACCAGGAGGTGAAGGTTGCAGTGAGCCAAGATTGTGCCACTGCACTCGTCTGGGCAACAGAGTGAGACTCCATCTCAGAAAAAAAAGAAAAGAAAAGAAAAAAAATGATCCATACAATGGAATATTATTTGGCTATAAGAAGGAATAGCTGGGTGTGGTGGCACATGCCTATAGCCCCAGCTACTTGGGAGGCTGAGATGGGAGGATCGCTGGAGCCCAGGAATTTGAGGCTGCGGTGTGCTATGATCCCACCTGTTGAATGGCCACTGCACTCCAGCTTGGGCAACGTAGAAAGAACCTGTCTTTTAAATTAAAAAAAAAAAAAAGATGGAATGAAGTACTGATACATGCCACAACACAGATGAACTTTGAAAATATTATGTTAAACAATGAAAAAGTGAAAGAAGCCAGTCACAAAAGATGGCATATAATATGATCCCATTTATATAGTTTCCAGAATAGGCAAACCTATAGAGACTGAAAGTAGATGAGTGGTTGTTTAGGATTGGGGGCAGGGGGAGGAGTAGAAAGACTAGGGAAAAGGTAATAATTAAAGGGCACAGATTTTTTTTTTTTAGAAATGATAAAATTTTTCTAAAATTGTGGTGACATTTGCACAACTCTGTGAATATTCTTAATACCATTCAATTGCACACTTCAAATGAGTGATATGTTTATGTCTCAATAAAGGCATTATAAAAAAACAATCCTAAGACAGTTAAAAACATTGCAATCTAGTATATGATCCTCTAATGGTCTGGCTTGGTTCCAGACAAAATTGAGAAAAAGTAGGAAGGGGCAGGCTGTATATCTTTCTGGAAATCATCCCATAGGTATCATTTTTCATAACTGGGCTTCGATAAGAACAGGGTACAGTAAGTTCAAGGTTACATTTTCTGGCAAGATCCTAAAATGTAATTATATGATGATTAAAGATGAATTTGCATACTTTGGCAATTCAAAACAGAACTCTTCCACAGGAACCGAAGGTTTAATTATATTCTATTCAAAGTGCTTTGAGGTCTTTTGATTAAAGCATTGCCTAGTATTGAAGACAGAGATAAGATGGCCACACTGATCCTAGCCAAGTCAGAATAATTGCTCATAATGTAGAGTAGACTTTAACAATTAAACTAAGGCCGGGCGCCGTGGTTCATGCCTGTAATCCCAGCACTTTGGGAGGCCAAGGAGGGAGGCTTGCTTGAGCCCAGAAGCTTGAGACCAGCCTGGGCAACATGGTGAGACCCTGCCTCTACAAAAAATATTTTAAAAATTAGGCGGGTATGGTGACATGCACCTGCAGTCCCAGCTACTCGGGAGGCTGAGGTAGAAGAATCGATTAAGCCCAGGAGGTTGAGGCTACAGTGAGCCACGGTTGCGCCACTGCACTCCAACCTGGGCTACCCTGTCTCAAAAACAAACAAACAATTAAACTAGCAGTGATCCCAAGTATCACAGTAAACTGAGATAACATTATTATTTTTTAAATAGTGATATCTGCTCTGGTTTTCTTAAGGCCACAGTATCTTAATAAACTTTTTTTAAAGACTGTTACTCAATCGTAAAAGTCCGACACGGCTGGTCACAGTGGCTCATGCGTGTAATCCCAGCACTTTGGGAGGCTGAGGCAGGCGGATCACCTGAGGTCAGGAGTTCAAGACCAGCCTGGCCAACATGGTGAAACCCCCGCCTCTACTAAAAATACAAAAAAAAAAAAAAAAAATTAGCTAGGTGTGGTGGCACGCAACTGTAATCCCAGCTACTTGGGAGGCTGAGGCACAAGAATAGCTTGAACTTTGGAGGCGGAGGTTGCAGTGAGCTGAGACCGTGCCACTGTACTCCAGCCTGGGCGACAGAGTGAGATTCCATCTCAAAAAAAAAAAAAAAAAGTCTGACATAAGACCTTGGCAAGCAGGTGCTCATTGGCATTTCCAGTGGCTCATATTATTTTGTTGTGCAATGCCTGTGGAGTTGGCATGCACTTATATTCCCTCCATCAAAAATAACCACAACATAAAGAGGGTAAAGTTCAAAGATCATCTTGCTCTGGATACTACAACAAATAGATAACTCTTCTTGGATTATCTTTTTGGTTAGAAGGAGTGCAAGGAGGGAGAAGTGTCTAGGTGATGAGCCAAGACCATTTTATCCCATTCAAACAGCCCAGGTTTTCTGCTGTTACTGCTGACTTGACATTGGTAAGAGGCCCTTGATCAGCTCAGATCCTTAGAGGCTTCCTCACAGGGTGGCCTGTTTTGGGTGTTTTCTAACACCAGGATAGATTCTTTCACAACAGCAAGAGAGAAGACCAGTCAGGCCCAAGTCTGTCACCTTGTGGCTCCATCTTCCCATCTCTGTATTCTGTAGACAGTCCTCATTTGGGGTCTTTAGGCCCATTCCCCAAATTAATTAATTATTTTTAAAGCTTCTAAAATCAAGTGAATAAGAAAGAGTTAGGTATACTGCTTGCAGAAGATGTATAAAGTTACTGAATAATAATGAAGTTTTCAAAATGAGCTGTGGTTTTAAATGATTTTTCTTAGATGTAACAAAGAGAATATTGTTATAGCATAGGTGCTCAACTGCACATCAAGATGTGGGTAAGATACAGACTTCATTGCCACTATTCACCGTGTGCCTGAGCAGACCACTGAACCTGCCTGGGCCTGATTTACTTCATCTGTCAAATGAAAGGGCTGCACTGTTTTATAATCATTGGGAGATGACATTCAAGGCATTTTTCTAGCATTAACATTTTATGACAATCTTAACTGATTCTATTCACGTCACAGAGAAAAATCAGAATTGTGCTGCTAACCTATTATTATTTTGTTTCCATGTTTCCCCCATCAAGGAGAATGGCCTTTATACTGCACAAAGTGATTAAGAAGGATTTGATGCCCAGTTTGGGCATCAGAGCTTCAGCAAACAGTTTAGCTTAGGACTCTGACTCTAACCCTAGGGATACAGCTCCTAAAGAGGGGAAGGAACCCACCTTGACTGAGATTTAAAACTCTCTCCCAGAGTACCACTACAGTCATGCAAAGCAGTTGCGGGGTTCCACTGGTGGAACAAGAACAATTTCTCTCTTAGACCTCAGGCTCAGCTTCTACCTCACACAAAGCTCTCGTGTAACAAATATTTATTGAGCACCTACTATGTGCTAGATCCTGAGACTATAGGAGTGACAATATTAACAAGGTCCTCTCTTATGTAGCTTAAGAGAGTTGGAGAAAAAAAAAACAGATATTCATCATAATCATCGATTATGGTAAGAGCTAGTAAAGAAGTAAGTGGGGTGTCCAGATGGATGCAGTGATGGAGAATTATGAGTAGTGGATGGAGAATGTCTTAAATAGGTCAGGAAAGGCCGCTCGGTGAAGGTGACGTTGAATCTGAGACCTGAATGCAAGAGGAAGCTAGTTTTATAAGGATCAGGAGGGGCAAGGAGAACGCAGAAGCCCTGCCGTGGAAAGGGCGTGGGGTGTTCTGGGACTCACAGAATAGTGTATCGGTGCAGAAGAAGCCAAAGGGAGAGAAGCAGAAAGGAGGCTGAAGAGAGGGCCTAGACCAATTAGAGCCGGGCTTGGAAGTCACCATCAAGGGTTGGGATTTCCTTCTAAGTGAGTAGAAGCCATTGAACAGTTTACAAGAGGCAGGATCTGATCATGGATTTTAAGATTACTCTGGCTGTTGCACGGAAGCTGGATCACAGAGGACAGGAGGAGAGGTAGGGAGAGGAGAGTCATTCAGAACTGATAAGGAAGAGATTCAATTTTCTCTGAAATGGTTAGCCAGTTGCACCAGATTTTTTGACCACTTTAACTTCTATCTTACATTTCCATGTATATTGATCTATTTCTGGGCTCTATTTCACCTCACTGTCTATTGTATCTCCCATGTCAGTGCCAAATTGTTTCAATTGCTATAGTTTTAGAGTATATTTTGGTAGGTGGTAGAGCTAATCCCCTTATTATCTTTCTTTTTTCGGAAATGTTTTGCATACTCTCAGTGTCACCTGGGATGCTTCTCAATGTGACCCAGTGAAATCAATGCGATTTCAGAAGTTCCCCTACTGATTAGAACATGCAGCAAAGTCTGGGAATTGCTGTCTGACACATTTATTTTCTTGGATGAATTTCAGTGTGTTTCTGTCAAGCCCTGCACCCCTTCAAATTCCTATTGTTATTTTGATTGGGATTGGATTACATTACTTACTTACTTTCTTTCTTTTTTTTTTTTTTGTTGTTTTTGTTGTTTTTAGATGGAGTCTTGTTCTGTCACCCAGGCTGGAGTGCAGTGGCTCAATCTCAGCTCACTGCAACTTCCGCTTCCCCGGTTCAAGCGATTCTCCTGCCTCAGCCTCCCGAGTAGCTGGGACTGCAGGCGTGCGCCATCACGCCCAGCTAATTTTTGTATTTTTAATAGAGACGGGGTTTTACCATGTTGGCCAGGCTGGGCACGAACTCCTGGCCTCAAGTGATCAGCCCGCCTTGGCCTCCCAAAGTGCTGGGATTACAAGTGTTAGTCACCGCATCCAGCCAAGATTGCATTACATTTTAAAATTAATAATTAATTTAGGGAGAATAAATGTCTTTACAATGAATCTTCCTGTCGAAGTATAAGGCAAGTTTCTTTACATGACACATATCTTTACAGGTATTCGAATCTTCTTTTATGTGAAATTCTTCAGAATGTTGTCTCATTTTTTTGCTATCGCTTTTCTCCTGTTATATTGTTAGCTTGCTGTTGAATACATATTGGAATGCTAGTGGTTTTATTTTTCTTATGTTTTTATCCCATTGCTCTGTGCTTTCTTTATCCTCTTATCACTTTTGCACATGTAATTATAATGTCCTTCCGCCATCTTTGCATATCCATCTATTTCTGCCTCAAGGCCCAAATCAAATTTATTTATTTAATTGATCCAATTAAAATTAAAGAAGGAAAACGTTTGCCCACTACTACCCCCTTCACTCATCCATGTTAACTCCCACCACCATCATCCTCTCTGAGCTATGGAAATGATTTTGCTTCTCTGAATCCTGAAAGCATTTTTTCTATACCTCCATCGTGGCCTTTGTCTTTCCCCATAGCCTTTACCTCAGTGACTTTGCAGCATTTTAAGTACTCAATAAATTTTACAAAGAAACAAATAAAGAAATGACTCCTGTATAGAATAAATAGGTGGATAAATGACAAAGTGAATGAACCAATGACTTAACTGCAACCAAAGTTCTGAGATGATCAGGTTTAAATCAGCCTAAAAATGAACATTTCATGGCATGCTGTGGGAATTTGTCCTTGATTCTGTATAGAACTCTGCAATCATTCACTTATTCATTCATTCACTTCAATCATAATTATGACCTACTATGTGCGAGAAACTGTGTGGGGTGGCAGCAGCTAAGTGAAACTTGGAAGTACCGTTCTTTGCCATCTAATAGATTCCATGGGAAAGCACATTAAAAGAAAACAAGAATGATAGAGTATTATAGATGTTTTGCTATACAAATCTGAATGGGGTTCACTGGGGACACTAAGAAAAGAGCAATTAATTCTAGGTGGGAGAAGGGAAGCCATTGCCAAAGGCTTTGTAGAAAAGGTTAACACTCGATTTGAGTTTTGTGTTTGACATTTTTATCAATTACTTGGATTTGGAAAAGAGGTGTACTTATCACATTTACAGAGAATGCAAAACTTGGAGAGCTATAACAGATGACACACTCAAGAATGTTTTTATAAGTTGTGGTAGCAATACTTCTAAACATTTATACAAAGGAGATCATTGTGCAAGTGCAACAAGACCATATATGATGGTTCTACTTGTAAGAGTGTAATTTGGAAACAAATTACTTGCTCATTAAATTGTACTTCACATGTACAATAGAGTACCACATAATAATGTCAGTGTGCATGGATTATTCTTGTCTTTTACAAGGGTGGGATTCTACAGTTTGGCAACTTGCATTTTTCATGTATTATGTCATGGATTTCTTTCTTTCTTTCTTTCTTTCCTTTTTTTTTTTGAGATGGAGTCTCACTCTGTCACCCAGGCTGGAGTGCAGTGGCGTGATCTTGGCTCACCACAACCTCCGCCTCCCGGGTTCAAGTGATTCTCCTGCATCAGCCTCCCGAGTAGCTGGGATTACAGGCACCCACCACCATGCCCAGCTAATTTTTGTATTTTCTGTAGAGACAGGGTTTCATCATGTTGGCCAGGCTGGCCTCAAACTCCTGACCTCAGGTGATCCACCCGTCTCGGCCTCCCAAAGTACTGAGATTACAGGCGTGAGTCACCGTGCCCAGCCCGGATTTCTTTCTATACTAAGAATTGCAAAACATAAATTATCAAATGCAACTATAAAGTTACTATTATAAATGATGTTTGTTTACTTTGATATTATTATAAAAATTACTCAGTATGTTAACTTTTTAATGTAATCACTCCTAGGTAGTAAAATTATGGGTATATATAATGGGTATATATATATAAATATATATTCTTAATACTTTTATTATTTGAATTTTTTACAATGAGCAGTTTTTTTTTTTTAAAAAAAAGCAACTTACTCTTCTTTTAATCTTACAAAGCTAGTCTACATACCAAAACAAGATGAAAAAGAGATAAATGTGAAGCTCTCATTTCATATCCTCCAAAGAAAGCATACATGATAGCAGAAGGGTAATTTGACAGTTTATTTGAACAAAATCTGGAGTTTTAATTCATCTAATTGCAAGCTCATTGTGCATAATCTCATAGTATAATTTAGATACTAAAATTCTAATGCAATCTTAGGCTACATTAACAGAATTTTAACATGCCACTCGTAGCACTGTGAGCTTGTCCAACCACATGTAGATTTAGTTTCAGTTTTGCACTGCCATAAAAAGACACATTAAAATCTACAGTATGCTCAGCCAGAGGAGAAAGGTCAGAAACTCTGTCATAGATCAATGTTGAGAAAACCCACAATTAGTTTGGAAAAAAGATACAAGTGGGCACGTGTCTGATATCTTCAAATATTTTGTGAGCCGTCAATGGAAATAGCATAGAAGTCTTCTGTGTTGTCCCAAAGAGCAAAACTGAGGCAAAGGAATGGAATTAACAGAGAAGCAGAGTTCAGCTCAATCTCACAATATAAATTAAAGCTGCCCCAAAACAGACCACAGACCTGGCTCCCTACAATGGCCGTAAGAGTAGTAAGTTGCCCACTGTTCTCAGTGGTCAGAGAGGGCAGGCAATCACTTGATGAGGAAGTTACGGTACTAGAAAATTGTTCCAAATGACATACAAGATTCCTCCCACTTTTAAGGTTCAATGGTTAATTTTTTCCTTCATAAATATTCATCCTCATTGGCCCCACGTTCTGTTCATTTGGGACTATATCTTCATTTTATCAGTCATTTAAAATCACAATCCCATAATCCTTAGTTGGAGAAGCCTGTGGCTCAAAAGCCAGCATTTTAGGGTGGTATTTCTTTTTTTTTTTTTTTTGAAACTTTTGAATTTATTTATTATTTTAATTTAGGTCCAGGGATATATGTGCAGATTTGTTATATAAGCAAATTGGATGTTGCAGGGGTTTGGTGTGCAGATTATTTCATCACCCCCAGGAGGTATTTCTTGATATGAACTCAGGCCAAAGAAACTTGGAAATGAATCCTGCTGGGCAACCTCAGGTCTTTTCACTTACAGGATTTGTCTCAATAAAGAAAAATTTTGTTAATAAAAGATATGTAGTGCTACCTGAAATTGGCAATGATCATTCAATTACTTTCCACTGATGATGCAAAGGCCATTAAAATTATTCATGGTAGGTCTGCTTTGACTGTGCCATCTTCTCTTGGCAAGGGTACTTTAACACTGATGCCAAATGACCCACTGATGTCTGCCACAGTACAAAGTTATTTTAACATACCTTTTAAAATACAATCATCTGGACCAAGTATTCTGTGCAAGAGACATTCTAACCCCTTATGCCATCCCTGAACCGTATTTCTAATCCTTACCCAAAATTTTTACTTGTCTCTGAATCTTGCCCCATCACAAAACCTTACTAATCCCTTTATTCCTTTTTTTTTAAATTAAAAAAAATAGCTTTGACTTTAGGTCTTGTTGTCCATGCTGGAGTTCAGTGGTGCAATCATAGCTCACTGCAATCTCAAACTCCTGGGCTCAAGTGATCCTCTTGCCTCAGCCTCCTGAGTAGCTGGGAGTATAGGCACATGACACCATGCCCAGATCCAATACTTTGATTCCTTCTCCATGACAGAGCCTGAGCTCATTATCATTCTCAGCAATCCTTGGAATCCTTGGAATACTAAACTCAGAAGGCCTTGGGGAGGTAGAAGAATAATTTCTCATCTCTCTCTGGGTTTCCCTTCTTAGGTGCAAAAATCTGGAAGTCAAGATGTCAAATGAAGGAGGATGTGAAGGAGGATGCTAAAATAGTGCCCATCATATGGAGGCAAGCAATCAGCTAGGATGGAATAAATCTAGAAATTCCTGGGGGAATTTTTTTTTTTTCGAGGCAAGGTCTCACTCTGTCACCCAGGCTGGAATGCGGTGGCGACTATGGCTCATTGCAGCCTCGACCTCCCGGGCTCAAGTGATCCTCTCACCTCAGCCTCCTGAGTAGCTGGGACTACAGGCACGCACCACCACACCCGGCTAATTTTTTGTATTTTTTGTAGAGATAGGGTTTCACCATGTTGCCCAGGGTGGTCTCAGACTCCTGGGCTCAAGTGATCCTCCTGCCTTGGCCTCCCAAAGTGCTGGAATTACAGATGTGAGGCCACCGAGCCAGGCCTGAAAAATTATTTTTTAAGCAAAATTATTTCTTATTAATTGGCTTGTTTCCTTTCTATTATGCTCTGTAGTGATAAAAGCCCTTAGTCTTACTTAAAAGCATTATTTCCACCTGATGATGATAGCTTTCATTTATTAATTGATTAATTGTTGATTTGTTCAATCATTCATTCGTGGATGCCTGAAACATTTACTGAGCATTGCAGTCAATAGCAGGAACACAAGAAGGAACAAGACACAGTGTTACTCTCAAGATGCCCACACTTAAACTGGATTGGCTCTTCATGCTTGATGCTCCTGAAATGAAAAGGTCAAACTTGGAAAACAATAAAATGTCCGGCTCTGATCTCTACTGGGTAAATCTCTTCCCAGAGACGAATCTTAAAGAAGTGAGGTTTTATTAAGAATGTAGCTCTCTGGGGAACTCCTATTCATCCTTTGAAACTTATGAAAAATACTTAGGATAGTGTCCAGTGTCTTTAACAGAGTATCCGGTGTCTTTTCCAGTAAACCCCTGACTCACCCCAGTGCTGGACAACCTCTGTATTTTATTGTTCGTCTTTCCCTCTCTTCTTCCAGAGAGTTAACTCCTTGAAAGGAGGAACTGAATTTTGGCATGACTATATCCCAGGACCTGGCACACTGCCTCGCACATAATTGGTGCCCAGTTAACATCCCCAAAATTGAATTGCACTGAAGGCTCAGTGGCCTGCTGTTGGCATAGCAACCTATCTTCAAGTGTTGGGGACTTTTCTTTTCAGATGATATCTTTCCTAAAACTGTCTAGATATCAAAGGTCTTAAACTTGCACAGTCGCAACAGGAGAGACCTTTAGAGGAAACCTTTCTACTCTAAAGGACGGTTATTTTCATTCTCTTAAATCTCAGCGTAGTTTCTGCTCTCATTTTTGGTTTCCACATGGCAGCTCTTCTTTGTGGGAACAGCTGACTGCAGCTTGGTCACTTCTGGACATGTCTGTCCTTCATCCAGAGCACCACAGAAGAGAATCCTTGTGTTTTCACACAGGAGTTCTCTCCTTTGATCCTAATTTAATGTCCTGAGCTATAAAAAGGAACCATTTCCCATTAACTCTGTTATTTATGAGAATATATACCGATGCAGACAAGATTGTATGAAGCAAAAATCAGAGCTCCTGCTCATGAGGTAAGGCAGAAATCAGTACTGCCACAAATAACTGGGATATAGTGCCACTGGGTCTTGCGCTCTCCTCCCCAAGTATAATTTTCTTGAATGTCAAGTACATTCTCTACTTTTTTTTTTTTTGAGACAGAGTCTTGCTCAGGCTCTGTTGCCCAGGCTGGGGTGCAGTGGCCCGACTTCGGCTCACTGCAACCTCTGCCTCCCGAGTCCAAGTGATTCTCCTGCCTCAGCCTCTCGAGTAGCTGGGATTACAGGCACCCGCCACCATGCCTGGCTAATTTTTGTATTTTTTTTTTTGTAGTAGAGACAGGGTTTCACCATGTTGGCCAGGCTGGCCTTGAAATATTGACCTCAAGTGATCAACCCGCCTTGGCCTCTCAAAGTGTTGGGATTACAGGCATGAGCCACCACGCCCGGCCATATTCTCTACTCTTAAAAAATTGCCCCACAGTTGTCAACAGATGCATTGTACCCCATGATTCTTCCATATACTTCAATGACAGGGCTGTGCAGTCTCAGGAGAAAGAAAATGCACTTGGATCTCAGTTTTAATTTCTTGCTCTGCCACTTATTAACTTGTGACCTTGGGCAAGATAGTTGGCTTCTCAGAGCCTCTTTTCTTATATATAAAAGGGTTATTTTGGGAATAAATGTAATGAAGTGTGTAACATGTCCAGTAGACACCATAGACACTTGATATACTCTAGATCCTTTTGCATTTTCCTCACCTTCCCCTGTGTCAGATGAGACATTAAAATGATATAAACTGGACAAAAACATGATTAAAAAACAAAACAAAACACAAGTTTAAAGTTCTGACTTCCAAATTCCTGAATACCTCATTCAAGAGACTGTGGTCACATACAGAATAATCCGGGTTACATCTGGATTGGGATCCCAGTATCCCACCACGGGCTCCAGGATTGGTACATTTTGTGTTTCTTTGGGTTGATAGTGGTCAATTTACCTAGAATCAACTTCACTCATGTGACTTTGCAATGTTGACTCAGCTTTTGTCAAGTGTATTGATGAATGCCATTTAGAACACAATTCAAAGTATCGGGCAAAATCATATTCTCCACTCCTGTGAACTCAAATAGTGAAGTTTATGGATTATCATTTTTGTTAAGTACTCAAGTTCTCTCTTTTTCTTTTCTTCTCCTTTCCTTTCCCTTTCTCCTTTCTTTCTTTTTCCTTTCTTTCTTTCCTTTTTTATTTATTTCTTTTTTTTTTTTTTGAGACAGGGTCTTGCTCTGTTGCCCAGGCTAGAGTGCAGTGGCAAAATCATACCTCACTGCAGGCTCCATCTCCTGGGATCAAGTGATTCTCCCACCTCAACCACCTGAGTAGCTGGGACTACAGGCACCTGCTACCACCCCTGGCTAATTTCTTTTAGTTTTTAGTAGAGATGAGGTCTTGCTATGTTGCCCAGGCTGGTCTTGAACTCCTGAGCTCAAGTGATCCTCCTACCTTGGCCTCCCAAGTGCTGGGATTACAGGTGTGAGCCACTGTGTCTGGCCTATTTTAAGAAATTTTTAATGACCTAGCAAAATGCTCATGATATAATATTTTAAGCCAATAAAATACCTCACTTCAGATAACCATCTGGTGAAGCTCACAGTTGACAGGCCTTTGACCCCAAACACAGAGCTTCCAGGCAAATTGTTTTTTCATGTCCCAGTCTTAAGTATATGTAAAAGAAAACTTTTAAAAGAGACACAGATCCTATTATTAGTACTAATATTCATATCAATAGTATCCATAAAGTGCAAATACTGTTAAAAAGAAAAAAAGGAAAACTCAGGAAACAGTTTTTGAAAGTTAAAATAGTATGGCATGACAAATAAAAAACTAAATAGACGATAAGAAGAAAAAATCGAGGAAGTCCTCCAGAAAGCACAATAAAAAGATAAAGAGATAGGAAGTAAGAAAATAGTAGAGACACTATCCAGGATATCCACCATTCAAGTAATAGAGTGTTCCAAAAAGAGGGGGGACAAATCAGGGAAATTAGGGGAAGGAAAAGAAATAATCAAAGTAACATTTTAAGAAAGTTTATTTTAGACAGAAAAAATAGGCATTTGCAGCAGAAAGGGACATCAAATTTCCAGCATGATGAATGAAAACTAACCCACACCAATGACATCATCAAACACTGTAAATACTGAGAAACAGGCTTCCAGACAAGAAAAGTAGGTTTCACAAAAAGGATTAAGTATGAGAATGACATCCAACTCCTCAACAGCAGTTCTAGATGGTAGACGATAACTGATAAATGCCTTTATAATTCTGAGGGAAAATAATTTCTAAAGTAGAATTCAGTACTATCAACTGTGTATGAAGAAAGAATAAAGGCTCTTTTTTAACTTTTTTAAGACAGGGTCTCACTCTGTCACCTAGGCTGGAGCACAGTGGTGTGATCACAGCTCATTGCAACCACCACCTCCTGGGTTCAGGTGATCCTCCCACTTCAGCCTCCCGAGTAGCTGGGACTGCTTGTATGCACCACCACGTCTGGCTTATTTTTTGTATCTTTTGTAGAAACAGAGTTTTGTCATGTTGCCCAGGCTGGTCTCGAACTTCTGGGCTCAAACAATCTGCCTACTTCAGCCTCCCAAAGTGCTAGGATTACAAGCGTGAGCCACCACACCCAGCCCATTTTTATTTTTTTAATTTTTAATTTTGAGACAGGGGCTCACTCTGTCACCCAGGCTAGAGTGCAGTGGCATGATCATGGCTCACAGCAGCCTCAACCTCCAGGGTTCAACCAATCCTCCTGCCTCAGCCTCCTGAATAGCTGGGGATACAGGTGTGCACCACCATACCCATCTAATTTTTTGATTTTTTTTTGTACAGACATGGTCTTACTTTGTTGCCCAGGCTGGTCTCAAACTCCTGGGTCCAAGCAATCCTCCTGTCTCAGCTTCCCAAAGTGCAGGGCATGAGTCGCCGTCCAGCATGAAGACATTTTTAGATACATGGTAGCAACTTTGCCTTCCATTTACCTCTCTCAGGAAACTACTGAAGGATATGCTCCACCAAAAAGAAATAAACTCAGAGGACGGAAAGCAAGCAGTCAGTGAGGTTGATCATACAGTCAGCAAAATTTACATTTTCCATTGTGGAAAACTGATAGAACAAGATACTGAAAATCAAGATGTAGCAATATAAATATATTATTTAGATATGTGGAGGTAAGTATGAAAACAATCAGCTAAAAAGAGTGGAAAATTTGGCCAGGTGCCGTGGCTCATGCCTGTAATCCCAGCACTTTGGGAGGCCGAGGTGGGTGGATCACCTGAGCCCAGGAGTTCGAGACCAGTCTGGCCAACATAGTGAAACCCTGTCTCTACTAAAAATACAAAAATTAGCTGGGTGTGGTGGCACATGCCTGTAATCCCAGCTACTTGGGCGGCTGAGGCAGGAGAATCACTTGGACCCAGGAGGTGGAGGTTGCAGTGACCGCAGATTGCACCACTGCATCATCCTGGGCGACAGACTGTCTCAAATAAAAGGGGGGAAAAAGAGTGGAAAATTTGCATCTGGGGAATGAGAAATTGAAGGTGGAGGTCAATTTTTTTTTTTTTAATCATAGGTCTTGCAGAACTATTTGACTCTAAACCCCATGTACAAGGCCAGGAGCGGTGGCTCATTGTCTGTAATCTGAGCACTTTGGGAGGCCGAGGTGGGTGGATCACTTGAACTCAGGAGTTGGAGATCGGCTTGGGCAACATGGCGAAACTCCGTCTCTACAAAAAAGACAAAAATTAGCTGGGCATGGTGGCATGTGCTTGTAGTCCCAGCTTCTCAGGAGGCTGAGGTGGGAGGATCACTTGAATGCAGGAGGTGGAGGTTGCAGTGAACCAAGTTTGTGCCACCGCACTCCAGCCTGGGCAATAGAGGGAGACTGCCTCAAAAAAAAAAAAAATAAAATAAAAAATAAAAAATAATAATAATAATGAAAGAAACCCCATGTACATGTGTAACTGTGATAAGGATAAAAATTAAATTAAAAAGTTAATGTAGGCCGGGCGAGGTGGTTCATGCCTGTAATCTCAGTCCTGTGGGAGGCTCAGGCGGGTGGATCACCTGAGGTCAGGAGTTCGAGACCAGCCTGGCCAACATGATGAAACCTGGTCTCTACTAAACATACAAAAGACTGTGGCGTGGTGACACGTGCCTGTAGTCCCAGTTATTCGGGAGGCTGAGGCAAGAGAATTGCTTGAACCCGGGAGGCAGAGGTTGCAGTGAACCAAGATCGCCCCACTGTACTCCAGCCTGGCGACAGAGCAAGACTGTGTCTCAAAAAAAAAAAAAAAAAAGTTAATGTAGAGAATGTCACTCACTGAAGGCATTTCTACAACGAACCCATGCTAATGTGATCCAAATATACTGCTTTCTGATGATCTAACTTTATACAGAAATAGCACTCAGAGAATCTAGGAATAGTTGACATATACCCTAGATACCATCTCTCATTAATATCAGGTGTTTCAAATAAGCCTTTGGGCAAGTCAGTGTTGCTTGAACCCCTGGGGAGAGCTGGTGTTCTGTGTCATTGATGGAAGGGCTTCCAATAAACCTTAGAAGACAGAGATAAGACAGCACCATCCTTGTCTTGTGCCATACTAGGTTCCACTGGCACTCTTCTAGACTGTGGGTTAGCGCACTTGTACGTGGATGGTAGATGTGTGAGGTAGGATACATGCAAGTATGTTTTTGAACATTTTTACAACTCTCTAGAATCCCAGAATCTCACAGCAGTAACACAGTAGACATCATTTTGGCCTGAGGGACTCTAACCTCAGTAATGCATTCTAACCCAGCCTCAGTATATTAGCCACAAAGGCATACCGAAGTACCTGAATGTCATCTGATTGGGCAGTTGTTCTATGTCTATTTAACTGATTGAGAAGTTCTACTGAATACAACATTCTTGCTGTCAATATGTTTGAAGCTTCTGACTCTAATAGCCAATAGGATTAGCTGCTTTTGAAGTGAGCACTCAGGTGAAAGGGAACACTGTAGTTGATAAGCTAAGAGGCCAATGCTTATTCAGTTCATAGAGTAACTGTTATTTAATTTAACTATAAATTAAAATAAAGAGGCACATACAGCAAAGCCTTATTTTATACTTTTTAGGATTGAAAGTTCTTTCCTCTGATGTTAGCAGTAATATACCACGATTTTTGAAAAAGAATGACTAATAGCCCGGGACTTAGGGACAATTTAGTTACTATTTATGGAGTCAAGGGAGCCAGTTCTGGTTATGTTGCAAAGATCTACATTATCAACCACTCACAGTGGAAAAAAAAACAGAATATGAGGTAGAGTGGACTCATTTCTCTTGAAAGCTGCTTAATCTTCACATAGGTTTTAGGTTAAGCACAAAATTTTTTCGAGTAAAAAAATTCAAGATATTTGGCAGAAATAGTGTATTTAATCAGTTTACTTTTTTTTTCTTTTTTTGAGACAGGGTTTTGCTTTGTCACTGAGGCTGGAGTGCAATGGTGCAATGACATAATCATAGGTCACTGCAACCTTGACCTCCTGGGCCCAAGCAAGCCTCCCACCTCAGCCTCCCAAGTAGCTGAGACCACAGGAATGCACTACCACACACAGCTAATTTTTTTTACTTTTGTAGACACAGGCTCTCCCTATGTTGCCCATGCTGGTTTCAAACACCTGGGTTCAAGCAATCCTCCTCCCTCAGCCTCCCAAAATGCTGGGATTATAGGCATGAGCCACCGTGCCTGGCCCAGTTTCACCTTTAAAAAATAGGTTAGATAAGACTTTAAATCCATCTAAGGAATTTGTGTTTATATACTATCTTCTGTAAGAAACTCATCAATTAATTTTTGGCCTAACATATGAAGTGAGCAGAGATGATACCTATAAATAAGAAGCCAACATGAATAAGCCATTTTGTTTGTTAAACAGAAGCGTGCTATCATGAACAAATGCCAAACTAGAAGCCACAAAAATGTAGGTTCTATCTTCACTCTGTTATTTTATTTTACAATCCTGGGAAAGTCATTTATTTTCTTCCTTTTAAAAATGGAGTTATAGTAAGGCTAAAATGAAATCATGTTCCATAGAAACCACTTATAATGTGTAAAATATCATGTAAATGTTTATGAATGAACAAATTAAATGTCACACACTGGAAAAGGGAACTTGCACAGAGCTAGCCTTCGAGGTACTGGCTCATATAAATACTATGACTAGGACTAGATTTAAGGGGGATTTCCAAACGTTTTGGCCTTCTGCCATCTTATTGTTGATTTTTAAGTTTCATACATATTTCTTATTTCAAAGAGTTTTTTTGGTGTAATGTACAGTACACCAAATTTTACACCAATCAGTATATGTATAATATATGTATAATAGTTGAAACCCTGGGTTTGATGAATCAGGAGACTAGAATGCTGAAAGTCAGATACCCTGGCCATTTAAGTACCCAACAATTTGTGTTCATAGTAAAGGCTCAACAATATGTGTTCAATGAATGTGGGTCCTGATGAAGTTCAACCTGAAGGGGATGTCAGGCCAGCTTAGATGAGAACTCTATCAAACTGTAGTCCAAATTCAAAGTTGTATGTGTTCCATGAATTATAGTCGACTGTGGCAAAAGAGAACTTGGTTCAACATGCCAAAATTCTCATGCTTTCTTTTTTTGGATTTTTCAACTGATCACATGGCAATTATTAGTGAATTTGTTTGCCTAATTTTTTTTTGAGACACGGTCTTATTCTGTCCTCCAGGTGGGAGTGCAGTGGCATGATCACAGCTCACTGCAGCCTTGACCTCCCTGGGCTCAAGTGATTCTCCTGCCTCAGGCTCTACAGTAGCTGGGACTACAGGCATGTGCTACCATACCCAGCTAATTTTTTAATTTTCTGTAGAGATGATGTCTCGCTATGTTGTGCTATGTTGCCTAGGCTGGTCTTGAACTCCTTGGCTCAAGCGATCCCCCTGCTGCCACGCCTTGGCCTCCCAAAGTGCTGGGATTACAGTCTGTGAGACACCACACCCACCTACAGCCTCTTTTTAATTCTTATCCACTTGCCTTCTTTATGTTGTGTCACCAGATGACAAAACAGCATAACACACCTATTTTCCTTCCACAGTCTACTTTACGTAATTATCTTCTAGATACAACAGGAAGCGTGCAACTTGTTAGCTGTGATCTTCTGGGAAATTCTAGGAAGCTCAACAGATTGTGAGTTTCTGCTAAAATGTTAAGATACTTTTTGTGTAGTGATATCTTTTTAAATGAAAGTGAGTCTAGATTTTAACAGGTATAATAGTTCATAAATAATAAGCAGAGCAGCTACTCTGGATATTTCACATTTATTCAGTTTTTATGTTTATGGAGATCTTTTTATGTTTTATGTAGTTGTGAATACATTGTGATAGAAATTTGTATGCTGATTTTTGTTATTTAACAGATTAGAATATTTATTGCCCTGCATTATTAAACATTTTTAAAATCTATTTTTATAACATACTTTTCTGATAATAAAAGCAATAAACCAGCCTGGGCAGCATGGCAAAACCCTGTCTCTACAAAAAATACAAAAAAATTAGCTGGGTGTGGTGGCACATGCATATAGTCCCAGCTACTCAGGAGGATGAGGTGGGAGAATCATCTG
This sequence comes from Homo sapiens, assembly GCF_000001405.40. Taxonomy (NCBI): domain Eukaryota; kingdom Metazoa; phylum Chordata; class Mammalia; order Primates; family Hominidae; genus Homo; species Homo sapiens. Next base: position 200,427,287 of record NC_000001.11, on the reverse strand, counting down.
AGCCCAGGAAGTCAAGGCTGCAGTGAGCCATGATCATACTGCTGCACTCCAGCCTGAGCGATAGAGGAAGACCCTATCTCAAAAAAAAAAAAACAAAAAAACAAAAAAAGCAATAGAAAATTTGAAAAATATATAGTAGTATAGAGAAAATAAAAAATTATCCACAATCCTACAACTGAATAATAATAATTATCATTAAAACTTAGGTATATTTCCTTCCATTCTCTTTAAATGCATTTTTTTACATAACTGAGATAATCCTTTTTGTATACTGTTTTTCTTCACTCATGTGTCTTAATCAGTTTTCCACGATTGAAACTTTTCATAAAAATTATTTAATGTCTGCATAACATGATATAACTTTGAGATACCACAATTTGGTTAACTTTATTTAGTCAGGGCTTTTTCTTTCTTTTTTTTTTTTTTTTTGAGACGTAGTCTTGCTCTGTCGCCCAGGCTGGAGTGCAGTGGAGTGCAGTGGTGTGATCTCGGCTCACTGCAATCTCCACCTCCCGGGTTCAAGTGATTCTCCTGCCCCGGCCTCCCAAGTAGCTGGGACTACAGGCGTGCGCCACCATGTCCGGCTAATATTTAACTTTGTATTTTCTGAATACCATAAATCCACATTAGTATGCCTTTCTTATACACAAATTATTTGTTTTGCTCTCCCGCTAAGTTGTAAGTCCCAAGACTAGCGACCATGTCTGTAGTAAACACTAACTGGAGTAGCTGATGATTCCTCAGGTGACTCTCCCTGTCCTACCCCTTGTCTTCCTCTGGCTCTAGCTAAGCTATCTGAATGGAAGTGGCCATCTTAAGGGACCTTGCTTTTCTAGCCACTTGATTGGTTAAGGGGTAGGCTTGTAAACCAGTCTGAGCCAATTGCAAAAGCTCACTCCCTACACCACAGTCATTGGTCCACTGATGGACATGTGACCTAAATGGGGCCAGAATTTCATTCAGGAGTTATGACGGAAAAGGTATTCCTTTTCCTGTAGAGGAACTGTAAGACTGAGAGCCCAAAACTGCTAGCAGCACATCCTCCACCAGAGAAAATTGGTCTGAGCAGAGAAACAAATAGAGAATCCTTTATTCAGTCCTCTTCTTGCCATTCAAGATTTAATTTTTCAATTATTTATTAAGTTCTGGTCAGGCGCCGTGGCTCACGCCTGTAATCCCAGCACTTTGGGAGGCCGACGTGGGTGGATCACTTGAGGTCAGGAGTTCAAAACCAGCCTGGGCAATATAACAAAACCCCGTCTCTATTAAAAATAGAAAAAGTAGCCGGGCGTGATTGCGTGCGCCTATAATCCCAGCTACTCGGGAGGCTGAGACATGAGAATCGCTTGAATCTAGGGGGCGGAGGTTGCAATGAGCCAAGATCGGGCCACTGCAGTCCAGCCTGGGCCACAAAGTGAAACTCCATCTCAAAAAAAAAAAAATTATTTCTTCAATCCCGATAGCTCCCCCCACCCATCCTTTCAATAAATCTCCTCTCCTTTTATATGCTTCATCTGGTTTGAGTTGAGTTTCTGTCATTTGCAAACAAGAAGGTCCTAAATCGTATAATATTTAAGCAGTATTTTGAAATCCTTGTGGCATAGATCTGTAAAATGGTACTTCTATATCTAGTATGCCCTATTTCATATCTGGTCAATCACCTTAACTTAAAAAAAAAAAAAGCTGTAGAAGAAATTTTTTGTTGCCAATCCCTTTAAATTCTGTTCTGAGCCAGGTGCAGTTGCGTGCACCTGTAGTCCCAGCTACTCGGGAGGCTGAGGCAGGAAGACTGCTTGTGCCCAGGGTGAGTTCCAGGCGGCAGGGCACTATGATGTCACCTGAGTCTAGCCACTGCACTTCAGCCTGGGCAACAAAGAGACCTCTGCTAAAAAAAAAAAAAAGAATTCTGTTCTGAAAGTTTTTCTAGTTTATTTACTCTCTACAGCCCTTCAGTTACAACACCTGAAAACTGATTAGGGTTATAATATATTTCATCTCAAACAAGGCAAACTCCAACCCCCCTAAATTTACAGTTTTTATTTGTTGAGTAGCCCTTAAAATAGTGGTTTATTTATTTTACATAACAAATGCCATAGTGGAACTGGAATTAATTCTTTTTTTTTTTAGAGATGAAGTCTTGCTATGTTGCTCAGAATGGCCTCCAATTCCCGGGCTCAAGGGATTCCCCAACCTTGGCCTCCCAAGTAGCTGGGCCTATAGGCACGTGCCACCACACCTGGCTTAGAATTAATTCCTCTTTTTTTTTTTTTTGAGACAGAGTCTCACTTTGTCACTTAGTCTGGAGTACAGTGAAGTGATCTCAGCTCACTGCAACCTCTACCTCCCAGGTTCAAGTGATTCTCATGCCTCCTGAGTAGCTGAGATTACAGACGTGCACCATTATGCCTGGCTAATTTTTTTTTTTTTTTTTCGAGACGGAGTCTTGCTCTGTCACCCAAGCTGGAATGCAGTGGCACAATCTTGTTCGCGGTAACCTCCGCCTCCTGGCTTCAAACAATTCTCCTGCCTCAGCCTCCCGAGTAGCTGAGATTACAGGTGCCCGCCACTGCGCCCGGCTAATTTTTGTATTTTTAGTAGAGATGGAATTTCACAATGTTGGCCAGGCTGGTCTCAAACTCCTGACCTTGTGATCTGCCCACCTTGGCCTCCCAAAGTGCTGGGATTACAGGCAGAGATGGGGTGTCACCATGTTGCCCAGGTTGGTCTCGAACTCCTGACCTCAGGTGGTCTGCCCACCTCAGCCTCCCAAAGTGCTGGGATTATAGGCGTGAGCCACCACATCCAGCCAGTATTAATTCTTAAACTTTAGTATGAGGCCAGGTGCAATGGCTCATGCCTGTAATCCCCGGACTTTGGGAAGCCAAGGTAGGAAGATTACTTGAGGCCAGGAGTTTAAGAGCAGCCTGGACAACATAGCAAGACCCTGTCTGTAAAAACCAAAAACCAAAAACCCCAAAACCAAAAAATTAGCCGGGCATGGTGGCGTGCATCTATAGTCCTGGCTACCTAGGAGGCTGAGGCAGGAGGAATGACCCCAGGAAGCTGAGGCTGCAATGAGCCATGATTGGGGGCCCTGGTCTCAAAAAAACACACCAAAGCCCAAAAACTTTGGTATGCATCAGAACAACGGGGATGTTTGTTAAAAATGCAGATACCTGGCACCTACTAATCTGTATCAGACCAAGAAAAGGTTAAGAGTACTCTTTAGATTTTTTCCATTCACCAAAAAAAAGAAGTCTGATCTGTCATCTGTACCCTTTAATAATCTTAACTTTGGTTGAGAATACAATTTAAGGCTGGGCGCAGTGGCAGGCGCCTGTAATCCCAGAAACTCAGGAGGCTGAGGCAGGAGAATCGCTAGAACCCTGGGGGCAGAGGTTGCAGTGAGCTGAGGTGGTGCCACTGCACTCCAACCTGGGTGACAGAGTGAGACTCCGTCTCAAAAAAAAAAAAAAAAGAGAATACAATTTATTTTCTTTGATTTTTATAAGAAAATGAGATTCTGCCACATATTCATCTTACATTTAAATTATACTTACCTTATTTTAATAAACAATACCAAGTAAACACCTTCAGGCATTTACTAAAGATCTTAATATTGAACCAGCGCCATCCAGCTCTTGCAAAAGAATAGTGGAAACAGATATTTGAGAAAGACGTGACCCGAGAACATGCTTAGTATTGAATCCTTTACTATTTCTTAACGCTATCCCTCAAACAAACTAAGATCACCACAAATCCACATGCTTGGACTTTGTTGGTTTGGCTCTCTGAGGAAATGCTTTCAATTTCTATCTTAATTAACTCGCTCCCATTCAATGCTCAGTTTACTGCAGCCTGGATATTGCTCCACCATGCTTCTAAAACTGCCGTCGCTAAGGTCAACAGCAAACACTGGTTTAGATGTTAAGAAGGTGCTCTTCAGAGCCAGTTCAGCTCTGTTTGAATCCTGCTTTTGCCACTTCCTGGTTTGGGGACTTTGCTTAACTCCTTTGTGCTACTCATTGTTCTTTTCTGTAAAATGGGGATAATGATGGTTACCTACAACCTAGGATAACTGAGAGGCGTGAGTGAGGTAAAGCTTGTTGGGATTAAAGCAGTGCACATAGTACACATTCAACAACCACTGTTCACCAAAATGTGAGCTCCATCAAGGGCAAGGTCAATGGTTTGTTCAAGACTGCATCCTGAGTGCCTGACATATAGTAGGTATTCAAATACAAGTGAAATGAATTACTAATTCCAATTGCATATTCAGGTCCTTTCTTACTTGATTGTACCGTGACAATTGATCAATGGTCATACAGCAATTATTTTGTGCCATATTAACTCATTTAATTCCCATAACAATTCTATGAGACAGGTACAATTATTGTATGCATTTTATAAATGATGGAACTGAAGAACAGAGGAGTTGAGTAATGTTTCCAAGCTCACACAGCTAGTAAATGGTAGAGCTAGAGTTAGAACCTGGGCAGTCTGGTTTTAGAGTCTTTGCCTGTAACCTATGTTTGCTGCTAATCATTTCTCCCTAACTGAAACTCTCTTCTACTGGCTTCCATGAAAACATCCTCTTTACATCTCTGACTCCTCTGGTTCCTCTCTTTCTGCTCATCTCTGTAACGTTGACATTTTCCAGAACTCTGTCCAAGGCCATTGTCTTTACATACTTTACATGTTTGCTAGTTGATGACTTCAATTTCCACCTGTACTCTGATGAATCCCAAATCCACAGCTGTATCCCAGTTATCCTTTGTAAGGCTCAAATCTCTGTGTCCAGTTGTTCACCGGACCACACTCAACATATGTAAAATAAATTTCTTAGTTTCCCCAATAAATGCGCATTTATTCCATTTAATTCTCTACACTGGGAAATGATACCACCACCCATACCGTCACTGAAGCCAGAAACCTGAAATTATCTGGAACTCAGCTCTCTCCTTTTCTTTCCATGTCCAGCATCCACATCCAATCAACTGTGTCCCCTAAACACCTCTGCATTCTCACAACCATTTCCCCATTTCTGTTTCTCTTTCCCTGACTACCTTCCTAACTGGTTGCCCTACTTCTGATCTGTGCCACTTTAATCCACCTCCTTCATTGCTACTAGAGTTATTTAAAGAAAAAAAAAAAGGTGGGAATTGAACAATGAGAACACATGGACACAGGAAGGGGAACATCACACTCTGGGGACTGTTGTGGGGTAGGAGGAGGGGGGAGGGATAGCTTTAGGAGATATACCTAATGCTAAATGATGAGTTAATGGGTGCAGCACACCAGCATGGCACATATGTACATATGTAACTAACCTGCACATTGTGCACATGTACCCTAAAACTTAAAGTATAATAATAATAAAATAAAAAAAAGAAAAAAAAAGAAAAAACTCATTACATCACTTTTCCCATTAAAATTCTTTAATAATCCCCTCTTCCTAGAGAATAGCTGAACTCCTTGACATGATATGCAAAACCTTTCATGATCTGGTCCTTTCTTCCTTTCCAGTTTCGTCACCTTGCCTGTCTCACTTGAAAACTAGTTGCTCCAGCAATTCTGAACTCCTTGGAGGTAACTCTGGCCTGGTTGGTGCTCTCAAAACTCTCTTTTTCAAATTATCTCAGAAATGTCCTTTCCCAGCCGTCTCCCTGATCATTCCTTCTACTCCTTCAAGGATCAGATCTTTATGGCCAGACACGGTGGCTCATGCCTGTAATCCTAGCACTTTGGGAGGCCGAGGTGGGTGGATCACCTGAGGTCAAGAGTTCAAGACCAGGTTGGCCAACATGGTGAAAACCCATCTCTATTAAAAATACAAAAATTAGCAGGGCGTGGTGGCAGATGCCTGTAATCTCAGCTACTCAGGAGGCTGAGGCAGAAGAATTGCTTGAACCCGGGTGACGGAGGTTGCAGTGAGCCGAGCGAAGCAAGACTCCATCTCAAACACAACAAAACAAAATCAGATCTTTAGAAAAATATCAAATCAAAATGCTTCACACAAAAAAGAGGCAGTCACTTCATGAATTTTGGCTTCCCTTTGAAAACTCACTGTCTTCCCTTGGTGAAACTGAGTTTTCTACTTATAAGCTTCTTTTGGTCTATTTTTAAAAATAACTTCTCTACTAGACTTCTTGATGGTTAAGATCCACATCTTAACCCTACTTGGAGTCACACAGTGCCTGATACCTAGTGAGTACTCAATAAATGTAAATGGATAATGTAAGAATTATTACTAATTACTCAGTTTCCATTGTATGTAGATAGAAGAAATAGACTTTTGTCTAGCACACATTGAATTCTAGCACACATTGAATTTTCATTATGTGCTAGGCATCATGTTAAATGTTACCTACTTTATCGTGACAACCCTGTACAATTACTATTATTACTGAATAAGGAAAGTTAGCCTCAGAGAAGTTAAGAAAACTGCCCAAAGTCACAGGGTTAGTGTGTGGTAGAGCTCGGAGTACCGGAGTACATCCAAGTTTGTTTGACTCCAAACCTTTTTTTTTTTTTTTTTTGAGATGGAGTCTCACTGTCACCAGGCTGGAGTGCAATGGCCTGATCTCGGCTCACTGCAACGTCCACCTCCTGGATTCAGGCGATTCTCCTGCCTCAGCCTCCTGAGTAGCTGGGATTACAGGTGTCCACCACCAAGCGTGGCTAATTTTCATATTTTTAGTAGAGACGGGGTTTCACCATGTTGCCCAGGATGGTCTCGAACTCCTGACCTCAAGAGATCCACCTGCCTCGGCCTCCCAAAGTGCGGGGATTACAGGCGTGAGTCACCATGCCCGGCCCCAAATCCTTAGCTTTTAACCTTTACCCTCGACTGCCCCTTTGGATCCTGTTTGGTTCTTCTGCAAAACTGTCATCTAAAATATTCTCCTTAGCCAGGCACAGTGGCTCACACCCAGCACTCTGGGAGTCTGAGGTGGGTGGATCACTTGAGTCTAGGAGTTCCAGATCAGCCTGGGAAACACGGTGAAACCCCGTCTCTACAAAAATACAAAAATTAGCTGGGCGTGGTGGTGCATGTCTGTAGTACCGCTACTAGGGAGGCTGAGGTGGGAGGACTGATTGAGCTCGGGTCAAGGCTGCAGTGAGCCATGATCGCACCACTGCACTCCAGTCTGGGCAACAGAGCGAGACCCTGTCTCAAAAAAAAAAAAAAAAAGAAAAGAAAGAAAGAAAGGAAAGATATTCTCCTTTATGTCACTCAGTATTGCTCTTAGGAAATATTTTTTGTGAAAAATAGATCTTATTATCAGACAGTGGGAACCATGTAGTAACCCATCACGTTCTCTTTCTTGGGTTGGCCACCTGGAGTGAAGTGAAATTCCTGTTGGAATTATTTTATCTTTTCCTGGGCTTCTGGCTTCTTTCAGATTTTATTTTTGGCCAGGTATGGTGGCTCACGCCTATAATCCCAACACTTTGGGAGGCCCAGGCCAGTGGATCACTTGAAGCCAGAAGTTCAAGGCCAGTCCTGGCCAACATGGTGAAACCCTGTCTCTACTAAAAAAACAAAAATTAGCTGGGCGTGGTGGCACATTCCTGTAGTTCCAGCTACTGGGGAGGCTGAGGCAGGGGATTTGCTTGAACTCAGGAGGCAGGGGTTGAGGTGAGCTGAGATCGTGCCATTTCACTCCAGCCTGGGCAACAGAGTGAGGCTCTGTCTCAAAACAAAACACAAAAACAAAAAAAAAAACCCAGATTTTGGCCAGGCGCAGTGGTTCATGCCTGTAATCCCAGCACTTTGGGAGGCTGAGGCGGGTGGATCACTTGAGGTCAGGAGTTCGAGACCAGCCTGACCAACAAGGTGAAACCCCTCTACTAAAAATACAAAAATTAGCTGGGTGTAGTGGTGCATGCCTGTAATCCCAGCTACTTGGGAGGCTGAAGCAGGAGAATCAATTGAACCCAGGAGGCAGAGGTTGCAGTGAGCCAAGCTTGGGCCATTGCACTCCAGCCTGGGCACCAAGAGCGAAACTCCATCTCAAAAACAAAACTAAACTAAACTAAACAAAAACAGATTTTATTTTCAACTACCCAGTGATATACATAGATAGGTATAGTTATATGTATGTACTAAACATATATCTGTATATATTATATATATGAAAATCTATCTATGAGAATAGAAATAAAATATTTATATTTATATATGACTTATGTATATATACATTTTATATATATATGATAGGATAGTTAGAAGTAAAATTTGAAAAAAATCAGAAGCCCAGAAAAAGAGAAAATAATTCTACCAGGAATTTCATTATAGTACATATAATAAATTCATTTTAGCTGGGCACCTGTAGTCTAGCTACTAGGGAGGTTGAGGCAGGAAGATCACTTGAGCCTAGGAATTCGAGGCTGCAGTTGCTATGATCCTGCCTATGAATTGCTACTCCACTCTAGTCTGGGCAAAATAGAGAGGCACTGCCTCTTGAAAACTAAATAAATAAAAATAAAAATGAGGCCACTTAAAAAATAAACACACTTTAAATAAACCCACTTTTTTGTTCAAATTTATTATAGCCCTTATATTAAAATAAGAATCTAGGAAAAAAATCTAATCTTACCTCCAAATCAAATCAATATTTCATTTGTCTGTCTTACATTTCGATCCTTATTCGCGTGCAGATTGTTTTCTATATTTACAGTAACATGATACATAGAATTTTATATTCCACCTCTTTTCTTGACAACATCAGCATGTTTTTCTAGTTTGCTCTGTCTCACTTGTTTCTCCTTTTCTTTTTGTTTTTTGAGATGGAGTTTCGCTCTTGTTGCCCAGGCTAGAGTGCAGTGGCGCGATCTTGGCTCATGGCAACCTCCGCCTCCAAGGTTCAAGTGATTCTCCTGCCTCAGCCTCCCAAGTAGCTGCAATTATAGGTGCTCGCCACCATGCCAGGCTAATTTTTGTATTTTTAGTAGAGACGGGGTTTCACCATGTTGGCCAGCCTGGTCTCCAACTCCTGAACTCTGGTGATCCACCCGCCTTGGCCTCCCAAAGTGTTGAGATTACAGACATGAGCCAACGCGCCCAGCCTGTCTCACTTGTTTCTGACTTACCTCCTCTTCCTCTTATCCTTCCCATTAGGAAACCAGTGACGACGACAACAGTTTGGTGTGCATCCTTGCACATCTTTCTCCTGTGTAATTATTAATAGTTACATTTGGGCAGAAGAAGGGAGAGTTTTGCTATTTGTTTTACAAAAGTAAGAATATATAACATAATGCATCTTTCCTCTTGCTTTTTTTGTTTAACTATGCAAGGACATCCCTCCAGACTAATATAGCTCCAACTCATTCTTTTAGTTGCCTAATATCCTAAGGGATAAAGATACCACAATTTATTCAGTTGTTCTCGTGCTGAAGGGCATTCAAGTTGTTTCTAGTTCTTTGCCACTGTGCACAATGCAGCAACAAGCAACCTCAAAAATACATATCCTTCACACTAACGCTTTTGTTTCTATAGGATGTAATCCCCAAAGCGGGAATTGTTTATAGAAAGTAGATTGGGGCCATGTGCACTGGCTCACGCCTGTAATCCCACCACTTTGGGAGGCTGAGGCAGGCAGATCACGAGGTCAGGAGATTGAGACCATCCTGGCTAACACAGTGAAACCCCCTCTATTAAAAATACAAAAAATTAGCTGGGTGTGGTGGCAGGCTCCTGTAGTCCCAGCTACTCGGGAGGCTGAGGCAGGAGAATTGCTTGCACCTGGGAGGCGGAGGTTGCAGTGAGCCGAGATCATGCCACTGTACTCCAGCCTGGGTGACAAGTGAGACTCTGTCTCAAAACAAAACCAAAATCAAACAAACAAAACAAACAAACAAAAAAAGAAAGATTGGAACAGGATTTGTAAATACATAAAAGTACACAGCATAGTAACATACATTCAAAAAAGTTCAGTAAATGATGACAATAAGAATATTTGACAATACGGTTACCTAGCAGCCTTTTTTTGATGGCAAAAGGTAAGTTTCCCAGCAACCAGAAAGTATACGTCATTGAATGAGAATCTATAAGGAAAGTACAAGAGGCAGAAACTGGCCCATAGCTACTGAAAATCATTGTTACCAACTGCATTTCTTGTTGTACTTGCTAGGTGGAGGACCAGGGTTACTTGAAGCCCTATTACTAAATACTGAGTCCCTAACCCTATGAGCTAATCAAACTGCAATATGCTTTTAATAAACTTGAGCTTTGAAAAGTCTCACCAATTGCATTATCTTGAAGCTAGTGACTTAAGAGTTATGAAGTTGTTGGCTGGGGGCGGTGGCCCACGCCTGTAATCCCAGCACTTTGGGAGGCCGAGGCGGGCAGACCACCCTGGCTAATACTGTGAAACCCCGTCTCTACTAAAAATACAAAAAACTAGCCGGGCATGGTGGTGGGCGCCTGTAGTCCCAGCTACTCGGGAGGCTGAGTCAGGAGAATGGCATGAACCCAGGAGGCGGAGCTTGCAGTGAGCCAAGATCACACCACTGCACTCCAGCCTGGGCGGCAGAGCAAGACTGCGTCTCAAAAAAAAAAAAGAGTTATGAAGGTGTCTATTTAAGACAATGTGTGTGAAAGAGCATTTATTAGGAGTCAAACAGTAATCCTTGGCTCTGCCAACTTGTCAGCATTGTGGCACTTTGAGCAAGCCTCAAAATCCCCATATATAAGAATAAAGCTAATAATACTCACACTGCCTCCTTTGCAATGTTGTAGTGAAGAACAAATGGGTTTATGTAAATGAAAGTGCTTGAGAGAGCTATCCAGATATTAGCACTGTTAATACTATTCTTATTCCTGAGGAGGCAATGTGCTATGTATGGGGCACCTGTCCTGTTCTTTCTGTTGCCAAGAAAGAAAATATTACCACTTAAAAAAGATTGATTCTGTAACAATCATGAAGTGTACTGTAAAAGTACAGATCAATATAACAACAGACTTGATGTCAACCACTGAATCTATTTGCAGATAATGCTCAAGACTTCTAGAACAGTGTAAATATTTACAAAGTCGCCTCAGTTTTCAATGTTTCATAGATAAATGAGAATGAAATCATCAAGAATGTTTTTTTCTCTTTCCCTTAGTTTCTATTTTTAACTTCTGTACAGTATCAGATGTAATATCCTGGTGTTCTTTCCCAACTCCTGGCCCCTGCCCATAAAGTACACGCATGCTACAGGAATCCAGCTACACTTTGGATGCTTCCTGCCCAATTAATGTTATTTTTACTGTGACTAAAGCATTGAGAAATAGGTACCTCTATAGAAAATACTTCATATATTAATACATTACAGATGAACTGTTCTATAAATGGAATAGTAGAAACCACCTAACAGACATGAGAGATCATTCAATTCAGAAATGTGACATACTTTCAGTATTGACTCTTTAGTAGGACAGAATGTTGCTATAAGGAGTTCCAGAAATCACAGTGCCAGTTGAAGTTTGGCAGTTGGTTCCTTCCAGCTGTTTTTAAAGGTATCCTCTCTGCAGGAATTTAAAAGTGGCTCATAGTATGGCTTAAGATGTTTATGTTTAGCTGTTTCTGTTGTGATTCTTCCCTTTGAGAAAATAGGATGTTTTTCTAGTAGTAAAGGGTTTATGAAGTTCTGTGGCATTAGATCTAAATGATCATGACTGTGAATACCTGGTAAAATTAATGGAGAAAAAAGACATCATGTGTGGGGCATACAATTATGGGGCATAAAATTAGTTACAAAAAAACTAATTTTTATTGTTAATGTTATACGTTTCAACTGGTTGTGGCAGCATCAGATAGACACCCCAAGTGAAAGAGAAGCAGAGAGTCCTTGGCATGATTTCAGGTTTCAGACTCCCTCATGGTCTTTAGAAACATCCTTCTGGGGCTTCCTTACCATGCTGTTAGGTGTACATCTGTTGAGGACAGGCAAAAAGAGAAAAAAGCTTTTGAGATGGAAGCTGCCTGTATCTAAAATCCTTTTAAATTCTAAATCCTATTTTCAAAAGGAATATTTTTGTTGTGATCATTTTACATTTAAGGTTAAATGTATTAAAATTAAAAATGTATAATAAGTAACGTGGTAGTGTAGTAAATAAAAATATGAAGCATACTCTACTTTCTCAGTTTACCAAAACGTGGGGAAAAAATAAAACTTACAAGACAGATAAATTACAAGGGTGATTATACCATTATTAAAGTGCTCTTTGATTTTCTTTTTATTTATTTATTTTTTAGAGATAGGATCTCACTCTGTTGCCAGGATGGACTGGAGAGCAGTGGTGCGATCATAGCTCACTGCAGCCTCCAACTTCTGGGCTCAAGTGATCCTCTCACCTCCTGAGTAGCTGAGACTACAAGCATGCAGCACCACGCCCGGCTAACTTTTAAATTTTTGGTAGAGACAGGGTCTTGCTATGTTGCCAAGGCTTGTCTCAAACTCCCAGCCTCAAGCAGTCCTCCTGCCTCAGCCTCCCAAAGAGTTGGGATTACAGGTGTGAACAACTGCACCTGGTTAGCTCTTTGATTTTCAAAGCATCATATAGATTTCACATAAACAGCTGGGTTTCTTATACGGAAATAATAATGCATGTTGTTCAATGTTCAGGAAATTTTATTTGTTCAGGAAATTTTATTTGTTCAGGAACTCATCTATTGTACAAAGCAAAATATTCCTATCTCATAAATAGAATTAAAATTTGAATGACTTACTCTTAAATTTTTATTTATGCAGCAAAATAAGGAATAAAAAATTAACAATTATTGAGGGAAGAGGGACTCTTAATTATCTTAGAGTTTTTACATAAATCAGAAAAAAGATTTTTTTTTCTTAACTATTTAGAATTATCCAGAATTGGAGCAAACAAGTAGCCTATAAAATGAGTACTAAACTCAAGTACTGAGTGGCTTGAATTTAGTCTGCACTAAATGGATCTTGACCAAGGCTACTGGAAGGAGGAAAGTGAGTGTTGGTATTGAACTTTGGGACATCGTGTATACACAGTAAAAAAAAGTGTAGCTATAGTTGAATTTTTAAAAGTTTATTATCAAAATGGAAATTGTTTATTGTTCATAACTCTTCATTAATCATTCTTATTAAAACAAATGTATGTATTGCAACAGTTTTAGTTTCAGAAATTATAAAGGTAGTAGTATTGAATTAGATTTGTTATAATGAATATACCATACTAATGTAAAATGTTAAAAATAGAGGAAACTGGGGATGTATCGGATATATGCAAACTGTTAGTACTATCTTTCTTTGTTGTTTTTTTTTTGAGACGGAGTTTCACTCTTGTGGCCCAGACTGGTATGCGGTGGTGCAATCTCTGCTCACTGCAACCTCCGCCTCCCGGGTTCAAGTGATTCTCCTGCCTCAGCCTTCCTAGTAGCTGGGATTACAGGCATGTGCTACCACGCCCGGCAAATTTTTTATTTTTAGTAACGACGAGGTTTCACCATGTTGGCCAGGCTGGTCTTGAACTCCTGACCTCAGGTGATCTGCCCGCCTCGGCCTCCAAAAGTGCTGGGAATACTGGCAAGAGCCACCGTGCCCAGCCTGAGTACTATCTTATCAATTTTTCTGTAAAACTAAAATTGCTGTAAAAAACAAAGTCTATTTAAAAAGAAACTAAATAAAAACAAGAATCACTAGTTTTATACAATCTCTTTGTTCTGGGATTGTTTCCATTATCTGTAAAATCTAAGCATTCAGAGATAAACAAATATTAAAATATTCCTTTAATATTTTACTTTTGAAAGAATCATATTACTTAACTATTTGAACCATTTCTAGATTTAGTACAGACTCCTATTTAATATTTGGCTTGTTAGTACCTAACAAGAATACTACAATGTAGATTTTTATTTCCTCACTGAAGTGAAAATTTTTTGCTGTCTGTTTTCTCTAAGTTTAAAGCATATAGTTTTATTTTCTTTTAAAAGTTAAGATTTTAGAGTTAAAAGTGAATTTATATTTTCTAATTAATTAAGCATTTTCTAAAGCTAAAGACTAATCAACATCTTTGGAATATTTGTTACATATATAGATTACAATAAAAATGTATGCAGTTCACAACAGATGGTAATGTGAAATTTTATCTCGAGCTGGTATTTCAAGTATTATTTCAAAACCTATTCATACTTATTACCTTAAGTTTATTCTTTTAGCTGCTTTATAATTTTTTTTTTTTAATTTTAACCCTGTTGAAGATTGTAACAAATATATTCTAGTTGCTACAGTCTAAAACAGTGCTTGGAAATACTGATGCTTAGTGTTATTTCTATGATTACTTTAATAACATTTCCTGAGTTTAATTTTTTCATTACCCAGCTATCTTTCAGAACTGGTATATTGATTTTTCTAATTAATATTCTTTGTACTTGGGATGGTATTTTTATTTTGTACTTCTAAAGAATTGAATAGCACAACCATTATAAGTGATGTGCTTGCTATGTTATCATATAAATGCTCAAGGTACACCTTCTAATGTTGAAAAATAGGAAAATAAATTGACCTTGATGAAGTGTGTCTTCTTTTGTCTGTTCCCAGGAAAGTTTATTTCAGGTATTTCTACTGCTGAAATGATTAGCGTTAACAGCTTTTCCCCTCCATTTTATTTTACAGGGTCTCTTCATCTTCCTGATATATGGGGTGTACAACACAGAGGTAAGTCTGCTTGGAGTATCTCAAGGCTGACAGAGTGAATGAGAGAAATGACAGGTTTCTTATCTTGATAACTGAGGAACAAAGTTGGCTTTTCATATGAGTGTCCTACTGCCCTTCATGCTTGGACTAGCTTATATGCATCCCAGCTTACCATTAAACACTGACACCCTGAATAAAGGGACAGCCTCATTTCTCACAGGCGTTGACTAATATTTTACGACTGCCTTAAGTTTTTGAACTTTCAGTCTTTAACACTTAGCTATTGTAGAAAAAAACAAAAACAAAAACAAAAAAACAACTCAGCCTCTCCTATACTCTCACTCAACAATCAACACAGAAGATTTCTGCGACCAAATGTGTAGGGGTTTCTCCCCACACACCGAGCAAGCAATCAATTCTGCAGCAGACACCACTGGGGTGTCCTCCAATTCAATTCTGACACTACCTACCTGGAGACAGCATCAGATCCCCCAGATTAAGAGCCCAGGCCTACAAGACTGGCCGGCCGCATTTCAGATGCCAATCACAAGCCCCAGGTAGTTTTACCTGTGCTTCTGACTGACCAGCTGTAAATCGGGGTTCCCATGACCCCTTCCTTGGGCTTGATTAATTTGCTAGAGCAGCTCATAGAACCCAGGCAAACACTTACGTTTTCCGGTTTACTATTAAGGACATTACAAAGGCTATCGATGAACACCAGATGAAGAGATGGATGGGGGAAAGTCTGTGGGAAGGGGCGCGGAGCTTCCACGCCCTTTCCGGGTGCGCCATCCTCCTGGAACCTTCACGGGTTCGCTTACAGGAAGCTCTCCAAACCCCGTCCTTTTTTAGGTTTTTATGAAGGCTTCATTACACAGGCATGATTGATTAAATCATTGGCCATTGAAGATCAACTTAACCTTCAATCCCTCTCTCCTCCCCGGAGGTCGGGGGGTGGGACTGAAAGTCCCAAACTCTAATCCTGCCTTGGTCTTTCCGGTGACCAGCCCCCATCCTGAAGCTACCTAGGGGTTGCCAGCCATCATCAGTCGCTTCATTAGCATACAAAAAGACATTTATTACTTTGCAGATTCCAAGGATTTTTAGCAGTTGTATGCCACAAAACGGTTCAAAGTCCAAATATATATTTCACAATATCACAACTATACTTGACAGTATTAAAGTGTCAGTTTAAGTGGTGGAATACTTACATGTTGTTTCATGGGATTAGAAAAAAAGCAATTTCTTCTTATCTCAAAATTCTCATTAAATATTGTCTGTAAAATTTTTAGGGCAGGCTGAGAGAGGTCCATAAGTATTAGTAAATAATCCCTATGGTTTCGATTGTGAAATTTCCCAGAGAATTTATTATTTAATTATGAGAAGTTATTTAGCTAGAAACATTGTGATGTACATGTAACTTCATTAAGAAAACATACTATGTAAATAAGCTGTTGTCATAGTTCTAGTTCTTTTATTTAAAATTTCTCATTTATAAATATCCTTTGCTAGGAAAGTGTCTGGTTTAGATTTCTGCATGCTTAACATGAAATCGAGTGCCTTGTGTACATTAGACACTGAATAAATATTTGTTGTTTGATTTTGTTGATATAACTTTGATTTTAAGATTTTACTTCATAATTTTCCCTTACAAGAAAAATTTCTAAATTTGCAATGAGTTTCTCGGTATTCTGTACTGGCGAGGAAAGAGTTGATCCTAGCAGAGCTCTTAGAATGGCCTGGTGGTTAATTTTTCATAAACAATATAAAGGGCCAGGCATTCATAACGTGGCAAACAGACTGATTAGCCAGGCTAAGGTACGGGGGCATTTAAATAAGATGTAATGATAATGAAGTATGTGTGTGGGCGTGTTTTACAGGACTGCTGCACCTGGATTACGCTCGGTTTCCTCTTCCAGTAGCCTTCAGGAAGGTTGGCAGTAAGACAAGTTTTTTTCTTTTTCTTTTTTTTTTTTTTGTTGCAACGGTACCACTAATTGCGGTTTCAAAGCAGGCTCCTCCCATAAATGCAAAGGATATGCGCCCATTATTAGTGCTTCCAAATTCAAAGGGATAACATAAGCACCTGTTTTAATAAATGTTGAGCATTTGGAGTTGAATGCTTCTTGATAGAATCAAAAGTGCCCTCAATGATCCACTTCTAGGTTTGAATTTTATTTCAAGACCTGGATTGCAAAACCTAGAGTGAAGAAAGCCCTAACATTGAATCCTCAGTTTCCCTCACCTTCTCTTCCAGCCCCTTTCTCTGCATCTCCCACGCCACGCTGTAGTACAGTCCCCCGTAACTTCCCGCCCCTTGGGTTCCACCTCCTGAGCGTCTTTCCCCCAGAAACCCTCAACCACTTTCATCTCCTTCAGTGCAGCCCACCAATCACGCCTGTTCGCCTCGAAAGCCCCTTTTTAGCAGGGCTCCAAATCCCCGCCTCCCCTGCCCTTGCTCCCCCGCCTCCGCCCAACGGCCCCAGTGATTGACAGGCAGGCCGGGCGGAAGCTGCGGCGCAGGCGCCCTGGCTCCTTAGCCCTCCCCTCTGGCCGGGTCGAGGAGTTCCCAGCAGACACTGCGCCGCGGCTGCGCAGTACACGGGAGGCTTTTAATTCCATTGTGGAGAGGACGGCGTTATTTTTATTAACTGGAGGCGACGGCGGCTGCGGCGGCGGCGGGACCCGTAAGTATTGCCGGTGGGTCCAGGAGGGAGAGGGCGAGGCCTGGGGAAGAGTCGCAGGACCATGCGTGCCGGTGCCGGAGGCGACTGGGCTGGGAATTAGTGCTGGGCGCGTTGCGGTCTGGGCGGCGGCGCGGCGGGGTCCTTAGCGCTGCGGTGGTCCCGGCCCGGGGCCCGGTTCCACCTCCTTTCCTCCCTCTTCCCTCTTCCTCCTCCTTTCTTCAGCCAGGCCTCCTCCGGGGTATGAAAATCGGCAGTGGGTTCCTGAGTGGCGGCGGAGGTACCGGCAGTAGCGGTGGTAGCGGCTCCGGCGGCGGTGGTAGTGGCGGCGGCGGCGGCGGCGGCAGCAGCGGCAGGAGGGCAGAGATGGAACCCACCTTTCCCCAGGGTATGGTTATGTTCAACCACCGTCTTCCCCCGGTCACCAGCTTCACCCGGCCGGCGGGGTCGGCCGCCCCTCCCCCGCAATGCGTGTTATCCTCCTCTACCTCCGCAGCCCCGGCCGCTGAGCCCCCCCCTCCGCCAGCCCCGGACATGACTTTCAAGAAGGAGCCGGCGGCGTCAGCCGCGGCCTTCCCCTCGCAGAGGACCTCCTGGGGGTTCTTGCAGTCTTTGGTTAGCATCAAACAGGAGAAACCCGCGGATCCTGAGGAGCAGCAGTCCCACCACCACCATCACCACCACCACTATGGGGGGCTGTTCGCTGGAGCTGAAGAGAGGTCTCCAGGCCTAGGAGGCGGTGAAGGGGGGAGTCACGGCGTCATCCAGGACCTCAGTATTCTCCACCAGCATGTCCAGCAGCAACCAGCCCAGCACCACCGTGACGTATTACTCAGCAGCAGTAGCAGGACTGATGACCACCATGGCACTGAGGAGCCAAAGCAGGACACTAATGTCAAAAAGGCAAAAAGGCCAAAGCCAGAATCTCAGGGAATCAAAGCCAAGAGGAAGCCAAGTGCATCTTCCAAACCTTCTTTGGTTGGAGATGGAGAAGGTGCCATCCTCTCCCCAAGTCAGAAACCTCATATCTGTGATCACTGTAGTGCTGCTTTCCGAAGCTCCTATCACCTGCGGAGACATGTCCTCATTCATACAGGAGAAAGACCTTTCCAGTGCAGCCAGTGTAGTATGGGTTTCATTCAGAAATACCTACTACAGAGACATGAGAAAATTCATAGTAGAGAGAAGCCATTTGGATGTGATCAGTGCAGCATGAAGTTTATTCAGAAGTACCATATGGAGAGACACAAGAGGACACATAGTGGAGAAAAGCCATATAAGTGTGACACTTGCCAACAGTATTTTTCAAGGACTGATAGATTGTTGAAGCACAGGCGCACATGTGGTGAAGTCATAGTTAAAGGAGCCACTAGTGCAGAACCTGGGTCATCAAACCATACCAATATGG
Source organism: Homo sapiens (assembly GCF_000001405.40). Classification (NCBI taxonomy): domain Eukaryota; kingdom Metazoa; phylum Chordata; class Mammalia; order Primates; family Hominidae; genus Homo; species Homo sapiens. Next base: position 200,408,540 of record NC_000001.11, on the reverse strand, counting down.
GTAATCTGGCTGTGTTGTCTCAGGGAAATACAAGTTCTTCAAGGAGAAAAACAAAGTCAAAAAGCATAGCTATTGAAAATAAGGAACAGAAGACCGGTAAAACAAATGAATCGCAAATTTCAAATAATATAAACATGCAGAGTTACTCAGTAGAAATGCCTACCGTGTCTTCCAGTGGAGGCATAATTGGCACTGGAATAGATGAACTGCAGAAGAGGGTGCCAAAATTGATCTTTAAGAAAGGAAGCAGAAAGAATACAGATAAAAACTACCTTAACTTTGTGTCACCATTACCAGACATAGTAGGACAGAAATCCTTGTCTGGAAAACCAAGTGGCTCACTTGGCATAGTATCAAATAATAGTGTGGAGACCATTGGTCTTCTCCAAAGTACAAGTGGCAAACAAGGTCAGATAAGTAGTAATTATGATGATGCCATGCAGTTTTCAAAGAAAAGAAGATATTTACCAACTGCCAGCAGCAACAGTGCCTTTTCTATAAACGTAGGACACATGGTCTCCCAACAGTCTGTCATTCAGTCTGCAGGTGTCAGTGTTTTGGACAATGAGGCACCATTGTCACTTATTGACTCCTCAGCTCTAAATGCTGAAATTAAATCTTGTCATGACAAGTCTGGAATTCCTGATGAGGTTTTACAAAGTATTTTGGATCAATACTCCAACAAATCAGAAAGCCAGAAAGAGGATCCTTTCAATATTGCAGAACCACGAGTGGATTTACACACCTCAGGAGAACACTCAGAATTGGTTCAAGAAGAAAATTTGAGCCCAGGCACCCAAACACCTTCAAATGATAAAGCAAGTATGTTGCAAGAATACTCCAAATACCTCCAACAGGCTTTTGAAAAATCCACTAATGCAAGTTTTACTCTTGGACACGGTTTCCAATTTGTCAGTTTGTCTTCACCTCTCCACAACCACACTTTGTTTCCAGAAAAACAAATATACACTACGTCTCCTTTGGAGTGTGGTTTCGGCCAATCTGTTACCTCAGTGTTGCCATCTTCATTGCCAAAGCCTCCTTTTGGGATGTTGTTTGGATCTCAGCCAGGTCTTTATTTGTCTGCTTTGGATGCTACACATCAGCAGTTGACACCTTCCCAGGAGCTGGATGATCTGATAGATTCTCAGAAGAACTTAGAGACTTCATCAGCCTTCCAGTCCTCATCTCAGAAATTGACTAGCCAGAAGGAACAGAAAAACTTAGAGTCTTCAACAGGCTTTCAGATTCCATCTCAGGAGTTAGCTAGCCAGATAGATCCTCAGAAAGACATAGAGCCTAGAACAACGTATCAGATTGAGAACTTTGCACAAGCGTTTGGTTCTCAGTTTAAGTCGGGCAGCAGGGTGCCAATGACCTTTATCACTAACTCTAATGGAGAAGTGGACCATAGAGTAAGGACTTCAGTGTCAGATTTCTCAGGGTATACAAATATGATGTCTGATGTAAGTGAGCCATGTAGTACAAGAGTAAAGACACCCACCAGCCAGAGTTACAGGTAAGGTCCCAAAAGTGGCCAGGCTGGAGGTCTTCTAATGTAATTTTGTTTTATTTTGAGAACACTGCCATTGGAATGTTTCTACACGATCCTATTAAGAATAATGTGATGCCCTTTCAATGCAACTTTTCATATTTAGTTTATTTTGTTAGCGTGATTTTAGCTCTGTTTGTATTATGATTTTTAATCAAAATCAATAGATTAAAAATAGTTTGACATTCAAAGTGACAATGTTTAGCAATCAAATTTACATGTATAGATCGTCAGGGAATAGCCCAAATGTTTTAAACGCAAAAAAAAAGACAAAAAAAAACCAAAAAAAAAAAACCTACAAAAAAAACTTTGTTGCTAGGATTAAGGTTATTCTAATTGCTTTACTCTCAGGAAAGTGTAATAACGCATGGGAATTCTGTACGTTATCACTGTAATGGAATATCCAATTTACAGATAGTATGATATACATTTCATCATTTAAGTAAGGGATCGAAAACATTTCAAATTGCTCTATCTGGGCTGATAGACATTTCGTCATTTAAGTAAGGGATCGAAGACATTTCAAATTGCTATCTCCATCTGGGCTGATCCAAAATTCTGAGATTGTTGGCTACCTATATTTTGTTGCAGCTTTTAAATGTACTCTGAACTTCCAAACCACATTCATTCCAGCCTGGTAGAACAAATATTCTTGGATCTTTGATCAAAGCCTGGAATGATAGCTTTAATAAAAGAAGGAAAAAAAAAAAGCACCCTCTCTTGATCTCAACTGTAACAAGGCTGTAATTCCATCAAGCGATTCTACTGACATCTAGTACAGTGTTGAAGCCCAAGTGGTTGGCTGGTTCCAGTATTAGAACTCAAGTTGAAATTATATGATTAACTGAAATTTGGGGCATGCATTATTTATTATACATGGCCTACAACGGTTCTGTCTGCGCTGTTACGTATTACCTACACTTCTGGGTTTTTTTGTTCTTGTTCTCAGCCTCTCTTTAAGAGTTCTTGGGCCTTCCTTTTCCCTCTTTCTATTTTAACAGTTTTAATTTTAGAACCATTTACATTCCAGTAGGTAATTCACTATGCGCTTTATATGCCTTAGGGCATCCAAATAAAAAACAATAGGGTAAACATCCCCAAAACCCACCTTTAAAAAAAAAAAAACCCATACAGATTTCCATATGTAATAAAACCCCGTGTTCTTGGATAGATATTAATAAGGTTGTAATTCCAACTGGTGACATAACTCCTGTGAGGGATAAGAATGTGTCTGCTTATAGTAATAACATCAGAACCTCTTTGTGAAATTGCGGCCTTTAATGTACATTTTAATGAAAGGGTGCATTAGTATTGTACAGGGGTCTTGTAAAGTCATCAAAACTTGCTATGAACTCTAATTGCCATTTGAAGCTACTGATTGGCAGTGGCTCTACTCTAAAACTGCTTTTTAGCAATTGTATTTTTTTCCTGATTATATTTTTTAATGTACTTTGATGTTTATGCTGATGAGTTTTTTATGTACTTTTGGTGATGTTTCAGTCTTATGTACTCTTCTGACGTCAGAAAAGTACCACTGGTTGTTTGCAGTCTTATTGTGTAATCAGCCTACCGCAGGCTTCCATGTATAATAAAGTAATTAATATTGTGCAAGTGTAAAACACTTCTGTTATAAAAGCAGTGTTTGGAAAATAAGAAATATTAAAAATGGTTACAAAGTATTAGTTAATTTCCTTTTCCCACTTTCCTCCCTTTAGCTTTAGCAGCTAAAGGGTCACCAACTTGTCATTGCAAGATTCTTAGAAAATGTACTTAATCTTAAATACGCTGAGTACTAAAAAGTGTTTATTTCTTATTTCAGTAAGTGCGGTAAGTTCTATTGAGTACAGAGTACAAGCTGTAATCAAAGGATGGAGAGGACCTTTACCACTGTATCTCTTAAGCTGTATGATTTTTCTCCAGTTTGTTTTATACAGGTTTTGAATTTCTTTAACTTTTATTGTGTGTACTGAATACTGCATATGTATTATTCTGATTGTTTGCTCTAGTTTACTACCAATAAAAGTCCTGTTAATCACAAGATTGAAGAAAGGAGATATTACTTAATATCCAGTAACGTTTTTCAGAATTTTCTATTAACATTTTCTAAAATATTCACATCCGTGGTATAACCTGCAGTTTAGAGGCTTGTATTTTAATTGTATTTTTTTAACTTAGGTATTTTGTGTTTCTAGGTTTATTTTAGTTGAAAATGGACTCAAGGCCGGGAGTGGTGGCTCACGCCTGTAATCCTAGCACTTCGGGAGGCCAAGGCGGGTGGATTGCCTGAGCTCAGGAGCTCGAGACCAGTCTGGGTAACACAGTGAAACCCCGTCTCTACTAAAATACAAAAAATCAGCTGGGTGGGGCGGCGTGTGCCTGTAGTCCCAGCTACTCAGGAGGCTGAGGCAGGATAATTGCTTGAACCCAGAAGGTGGGGAGGTTGCAGTGAGCCAAGATTGTGCCACTGCACTCCAGCCTGGGCGACAGAGCAAGACTCCGTTTCAAAAAAAAAAAAAAGGATTCAAATTTATATAATACTAAATTTTTGTTCTTCCATATTGCTATGCACCTAAAACATATTCAATGTTCATAAAATATTCAGTTTTATGACATTATGAAAACATTCAACATTTTATGAACATTGAATACTTTATGAACGTTGAATATGTTTTAGGTGCATAATATGGAAGAATAGAAATTTAATATTATATAAATCAATGTTTTCTTGAAATTGGGTTAGCCATCCTAATATTACTCCAGAGAAATTATTTATTGAGGCTTTATTTTAAATCAGATTCCAATATCTTCTGGTTTTAGGTGCATCCTTTTTTGCCTCAAAAATGTTGTAATATCCTGTGGCACCAGTTTTGGGAAAAAAAACTTTTTACTTAAAAAGTTGTAATAAAGTGACAGTATGATTTAGATTACAACAGTCTTGAGCATTTTAGTTAGGATGAAGGTATTATTAAATCAGCAATGTTTTAAAATGTTGAGAGTATAAGTATTAGAAGGAAAGAGCTAAACCTATAAATAATGGAGATGCAGAAACTGAAAATTAGTAAATATGTAATATATTAGTAAACTTATAAGTATGAAGGGAAAAAGTAGATCATAAGACATTTGTGTTTTGAAATTTAGTGGCTACAGTGTTGAGGAATTGGGAATAAATATATTAAAGGGTAGAATAGGTCTTTGAGGCTTTGTTTTCTTTTTAGTATATGATAGTATTACAGGAAATCATAAAGATATTAAGTATAAGCATGGATTTCTCTGTAGAGATTATCTGTACTGGCGAGTCTGTGATTAGGAAATGTCAGTTTTTGTTTGTTTTGCCCAAGTGTATTTCCTAGATTTGGTCTTTTTCTTGAACAAGAGTGCTAAGCAGAATCTCTGATTCTATATTGAAATCCAATTTTTGATTTCTTTGCACAGGTGACTTATTCTCTATTCTAGATTAGCCCTAACAGATTGATTTTTTTTTTTAACCCATCCACCTGCCTTTATTTCTTCTGTGGAATGTCTGTCTCTGAATATGATCATTTTAAAATTAAGGTTTTTTTTTACTTTTAAGAAGTTAAGGTATGAAGTAGGAAACAATGCTTTTGGATTTCTGTTGTGCTACTGGAAATTCAGAATAAGGACTACCATAATTTAGCAATTGCTGGTCAGTATTTTTGAGGTAATTTAAAAATGGGAACAGTGGAAAAACATCTATAATTTTTAGCATGTTTTTAAAAAGTTGCAAACTGATACAAATATTTCTACTTTAGTTTTCCGTATTATGCTCATCAGATGAGAGAGGCAAAAGTTTGTATTCATTCCTGTCATCTGGCATTTTGTAATTACTTGCCATTAGTAGCATTTAAGCCTGAACTGGGTGACAGTTTGAGCAATATGGCTTCATGAGGTCACATGGAATTTTTACCTTCCAAATTCATAGGCTCTTGTTAAGCAGAAGAACTTCCCTCACCAAAAATAGTTTCTGAACTTCTACTTTTAGGGTAAAACATACCTGAAGACTATCATTTTCTGAGTTTTATGGTCTTTGTGTTTTCTATGATACATACTGATAGGATTTCATTTTTAAAATGTGATGCAAGACTCCTTTGTTAGTGCTATGATAGGATCCATGCATCATGTTGCGTGAGGTTATGATGGTAATGTTCCATGAATATTTTGTTATGGGATCCCTCCTGGTATTTAAGAAGAGGGATCTGTGGTGGTTTACCAATCTGCTTGTACCCTCCATGAAATGATAAACAGTTACTGATAGTGAGGGAAAATATTGTATTCTCGTTATTTTTTTATATCCTTGGTAACATTTAAAATGAACATTAGGATGAACACAGCATCTTAGAATTCTGTTATCTTATGCTTGACTGTATTTGAGTGTGACTAATTTAAATAGACTATATTTAAATTCTTTATGAATCTTTGGCTTACTTATACAAGTCCAGCGTAACATTTTTTTTGGGTCACAGACTCTGGGCACCCGATATAAATTGATGGCCCCCCGCCCCCTGTACGTTAGCAGAGATATATCAACAAATGAAAATGTGCAAGCCAGTCTACATGCTCACAAGACCTCCTCCAACTTTCAAATAAATTCTTAGTTATGGACCCTAGGTTAAGAATTTAGAAGACATCCTAAATATTGAAATTTTATTGTATAGATAAGTAGGAAGTTAAAACCTAAGAAAATCATCAAATATTAGGGGTGCTTCTGAATTGATTTATCTGCAGTTTAACTACTTAGCATTTATGGAAGGCAGTTTACAAAAAGCCATAGAGGTTTATGATAAGCTGGTCAAGTAATTAGTTGAATAGATTTTATAATTCTTTGCACTTCTCATCTGATAATAACTACCGTATAGGTAGTAGACTTGACAGTAGTTCAGTATTTTCTGTTAACAGAGTTGTGTTTATAACAATTACAGTCAACTACTGTGGTTCTTCAGTTGCACAGAGTAGCTTTTGGCAAAAGTGAAAAAACCTACAACCAACCTACATCTTTTTACCTAGGAGGAATAATATTGAGTTCTTAATAACAGACTATACTTCATTATAGCCTGTGTGTGTGACTAGCTAGGTTGAAATGTACTGTGCATGATAAGCCTTGTAAAGCAAGTTATATGTTGAAATTAGTATCTTTGGAAGTGTAGATAGATAGCTGGAGAAAAATGTAATGATTTGGAGCTTGTACTCCAGAGGGGAAAATGTATTTCCCGTGTTTATAGAGAATAGAAGAATAATGGGCAGGGGTTGAATGTAAAGGGAATTAAGGGATATCTTAGAATGGAGAAGAAAAGGAATAGATTTTGAAGGAAAATAGCATACACATTCCGTACTCAGTCACATTTGGAAAATAGGGAATATAAAATTTACTCCAATATTAACTGTTAAAAGGGTAAAGAGGATCTTTAGTTGGAAAACTGTTCTGATTTTGTTGTTCTTTCAGTTCAGACTTATTTCAGTACTTTGGTTTGTTATGAACTTTAGAACTATTGTGGAGCAATTAATAAATAACTCTTAACAGACAACTGTGGTGAATTTCTGTTTACATGTCCAGTCTAGGAAAAAGATGGCTAATCTTTGTGTTTATGTATTAAATCTTTTCTTTGGTAACTCATAAAATCACACAGTTTCCATCGGTTGTTAAGAATTTTAAATAACTTTTTTCTTACTAAAACAATTGGCAGTCAAAATTGTTATATGTGATCAAATGGATATGAACAGAATTTAGGAATTAAGACCAAAGCTCTGAATCCACATTCTTTACCCACCAAAAAATAAATGTACAAATACAGTGTACAAAGGCATGTTGTGTTACGACAAAGGAAAAGTGTGAGTGGTTATAAAAAGTTGGAAACCCTTAATTATTTTTTTGTTTTGCTTTGAAAAATGTTTGCAATTTTAACTTGTGACTAGTTCATTTCTTTATTCTACGTTAGATAAGAATCTTATAAGCATTATCTATTGGAAAGTTAAAGTTTTAAATGGGAGCTAAAGTTTTAAATACTGAGTTTTGGAATAAATACAGTTTTTAAAGTCGAAGTGACATTTTTTAGATTAATTTCTAAAGAGTGGATTGCAAAATTGAATGACAAGATCAGCAGTGTAACTATTTTATGTTTGTGCATAAACTAAGCTCTTCCTACGAGGAAGCCAAGTGCAAACATTTGAAAGAGAGTTCCTTCTTTTTGGAGGATAATGAGAACTGTAAATGGGTATCATTGTGGGTCTCCATGAATAGACAACCCATGACCTTCATCAGTTTAGTGGTGGAACTGGAAAGAGCTTTTCTAAGACTTGCAGTTTTTTACTTTGTGGTCCAAAACAGTAAAAGTGCCTAGTATAGGTTAGAAAGCTGACTGAAATGAGACCTGAAGTTTTCATCTTGCAAGTGGGTAAGGTATAGGGATAAAAATTGTGAAAATATTTGCATTTAATAGACCCAATATGTAAATTTTCTTTTTAAAAATTTATTATTATTTTTATACCCCAGGCCATGGCAGATTTATTCTTTTTTTCTTTTTCTTTTTTCTAATATGTACATTTTATTCAGTCAAGCACATTAGAAAACTGAGCAAGATTTCGTAGCACTGCATAAATGCATTAAATCACTTTAAAACTTGATCTTGTACTGCTTTCACTTTTGTTGTAAGTAGCCTTACAATGAGCAAATTAAAATTGTGTTACTATAATATGTTAAGGATTATGTTGTTTGTAAGGTAAATTACTGAGGAATTTTATTCCTTTGGATTTGGGGGGACAGCTGTAGAAGGTCCAAATGTTTAATTTCTTTTTTATGATGTCCACTAAGATATCATACACATTTCTATACTCAGTCACATTTGGAGTAGTTTGCTGTGTATTTCTTTTTATGAGTGTTTATGTTGGTAATTTGATCTCTTAAAGGTTTAGTTTAGAAAGTTTGCAAGGGTAATTAGAAACTATTACACTAACTTTTAAAATTGCCTCTTGTTTTTAGTAAGTAAAAAATTAGGTTATGACAACACTTAACATAGATTGTCTAGGTTTAGTTGAAAAAGTATAAAAAAAAACCTATGATTGTTGAACATGCCGTAAAAAACAAAATATTAAAACTTGTGACAGATTTGTCTTTGGAAGGGAAGGAATGACTGTTGTGTAAGGACAAAGTGAAAAAGGTTCTAAGGAGATTAATATTAATGGGAATGTTTACCGTGGCCATATACTTAAAGACCTTAAACATTTGAATTAGATTTGGAAGACTGGTACCAATGGCCAACTGATAATGGGTTCCTATGGGGTACTGCCGGTGAGTTATAGGAATGTATATGAAGGCAAAACTAAAATGTGATTTGGGAAGATTTTCCAGAGTGGCCTGATAGAAAGAATAGAACATTACAGTTTTTCATTTTGTTCACTTTGATTTTATTAAACCTCTAAAACAAATTGATATTTGAGAAGGAGAGACAAGGGTATGTAAAGGATATAATGATATTTTTCCTAATAATGCTAGTGTACGTGTCCTATAGAAAGGAGAAGAGGTAGTATTTAGGAAAAGATGAGAGAAAAAGGAGTGTCTTGCTTAGTAGCTTTTTTATGATAACATTGAAAGTTTCTCTCTTGAAACTTGAAATTTTGAAGTACTGTAATTCAGTATGGGTGAGTATCTTAATTTGGAAAAAAACCACTAAGCTGACTTGTAATACAAAGTAAATGGTAACATTTTCATTCATAGCTAAATATTAAGTAGCAGAAAAGAATTGTCATGGAAATCATTTTTTGCTTTTAAACTTTCAATTCATCTATATATGTAAATAAAGTCTTAATGCAAGCAAAATTTTACAGAAATAGTTATGTAATTATGAAGTAATTTCAGGACTTCCCATGACATTTAATGATGGAAACTATTTTTCTGATTTCCAAACCAAAACTAACATGCATCTTATAATTTAATAAGAAATGATCACCCGATTATATTCAGTCATATACTCACCTGAACCAATACTCCATCTGGAACTAGAATACAAAAATACTTTGAATGGTCTGAAAGTACTATTTGTTAAAAATGTTCAGTACTGAAATATCAGTTGGAATTTTGCCAGGTGAATGTGAGAGCAGAAATTCAATATATGTATAGAATTGCCTTTCATAAGGCAGTTATTTTGTTTATAAGCCATGTATAGTTATTTAGATGATCAAGTTTATCTGTACTAAACTTGATCATCTAAATAACTGCATGGCTGATCAAGTTTAATACAGATAAACTTTATCATCTAAATAACTGCATGGCTTATAAAGTATACATGTATTTGTGTTTTAATAAAATGTTCAGAACACAAATTACTGGTGGCTGAATATATAAAATACACTTTGAGAGGAATACTAGCAAGAGCAGATGGTGGGGACATTGCTTTGCAATAAATAAGATTAATGTGTTTAGAGCTATTAAGATTGTGAAGAGAAAGGCAAGAAGTTTAGCCTATCAATAGGAAGCACACCAGTGCCTGAACCTGACTTGAGTTTTGAAAAAGCTCATTTCTTAAAAACATTCTTAGAAAATTGGGCTTCACGGAATAGATATGTTTGGAAATCTTGGTTCACATATGTATAAGGAATATCCAGTTTCTCCCTGTTTTCAAGAATAGCCACTTCACATCTTTTAGGTGGCTCTCAAATGTCGGACAGGAGCAGTTGTTAGGGTTTTTCAAATGTAAGTCAGAACTGTTGTTTGGAGAAAACTGAATTTTTTCATTTCGTAAGATTATAATTTCTAGAAATATCTATTAAAAGGTGGAAATTACATTAAAGATAGTAAGTATATTGTGAGTATGTGAAATGAATTTTAGAAATGATCACCTCTGTATTATTTTAATAGAGTGGAACAAAAATGTTTTAAATGGTTCTTACTTTGGAAATGGATATCTTAAAAATTCTGATATTGCCACCATTTGTTCTACAAAACTGAAGCATATTAAGAGCTGGAGTTTATAAATAAATCTGTTTTAATCATATTTTCTTTTATAAATACAGCATCACTTGATTTTAAATTAGGGATGAAAAAGATGTTTAGATAATTTTACAGTTTTACTTTACAGATTTGATTTACAATTGTCTTTTGTAATAAAAGTGGGTTTCTTTTTTTTTTTTTTTTTCTGAGATGGAGCCTTGCTCATTGCCCAGGTTGGAGTGCAGTGGCATGATCTCCACTTGCTGCAACCTCTGCCTCCCAGGTTCAAGCAATTCTTCTGCCTCAGCCTCCTGAGTAGCTGGGATTACGGGCGCCGGCTACCACACCTGACTAATTTTTGTATTTTTTTAGTAGAGATGGGGTTTCACCATGTTGGCCAGGCTGGTCTTGAACTCACCTCAGGTGATCTGCCCACCTTGGCCTCCCAAAATGCTGGGATTACAGGCGTGAGCCACCGCACCCGGCCTGTCCTTTTTTTTTTTTTTTTTTTTAAGTGGAGGTGGGGTTTTTCTGTGTTGGCCAGGCTGGTCTCGAACTCCTGACCTCAAGTGACCCTCCCGCCTCGGCCTCCCAAAGTGCTGGGATTCAAGAGTGAGCCACCGTGCCTGGCCAAGAATTGCCTTTTGTAATAAAAATAAATTAAGCATTTTACTGTTACCAGAGGTAAGTAAACATAATTTATAACTTGGAAATGAATGACGTTCAGGGCTCTTCTTGATTTTAGTCCCAATTACATTATTATCCAAATTGAAACTTGATGGACAGCTGCCTGGTCTTGCACTTACTTGGAATGTATTCTCTCTTCCATTTAGCTACTTTCAATCTTATGATTTTCAACTGCTCCTAATCTACCAGCTATCAAATTCAGAAGTTATGTATGTGTTACATTAAGTATTAAGTGTTGTTGAAGCAGAATGACTGTGGAAAAGAAAACATTTCATAATCTATTGAAATCTGATACATTAGTCATTAGTATATTGTATTTATTATATGGCCATTAGAGATAAAGCTAAATATATATATTTTGATATTATTTCAGTATATCACCTCCAAAACAAAGCTAAAATATACATAGATGACTGTTACATTATGAAAAAGGTGCTATGTGAATATAAGATTGTTTAGTACTGGGACTTTCAGATTCGTCGTTCCATAAAGTATTCCTTGGATCTTATCAGCCTTAGAAGCTGAAAGAAAAGCAATACAGAGAGATGGCATGCACTTTTCATTAACAAACAATTCATCTCATTAGTCCTCTGCTGCTCTGATTTGCATCTCAGTGCAAAGTTGTTTAGGTCCTACCTGAATGCCCTCTTTGGTTGTCTAGGGCCTGGCTATGAAAGTGGACCAGCATCACTTAGGAGTATGTTAAATATGCAGTCTCAGCCTCACCCTAGGTCTTCTGAATGAGAACCTTCATTTTAGCAAGATGCCCCGGATACATTAGAATTTGAGAAGCACTGTGTTAAAACTCTTTCACTTATGCTCCAACACTCTCCTTGGCCTTCCTTTCTCCTCTCTCATCAAAATCCATTCACTTCCCATAGGACCCTAATTCAAAATTCACTGGTTTAGTTTTATAAAAACTAATCCACTGAGCAAATACCTGGGTGCCCATTATGTGCCAGCATTAGTCTAGGTAATAAAGGTGAAAAGAACAAAATGGAATGTCCTTAAATTCTAATGGAGGAGCTGAGTGAACAAATACATCATATAATGTGGGTCAGGGTTAAATGCTAGGCAGAAAAAGGGACCAGAAAATGATAGCGAGATGTGTGCTTATTCAGATAGGGAAGTCCTGGAAGGGGTAACATTAGAGCAAAGACACAAAGGACATAGGAAAGTGAATCTGGGGGAGGAGATTTTAGGGTGCTGATATCCAACCATGAGTATTTTAAAAAAATTATTATCATTACATTTTTTTTTTTTTTTTGAGATGGAGTCTTTCTCTGTCACCCAGGCTGGAGTGCAGTGCAGTGGCACAATCTAGGCTCACTACAACCTGCGCCTCCCAGGTTCAAGCGATTCTCATGCCTCAGCCTCCAGAGTAGCTGGGATTACAGGTGTGTGCCACCACGGCCAGCTAATTTTTGTATTTTTAGTAGAGACGGGGTTTCATCATGTTGGCCAGTCTGGTCTCAAAACTCCTGACCTAAGGTGATCTGCCAGCCTCAGCCTCCCAAAGTGCTGGGATTATAGGTGTGAGCCACTGTGTCTGGCCTATAATTACTGTTGTATGTCATAGTTCACAAGTCCCTTGCGTGCTATAAATGAGAGTATTTTCATGTCACTGGTGAAGAACAGGCTCAGGAAGGGAAGAGATCTGCTCTTGCCTAACATACCACCGGTAAAATTGGTGAAACCCCTTAGTGATTTCAAATCTTGTGGGTTTTTTTTTTTTTTAAACTACTACTGCATTATGCCTTCTTTATTCAGAAGTCTTGAGGCCTTACAGAAAGAACCATGTAGAAAGTTTTATAGTTAGACCTAATTTAAAATCTTGGCTTTGGCATTGAATAGAAGTAAAATTACTTCATTTTCCTGAAGCTGAACTTCCTCATCTGTAAAGTAGTGCTTGTAAGCACCCATCACATGGAGCAAGGGCTCATAACAGATCAGTATTTAACCTTTCCAGGGAATGCATGCGCACTTTAACAAGGGTCTTGTACGGGTAAAGACACCACACGAGTAACTAAATCAGTGGTTCTCAGCTGGGAGCAGTTTTGCTCCCAGGGTACATTGAGCAGTATCTGGAGACATTTTTGTTGTCACAACTTGGAACCAGACTGTGTGCTACTGGCATCTAATGGGGAGAGACCAAGGATGTTGCTAGCCATGCCACAATGCCCAGAACAGCCCCTCATCACAAAGAATTATGCAGCTTATCAGGTTTTAAGGAGCCCCAGCCCTCCTACCCTCCTGGGCCTGACCAGCTATACTGCTCCGTCTCCCCCAGCCACACACCCCATCAAGTGTACTGCACAAGGACCCCCACCCAGGGGCCCTGCACCGTGAAATGAGGTGAAATACCAACTGTGGACCAAACGCAATAAAACCTCTGTTTTTAGGAACAAACAAAGAACTATGCAGCCTAGAATGTCAGTAATGCCGAGGTAGGGAAACTCTGCTTTAAAAGATATGCCACTATTGAAATAGTTGGGGGACACATAGAGGTCTCACTTTTGGAATATTTAGGTAACCTGACCAGTCACTCTAAGAAATAAATACAAGGCTAGGTGTGATTAAAGATGGGCAATTTTTAGTGAGAAGCTTTTTTAAAAAAACTTACTGTGCCTATCTGATTCAATTATTTAAGCTTGCTGGATTCCCACTTTTATTTTTTATTCTTTTATCTGACAAGTACATTAATTTAAGGAATTTACTACTGCTTCTTAAATTCTAAGTTAAAATTCACTAATGGAGGCCGGGCGTGGTGGCTCACGCCTGTAATCCCAGCACTTTGGGAGGCCGAGGCAGGTGGATCACATGGTCAGGAGTTCAAGAGCAGCCTGGCTAAGATGGTGAAACCTGTCTCTACTAAAAAAAATACAAAAATTAGCCGGGCGTGGTGGTGGGCGCCTGTAATCCCAGCTACTCGGGAGGCTGAGGCAGGGAATTGCCCGAACCTGGGAGGCGGAGGTTGCAGTGAGCTGATATCGTGCCACTGCACTCCAACCTGGGCGACAGAGAGAGACTCCGTCTCAAAAAAAAAAAAAAATTCACTAATGGAGTGTTAGAAGCATCAGTAGGTTTTACTCAAATCTCTAATAAACCTGGTATATACTGGATAATTTCTGGCTTAATTATGACGACAGATTTAGGATTACTATGTGGTATTTAGGGTTTGAGATCCGCCTAATTTCCTTCATGAGGACAAATCTATTTGCAGTTAACTAAAACTCCTTAGTTATGTTAATTTCATATTTATAGTTAACATTTAAAAATTAAATTAGTCATGCAGCCAGATGTGGCACACACCTGTAGTCTCAGCTACTCTGGAGGCTGAGATGGGAACATTCCTTGAGTCCAGGAGCTTGAGGCACTATAATTGCACCTGTATGAATAGCCACTGTACTCCAACCTGGGCAACATAGTGAGACCCCATTTCTAAATAAATAATAGTCAAGGTAGGGGTATCTAATCATCAAATCCCTCTTTTGTTCCAGTATTCTTTTTTTTTTTTTTTTTTTTTTTTTTTTGAGACGGAGTCTCTGTCACCCAGGCTGGAATGCAGTGACATGATCTTGACACATTGTAACTTCCACCTCCCAGGTTCAAGCGATTCTCCCACCTCAGCCTTCCAGGTAGATGGGATTACAGATGTGCACCACCACACATGGCTAATTTTTATATTTTTAGTAGAGACAGTGTTCCACCATGTTGACCAGGCTGGTCTCGAACTCTGGGCCTCAAGTGATCCTCCTGCCTCAGCCTCCCAAAGTGCTGGGATTACAGACGTGAGACACTGCACTCTCTTTTCTTTAAAACAGAAATCTCGGCCAGGCGCACACCTGTAATCCCAGCACTTTGGGAGGCCAAGGTGGGTGGATCATCCAAGGTCAGGAGTTCAAGACCAGCCTGGCCAACATGATGGAACCCTGCCTCTATAAAAAATGCAAAAATTAGCTGGGCATGGTGGCAGGCACCTGTAGTCCTAGCTACTCAGGAGGCTGAGGCGGGAGAATCGCTTGAACCTGGCAGGCAGAGGTTGCAGTGAGCCGAGATTGCGCCCCTGCACTACAGCCTGGGTGACAGAACCAGACTCTGTTTCAAAAAAAAAAAAAAAATCTCAGCCATGTGCCATGGCTCACGCCTGTAATCCTAGCACTTTGGGAGGCTGAGGCGGGTGGATCTCTTGAGCCCAGGAGTTCGAGACTAGCCTGGGCAACCTGGCAAAACCCCGTCTCCACAAAAAATACAAAAATTAACCAGGTGTGGTGGTGCGCGCCTGTGGTCCCAGCTACTCCAGAGGCAGAGGTGGGAGGATCGCTTGAGCCTGGGAGGCAGAGGTTGCAGTTAGCTGAGATTGCGTCACTGCACTCCAGCCTGGGGGACAAAGTGAGACCCTGTCTTGAAAGAAAAAGAAATCTCCCTGACTTCCTGAAAGACAGATCTTATTTTGTATTCATTATCTGAGTAACATCTTTATGTGGCATACAAGTGTGGCAGAGTGAATGAGTAACAATTACTGCTTCACATCAGTAGGAACTACTGGTAAAGGCGGAGGAGGGAGGAGCCCTGTTCCATTGTTAAAAGTGGTTTATATGTAAGTTGAAACTCTAGTCCATTGATTGGAATGCTGGGTTTTGGAGCTGCATAAACAGAGCCCCCTGATTGTTGTATGCCCTATAATATGGGAATGAATGTACTAACATATAAAACATAATTCCTGAGGAACCTGGCATTGCTTATGAACGTTCCACAGGCTGCTTGTGGGAATTGTATATTATCATTTGTTGAACACCTACTTCGTCAGAGTGTTTTTGGGCTTTGCCTCATTTGATTCTGACAAATTGAAAGGCAGGGTAATATTAATCTCATTTTACAGATGAACAAATTGGGTTAGGAAAATTCCACCAGAGAAGCACTGGAAATAATAGAGCTAGAATGCAAATGTAGGATTGGTTTGAGATCCCTGAGGCTTCCCACTGTGTTCAAGATCCAGCCTGGCACCAAGTTTCAGCATCATGGTCTCGAAAGAGCTCAAGCCCAGGGGTCCCGCAGTTTAAGTTCTAGTCCTGACTCCAGGACTTTGGAGCTACATGATTCTGAAGAAACTGCTAAACCTTTCTTGGCCACCTCTTTCATAAACATAAAGTGGATATAAAAAATACTTGCCTGCCTCATTCTCAGGACTGCTGAGCAGAGAACAGGAAAATGCCCTGTATTAGGTAAAGATCTATAGCCCAAGGAATCCTAACCTGCCTGTGTTACATAAAAGAGGGCGACTGGCAGAACTGGGCTAACTGAATGTCTAGGAGTGAAGGTTTTCTATTTTTACTCATTGTTTTTTTAATGGAATCTTCTCATGTCCTATTTGTGATTCCTCAGTTAAGCAGTGTTGATGCTGTTGGCTCAGCTGTTTGCAGTTTTCAATGAGTATAGTTTGTAATGCTAATGTTTGGAATTTGCATACTGGGAAAGTTGGGGTGTTTTGCAGAATGCAAATTTTATAATATCAAAAGGTAGATTATTTTCTATTTCTGTGATCAGATTATTGTTATAGTTTCCAATGGAAAGATGAATATAAGGAAATTACTATTACCACCTTCCTCATTTTGTTTCCCCAAAACATAACAATTTATTGAAACACTTGACTCTTCTTGTCATAGCATTATTCTTGCTTAATATGTATTAATAAGTAGATAAAAGGAAATACAATTTTATCAGAAATAGACATTCTATAATGGAGTCAGGGTGGTTTATATACCATGCAGTTTGATTTGTTCTGTTCTTAGAATACTTTAGAGAAAAAATTTAAAATATAACAATAGATTGAAGAATAAACAACTCTAGTGTTTACATATTAACAAGATATAGTAACTATATCTTGAAATCATACCCGATTGAGGAACATTTTCTGAAGCAGTTTAACACAGGACTTGCCTACAGAATGAACTGAGAAATTGAAGAGAATTTGAAAATATTTTGAAATTTTTCTTAACAAAATTGCCTCATGATTTTCTACTGCTAGTGTTTATAATCTAATGACTGTTTTCTTCTCATTGGTTAGTTAGCCCATTTAACCTTTTCTAAATAATAAGTAGCAAGGAAAACAAAATTTGTTGCTTGTATTTGGGATTTGACTTACGTATTTTAAGTACATGAATGTCAAGCAAAAAACACAATTTGAGTACAGACACTTCTAAATGCAAGCACATACTTTATTATTACCTCATTAAGATGTAACTCATACTTTTTTATTTTTAAGGATTAAACTTGACTAGTACATTTGGTGATTTTTAGCAAAAAAAAATTTGTATAAGATTAATATATGTAACAGATTTGCTTCATTGTTGACACCTCACATTTTAACATGTTGACGTATACTAATCAGTGTTTTCCAGCGGGTTTTCTGCTTCTTAAATTCTAAATTAAGCACTGGCATAAATTTTTAAGAGTAATTTTCAGTGTTAGCCCTTTTAAATAAAAATTTTGTTGGCCAGGTGTGGTGGCTCATGCCTGTAATCCCAGCACTTTGGGAGGCCGAGGCGGGCAGATCACGAGGTCTGGAGATTGAGATCATCCTGGCTAACACGGTGAAACCCCATCTCTACTAAAAATACAAAAAATTAGCCAAGCGTGGTGGTGGGTTCCTGTAGTCCCAGCTACTCGGGAGGCTGAGGCAGGAGAATGGCGTGAACCCGGGAGGCGGAGCTTGCAGTGAGCTGAGATCACACCACTGCACTCCAGCCTGGGTGACACAGCCAGACTCAGTCACAAAAGAAAAAAACAAACAAACAAAACTCCACTTTTAATGTTTCAGCTTTTAAAATATGACATCACTCCCTTAACAGTATTTATTGAGTGCCAGGCATTAGTAGCTACTGAATAGCATCAAGAATCAGATATGGCCCTTCCCTCAAGGAGCTTAATTAAAGTCCATGACAAAGAAGGGCCAGAAGCAGAGTATAATGAGGAGAAAGAAGTAAGGATGCTGTGAATGTGTATAGTTGGAAATTTATTCTAGTTTAAGAATCACTGAGACTTAAAAGATGAGAAGGAGTTAGGCAGGCAATGAATAAGCATAGAGAAAACGTGCCAAGTTGAGAGTGGCCATGACTGTATAGTCCGCAGTGCCAATTGGAGTGGATTTGCCAGGCAGCGGGACAGGACAACAGTGGGAAATGGAGTGTTGAATACAGGGGTGGAATCTAAGCTAGATAGAGGGGACAGGACAGGGGAAAAGGAAAGTCCTGAGAGATTTAGAAAACAACTCTGGTGGGAATAGATGAGGAAGCTACAAGGAGAAAAGTTGCATTCAAAGTGGAATGTCAGATTTCATTTCAGTGATAGAGCAGGTTGGACCCTGATAAGGTCTAGGGTGCACCTGTGAGAGATATGACTGACGTGGTACAGGGCAGGATAAAGCTGGAGATAGGGTGGTCAAGAAAATGAGGAGCAGAATGATGATGGATGGCTGGTCCACTTAAATCTTGAGGATATTCAGAAAAATGGCAGGATGTGGGGAGGAGAGGAGCCCATTTCTAGTGTTCTTAGGAAATGGTCAGGCAGTAAATGGATGTCAGCCAAGAGAAGTGGTGGAGAGGGATATAGCCAAATGCCATGAGGCTTAAAAAAAGTAGTTTTACAAGGCCGGGCATGGTGGTTCATCCCTGTAATCCCAGCACTTTGGGAGGCCGAGGCGGGCGGATCTCGAGATCGGGAGATCGAGACTATCCTGGCTAACACGGTGAAACTCCGTCTCTACTAGAAATACAAAAAATTAGCTGGGCGTGGTGGCAGGCGCCTGTAGTCCCAGCTACTCAGGAAGCTGAGGCAGGAGAATGGTATGAACCCGGGAGACAGAACTTGCAGTGAGCCGAGATCGCGCCACTGCACTCCAGCCTGGGCAACAGAGTGAGACTCTGTCTCAAAACAAACAAACAAAAAACTAGTTTTACAAGAGGATAAAAGAAAGGAGGTATGTGGGATGGGAAGGACACTGACCCCACCTAGCCCCAAACTCTAGACTTTCTTAATTCTCCACATTTCAGTCTATTGGCAAATTCTATGGTCGTCATCTAGAAAATATTTCCATTCTGTTTTCTTAATTTCCACTGCACTACTCAGGTCCAAGCCACCATTATCTCTTGTTCTAAGACTGTTTTAACTTCTCAGCTCTTCTCCCTATTTTCATTTTTGTCCCCATACAACCCATTTCCCTCTAGAATCATTCATGCAATATCACTCTGCTGTTTTAAACTTCAGCCTGCTTCAGTGTCTTCCTACTACTCTTAGAGTAAAATGCAAACTTTCTATGAGGCCTGCAGAGCCACTCTCCTGTTAACTTTTCTCAGATTACATGCTACTCTGCTACTCACATGGGCTTCCTCTCTGTTCCTGCAAGACCAGCCCAGTGCCACCTCAGAACATTGCATTTGTTACTATATACGTGGTGCTTCCACATTGCCTGGTACCTGAAAGGTACTTAATATTTGTTAAATGTGTGAGAAAACAGCCTTCTCTTGAGAGAACTGTGGGGAGAGGGAGTTTCAAGTTAATGCCAGGAGATTGAGGTTGCAGGAGAGTTTAATTATGGAAAATGAGTTCCCCAGGATACAAGGGAAGGCTTTAAATGTAAAAGAGGAGTGTGGCCAGGAGAGTGGAAGCACAGAGAATTTAGGAGTTTGCGGTCATAACAGGCTGTATAATTATGTTATAACAAGTAAACTAAGTGTTAAGAAATCGACCAGTAATTAATGTGGCTGTAGTGCCAACATTTTTCATGCGATTTTGAATAACTCAAAACTTTAGAAGGTTTTAGATTGAGTTAGGGCATAACCATAGACTTCTTAAATTGCAAATTATTTTTCCATACTTCCCAGGAATACTTGACTTGGGGATTTAATTTTTGATTGGAGATGGGGGAGAATAGTTTGTTATTTCATTCTCATTACATTAGAATAGAAGCTTTAAATTTTTTTCTGTGACTCCATGATAAAAAATACATTTATATCACCTATAATATAAATCATGTATTGATGTAAAGTTTCACACAAAATATTGTTTTTAAAATTATTGCTCTTTGATGCATTTTATTCTATTTCATTTTTTTTAAAGTGCTGGATGGGACTCACTAAAAATCTATAACTTGAAAAACACTGTTCTACAAGATGGAGAGGATCACTTCCTCTTAATGAGAAGGGGCTTATACATGTCTGTTCTGATTTTGTCCCTTCTAGAGGGGAAAGGGAAAAAAAAGTTTGTGACTCTAGTTGTTTTTTTGTTTTTTTTTGAGACAGAGTCCCGCTGTGTCACTAGGTTGGAGTGCAATGGTGTGATCTTGGCTCACTGGAACCTCTGCCTCCTGGGTTCAAGCGATTCTCCTGTCTCAGCCTCCCGAGTAACTGGGGCTACAGGCGTGTGCCACTACGTCCAGCTAATTTTTGTATTTTTAGTAGAGACGGGGTTTCACCATGTTGGCCAGGATAGTCTTAATCTCTTGACCTCGTGATCCACCCGCCTTGGCCTCCCAAAGTGCTGGGATTACAGGCGTGAGCCACCACGCCCGGCCAGTTCTTGCTGTTTTTGAATGAATAAACAAATAATTCAAAAGGCCTCTCTGTCCCATCTCCTTTTTCTTACTCTGTTTACAAATGTCAGATAGTCGCGCAGGTGATGAAATGATGAAATAAATGACTAATTTATTTTGCTTTTATCTGTCTTCTGTCACTCTTAATTGTCTTTATTTGAGGGAAACATATGTTATTGTTAGGCATGCTGAGGTAGGCCTTCATTCTCAAAGTTACTGTGCTGTTAAAAGCTAATGTAAATTATCCTAAAGAAAGGCAAATTTTTAACATTTTCATGAAGTATCCAGAAACTATGGGACAACATTTAGAAGCAAAAATATTTTAAGTTACAGTCCTTTTGGGCTGGGTGTGGTGGCTCATGCCTGTAATTTCAGCACCTTGGGAGGCTGAGGCGGGCGGATCACGAGGTCGGGAGTTCTAGACCAGTCTGGCCAACATGGTGAAACCCCGTCTCTACCAAAAATACAAAAATTAGCCGGGTGTGGTGGCGCATGCCTGTAATCCTAGCTACTCAGGAGGCTGAGGCAGGAGAAGTGCTTGAACATGGGAAGTGGAGGTTGCAGTGAGCCAAGATCATGCCACTGCACTCCAGCCTGGGTGATAGAGTGAGACTTCATCCAAAAAAAAAAAAAAAAAAAAGCTATAGTCCTCTTGATTAACAGTTTTCACTAACAGTATAGTATAAGCTAACATGCTGAAGATAAAACTCCAATACTTAAGCTTTAGTAGCATTTTTACTGTACTTAGCAAAACAAAGTTCAGTGACTGCTACATTTTTATGTTTCTTTTGTGTACCATGTTTTTTATTGTTAAGAAGTTGGAAGATATGAAAAAAGAAAAAATATCCAGCACTCAGTCAACCATTTAATTAACATTTTGTTGTATTTCCTGTTTGCTTTCCCTGTGCATATACTTTTTTTTTTTTTTTTTTTTTTTTAAGACAGGGTCTTGCTCTGTAGGCTGGAGTGCAGTGGCAGGATTATAGCTCACTGCAGCCTTAAATTCCCAGGCCCAATCAATCCTCCCACCTCAGCCTCCTGAGTAGCTGAGACTACAGGCATGCTCCACCATGCCCAGCTAATTTTTCATTTTTTCATTTTTGGTAGAGATGAGATCTCACTATGTTACCCAGGCTGATCTCAAACTTCTGAGCTCAAGTGATCTAACTGCCTTGGCATCCCAAAGTGTTGGAATTATAGGCAGGAGCCGCTGTGTCAGTCCCCTTTTCTCTTTTTATAAAAATGTATGTGTAGGAGGCCAGGCACGGTGGCTGGTGCCTGTAATCCCCACACTTTGGGAGGCCGAGGAGGGCAGATCACCTGAGGTCAGGGGTTCGAGACCAGCCTGGCCAACATGGTGAAATCCCATCTCTACTGAAAATACAAACATTAGGGTGGTGTGGGCACCTGTAATCCCAGCTATTCAGGAGACTGAGGCAGGAGAATCACTTGAACCCGGGAGGCAGAGGTTGCAGTGAGCTAAGACTGAGCCATTGCACTCTAGCCTGGGCAACAAAAGCGAAACTCTGTCTAAAAAAAAAAAAAAAAAAAAAAGGCATAGGAGAGAAAGTCTGGAAGGGTTAACAATGTATTATTATATCTGGGGAATAGGATTGTGGTGTTTACTTTTAAGTCTTAGCTATATTTTCTATAATAATTTGTCTATAGTGACACATGTATATGTAAAAAGTGAAGAAATAGAAAAATACAAAACATCAGCAAGGGCTGGGCAGGGTGGCTCATGCCTGTAATCCTAGCACTTTGGGAGGCCGAGGAGGGTAGATCACCTGAGGTCAGGAGTTCGAGACCAGCCTGGACAACATGGTGAAACCCCATTTCTACTAAAAATACAAAAATTAGCCAGGTGTGGTGGTGTGCGCCTGTAATCCCAGCTGCTTGGGAGGCTGAGGTGTGAGAATAGCTTGAACCAGGGAGGAGGAGGCTGTAGTGAGCCGAGATAGCGCCACTGCACTCCAGAAACAAACAAACAAAAAAACAAACAAACAAAAAATCAGCAAAGAGTGTCGATGTCTACAGGGTGCTAGTCTGTGAGGGACAGACATTATGAAGTCAGTGCGGCAAGAATGCTGGGACTTCAGAGAGGAGTTAGGATTTGAATCCCACCTTCCCTAGTGGGGCCCAGTACTTAATGCTCTGCAGTTATTTTCCATCTGTGAAATGGCTTCTGACCAAGAGATTTGTCAAATAGCATGTAGATCAGTAAGTTTAAGATACCATGAGTAAAGAAGCAATTCTTCCCAGGTTACACATGTGTAGTCAGTTCAAACTTCCCTCGGTCTTTATAGCACTCATTAAACAGACTCATTAACAAATGGTACCTAATACCTGCTTGGCTCTGTTTGAGGTCCTTGTGCAACAGTGGTGAACAAAATGGTTAAGGTCCTGGCTATCAGAATGCGTACCTGGCATCCTTAAATCTGGTTTCTGAAAAGAACATGTATTTAGATAATTTATGAATAATTATTCTGAAATAGTGCAAAGAAAAACTAAGATGCTTTGGTGAGACATCTGAACTTTCACTGTCACAGGGAGCTACAACTTCCCACAATGTCCAGGGCAGGACTTACCAGTAATTGGATGTGGCTTCTCTCTTATCTCTTTAGTGCTTTTTTTTTTTTTTTAATATAAACAAAAACCACAGCATTTTAATACTTATTTTTATATTTCCCGGAATACTCATATTACTCATACCTCTGAAAACACATGTTTAAATCTCGGTTAAAATTTAATCGAGATGTGAAAATGCTCATTCTTTGACTTGGTAATACCGGTTTAAGAATTTGTTTTAAGGCCGGGCACGGTGGCTCACGCCTATAATCCCAGCACTTTGGGAGGCCGAGGCAGGTAGATCACTTGAGGTCAGGACTTCCAGACCCGCCTGGCCAACATGGCGAAACCCTATCTCTACTAAAAAGACAAAAAGTAGCCAGATGTGGTGGTGCATGCCTGTAATCCCAGCTACTTGGGAGGCTGAGGCATGAGAATTGTTTAAACCCGGGAAGTGGAGGTTGCAGTGAATTGAGATCAAGCCACTGCATTCCAGCCTAGGTGACAAAGTGAGACTCCATCTCAAACAACTAAACTAAAATAATGTTCAGGGCCAGGTGCTGTGGCACTTTGGGAGACCAAGGCAGGAGGATCACTTAAGAGACCAGCCTGGGCAACATAAGGAGACCCCGTCTCTACCAAAAAAAAAAAGCCAGATGTGGTGGTACACTCACCTGTGGTCCCAGCTACTCAGGAGGCTGAGCCCAGGAGGTTGAGGCTGCAGTGTAGCTGTGACTGCACCACTGCACTCCAATCTGGGCAACAGAGCAAGATCCTCTCTCAATAAATAAATAGACAGATTAGATAGATAGATAGATTGATAGATTGATTGATAAAATTATGTTCATGTATGCATAGAGATGAAGTGTTTGATTTAGTACAATGGCATTATGAGTGATTTTCTTTTTTCTTAAATATTGATCTCCAGTAATGTTGCTGTAATATTTGGCAAAAACAAAACCAACTGAGTTAATACATCTTGCTATACCTGGTTTTGGAATGATTATTGGTGTGGGCAAAAATCTTATCTATTAGATTGAATCTAGTTTTTGGAGAAGGTGGCCAAAGTAAGTAAACAGCTCAAATTGAACACTGAAACTTTGTTAGCCTAAATTAGCTAGGCTTTGAATTACCATGGAAATACTATGAAATATCGGTGTGTACTATGTCTGAATATATTGAAAAGAGATTGATCTAGTATGTATTCATTTAGGTTTTGGGGGTCCCATATTCAACAAATTGTGTGGATAAATGTCAACACAATCTTTTATCCGCAAGATTAGTCAAAGTAGATTCTTGCCATAGGTGTGATGCACCCAAAGAACCTGACTGTTGTAAAACCATGTAATATTTCAGGGAATGCAAAGCAAATGTACTACAATTAGTTAAGCTAGAATTGAACCAGGAGTAAAGTTAAAGGGGTCTAGATCTAATTTCATACTTATTGCTGATGAAAGAAGGCCCTGTTAAGTAAAACCTTTTCCTGAGAATCTAGATATAAGGAAAAAAAAATACAGAGTATATTAAAGTTGCTACATTAAGGCAAAATGAAGAAATTAAAATGGCTTTAAATTTCTACATATTCACTGTTGAATTAGTGAATTGAATATTTTTATAATGTGAAAATTAAGAAGTATGACAGGAAACTTAAGAGTTAATTGTTAAAGTGAATGGACTAAGAGATGGTGCTGTAGTTGGAATCTTGAAGTTTTTAATTTTTTTTAGTTGTTTTTAGAAATATAGTCTTATATTTCGAGAGCAGTTTGAACTTTGAACTGTCAGAATCTGTCTTAGAATCTATCTGGGGTCAGGTGCAGTGGCTTACAGTTGTAATCCCAGCACTTTGGGAGGCCAAGGCGGTGGATCACCTGAGGTCAGGAGCTAGAGACCAGCCTGGCCAACATGATGAAACCCTGTCTCTACTAAAAATACAAAAATTATCTGGGCATGCTGGCGCATGCCTGTAATCCCAGCTACTTGGGAGGCTGAGGCAGAAGAATCGCTTGAACCCTAGGAGGTGGAGGTTGTAGTGAGCTGAGATCGCACCACTGCACTCCAGCCTGGGTGACAGAGCAAGACTCGGTCAAAAAAAAAAAAAAAAAAAAAAAAAAAAGCATCTAGTTGGAATGGGAGGACTTGGATCATTCATCCAAGGATAATATATCAATTGCTTAGAAAGCCTTTTACCAAATCTTATTTAAAAATAAAATTATATGTTGTCATATAGCAGCCTAGAGTAGAAGTATGAGAACATTTTTCTTATACTTTCCTCTAGCCAGCAATAAACTATTTACATCATCCTTAGATCCTAGTCACTCATTTACTTGTTCATTCATTCCTAAAAATTTGAGTATGGGGTACCAGGCACTGTGTCAGGTGCTGGAATACAGTGATAAACTAAGATAGTCAAAGTTCTTGCTCTCCTGGAAATAACATTCTAGTGGGAGTAGACAGACAGAAAATAGCAAACAAACAAGATAACTAGATTGTGCTAAGCACTGCAAAGTAAAGACACAGGATAATGAGCTGGAGAAGAATGGAGGTGGGTGCACTTTAGATTGCTGCTCCAGGAAGAGTTAAAACACATCTTGGACTGTGTCTCATTTTCTAATGCCCCTAGAAGCAGGCTCTGAGCCCATTTAGTACACATAATTGAAATGGTGAATTAGGAAAGATTCAGGTGGAATGAGGGTGCTCAAAACCTGTTAGTCAATTTGACCAAGAAACTTCTGAAACTGTAACATGATTGACTCTACAGAGACAGTATCTGAAGGGTCTTTTAGGATGGTCCCAATTGCTTCTATTAATATCTCGGCCAGCCGGGCACGGTGGGTCACGCCTGTAATCCCAACACTTTGGGAGGCCCAGGTGGGCGGATCACGAGGTCAGGAGTTCGAGACCAGCCTGACCAACATGGTGAAACCCTGTCTCTACTTAAAAAATACAAAAATTAGCCGGACGTAGTGGTGCATACCTGTATTCTCAGCTATTTGGGAGCCTGAGGCAGGAGAATCGCTTGAACCCGGGAGGCGGAGGTTGCAGTGAGTCGAGCGAGCCACTGCATTCCAGGCTGGGCGACAGAGTGAGACTCTGTCTCAAAAAAAAAAAAAAAAAAAAAAAAAAAAATCTTGGCCATATTTTAATGTAGGATCCATACATAAATTTTAACGCCCAATTTTAAATTATAGTCAGTAGCAAACATGTTATTTTTGGGAAGTCTCTTTTCTGACTTGTTAAAGCAAGTATGCATGGGCCTATAATTCTACAACACAAATTGCGTTTTTGTTTTGATGAGCTCTGTTCCTTTATTCATACATTCATTCATTCAACAAATATTTATTCAGAACTTACTAGGTCCTGGGGATACTACAGTGAACAATAAACAGCAATCTATGCTCTCATGTGATAGCCTCTGGTTATACCGCTTGATTCCTTTTCTTTTTCTTTCTGACTCATATACTGCTACTTTCTGACTTATATACTACTTTCTTACTTTCTGACTTATATACTGCTAATATCACTGCTTAACACCAATTTGCGAAGATAACATTTATGTGACGTAAATAGATCTATTTTATGTTCTGCTGTTCTTAACACTTAAACATTATTATTGCGAGTGATTTTTGTATTCTTTTGGATGTGGGTAATTTAACTTTTATTAAGGTAATTTTAGTATGTTAGATGCTCAACTCATTTGGCCATTAGAGTGCTCTTCTTTATTTAGGAGCGTGTAACTACTTGTCTCTGACTGATTGTGCAGTCATGACATAGCTGGAGTCAGGATCCAACTTTAAACATTGTGAGATAAATCATTTCCACAGTCTTGCTTAAGTGGCCATTTTAGTGTAGAGAAGCACATTTTCCGTTGAAAGCCAATGTGAATGTCTCCTTGACCCCGGGTCTCAACAATTTTTGAGCAACATAGGTATGATGGTTTAGAAAAAGCTTGATAGATTAAAAAAAAAGATTCTGTAAAATTAAAAATTTTTCCTTTGAAGAATTATTGATAAAAGCATGCATTTGAAACAATATAATTCATATATATCAGTAATAAAATGGGGTCTATTTGAGTTTACTAAGCATTAGCTTAGCAATAGCTACATTTCTCTAGACAGATTTCTGAGTTGCTATGAATATTTGATCTCAAG
This sequence comes from Homo sapiens, assembly GCF_000001405.40. NCBI lineage: Eukaryota > Metazoa > Chordata > Mammalia > Primates > Hominidae > Homo > Homo sapiens. The sequence continues at coordinate 200,381,058 of NC_000001.11, read as the reverse complement.
ACAATGAAACCTGTAGAAATTAGTAGTTCCTTTTTCCTTTTCAATGCTCTGTATACCAAACAAAAACTGTCACCTTTCATGCATAAACATTAATGACCAGTATCTGTGAGCGCAAAGCCTGTATATTCAAGGTTAAAACTCATTCCCTGCACTATTTGGGGAGATGATTAACTCTTCTTGGTAGCAGACCAGAAGCAAGTGGGGCAGCCCCCACCTCTTCATCTTTCTGTGGAGATCTGTAGGGTTGTCTACAAAACAGCTGCTCCCCACATGTACTGGGTGTGAAAAAATCCATTTTTGAGAAACAAACATCAAAACAAAGGCCTCATAGCTGTGTATTTTTCTACCTTTGGGTCCAGGATCCAAAGTCCATATTGAAATGGCTTACTTGCCTTCCAGAGCACAAGGGTGGCTGCAGGAAGTAGACCCAGAGGTTTTCACAAACCAGGTCTTCCCTGGAAATAGTAGTAGAGGCTCGGGACCCAGATCCCCATGGAACCACCTGGCTGGTTTCTTTAGGGGAGGGCCTGAGCCAGGAGTTTTTCAGGGGCAGAGCCATGTGCCTTTCTGATCCGACTATATTCTGGGCTTAGGTGAATCTATGTTGACTTTGGAGTGGTCAGAGGGGTTGAAGCAAAACTGGCATGGATATTCTGCTGGTTGTCAAATGTTGGGCAAGTGTCCTGCTCATAATTTTTAAAGGACAAATATTTGAAATGAGCTAGCTATTTTAGATAATTTAAAAATTATTTATGTGCTGGTTTATTGTATAGAAAGGAATATGAAATATTGTACATAACTTAAAAAAAGATTAAAACAAGCCTGGCACAATGGCTGGCACCTGTAGTCCTAGCTACTGAGGAGGCTGAGGTGAGAGAATTGCTTGAGCCCAGGTGTTCGAGACTGCAATGAACTATAATTGCACCACTGCACTCCAGCCAGGGCAACAGAGTGAGACCCTTTCTCTCTCTACATATAAAACAGTAGATCAACATTACAAAATGTTAAAAAGAGAAAAAACACCCATAATACTGCTATTCCATTTTTCCTCTGTGCAAATATATTTGAACATGGTTATATTCATAATGCACATATATCATCTGTATTCTGCTTTTCAATTTAATATCATCCTCTATTTTCTGTATATTGTGACAGTCTTCATAATTTATTTTTAATGATAATATAGTATTTCATTAGAAACATGTACTATAGCTAACATTTTTCTGATTATTGGGCATTTAGGTTGATTCATATTTTGTAGTGAACATCTTTTCTTTTGGATCATTTCTTAGGATCAGTTTCCAGCAATAAGATTACTGTGTCAAAGGAAGTAGACATTTTTATGACTGATACATGCTTTGCAAAAGGTTTGGCCTTTTTCTTTGCACAACTTTAAAGGTGAATCATCAGCCATGAGCCAGTGCTTACATTTTTGGACAGTTAATTATTATTCCCATATTAGGCAGAGAGAGAAAAGCTCTGTGCACATCTGATTTTCTTCTTATTGCTTTCATTATATAGAGCTGACGTGTTGAGAAAAATGTCCTGGCTGTGAGACATTCCAGACAACAGAGCCATCACTTTGGAAAAGTTTGGACCAATCCCAATTTTGCAATCAGCTCCCAGAGTTTTTCATATTTCTTTTGGCAAAGATATCTGTCGCTGTGGTCAAATGCAGCTGAATGGTTAAAGTCACAGCGTGAGCTGATCAAGGTGCCTATTTTAGTATTAGGTTGGCAGTCTGTGGCCAGGTGTCTGGGTATTTTGAGAGAAGTAATTTTGTAAAGTAATTTGCAATTCTTAACTGTGAACAGTGCCAGAAGAGTTATATGCAGGTTTTCTGTGGAGATTCTCTCTCTCTTCCAGACCAATTGGAGGATAATCATTGGTTTCCGAAGAAAACACACTGGGCCGGGTGCAGTGGCTCATGCCTGTAATCCCAGCACTTTTGGGAGGCTGAGGCAGGCGGATCACCTGAGGTCGGGAGTTCAAGACCAGCCTGGGTAACATGGTGAAACCCTGTCTCTACTAAAATTACAAAAATTAGCCAGGTGTTGTGGCATCCACCTGTAATCCCAGCCACTCAGGAGGCTAAGGCAGGAGAATCGCTTGAACCCAGGAGGCGGAGCTTGCAGTGAGCTGAGACATGCCATTGCACTCCAGCCTGGGTGACAGAGCAAGACTCCATCTCAAAAAAAAAAAAAAAAAAAAAAAAAAAAAAAAAAAAAAAAAAAGAAAACACTGATTGCAGGGAAATTAGGACACCTTGGTCCTTGCTGAATGTGTCACAGTGTCTGTGCTTTGCAGCAAATTGCTTGACTTGAGTTTTTTCCTTCTAAGAAGCAAAGATATTGGAAACAGGAGTGCCAAAATCCCTAAAATTTTTTAGGTTCTTTGTCCGTTGGATGATTCTAATTGCATGCCCATTTTTGTAGCCAAGGATGTAATTTCCCTATTCATTGGGGCTTCTGTCAGGCAACAATGGAAAAGAATAGGATGTGAAGCACAAACCTATCTTTATAGTTTGTCATTTCTACCAGAAGATATCATGGCATATATAATTAAAACCAATGGCAAAAAATTATTTTGACTACCTGTGGCTTGAATGTACTTACTCTATCCCTGCTCCTCATGAATATGTTAAACATAGAAAAAAAAATAGCATTCACTCTTGCCCAGCAGGTTAAAAGGAAGTCAATCTATTCTGTGGAACTGGTCTTGAATTTACCGACCATTACTTTATTTGCTGACTGTAAAAATTCTAGCTTAAAAAATAGCACTCTCAGCAACATCATTTTCAAACATGAAGGCCAACAGTATTTTATTTAGCATAGCATTTTGAAAATCTAATGGCAATTTGGTAAGAAAAACTTAGGCCAGTTAGGGGAGGAGTAAAAATGAAAGTGGAAATAACATTCATTTTCTTTTTGTATTTTGTATTTTTATTTTTTTGAGGCAGTCTCATTCTGTTGCCCAAGCTGGAGTGCAGTGGCGCGATCTTGGCTCATGCAACCTCTGACTCCTGGGTTCAAATGATTCTCCTGCCTCAGCCTCCTGAGTAGCTGGGATTACAGGCGTATGCCACCATGCCCAGCTAAATTTTGTGTTTTTAGTAGAGATGGGGTTTCACCATATTGGCCAGGCTGGACTCAAACTCCTGACCTGAAGTGATCCACCTGCCTCAGCTTCCCAAAGTGCTGGGATTACCGGCTTGAGGCACTGCACCTGGCCATTTTCTATAAACTCTCTGAAATTAATTTTCATTTAGTCTGTTATAAAAGTAGTTATTCTCATTTTTCCCTATGAAGGCATAGAATCAGTAAAGAGATTTATAATGAAGCTATGTGGTCACTTCAATGCATATCTTTGTAGCTGCCTGTAGAAGAGTTTTCTATTGACTGTGGAAACCCCTTCATAAGAAACAGGGTGAGGGTCACTCTAGCTGAGCTTGAGTAGTTTACTTAACCTGTCTGTTTCCAAACTGGTAAAATGGATTGTGGTGAAGATTAGAGCTGATACAGTTTAAGCACCCAGCTGCCCTCTTGCAAGTGAGGATACTATACTTAGAGAGGAACCCAGTCCCAACCTCTCCCCAGGGAATAGCAGCAGGAGAGTGCTGGGTTGTAGACCAGTGTTGAGACTTGTAAATAGTCTTTGGCACCATAGGGCCATGTGTATTCACTCATCAAATTCAGCCGTGTGTGTGTGTGTGTGTGTGTGTGTGTGTGTGTGTGTGTGCGTGTTTGTGACCCTACTCTGAGCCAGGTACTGTTTCAGGTATTAGGGATACTGCTGTGAATAAAACAGAGATGCTGCCCCTGCTGATGGAGACAAGTAATAAGTAAAGAAACATAGATGGAGATCTGTGCTATAAAGAAAGAGCAGAGAGCAGGCATGTTGGCTCATGCCTATAATCCTAGCACTTTGGGAGCCCAAAGTGAGAGGATCACTTGAGCCTAGGAGTTCAAGACCAGCCTGGGCAACATGGTGAGACTACTTCTCTACTTAAAAACAACAACAACAAACAGAGTATGGAGATAGAGAGTGATCAAGTGGGAGGGAATTGTTTTGGATAGGACTTTCAGATCAAGTAAGGTCAGATCAGCCTCTCATCAGAAGACACTTGTAGCAGAGTGCTTACTAAGGAAGTGAAGGAGCTCTGAGTTTGTCATATGAATATTGGGAAAAAGAATGTTCCAGGCAGTGAAAACAGCATGAGCAAAGGCCCTGAGGCAATAGCATACTTGATGTGTTCCACTAAGGAGGGCAATGTTGTGCCTGGAGTGGAGTCAACAAGGAAGAGATTAAGCTAGAGGCTGAGGTCAGAGAGATGGGTGAGGTGGCCAGATCATATGAGGCCTTGTAAATCAAGATAAGGACTTTCTTTGGCTTTTGAGTAAAATGGGAAACTATAGAGATTTTTAAGCAGAGGAGTGACATCATCTGACTTCAAAGGAGTTTTTATAGTGTGTTGTGGGCTTTTATAGGCTCAGGCAAGAGGTGGATAGGGTGGATGGGGAATAGATCTTGTAGAGCTGAGTGTTCCAATATGGTGGCCTCTGGCCACAAGTGGCTACTTAAATGTAAATTAATTAAAATTTTAAAAATTAAAAATTCATTTTATCAATTGCACTAGCCACATTTCAAATGCACAGTAGCCACATGTAGCTAGTGGCTACTGTATTGGACAGTGAGATGTAGATCATTTCCATTGCCACAGAAAGTTCTACTGGACAGTGCTGGTAGGGTATTAAAGGTCTTTGTAGGGACTTCAGCTTTTACTCTGAGTAAATAGAAAGCCATTGGAGGGTTTTAAGCAGAGGAGGAACATGCTCTGACTTATGATTTCGAAAGATCACTGTTGAGAATAGACTGTAAGGGGGCAATGGTGAAAGTTGATAGACCATTAATAGTCTAGATGAGAGATGACCATGTCTTCGATGAGGGGGTAGGAGTGATGATGATGATAAATTATTGGATTTTGGATATATTTTGAAGGCAGAACCAATAGGCTTTTCTGATGAAAATGATGTGATATGAGAAAAAAATGACAAAAAGGTTGTGGGTGATGATGAGAGAAGAGAATACAAGGCCAAAGAGAAGGGATTTCCCTTGTTGTGGAGGAGTCTCACTCACCTTGAAGCAGGAGGGAAAGCAGGGATCTGGGTGGAAAAAGATCTAGAGAATCCTCATCTAAGCAGAAGATGAAGGAGTAAAGAGAGAAAGATGGGTGTATTGGAAGCTTGCGGGTGATGGAGAAAGTTTCAAATAATTCTTGGAAAATAAGTTGAAAAAAGAAACGTAACACAGTTGTTAGAGCAGGGCATGATTGCTTGTGCCTATAGTCCCAGCTACTTGGGATCCTGAGGCAGGAGGATCTCTTGAGCCCAGGAGATGGAGGCTGCGTTGAGCTGTGTTTATGCCACTGCACTCCAGCCTAAGCGACAGAGCAAGACTCCATTTCTTAAAAATAAAACAAAAATGTAGTTGTTAGTATTGAGGGCCCATAAGAAGTTGGTGATGATGAACCTATCTACGCTTTTGATCACCTCCAGCAGAGTTTGACTGTTGCGTGCAAGCAAAGAGAAAGGAGATGGCGGGGTTCAATGAGGGCTGTCGTTTTCCTAGATAGGTTTGTAGAAAAAACAGAGAGGAAGGGAGTTTAAGGGATTGGCAAAAAGGATATAGTAATAACAGACCATGGAATAAAAATTGAGTAAGAAGGAAAGTGAAAACAGCTGAAGGCTAATGAATTGGGAGAAAGCAGATGGATCAATAGACTGGAGGCCCCAATATTTCTAAGAGCAGTTGGAGTTGTTGTCATGCAAGTTGGAAGGAAAGATGCTTATCCAAAAGCTGAATGCCTGAATCAGTAATCTTGCGGCAGAGCTATTGTAGGTGATGACAAGGTCAGTCCTTTGAAGTCTATGCATATATATCTTCATTATAGGCTGACTTGCCAAGTCTTAGAATTTTTACAATATAACCTCACTGTGGATCTCATCTAAGCAGGTTTGGTAACCAAAAGCTCAAGAGCGTGAGATTGAGACCCCAGAGAGCTCATAGCCTGTCACAAACCAGCTGTGTAACCACGGACCTTGAGGAAATGAACCTTATGGTCCCTTCCGTCTCTAATCTGTGACTCCATAGCCCCATTATAATATAGCCTTTTCCCAAACACTGACCTTCAACATAGACCCTGGGGGATTTTTCTATTAAAAATTTGCAACTCTGCACATTTTTATCTGCTGATGCCTCTTGGAATATTAAATGCTTAGAAAGCTGTCGTCGGGATCACATTCTGGAATCTTGACCATGTAGTCATCTGAGTGGGTGTGACAGGAAGTATACACCAGCAGCATTTGTGTCTGAGTGTCCTTCAGACACTGGGATGGCTGCACCTTTACCCGTCCTCTCCAACTCTCTCCACCTAGAAAGTATTCTTTTCTCTTAATTTTGTTAGAGTTATATAGGAATGCTCCTTCAGCAGAAATGACAGAGGCTGTTGCTCTCAGAATCAAATGCAATAATGTGACCTGTAAATTCCTGTGAATATTTGGATATTTTAGCGATATTTGTTTATTCAGAAGAGATTCTGGATGCAGAACTCTCCTCCTCTCTGTTCTCTAACCCTGCTTTCCACCATCATTCTTCTCTCTCTAGGGCACAGAGAGAATTAAGAACAACCTAAGGTAAATTTTTAACAAGATGGTCTAGCTTGAGCTCTGTAGGCTTGACTGATGAAATAAGTAGTAGTTTTTTGCTAAAATAACCACATTGTTTGCAAAAGTTTTCTCCTTTGAGTTTTCTAGGGTCATTACAATGATCTAACTGCCTTACCTGCTTTTGAACTGGTTGAGCCTCTTGTGGGACCGAAAACAAAAGAAGGGTGTTGAAATGCAAATAGATAACTCTGGGTCCCAGTCCCTGACTGCAAAAGGAAGCCAAAACTGACAACAACGTCTCCTTCTCTACGGAGGTTTGTAGAAAGGCTGTACAAAAATCTCACAAGATGTATTTCTTCTCGTGGACTGGAGTCCCAAGGTAGGTAAGAAAAACAAAAACAAGATAAAAACAAACAAAGGATTCCGTACTTGGAATTTGCTCAGTACCAGTTGAATAGCTAATTGTTTCTTGTGTTCTTCCCCTCCCCCCTTTTTTTCTGCCTGAATAGATAATCCTTACAAAACATCTATTCATTCTACAAGTGAAAATTTCAAGAATATTCTATACTGACCTTGGCAAGAGTAATGGACCGAGATTGAGTGATGAATTTGTGTGTGTTGTGGCTGATGTGCATTTTGGTGCTTTGTATGCAAGTTTAAGAATATCTTAGCAATAGGAAAGGAAGATTTATGGCAGTTTAATTAATGAATATAATGAAGGCTAAAACTTGTAGATAAATTTATAAGGTACACAATTATTTTTATAGCTTATTTTTAGCACAAAGGTGATTGTATTTTGTTGCTTTAAGAAAGGACCTCTTGATAATACTGGCGTGTTTTATATTTCAATGTGACCAGTTTAACTGATATGCAAACAATTATTTTTTAAGGGAAATAAAATGAGGCAGTAGTACAACTTAGCGAAGAGGACACTGTGGCAGATTCTAACGACTAGATTAAATTTGAGCTCTTATTTGGCTTTTACTACCAACTGACTGCATAACTTTGGGTCAGTTATTTGGCTCTTTTTTTTTTTTAATTTACAAAATTAGAATGAGAACTACAGATAGTGAAAATATTTGGAAAAGCTTTTTGAAGTCCCACGTGAAAGGCATCAGAAAAAAGAGTTGGGTGATTTTTTTTAATGGGAAATAATCTGATATTGTCAGTAAACCTAAATTTTTTGTATATTAATTTATTTTTTAAGCTGTTATTTAATTTCAGGTGCTTAAGAGCTCTTCAATTTGTTAATGGAAAGAAACACCATTTACACCGGATGGCTACAAAGCAACCTTATTCTGGTAAAATAATCTCTTAAATCCTTATATACACAGTCACTAACTGTTGGCTTTATAAGGTCAGTAGTAGCAAAACAGCCCTGTGGCAGTTAGAAGCTCAGCATGTCCAAGATAGCACTAACGGGGAACAAACACAAAAAACAGCAAACAGTTTAAACAGTACCATTTGATTTGAATTTAACCCAATCTTAAACAGAGGACTCTAAAAAAACAATTACCAGCAAAGTTACATTAATTAGGGAGATCATTAGGTTGTATCAATGCAGTTTAGCTATGCCTTTTAAAAAGTGAAGATGGACTAGAAGCGGTGGCTCATACCTGTAATTTCAGCACTTTGGGAGGCCAAGGTGGGAGGATCCCTTGAACTCAGGACTTTGAGACCAACTTGGGCAACAAAGTGAGACCATCATGTCTACAAAATTTTAAAAATTAGCTGGGTGTGGTGGGGTATGCCTGTGGTCCCAACTATTTGGAAGGCTGAAGCAGGAGGATCGCTTGAGCCCAGGAGGTCAAGGCTGCAGTAAGCCATGATTGTGCTACTGCACTCCAACCTGGGCAACTGAGTGAGACCCTGTCTCAAAAAAAAGAAAAAGATTGAACTTGCAGGCCAACATTTATTTCTGACTATTGACTACTTTTGAAAGAGAAAGCTTTGGACACTAACATTCTAGTCTCAGAGGCCTCAAAGAAGCACAGCCCTGTAAAGAAGAAAATTCTGCTGGGATTAGCAAGAGCCTCAAGGTTTTGGGAACTTGGAATGCCAGGCTCAGTGTTCCGAGTTCCAATGTTGACTCTGCCTGTGAGTCACCCTGAACTAGTCACTCAGTCTCTTGTGTTTCCCCCTTTAGAGAAGAGCTAAGACTATTGACTTTTCAGGAGTTGCAAAACATGTTACAAAAGGATAGGAAAGTACTATGCAAACATGTAAATATCATGAAATATTGGGGGGGTACATTTTAATAAAGATAAGCTGCATTCTTCTGATAATTGGAAGTTGATAATCTTTATGTAAAGACAGGGAGATTGATTTCAAAATAGAGGTTAATGCTTGAAATTTTAATTCGAACAGTGTAAATTTGGATCATTGTTTGCTCTGTTAGTCGATGTTGCTTACTGAAAGGAAACTCTTAACAAGTTGTCTTACTAGAATGGCTTATTTTCAGAGTCAGACCCCCAGGCTTTCTAGAAATGTGTATTAAAATTTAGTAACCTCACTTTCAATTGTTGAGTATAGGACACTGTGGTTGGGTTTCTATATATGTTGTAAACAAGCCAAATACACAAAGTGAACTCTCTATGGACCTTAAAAAAGTCTTAAAAATTTTTTTTTGAGGATATTGAATGAGGCACCTATTTTATTCCTTACTTTTGCAGGATAGCTTGTCAGTGCCAGCTTGGGTTTTTGAATTCTGACTTTTTGCTGGCCATGATTTGGCTGTCTCATTAATAAGACAAACCTTTCTAAAGTGGAGCTCATTGTTTTTTAGTTCTTTTAATGGTGTGGCTAGCCTCTCATTGTTAAAGAAAAGAAAGAATATAATTTTTATTCTTCGTTCTTTCTGGCAACTTTATACCCTCTACTAACCCACCCAGTCCTGAAATCCTGTTAGTTTTTCCATCTGTGACTAGCATCTCTCTTCTGATTCCCAGTAAACGCTACTATATTCCCATCATTCAAAATTAACAACTGTTATTATTTTTGTCATATCTTCTTCAATTTTTTTAAAGAAATAAAACAAAACATTGATGATAAAATCAAGTTGCCTTTGAATATTAATTCCAAGTCCATTTCCTCCTTCTGTCCTCACTTCCCAGAGCCCATGTTCAGTTTGTATACTTTTTAATATTTTATATATATTTGTATGTACCCATAGTTAATATGTAGTATTGTTTTATGGATTTAAATATACATAAATGTTTTCTTTTTTAGAGAGAGAGGATCTCATTCTGTCACCCAGGCTGGAGTGCATGATCATAGCTCACTGCAGCCTCGACCTCCTGGGCTCAAGTGATCCTCCTGCTCCAGCCTCTCAAGTAGCTAGGACTACAGGTTTGTGCCACTATGCTTGGCTAATTTTTTTTTTTTTTTTGTAGAGATGGGATCTTACAATGTTGCCTGGTCTCAAACTCCTGGCCTCAAGAGATCCTCCCGCCTCTGCTTCCCAAAATGCTAGGATTACAAGTATGAACCACCATGCCCAGCCAACTGTTATATGATTTGTTTACTTTCTCTGAGCATTGTTTTTAAGGTCTAGCCATGTTTTTGTACAGACACACACACACGTGCACACACACACACACCCATCTATATATATATATTCATTATTTTTAATTGCTGTCTAGCATTTCTTTTCTTTCTTTTTCTTTTTTTTTTTTTTGAGAAAGACTCTCGCTCTGTCACCCAGACTGGAGTGCAGTGGCACGATCTCAGCTCACTGCAACCTCTGCCTCCCGGGTTCAAGCAATTCTTCTGCCTCAGCCTCCCAAGTAGCTGGGACTACAGGCGCCTGCCACCAAGCCCGGCTAATTTTTGTATTTTTAGTAGAGACGGGGTTTCAACATATTGGCCAGTCTGGTCTCAAACTCCCGACCTCAGGTGATCTGCCCGCCTTGGCCTCCCAAAGTGCTGGGATTATAGGCATGAGCCACCACACCCGGCTATTTGCTGTCTAGCATTTCATGGCATAAATAATACCACATTTTATCAGTCCATTTATTAGTGAATATATGATTGTTTATATTTTTTTCACTAATATATAGGCAATAGTTTCTTAGTCTTGATTCCTAGATGCAGGATTGCTACATTTTGAATATGCACAATTTAACTTTTAAGAGATATTACCAAATTGATTTTCAACTGTTGGAAAACTGTTTCCCCAGATACTTTCCAACACTTGTCAGACTTCTTAATCTTTGCCAATTTTAGGGGTAACAAATGGTTTTCCCTGGGCTTTCTAGCTTTATTTCAGTTCATCCTATTCATAGTTGCTGGCCTAATCCTTTCTAAGGACAGCACTGCTCAGGGCCTTGCCTGGTCAAACACTCTCAGAAGCTCTGCACTATCTACTCAGTCCAAACTGCCCCAAGTCCTCTGCAAGCAACCTGTCCCACCTCATCTATCCATGCCCAGCTGGACCAGAACGTGCAACTTACCACTTTCTCAAACTCAGCTTTTACTTTTCTGCCTCTGCAACTTGATCATGCTCTTCTGCATTCCTGTATTGATTCAACAAATATTTATTGAGCTCTTTACTTCCTGCCAGGTGCTGGGAATATAAGGGTGAAAAAGAAAGACCATATCTAGGCATTTATGGGACTTAACAATTTTTAGCAGAGGATGGGGATGGGCAGAAAATAATCCAGTAAAAAAATTGAGCACGATAATTTTCCATAGTACTTTATAAGTACTATAAAGAAAGTAAAATAGAATGTTAATGAGTTTGTGTGGAGGAGTGACGGGGGTGGATGTGGGGCATGTCCAGGTGGGAACTTTAGAGGGGCAGGTGCTCAGCGAAGGCTTTACAGAGAAGGTTATATTCCCCTTGAGACCAGCAGTGTGAAGCTCATTCACAGACCAGAAGTATTTCTGATCCTGAGCAAGTGCAGATCCCTGCATGTAGGGGTGGCCTCAGAGGATCCTGAGAGGAGCAGAGCTGCCCTTGTGGCTGGCAGTTGGGGCTAGGAGAGTGGTGGATGCTGTAGGAGACAAAGGCAGGCAAAGCCATGCCTCTCAGGGCCTTGTGGATGCTCTCTACCAAAGCCACTGCAGGAAACCGTAGTTTGCCCTTTAAAGCCCTGTAAAGCCGTGATCAAATCCTCTCTTCATAATCATTCCTGATCCAGCTGGCTGGGCGCGCTCTTTCTGGACCACCATTGCACAGTAGTGGTGCCTCTTAAGGCATTTAACATAGCACTTTGGGATCATGATGTCTGTCCTTCCCATGAGCTATTAGAATTTGTTTTCATGTTGCTGTTTTGTTTCTACCTCACAAGGGACAATACTTTATTGTCTGGAAAGAGGAAAGTAGAGGAGGAAAAGGTAGAACACAGAAGAAGCCTGTCATTTTTTATTGAGTCTGGAATGAACTGAGTTTCAGTGAAATAAGCTTTCCTGTTGTATATTTGAGCTGATTTTCACAATGGCAAATATGACAAATTTAATTTTCCTTAAAAATTGATAAGACCAGTTGGAGTTCTAAAAGTGATTTTTTCTACCCCTTGAAGATCTTTTCTCAGAATAGCAGTCTGTAGGCTGTCACCTAAAGTGTCCTGTTTTCAGTGCTGCACCTGCTCTGAGCTTCATCTTTTTACGAAGACGTCATGGTGTGCTATCTGTACTGGGAAACTTTCCCCAGCATCAGCCATCTCCTGAAGATAACATTGTCTGCTAGAGATTGTCATGTATGTGGATTGAATCTCTTTATCTTCATGGTAAGTTTGGAGTTGTGTATTAGACCTACCTTACTGGTGAAAAGAATGAAGGTTCGTAGAGGTCATTACTTGTCTGTCCGCAGGTTACGAAATTAGAGAATAGCGAAGCTGACACTTGAATCTGGGGCTACTGACCAATTCTCTATGAAGCTTCCACACTTTAAGTAGTAACATAGCAAAGACCAAGCACTTAAAATTATTTCTAGATGAAGCCTTTGTGCTCTGAACCACTGTGATCACTGTTGATCGCATTTTCCTTCTTGAACTCATTTTCTATTAATAGGAGCATTTATCACAGACAGTGAGAGGCAGTTTGTGCAGCGGGGAAGAGCACGGGCTGTCTGAAGCTAGACTGTCTGAGTCAGGGTCTTCTGTGCCAGCTTGCTAGCTGTGTGGGGGAAGTTACTTAACATTTCTGTGGTTAAGTTTCCTTATTTTTAGTATGAGGATAATAACAGCACCTACCTCATTGGGTTGTTGTAAGGATTAAATAGGATAATGTACTTAAAAGGCTTAGAACAGAGCCTTGTACTTAATAAGTCCTCAGTTAATGCTCTCCTAGTCTCAGGTCTCAGCTCAAATGTCCTCTCCTAGGGAGGCCTTACCTGGCCCCTGTAGCTAGCCTGGGCCTCCCCCAGGCATTCAACATCTTCACCCTCTGCCTGCACCCTGCCTACTTCCCTCATGGTGTTTTCCCTCTTTTGGGGTACCAGGTTTATTACAGGGTTGTCTCCTCTGTGACAATGTGAGCTTTCCATGGGTTGGCTTGTATGTTCCAGTTTCCAGCTCCAGGACAGTGCCTGGCATGTAGTTTGCTCTCAATGTACATTTGTTTAACGGCTCTCTGTTTCTGAAAATCCTGAATCAGAGCTTTCATTTTGAACAAAATCGTTGCTACTCTGGTTTCTTCTCAATATGCCATATGTATTAGTGTTCCCTGAAACTTCATTCCCACAGCTTCAGACATGATCCCAAATGGCTCAAGAATTTGTACTTCTAGCCCTGACTCCTCTTTCTTTACTTTTTTTTTTGAGACAGAGTCTCACTCTGTCGCCTGGGCTGGAGTACAGTGGCGCGATCTTGGCTCACTGCAACCTCTGCCTCCCAGGTTCAGGCAATTCTCCTGCCGCAGCCTCCCAAGTAGCTGGGATTACAGGCGCCCGCCACTATGCCCAGCTAATTTTTTGTATTTTTAGTAGTGATGGGGTTTCACCATGTTGGCCAGGCTGGTCTTGAACTCCTGACCTCATGATTCGACCACCTCGGCCTCCCAAAGTTCTGGGATTACAGGTGTGAGCCACCAAGCCCGGCCCTGACTCCTCTTTCAATCTGTATTTCCAACTAACTGTTCATAAAACAAATTCTGGTAGGTGTCCTTAGCACAACATGTTCAAAACCAAATGCACTACTTTTTTTTTTTTTTTTCTAAACCAGGTCCTCTTTCTGTGCCCCCAGCCCGGTTGACAATGTGTGCCTTCACTCACCCAATTAGAAACCTTGGAGGTATCCTGTACTCTTCTGTCACTTACCCTCAGCCTAAAGCCAATCAGTCACCAAAGTATTGTCTGTCATTATCATCATCATCATCATCATCACTGTCACCACTGATGGAGTGAGAACCTTGTGCAGTTGAGCATGAACCCCAATTTCATTTGCAAAATGACCCAGACAGCAGATTTCATCTCATATGAAATAAGCAAGGTGAGGTTTTGATGACGTTACAGACATGGCTAAGAAGAGGTTGAGAACCAGCATTCAGCCCACCTGACTCCAAAGCTCATGCCCCGAACCTCAGAAACTTCTCCAGTGAGTTCCTTTTTTTTAATGGCAGGATCACACCATTAGTTTGGACTGGATCCAACCTGGATTGTTGCAACAGCCTTTGATCTGATCTGTCAAGCCCTGTGCCTTCTGTGCAACCCATTCTCTACCCTGGCACGAGCATTACTAAAATACCAATCTGGTCCTATGACTCCTCTGCATAAAAACCACGGCTGGGGCTGGTCAAGTGCAACAGTGTTTACAACTAATTGATCACAACCAGTTACAGATATCTTTGTTCCTTCTTTAGCCAAAAACAAACAGAAAAACAAACAAAACCCAAATAACAAAAACAAACACAAAAAACCCCCCATTGTTTGTTCCCTTTTGCATCTTTTGAATTCTAAACTCCTCACATAGCATAAAATCCCCTTCTGGGTCTTTTCCCAGCCTACAACCCACTTCCCCACCTGCCCCATTCCCCCTGTTGCTCCTACCTCTGGCCTTACTTCAGCCCCAGGGTCCCCTGCTGGACATGGCAGGCCCAGCACATGCTGCCCTGGGCCCTTTCACTTTGCTTTGTGACATATTTTTCATCCTTCAACCTTCAGCTCATAAGCCATATTCTCTGTGAAGGCATCCAGAGGGCCCGAGACAGCCCCTCCCACCTGTGTTCCTCAGAGCATTCTGTGCCCATAATTAGGGTGAACACATTTCTGAATCAGCAGTGGAAATGTTTCAGTTCAGACAGTTACGCATGTGCCCCTGAAGGCAATGGGACAGTTAATAGAGCAAAGTCCAGAAGAAACTCTTGGAGATGATTCCTCTTTATCTGTCTGCTACCCTGTAGAGGGGTGGGGAAGGTACTTCCAGGGTAGAGAGCTGTGGGTGGCCCTTGTATCTCTTGGAGATGATTCCTCTTTGTCTGTCTGCTACCCTGTAGAGGGGTGGGGAAGGTACTTCCAGGGTAGAGAGCTGTGGGTGGTCCTTGTATTTGCCCACACCTGACACGATGCCTAACTGTTGTTTGCTGAATGTATGAAGACTATGCCAGGCCTGAGATTCTTTTGAACATAACCAAATGTCATGTGTAAATTTCTCCAAATAACCAACCAACAAACCCAGCTCTTTATAACAATGGACAATCCAGCATGAGTATTAGGACTCTGTTTAAGTCTCAGGTTTATCACTAGAACAATTCTCATAGACACACTTCTTCATCTGTAAAATGGGGATAATAGTAGCTACTTACGGGAGTTGCAGTGAAGACTCTGTGAATGAATTGAAGGAAATTAGCAGGCACAGAGTCTGGCAAAGAAGTCTTTGTTTCAGGCACAAAGATATGTGTAGCTCATCACTATAAACAGGAACTAGAAGGCAAGGTCATGTTCTAGAATAACTTTTAAAAGTTAGGATATTGTTGGGAATTTTAAAAGGTAAGACAATTAAAAATATGACTAATATTTGTCAGCTTTTTTTTTTTTTTTTTTTGATACAGAGTCTTGCTCTTTTACCCAGGCTGGAGTGAAGTGGCGCCATCTCAGCTCATTACAGCCTCTGCCTCCCGGGTTTAAGCGATTCTCCCTCCTCAGCCTTCTTGAGTAGCTGGGATTACAGGCACCCGCCATCATGCCCGGCTAATTTTTGTATTTTTAGTAGAGACTGGGGTTCACCGTGTTGTTCAGGCTGGTCTTGAACTCCTGACCTCAAGTGATCCACCCACCTCGACCTCCCAAAGTGCTGGGATTACAGGCTTGAGCCACTGCGCCTGGCCTCATTTGTTAGCTTTAACATATGAAGAGACATCCTCCTAAATGTTAAAGTACTCTTTGACATTTTACCTATGCATTTTACAGTTGGGCTGGGAGAGATGTGACTCCCGGTTTGTTTTGCCTCACCTTTGCATTTCATCAGCTGTGTCTGATCCCAGCCTAGCCTGTGTGTCGGAATCACTTGGATGAGTGTTTTACAGACTCCTGGGCTCTACCCCAAACCCACTGAATCAGAATGGGGACAGGAAGGGAACTGTAAATCTACATTTATGAAAACCTCCCCTTGTGGTTTTGATAGTCTGCAAGGTTTGGGAATCACTAGTTCCCAAACACACCAGTAGAAAAGCATATAGTAATTAACATTCTCAATTTCTCAGCTTTACAGTGTTTGTAATTAAAAATTTTTATTTGCTTTTTTGTAAGCAATATTAGCTTTCTCAATGTCTGTTTCACCTTCACTGCAGTCTGTTTATCCAGCCTGGGAAAAAAACTGGCTCCACTTAAACAATGAGACAAAAAAGGTGCAAACCTGACAGCTTCCCTACCTTTTTTGCATTAGCGTGTAGGTATTTCCTCCATGTCCTACCAGGGCCATTTAAATGCTAATATAGTTAAGTACAACAATCTTTTTAGCAATCAGATGGAATTGTTTTTTACCACAATCTTATTTCTCATTTCTCCAGTCCGTACTTTTCCTTTTTTGGGGCAGGGTGGGGGTAGGGCTAGAGGGGCATACATTTAAATTCTTTGACCTTTCAAACCTTAACAAAAATTCTCTCCTAATATCTTCTCAGCAGTTCTTGCAATGTGTGTATCCTCTAAACCTGAGCTCTGTAATTTGAATGTGCTGAGTCACCTTGTCTTTGCAGGGTCAAACATTTTGCATCCAGGAAAAGTACTGCAGAAAATCACACCATTAGCAGCTAGCTGGTATGTTATTTGAATATTTGAATACAAATAGGAAGACTGGAAAGGAGAAAGTTACTGTGTACATAGATACATAGTAACTTACATATACTTAAAACAACCTTTTTTTTTTTTCTAATAGTCTGCTAAGTCCTCTTTCTGATTGATGACTTTTTTGTGTGTGAAATTCTCTAAATATTTATTTGTGTTCCTAGAAAGTGAAAATGAATATAAATGGTAAAGCAGTTGCCTTGCAATGTTTAATAAAAGGAGAAAATAGTCTTTGCTATTATACTGAAGCTTTGCATAATTAAGATTCTTGAATTAATTTTAAAGAATTAATAACAAAAAAATACAATCATGAACCAGATATTGAGAGTTAATGTCTAATTTAAGTTCAACTTTTAGGGAGTCCGTTTTCCTATTTTGATCATGTAGTTGAATAGACAGTGAGGAGATGTTACTACAACTGTATTAATAGAGGAAGTGGCAGGAAGCTACAGTTTCCTTAGAATCAGAAAGAAAGTTTATAGAACTCACTGGAAATGAGGGTTATAGATAAAGATTGAAGTAGGAATAACTTCTATTTAGAATTGCTATTGTATTTTTGTAACATAAGAGTGGTTTTCTTTAAAGTAAGTATTTGGGGCTAAAGAGAATGCCAACACTCCACTCACAGGGAAGTCGGAAAGCTTACCAGTATTAACAAACATCCGAAGTCATTTCACAAGGTGGAAGTTTACTATAGAACCAGTAAACATAATCTTCCTCCAGGGTGTTTTGAGTCATGAATGGGGAGCAACTTGCTCCCTTCGTGGATGGAGCACTGGGGACAAGCTTCTCTGCATCAGAGCCTGTGAAATATCAATAGCAACAGCTACTGTACTCTGAGTGCTCACTTCCTCTATGCCAGAGGCTGGCTCTGGTCTTTAATTGAATTCGCTCACTATACAGCCCCCTATACAGAAGGAACGCTAATTTTCAATACCTTAAAGAGGCCAAATCATTCCCACAGCATTAGTGGCAGAGGGGGTATTTGAACCCAGGCAGAATGACTCGAACTCCCTGGTAATTAGCCATGGTGGAGAATGTCTCCCAGCTCACAAAAATGACTACTCACTGGCAAGTAACACTAAGTACAGAAAGAATGTCATCAGTTGGTTGGTGTTCTTGCTTTCTCTCCGTGAACAATTAAGAGGGCGCAGAGGTGAGATGGGGTGGGGTGGGATAAAGGGAAGGCCTGGAAGAAGGGACAGAAGGGCTGCAAATAATCACCCGGGAGCCCAGTGAGACTCAGAGAAAGATTCTAACCTAAAATACTCTTCTGCTGTCAGCTATTCTGTAATTAACATCCACAGATGAAAACATGAAGTGTATTAAAAATCCTTTGTGTTTTTTTTCAATTTTGACTGATGGACATAATATAATGACTTGATAATTAAAAAAAAAGAAAGAAAGAAAACCCACAAAACCCAACAACCCAAAATTCTAAACTAACTGCTTTTCATCATTCTACTCCCTGATTAGACATGGAATTGGGCTCGTTACTACGGGTAGAACAATGGCCTGTGTTGGGCAGGACAAGGGCATGGAAGCTCTCCAGCAAGCAGCACAGTGGGACAGCACAGGCTTCTAGCAGGCATGGTTTCAGTCTCAATTGTTTACAAGCCTTGGGATCTGGAACAATTGATTTGAGCCCTACAACATTAGAATGGTTCCTTTTCTCAGGGCCTAATATGGGGTCAGAGAAGGCACTCAGCAAGGAGGGTTTTTTCAGAGGCCCAGGAAGAACTAGTTCAGAGGCCGAGCCTCCTGGGAGAACACGTAGATGAGTGGGGTCAGGTGCCTGTGTCTGAGATCTAGCTCAGGTCAGGGCAGTTTTCATTGAGAAGGTGACATTTGAACAAAGATTTGAAGTTGCTGAGTGAGTTAGCCATGTGGGAATCTCAATAGAAGAGATTTCCAAGCAGAGGAAACAACTAAGGAGAAACAGGAAATTGCCTTCTGGCAAGATGTAGGAACAGCAAGGAAGTAAGTGTGGCTGAAACAGAGTGAGTGAGGGGTAAAGTAGTTGAAAGTGAGGTCGGGGAGTAAGAGAGTCAGACTGGCCAGCATCATTTTAAGGACTCTGAGTTTTAACTATGAGAGGAACATGGAGCCATTGCAAAGTTCTGAGCAGAGGAGGACATGTGACTGAGAGTTTAAAAAGATGGCTCTAAGCCAGGTGCAATGGCTCATGCCTGTAATCCCAGCACTCTGGGAGGCCGAGGCAGGAGGATCACTTGAGGCCAGGAGTTTGAGACCAGCCTGGACAACATAGCCTGACCTCATCTCCACTAAAAAAGAAATAAAGCTGGGTATGCTGGTTGCGTACCTGTAGTCCCAGCTACTCAGGAGGCTGAGGTGGGAGGATCACTTGAGCCTGGGAAGTTGAGGGTGCACTGAGTCATGATCATGCCACTGTACTCCAGCCTGGGCAACAGAGCAAGACCCTGTCTCAAAAACAACAGCAACAACAAAAATCTAAAACGATTGCTCTGATTGCTATATTCAGAATAGACTGGGTTTGAAGCAGAAAGACCAGTTAGGAGCCATTGAGTAATCCAGACAAGAGATGATGATGGGTCTGACCAGGGTTCATAACAGTATGAGGGTGAGAAGTGGGCAGATTCTGGATCTATGTTGAAGGTAAAACCAACAGGATTTATCCCTGGGTTGGATATGGAATGTGAGTGGAAAAGAGAACGTGAGGATTTATTCCAGGGCTTATGGCATGAGCAACTGGAAGGATGGCATTGCCAATACCTGGGGTGGCAAGGATATGCAGAGGAAACAGATTTGGGGGGAACACCAAGGGTTCATTTTTGCCCATGTTGAGTGTGAGATGTCCACTTGATATCCAAGTGGAGATCAAATGGAGGAGAGAAAGGGGTCTGGTCTGGTGATACGCTTTTAGAAATTACCAGTATATAAATATTTAAAGCCCAGAGACAAAGAGATCATAAAGGGAGTACTGACAGAGAAGAGAAGGGATCAGCAGACTGAGCTTTGAGGTGCTACAATAACTGAGAGTTCTAGAAAAAGAGGAGGGAGCCCCAGAGGGGACTTGAAATGGAGCAACAAATGAGGCTGTCTTGAAGATGGCATTCACCAGGCAGAGAGTAGGGAAAGAATTCTAGGTGAGGGGAAGGGTGGGTACCCAGACTCAGAGGTACAAAAGCCTGATCTGGGAGAGGGACGGGGAAGATAGTAAGTGGTGTGGTATGGGGAAGAGTAGAGTAGAGGCTGCAAGATGGGCTTCTTTGACATGTAAGGGACTTGGACCTTCAATGGAAGACTTTGGGAGTTAATTTCTTGATAATTATGAGGAAGTTGATGGCAGCTAAGACTCATTGACGTATTATTCTAACTTATTATTCTAGCATGTGTCAAGCACTGTGCTAAGCAAATTACATACATTATCTCACTTAATCTTTACACCTACCCTTTAAGAAAGATAGTAGTATTATCCTCTGCAGATGAAGAAATGGGCTCAGGGGGTCAAAGTTATCAGTGAGTAAACTGCCTTTAACCCAGGTAGTTCCATTCCAGAGTCCATCCTTTTAACCACTAACCTGTCCTGTCTCCTTGAGGTCTGGCACTTCTTAACCAGGTCTCAGAGGGTCAGCCTGAGAGCATGTGTCATTTCCCCATAGAGGACCTGACTTCACTGTTTCTCAGATGAGGTGCTTTACCTGCAAAGGGTTAAGGTAGATTCTGGGCACCAGTGAAGGAGTTCAAGTGGAGGAGCAACTTGACAGGATTTGCTTGTGTAGGATGTTGATCTGGCAGCAGTGTGGTGAACAGAGTGCATGAGGGTGCCTGCTAGTAAGGGAGATCTATTTGGGGAAGATTAGCTCAATGTGAGACCTATTGAGGGGCCTGAGGGCTGATGAAGCAGTGTGCTTCAGGCTGCAGGGTCAGGGTCTTAGTAAGAGATGAGCTAGATTTGAGAGTCACGTGGCTGCAAATAGAATCAGTGGTTCTGAGGGAGGGAAGCAATTTTCAGATATTCACTGTCCATATATACACACTTTTCTCAAATGGATCCCTTAGAGAACAGGGAAAATGCACACCTCTTGCACTTCCATCATCTTCCTATGGTGTGTTTGGGAAGGTAAAAAAAAACCTCCGGGACCCAAACCTAGGTCCAATTTCAAATATAATGCATGTAGGAGAATGTGAATGACTCAGGGCCAGTGACACTTCCTTTTACAAGTCAGATGAGTCTGGCTGTTCGCTTTCAACATACTTGAAGGGAGACCTAAACACACACACACACACACACACACACACACACACAGACACACACACTCTTTAGAGATAGGGTCTTACCATGTTGCCCAGGCTGGAGTGCAGTGGCTGTTCACAGGTGTGATCATAGTACACTACAGCCTGGAACTTCAAGTGGTCCTCCCACCTCAGCCTCAAAGGGTGTGGGATTACAGTTGCACACCACTGTGCCTGGCTGAACATAAGGATAGATTACAACGTGATTTGGGGCTATGACTTTCAAGGATTTCAAAGATTTGAGTGACATTGCTGTAGCTAAAATACTTCCATTCTTTTATTTATTTAAAAATAATTTCTCAGTTATTGTATCTATAAAAAGAACAGTAGTGATATAATTATACCAATGGTTTCATTATAATAATAAGTCATCCACAAACCCATTAACTAATAATAGGAAAATAAACCCAGTTCATCGCATTAATCTCATTAAAGAATGTATTTCCAATAAAACTTTATATTGAATGATTGTCAAAGTTTATAATATACTTATGATGTTTTGATTAATTGTGTACTATGAATAACTGGAATTTACTACTACTTAATCCAGAGGAATTTTTCTTTGTCTACCTAGAGGATTATGGTCACAATTTTTTTTTTCTATTTTAAATCTTAATTTATGTCCATAGTTTTGTGGATGAGATCTATGAATGGGTTATTAATAAAAGGTTTTTGTTTGTTTGTTTGTTTGGTTTTTTTTTGAGACAGAGTCTCACTCTGTCATCCAGGCTGGAGTACAGCAGCGTGATCTCAGCTCACTGCAACCTCCAACTTCCAGGTTCAAGCGATTCTTGTGCCTCAGCTTCCCGAGTAGCTGGGATTACAGATGCTCGCCACCATGCCCAGCTAATTTTTGTATTTTTAGTAGAGATGGGGTTTTCCCATGTTGGCCAGGCTGGTCTTGAACTCCTGACCTCAGGTCATCCGCTGGCCTCAGTTTCCCAAAGTGCTGAGATTACAGGCATGGGCCACTGTCCCTGGCCAATAAAAGCTTTTGAAGCATAAAAACAAATTTCATTTATAATTGGTGGGTAAAACAAAAACTTGCATCCAAATGTTTGTAGCAGCCTTATTCATAATAACCAAAAAGTGGAAACAATTCAAATGTCCACCAGCTGATGAATGGATAAACAAAATGTGGCATATCCATACAATTGAATATTATTGGACAGTAAAAGGAATGAGTACTGATTCATTCCACAACATGGATGAACCTTGAAATATTATGCTAAGTAAAAGAAGCCAGTCACAAAAGATTACATATTATATGATTCCATTTGTATGAAATGTTCAGAATAGGCAAATTTATGGAGACAGAAAGTAGATCAGTGGTTGTTTAGGGCTGTAGTAGGGGAGGGGACAATGAGGAATGAGTGCTAATGGGTACTAGGTTTATTTTTGGGGTGATGAAGATGTCTTAAGGCTGATTGTACCAACGATTGCAGCTGTAAATATGCTGAAAACCATTAAGTTGCATTCTTTAAATGGATAAATTATATGGTATATGTTTTGTTTTGTTTTGTCTTGTTTTTGAGACAGAGTCTCACTCTATCACCCAGGTTGGAGTGCAGTGGCGCAGTCTCAGCTCACTGCAACCTCTGTCTCCTGGGTTCAAGTGATTCTCCTGCCTCAGCCTCCCCAGTAGCTGGGATAACAGGTGCACACCACCATGCCTGGCTAATGTTTTGTATTTTTAGTAGAGATGGGGTTTCATCATGCTGGCCAGACTGGTCTCGAACTCCTGACCTCATGATCCACCCACCTCAGCCTCCCACAGTGCTGAGATTACAGGCATGAGACACTGTGCACAGCCAGTATGTGTTTTATATCTCAATAAGGCTGTTAAAATATCTGTGGGAGGTTGGGCACAGTGGCTTATGCCTGTAATCCCAGCACTTTTTTTTTTTTTTGAGATGGAGTCCCGTTTTGTCGCACAGGCTGGAGTGCAGTGGCGTGATCCCGGCTTACTGCAACCTCCGCCTCCCGGGTTCAAGCGATTCTCCTGCCTCAGCCTCCCAAGTAGCTGGGACTACAGAAGTGCGCCACCATGCCTGGCTAATTTTTTGTATTTTTAGTAGAGACGGGGTTTCACTGTGTTAGCCAGGATGGTCTCGATCTCTTGACCTCGTGATCCGCCTGCCTCGGCCTCCCAAAGTGCTGGGATTACAGGTGTGAGCCACCATACCCAGCCTAATCCCAGCAGTTTGGGAGGCCGAGGCAGGAGGATCACTTGAGGCCAGGAGTTCAAAACAAGCTTGGGCAACATAGTGAGAACCCAGTCTCTACAAAAGAAAAAGTAAAAAGTTAGCTGGATGTGGTGGCCCATACCTGTAGCCTCAGCTACCTGAGAGTCTGAGGCAGAGAATCTTTTGAGCCCAGGAGTTTGAAGCCACGTGAGCTACCATTGCACCACTGCACTCCAGCCTGAGCAACAAAACAAGACCTGGTCTCCCCCAACCTCCTCCCCCACCAGAATTCTGTGGAGTAAGTGAATGAAAACAGAAGTTAAAGCAGATATAAGAATGATACAATATTCTGACTATAAAAGAAGATCTTGTACATTTACAAAACACTATCAATTCATTGCAACCATTTAAATTTGGGATTATAGCTACTTGGGAGGCTGAGGCAGTTGGATTGCTTGAGTTCAGAAGTTTGAGACTACAGTGAGCCATAATCGCCCCACTGCACTCTAGCTTGGATGAAGAGTGAGCCCCGTCAAGTAAATAAATAATAAAATAAATAAATAAATAATTTGGATGTCAAATCAGAAATTGCATAGGAGGGCCGGGCTCACGCCTGTAATCCCAGCACTTTGGGTGGCCCAGGTGGGCAGATCATGAGGTCAGGAGATCAAGACCAGTCTTGCCAACAAGGTGAAACCCTGTCTCTACTAAAATACAAAAAATTAGTCGAGCGTGGTGGTGCACACCTGTAGTCCCAGCTACTCGGAAGGCCGAGGCAGGGGAATCGCTTGAACCCGGGAAGTGGAGGTTGCATGAGCCAAGATCGCGCCACTGCACTCCAGCCTGGTGACAGGGGGACACTCTGTCTCAAAACAAACAAACAAACAAAAAGAAATTGCATAGGAATATGTAGTTTTGTTTTTGTGGGGTTTTCTGTTTTGTTTTGTTTTTTTGAGACAGGATCTCGCTCTGTCACTCAGGCTGGAGAGTAGTGGTGTGATCCCGGCTCACTGCAGCCTCCACCTCCTGGGTTCAAGCGATTCTCCCACCTCAGCCTCCTGGGTGTCTGGGACCACAGGCCTACTGCCACAAAACCGCCTGCCTCGGCCTCCCAAAGTGCTGGGATTACAAGCGTGAGCCACCGTGCGCAGCCCTGTAGTTTTTATTTTAGGAGATTCTTAAGCAAAAAAGCCTGAAGCCCAGAGAATTAAATCTCTTAAAGAGAATGGCTAGATTAAATGAGAAAAGAGGACTAAAGAAGGAAAATTTCAGACTAGCCGATGTGGCAAAACCCTGTCTCTACAAAAAATCCAAAAATTAGCTGGGCATGGTGGTGTGTACCTGTAGTCTCAGGTATGCAGGAGCTGAGGCAGGAGGATCACTTTGACCTAGTCTCATTTAAAAACAACAAAAACAAAACAAAAACAAAAAGGAAAGAGAGAAAATTAGGAATACTAGCATCTAAAGAAAATGCAGGAGAAATGGAGAAGTAGGACTAGAACCACAGAAGGACTGTTTACAGCTGGAGGGTAGTGTCAAGCATCCCTCAGGATTGTGGAAGCTCAGGACTCAAAATCATCTGTGATTGGCAATTATGAAGTCTTTGACTTTGGCACCACCCATTTCAGTGAATTAATTGCAGTCCAGCACAGAGACTGATGGCTGGGAACAGGAGTTCAGAGAGGTTAGAGGCGAGAATCAGAGGGAGGAAGTGAAGACATCAACTGTGAACTACTTTCTTGAGAAGTTAGAACAGAAATAATACGGCAGTAGTTTGGTAACTTTTGGGAGAAGTGGTGTAAAGGTAGTTGTTACTACTTTGAAAACGAGATTGATTTGAACATAAACCAAAGGTAAAAAGCTGGTGAGTGAGAGAGAGGAGGGATGCTCATTTCTGTTGTATGCAAAATGTTCTGCAAATCAGCTAGCCTTGGCTGTGACCCCTGGGAAGCCAGAGGGGATGCCATCCCCCTTACTTCAGAATTGTGGCCTTTCTCTTCTGGTGAGCTAGGAATTTTATTCAGTACTTCTCGGGAATTTTACAAACTCTTATCTAGGCAGTGAGCCACTATCTTGATACTCAGTTTCCAAAACCGCTTGTTTCTACAGAGCTCATTTCCAATGTTGCCAATGTTTAGTGCTACAACAGGGATGGGGGTGTGGATGGACCAACAGGCTAGCTCAACATTCTTTTGAATTTGGGTTAAGTGACTGATTTAGGGTAAGAGTGGCTCCCAGGGCCAGGCGCGGTGGCTCACGCCTGTAATCCCAGCACTTTGGGAGGCCGAGGCGGGCGGATCACAAGGTCAGAAGATCGAAACCATCCTGGCTAACATGGTGAAACCCCGTCTCTACTAAAAATACAAAAAATTAGCCGGGTATGGTGGCGGGCGCCTGTTGTCCCAGCTACTCGGGAGGCTGAGGCAGGAGAATGGAGTGAACCCGGGAGGCGGAGCTTGTAGTGAGCCGAGATCGCGCCAGTGCATTCCAGCCTGGGCTACAGAGTGAGACTCCGTCTCAAAAAAAAAAAAAAAAAAAAAAAAAAAAGAGTGGCTCCCGAATTTCTTGGGTAGGAGTAAAAAAGATTTTACGGTATTTTTTTTTCTCACCTTAGTTCTTTAGAATTATGCTGGAAGGAACCAATTCACCTCAAATACCAAGGAAATGGGTGTGATGTAGTAGGCAGAGGAGTAGCCTTTTCCATACTGCCAGCAGAATGGAGACAGACCTGGGCTCGCACACACCACCCGGACCCAGGAGTGGGTGGTTCAATGTGTACTGTTAAGACTAAAGAAGGTTGGCCAGGCGTGATGGCTCATGCATGTAATCCCAACATTTTGGGAGGCCAATGCGGGCGGATCACTCGAGCGCAGGAGTTTGAGACCAGCCTGTGCAACATGGCGAAACTCCATCTCTACAAAAAATACAGAAAAGCTGGGTGTGTTGGCACGCACCTGTAGTCCCAGCTGCTCTGGAGGCTGAGTTGGGAGAATCACCTGAGCTCAGGAGGTTGAGGCTGTGTGAGCCATGGTTGCACCACTGCACTCCAGCCTGGGCGACAGAGACCCTGTCTCAATTAAAATAAAAAAGAAGGTCATGTGAAAGCTCACTGTGAACAGGACTTTTTTTTCTCTGTAGGTGCTTCATTGTTACTTCAGTTTACTTGAACTCATTTCATTGTTTTCACACTGTTATGAAATGCTCTCAACAATAACTGCAACAACAAATAGAGAAGAAAGGAAGTATTTAGTAATATCAAGAGAGGGCCGTGGTTAGCATGAGACATCTTGCGTTATTCACCACTGCAATGAGAAGAAAAAGACTGAGCAAAGGGAATTTCATCCATTTCTCAAGGATTTAGAGAGCTACATGCTCCATTTGAAGGTCACATTGTACATGGTGAGGTCACATTAAGGGAATTGACTTCCTCCTCTAAATCCCCCTGATCTTTATATATTTCTTTCCATGGTTTTATGCTAATACTTTGAAGAACTGAAGAATGTTATGAGGTGGCCAGGGAATGCTATGGTTCCAGGTAAATGTATTTTCAAGGTCTTTGGCAGTCGGTAAACCATTTTCCAGGACACACTTTGGTGTAAGCATACTAGTAGTAATAGTAACAAGTATTAGCAGGAAAAACTATCTTAGTTTTTTGAATTTATACTTAATATTGTTATTGTTCTTACCTTGTTTTATAGCTGAGATATTAAGTTCCCTGCTGTGTGCTGAGGGCATTGAGAACCCAAAGATAAAGAGGACACAGCCCCTCTAAAAACCTTTCTAGGGCCCTGTGGCTCCTTGTCCTTGGGTGGAATTCAGGGGCCCTGTGAACTTTTATAGGAAAAGATTACAGTTTTATCACCCTCTAACTGCAATACAGTATTTCCTTCAGTTATCAATGGTAATGACAAGCCACAGGAGTGACAGCTATTCCCATTTATACATATCACTACTTTGAAATAATGGTAGTCATTTGATTTACCACTAGATCAATAACAAGGCACATATGGTATGACAGCCAATAAATGTTTGAATAGTTTGATAACTGTATTTCATAATTAGTTTTCTGCATATGCCTATGTCTATTTTACCATATTTTGAGAAGGCTTTAGGAGGCACAAAAAAAGGTTAAGAACCCCTTTCTGTTTACTATCTCATGAGGAAGGCTAGAAGCTTCAACAGATAAAATCAGTACAAAGTGGTGAGTGGCAGCTAGAAACATGCTCAGGAGCTGTGGAGCACAGGCTTGAGCAGAGATTCAGGGAAGGCTGATGGAGAAGATTCCTGAGCTGCATCTGGAATGAAGAAGAAACAGAAGCAGGAAAAGGTCATTCCCAGGAGAGAACAGAACAGATCTTAGGGCAGGAAATGGCCTATGTGGAAGGCGGGTACTGACAGTCAGAGCTTGCTTACTGTGCTAAGTCTTGGGGGCTCAAGAATGAATGAGGGACCTCCTAGGTGGTCAGTGTGCTCACTGTTCAGAACAATGTTTATGGGGACAGGGTGGAGAGGGGTATAGTTTGAAAAAGGAAATTTTTTTTTTGGACACGGAGTCTCACTCTGTCTCCCAGGCTGGAGTGCAATGGCATGATCTCGGCTCACTGCAATGTCTGCCTCCCAGGTTCAAGCGATTCTCCTGCCTCAGCCTCTCGAGTAGCTGGGATTACAGGTGTCCACCACCATGCCCGGCTAATTTTTGTATTTTTAGTAGAGATGGGGTTTCACCATGTTGGCCAGGCTGGTCTCAAACTCCCAACCTTAGGTGATCCGCTCGCCTTGGCCTCCCAAAGTGCTGGGATTACAGGCATGAGCCACTGTGCCTGGCCGCCTTTCTAGAATTTTATATGAGTGGAATCATACACCATGTGCTCTTCTCTTTGGTCTGGCTTCTTTCACATGGCATAATGCATTTGAGATTTGTTCATGCTGTTGCAAATCAACAGTTCATTCCCAATTTTTTTGCCAAGCAGTATTTATTATAGAATTATATACTCTGAAAAGGGGAAAAAAACCAACCTTTGTTTTCATAAAACAAAATTTTAAAAAGGAGTGAGATTTTTAATGCTTATCAAATGGGAATATGAGTTAAAAATTGTTGAGAAATGCTGCTCCAGCATGTGGTCAGAGAGCATTCCAGCCCAAGATTTTCTTATGTCAATGCTAAATTTGAGCACATTTGGAAGTATTTTAGACCTGAAAGAAGGCAGGACATCAAAACAACCACTAGAGCCGAGTGGGCCTTTGTAACCACAGACTCTCTGACGAAAAGATTTGTAAAGACTCTGCCTAATGAAGAGTTCAAAAAGCATTTTGTGTGTCATCTGTTTTCCTTACAGTCTCCTTACTTGGTAGATAAGGGGCAAGAATTATTTTCCATGTTGCATAAATAGGAAATGAGGTATAGCGAGTTTGAGATACTTATTACCCAAGATCCCAGGGAGTCAGAGGCAGACTGAGGACTGCAAAAGATCCCTCCTGGTCCACAATCTTAGCCTTGCCAGTAGGCTGGGCTGAAAGCTTTAAAAAAAAATACAGTAATTTCACTTTCACTTTTGTTCTTGTTTGGGTTGTGATACAATCTTTAATTTGAAAGAATGAAGGGTTTTCTTTTCCTTCTTTGTTTTTAAAACTTTCCCCTCTCTTCTTGGTAAACACCAACATGTGTGTTGACTCTATCCAGTTGAACTCAACAACCTAATGCCTGTTTTGTGCCAGGCTCTTTTCCAGGCACTAAGGAGGCACTGATCTGGACAAATCCTGGAGGTTACTGTGAAGCAGGAAGGACAAAATGACCAAATGAGAATTAAATTACTTTTTTAGGGTCGTGGAAGATTTGAAAATCTGGGGAAACATATGTGTCCTCTTTCCCCCAAAAAATGCACATAGTGTGTACACACACACACACACACACACACACACACGTGTGTGTGTGCGCTTGGGCTCACATGATTTTGCAATGATTTTAGCGTGTTTAGAGACCCCCCAGAACTTGTGTGTAGGATTGGCCTTTGGATGAGTATTTTTGGCATAGAATGAAATAGTAATGCCTTGAAGGCAGCACAAAGCCATAGTCACTGAATAGAGAGAAAGATTCAGAGGATCCTGTGAGATGGGTGGGGCTGTTAGTGTTTTGATAGACACGTGTACTGAGTTGGGAGGGTACTAATTTCTGGAAGGCAATATTCCAGGCAGAGGGCACATCTGAGAAAGGTAGGAGGGGAGGGAAGCAGAAAAATGCAAAGCAATCTGAGAAACCCAGTTTGGCTGGAGGATAGATTATATGAAGAGCAATCTTCAGAAACACCCATAGAAAGGTAGGCAGGGGTCATATTGTGAGTGATACTGAGTAAGCAAGGTGAGTAGTCTTCTTTTTATTCTCCCCAGTAAAATATTCTGCAGTTCCTTTTATTTTTAATTAGATGGCAAAACCCCATCTCTATCAAAAAACACAAAAATTAGCCGGGCTTGGTGGTGCATGCCTGTAGTCCCAGCTACTTGGGAGGCTGAGGCAAGAGGATCACTTGAGAGTGAGCTGTGATCATGCCACTGCACTCCAGCATGGCTGACACAGCAAGATGCTGTCTCAAAAATATGTATATATTATATACAGTTTTCTGTTGTTGTTTGTTTGGTTTTTTTGGAGATGGAGTTTCATTCTTGTTGCCCAGGCTGGAGTGCAGTGGTGTGACCTCTGCTCACTGCAACCTCCGCCTCCTGGGTTCAAGTGATTCTCCTGCCTCAGCCTCCCGAGTAGCTAGGACTACAGGTGTGCACCACCACACCCAGCTAATTTTTATAGTTTTAGTAGAGATGGGGTTTTACCATGTTAGTCAGGCTGGTCTTGAACTGCTGACCTCAGGTGATCCACCAACCTTGGCCTCCCAAAGTGCTAGGATTACAGGCGACTGGCCTTTTTTTTTTTTTTTTTTTTTTGAGATGGAGTCTTGCTCTGTCACCTAGGCTGGAGTGCAGTGGCACAATCTCGGCTCACTGCAACCTCCGCCTCCCGGGTTCAAGCGATTCTTCTGCCTCAGCCTCATGAGTAGCTGGGACTGCAGTTGCGTGCCACCACACCCAGCTAATTTTTGAATTTTTAGTAGAGACGGGGTTTCACCATATTGGCCAGGCTGGAGGTTTTTGTTTGTTTTTTTTTTTTTGAGATGGAGTCTCACTCTGATGCCCAGGCTGGAGTGCAGTGGCACAGTCTCAGTTCACTGCAACCTCTGGTTCCCGGGTTTAAACAGTTCTCCTGTCTCAGCCTCCTGAGTAGCTGGGACTACAGGTGCATGCCACCAAGACCAGCTAATTTTTGTATTTTTAGTAGAGATAGAGTTTCACCATATTGGCCAGGCTGGAGGTTTTTTTTTTTTTTTGAGATGGAGTCTCACTCTGATGTCCAGGCTGGAGTGCAGTGGTGCAATCTCAGCTCACTGCAACCTCTGCTTTCCAGGTTTAAGGAATTATCCTGTCTCAGCCTCCTGAGTAGCTGGTACTTACAGGCACATGCCACCACGACCAGCTAATTTTTGTATTTTTAGTAGAGAAGGGGTTTCACCCTGTCACCATATTGGATGGGGTTTCACCATATTGGCCTCAAACTCCTGACCTCAGGTGATCCACTCACCTCAGCCTCCCAAAAGTGCTGGGATTACAGGCATGAGCCACTGAGCCTGGCCAAATCAGTTAGTTTTTGCTAGTAACAATTCCCCCTACCACTAAAATTTCATGGCTTTAAACAATCATATATTTAGCTTGTGATTTTGTGGTCAGATGATTCTAGTCTGGGCAGCTCAGCTGGGTAGCTGATGTCTTCTGGGCTTGTCCCCATGTCTGGAGCCAACCAATGGGTTAGATGGTGGCCAGGTGATCCAGGAAGGCTTCCCTTATGTGTGGCCACTGGCTAAGAGCCTTGGTGCTCCTCCATGTTTCCACTCCTCTAGCAGGCTAGCACGGGCTTATTCACATGGTGGTCTTAGGGATACAAATGCAAGCAGGAGAGTAAACCCAGAGCACAGGTGAATTAAAGCCACTGCTTGCGTACATTTGCTTCACAAGTCACATGGCCAACTAAAATGCAGGGGCAGGAAATAGACTCAACTTTCTGATGGGAAGAACTGCAACATCACATTGCAGGGATGTGGAAGGGAGAACTTGTGGTGGTTTTTGTAAACTACCTCACCTGGTCATTGAATACATTGATTCCACAGTATATGATAGATACAGGCAGCTAACAAAAATTTGGATTATTGGATAAATTATTGGCCATATATATACATGTATATATGTACCATACTTATTTTGCAAATAGGCTTGAAGCCTGCCTAGGAAAAACTGAGTCTTTTTTTTCTAGCCTATCTTATTTTTGGATCCTTATATTAGTGATATATGGAGCTTAAATATTGCAGAACTAGTAACAAAATGTTAATGTCAATACCTCAGAAAAGGGAGTTACTGAAGAATACTGAACTTAATGTACAGTTGAATTAAATAAAGATAGTAGCCTAAGCCAAATATTATTAGACTAGTGAATGATAGAAACAAAAAGCTACAAAGAGGTTTGGTTTGCATGTTAAAAAGTATCCTATGCATGAAACCACTTCACATCTTTATGCCTCATTGTCATTTCCAATTAGACTACTCTCTAGAATTATTTCACATTTCCAAAATGGTTGAATTAGTTGGGTTACAATTCCAGCTGCATACAGGATTATTTTACAGGTAAGCTAGCCATATCTGGGTTACAAAACAGTGTCAGAAATATGGTGAATGGTGTTTACCATTCTTGCACTCATATATCTACACATGCAGACTAACAGTGATGGGACATGACTTATGCACCAGGCATTGTAATACAGAGAAAAATCAGACAAAACCCTCTCCCTCCAGGAGCTCATATGCTTTGTGAGGGAGAGAGATACATAAGTACAGTTCCAGAGATAAGTGCTAGTAAAATTTTGCAGATGATACTACAGAGCCTAGATTTTTTTTTTTTTCAAGATCTCTCTCTGTCACTCAGGCTGGAGTACAGTGGTGCAATCAAGGCTCACAGCAGCCTCAACCTCCTGGGCTCAGGTGATCCTCTCACCTCTGCCTCCCAAGTAGCTGGAACCACAGGCGCATTAGCATGCCTGTCTAATTTTTTTTTTTTTTTCCGAGACAGAGTGTTACTCTATTGCCCAGGCTGGAGTGTAGCGGTACGATCTCGGCTCACTGCAACCTCCGCCTCCCGGGCTCAAGCAATTCTCCTGCCTCAGCCTCCCAAGTAGCTGGGATTACAGGCATGCGCCACCACGCCCGGCTAATTTTTATATTTTTAATAAAGACAGGGTTTCACCATGTTGGCCAGGCTGGTCGCGAACTCTTGACCTCATGATCCGCCTGCCTCAGCCTCTCAAAGTTCTGGGATTACAGGTGTGAGCCACTGTGCCCGGCCCTAATTTTTAAAGTTTGGAGAGATAGACTCTCCCTACGTTGCCCAGGCTGGTCTCAAACTCCTGGGCTCCAGTGAGACTTCCACCTCAGCCTGCCAAAGTGCTGGGATTACAGGCGTGAGCCCCCATGCCTGGGCCAGATTTTTAACATTGGCTTTTTTTTTTTTTTTTTTTTTTTTTTTTTAAGATTGAGTTTTGCTCTTGTTGCCCAGGCTGGAGTGCAATGTCCTGATCTTGGCTCACCACAACCTCCACCTCCTGGGTTCAAGCGATTCTCCTGCCTCAGCCTCCCAAGTAGCTGGGATTACAGGCATGTGCCACCACTCCTGGCTAATTTTGTATTTTTAGTAGAGACGGAGTTTCTCCTTGTTGGCCAGGCTGGTCTCGAACTCCTGACCTCAGATGATCCACCTGCCTTGGCCTCCCAAAGTGGTGGGATTACAGGCATGAGCCACCACGCCTGGCCTAACATTGGTTTTTTATATTAGTAATGACATAGCAAGTCACTCTGGAACTTTTATAAAGGACATCTGCCCAGGTATTAACCCTGGAGATTCTCATTCATTGGGTATGGAGTGGGGACCAGATGGCTGTATTTTGGAAAGGCACAAATGATACTGAGAGGTACTTCTAAGAACCATTGCTTTATAAAATGTTAGTGTGGCCGGGTGCGGTGGCTCACGCCTGTAATCCCAGCACTTTGGGTGGCCGAGGTGGGTGGATCACCTGAGGTCAGGAGTTTGAGAGCAGCTTGGCCAACATGGTGAGACCCCCTCTCTACTAAAAATACAAAAACTAGCCAGACGTGGTGGCGGGCACTTGTAATCTCAGCTACTAGAGAGGCCGAGGCCAGAGAATCGCTTGAACCCCGGAGGCGGAGGTTGCACTGAGCCGAGATCGCGCCACTGCACTCCATCCTGGGTGACAGAGTGAGACTCTGTCTCAAAAAGAAAAAAAAATGATGAAAGATAGGTTTATTGGTTTTTTTTTTTTTTTGAGATGGAGTCTCACTCTGTCGCCCACGCTGGAGTGCAGCGGCGCGATCTCGGCTCACTGCAAGCTCCACCTCCCGAGCTCACACCATTCTCCTGCCTCAGCCTCCGGAGTAGCTGGGACTACAGGTGCCTGCCACTACGCCTGGCTAATTGTTTGCATTTTTTTTTTTTTTTTAGTAGAGACGTGGTTTCACCATGTTAGCCAGGATGGTCTCCATCTCCTGACCTCATGATCCGCCCGCGTCGACCTCCCAAAGTGCTGGGATTAGGTTTATTGTTTTAAAGAATAGTTTTATTGAGATATGATTCACATAAATGTAATTCACCCACTTAAAGTGTAAATTCGGTGGTTTTAAATATAGTCACAGAATTGTGCAACCATCACCAGAATCAATTTTAGGGCATTCTTATTGCTCCACAAAGAAACCTCGTGCCTATTACCAGTCACTCCCCACATCTTCTCAACTCGTCCAGTCCTAGGCAACCACTAATGTACTTTCTGTCTCCAGATTTGTCTCTCCTGGACATTTCATATAATATGTGGTCTTTTGTGACTGGCTTCTTCCTTTCTCGCTTCCCCTCCGCTCCCCTCCCCTCCGTTCCCCTCCCCTCCACTCCACTCCCTTCTCCCCCACTCCCCTCCCTTCCTCTCCCTTCCCCTCCCGTTTCCTTTTTGATGGAGTCTCCCTATGTCACCCAGGCTGGAGTGCAGTGACGCGATCTTGGCTCACTGCAACCTCTGCCTCCCGGATTCAAGCAATTCTCTTGCTTCCGCCTCCCAAGTAGCTGGGATTACAGGTGTCCACCACCACACCCAGCTAATTTTTGTACTTTTAGTAGAGATGGGGTTTCACCATGTTGGCCAGGCTGGTCTTGAACTCCCAACCTCAAGTGATCCACCCACCTCAGCCTCCCAAAGTGCTGAGATTACAGGTGTGAGCCACCACACCTGGCCTGACTGGCTTCTTTCACATAGCATAATGTTTTCAAGGTTCATCCGTGTTATAGCATGTGTCAGTTCTTCATTCTCTTTCATGGATGAATAGTATTCCATTGCATGAATTAAATGTAGTACAATTTGTTTATCTATTTCTCATTTGGGTTGTTTCCAGTATTTGCCCAATATGAATAAGAATGATGCTGCTGGCCGGGCGAGATGGCTCACGCCTGTAATCCCAGCACTTTTGGGAGGCTGACGGGGGTGGATCACCTGAGGTCAAGAGTTTGAAACTAGCCTTGACCAACATGGTGAAACCCCGTCTCTACTAAAAATACAAAAATTAGCTGGGCGTTGTGGCATCCGCCTGTAATCCCAGCTACTAGGGAGACTGAGGCAGGAGAATCGCTTGAACCCGGGAGGCAAAGGTTGCAGTGAGCCGAGATCGTGCCGTTGCACTACAGCCTGGGCAACAAGAGCAAAACTCCATCTCAAAAAAAAAAAAAAAAAAAAAAAAGATGCTGCTATGAACAGTCATGTACAAATTTTTATATGGACATATGTTTTCATTTCTTTGGGTAAACCCTTAGGAGAGGAATTCCTAGGCGACATGAGAATTTTGTTTCCTCTTTTGAGAAACTGCCAAACTTTTCCAAAGCAAATGCACCATTTTACATTCCATCAGCAGTGTGAGAGCTCCAGTTTCTTCACATTCTCCCTAACACTTGTTATTTGTGATTTTGATTATAGCCAAAGATAGATTTTATTATCCCCATTTTTAAGATAAGGATATCATGGTTTAGAGCAGTTGTCAGGCCATAGACAGGTACTTTGCACTCTCAGACACTGGACCTCATCTGCCATAGCACTTTGAAATGACCTTATAATAATTGAAAGAGGAAGGCCGGGCATAGTGGTTCACGCCCGTAATCCCAGCACTTTGGGAGGCCGAGGCAGGTGGATCACCTGAGGTCAGGAGTTTGAGACCAGCCTGGCCAACATGGTGAAACCTCGTTTCTACTAAAAATACCAAAGTTAGCTGGGCGTGGTGGCGGGTGCCTGTAATCCCAGCTACTTGGGAGGCTGAGGCAGGAGAATCGCTTGAACCTGGGAAGTGGAGGTTGCAGTGAGTGGAGATTGCACCACTATGCTCCAGCCTAGGCAATAAGAGCAAAACTCCATCTCTAAAAAAAAAAAAAAAAAAAAAAGGAAATAATAATAATTGAAAGAGGAAAACATGGAACTATATATGGAATTGTTTTCAAATACTTTAGTATTTTTTCCAGAATTAATGGGCAATTTAATATTTCATATAATTGACTTCTGTAAATGACTGGTATTCCTTTTTTTTTTGAGATGGAGTCTCACTCTGTGGCCGAGGTTGGAGTGCAGTGGTGCAACCTTGGCTCACTGCAATCTCTGCCTCCCAGGTTAAAGCAATTCTCCTGCCTCAGCCTCCTGAGTAGCTGGGATTACAGGTGCCTGCCACCATGCCTGGCTAATTTTTGTATTTTTAGTAGAGACTGGGTTTCACCATGTTGGTCAGGCTGCTCTCAAACTCCTAATGTCTAGTGATCCACCCACCTTGGTCTCCCAAAGTTCTGGGATTACAGGTGTGAGCCACCACGCCTGGCCAACTGGTATTCCTTTTATAAAATACGTATCTGACTTATTTTTGTTGCCTCATTACATCAAGATTTACATCCAAGTTAAATTTGTATAGATTATAGGTAATCAAGTGTGGTAAGCACCTACTGAAATGTTTAAAAATTTTAGAATTTCCTTACTGTCAAAATGATAATTCTTTTTTTTTTTTGAGAAGGGGTCTTGCTCTTTCGCCCAGGCTGGAGTGCAGTGGTGCGATCTTGGCTCACTGCAACCTCCGACTCCTGGGTTCAAGTGATTCTCCTGCCTCAGCCTCCTGAGTAGCTGGGATTACAGGTGTGTGCCACTATGCCCAGCTAATTTTTTGTATTTTTAGTAGAGACAGGGTTTCACCATATTGGCCAGGCTGGTCCTGAACTCCTGACCTCAGGTGATACACCCACCTTGGCCTCCCAAAGTGTTGGGATTACAGGTGTGAGCCACCGCGCCCCACCAAAATGATAATTCTTAACCAGAGGAAATAGACAAATGAACAGAAACTCACATGGAAAGGTTTGTTCCAGGGGTTCACATTCATGATTGTTCATCAGACTTCAGAGCTTTAAAAAATAGAATACAGGTGCACAGGCTCTACCCCAGATTAAGTGAGTCAGGATCTTTGTGGTTGGCTCTGGGGTGTCTGCATTTGTAAAAAGCTCCCCAGCTGATTCTGAGGCTCAGCTGAGGTTGAGAATCAATGGTTTGTGTGACTGAGATGGTTGGCAGTATGAAGATGTTTTTGAGAAATTTACTGGCAGACCTAGCTGGGCATCCAGCTTGATTGGTCTGTTGCATGGGGTGGAAAAGATAGTTGGGGTGGGGGTATGGGGTGGCTTTGGCAGGTGGGAGATGGCAGTGCAGGTAATGCAGAAAAGGAATTTAAGTAAAGTAGTGTGTGTTTTTGAAGCCAATGAGAAGCTTCCTTATAAAGAAATAATATTCATATGCTGTAACTCTATTCCCACCTCAACTTGTTTTGAAAACTTTAAATCTAGAGAGAAGTTGAAATAAAGGTACAATGAACACCTGTATTGTTTTTATCTAGGTTCACCAGTTAACATTTTGCTGTATTAACACTGGCTCTTCCTCCCAACCCCCTTTCTAAACCATTTGAAAGTAAGATGCAGTCACTGTGGCCTTTGCATTTAAGTAACTGTGAAGAATAGGAATATTTTCCTACATAACCATAATATAATTATTACATAATGAAATTTAACCTTGGTATTATACCGTTACCGAACATACAGTCTATATTTGCTCTTCATAGCTCTTTTTTTTTTTTTTTGATTCCAGGATCCAGTTGAAAATCAGGCATTGCATCCAGTTATCATGGCTTTAATCTTAATGCCT
This sequence comes from Homo sapiens, assembly GCF_000001405.40. Lineage (NCBI taxonomy): Eukaryota > Metazoa > Chordata > Mammalia > Primates > Hominidae > Homo > Homo sapiens. The sequence goes on along the minus strand of NC_000001.11, from coordinate 200,343,353 downwards.
TCCCTGCACTGTTTTGGGAATATCTTAATACTGCTATTTTTGAAGAGTCCAGCTCAGTTATTCTGCAGAATGTCTGTTGATTTGGCTTTGCTGTTTCCTCATAAGTAGATCCAGATTATACGTTTTTGTTGATGTTGGGTTCTTCTCAGTGAATCACATCCGATGATGTCAGCACGAGGCCTGATCATTTGGTTTAGGTAGCTTTCACTAGACTTTTTCATTGTAAAGGTACCTATCCCTTTTCTAATTAATAAGTAATATGTTGGGTGATAGTTTGTGTGTGAATATCCTTTTCTCCAGTGACCTTTCATCCAATGGTTTCAGCATTTTAAATGATCCTGGGCTGAGTCAGTTTTCAGTGGTGGCTGCAGACTTGTGGTTTTCCAATTCTTTCATCACTTTTACATTTATTAATTGGCAGTCTATGACTTCTTATAGCCACATAAAGATAATTCAGGAATTATCTGAACCTATGAATGTTACCTTATTTGGAAAAAGAGTCTTTGCAGATACAATTCAATTAAGAATCTTGAGATGAGGAGATTATCCTGGATTATCCAATGGGCCCTAAATCCAATGACAAATGTCCTTGGCAGAGGGAGATTTGAGACAGGAGAAGAGAAGACACGAAGGAGGGAAGGAAGTGATGTGACCACAGAGGCAGCGATTGGAGTGATGTAGTCACAAGCCAAGGAGCACCAACAGCCACCAGGAGCTGGAAGAGCCCAAGAGTATATACTAATACCTGGATTTGGGACTTGGGACTTCTGGTCTCTAGAAGTAGGAAAGAATAAACATCTGTTTTTTGTTTGTTTGTTTGTTTTTTCTTTTTTTTGAGTCAGGGTCTTGCTCTGTCACCCAGGTTGAAGTGCAGGGGTGTGATCACGGCTCACTGCAGCCTTGACCTCCTGGTCCCAAGCAATCCAACTCATCTCAGTCTCTCGAGTAGCTGGGAGACCAGCCACCAAACCCAGCTAATTTTTGTATTTTTTATAGAGATGAGGTTTCACACCATGTTGCACAGGCTGGTCTCGAACTCCTGAGCTCAAGCGATCTGCCTGCCTTGGCCTCCCGAACTGCAGGGATTACAGGCATGTTATTTTAAGCCACTCAGTTTTTACTACAGCCACAGGGAAGCAATACAAAGGTCAAGGGAATTTTCTGTTTTTAAAATATGGAGGCCAGGCTCGGTGGCTCACGCCTGTAATCCTAGCACTTTGGGAGGTTGAGGTGGGCGGATCACTTGAGGTCAGGAGTTCAAGACGAGCCCAACCAACATGGTGAAACCCCCGTCTCTACTAAAAATACAAAAATAAACTGGACTTCATGGTGGGAGTCTGTAATCCCAGCTACTTGTTCAAGAGAATCACTTGAACCCGGGAGACAGAGGTTGCAATGAGCCAAGATCGTGCCACTGAACTCCAGCCTTGGTGACAGAGCAAGACTCCATATCTCTTTCTCTCTCTCTCTCTCTCTCTCTATATATATATATATATACACACACACACACAAACAGAAGATTTCCAGCACACCAGAAAGGCATTCTTTCTCTGTTTTGTATATATACATATACACACACACACGCACACACACACACACACAGATACACACACACATATATACATACACACACACACACACATATATAGATAGATACACACACTTACACACACACAAACAGAAGATTTCCAGCACACCAGAAAAGCATTCTTTCTCTGTTGTTTTTTTTTCCATTTATGTATCTCAGACAGGTCCAATAACTGGATCTGGAAAGACTGGAAATCTTCCTTTTGTCCCTCTGTTTCCCCTCTCCACACTTCTCCACCCTGCCCTCTCCTGGGGGAGTCTGGCCCTTATGAACCACATCAAAGGATCCTCTGGCTTCCGGTTGGGTTTGGCCAGTGGGGAACCCCAGCAGGTAGAGGGGAGGTGGAGAGCTTGGCTGTGTCCTCAAGTAGAAGGCCACTGGTTCTCTCAGCATGTCCTCTCTACATGCATGTCAGGGTCCCCATGACCACTCCTTTCTTGCATCCTTAAGGCCTTGGAGTAGACAGCACTGCTTGCTAGCCCCAGGAACCTGCACTTTTCCTTGGGGTTTTCTGTACCGTATCTGTATTTACAAATAGCATCTTTACTAAATCCTCTTGGAATTATGCAGAGTTGAATATGCCATCTACTTCTCTGTGGGGACTCTGACTGGTGATGCACTTTGAAAGGACAGAAAACCTTGAGTCTCTGGACATTTCTACAGTGTTTCACATTCAGCATTGCTGGTATTGTAGATAAATACCTGTCGGGTAGTTGTATCATTTTCATGCTCAATTATTTTTCAGCAAAAGCTCTTTGGACTACTATTAATATTCAATGTCTTTGTGTTTTCTCTTAGATCTCCCTAAGTCTCATATCTTATGCTATTTGCTAAATGATTATATTCTTTTTTAAAAAAATTTTTAATTTTTTAATTTTTTTTCTAATTTTTCATCACTCTCAGGATGTGATTACATTCTTTATCTATTAATATTTTCTTTTTTCTTCCACTTCTTGCCCACAAGTATCATCTTGATCATGGGTAAATAATTGCATTAATTTAAAAATTTCAGCTTATAGTCATATGATGTTTTTTTCCTCCTAAGAATTTCAGGAAACAACATATTGTCCTAAGGTATTTGTATACGTGTCACGGTCACTTGTTTGGTAATTAAATACTGTGTCCTTTGAATGCCTGTGGAAAGCTGTCTTCCCTGATATTTCTCTCTCAAGATAGCCATGAGCCCACAATTCTGATTATCAGTGCAGAGCGGGGCCCCAACTTTTTATTCTTTATTTTTATTTTAGAGATGGAGTTTTGTTCTGTCGCCCAGGCTGGAGTGCAGTGGTGCAGTCATGGCTTACTGCAGCCTTGAACTCCTGGGTTCAAGCAATCCTCCTGTCGCAGCCTCCTGAGTAGCTGGGGCTAAAGGTATGTGCAACCATACCCAGCTAATTTTTTTTTTTTTTTGAGACAGAGTCTCGCTCTGTAGCCCAGGCTGGAGCATAGTGGAATGATCTCAGCTCACTGCAGCCTCTGCCTCCCAGGTTCAAGCAATTCTCCTGCCTCAGCCTCCTGAGTAGCTGGGATTACAGGTGCACACCAGCATGCCCGGCTAAGTTTTATATTTTTAGTAGTGACAGGGTTTCACCATGTTGGCCAGGCTGGTCTTGAACTCCTGACCTCAGGTAATCCGCCTGCTTCAGCCTCCTAAAGTGCTGGGATTACAGGCGTGAGACACCGCACCAGCCTTTTTTATTTTTATTATTATTATTTTTTGAGACAGAGTCTCACTCTGTCTCCCAGGCTGGAGTGCAGTGGTGCGATCTCAGCTCACTGCGACCTCCACCTCCAGGGTTCAAGCGATTCTCGTGTCTCAGCCTCCAGAGTAGCTGGGATTACAGGCGCACGCCACCACCACTGGCTAATTTTTTTGTTATTGTTGTATTTTTAGTAGAGACAGGGTTTCATCATGTTGGCCAGGCTGGTCTCAAACTCCTGAGCTCAGGCAATCTGCCCACTTTGGCCTCCCAAAGTGCTAGGATTACAGGCGTGAGCCACCACTCCCGGCCCATAGGTTCTTACATAATGTTCACAACCATCCCAATTATCTTCTTTTTCCATCTTTGGAACCGAAGCTTTGAGGAGTGAAGCATGGAGTGAGGATTTGGACCTGGGACTCCTGACCCCTTATCTAGCTAATCCCCTTTCCAACCACCCACAGAGCACAGCACTCGCAGACCGGCCCTAGGTTTGCGGCCTGGCTTCTTTAGTGACCATTTGCGAGGTTTCAGACATCACTTTCCCATCTCTAAGATGGGGATGATACCCCACAGGGTGTTCAGCGGGTTAAACATGGTCACGTGTGAGAAAGCACTGAGCCTCTTGCCTCTCTAAAATGACCTCCCCTGGTCAATTTCATTATCCTGTTTGTTTCCTCTATACCAAGTACCCAGTCTGCAATTACCTTGTTTGCTATGAGGTTCTCCTGTTTAAAACATGTGCTTCCTAAGGGAAGGGACTCGGCCTGTTTGTCTTCCCTGCTACATTCTCAGCAGCACTTAGCACGGTCATTGGCACACAGTAGATGCTCAATAAATATTTTGTTGTCTCCCTACCTCCTCATCTATTTATCATTTTCTTTTTTTTTTTTTTTTTGAGACGGAGTTTCGCTCTTGTTGCCCAGGCTGGAGTGCAATGGCGTGATCTCGGCTCACTGCAACATCTGCCTCCTGAGTTCAAGCGATTCTCCTGCCTCAGCCTCCCAAGTAGCTAGGATTACAGGCATGCGCCACCATGCCCGTCTAATTTTGTATTTTTAGTAGAGAGAGGGTTTCTCCATGTTGGTTAGGTTGGTCTGGAACTCCTGACCTCAGATGATCCACTTCCCTCGGCCTCCCAAAGTGCTGGGATTACAGGCGTGAGCCACCGCGTCCAGTCTTACTTATTTTCTAAAACAGGATCCCGCAAACTATAGCTCAAGGGTCACCTCTGCCTGTCACCTGTTTTTATATGACTTGTGAGCCAAAAGATTTTTACATTCTTAAACGGGTAGGGAAAAAAAAGAAGAATTTATGACATGAAAATTATGCAAACTTCAGATTTCTGTGTACGTATGTAAACTTTTAATGAAACACAACTGTGTCCATTCATTGACATATTGTCTATGTCTGCTTTCAAACTACAGTGCAGAGTTGGGTAATTGCAACAGAGATCATAGGAACCACAAAGCTTAAAATATTCACTATGTGGCTCTTTACAGAAAAAGTTTGCCCATCCTTGTCCTAAAAGATAAATAGAAATTGCTTGAAAACTAATAATCACTCTGCTATTCACCCTCAGTTATTCATGTACTTACCTGATTGTCTTTCATTCAGACACTTATTTATTCAACAAATATTTATTGAGCATCCACTTCTTCTACCAAATAGATCAAGGGACTCAGCTCTGTTTGCCCTCCCATAGTTGGGGAGGTGTGTCAGGGAATCGGGGGAATGTGGCCCCAGTGATGGTGACTGAATTTGTGTTAACCCACCAGCTCCGTACCTTTGTTAAGGTGACATATGGGGGCTGTTGAATAGAAAGAAGCCACATACATCCCATGGGGCTTGAACCCAAGCTTTTGGCATGATGAATATCGAAGCGCTAGGCAGGGTCTCATAAATGGAGGCCTGTTCTTTTAGATCAGGTTTTTCTTTTTCAGTCTGGGACTCACCTGTTACTTTTCTGGGCCTTGAAGCTCTGATCTCTGCTTTTGTCTCTCTGTCTTCTGCATCTCACAGTGTAAATATAGCTAAAACATCCGCAGACACCCTTCTTCCTCTTCCCCTATGGTTTCCATTTCCTCTGTCCTCTGTCCTAGCTGTTAAAACTACATTAGCTATGAAGGGGGTCAGAGGAATGAGAAATAATAGCTGTAAATATTTGTTAGGTGCCCAGCACAAGCATTGTCATTTTTAATCTTTTCTTTAAAAGGTGGGTACTTTTATTGTTCTCCTGTGTTACAGATGAAAAAACTGTGGCTCAGAGGGGCAAAGCAATTTGCCCAGTGTAACATCTGTGAAGCAGTGAAGCCTGGAATTTGAACCCAGGCAGTGTGACTCCAGAGATGGAGCTCTTAAGTATGGTGACGGATCAGGCATATCTGCATATTCTATGACAGGAAAGCAGTGTGGGTGGAAAATAGGGGTGCCTTCCTTTTTTTGTAATGGCAGTTTTGGCAACTCCCTCAGGTAGATACCAAAGAGGAAATTGGTAGTCACTGTCAGACCAGACACCCTGCATCTCAGAAAGAACATTTACTACCAAAGGGACTTGGAAGTGCTAACAGGCCGGAAAGAAACTGGATGAGGGACAAAAAAGACTGACACTTGTTCTTTCTGCTGGTGTGGGGTTATCATGACTTTGCAAGATCAAACATCTTGACAAAACATCAAAACATCTTGACATCTGACAAACCAGGTTGGTTCTCAGGATCGACTCAATGATTGTCCAAAATACCAGGTCATAAATTTAACAGAACTGACCCAACCAGCAATGCCCGAGGTGCCTGTGGAATGTTAATCATGTTACTAGAAAAAAGGAGGGGTCAAATAAGTATGGGGATGTAGAGTTAAACAAGGGTAAGCAGGATCTTAACTGTGTGAACTTCTGTGACCCTCCAAGAGGGACAAACTATGGATGGCAATTATCAGACCTCGGCCATGTGTCAATGGCTATCTCAGGGGACTGGTGTTCTGGGTGTTCCAGGGAACTCCTTTTGGGCAATGCTGCTTTAAGCCTTTCCCTTTCCCTTTTCCTTTTAGCTTAAGAAATCCCAAACACGTTTGTGATTTCAGAGCAGTCTGTGTCTTGTGTCAATTCATTGCTGCTTCTAGGCTAGGAAGGGAAAAGGGTTGCCATATTTCCAGTGATGAAAGAACTTTGTTAGGAAAGATGTTCAGATTAATAACACAAAATTAGATTGGAGTTTTTTGAGAGCCTTTCAATTATTCAGCAGTGATGTCTCAGTAAAAGTGGAAGTAAACTGGGACCATGTAAACCTTTCTCAAGTGTTAATGTTTCACATATTTTAGTTTGTTTAGTCTTTTACATATTGTTCAAACCATTAAGTTAGACCTCAGAATATAAAGCATGTTTATTTTCTAATGATAAACGAAACACATATTTATGTGACTAAGATGTGGGAATTGTAGCCCTGGGCTGTGGTTATGTAAACATGGGAATGTGTGGAATTTACTCATAGTTTACAGGAAGTAAGGTGTCATTGTTCGGATAGTTTCCTGTCATAAAAAGTTATCTAATTTGATTTTAAAATAGTAACCTTAGATGTTGTTTTTCTACTCAGAAATTCATAGGAAACCCAAAATTGTATGTTTTTTCTTTTTCTTTTCTCTGTTTTTGTGAAAGAATTTTCTGTATTTTCCACCAAAAAGAAATTAGATGTTTCTGTTCCTGGTAGTGCTCAATATAATGATGTATATATTTACCACATGCACATGTGTAGGTGACCTGACATTAAACATAGGGAAACTCTGTGTTGATTTCAGTGATGAGCTACATGTACACAAAACCATCCTCCTTACTTGGTCATTTCTACAACTTCCAGTCCTGAGAACTGGTCACTCCAGCAGGTTTAAAGTAATAATCTGTGGCTGTCAAATGATTTTAAATGAAGCATTTTTGGCTCGTACTTCGTTATAAGCTTGCATTTAAAAGCAAAGGCAGGCCGGAAGCGGTGGCTCATGCCTGTAATCCCAGCACTTGGGGAGGCCGAGGCAAGTGGATCACCTGAGGTCAGAAGTTCGAGACCAGCCGGATCAACATGGTGAAACCTCATCTCTCCTAAAAATACAAAAAAGTTAGCCGGGCATAGTGGTGGGTGCCTGTAGTCCCAGCTACTCAGGAGGCTGAGACAGGAGAATCACTTGAACCCAGGAGGTGGAGGTTGCAGTGAGCCAAGATCACACCACTGCACTCCAGCCTGGGCGACAGAGTGAGACCCTGCTTCAAAATAAAATAAAAATAAATAAAAATTAAATTTTTTTCTTTTCTTTCTTTTTTTTCTTTTCTTTTTCTTTCTTTTCTTTTTTTTTTTTTTTTTGCGACGGAGTCTCGCTCTGTCACCCAGGCTGGAGTAGAGTGGTGCAATCTCGGCTTGCTGCAACCTCCACCCCACAGATTCAAGCGATTCTCCTGCCTCAGCCTCCTGAGTAGTTGGAACTACAGGTGCGCGCCACCACGCCCAGATAATTTTATATTTTTAGTAGAGAGGGAGTTTCACCATGTTGGTCAGGCTGGTCTTGAACTCCTGACCTCATGATCTGCCTGTCTCGGCCTCCCAAAATGTTGGGATTACAGGTGTGAGCGCCGCGCCTGGCCAATTTTTTTTTTTTTTTTATTGTGGTACAACATAAAACATAAAATGTACCAATTTTACCATGTTAAAGTGTACAATTCAGTGGCATTTACTACATTCACAATGCTGTGCAATCATCACCACAATCTAATTACAGAGTAGTTTTATCACCCCAAACGGAAACCCCACACCTATTGAGCAGTCCTCCCTGTTTTTCTCCTCCCTCCAGCTTTGCTCTCTACATGGATTCGCCTATTCTGGAAGTTTCAAACAAATGGAATTGAACAATATGTGGCCTTTTGTGACTGGCTTCTTTCACTTAGTATACTGTTTTCACAGTTCATCCACATTGTAGCACATATCAGCATTTCATTCCTTTTTATGGCTGAATAATATTCCATTTTGTGGGGATATTACCTTTAGTTTATCCCATCATCAGTTGATGGACATTTGAGTTGTTTCCACCTTTTGGCAATTATGAATAGTGTTACCATGAATGTTTCATGTATACGTTTTTATTTGAAGACCTGTTTTTAATTCTTTTGAGTATAGATCTAGAAGTGGAAATGGTGAGTCACATGGCTATACTGCTTACCTTAGTGAGTCACCACTGACCTGTTTTTCTCTTATCTTTTTTTTTTTTTTTTGAGATGTGGTCTTACTCCATTGCCCAGGCTGGAGTGCAGTAGCACAATCACAGCTCACTGCATCCTCAACCTCTGGGCTCAAGCAATCATCTCACCTCAGCCTCCTGAGTAGCTGGGAGTATAGGCACACAACACCATGCCTAATTTTTATTTTTTATTTTTTTGTAGAGACAATGTCTCACTTTGTTGCCCAGGCTGATCTCGAACCTCTGGACTCAAGCGCTTCTCCCATCTCGACCTCCCAAAGTGTTGGGACTATAGGCATGAGCCACCATACCTGGCTTCTCTTATCCTTTAAAAGCCTTTCTAAAAATAAAAATGCACCACAAAATATCAATTATGAGACTTGGGTTAAAGAATGTTTATATTTCTGGACTGAATATTATAAGCCTAAGATGTTTCCTTGAGGTCAAAATTCATTCAGAATACTTGGCTAAATGAACAGGCAAAGCAGGCGGAAGCCACTTATATTCATTTGCTTCTTGCCATCCTTGGCTTTTTCCTAAAACATTTGGCCTTTCACAAAATTCAGTATCTCTAAAGATGATGGTTATAAATAGATGATACTGTCACTCTCCACTTTGGTTTTGTACTTTTTCTGGGTCAGACGGAAGCTCTCTAATCTCTTTTGTGATTTGGTTAAATGTAGAATAATCCAGTGGCAAATCCGAGTTAGCTGCTCATCTTCCTTTTTTATGTTTACTTTTGCTTAAATATCATGGTTTCCTAGGGCAGGGTAAAAGATAAATAGAATGATGACAGATAATGCTGATAATTTCCCAGCATGAAATTGGCTGGTGAGGATCCTAGTCCCAGCTAAAAATGAACAATAATGCGAAGTCTGACTGCCACAGACAGTGAGCTCCACAGAAGGGTATAAGAGCTAGTGAAAACCGAAGTGTTTTCCTACTCACACTCCCCACAGCACAGAGCTCCCCAGTCAACAAAATGTGTGGGTTTTTTTCCCCTGCAAACCAAGCAATTCTCCAGCGGACACCAATGGGCTGTCCTATGATTCAATTTAATTCTGGAGTTAGAGTCAGATCCTGCAGGTTAAGGGCTCAGTCCCACAGACTGCTCCTATTTCAGATGCCAATTGCAAGTCCATAGCATGTTGTCACCTGTACTTCTGGGTTCGTTTGTTTGTTTTTGTGTTTTTGAGACAGGGTCTTACTCTGTTGCCCAGGATGAGTGCAGCGTTGGCTCACTGCAGCCTCGATCTCCTGGGCTCAAGCGATCTTCCCACCTCAGCCTCCTGAGTAACTAGGACCACAGGTACGTGCCACCATGCCTGGCTAATGTTTTATTTTTTATATAGATGGGGGTCTTGCTACATTGCCCAGGCTGGTCACAAACTCCCGGAACTCAGCACCCACCTTGGCCTCCCAAAGTGCTGGGATTACAGGTATGAGCCATTGTGCCTGGCCCACCTATGCTTCCAATCTACCGGCTATAAATCAAGTTACCAGGACCCCTTTCTCAGGTTCCATTAATTAGCTAGGATGGCTCACAACTCAGGGAAACAGTTACTCACATTTACTGGTTTGTTGTATTAATAAAGGATGCAGATGAGCAGCCAGATGAGGAGATGCATAGGGCAAGGCAGGTGGGGAGGAGCACAGAGTTTCCTTCCATGTGCTACCAGGTGCACCACCCTCCAGACACCTCCACACATCCAGGACCCCAGAAGCTCTCCTAGCCCTGTCCTTTGAGTTTTTACAGAGGCTTCACTACAAAGACACAATTGATTACATCATTGGCCATTAGTGAATAACTCAGCCATCAGCCCTCTCTCTCCCCCTCCCTGGAGGTGAAGGTGGGGTGGAGATAGAAGTTCCAACCATCCAATCACATGGTTGGTTCCCTTGGCAACCAGCCCCCTTTGGGAGGCTACCAGAGCCCCCAACCATCAGTCATCTCATTAGCATACAAAAATACTTATCCCTTTGGAGATTCCAAGAGTTTTAGGAGCTGTGTGCCAGGAAACTGGGACAAGAACCAAATACATATTTCATACATAAATCACACATCACAAGGGTCTGTGGCCCATTCATGAATATGTAGCTCCTCATCCATCAACTACTCTTTGGTGGCCCAGCCTTCCTAACACTTTACAGGTTTTGGGAAATAGTTTAGGAATTTTTCTCCACAAGAGGTCTGCTCTCACCTAGGACTTAGATCCCAAATATTGAACAATCAATATGGTGCAGGCATCAACCAGTCTGCGCACAGGACATGGGCCATGGTATAATGCAGCAGGTTCTGAATTCCATCCCCCACCCCACCACCCCACCACCACAACTCCCCACCATCAGGCTCAATGCTGTCGTTGCTGGAACATGAAGTCTCCTGGTCCTGGGATTGAGGTTAAGGAGGCAATGACCATGGGAGGGCATGTTAGGGTATCGACTATTTACCAACCGATATAGAAGTATTTTATTTTCTATTTATTTATTTAATTTATTTTTAAGATGAAGTTTTGTGCTTGTTGCCCAGGCTAGGGTGCAATGGCACAATCTCGGCTCACTGCAACCTCCGCCTCCTGGGTTCAAGCGATTCTCATGCCTCAGCCTCCCAAGTAGCTGGGATTACAGTTGCCCACCACCATGCCTGGCTAACTTTTTGTATTTTCAGTAGAGATGAGGTATCACCATGTTGGCCAGGCTGGTCTTGAACTCTTGGCCTCAGGTGAACCGCCTGCCTTGGCCTCCCAAAGTGCTGGGATTACAGGCGTGAGCCACCGCGTCCGGCCCAGAAGTATTTTAATGTTTACACAGCCAGTATGACTGCACTGATGTGCTAGGAGGATTATATTACTAGAAACTATCTTTCCCCATCATCCTTAACCATAAATCTTCAGGATCAGGATTCTGCTATCTTACCCTACTGTCTTTCCACAAGTAGTTACCCCTTTTCCTATTTGAGAAGGCATCATTGTGCCTCCGTAAGAGATGACCCTTCTACCTATAGCAGTCTAGGAAGGTTACTGTCATGACCTGTGGTTCCTTGTTCTTTCAGGAATTTCTTCCTCTATCCATTTGACTTGATACTGCCATCAACTTTTTTCTAAACCTCAGTTACACTTGGTCATTGTCCTGCTTAATAGCCATCAATGTGTGTCCGATGCCTAAAAATAAACAATCTCCCCACTTCTGGCAAGGGAAAAAAAAATCACACACATAACTTTAGAATGACATTCTAGGCCTCAGTTTCATTCCCAACGTCTTTTTCAATAACAACTTCTCTTCGTATCCTTCTCCCCATGCATGGGAATGCATATTCTCCCCCAAATACACCCTGTCAATCACCATCTGTGTCCCTCAATTCCCTCCAAGTATTCTCTTGCTAAAATCCTATCGTACTTGCTGGTTATTCCGTCAGTGTCACACCCTCTCCTTTTTTTGGAAGCTGTGGAGGAAGCATGTGAGCTAAGCTGAGCAGCCAGCCTTTTTCCGGGGTTGATGTGGGCACCTAGAGAGAGACCGTGACCGTCAGCTCTGAGGCTGTGTGAGTCTGGAGCTGCCACAACCATTTATTCTACAGCATGGCAAAAACCTGTCAGAGAGCAAACTCAACGCGGGAGCAGGGCCAAGGGGTCAAGGGATTTCAGGAATGTGCCCTGATAGGCATCAGTGAAACCCTGAGATACCTCCTTGGATTTCTCTTCTGCTGGGGACAATACATTCCCCTTTTTTGCCTAAATTAATTTGAGTTAGCTTTCTGTCGCCTGTGAGAACCAGGTGGCCCTTCTTCCAAGGCGCAGGTCATACGCCAACTCCTTCTTGTGTTCCTGCCTCCTTTTTCTCCGGCCTTTCTTTGCACTGTTTCGCCACTGCCTTGGGGCGTGTTGTTTTGCACATGCTTTATCCTGCTAGGATGTAAGGGCCTTCGGGAGGACAGATTCCTGGAGCGTCAAGACCAGATTACATGGCTAATTAGGGAGGAAGTGGGTGGTGGGCACTATGTGTGAGTTGCTCTTTTGTGAGATTAGGCAGGAAGAAAGAAAGGCTGGTAGGAAAAGGCGTAAGGGACCAGGCTCAAGGCCGGCTGAACACTGGCTCTAGAAGGCTCAAGAAGAAAAAAATTCAGCTCAGAGTATATATGAACATTCATGCTTTTAAACAAAGGGAAGTCAGGGAAGAGGGAGGAAGATGGTATCAAAGAAAGAAAATTCACTGCAGAAATCCTATCTCAGGATCAGCAGGAGGGCTGGGAGAAGAGCTCAGAGAGGTTGGGGCTTGGGAAAGAGAAAAGGGTATTTATTCAGACACATGAATGGAGAAAATAATGTATTAAGATATGGCGACAATGTAACATGAAGAGGAGTTGAAGGAATACATACTTTATGATATTAATCTTGGCAAAGCAGCAAATCCTCAGTTTACTGGACATGTTATTTAAGGGTTTTAATTTAAGGCTATTTTCCTTAAAACTGCCTTAAGGATTTAACAGCTGTGTCTTTATTTTTCCTCCAAGTAGAGGTCGCTTCTCATCAACTTCCTAAAGGGTCTCCTTGTCCGTATTCTCTTTCCATATTAATCTCTTCTCTACCCAGTGGCAGGCATTCTAAAGTGTAAATCTTATCTTGTCACCTTCTTTCTTGAAACACTGCAAATCTTCCCAGAAATTCTAGAATGACATTTCCAGTCCTTAGCTTAGCACATAGGCCCTGTATTCTGGTGATACAGATGTCATAGCCCAGCATGGGGATATATGTGGTAAGCAGGCCCTGCTCACCTGTCCAGACCACCTTCAGCCACCTCTTTCCTGCCCCCTTGCTTCCCTAATCCCCACCTCACATTTCACACCTCCATGATATTGAAGTTTCTTGGTATTTTCTGCCAAACTGTGTGCTTTTCCATCCCTCGAAATCTTTCTGTATATTGCTTCAACTTAATTCAATAACATTCATTGAGCACAAAAAAGGTGTCTGTTGCTGTAGTGGGAGCTACAATAATCTTACTCAAACTCATTTACTCGGTTAACTCCTAACTTAGGTTAACTGCGGTGAAGGGATTGCCCTCCCTCTGCTGGAAGCCCTCCAGCCCCTCCCATCTGGCAGGAAGGGGGCAGCCTGCAATCCCCAAGAGCAGGTCTGGGGCTGCCAGGTGCTCCAGGCAGGAGGCCGGAGGGGGCTCACCAAGGGTTGCCCTGCAGGAGATGACAGTGCTGCCCCTAGCTTGTCCACCTGGGTGCAGAGGTCCTTGACCTCCTGTAGCCATTTGCTGGTAATTCATGCAGGATCCCTGTCAGCTTCTTCTTGATGGTATCCTTGGAGCTGCCATAGATCATTCTACTCTTAGGGGTGCAGACTGAGGGGCTCAGAAGATAAACACTAGATCCTCCTCTTGGCTCCCTTTGGTCTCATAGGTTGCGTCACAGAGGACATAGTGGCAGTCCTTGGCTGGCAGCATCTTGACCTTGACAACCACGGTGTAGGAGTTGTCAACAGCCTGCCCCACTTCACCTGCCAGGGTCCCCCTGCCCTCCTCAACGATGATGTTCTCGTCCCCACTCAGGCAGAAGAGCACCACCTTCTTATGCATCTTCACCTCCTCTGCTGTTGAAAACTTGTGCTCCTTCTTATCATCATGTCATTGAACACCTTTTTTTTTCTTTTTTCTTTTTTTTTTTTTGAGACTGAGTCTTGCTCTGCCATCCAGGCTGGAGTGCAATGGCACGCTCTTGGCTCACTGCAACCTCCACCTCCCAGGTTCAAGCACCTCCAGCCTCCTGAGTAGCTGGGATTACAGGCATGTGCCATCATGCCCGGCTAATTTTTGTACTTTTAGTAGAGACGGGGTTTCACCATATTGGCCAGGCTCGTCTCGAACTCCTGACCTCAGGTGATCCACCCACCTCAGCCTCCCAAAATGCTAGGATTACAGGCATGAGCCACCACACCTGGCCTCACTGAGCACCTTGATGATGCCATCAGAAAGCCACACCTGATGCCGTGTTCCTGGAAGTAAGAAGGGGATGGCACGGAGAGCCCCAGAAGAGGAGAATTGCTGCAGCTGCTGCCGGGATCCAACGGAACCAAAAATTCTTATGATGGTGCTGGGTTGAAGCATGAAATTCATATGTAAGAATGGTACCTTTTGCTCCAGCGTTGGAACAGACTGTGGCTTTTTTTTTTTTTTTCAGTTGAGCATGAGGTGAAGTAGTTGGCTTATGTTTTGGGGCCAGGAGTCTCTTGAAACTCTCCACTTACTTGTGCTCAAAGTCCCAGAGGCATTTAGGAAATGCGAGGCATTTAGGAAATCACAGCCACATTCACTACAGTCCTCATTTTGTGGAATGACCTGGGCTATTTCTATTGTTTTATTTATCTTGTTTAAAAGAAAATTACTGAATGAGTATATTTGAATTCACTTAAGTCAGATACTGATATGATGTGACCCCACTCACTGTAAGGTCTCAGTTCTCCAGAAAGTTCTAGCCTGGGAATGCATTTGGAAAGTAATCAGCATGTAGTTTAGTAGTTAAAGCTGTGAGTGTGGATGTGTTCACCAAGGGGAGTGTGTGTCAAGAGTAAGAGGACGCAGCCTTGGGCAGAGCCTTGGTGAATACGGATGTTTATGGGGCTGGAGAAGGAGGAACCCAAAAAGCAATCTAAAAAAGGTATGAGCCTGGAAAGTAACATGGAGACCAAGGACAAGTGTTTCAAAGAAAAGAGAGTGGTGAAAAGTGTCTAGTACTACAGAAAGAGGTATTCCCCTATCTTCTTTAATTCAGATAGGCCTGGAGGGCGTCCTTTAGGTTTAACAGCTTCTCCAAAGCGGCCACCATTGAAAGCCATAGTGGGGTAGAGATCAGATTGCAAAGGAAGGAGCTGGGAATGGGAGACTAGTTATTTCAAGAGTTAGAAGTGAGCATGGAAGGTTACTAGAGAGGGGGTTGTGGACTAAGAAAACGCTTTAAAAATAAATAGGGGAGGAAATTCTTGAGCCTGTTTTTATGATGAAGGGGAGAACCAGTTAAAAAGGAGAGCTTAGAAATAAAAGTGCATGGTGGTGGAGATGATTAATGGAACAAGGTCCTGGAGGATACGGGAGGGGACGATCTGAAGGCCAGGTCCAACATTTCACCTCGGACTGGCGGAAGGAATAGGAAAAGCAAATGTTTTGCAAACCAGGAGCATGTCATATTTGTGTCTTTGCCCCTGTGCAGCATGGTGCCTGTTTGCTGGAAGGTGAGGGAGGTACAGATGACTGTGCTGTAGGTGAGGGATGAAGGGTCAAGTGAGCACTTGCCTCTTTTCAAAGAGGAGCAGTCAAGACCCTCTATTGAAGGCACCTGAGAAAGTGGTGGGGCTTTGGAGACAGAGTGCAGGTTGGGAGGACCCACTGAAGGAGGTGGAGAGGAGGAGGGAGAAGTAATTGTGCTGGGGGAAATCTTGCTAAGATTGGGGACCATGAAGTTAGCAGCCAAATCCATGGGATGGGGGTGTCTTCTCCAGGAGTGTGCAGATGCCCATGGGTAGGAGTCAAGAAGGCAGCACCTGGCTGGGCATGGTGGCTCACGCCTGTAATCCCAGCACTTTGGGAGGCAGAGGCAGGAGGATCACCTGAGGTCAGGAATTTGAGACCAGCCTGGCCAACATGGCAAAACCCCATCTCTACTAAGAAAAATACAAAAATTAGTTGGGCTTGGTGGTGGATGTCTGTAATTCCAGCTACTCGGGAGGCTGAGACAGGAGAATTGCTTGAACCTGGGAGACGGAGGTTGCAATGAGCCGAGATCACGCTGTTGCACTCCAGCCTGGGCGACAGAGTGAGACTCCATCTCAAATAAAGAAAGAAAGAAGGAAGGAAAGAAGGAAGGAAGGAAGAGAAAGAGAAAGGAAGGAAGGAAGGAAGGAAGGAAGGAAGGAAGGAAGGAAGGAAGGACACGAAAGCAAGCAAGCAGGCAGCACCTATCAGAATAAGTCATCCATGTGGGAAGGGGGTGAGGGGCTACTCTCTGGCATTAACTTTCCATTTCTCCCCCAAAAGCTCAGAGCCTGCCCTGTCCTCAGACACTGAGGTGGAGAGAGCTGAACTCCTCCAGGCTCTCCCTTGGGGATTTGCATCCGTTTAGTGACCGTGCTGACCATCGCCAGCACTTGAACCAGCCTGGGTTGGGGGTTATGATTACTGGACTTCTGTGCTGCCCAGTTCCACCACACCCCTACTGTGCCTTTCCTTTTCTTCAGGTTCCTGAGCTCCCTGTATATATCCTAGAATGGTTAAAAATGTTAAACTGTCAATACCAGGTGTTATTGAAGATGCAGAGCAACTGGAACACTCAGACACTGCTTGTGGGAATGTAAATAGGAACAAACACTTCGAAAATTCTTTGTCAGTGTTGACTGTAAATATACCCAATGACAGTAATTCTACTCTGAAATATACGCCCAAGAGTAAATACACTAAAAAATGATATAAGAATGTGTACAGCAGCATTATTCCTAAAAATAACCCAAGATTAGAAACAACCTAGATGTCCATCAGTGGTAGAATTGATAAATAAATTTGCTATGGTCCTGCAGTTGAATACTATTCGGTAGAGAAAATGAGCTACTGCTACACACGAAAATATGGATGCATCTCACAAACATAATGCTGAGTGAGAGAAGAGGGATGCAACACACATGCTGTGTGTTGTAATTAGAGATAAATTTCAAAAGCGGGTGAAACTAATGGTTGGAGTAAGGACTGGGAGGGGACATGAAGGAAGCTGATGGGTTACTGAGAATGTTCTCTATCTTAATCTGGGTGGTGGTTATATGAGCATTTTTACATTTAAAAGTTCATCAAACTTCAAAAATTCATCAAGTATATTTATAGTTTCTGAATTTTTTTTTTTTTTTTGACAGAGTCTTGCTCTGTTGCCCAGACTGGAGTGCAGTGGTGCGATCTTAGCTCACTGCAACCTCCGCCTCCCGGGTTCAAGTGATTCCCTGTCTCAGCCTTCCAAGTAGCTGGGACTAGAGGTACATGCCACCACACCCGGCTAATTTTTTGTATTTTTAGTAGAGACGGGGTTTCACTGTGTTAGCCAGGATGGTCTCGATCTCCTGAATTTGTGATCTGCCTGCCTCGGCCTCCCAAAGTGCTGGCATTACAGGCATGAGCCACCACCCCCAGCCAATTTCTGAATTTTTATATGTAAATGTTGAAAATATAATTTCTTAAAATACTGTGACTGATTCCAAGTCAGCATAGACTGTAATATGGACTATGTTAAATTTTATAAATAGCATTATTTAATTAGTTTTGAATTTATTATGCTTATTTCCCTTTTCATTTTCTGTGATTTGATTTCATCTTATTGGACCATGAAATACTGATTGCAGTCAGTTTTAAATATGATTATTAGGTGGCTGGTATAATTTTGTTGGTATAAATGGTTCAAAAATCGAAGATTACATTTTGTTTTTTTTTTTTTTTTTTTTGAGACAGAGTTTTGCTCTTTGTTTCCCAGGCTGGAGTGCAATGGCGCGATCTCGGCTCACCGCAGCCTCCGCCTCCCGAGTTTAAGGGATTCTTCTGCCTCAGCCTCCCGAGTAGCTGGGATTACAGGCATGCACCAACACACCTGGCTATTTTTGTATTTTTAGTGGAGATGGGGTTTCTCTATGTTGGTCAGGCTGGTCTTGAACTCTCAACCTCAGGTGATCCGCCCACCTTGGCCTCCCAAAGCGCTGGGATTACACACGTGAGCCACCGCGCCTGGCCACATTTTTTTAAAACAGGTATTTTTGGTGGTTAAATATGATGGTTAAGTGAATTTATTTTCTGATAATCTATAATTCAATTAATTGGATTATTGATCAATCAATTTGCCATTTGTAGTCTACTTAGGCAAACAACAGGATTGAATGGCAAATATTTAATCAGATTGCTCATTGTGGTAGACTTTTTTTTTTTTTGAGATGGAATCTCTCTCTGTCGCCAGGCTGGAGTGCAGTGGCACGATCTCTGCTCACTGCAACCTCTGCCTCCCGGATTCAAGTGATTTCCTGCCTCAGCCTCCTAAGTAGCTGGGACTACAGGTGCCTGCCACCACGCCCAGCTAATTTTTGTATTTTTAGTAGAGATGGGGTTTCACCATACTGGCCAGGCTGGTCTTGAACTCCTGACCTTGTGATCCGCCTGCCTCAGCCTTCCAAAGTGTTGGGATTACAGGCGTGAGCCACCATGCCTGGCCATGTAGACATTGTTTTTGCCATGCAGCATCTATTCCCCGTTTCTGTGACAGCAGCACTCTGTCTTTGCTTTTGTCGGTGCATTAGTTACCTGTTGCTGTGTCATAATATTATCACAGATTCAACAATATATTTGTCATCTCACAGTCCATAGGTCAAGAGTCTGGGTGTAGCTTCACTGGGTCCTCTCCAAGGCTACGACATGGTGGCTATGGCTGTGTTCTCATCTGAGGCTTGACTGGGGAAATATTTTCTTCCAAACTAACATGGTCTTTGGCTGAACTCAGTTCCTTGCAGGCCACTGCAATGAGGGCCTCATTTTCTTACTGGCTATTGTCTGGAGGCCAGCCTGAGGTCCTAGAAGCCATGCTCAGTCCCTTCCCACACAGGCCCTCAACAGAGCTGCTTGCTTAATGAAGTCAGCAAGGGAAAGAAAAAGACTTCAGCAAGACAGGTTCTACAATATTTTCAAACAATTATGTATACCCCATCACCTTTGCTGTGTTCTCTTGGTTAGAAGCCAGACACAGGCTGTGTTCATTCTTAAGTGGAAGGGATTGCACAAGAGCATGAATGCCAGGAGGTGGACTCATGGCAGCCACTCGTATGAGTATTATGAGTCTATCTGCCACAGTAAGGAACAGTCTGCTTCTCATGCCATGTTTCGGGTCCAGCAGACTCCATCCCTCTCACCTTGGCTAAGCCAATCACCATGTTCCATTCTCTGGCCACAGTGATTGGATCAAGGTTGGGCATACCACCAAGGTCAAGCCAACTGGGGCCCATGTGACTCAAGTGCTCAGAAAATAAAGTGTTGAAACATCAATAAAGCAGACTCACCCTTCCACAGGAGAGGAAGGGGAGAACGCTGGGAAGGGAACCCAGGATTCAGAAACAGTGGTGCTGGAAGGTAGATTCTGGAGTTATTATTTGTGTCCCAAATTGAGCCCACCTGAGGTAGTCCCTATTCCTGGCTTTTGAGTAATGGACATGTCACACTTTGGAAATCATTGCTCTAACCAATTGAATATATATATTGTGTGTTTGCCATACTCAGGTAAAGATTAACATGGTGTCAGGCACATAAACATGACTTATATTAAAAGAAAAAAAGTCAAGTGCCAAAATGAGTGGGCATGGCACGTAATATGACCGAGGTTGATATTATGAATTGCATCACAATCTAAAGAAAAAGTAGATTCTACCTGTTTGTCTGTAACTGTGTCAGGCTAAATGTCTGAGTGGATTTTCACTACATTTGGAGATCATATTTGGCATGGCTTGACTTAAAGCATAGATTTTGAGTAAGGTAACTGTGAATTCTGATTTGCCCAGAAAAGCTCCAGTTTAGACCTGTTGTCCCAGTATAATTATTACTAGTGTTTCCTTTCACTCTTTAAAGTGTCAAGTTTGGACAATAAATTATATGATTACCCCAGCTCAGAAGTGTGTTCCAGATTCACTTGGAAAGCCTTAGAGAGGACCATTTCCATTTCCAAGAGACAGCCTGTTATCCCCTACAACTGCAGACGGGGAAGAACCCCTGTGACTGCTGATTGAGAGAGACATGCACGGTACGCAGTTATTAAGATACTGTGTACAGAACAAGCAGGGATTCCAACTGAATATGCACCCAAATTCTTAATAAAAGAATTATAGGTGTTGACTTGCAATTTAGATGCTTCTAACATGAGCACTCTATCTTGAACTTCATGGTTAGAAGCAGCAGGGATTCATTGAATTATTAATGAAATGACTGGTTCACTCAAGGAACTCTAGTTCTGCAAGTTAAGAAATTTAAATAAGAAATGAGTTGGAGGAATTAGAATTTGGAGACCTGCTTGGAAGCAACAGATGAAAGATGAAAGGAAGGATACAAATAGCAAGTGGAGATCAAGGAATCCTGTGGTAGGTCTGCAAAGGCCTCAGCACACTTCAGAGTCCTCTCTTTTTGCTTCCTTCCTCTCGTTTAGAACAAGGACTAAAAATTGCCTTCAAAGAAAAGGAAAGGAAGGTGGAGAGTTGGGGTGGGATTGAGACCATGGGGGAAGATGAGGGAGGTGGTATAATTTAGAATCTTTTTTTTTTTTTTTTTTGAGATGGAGTCTCTCTCTGTCTCCCAGGCTGGAGTGCAGTGGCATGAGTTTGGCTCACTGCAACCTCCCCTTCCCAGATTCAAGTGATTCTACTGCCTCAGCCTCCCAAGTAGCTGGGACTACAGGCCCAGCTAATTTTTGTATTTTTAGTAGAGACGGGGTTTCATCGTGTTAGCCAGGATGGTCTCAATCTCCTGACCTCATGATCCACCCACCTCAGCCTCCCAAAGTGCTGGGATTACAGGCATGAGCCACCGCACCTGGCGTTTGAATCTTTACAATCATAAGCTCTAGAGATAACTACTAGGATTTGAATATTGACTCTTACCTTGATAATTTTATGTCCTTGGACAGAGTTACTATGATTAATTTCATCATCCATAAATTATTATGCTAAATTGTGAGGATTAAATGAGATAATATATGTGATATGACTAGCACAGTCCTCAGAACATAGTAAAAATCTCAGTCAAAATTAGCTTCCATGAAGAACAGTTGTTGAGCTCCATACAGAGTAGTGTATCATTACTACTCATGTTACCATGAATAACATTTGTTGAGCTCCCTACATAGTAATGTATCGTGTACTTTAAACACATTACCTAGGTCGGTTGCAGTGGCTCACACCTGTAATTCCAGCACTTTGGGAGGTTGAAGCAGGAGGATTGCTTGAGCCCAGGAGTTGGAGACCAGCCTGGGCAACATAGGAAGACCCCTCATCTCTACAAAAAATACAAAAGTTAGCAGGTATTGTGGCACATGCCTGTAGTCCCAGCTACTTGGGAGGCTGAGGTGGGAAGATTCATTGAGCTTGGGAGGTCAAGGCTGCAGTGAGCCATAATCGTGCCACTGCACTCCAGCCTGGGCGACAGAGTGGGACCCTGTTTCAAATAAATAAAATTAATGTATTAGCTAATTTCATACAATGGACTAGATATTTCCATCATAAATGGAGGAAACTGAGGCTCAGGGATTCCATAATTTGCCTTGTTGGCTGGTGAGAGGTACACTAGAATTTATGTTCCCATAAGCCTGGCTGCATTTGATGGCTCTTCCACCACCCCAGGCTGCTTTGTCTGAACCGCTCCTGTATCCCCAGAGCCTAGAACGCTGCCTACCACTCAGGCGCCCACCAAGTATGTGTTGGCTGACTGCATGAATGCTTCCTGTCTCTTCTCACCATGACGGTTCTTTTGTTCAGTGTGTTGGGCATTTGAGTATCTGGCCCGCAGTGTCGGACACTGCACTCATTAGTATGCTGCTTCTTCTCTTTAAGCCTTTGTTTGTGTGTTGCCAATCCCCTGGCTAGACGGGGAATTCTCGGGCCAGGATTGCCTTGTATTCACTAATGCAGGGGACTAAGCTCCAGCATGTTGGAGCCCAGAAAGCACTTTCCAGAAAAAGATTCTTTAGAACATCCAAGGATGGAGTATCCTGACTTTTTTTTTCTTTTAAACATTCAGATATCAAATGCACACTTGGCTAGCTAATCTGTCTTAACTAGGATCAAATGTATGAAACTGTCTTCACACTGGCAGCTGAGCCAAAAACGAATATTTGGCATGCTTAAAACAACCGTTGCCTGCTTTTGTTTTTGAAGGCTGTATATTTCAGCAGAAAGAGAGCTGGACTTGGGGCATGAGTCACTTAACTTCTTGGGCTCTCCTTCCTTCCTTCCTTCCTTCCTTCTTTATTTATTTATTTATTTATTTATTTATTTATTTATTTATTTATTTATTTATTGAGACAGAGTTTTGCTCTTGTTGCCCAGGCTGGTGTACAATGGCGTGATCTCGGCTTGCTGCGACCTCTGCCTCCTGGGTTCAAGCGATTCTCCTACCTCAGCCTTCCAAGTAGCTGGAATTACAGGCATGCACCACCATGCTTGTCTAATTTTGTATTTTTAGTAGAGACGGGATTTCTCTATGTTTGTCAGGCTGGTCTCGAACTCCTGACCTCAGGTGATCTGCCTGCCTCGGCCTCCCAAAGTGCTGGGATTACAGGCGTGAGCCACCATGCCTGGACTTCCTTCCTCATTTATAAAGCCAGGGTGATAATGTATGCTCCAGTAACCCAAAGCTTGGTGAGGTCAGAAGATACAGACTATTTTAAAGGCATTTTTGTAGTGTACCATTAAATTAAAAAGGATCATCTATAGAGCTTATTGGTGGTGAGATTATGGGTGATTTTTTCTTCTCAGTTTAGCCTATATGTATTTCCTAATTTTGATATTATGAACTTTTTTCCCACTTTGCTTGAGTTACTAAAAGTCATTTAAGATTCCCGGTAGAAAGACTGTGGGCTGGGTGCAGTGGCTCATCCCTGTAATCCCAAGGCTTTGGGAGGCTGAAGCAGGAGGATCACTTGAAGCCAGGAGCTATGTTCCTTGGGCAACATAGCAAGATTCCATCTCTACAAAAAATAAAAATTAAATTAGCCAGGCATGTTGGCACACGCCTATAGTTCTAGCTACTTGGGAGGGTGAGATGGGAGGATTGCTTGAGCCCATGAATTCGAGGTTGCAGGGAGCTATAATTGCACCATGCACTCCAGCCTAGGTGACAGAGCAAGACCCTGTCTCTAAAATAAAATAAAATAAAAAAAGAAAAGGTTGTGACTTACGCTTTGATATTTTAGTTGACATTTCAGGGTCATTTTGGCAAATATCTGATATTGTACAATTGATATATCTAAGTGACAGTGTAATTAATATGAGAGAATGATTACTGCTGATTTTTAGGGACTGTAGTTTACCTGTTACAGTCTGATAAGGAGGTTTGGTTTCTCCTCCAGCCTAGCTTCTGGTATGCAGCTGGGGGTAGAACAGGCCTGGACAGTTTTGCCCGTGAAAAACTAAGGTCCTTGTGATT
The DNA here is from genome assembly GCF_000001405.40 of Homo sapiens. Lineage (NCBI taxonomy): Eukaryota > Metazoa > Chordata > Mammalia > Primates > Hominidae > Homo > Homo sapiens. The sequence continues at coordinate 200,319,662 of NC_000001.11, read as the reverse complement.
CTACCCCTCTCCAGACTCTTGTTAGTATCAAGAGAGATAATCAAAATTAAACACAACTGTAAGTTCACTTTTAAGCATGGATAAATGCTACACAGGACTACAACAAATTCAAGAGTAGGAAGATGTGATCTGTGACCTTTAATGTTTTTAGGGAGTTTCTCAGGTTCTCCTCAGTTTGGCCTGTCCCAGTTTATGCTTTTTCTTCCAAAGGTGGGGCTTTTAAAATTACTGAGGAATAACACCTACTCATTGTTCTTTCTGGTGATTATTCAGAGTCACACGTTCAAGTATCACACTGACACTGCCTTTTATGATGGCTTGGCTGCTTTGTTTGACTTCTGTGGACCTGAATCATCCTAGCAGTTGAGACTGAAAAGTGCAAGTCTCAGCTGAGGTCCCAGCTTCAGTGGAGGTTTCTTCTGCCCACACCATATTTGTCACCAACTATTCCTATTTAATTCCATGGTCTTGGAATGTTTTTTCCCATATACACTTCTAGAGATAATTTTAAAGATTATGGGCAGCGGGCAAGTTGGCTCACACCTGTAATCCCAGCACTTTGGGATATCGAGGAGGGAGGATTTCTTGAGCCTAGGAGTTTGAGACTAGCCTGGGCAACATGGTGAAACCCCATCTCTATAAAAAGTTCAAAAAGTAGCTGGACGTGGTGGCACATGCTTGTAGTTCCAGCTACTCAGAAGGCTGAAGTGGGAGGATTGCTCGAGCCTAGGAGGTCAACAGTGTAGTAAGCTGTGTCCGTGCCACTGCTCTCCTGCCTGGGTGACAGAGAGAGACCCTGTCTCAAGAAAAATGTACTCTTTTGCACAAGTTTTAGTGTACATTTAACATTTTTCATAAATTTAAATATCAGATTTTGAAAATCGATAATAAATCTTTAATATCTTTTGTTTAAGGATTCTCAACCAGGAGTGATTTTGCTCCCCAGGAGACATTAGGCAAAGTCTTGTGGTCACAGCTGTGTGTGTGTGTGTGTGTGTGTGTGTGCGCATCTGCGTGCAGAGATCAAGGATACTGGTCAAGATCCTATAATGCACTAGACAGCAAACTATAACACAAATTATCCAGCCCCAAATGTCAACAGTGCTGAGGCTAAGAAACTGATTTAAATGTGTCCAGAGGAATATGAATATCATGGGATTTTGCACTTATCAGGGCCAATTTAAAAAATACATAACCTGGGGCCGGGCATGGTGGCTCAAGTCTGTCTTCCCAGAACTTTGGGAGGCTGAGGCGGGTGGATCACCTGAGGTTGGGAGTTTGAGACCAGCCTGACCAACATGGAGAAACCCCATCTCTATTAAAAATACAAAATTAACCGGGTGTGGTGGTGCATGCCTGTAATCCCAGCTATTCGGGAGGCTGAGGCAGAAGAATTGCTTGAACTTGGGAGGCCAAGGTTGCGGTGACCTGAGATCGTGCCATTGCACCTTAGCTGGGGCGATGAGGGCAAAACTGTCTCAAAAATAAATAAATAAATAAATAAATAAGAATAAAAATAAAAAAATAAAAAAATTACACGACTCTTCCATAGCATTGTTCCTTTTTTTCCTTGGAACTGTATTTCCATTCTCTTTCCCTCATAGAATTTTACCTTGATGAAATTCATCCTTATGCTTGAAAGCCCTTATTAACTACCACGTAATTCTCTGCTACAAAACTAGGTATATAAATTGAAATTTCTTTTCAAATATCCTATAAGGTTCTAAATGTTAACATTTTTCCTCTGTATTGAGGTAGCACTGGAAATTGATCAAAACACCATATATATATTACAACCTATTTGATACATTTGATAGATGAGTTTTAAACACAAAAATCTTTTGGTTGAAATGCATCTCTTAACGGGATGAATTGGGGAGGGAATTTCAGGGACCTGGTACATAGGCTTTGGGTGAAGTGGAGGTTTATATTTTCTCAGGTGGATCAATTTTAGAAAAAGATTTTGAAATGCATTTCCTTAAAACTATTTGTGCCCACGTACCCTCTGGAAAGTCTTCGTGTACCCACAGAGATACTCACATATCAGCCTGATTTGGCTCTCTTTGGTTTCTGAGTAACTTAGCAACGCTTTTCTTTTAATGATTCAGACAGTTTTGCATGCAGCTAATGCATGTTAAAGAAAGCTAAGCCAGTGTATATTATAAATACTTTATAAGTCAAGCAAGTAGAATTTCTCACAGGAGTCATAATTACAGTGGAGGCGGCATACCATTGTAGTGAGAGTTCTGGAGTCAGGCACAGTATTTGTTCCTGTTCTTCATCACTACTGGCTCTTTGACTTGGGGCAAATGATTACCTGCTCTGGTCTGTAGCTTTCTCACCTATGATAAACAGGGGTCAATAATAGATTCCTCAACTGGTTATTGTAAGATTCAAATGAGTCATGCATACAAAGCACTTAGTACAGTGAGTGCCCAACATATCCTAAGCACTCAATAAATACTAGCTGTTGTTATCTTTAGACATTATAGGGTTTATCTCAAGGGATGGGCACTAGAAAAGCAATGGAATAGGCATTTCAGTCCTTTTTCTTATATCATGGCTCTTTTTTGCACAATTTACTGTACCCAACTTCCCTGATGTTATGGACAGCAGTGGGTCTTTGATATTCCCATTGATCATGAGCTCTGGAAGCCCAAGGCTGTAAGGCTGCTGCAAGGCACCTGCTCCCAACAGCAATGTGCTCTCATTTTCTGGTCAGCCTCACAAGGACAAACGTAAACTCTTGAACACCTGGGAGAGTGAGCCTCTGAATGCCTGAAGTTATTTTTAATATTCTCAGAATGCTGTCTGGGAGTTGCATGATGTAGATGAACGGCACTCATTTGAGGTCTCCTATAGGGTCACTTGGACAAAACATGTAAAGGCATGACTTCAAGTAACTGGACCAAAGTACCTTAATCCTTGTATCGACAACCATCCTATTGGGTTACACAGTTTTAATCCCAGAGGAGTTGTCTCTTGACATTAAACTGTCCAAACAGTATTTATATCTGCGGCTGCCCTGCAAGATCACTTAACCCTGCACAGCCGTTTAAAAGTAGTTAATGACAGAACCGGCATGACTTGCCCCTTATGAATGATCACATAAGTTCGACCTGTGCTGTCATGGTTTATGGAGGAGGCAGTTTGTCCATAGCCTGCTTCAACCACAGCAGGTAATTTGAAATGAAATGAGACAGTTTCTACAAGCAGATTGATTTGGGAATCTTGCCTGTTCTTCCCTTTGACCCTTGACAAGTTGACACTACAAAGATTGTGACTTTAAAAAATGATTGGGTGCAAATACATTTAGGTAGATGATTTACTGTGTGCTGAAGCAAGGACAGTGCGTTTAGAGCGATGCTGTGAGGGAAGGTAATTGTAAACTTTAACAACTCATGTTTTATGTTTCTGTATCTTATTAATTATCCTACTAGGTGAATCCACTGATAATCCTTGATCAAGTAGTTTATATTCCTGGTAAGAGACCAGAGACCCAATTTCAGGATTAAGAGATATAGCATTTATGATAAACTTATTAAAAGTTACAGATTCAGTTAGTTATTTTGGCCGTAAATCACAGCTTGTATATAAGGATAAGAAGTCGCGATCTCTTTCATGGATTCTGTTCTTTTTCTTTTTCTTTTTCTTTTGGTTTTCCTAAATATAGTTGAACATATACAGGAGAAAAACATTGTGATTAAAAAGATAATCAGCTTGATTTTTGATAACCAAAGAGTTACCAGGGATATCTGAAAAAAAAAGAAATTCCCAACTATGAATTCACACATGTTATTTTCTAATTTAGATTTTCACACCAAATAATATGTAATAAGTAAACACGTATTTTCCATATTATTTCTATTCTATTCTTCTGGTGCAGTTTTTCTTAGAAGTGAGGTTTTGTCATGAATTGGTGCTACCATAAGTAGAATTTTAAAATTGACTGTCTTCCAAAACAAAAATAAAAAAGACAGTAAGGTAATTTTTAAAAAACTGTTTCCTTAGTTCACAGTGATATAATATTTATGCTGAGATTGTTTTAAATGAACTCTGTGATAGAATTGTTGATTTATTAATATTTGGATTTGGGTTGATGTTCCTTTTACATTTGCTGTAGGAAATACCCACGACATGAGGTTTGTAAGCTTTTGTGTTTTTCTCTATTCTAACCACTCTGCTTGAAATATAATTTGAAGATGCTAGTAAAAAATATAACAAATTCCCTATTGGTCTCCGTTTAAATTATTTACTACCCTTTTGAGCCATATCTTCATTGAACTATGTTAAAAGTATTTTGCTGTAATGTTTCTTTATGTTGTCCATCGGGTTTAATAGACGTGCCATTTAATAAGCTCTCTACCTGTAAGGCTAGACTATTTGACCTCTATGCCCTGCCACTGGTAGACATAGTATAAGATTGCTTTGTGAAATAAAGCTGTCGGTAACATCACCAAAATAAAAAATGATCGTATTCCAATACTCTCTGCTGAGTACTATGACAGCACTGAAATATGGAATAAAATTGAAAGTAGATTAGTTTTGGGTTTTAAGTCATGTTTTGACAAGAAATAAGAGAGGAGAACATATCTTTGAACTTTTAGTTTTAAAGTTTTTTAATGAAAATATTTATCATTTTGTAAGGTTCCTTCTTTCTTTATCACATCTAGGCTGTATAACCTTAAAACAATTCGTTCTCTTATTGTGAGGGATATAAATACTCTTCTATCTTTATATTAAATATCATAAAGGAGACACGCACAGTGAGAGACGGCTTGACACTTACAAGTTAAAAATTGTCACACTAATAAAAAAGCTTATTGAAGAGGTTGGAAAATCAGTCATTAATAAGCTATATATTTTTAGGGTATGTAAAGCATGTAAATACTGTAGACAAGCAGGCTGCTTTTGCTGTATTTTTTGCTCACTTTTTGGAATGGTTTGAATCTGAAGAGGAAGAATAAATATGTCAGAGTGGAGAAAGCCTTGCTGGTGATTGCTTTCAACCTAAAGGAATTTGAAAATTGCTGCGACGTGCAGATTGTGAAATTATTTCTTTTGCCTCTGTGGTTACATATTAATCAGCTGAAATCATGACAAATAAATGGCATTGATGGCCCACAGGGAGTGTGGGTTGAGTACAGTAACCCTTCCCTCCAGGAGTTTGCAAACATCCTATGTCACCAAATGGGAGATTGTGGAGCTCTTAAAAATGCAGTGCCTTCTTCCCTTCATTGCATATGCGGAGTGATTACACAGGGGGCAGGTTAAACCACACTCCTTGTTCATCTCAGAATGAACTTTTCTTTCTTCATATTCTTTCCCTTTAAAACACAGGATACAAATTCTCTGCACAGGTCACTGGGCTGCCCTTGCTTTCTCCAGTGTGTTCAGGGGCCCTCAGCCCATAGGGGCAAAGCTCACTGACGGGAGCCTTCTAACCCTGGTGTCATTTTAAAAAATTGAAATTGACCCCCCACCCCGCTCTCCACCAATAAATGTGAATTACATGATAGCATGGGGCTATAACTTTGGTCAGACCCTTATGAAATGCTGTTTTTAGTCATGAAAAGAGCCATTGTCTTAATCTTAAATTTTTCATATTAAGAAATTTAAAAAATAAATGGAAAAAAGCAAAGGTTGTATTGGCTAAAGTTTCTGGAAAAAAATTTTCTTACAAGATTTCAAACAATCTCTCCTATGATATTTTAAAATGTACAAAGGGAAAAAAATTAAAAATTAGAGGAATATTAAATATAGCTATGTTTCTTAGCTGAAGTGTATACCAAAAGTGTGATGGAGGTCCTGTAATATCACCCCTTAATTTGTTCCGTTACATGGTTTTAACCTTGACTTTGCTAAATAATCTCTTTAAACAGGACAATGAATTACTGTGGTCATTAGGTTGGTGTCATTTGTCATGATCGGTGTAGGCTTGACTCCTGAATATAGAAGGTTGTTAAATAACTATATAATTATCAATGATCCAGGCCAAATTTACATGTGTGTTTTATTCATGTTTTTTTTTTTTTTTTGGTCAAGTGTCAAGCTCCAGGAAGGGCCCTGAACATCTCGAGAGGGTGAAAGAGTGTGCTACAGACTTTTAGAGGACTGGGGGTGGCCATGTCCTAAGAAACACGTTCTTGGCCAGTGGAGATTTCTGAGAAGAGATCAAGGCTAGGCAAGGAAGGGAGTGTGCATAAGGGTAGGGAAAGGTAGCAGAATTGGAGGTGAGATAAAATTTTGGCATTTGAGAAGAGAAGAGAGAAGGGAAGTATTGGTAGAAAATTAACAGTAATTATAACACAGGGAAGGGACTTGGAAGGCATTCCATTTTGAAGTAGGTGAGGGGATAGAGTTTTCACAGTGGCATTCTGTATGTCAGCCTGGGGTTCAAGAACCAGGTCTGCCAGATCATAGCTGTGATACTTTTGGCAAACCTTCTTAGTGTCAGAGTTTTAATTTGTAAAATGGAGATAAAACTGAGGTGGCTTCCCTGGAAGTGAATTCAATAAACTACTTGAAAGTGCCTAGCATGGTTGCCAACACACAGCAACTATCCAATCAGTACTGGTGGCCTTTTCTCCCCTCTTCATTCTGAAATGAGGATGTCAACCTCTTCCTTCTTTCAGATTTTATGAACCTGAAGATGTCCATTCTATTCTTGTGAAAGGGAGTATTCTAGAAGTTTTTTTCACCTTCACTAAACCAAAAATTCTTATTCTAGTTTCAATTACTCCAGTTATTTGGTTTAAGAAATCCAGACTAGAACCTAGTGTCAATGAATTTTAGAGATAATTTGCATTGTGGTTTTGTAATTAACATTGATTAATATTACAAGAGAATATGGGAGATGAGATGAATAAGTTTCTCACTTGGGCTCTTGTTTATTTATTCATTTATCTATTTGTTTATGCATTTGGTCATTCTCGAAAGATTCAATTTGATAGAAAAAGAAGGTTTCCTGAAGCAATATGTTGCAATAAGATCTTTGCTCTCAAGTAATTTAAAATCTAGTAAAGAAGAAAAAGATGCCTACAAAAAGTTTAAGCCTGGTGGCAAAGGAAAAAGAATATGGTCAGGAGGGTTATGCAGAAACATTGAAGTGACCATTGAGAAGTTGCCATCTTTGAGACGCAGGATGGAGGTGAGCGTTCTGTGATAGGAATGAGGACCAGGAGAGCTGTGAAGGATGTTCCAATTATTGTGGGGAGCACTGTCCTGAGAGGCACCCTCCAGGGCAAGAGTGCCAATACATCATGCCAGCAACAGATGGAGTTACAGGGTGCATGGGGTTAATCTCAGCCATAGCCTGTGGGATGTTTGCCGTGCTGTGACTTACTTTTGAGGTGTCATTTGGACGTTACTAACCTCATGATGATCTCTAAGTGCAGAAACAGGGAGAGGGTTAAAAGTTCTAGTAAGAGAAGGCAGATGACACCAGTGAAAATAAAAGTAGCGTATTTTTCTAAAACGATGAACAAGGACATACGCCACACATGGTTAAGGGATGAGTCCTCACTTGGGCCGTAAGCTCAATGCAGCACAAGGTTCAGGATACGAACTCAAGAGATTTAACATCACCATTATTTTAGAAGCCTTTAATTTCTTTCCCTTTCTTCTTTTCTTTTTCTTTTTTTTCAGGGTCTCACTCTGTTGCCCAGATTGGAGTGCAGTGTTGCGATCTCAGCTTACCGCAATCTCCACCTCCCAGGCTCAAGCGATTCTCCTGCCTCAGCCTCCCAAGTAGCTAGGATTACGGTGCACGCCACCATGCCTGGCTAGTTTTTGTATTTTTAGTAGAGACGGGGTTTCACCATGTGAGCCAGGCTGGTCTCGACCTCTTGACCTCAGGTGATACACCCGCTTTGGCCTCCCAAAGTCCTGGGATTACAGATGTGAGCCACCGTGCCCCGCCGAAGCCTTTAATTTCTTTGAGAATCTTCTTTATCACTGTTAAAGTCAGAGGACAATAATAATAATTGTAACACTACATATATGTGTTCACTGTGTGCCAGGCACTGTTTGATGTAATTTATATATATATAAACTCATTTAAACTTCATAACAACTCTATAAGGTAAGATATTATTACCCGTATTATAGATGAGAAAACTGAGGTGCAGAGAACTTGTGTAACATGCCTGTGGTCATCCAGTAAGTGAACTAAGATTCTAAATCAGGAAGTCTGTTGTAAGAGTCCATGATTCTTATGAAGCCTGGAATGAAGCATTGTTTTGTAATTTACTCATTTACTCATTCAACCAACCAACTAACCAACCAACACATTTATTGAGTTTGTACTACATGCTAGTTACTCAGCAAGACATCAGAGCAAGAGTGGGGACCAAAAGCAGATGCTACCTTCATGAAACTTATAGATAAATCAGAGAGATAGATATTATTCAAATAATAACGTCAGTAATGATAAAATTTCAATATGAGCAAGAGGTGCAAGGTGCTAAGAAAGCTCACAATAGAGAAATTGGGCCTAGTAAGAAAAAACTTCCTTGAGAAAATAGTATCTGAAGCTGGGATCTGAAAGATGAGTAAGAGTTAACCAACTAAATGGGAGCAGAATTTGTGCTTTACAGCCCTTGTGACAAGAGGGAGAGTTGAGGCTGAGGAACTGAAAGAAGGTCATTTTGATACTAGGAAGAGATGAATGCTACACGAAGTCAAACCATGTAGGAAGAGTTTGTGGGCTATGGAAAGGAATTTATTGTTTGTCTCAAGATCAATAGAAAGCAATTGAAATATTTTCGATGTGGGAAGGGTGGCATGGTTTGGGTTTCACATCACTCCTCTTGCTGCAACATGGAAAATGGATTTGAGATAGACCTGGGGTGGATGCAGAGAGCTGGGCTATGGGCCAACTGCATGAACTCTGGTGAGATATGATGGAGTTCAAACCAGAGGGTGACAGTGGAGGTGGGGAGAAATAGACAAATCCAAGAGATACGTGGCATGCAAAATCCACAAAGCTTGTTGATGGGTTAGATGTGGGGAGACGCAGATGGCCCCTGGGTTGGTTTCTGGGGCTGGATGATGGTGGTGCCATCTCCTGTGATGGGGACACTGGCAAAAGACCTTGGTGGTTTTTGTTCTGACTCTGGACAAGTAGAGTTTGGAGTTGTTTTTTTTTGAGATGGAGTCTTGCTCTGTCACCTAGGCTGGAGTGCAGTGGTGCGATCTCGGCTTGCTGCAAACTCCGCCCCCTGGGTTCAAGTGATTCTCCTTCTTAGGCTCCTGAGTAGCTGGGATTACAGGTGCCTGACACCACCCCTGGCTAATTTCTTTTTGCATTTTTAGTAGAGACGGGGTTTCACCATGTGGGTCAGGCTGGTCTCGATCTCCTGACCTCAGGTGATCCGTCTGTCTCGGCCTCCCAAAGTGCTGGGATTACAGGTGTGAGCCACCATGCCTGGCAATTTTTGTATTTTTAGTAGAGATAGGGTTTCGTCATATTGGCCAGGCTGGACTCAAACTCCTGACCTCAGGTGATCTGCCCACCTTGGCCTCCCAAAGTGCTGGGATTACAGGCGTGAGACACCGTGCCTGGCCCCATCTCAGTCTCTTGAGTAACCAGGACTATAGGTGTGTGTTACCATGCCTAGTGAATTTTTGTAGAGAACAGGGTCTCGCCATGTTGCTGAGGCTGGCCTCAAGTGATCCTACCGCCTCGGCCTCCCAAAGTGCTGGGATCACGGGTGTGAGCTACCACGCCCGGCCCATTTTATTACTTGTATAGTACCACTTTGTGTTTATGAACAAATGCATTTAAAATCATCTTTTGGAACAAACTGTGTCACTAAAGAAACGGCTACTCTACTGTGAGTATAACTGCTTCTAAAATACCGATTTATAGACAGACTTGAATAAGCCATCATTCATTCTTTGTATGATTAATTTATAAAATGCAGAGTTTCTATTAATGGAAAAGCAAACTCAAGCATCACGTGGATAATATCAATAATATGCATTTGTAATTACGTACTGTAGATAACTCTAGAAGCTACATTTTATTATGTTAATAAAACGTAAAAACTCCTGAAGCAACCCAGACTGGGCAGCAGCAACACTATTAGGGCTCGCTGCTTCATCAGTTAGGAGTCTGTTCAATTGTTCTTAGCTGGTAGTAACACTCACAGGGCACTGAGAAACCTTTTTTCTCCCATAAAATAATGATGATCTACTTTCCAAGATAAAATATTGCATGTTGATGGAATAATATGAGAGTTATGAGAGTAGCAGCAAAGATAAAAATGAAACTTAATGAGGACAAAAAGGAGGATGGGAGAACTGCTTGTTCCTCTAGGCAGACCAAGTGACCAGGTTCTGTCACTGTACATGTAAAAAAATTGTTTATTCTGTTAACATGCAGCAGATATTTGGGAGAACTCATAAAGAGAGTGCTAATTTTATGAAAGGGAAGTGTAAGGGGTTTCAAGTGTTACTGGGCTAATACCTTGGTCACACTGACAGGCAAAAGGAACAGTGTGTTGGATGAACTGGACCAATCGATATCTCTTTAGGTATCTGCCAATCATGCCATTAGAGTGGAAGACTGCATGGATTAGTTCAAGCAGTTTCTCAGATGCTCCAACGACTCAGCCAGACACTTTTCCCTAGGTAGGAAATGGGAAGAATGACTTCATTTTGGGGAGAATGAGGAGGCCTCCAGATTTGGAGAGCACTGGGATATGCTCTCCCATTGATACCTTTAAACAAACCTAGCCAGTTCAAATATAAGCATTTTAAGTAGAGATATTAAGATTCTGGGTCTTGACCAGGCACAGTGGCTCACGCCTGTAATCCCAGCACTTTGGGAGGCTGAGGCAGGCAGATCACGAGGTCAGAAGTTCAAGACCAGCCTGGCCAACATGGTGAAACCCCGTCTCTACTAAAAATACAAAAATTAGCTGGTCATGGTCATGCATGCGTGTAATCACAGCTACTCAAGAGGCTGAGGCAGGAGAATTGCTTGAACCGGGACCCCAGAGGCAGAGGTTGCAGTGAGCCAAGATCACGCCACTGCACTCCAGCCTGGGCTACAGAGTGAGACTCTGTCTCAAAAAAAAAAAAAACACAAAAAACACACACACACACACAAAACAGATTCTGGGTCTTAATATGGCTGATGACAATAAAATGTCTCAAGATAGATGTATTTGTTTAATGGTATATATTATGTGCCATTAGTAATTCTTAGTGATGAAATTAAGCCTGTGCTTAAATCTTAAACAAGTCAAGCATCCGTCCTTAAAACACTTGGAGGCAGCTGACAGCTCTGTGTAACCTGTGCTGCAAAAATATTCATAGGAACACAGAAGACATTTCTATAAGCTAAACAAATAAACAGACCACGTGCAGCAGACCCACCGAGTTACTTGATCCAAAACTCAACTGCCAGAGGATTTAACATATCAACAATAGAGGTGTCAAAAGCATAATGTTTCTGTTGGAAATACCACCCAGAATTCCCAGAGAGCCTTTCCAATTGATTAACTTTGAAACAAAATCCAAACATTCTTGGCTGCAGGGAAAAGTTTATCGGTTTTTTTTTCCCCCAACACACTACTAATTTTGAACTAAAAATCATTTGATGTCAAAATTTTTCTTCTGAATAAGATGCTATTGGTATCTTATATTCTAACCATCCTCCCAGAATGTCCAGTTTCTTCCATTTTACAGAATTTTTGTCACAACACGAAAAATGAGGTTGCTCTGCTGAATTTGTAGTATAGAAAGTGGGACATGGATGGGCTTCAAGACGTCCAAATTTATCTACAAAAAACTATTGTGTATGTGTTTTTTTTTTCTGGAGAGAGGATTCAGGCTTTCATAATATTCTGCAGGCTGTGAGCTCCTCTTTCCCCATTTAAGAAGCATTCATGGGCCCTAACATAAATACAATAGGAATATAATTTGCAGCAAGAATTCTCCTTTCCTCTCCCTGAGATGTATTTCCTTATAAGGCCGAGAGGTGGCAGCATAAACACCAGCCTGTAGCAGCCCCATTTTCCTGACGGTGGAAAACTTTTAAAGGTGAAATTTATCTATGTGAGATCCTGTCAATAACCTTGATTTGGCTTGGATAGATTGTGGACATAATGTCCCATCAAACTGCCCTAAAATATTCGTAGAGGAGTAGCGTGAGATTGAATCAGCAGTCCTGGACTTTGAGGTCACAAAAATTGAAAGACAACGTTTTGTTAGAAGTTGAGCACCATGGAGAGAAAAGCACAGAGCTTGATTATTGGTTGACTCAGAGGCATTTACATATTCCATATCAAATCAAATATAATTTCTTGAGTGGCGATTAGTATTTTATTTTACTACATAGTATCATTGTTTAAATAGTATATAAGTTACCCTAAGAGATTACTTATTCTGAATAGGAAAATACTTTTGTTTCTTGGAACCAACAGCCAAAAGATCTCTTTCAGTTCTTGTCCTTAGGTGACTGAGAATAACAGAAAAAGGAAGTTGTTTTGCACATGTAGATTCTGTGGATTTTTATTTTGATAATTAAGTATCACTTTCATTTCCTGTGAAAGTATGAGAAGCATGGATGCAGAGGCATGCTACAATTTTTATGCACACTGGATAGTTTTTTTCTTCTTTAAACATGTCTAGCCAATTCAAATATGAGAATTTTACGTAGCTGGTCAGGCACGGTGGCTCACACCTGTAATCCCAGTACTTTGGGGAGTTGAGGTGGGCAGATCACTTGAAGTCAGGAGTTAGAGACCAGCCTGGCCAACAAGTTGAAACCCCATCTCTAATAAAATTACAAAAATTAGCCAGGCGTGGTGGTATATGCCTGCAGTCTTAGCTACTTGGGAGGCTGAGGCAGGAGAATCACTTGAACCCGGGAGGCGGAGGTTGTAGTGAGCCAAGATCGCACCACTGCACTCCAGCCTGGGCGACAGAGCAAGACTCTGTCTCAAAAAAAAAAAAAAAAAGAAAAAAAAGAATTTTAAGTAGCAGACTCTAGGTCTTAATATGGTTTATGATTGTAAATGTCTCAGGATAGACTCATTTGTTTAATGGGGTATATGATGTGATGCTAGTAATTCTTAGTGATGAAATTAAGCCTGTGTTTAAATCTTAAAGAAGTCAAACATCCAACTTTAAAATAATTATAGCTGGGCATTGTGGCTATATCCCAGCACTTTGGGAGGCCAAGGCAGGTGTATCACAAGGTCAGGGGATTGAGACCATCCTGGCTAACACGGTGAAATCCCGTCTCTACTGAAAATACAAAAAATTAGTAGAGTGTGGTGGCACACGCCTTTAGTCCCAGCTACTCGGGAGGCTGAGGCAGAATTGCTTGAACCCAGGAGCCGGAGGCTGCAGTGAATTGAGATCATGGCACTGCACTTTAGCGTGGGCGACAGCGAGACTCTGTCTCAAAAACAAACAAAACAATCACTAGATGGGCTTAGATGAGACAGATTTTGCCTATTATTTGTATTCCTTTAGAAAGTTTCCATAAAATTCATAATTATTAGGTAACAGAAAGCATGTATGCACACACAACTTCACAGTTTCAGGCTATTCTATGTGGGAGAAGATGATAGATATGAAGGGCCTGGTGGCATTTGACAAACAGAAGCAATGCAAATTTTGTGGGTGGAATACAATTTGAGAACTATTTGCCAGCTTGTTTTGGTTCATTTTTCATAGTCCAGTTCAATCTGTGAAGTTCCCTTGAAATGTAAGATAATCTCCTGGGGTGAAACAGGAACAAAGTGTTTGCATTATGAGTCCAGCTTCTCTCAGATAATTAGTAACTTTAGAAGGGCCATCAGTTGATCAATTAATTAATCAATCAATTATTACTTATTTGGACATCTATTTATTATCTAGTTCTCTGCTAAGTGTTGTGAGGAATATGGGAGAAATTTAATGCATAATCTCATACTTGCATCCATGTTACCTTCTGTGCCTTCATATGTGGGGTAGGGAGAAGGAAGTGTGCTATAGGAAGCCATGGATAGGCAGGGGTGTCAAACGGCAATTTTTTAGGTGTTTTAACATAAACACTTCTGCCGGGTGCAGTGGCTCGCGCCTGTAATCCCAGCACTTTGGGAGGCTGAGGCGGGCTGATATCTTAAGGCCAGGAGTTCGAGACCAGCATGGCCAACATGGTGAAACCCCGTCTCTACTAAAAATACACAAATTAGCCTGGCGTGGTGGCATGTGCCTGTAATCCCAGCTACTCGGAAGGCTAAGACAGGAGAATCACTTGAACCCGGGAGGTGGAGGCTGCAGTGAGCCGAGATTGCACCATTACACTCCAGCATGGGTGACAGAGCGAGACTCCATCTCAAACAAAAAAACAAAAAAACATAAACACTTCTGTCTCACTTTCTGAAGAACCTCTCCGATTGAGAAGGACTAAATGCAGCCCTTTTCATTTGCCTATTCCCCCTCTTCCTATTAGTCCAGGTGCCTGACATACCTGGAGTTCCTTTTATAAAATGTTTTCGTTAAATAAAAATTAGTCCAGATGGGTCACAGTTTGAACAGTCCTTAGACTACTAGCTTGACTGTCTTGTTCTCAAGGGTAATGTTTGTGTGTACTTTTTCTCCGTTAGCTCTGCCTCAAGGGAAAGAAAGCACATATAAGGCTTGTCAAACATGCAGTTCTTCTGGCAGCTTAGAGCCTGCTGGGGTGCATGGTTGTTTTTGGGGGGCAAGGGTGGGGCTCAAGTAATAGTAGAATAGGTTTGGACTGGGTGGCCCTTTCTTCTGAGCCTTGAATCTACTTCCAATGCTGCAGGAATCTATACCTAGGGGACTACTTTTAAATACTCCAGGTGTGTTGGGGCTAATGGGGAAGCTGACTCAACCAAGATAAACTGTACCACACTTTGGGTTATAGCTCCCATGGGGGAAAAAGGGGTATTTCTGGAAGCTTTTTATTTAGTATAGTTTCAGAATTCTGACATGATGTCTACCCTTCCAGTTATTTAAAACATTTTTATTTTTTTTTTTAGCAAAATGACTTTATAAAATTCACAAATAGCAATTAGAGCCAGCTTCTTCTTAATTCTCTTAAAAAATTCTTATGGTGGATCTTGACATCTCAGTTTTATTTGATCTAAAATTATTCCATATATTAGATGGTTTAAATCACCAATTCCTAAAGTGTAATCCTGGAAATACAAATTCCACAGTGTATTAATAAATCTTGCTTGGAAAAGGGTTCCACATCCAAATAAATTTGGAAAATGCTGGGCTGGGCCAAGTTCAGCAAGTTTCTTGACTGAGAGTCTTAATGTGAGATGTAATCCTCAGAGAGAGAATGTGCCAGGTTTCCCAGATACACTGGCCAGCTTCTTTCCCAGAGAGGAGCTTGCAGAACTGGTGTTCTAAGAACCGCATCTTGGGAAAACACTTGTTTATAGATTCATTTGTGTTTGAAAAGATTTAGTACAGAGGAAAAGTGGACACAGGGAAGGCAAAAGACTGTAAAGGGGTTTATTTTGGAGGGCGAACGGCATGAATTGGCATATCATTTTGGAAAACCTGATTTTTTTTTTTTTTTTTTTGAGGATCTCAATCTGTTGCCCAGGCTGGAGTGCAGTGGCTCATTGCAGCCTCAACATCCCAGACTCAAGCCATCCTCCCATCTCAACCTGCCAACCCCCTCAGCACTCCCAACTCCCTTCCCCCCACCCCAGTAGCTGGGACTACAGACATGTACACCACCATGCCTGGCTAATTTTTTTTTTTTAAATTTTTTATAGAGACAGGTGTTTGCCTTGTTGCCCAGGACTTAGGGAGACACAGGACCACTGACCCCCTCTTGCATTCTCTCACCATTTAGTGTCTGCTGTGAGCTGGGCGCTCTGTAGTGTGTCTGTGCATATGTGCGTGGATGGGACAGGGATCTAGACATTGTAAAAAAGCTGCATTGTAAAGAACTCTTGGGCTCAGGCAATCTGCCCTTCTTGGCCTTTCAATGTGCTGGGATTACTGGCGTGAACCACTGCGCCCAGCCTGGAAAACCTCTTTTAACTACACATTTTATTTTCTGGTCACTAAAAAGTAACCTAAGACCAAAAAGGCAACAGACAAACCTAGAACACATTATAAGAAAATGCATTTTATAACTTTTTTAAAATGCATTTAGGACAACAAATTGGTGAAAATATAAGGAAGCACTGAAAACAATGCATATTTTCAGGCGCAATTTAAAATAAGGATCTCATTAAGATTCATGTCCCAAGAACATTTTTATTTCTAAAATAGGCTTGGTTCAGCTGAGGCTTTTTATGTATAATTTAACAACGGAAACCATAACAAC
Source organism: Homo sapiens (assembly GCF_000001405.40). NCBI lineage: Eukaryota > Metazoa > Chordata > Mammalia > Primates > Hominidae > Homo > Homo sapiens. The sequence goes on along the minus strand of NC_000001.11, from coordinate 200,303,338 downwards.
AATAATGTATGGATAGGAAGAGTTTCTTCTCTTGAATGAACAAATTAGGTCATCATCAAGCAGTTTTATTTAATGGGAATCCCCCGTGAGGTATTCACATAGTGAGAAATAGTTCTTCTCCCTTTAGAGATGAACGCTGAAAAGAACATTCCACTCCATTTCACACAAGAGTGGAAGGGTGCAGTGAAAATTGGGAACGTGTTAATTCCTGACAGTGATGCTGGAGTGCGTCCGCCAATCCAGCTGTCAGCGCTGTTAGGAGCACGGCCGAGCCTGCAGCCACTACGTTCTGTACTTGTGCTAGGTCCGAGCGTTTGAAGAAAAGATAGCAGTTTCTCCCTTGCTCCCTGCTCCGTGGTTCCAGAGCAGGTCTCTGATTTGGAGCTTATTAATAGCTTTCCATAATAAGATCATCGATAAAATTCTGAGCACCCAGTGCATCTACAGTGTAAGAATTCTTACCAGTAGGGTGACAGCACAAAGGAAACTGAGGTTCTAATTTTGACTCCCCACGGGCGATAGGCATCTCCTCTTAAAAATCTGCGTGGTGCAGAAGGCTGGACTCGCGGTGCTGGGGATGACCTTGGAAACATCTCCAGCACCTTTCTCAGCAAGTCTAGATCTGCAACTGGGAGGGGAGGTTTTGCCGTTGATGGTGTGTGCAGCACCGGGGGAGGGAAATCCTGAGTTGAACTTCCTTCGGAGAGAGCCTAACCTTTCTACCAGGTCCCATGCTCCGGACAGGTATTCTTTGAATGTGTAAATTGAAGTCACGCTAAAAGTGACAATGCCGACCGGACTTGTGTACCTAATGGGATTTTGCAGTATAGACGAGGTTCTTTTAGGCAAGACTGTCAGGAGAGCGAACGCTCATTTTCGGTTTTGTTTTGCAAAGGCTTGCCACCCAGGGGGAGCTAACCTGCTCTGCCGGGGGTGCGGGGCCGGGCGCAGCCGCTCCGGGGCTCCCCCCTCCCGGGTCGCAGCAGCCGGGGGCGCGCGGAGCTGCGCCACGGTGAGGTTGCATCTCATGTTAATTGCTTTAACCTCTGGTAGTTTCAGCGGTTGTTGGCAGAAAGATTCGGGCTACAGTGCGTTATGGGATAAGGCTTCGGATCGTGCTCACCGGGGAAACAATGGGCTGGATTTTGAGGAAACCGACCCAAGACGTTCATTAGCCGCTTAGACACTCGGGGCCCTTTGCAAATATTAACATAGCCTGTGTATAAACTCCCAAGGGCAGGAGCTTCGTTGTTTGGTACGCGTTTTTTTTTTTAAATTAAAATAACGTAGTGCAGCGCCATGTTGAGTATTTAATAATTCCTTGAGAAAGTATTTTGGGGGAAAGGCTGATCAATAAAGAAAACGGAATTTCTTCCCCCCCGCCCCCGTCCCCGCATGCTTTTCTTCTGCATTTTACACTTACATGTATCTTAGAGAAAACCATACATAATATTTTAAAGAGCAACAAGGTGATCACCTTAAGTGATAAGAAACATGGCATTAGACTGAAAGCAGGGAGAGTTACCTCTAATAATAGCTCTCATTGAGTGCTTATTGCGTGTCAGGTACTCTGCACTGTCTCCTTTATTTAAATTAATTTAATTCTTTCCACTGCCTGGTGTGGTAGGCAGTGTTATCCCCACGTTGTGGGTGAGGGACTGTTTTCTCTACTGGCTGGCAGCAGAGGGTTCAGACCCTGTCTCTGGGGCCGGGTTTCTCCCCTCACCCCCTACAGGGCCTCAGATGGAGCCTGTGGCCAGCAGTAGCCTCAAGTATGGATCATAGCATCAGCAGCCTGCCTTTAAACCCAGCCTCCCCCACCTGAGCTGTGTGACTTTGACCAAGCTATTTAACCAGGGTTTCAGTTCATACATAGCTCCTGGGTTTGCTAGGAGATATAGAGCAATGTACACTGAGCCAGGGGATAGCAGGGGCTCAGTGAGTATTAGAAATGCACAATTGTTTTTGAGATGGGGTCTGGCTATATTGCCCAGGCTGGTCTCAAACTTCTGGGCTCACACAATTCTCCTGCCTCAGCTTCCTAAAGTGCTGGGATTACAGGTGTGAGCTGCGGTGCCCAGCCAGAAATGTAAAATTCATAGGAGTGTTACTTCTTTATCTCTCAGTAGCCGGTGACTTAGCCCACAACCTGCAAATGTGTTGTAAAAACAATACAGTGAAGACGCAGGAGAATTTAGGAGTTGAGCTTGAATCTGGAAAAGGTGCTACTGGGATACAAATCCTAGCTCTGCCTTGCTGGTTGCATGATGGAGAAGGTTAATTAACTGCTCGGTACCTCAGTTTCCTCCTACGTAACATAGAGACAATAATAGGGTTGTTATGAGACTAAGATGAGGGGATGATTAGGAACTACTGTACATGGGGCATGGCATCTAGTTAGGGAAAAATAATTGTGTCTGTTATTATCTTCTGCAGCTGTTAAAATGGTGCATTTTCTTTTCTGTATTTAAATGCTAATGGTTCCAGAAGAGAACCATTGTCTTTCTGTCTTAATATTCTCCTGTTCACACTTTGATTTATATTCTCATGGTATTTTGCTTAGATATTGACACTATTTCACCTTTTTTCTTAATGGGTTACAAATATCGGCCTGTAATATTCTTATGTCTCCTTTTGGACTTAGGGAGACACAGGACCCTCTTGCATTCTTTCACCATTTAGTGTCTGCTGTGAGCTGGGCGCTCTGTAGTGTATCTGTGCAGTGTGCATGGATGGGACAGGGATCTAGACATTGTAAAGAAGCTGCACTCCCCCTCAAGAACTCCAGAAGGAAAGAAAGCAAGACAGAAAGTAAGTTTTAGTAATCCAAGGCAGAACGAGGTGAGAGCATCTAGACAAGGCGCCAGGCAGGCAGGCTGCATGAGGAGGTGTCAAGTCAGGAGTGAGGTGGAAGCTGAGATGGGCTTTGCATGGGTAGAATTCCTGAAAGTATAGAGTGGAGAGAGGCCTGGGAGAGGGAACGAGAACCTGAGCAAAACTGTGGAGGTGGACATGGAAGAAGGTCATGGGAACACATGTCTCGTGGAAATGTGTTAAATAAAGCATAAGGAAGGAGAGTAGTGAAGGATGTGGCCAAATGAAGTCCGACGGGAGCCTGAGGATGGGAGACCACGGAGAGGTGAGATTTCCCAGGGTCTGAGGAGGGTGAGGAGCAGTTTCATGAGTGTTTTTGGTAAGGGGTGAAAGGTGAAAGGAGATTCTAGCTGCCTGGGCTCTGGGGTGGGGGACACAGCTGCAAATGGCACTGAGGGTTTTAGGGAGACAGGGAATGAAGTATCTCCACAGTGCCTTGGGCTTCATTTCTCATGCCGTGCTGCTGCTGGGGCAGGGTTGGCTGAAGTTGAAGGGGTGGAGAAGGGGAGATGGTGGATGGAGACTTGGGTTTTCATTGCTTCTGAGCTTCCTGTGCCCTGGCACTGATTTTCTCACAAAAACCGTATTGGAAAATGTCCCCAGGTTCTAAAGTGAACTCATAAAGCCCATTAATCCACAGCATACCACATAATATAGCATTCCACAGTACAATTGGTATGAACTCCTAAGACCATGTCATGGGATAGGATGTCTGTGGGTAATTCATTGCAAATTCCAAATATGTAATCAGCTAGGAACATGATGGTCAGCTGGGATTCTTTTACATGAAATGGTTCCACTCTATGCCTGGCCTGGAGAACACCTGTTCTATTACAAATGGCCTGATAAAATTTGAGTTGGTAATTTTTTTAGAGATAGGGTCTTGATATGTTGACCAGGCTAGCCTCGAAATTCTGGGCTGAAGTGATTGTGTTACCTCAGCCTCCTGAGTAGCTGGGACTATAGGTGTGCACCACTTCACGTGGCTAGTTTATGTATTTTTTATGGTTTAGACTTTAAAAGACACATCAAATATGGTTCTTCTATTGCATTTTCAGGTAATACATTTTTATCCTATACTTAAGGAGAAAACATACTTAGTCAATAGCAGTTGTCATTGTCAATTCTTTTTTTTTTTTTTTTTTTTTTTCTGGAGACAGAGTCTCACTCTGTCACCTAGGCTGGAGTGCAGTGGCACCATCTTGGCTCACTGCAACCTCTGCCTCCCAGGTTTAAGTGATTCTCCTGCCTCAGCCTCCTCAGTAGTTGGGATTACAGGTGCGTGCCAGCACGCCCGGCTAATTTTTTGTATTTTTAGTAGAGACGGAGTTTTGCCATGTTGGCCAGGCTGGTCTTGAACTCCTGACCTCAGGTGATCCACCTGCCTCAGCCTCCTAATGTGTTAGGATTACAGGTGTGAGCCTCCGTGCCCTGCCTCCTCATTGTCGATTCTTGATCATCAGCCTTTTAAACCGATTCTAGTACTGTTTTCCTGTCCTGGGATTTTAGAATTTTTATGGTTAATATGATTATGAGAGATCACTCTTAGATACTTGTGTGGATAAAAACTATATAGAGCTCAATTGTGGGATATATTTAAAAGTTAATCCTGTTAAAGGAGAAAGAATTCTAATACCTGTTAAAAATGGTATCAGAATAATTAGCTGGGCATGGTGGCATGAACTTGTAGTCCCAGCTACCCTGGAGGCTGAAGTGGGAGGATTGTTTGAGCCCAAGAGTTTGAGGCTGCGGTGAGCCCTGATCATGTTATCGCACTGCAGCCTAGGCGACAGAGCAAGACCTCGTTTCAAAAAAAAAACAAAAAAAAAACACCCAAACCCCACAAAACCCAAAAACAACACACACACACACACACACACACACACACATATTATGGAGCACCCTACATGTACATGTACCAGATACTGTGCTAGACACAAGTGAATCTGCTCTGATTAAAATCAATCCCAGTGTCATAGAACTTTAAGTTGGAAAAACACACAGTTAAGTAAATAATTAAGCAAATCATTCCAGGTGTGCCAAGTGCTGTGCAGGCAAAGTACAGAGTGCTATGGGAGCAAGTAGTAGGGACCACACCTGTTCTTATGAGAGAGTGGCCAGGGCCAGCTTTGACAGACAAGATGGACAAGGTGGACAGATAGGAGTTAGCCAGGTAAAGAGAGAGGATGAGTTAGCAGAGGAAGTCGAGTGTATGGCAGTTGAGATGTATGAAGAACTCAGGAGGGGGTCAGATATGGTTGCAGGTGAGATATTGCCTGAGAAGCTGCTGAGAGATGAGACGACAGAAGTCAGATCAATCATGGTCTTACAGGCTCTCTTGAGGAGTTAGATCTTCATGCCAAGAGCAATTGGAAGCCACTGAAGACTTTGAAACCAACAATGACCAGATTCATATTGTATGATAAGATTTGTATTATAAAAATTGTGATTTTGGCAGTGGAATGGAGAATGGGTTGGAAGGGGTCACGAGTAAAGGAGACTAGTTAGCAGCCCATGGTTGCTGAGGTCCAGGTGAGATATGAAGGGGGCCTGGACCAGGGTGGTGACACTGGATGAGGAAGACTTAAGAGTCAAGATATACCATATTACCTTGATCCTGAAATGTAAGTATGTTTCATGTTTTTATCTCTAAAATGGGGATAAGGCTTAGAATTGGTGATACTGATTCTTTCTTAGAGATACGAGTGACAATGGTGCATCTAACAATCCGTGGCCTGTTGTTAGATGAAATTTGGTGTTTGGGAGACAAAAGCTGCAGGACTTGCTGGTGTCATTGAGCTCAATGGGTCGGGGGCTTGAGCAGCTGAATGAATGGTAGAACTGCAGGTTCTGACAGAGAAAAGGCTTTATGGGAACAGTTTTAGTCTTTAGCCCTAAAAAAAAAAAACAAAAAAAAAAAACAAAAAAACATGGCAGGCCGGGTGCAGTGGCTCATGCCTGTAATCCCAGCACTTCAGGAGGCCGAGGCAGGCGGATCACGAGGTCAGGAGATCGAGACCATCCTGGCTAACACGGTGAAACCCCGTCTCTACTAAAAATACAAAAAAATTAGCCAGGCGTGGTGGCACACATCTGTAGTCCCAGCTACTTGGGAGGCTGAGGCAGGAGAATCACTTGAACCCAGGAGGTGGAGGTTGCGGTGAGCCGAGACTGCACCACTGCACTCCAGCCTGGGTGACAGAGCGAGACTCCATCTCAAAAAACAGAAACAAAAACAAAAACAAAAAAACCATGGCAAAGGCCAAACTAGAAAAGTTATTAGTTAATATGTGCCAGAAGTTGAGTTACCATTTTTTTTTTTAAGAGGTGGGGTCTCACTATGCTTCCCAGGCTGGTCTCAAACTCCTGGGCTCAAGCAACCCTCTTGCCTCAGCTGAGGCTACAGGCTCATGCCCCTGCTCTCAGCTTGAGTTGCCAATTTTAAAGGTTGTGAAATAGGATATCTAGGTTTTAATTGTTGATATTAATTGTTGATACTAAACTGTTGTGTTCGTTTTATGAAATACTGTTTTGTTAATTGCTGAAATTAAACTGGCTTTAGGGACAAATGAACCATCTCCCAGTTTGATCTCTTGGTCCTTGGTCGGCAGAGCTCACCCTTTTAAGGTGGCATATTTACATTCCCTGCCATCTTTTAGCATCCCTTTAGCTTCAATTTTCCTGTCTCTTGAGGACAGAATAGCTTTAAATTGTAAATGACTGACTTCATGGTGATACTAAATATTTGTTGTGCTGGTGTCTTCATGGCTCAAATGTTCTGGAATGTTCTTTTTTTCTTTTTTTAAGATACCGGGTCTCACTATGTTGTCCAGCTGGTCTCTGAACTTCTGGGCTCAAAGCATCCTCCATCCTCAGCCTCTCGAGTAGCTGAGTTTATAGGTAGGGGAGCCACCTCACCTGGAGTCCTATTTTTTACTGCCTCTTGACAAAGCAACCAAGTTTGACACAGTGTTTATTAGGCAAAGGAGTCATTCATGGTGGGTAAATATTTATTTTTCTTCCAGCTTACCCAATGTGGAGGATATTTTTAGCTCAAGGCCTGTAGGGAATGGTTATTAGTAGCAGGAGTAGGGAGGTTTGAAATTCCAAAGGTTCTGTCCTGGACTTGCCTATGGCAAAATTTAAAACATTGCTGTCTGCTATGGACTGAATGTTTGTGTCCTCTCAAAATGCACATGTGGAAATCTTAATTCCCAATGTGGTAGTATTTGAGGTCAGGCCTTTGGGAGATAACTAGGTCATAAGGGAGGGAGGCCTCATGAATGGGATTAGTGTTCATATAAGAAGAGACAGAGAGAGATGATTTCTCTTTCCTCCATGTGAGGATGCAGGAAGAAGCTGTCTATAAACCAGGAGGAGGTCTTTCACCAAGAACTCAACCGTGCTGGCATTCTGATCTCAAACTTCCAGCCTCCAGAACTAGGATAAATACATTTTTGTTTAAACCACTCAGTCTGTGGTATTTGTTATCACAGCCCAAACTAAGGGCACCATCTAACATATTCTCTTCATCTTGCAAATACAAAGATTATTATAAAATGCTTTTAGGCTGGGCATGGTGGCTCATGCCTGTAATCCCAGCACTTTGGGAGGCTGAGGCTGGAGGATCAACTGAGGTCAGGAGTTCAAGGCCAGCCTGGCCAACATGGTGAAACCCAGTCTCTTCTAAAAATACAAAAATTAGCTGGGTGTGGTGGCATACACCTGTAGACCCAGGTACTCGGGAGGCTGAGGCAGGAGAATCTCTTGAACCTGGGAGGTGGAGGTTGCAGTGAGCCGAGATTGGGCCACTGCACTCCAGTCTGGGCGACAGAGTGAAACTCTGTCCCAAGGAAAAATAAATAAATAAATAAATAAATAAAAAGCATTTAATTTTTTTATTGCTTAGTTAATAATAAACATGAATCACCAGCAATGAGATAAGTATTCTCAAGAAACAGCTAGTGTTTTAGATGTCTTATACTGTACCTCTGTCCAAATAATTCTAATTTAGTGGTCAAATTATTACATTTTTAATGTTGTTATTTTGAAGATTATTTTATTTACTTATTTATGTAATTTCAACTTTTATATTAGATTCAGGGAGTACATGTGCAGGCTTGTTCCATGGGTATATTATGTGGTGCTGAGGTTTGAAGTATGGATCCTCTCACCCAGGCAGTGAGCATAGGGCCCCATAGGTGGCTTTTCAACCCATACCCTTCCACCCCTCCCGCCTCTAGTAGTCTGCAGTGTCTATTGTTCACATCTTTATGTCCATGTGTACTCAATGTTCAGCTCCCACTTAGAAGTGAGAACACGTGGTACTTGATTTTTTGTTCCCACATTAATTCCCTTAGGATAATGGCCTCCAGCTCCATCCATGTTGCTGCAAAGCACATGATTTTGTTTTTTTATGGCTGCGTAGTATTTCATGGTGTATATGTACATTTTCTTTATCCAATCCACCATGGATGGGCACCTAGGTCTTCACTGTTGTGGATACTGTTGTGATGAGCATGCAAGTACATGTGTCTTTTTGGCAGAATGATTTATTTTCCTTTGGGTATATACCCAGAAATGCGATTGCTGGGTTGAATGGCAGCTCTATTTTAAGTTCTTCGAGAAATCTCCAAACTGCTTTCCAGAATAACTGAACTAAGCATTTTAAACAGTTTCTAAGTGTTTTCCTTTGCTGTGGAATTGGTCTTACGACAGAGCCGAGGAGGGGGGAAACTGATAACTACTATGGGCATCCTTGAAAGCAGATTCTTAAGATCTGTGACTTCTGTTTTGGGGGATCATTAGAGGATGCCCTTACACAGCCACTTACTTTTGGGAATTGGAACTTTGGAATTGCTGCTGCACGTTTCCTGGTCTTGTCTTGTTCAGGAGGTGAAGGAGTCCATGGAATAGAATAGAGCAAAGGGAGCTAAGCTTGGAAGAAATGGTTCAACTTCCTGCACTTCAACTGCACAGGATGAAGAGGTTTCATTTGTCTCACTTGGCTGGAAGTACAGGAAGTGGTGCCTGACAACTCATCCAGGTCTACAGTTGGAGCTCTCTGGCAACCAGAGTACAGAAACCAGATATATTGACAGGTAAAACAGTATGAGCTCCTGATCATGGTAAAAGCTTGGGATATGCCTGCTTCTGATATGGCTCTTTTGCCTACAGCCATCAATAATAATTTAGCAAATCTTGTCTCTGTTTATACTCATACGAGTATATGTTATTGAGGGGAACAAGCAAGATTAATTTATTTCGAATGCGAGAAGTCATTTTATGAGTTAGATAATAATGTGGACCTCATGAAACAAAATGATCAGTTCCTAGATGCCCTGGAGAGGATTACAGCACGGCACTGCATGTCACTCTTTTTATCTATAGCTTTAAAGCAGAATATTATTGCACTAGCAGTTTTCGTATGCTGAGATATGCAGAATGCCAAGGGAACAAGCACCAACCCCGTGAGTTCTGCTCTGGCACCTGCTTTTAGGATCTAGAAGAATAAGAGCTATTGGCCTACAGGACATTATCAAGCTTTCCAATTGTGAATGTTAATAATAATAAACATCTTACATTTTTATTGGGTGATTAAAAAATGTGTAAGTACTTGAATACCAAGTCTGTATCTTGGTGGTTTCTTGAGAATACTTATCTCATTGTTGGTGATTCACGTTTATTATTAACTAAGCAATAAAAAAAGCTTTTTATAATAATGAATAAGTTACTTTAAATGAATATATAAAAGGCGTTGATGTTTTCACTATGCAAAAAATTATGGCTTGGCGTGGTAAACTGGTGAGGAAACATGGTCCCAGGACAAATGAAATTAGGCTGCCAGGAGTTCCATGCTATTTCTGCTGAAGGTTTTTGATGACTCTCTTCAAAATGATCCTCTCATTAACACTGGTCTAGCCTCTAGTTCCATCAATCAAAAAACAGTTGCTGAGCCCCTTCGGTGGAAAAATAAAACCTTTTCTAGTGCAGGAAGGCATGCAAAAGGAAATCATGTAAATGGGACTATGGTCCCTGTTTAAAACCTAAAATGGGGCAACAGGGCCTCTGCTATAAATATGGTACCTTTGGGTGATGCTGAAAAAGGTGCTGCCCGCTTTGGGTACATATAGCCTTTCAGGCTTGGGTTTAATGGACAGGCTTACACTGTGCTAATTAGGAATATGAGCACTTTGCATTGACTAAGCTCGCATCAGGTCACACAATGGGTTGCATAGAACTTGGGCTGCATTTCAGCCCCCATTTTCCTTCTGCCCCACTGTACTTTGTGGCTTTACTTACAGGTAGTTTCAAGTTGATGAATTTTTTCACAGTCGTGTCTTCCTGTTCACAGTAAGAGTTAGGCAGAGAATATAGATGAGCATGCAAGTTTCTCATTTTTCCTGATGAACACACACATGATGAGGACTCTACTGAGGCTGCTACAATAGGACGTAATACATGAGGAAGAGAAAGCCCAGAACAATTGACATGCTTTTCTAGGCAATTGAGTGGTAATCCAGGATTATGATTTCTAAATGTCTGCTCAGTGCTTGCAATCACATTCTTGACAGTAGTGGCATGTAACATTGTTAAAGCAAACGTCTAGGAAGGCTTAATGCATGTGCTTTGTCATCAGAATTAAACCCAAATTTCTTAAACTGACATTCAAGTCCCTTTGTGCTTTGGTCTCAATTTACCTTCCTAGACTTTTTCTCTGATGCTCCATCATAGGATGTATGCTACAGTCTCATCAAAATGCACCATTCAAGGTTCTCTAAACCCTAAGCTTTATGTTTAAATAGTGCAAAGTGCATCTACTCCTTATCCATCTGTTGAAGTCTCTTCCATTCTAAATGACTCAGCTGGAGTATTGATTACTTTCTTTACAAAGCATCTGATGCTTTCCACCTACTGTGATTTCTGTCTTCTGAATCTGGATAGTGTTTTAATTGTTATGGTGTGTTTAGTTTACTGTCTTAAAGTTACTTATTTCTTTTTTTAATGCTCATTGAGGATAATAATGATTATTTATCTTTCTGTTTTCTACAGCACCTTGTTTCTTAATTAAGGGAGGGGAACAATGTATGCTGTGTTTTTTTTTTAAATTATTTATTTATTTATTTCAATAAGGGCTTAAATTCAGGGGTAAGAATATGCTGTTTGAATGAATGAATTCATTGATTTATTTATTTAGGAATTAAATTTGGAACACATTGAGTTTTCTCTTAGTAAAATAGCATGATTCCAGTGTCCTTAATTACATTAAAATATGCACATTTATCTTTACTTTGATATTTCTATTTCTATTTTTTAAAAATATATGCTATAAACAGAAGCATTGTGATACCACGACAGTTGATCTGATAACCCAGATGGCTACTAAGAGATTTCATCATGCCACTCAGAAGGGCACAAAATTAAAAACTTATAAATTATGTTTTGGATTTTTCTTTTAATATTTTTGGACAGTGGTTGGCTGCAGGTAGGTGAAACTGGAAAGCAAAACTGCAGATAAGGGAGAACTACTGTAACATGATAAAGAAATGAACCTTTGTTGTTGTAAGTCATTGGATTTGGGTTTTTTGTTATTGTTGTTATTGCAACATAACCTAGTGAAAACTGTCTGATGTGTGGGCTTTCTATTTGAAAAACTATCAGGACTGAAAGATAAATAGGAGTTTATCTGCTTAGAAGAAACCTAGGGTTTTGGGGCATTCCAGGCAAAGACAAGAGCCCCTTGAGGGAAATATTTTCTTGACTCATCAAGTTCTGAATATCGGGATCTAGTTCCAAAATTCCGTGCTTTTTCAATGAATTCTGAATTAGAAGTATTCAAGAATTTGCATCTGTGCCACCTGAAGTCATGGCCTACCTATTTTGGATCTGAAAGGGACAGGAGAGAAACTCAAGATACTGAGAACCCTGTGCCAATTCTTGAGCTGAGGGCTTTTTGCATCCTGCTGTCATTTGCAGCTCTTGGGCTCCTAATGAAACATTTAAAGCATCCCTCTTCTCCTATTTCATCAGGAAATTGTAACACTTCTGCTTAATCCACAAACGATCTCAATTATTCTCCCTTCCTTAGCAAATAGGGAAACTATTTACTGTTTGCCTCTGTAAATAATTTTTGGTTCATTGCTTACTGTATATGTCACAAATTTGAACCAGTAAAACACACTTCAGGAATGTGTTTTGGTGGTAAAATTTGCAATTATAAAAGAAGACATGACAGTGATTCCCTGGATACTGGCCAATAAGTCTCCAACCAGAAGCCACAGGAGCAGAATAAAGTCGCTGGAGTCAGGAATGGATCTTTAAAAGAATTTTATTTTGTTGTGTTTTTCCCCACATTATTTCAATGCTGTGTGCACACTGTAGAAAACACAGAAAAGGAATAAAGAGGTGTATTTTATTAAAAATAGTTCCCTTTCTGGATTATACATATCATAGACATAGTTTTCAGTTGTCATTTTGGAAGATATATTATCTTTGATTTTTAAAAAGATAAATGCTTTTTGAAGACAATATGAAAAATACTTGAAAATATGAAGGAGAAAATAAAACCCATCCATAATGTCACCACTCAGAAAGAATCATTTTGGACTTTTTGAAATTTGGAAACATTTTGAGCTATATGTATGACTATTCAGTAAAATTCTGTAAGGCGATTTTTGATTGGCTCTTGTTCTGAAACCAGGACAAACTAGAGGTTGCCATCCTGACTCCGATGATTTCCCTTGGAGGTATTCTATACAAGATCTGCTTATGTATTTGTCTTGCATCTTTCTTTGTTCTTCTACCCTCCTCCCTACCCCATGATTCTAGTATAATCATGGCACATGATTCTAGACTTCACACCACTTAGGCTGGCTACTCAGAGTGACTTCATTCTCCTGTTCACAGAAGGTGACCAGAGTCAGGCCACCCAGAGGCCTTTTGATGGGATTGCTACGGGGGTGAAAGAGCTGTGCTTTTTTCTCTGCGAGAGTTGTTGTGAGGATGGAATCCCCTGGGGCTGTTGGTGCCATCTTTCTGCCTGTGGAGAGAACTGATGTAAATGAAGCCAAGCAGAGGCATGCAGAACTGAGCAATAGGGAGAGAGAGATACAGTCCCACTGCCACTATTTGCACCCCTGGATCTAGCGGGATCTGTTGTGTGAGCTGGTAAACTCTCCTTTATGCCAACACTACTGTGAATGAGGTTTTGTCCCTTGTGATGGAAGCAGGTCTGACTGATAGAGATTCCCAGAGCTGAGCTCCTCACTGGATCAAAGGGTCAAAGAGCATCTGAAGGCTCTTCGTACACTGTGTTACCAGATTGTGTGGTGGAAAGATTGTACCAAGTTACTCTCTTAAACCAACGTTGAGAATTTCTGTCTTCTCAGACCCAAGTGATGACTTGGGCATCATCATTTCAAATTATTTCTTTTTGCTAATTTTATCAATTAAAAAATGAAAACTTTAAATTTGTATTCTTTAAGTTACTAATGAGGCGACATGTATTGATGGAACTATGTTTGTCTCATGTGAATTTTCTGTTTTCTGCTGTTACTCCCTGACCTATTTTTCTACTAGTGTCTTATTTTCCATGTTTTTCAAGTATAGAGTTTAACGGCATTAAGTACATTTGCATTGCTGTGCCTAGTGCTTTTTTTTTTTTTTTTTTTTTTTGAGGCAGGGTCTCAGGTTGGAGTGCAGTGGCGCAATCACAGCTCACTGCAGCCTTAATCTCCCTAGTTTACTCTCGTAGGTCTTGCTATGTTGCCCAGACTGGTCTCTAACTCCTGAGCTCTCAGATTGGTCTCTAACTCTTGAGCTCAAGCGATCCTCCCGCCTCACCCTCCCAAAGTGCTGGGATTACAGGCATGAGCCACCACACCCAGCCACATTATTGTACTTCTTTTCCTTTTAATCAGTTTGCAAAATCCCTCTCTATATAAGGCACTTTACGAATATTTATAACAAATATTTTTATTGATTTTTCTTTTTCTTTTAAAACTTGTGTTGTAGTTAATTCATTACCTTTGTGATTTCTAAATTTTGGGTTTCGAAAGGATTCCCCACCTGACATTAGATAAATATTCTCATACATTTTTTTCCTAAAATTTTAGTTTCACTTTTGGCTGGGCGCGGTGGCTCATGCCTGTTATCCCAGCACTTTGGGAGGCTGAGACGGGCAGATCACCTGAGGTCAGGAGTTCGAGACCAGCCAGGCCAACATGGTGGGACCCTGTCCCTACTAAAAATACAAAAATTAGCCAGGCGTGGTGGCGGGTGCCTGTAGCCCAAGCTACTCAGGAGGCTGAGACAGGAGAATCACTTGAACCCATGAGGCAGAGGTTGCAGTGAGCCGAGATCGTGCCATTGCACTCCAGCCTGGGTGACAGAGTATCTTGATCTCAAAAAAATAAATAAATAACAAATTAAAAAACATATCTATATAAAATAAAATTTTAGTTTCACTTTTAATTTATTTTTATTTTTACAATTAACATTTCTCTTTATTTTGGTATGCAGAGTGTCTAGTAAGAGTCTAACTAGATTTTTTTTTTCCTGGTACAACACAGGTGCTCACTATCTCCTGTGGAAGCTTGAATGAATTAGATAAGGGAGCGTTCCAAAAAAGGGCATTTTGGAAATTTGTGGGCGCATTTTTTGGTTGTCACAGTGATGAGGAGCTGCCGGCATTTAGTGGGCAGGGACAGAGGAAGCTAGACATCTTGGCCTTTGTGGGACAGATCAGTACAATGTAGCATTGTCCAGCATCCTGCTTTACTTTGGAATACCCTCGTGAATTAAATGTTATTAAATATAAACCAGTAGTAATTTAATACATAATAATACTAAATAATCATAGAAAATTATTATAGGAATACCCAACACTATAGGATGGTGTTATGGAGAGGAAAGGTGAAATGAAATAAAGACATTTCCTCAACATTATTGTTCAATGTAGTCTAACATGTCCAACTGCATTTTTAGTTGAAAAGAGTTTCATCATAAGCAAGGAAAACCCACGGCAAATGAGTACTGGAGATTCCTTTAAAGATTCTTAGAACCAGGCAGGGCGCGGTGGCTCACACCTGTGATCCCAGCACTTTGGGAGGCCGAGATGGGTGGATTGCTTGAGCTCAGGAGTTTAAAACCAGCCTAGGCAACATGATGAAACCCTGTTTCTACAAAAAATTAAAAAAATTAGCTGGGTGTGGTGGAATGTGCCTGTGGTCCCGGCTACTCAGGAGGCTAAGGTGGGAGGATCGCTTGAGCAGGGGAGGCAGAATCAAGGAGAATCTCTTGAACCCGGGAGGCAGAGTTTGCAGTGAGCCAAGATCACACCACTGCACTCCAGCCTGGGCGACAGAGCGAGACTGTGTCTTAAAAAAAAAAAAGATTTCCAGAACCAAATGATTAACTACTGGAGACACATTAATTTCAAGGATTGCATTGAATTTTAAGAATAGCTTAGTTTTAAAATATTTCATTTTATTGTCATGCTATATATTCAAACATTTTTGTTGTTTTGTTTTTAGAGACAGGGTCTCTGTCACCCAGGCTGGAGTACAGTGGCACAATCATGGCTCACTGTAGCCTTGACCTCCTGGGCTCAAGCAATCCTCCCACCTCAGCCTCCTGAGTAACTGGGACTACAGATGTGTGTCTAAAACGTGTTTTTTGGTTGCCAGATGTCAGAAAGAAATCTATATGGTGAAAATTTCATGGTAAAATTATTTCTAATTATAGGAGTTGGTTCTCCTTTTTTCAGTCTTTCCCTGACGCTGTTTCTGGAAGTCTCCTGTATAACCTTTTTCTAGTCTGTCTTACTAATTTTCTCTTTTGATTCCCTTCTCTATTCCCTGGAGGATTCTTAAGTTCCAGACACTGACTGTAAGTTTATTATTATTCTTTTTTAGACAGAGTTTCGCTCTTGTTGCCCAGGCTGCAGTGCAGTGGTGCAATCTTGGATCATGGCCACCTCTGCGTCCCAGGTTCAAGAGATTCTCCTAAGCCAGCCTCCCGAGTAGCTGGGATTACAGGCATGCGCCACCACGCCTGGCTAATTTTTTGTATTTTTAGTAGAGACGGGGTTTCTCCATGTTGGTCAGGCTAGTCTCAGGTGATTCACCTGCCTTGGCCTCCCAAAGTGTTGGGATTACAGGTGTGAGCCACCGCATCCGGCCAGACTGTAAGTTTTAATATGCAGTGGGATTTCCCGAGAGGAGACATGTTTGCTATGAGACTTTGTCCCCACCTTGCTTCCAGTCATAACAGGGGTAATTATTCGATGCCTCCCTGTAAACTAGGCCCTATTTGTTGGCAAGAATATCAGTACTAACTCATTTTCTCCACTTTGAGGGTCTGTAATTTGTCTTGGCATGCTTTTTCTCCTCTAATTAGGGTAATTTCTTTCTTTCTTTTAGAATATACACATAAGCCTTGTCTGTTACCGTTTTTTAAACACTAGATGTTATTCTAGCATCCACCTGTACCTCTGCTGCTTAACCATACTGTACTTCTTGTGTGGACTGCCTTCTTATCTTCTGTTAAATCCAAACTTAGTTTAAGTAGGGGCAAGCATCTGACTTCTTAATTATGTCTTCTAATTTAGTTGTGTTCAAGCATTTAGATATTGAAATATATATATATTTTAATTATAAATCCTTTTGATATGATGAGTACATTGTATATATTTTTGACATTATGTATATAGGTAGGTTATTTTGTCTGAGTTATATCTCAGGATGGTATGGTGAGACTAAAAATATTTGTTATCTGAAGAAGTTGTTAGGTTTCATATAGCGGAGAATTGCCGGGAAAAGTGAATGGATATTTTTTGATAAGTGCATGGAGAAAAAGAAGGGAAATAATAGCCATCACTTTTATGATGCTTACTACGAGCCAGGCAACTTACCTCATTTATATCTCATAACAACCCTGTGAAGTGGGCACTGTTGTTATCCACGTTATACAGGTGAGAAAAGCGAGGCACAGAGAAGATAAATAAGTCCCCAAGGCCACAGCTGCTAAGAGGCAGAGACTCAATGTGCCGATTACTTCCAGGAACTTTTACATGATTTAATCTATTAACCTTCACAATTTCTTTTTTCTTTTCTTTTTTTTTTTTTGAGATGGAGTCTCGCTCTGTTGCCCAGACTGGAGTGCAGTGGTGCGATCTCGGCTCACCACAAGCTCCGCCTCCTGGGTTCACGCCATTCTCTTGCTTCAGCCACCCGAGTAGCTGGAACTACAGGTGCCTGCCGTCGCGCCCGGCTAATTTTTTGTATTTTTAGTAGAGACGGAGTTTCACCGTGTTAGCCAGGATGGTCTCGATCTCCTGACCTCGTAATCCGCCTGCCTCGGCCTCCCAAAGTGCTGGGATTACAGGCGTGAGCCACTGCACCCGGCCCACAATTTCTATGAGATAGGTACTGTTATTATCTCTATTATACAAATGTAAGAAGTGAGGCACAGTGTGATCATGCAATTTGCCCAAAGTTAAACAGGTTGGTAGATCCTGGATTCAAACCCAGAGTCTGTGCTCTCAGTTACCATATTGCCTGGCCTCTAGCAGAGACCATCTCTACTTTATGTCTTTTTGCCATCAAGCTACACTAACTGCTGCCAAAAAAAATTAAAAATTAAAAATAAAAATCTTCAATTTATTTTCTTTCTTTCTTCCATTCTTTCTCTCTCTCCCCTCTCCTCCCCTCTCCTCCTCTCCCCTTCCCTTCCCTTCCTTGAGAGGGGATCTTGCCCAGGCTGGTCTCAAACTTCTGGCCTCAAGCAGTGCCCCTACCCTGACCTCCCTTACAGATGCGAGCCACCACACCCAGCTTGCCCATCCTTCCTTCCTTCCTTTTTTCTTTCCTTCCTTCCTTTCTTCCTTCCTCTCTCTTCTCTCTCTCCTTCCTTCCTTGCCCATTTGCTTTCTTTCCCTTCCTTTCTTTCTTTCTTTTCGTTCTTTCGTTCTTTCTTTCTTTCTTTCTTTCTTTCTTTCTTTCTTTCTTTCTTTCTTTCTTTCTTTCTTTCTTTCTTCTTTCTTCTTTCTTTCTTTCTTTCTTTCTCTCTTTCTTTCTTTCTTTTGATAGAGTCTTGCTCTGTCACCCAGGCTGGAGTGCAATGGCATGATCTTGGCTTACTGCAACCTCCACCTCCTGGGTTCAAGTGATTCTCCTGCTTCAGCCTCCAGAGTAGCTAGGATTACAGGCGCATGCCACCACGCCTGGCTAATTTTTGTATTTTCAGTAGAGACAGGGTTTCACTATGTTGGGCAGGCTGGTTTCGAACTCCTGACCTCAGGTGATCCATCTGCCTCGGCCTCTCAAAGTGCTGGGATCACAGGTGTGAGCCACCGCACCTGGCCTTTCTTTTTAAAAAAATATATTATTGCCACTGAGCCATTTTGAAGTATCTTTCTTCTTTCCTTCCTTTATTCCTTCCTTCCTTCCTTCCTTCTTTCCTTCCTTCCTTCCTTCTTTCCTTCCTCTTTCTCTTTCTTTCTTTCTTTCTTTCTTTCTTTCTTTCTTTCTTTCTTTTCTTTCCTTTCTTTCTTCCCTTCCTTCCTTCCTTCCTTCCTTCCTTCTTTCTTTCTTTCTTTCTTTCTTTCTTTCTTTCTTTCTTTCTTTCTCTTTCTTTCTTTCTTTCTTTCTTTCTTTCTTTCTTTCTTTCTTTCTTTCTTTCTTTCTTTCTTCTTCTTTCTTTCTTCTTCTTTCTTTCTCCTTCTTTCTCTCTTTTTTGAAACAGAGTTTTGCTCTGTCACCCAGGCTGGAGTGCAATGGTGTGATCTCAGCTCATTGCAACCTCTGCTTCCTGGGTTCAAGAGATTCTCCTGCCTCAGCCTCCTAAGTAGCTAGGATTACAAGTGTGCACCACCACGCTTGGCTAATTTTTGTATTTTTATTAGAGACAGGGTTTCACCCTGTTGGCCAGGCTGGTCTTGAATTCCTGACCTCATGTGATCCACACGCCTCCATCTCCCAGAGTGCTGGGATTACAGGCCTGAGCCACCATGCCCAGCCTCTTTTTTTCTTTTTAGATGTGGGATCTTGCTGTGTCACCCACGCTGGAATGCAGTAGCATGATCATAATTTACTGTAGCCTCAAGCTCCTGGGCTCAAGCAATCCTCCTGCCTCAGCCTTTGGAGTAGCTGGGACTACAGGTGTACACCACCACACCTGGTTTATTAAAAAAAATTTTGCCCGGGCACGGTGGCTCATGCCTGTAATCCCAGCACTTTGGGAGGCCGAGGCGGGCAAATCACGAGGTCAAGAGATCGAGACCATCCTGGCCAACACGGTGAAACCCTGTCTCTACTAAAAATACAAAAATTATCTGGGTGTGGTGGTGCGTGCCTGTAGTCCCAGCTACTTGGGAGGCTGAGGCAGGAGAATCACTTGAACCTGGGAGGTGGAGGTTGCAGTGAGCCGAGATCACGCCACTGCACTCCAGCCTGGTGACAGAGTGAGACTCAGTCTCAAAAAAATAAAAATAAAAAAATTTTTTGGAGACAGGGTCTTGCTATGTTACCCAGGCTGATCTTAAACTCCTGGCCTCAAAAGATCTTTCTGCATCTCCCAGATAGCTGGGATTACAGGTGTGAGCCACCATGCTCAGTTCATTTTGAAGTTTCTAGAACATCTGGGCACTTTTGGTAGTGTAGGAGCTGTGGTATCAGCTTAAAAGATGCTGCTGTGAGTCTTGAAATTTGACAGCAAAAATTGGAGAGAGAGCTGGGAAGCTGTAGGACACGGAAACTGCAGAAACTGCAGAAACCCCAGAAACTGCAGGCCTGGGGCCCTGAACCAGTGCTCTGCTCTCTCTTCTCTTCAGCTGGCTGTTCCATGAAGGTGACTTGTAGCCATAGCAGAGACTGCAGAAAGCGAGGAGGAAGGGTAGGCTGCCATTCATTGCAAGTTCCACCTCTCGGTTGTCATCAATACCACCCAATATCAGGAGGCCTGGGACACTGGCCTCACTCTCAGAGACATGTCCCTGACACAGCCAATAAGGAGACTGAAAGTTTTGCTTCGAATTTTCTGCATTTTGCTTCTCTCCACTCTTATTTTATTTTATTATTTATTATAGTTAATTTTGGGATGGAGTCTCACTCTGTCGCCCAGGCTGGAGTGCAGGGGTGTGATCTCTGGTCACTGCAGCCTCCGCCTCCTAGGTTCAAGCAATTCTCTGCCTTAACCTCCCGAGTAGCTGAGATTACAGGCATGCCCCACGACGCCTGGCTAATTTTTTGTATTTTTAGCAGAGATGGGGTTTTGTCATGTTGGCCAGGCTGGTCTCGAACGCCTGGCCTCAAGTGATCCACCTGCCTCCGCCTCCCAAACTGCTGGGATTACCAGCATGAGCCACCGTGCCTGGCCTTCTCTCTACTTTTAAAGCCACTTCCCCTTCCATTCCTGCGTGTAACTTGGGAGCCTGCGCTCAGTGGCTACTTGGTGACCCTTGGTGTTCTTCTCAGGCCTCCAGGTTGGCCCTGCCCCCACGCCCCATGGCAGCTCTCCTCTACTTGTTCCTCTCCTCAAGCCCACAGTGCTATCTGCCCCCTCTCTGCAGGTGACCTTGCCGGGAGTGGCGCTGAGACAGCGAAAGCACACCAGGTATGGAGAGTTCCTCAACTTCTCTTCCTTCCTCTTGCAAGCAGATCTATTTTCATCCATTCATAGATCTCTGTTTCCTCCCTCCTGCTGCTGAGAAAGCAGTGGCCCTGGACCCTTCTGAGACACATTACTCCTCTCTGCCTCATGTGAGTCAGCATTTGCTGCTGTAACAAACAACCCAAAACCTTAGTGTTTGCAATGAAGAGGCTTCGTTTTGCTGTCAAGGTCCTGGGCTTGGCAGGGCTGGGCTGGGCTGGGCTCCAGGCTGCAGGTGTGGTTCAGGTCTGAACCACAGCTCTCCTTAGGGGTCCCGTCAGACTGTCAACAGCTACCTGGCCTATTATTCTCAGGGCAGAGGTATAGTAGGGGACGCAAGGCCACACCAGGCCTCTCAAGGCCTCTGTTTGGAGCTGGCACATTGGCACTTTCTCCTGCATCCTGCCAGTCAAAGCAAATCATGAGCCAGAGTCAATGGGGCAGGAAAATACACTCCACCTGTGGTGTGGGTTTTTTACTGAATGATAGACAATAGAGTCTACCACAGGCCTTTTCTAAAGTCTTCACACACCCCCCACTGCAATTATATTTATTCTCATTCATTTTTTGGTCCATCTGTGTCTTCTCATTCTGCTTGCTTTCCTTTTTATCTCTTCTTCATTGGCTCTTCCACCCTGACAAATAGATAAATATTTTCTTGTCCTCAAGGAAAAAATGTCTTTCTCTTAATTGACTTCCCTCCAGCTATTCTTTACTTCTTTTCCTCCACCCCGTTACAGAGAGTGTTTTCTGCCACCTCATCATCTCCCACTTCTTTCTTAGCTCATTAGGATCTCCTGTCCCTAGTGCCCTTTCTTGTCCCACTATAATCTCCCATCCGCAGGACTCCATGTAAATAATCCTTGTGAAGGTCTGTAGACTCCATATTCCTAGCTCCAATGGCCTCTTCTTGCTCTATTTCACTTTGTTGCAGCATTTTATATGGTTCATTCCCTCTTTTTGGAATTTTCTCCTCTTGGATTCCATACATCTACTCTTTTCTAGCTTTATCCTTCCACTCATAGCTCCTTCTCTGTCTTCTTCACAGATCTTTGATTTTCTAATTCACTGGTTTGGCAAATGTTTATAATGTGCCTTGCATATGCTGCACAGAGATAATGGGTAACATCCTTGCCTCAAACTCCAATAAGATGACAGATGATTAAAGAATTGCAACACAGTGTGATCACTGACATGATTTGCGGTGCTGTGGGAAACCTTACTCAGCTTGGAGGTTAGCAGGTGATACGATTTGGCTGTGTCCGCATCCAAATCTCAACCTGAATTGTATCTCCCAGAATTCCCACGTGTTGTGGGAGGGAACCAGGGGGGAGGTAATTGAATCATGGAGGACGGTCTTTCCTGTGTTCTTCTTGTGTTGGTGAATAAGTCTCACGAGATCTGATGGATTTATCAGGGGCTTCTGCTTTTGCTTCTTCCTCATTTTTCTCTTGCCGCTGCCATGTAAGAAGTGCGTTTTGACTCTTGCCATGATTCTGAGGCCTCCTCAGCCATGTGGAACTGTAAATCCAATTAAACCTCTTTTTATTCCCAGTTTCAGGTATGTCTTTATCAGCAGTGTGAAAATGAACTAATACATCAGGCTTTTGCTAGAAAGAGGTGTCAATGAACTGGATCTTGAGAGATCCAGACTCAGAGAGCAGGAATGGCATTCCAGAAAGAGCAAATAGCAAACACAATGGCTCAGAACCATGCTGTCCTCTTACATTGGATTTCCCAGCATTTCAGCCTCATCTCTTAGCTCTGCACACCCTTTCCTTCCTGGCTGGTCCAACGAAGCATGCTCTCCTGAGTGGGAGTGCTGACTGCATGTTGGATATCTGTTGAAGCAGCCAGTGGTACTCCAAACTCAATTCTAAATTCACTATCTAAACTCCAGTCTTGTTTTTCCTCACTCCATGACTGCATCATCACCACACTGGCAAGGGTTGACACTATAGAGTCTTCTTGGATGCTTCTTTCTTCCCCACCTGCCATCTGTTTGCCACATCACATTTAATGCATGGCTCATCCTGCCAATTCTGCCTCTAAATGCTGTCTCAAATTGTTCCACTTTTCTCGGACTCTCATTGCTGGTTCTAGATATTGTTCATATTGTTCACCAATTTGGTCTCATTTGCTCTTAATTCTTTCCTGTCTTTCTTAAGCCTAGATCAGCTTAAAAACTCATATGATATAAACAAATGTTCACAGTAGCACTATTTCTAATAGCTAAAAGGTAGAAATACTCAAATGTCCACAACAGGTGAATGGATAAACAACTTGTGGCATATCTATAAAATGGAATATTATTCAGCCATAAAAAGGAATGGAATACTGATACATGCTACAACATGAACCTTGAAAGCATTATGCTAAGTGAAAGAAGCCCCGCACGAAAGTCCAGACTGTATAATTCCATTATATGAAATGTCCAGACTAGGTAAATCCATACAGACAAAAGTCAGATTGGTGGATGCCAAGGGCTGGGGAGGGAGCAAAGGAGAGCAACTGGTTAATGGGTACAGTACAGGGTTTTATTTTGGGATGATGAAAATGTTTTGTAACTAGAGGTAGTGGTTGCACAACACTGTGAATGTATTAAATGCCACTGAATTGTTCACTTTAAAATAGTTAACTTTATGGTATGTGAATTTCACCTCAGTTGAAATCAAGACAAAAACCTTATGATGCTCTTAGAAAGAGAAGATCATGCTTGTGAGCTCCATGTCCCCTTCCCTCCACTCCTGGCTCCACGCTCTTTCCAGGCTCACTCCACCCTCCTCTCCCATATTCCATCCCCATTTCCTCCCTTCTTTTCCCTTCTCTACCACCCCCTAGTGGCCTTCATTGAAAGTCCGGGCACCTTCTTGCTGCTAAGGCTTTTTAAAAAGCCGTCTTCTCTGTAAGTCCTCTTTCCTTACTCCGTTTTTGGAAGGAAAGTTGGAGGGAGTACTGAACATAGGGAGTACAGGGAACCTGGGATTTGGGGAGTAAAAAAGACCTAAGTTCAATTTCCTATTCTACTACTTACTTAGCTGTATGACCTTGAGAAAGTTAATTACCTCTCTGAACCTCATTTCTCTCATTTGTAGTACCTGCCTCGTAACATTATTGTGAAGAGTAAATTAACTCATACACACAAAGCTCTTAGAGAATACTGGTCACCAACCAAGCTTGCCATAAGCGTTGGCTATTAAGATGTCTGTTAGTTCATCCTTCAAGGCCCAGATCAAATGGGAGGTCTTCCTCATCTGTGAGGTCTTCCTTATCTCCCCCAGGCAGAATCAATTCTGTATTTATTTTTATTGTACAGCTTGTATACCTCTGTCCCTGTTGTATGGTGTGTTGTACTTGCCTTTTCCTATAGGGGCTGTGTCCCCACCCAAATTTCATCTTTATTTACTTATTTATTTTTGAAACGGAGCCTTACTCCGTTGCCCAGGCTGGAGTGCAGTGGCTCAATTTCGGCTCACTGCAAACTCCGTCTCTCAGGTTCAAGCAATTCTCCTGCCTCAGCTTCCTGAGTAGCTGGGATTACAGGTGTGCAACACCATGCCTGGCTAATTTTTTTGTATTATTAGTAGAGACAGGGTTTCGCCATGTTGGCTAGGCTGGTCTTGAGCTCCTGACCTCAAGTGATCTGTCCACCTTGGCCTCCCAAAGTGCTGGGATTACAGGCATGAGCTACCTCGCCCAGCCCCAAATCTCATCTGGAATTGTGGCTCCCATAATCCCCACGTGTCGTGGGAGGGACCAGGTGGAGATAATTGAATCATGGGGTAGGTTTCCCCCACCCTGTTCTCGTGATAGTTCTCAGGAGATGTGATGGTTTTATAAAGGGCTTCCCCCTTCACTGAGCACTCATTCCTTTTCCTGCCACCCTGTGAAGAGGCTCCTTCTGCCGTGATTGTAAGTTTCCTGAGGCCTCCCAGCCATGCAGAACTGTGAGTCAATTAAACCTCTTTCCTTTATAAATTACCCAGCCTTGGGTAGGTCTTTATTAGCAGTGTGAGAACGGACTAATACACTCCGTTGGTGAAATGATTTGAATTTCTTGCACCCCTCCCTCTCTCTATCTCTACTGTTTTCCTCGAGAACCCAAGCTGGTTTGGTGGCTGCTTAGTGGTGTGGAAGAGGACCGGGCAGCTAACCTTGCCTCTTATTGTGCCTTTGAAACTGAGTGTCACGAGTGACGACCCAGCAACCCGAGCTGGTTAGGTGCTGGGTCTCAGTTCACTTTAAAATTTCTAAATGCATCAAGCCTCGGTTTTGCTTCTGGATTCCGGGGCAAAAAATTATGCAAACAGTTAATATCCTTGATTTATCATTTCATCTTCCTCTTTTGTGCTTTACCCATGGCCTGGCATACATGCCCAGTAACTGCTGCTGGCTGGATTATGATGGTTTCTAGATCCTTCCACACAACTGACCACAGCAGGTTACCACGGCAGGTCCCTTGTATTTAGAAAGAGAAAGTCCAGTGCCAAACAAGAACCCTGTGACAGTCCCAGGACGCTGGGCAGAAATCTGTTGTTGTTCCAGAGCATTCATTTCACCCTCCTTCCATGCGCAGCAACATCATTAATGATCTGACCGCATTTCACGTGGCTTCCTGAGGCCTTTCCTTTGCGAGCGAGGCCTGGCCTCTTCCCCGAATCAGGAAAACTCTGAATTTAACCTATAATCATGCTGTTCTTGGTAACACCAGCGTCTTCCCACAAAAGCTCTAGAAATTGGTTAGACTTTCCAAGCTTTTTGGAAGATTAAGTCCATTAATTTTCATTGAGAAGAATATCAATTTTCAGTGTTTTCAGAATCCTTGGATGAAATTTTAGATCGACAATCTTGTGATACTCATGTACTTTCCCTACCCATCCCCCATGCCCCTTAGGAGACCTTTTCTAAAAAGTGAGACATTAGTTTGGGTTGCAGTTCACAAGGAGTAGTGGGAAGGGCCAAGAAGACTTGGCTTTGAATCCCAGTCCCACCATGAGTACGAGGAATGCATTTAATCTACCTGGCCCTTCGTTTCCTTATCTGGTCAGTGAGTAAACTATTGCCTCCAAAGTTTACATTGAGAATCAAATAAGATTTTTGTAAGGTGCTTGACACAGATTTTCAACAAATGCAAGTCCCCTCATTCCTGTGATCTCCTTTTTCTTGTGCCCTGTTTGCTCATAACAGTTTTCCAAAATCGAGTCTATTGAGAGTTTGAAAAAGCAGGAATTACGTGTTTTCTATTTGATGCTTTATATTTATTTATTTATTTATTTATTTATAGAGATAGGGGTCTTCTGTGTTGTTCGGGCTGGCCTCAAACTCCTGGGCTGAAGTGACCCTCCTGCCTCAACCCCTGTAGTAGGTGGGACTACAGGTGTGAGCCACCCCACCTGGCTTGGTGCTTTATTTTTAAGCACGTTAACCTTTCAGTAGTATTTAAAAAGCACCTTACCCACTGTGCTGCTATTATATACAGGCATCTGGAGACTGATAGGTTAAGTGAACTGGGGGCTCACTATGGAATATTGTGCAGTGGTTAGAACCAACATATTAGGTCTGCAAATTATAACATGGATAGATATTAAAAGCATAGTACATAGTGAAGAAATAAAAAATACAAAGTGGCATTTAACTTAATACCATTTATATAGGTAAAAAATTTATGCACCCTCCTGGAAATCTACCCTATAGATGTAAAAGCCCCAGTATTTATGGATTCACGTGCATAAATATGCAGCTTTATTTGTAGTGATAAAAAACCGTGTGCAACCTAAATGCCCGTCAGTAGAGGGATGGTTGGGTGAACTGCTGAACATCCATCTATCCCATGAATTACTAGACAGCTATTAAAAAAGAATGCCAGAGATCCGGATCTACTGCCCTGGAAGGATGATCATGACATATTCTTAGATGAGAATAGCAAGCCACAGAGCTATGGATTACGAATCCAGTTCATTAAACCAAATCTCTCTCCTCTCTCTCTCTCTCTCTCTCACTTTCTCTCTCTCTGTCTCTCTCTCTCTCTCTCTCTCTCTCTCTCTCTCTCACACACACACACATTTCTGTAACTACCAGTTTAAAGGATTGAGTGATCCTGAAGACGTGTGGAGAGATAGACCCTGCCCATGCTGTTAGCAGTGGTCACCTGCTGGGGGTGCAGGGAGATAAGAAAAAAAGTCTATCAAAGACTAAAGAAAAGAAAAGCTCATTATAGAAATGTTAAAAATCAGGACACAAATATTCTATCATGGATATTACTTACAATGCGTAAACAATGAAAACGCAGATGGACAAGGACCTGATTGTAACAGGAATAAAAGTAATACTTGGGTAAGAGGATTATGAGCAAAAGGAAAAATACATGAACACAAGACAGAGATATCCAGACAAACAAAATAAACATTAAACACCTTAGGATAGCAGCCTATGTGTGGGAGGAGAGAGGATGGGAGTGAGTAGGAAGATCAAAAGGAAATTTAAAAAATATTAAAGAGAAGGCACGTGTACAGCCCAGTGACATTGAATGGAGGTGGGAGTATGATGAACTCAACACTCTGCACCTAAGGTTAAAAAAAGTCAAATAAGAACTTTCCCCTAGAGTAGCTTATGTAAAGAACAACAATACTAGAACTTACATAGAGCAAGATGTACCCTCGACTTTAGGGTCCACTTTTCCACAGAGCGTAATTCAAGGATGACTGCGGTGAGCCACGTCCCCAGAGGTAGAGTAACTAAAATTTAGCAAGAGTCTGAGTAAGGACTAGTAAGTGTCATTATTATTCCATGCATGGGAATTCCCAGATCTGTCCTCCATGGACTCAGGCTAGCGTTACCTGTAATGATCAGCAAGAGAAGGAACGAACGTTCAGCCCATCAATGCCGTTGCTCTTGTAAACCAGACTAGATCACCCTGGGGAGAATATTAGCTATTAATTAGTTCCTTTAAATAGTGCCTTTGAACTTTTGGAATTAAAATTAATTGATGGTCTAAAGGAATGCCATGTAATTTCTATGGCATTGAGACTTTCTTCCCCTGGGATTAATCTGACTTTGTTCTTTCCCCCTCATTTTCCCAAGCTTGGATCTTTTTAACAGCCGATTGCACTTATCTTTTGAGCTTTGAACCCTGCCCCAGTGGATAAGTAATTTCATTTAGGTAAACAGTCTCCAGAAATAGATTCAAACAGTGAGCAAACAGCTTGTTTGTGATAACAGGCCCTGCCTTGCAGCCTGGTGTGTGAGGCTAACGGTCTCACGTCTGCTGATGGCGGTAGCTGACTTCCCCTCTTTGTAAACTGTCCCCCAGATGTGTTGCATTCTCTCAAGGTGGAAGGCAGGTCTTGTAAATAAACTGGGTTTCTCCAGGACTGATGCAGGGACCAGAGAGTCACATATAACGGCAGAGTGGTTTGTCCTGTCGGGAGGGTCTCACTGTCTGGTGTCGACCATCCTTGTCATGAGCCCGGGGGTTGCTCAAAGACCGAGATAACACAGTTGCCTTCCCTCTGCTGGAACGCATCCTATATATGACACTCATTATAGTTAATGGGCTGTTAGCTTTTCCATTAAGGGATTCTTCTAAGGGTTTATAACCTGGTAATAACAATAATTTGCTTCAGGCGGAAACTCCTGTAACAGGTATGAACAGCCCAACTCTTATCAATGTTGCTTGGGCTGGGGGAGTTGGGTCTGCTCCATACAGCATGCAAAAGGAAACTTGTCCAGGAACTAGAGGTTTTTCCCTTATTTATTTTCTTTTACAGTCACAATTGTAATAGCTGTATTTGGTATAAAATATTTCCAGAGAGGACGGTGTCATTGAGAGTCCTGAATGGGGCCAGCACATCTGCCATGAGAGCTCTGGGAATGTTGTGTGATTGGTGGTTGTGAGAAGCCAGATGCGGAGATCAGTCAGGAAACCCGAATGCTGATTCCAACTCCACAGTATATTAGCGTGGCTACCTGAAGAGCAGAGAGAACCCTAGCCCCCTTCTTAGCACAACTCACAAAGGCCTGAGTGGTCAGGCAGCCCACACAAAGTCCATGAAGGATCCACATTTATCCAAATACTGAAAGCTCTGGGCTTTGAAGAAGGCCATCCAGCATCCTATAGACCACAGGCAATGTTCTTGAGTGGCTTGGCCTGAGACACTTACTAACACAGGGCTAGGCTTCATGCTTGAAAAGAAGGTTACATGGTGTAATATTATGATATAATTATAATGATGTAATATTATGGTATAATAACCAAATATATACATTTGGTTTCTGCTTCTGGTTCCTGGCACATAGCTCCTAAAATCCTTGGAATCTCCAAAGTGATGTGTATTTGCATGCTGTCACGATGAACTGGTATATGTGTGTGTTTTAGGGTAGTGGTGGGGCCTGGATAGCCTCAGGATGGAAGCTGGTTGCCAGAGGAACCAACTATGTGATTAGAGGGTTGGAATTTATAGTCTTCTGTCCTCAACCCCCACCCTCGACCTCTGCCCTGAAGGAGGAGAGAGGGACTGAAGGTTGAGTTGATCACCAATGGCCAATGATGTAATCAGTCATGCCTATGTAATGAAGCTGCCATAAAAACCCAAAAGGACAGGATTCGAGAGCTTCTGGATTGCTGAACACATGGAGGTTCTTGAAGGGTGGCCCATCAGGAGGGGGCATGGAAGCTCCGTGCCCCTTCCTGGGTACCTTGCCCTGTATTACTTCATCTGGATGCTTATCTGTGTCCTTTGCAATACCCTTTATAACAAATAGGTAAATGTAAGTAAAGTATTTCTCTTGAGTTTTTTTAGAATATGAAGAATATATATATATATTCTTCATATATATATGAAGAATATATATATATATATGAAGAATATATATATATATATATATATATATATATATATATATATATAAAAGAGTTTTTTTTTTCTCATGGTTCTGTGAGCTGAGAAGTTCAAGGGCATGGTGCCAGCTTCTGGTGAGGTCTCACATGCTGCGTCATGATGTGGTGGTGGAGGTCATGGGAGAAGCAGACATGTATGAAGATGGAAAAACCTGACAGACACCCTTGTTTCCCTGAGTTCTGTGAGCTGTCCTAGTAAATTAATCCAATGTGAGGAAGGGGTCTTGGGAATCCTCAAGTTCTGCTGATTGGTCAGAAGTACAGGTAATACAACACAGGGCTTGCAACTGGCATCTGGAGAGGGAGACAGCCTTGTGGAACTGAGCTCCTAACCAGTAGGAGCTCTTAACCAGGTAAAGAGTGTCAGAGTTGAGTTAAATTGTAGGACACTCAGTTAGTGTCTTCTGGAGAATTGCTTGATGTGTGGGGAAAACCCCACATACGTTTTGGTTATCAGAGGTGAAATATCTTGTGTTGAGTGTATGAGAGTGGGAAAAACAGTTTGGTTTTTCTTATCTCTTACACAAGAGGCACATTAGGAGAGCCTTGTGCCTTATGAATATGAAGAGTCCCTAAACTGAGTGGAAGAAGTGGTTAAAGAAGGCAATCAGGGAGGTGAGGAGTTCATCCTGGATAACAGATTGACAGGACAAAGGACGTGAGGAAGGGTGTTCTATCTATGGAGGAGGTGAATGGCTCAGAGTCCCACATGGCACAGAACAACATCAATGGTGCTGTCAGGAATGGACAGCCCTGAAGAGGAGAGGCTGGTTGGGAGAAGCACTGATTTCATGTTCTAAGGTGTGCAAACATAAGTTACCCTGTGTATGGGCTTCAAAGAGGGTGTGACAAGAGGAAAGAGGTGGTGCCAGGACCTGGCAGGCCCAGTCCTCACACTTTCTGCTGACTATTGGGGTAATGCCTGCTGGAGTCAGAAAGAAACCTGGAGTGTCTAGGGTTCCAAATCCTGGACAGGTTTTAGAAGGATTGGTAGGTCAGATTGCCCTTTCACCTCTACATCCATGTTTTCCTGTGGAAGAGCTGGTCCGGCCCTGGGCAGACTGGCTCCCATCCCAGTGAGGTGAGCTCCCCGTGACCTGGAAGACATGCTTAACAGGAGAGTCTCTGACCTAATTAAGAGGATTTTAATTTAAATCTGAGTCTTGAACTGTTTAGTATGTAAGAAGAGGCGTTCCAAGATAGAAAAAAACAGTAAATGGAAGAGGCACGCATTTTTCAAGAGAAAAGTCTGCTGTAGGGGCCATTGCCAAGACAATACTTATGTTCTCAGATGTCTGTGTGTTAATTGCATTTTTAAATAGGCTTCACCTTCCAGTTTTAAAATAATACACATTCACTATAGAAAATTTAGGAAAATATAGGTAAGGGTAAGAATGAAGCTGAAAGAGCTCATTATCTCCCCTTCCCCCCTTTAGCTGTAACTACTGTTAGTCACTTGCTAGATTTATTTTTCATATTGTGTTTTAAAATGACATTTATACCACTAAAAGTTGTGATATTTTAGATAATGGGAAAAGCAAGAAGAAGAAAAATATACTCATTTACAATGCCATCTCCATGTTAACATAGTTTTTAACTTTTTATTTTGGAAAACTTCAAACATATATAATCTTTTAACTTTTTTTTTTTTTTTTGAGACAGGGTCTCCCTCTGTCAGCCAGGTTGGAGTGCAGTGGTGCAATCATGACTCATCGCAGCCTCGACCTCCCTAGGCTCAGATGATCCTTCCCCTGAAGCCTCTCAAGTAGCTGGGACTACAGGTGTATGCCACCACATCCAGCTAATTTTTGTATTTTGTGTAGAGACAGGGTTGCGCCATGTTGCCCAGACTGGTCCTGAACTCTTGGGCTCAAGCAATCCTCCTGCCTTGGCCTCCCACAGTGCTGGGATTACAGGCATGAGGTACCACGCCTGGCCTCCTGTTAACATTTTGATATATTTTATTTCTGTCTTGAGTGTGTGTATATTATCTATATATGTATATATAGGCACATATCCATATAGCTATACACACAGACATATAGGCAAAACTAGGATTATATCACATATTAAAGAGTTTCATTTATTTTTTTTGAGACAGAATCTTGCTCTGTCGCCTGGGCTGGAGTGCAGTGGTGTGACCTTGGGTCACTGCAACCTCTGTCTCCTAGGTTCAAGTGATTCTCATGCCTCAGCCTTCCAAGTAACTGGGATTACAGGCTTCTACTACCATACCCAGCTATTTTTTTTTTTTTTTTTGTATTTTTAGTAGAGTCAGGTTTCATCATGTTGGTCAGGCAGGTCTTGAACTCCTGACCTCAAGTGATCCTCCTGCCTCAGCCTCCCAAAGTGCTGGGATTACAGGCATGAGCCAGTGTGCCTGGCCAGATACTAAACAGTTTTGTATGCTACTTGTGCTGCTTGAAATGACATTGTGATATATCTCTAAATATTCTTGGAAACATTTGAACAGGGGAAGCAAAACCGTTTCTCAGATTACCCTAGACTTGGTGGGAAAAGACTCATAATGACACTCAGTAGTAGTGAGGGGTGGGTATTCTGACTCTAGAATGTAGAAGGCACTCAATCCATGTTGTTGAGTGAATACATTATTTGCTCAAGAGAAGTAGACTTAATATAAGGAGTGAGGAGGCCGAGGCAGGTGGATCATGAGGTCAGGAGATCGAGACCATCCTGGCTAACACGGTGAAACCCCATCTCTACTAAAAATACAAGAAAATTAGCCAGGCGTGGTGGCATGCGCCTGTAGTCCCACCTACTTGGGAGGCTGAGGCAGGAGAATGGCATGAACCCAGGAGGTGGAGTTTGCAGTGAGCCGAGATCACACCACTGCACTCCAGCCTGGGTGACAAGAGAGAGACTCCGTCTCAAAAAAAAAAAAAAAAAAAAAAAGTTGCATTGTAAGTAAAGACATACAATACGATAAACCGATAAACCTTATGTCTCATGGAACTTGAATTTTTAGGTCATGGATTTTATATTTTCAGCCTAGGAAAGGGACAGAAGAAAAACACCTCCAACTTCTTGGCTACAATGTTGATTTCTGGTGGTCAGGAATATTCTATTTCCCACCTGCAGACCTTTCTTCAGGGCCTGCTATTCATGTTTCTTTGTGCAAAAGGCCACCTCAGTCCATGGCTGTAAGTAGGTCATTCTGGGCTGCTGGAATCCTGGGAGAAAATGGTCACATCAGGAAGGCAGTGAGGAATGTGTAGTTGCCATTGGAAGGGCATTCTGGATGGAGCGGTCTAAAATACCAGCATAAGGAAGTTTTCCTCTGAGCAGAATGTGGCTCCGTAATTGTGATGATGGGTAGAGTGGGGTTGCTATTTTGTTCACTCATTTTCCATCCAACATGTATTGAGAACTTAATATGTGCCAGGTCAAGGGATGCAAGGATGGAAAAGACAAATCCCTTTCTGAGGCAGCACAGAGTAAAGTATAGGTAACTGCAAAACACAGGAAAGTGCTCTGAAAGAAGTGTGTGAATACACATTGGGGCATAGAGGAGAGAGTGTCCAACTCTGCCTGGGTTGGATGAGAGGAGGTGATGCTTCAGCTGCCTGCGAGCTGGCTGGAGGAAGTGCCTGTATGGTAGCAGCTGAAGAAATACCAAGAACACAGCGTGGCGCTTAGTTGGGGCCAGAGACTATTGATTAGTGTGTGATCGATTTGTATCCTACATCCTGATTAGTAGCTTCACTGTGTATCCAGACAACCATCAGAAATCTGAGCATCTTCCTAGATTCCTATTCCTTATGCCTCTGGTATTGATGGATGATATTGTGGCATTGGATTGGATGGATGGATGATACCCATCCCATCAGGTATCAAACCCTGGTGCTGCCACCTCTGGAGAGCCCTTGAGGCAGCCTCATTCTCTTTACCTCCACTGCCTCTGTCCTTGTTGAGGTCTTCATGCCTTTTTAACTAGAATACTGTGCCTTGAAACTGGCCATCCTACCTCCCATCTCATATTGCTTTCATTAGTTATCTACTGCAAGGTAACAAAACATTTCAAAATGCAGCAGCTTAGAACAATGGGCATTTATGATCTCACAGAGTCTCTGAGGGTCAGTAATCTGGCTTTGGATAGTGGAGAGGAGTGATTTAGCTGGGTGGCTCTGTTTTTCATGAGGTTGCAGTCAAGCAGCTGCTGGAGCTGCAGCCTCTGAACTGTTGACTAGGACTAAAGGATCTATTTTGATATGCATTCATGTGGCAAATAGCAAGAGGTTTCATTTCCTTGCCACTGGGCCTTTCCATAGGGCTGGTTGTGACATGGCAGCCAGCTTTCTCTAGAGTGAGTAAGGCAGAGGGTGGGGACTGAGGGACAGAGATTGACCAAGATGGAAGCGGCAGTGTCTTTAGAGCTTAGTCTTGGAAGTGACATATCATCCCTTCTATTGGTCACACAGACCAACCCTGGCACACAGTGGGAGGAGAACCAGACAAGGCTGTGAAGGCCTGGAGGTGGGGTGCATGTGGTACCATTTTGGAGGTCCCTGTAACCCATCTTTTTCATCATTTACCCTTGCCCTTTGGATCCAGTCCAGACTCCTTATCACAGCACTTAAGGCTCTTCATGCCTGACCCCTGATGAAAATGTCCCCTTTCATTTATTGATTCAGAAACTCAACAAGGCCAGGAGCGCTGGCTCACGCCTGTAATCCCTGCACTTTCAGATCCCAAGGCAGGAGGATTGCTTGAGACCAGGAGTTTGAGACTAGCCTGGGCAACATAGAAAGACCCTGTCTTTACAAAAGTTAAAAAAAAGTAGCCAGGGTGGTGGCCCATGCCTGTAGTCCCAGCTATTCTGGAGACCAAAGTGGGAGGATAGCAGGAGCCCAGGAGTTCAAGGCTGCAATGAGCTACGATTGTGCCATTGCCCTCCAGCCTGGCGACAGAGTGAGACTGTCTCTAAAAAAAAAAAACACAAGAAACTCAACAAATGTTTTTTGAATATGACCATATTTTAGACACCGGAAACAAAATAGATTAAAATCTTCCTTCTTGGGGGTTTTACAATCTCATGAGGGAACACAAGAAACACAATAAGCAAATATGTAAGTGATATATTTATGTAAAAGTATATAATATAGTAGACATTAACATTCTTGGCTGTCAGAAGATGATAACTACCATCTAGGGAAAAAATATATTGGGATAAGAAGGATCAGGGTGTTCTTGGGTGGAAGTCTGGCTGGCAGTGTTTTTTTGTTTTTTGTTTTTTTTTTTAGATGGAGTCTCGCTCTGTTGCCCAGGCTGGAGTACAGTGGCACAATCTCGGCTCACTGCCACCTCTGCCTCCTGGGTTCAAGCAGTTCTCCTGCCTCAGCCTCCCAAGTAGCTGGGACTACAGGCATGTGCCACCATGCCCAGCTAATTTTTTGTATTTTTTTAGTAGAGATGGGGTTTCACCATGTTAGCCAGGATGGTCTCAATCTCCTGACTTCGTGATCTGCCTGCCTCGGCCTCCCAAAGTTGTGGGATTACAGGCGTGAGCCACCGCACCCGGCCTGGTTTGTAATTTTTAAAGACAGGGTAGGGCACTAAGTGGGAGACAGTTAGATACAAATTGGAAGTGGTGAGGGCATGTGCCATATGGATGTCTGGGGAAGAAGCTCTGCAGAGGCCCTGAGATGGGTGTGTGCCTGGTGAGTTCACAGACCAGCCAGGAAGTCAGTGTGGCTGGAGTGGAGTGAATGATGGGCAGAGTAATGGGTGTGAGGTCAAAGCAGTTGTGGGGAGGGGAATATCAGGTTCAGGGACCTTATAGGTCATGGGGCACTCTGAGTGAAGTGCAGAGAAGAGTTATGACCTGACTTCACATTTGTGGAGGCCCATTCTGACGCTATGCTAAGAATGCAGCTAAGGGGTCAGAGATTGAAGCAGAGTACCCTGTTAGGAGGTTATTGGAAGAATCCAGGTGAGAAAGGGCAGTGGTTTGGATCAGAGGGTTGGCCAGGGAGGCGTGAGAAAGGAAATGGTACCGTGGTACTGCAATTATTACCTAAAATCCTATTTCTTTTCAAAGTGGTGCTACTTGTTGATGGCATAGGGTGGCTCCGATGTTACTGAAAATCATACCCAAAGAAGATGATCCATTTCGCTAGTACTGATTGATCAATAAAGGATTCTTTATACCTTAGGGTTAAATTACTTGTTTGTTGAAACCTCTGCAGCTAAAGGCTCCCTCTTTGGAAAATGTTAGTTATTTGAGGGCCTGAAATTGCACAATCAGTTTTTGACTTGCCCTGTCCCTTCGAACGAGAGAGAAATACAAATGTAGTTACTTGTGTATGCAGTTGTGGTACCTGGTGTTGGAAGCTGTATGGGGGAGGCTGAGAATGTTGATCATAACTCACTGGCTTTGTAATTAAACTCTCTTTTTATTAAAGCTGAAATTCTTAAAGGCCCCTGCCTGTGTGGGACTGGAAATTATTTATCATAGAAATTGTCTGCTTTGCTATAAAAATGTTGATATATTATTCTGTTCATAAGATGTAGACACTGTTTTTTAAAAAATATCTCTAGCTGTAGATGTGCAGACATCATATGAACTTTCTTACTAATGTCACATTTATTGAGCTCTGTATGTGTGTGTGAGACTAATGTCTCAACCTTTCTTTTAAAATTTTTGCTTATTTGTTACAATGTTGGCTGTGGCCTTGTAAAAAAATAAATAAAATAAAATGTTTAAGTATCTGAAGCACCGAGTGGATGTTTCAAACTCACAAGAGCGGTTAGGGATCAAAAAGAAGTATACAATATAACATATCCCTTTGCCAAGTCCAGTCCATTTCATTCCGTGTCCCTAGCACTCCAGTGAAGGTAGCAGCCATCAGTTAAATAAACAAGCATTTCTACTGATGGCAGCAGCCTCAGTATGCTTACATCCACCATGTTACTCTCTACTGAGGGACTTTTGCTGATAGAGCCTTAGTTGAGATTATCTAGAGAGTTTTTTCTTCTATGTGGAGCCAATTACCATGTAACACATATGAAACTACAACAAACAGACATTGAAATATATTAAAAAAGATTTATTTTAAATAAAAGGATGTGAAATGGTGGACAATGTCCTTGTTACTGATGCATTTCTCACAATTTTTTTTTTACCACCACTTTAATTAGAGTGTTTAATATGTTTGGATGCAAGTCCATCACGTTTGTTTTGTGTTTGTTCCAACTTGTTTGTTTCTTTCTTCCTCCTTTCTTGCCTTCTTTTGGGTAAATCGAACATTTCTTAATATTCCATTTTATCTCTTCTATTGAGTTTTTAGCTATACACACTTACTGTGTGTGTGTGTGTGTTCAAGTGGTTGCTCTAGACATTACAACATGCATCTTTAACTTATTACAGACCACCTTCAAATAATAATATATTACTTCTTTACCATTACTGTAGATAGTTAATTTTACACATGATCACAAGGGAAAAAATCAATACTATACCTATTATATTTATGTGAAGATTAGCTGTATTCAGATTTGCATTTTATAATCAATGTGGGTGCAGAGCTCTCCTCTGCCTAATCACAGAATTGATTATGCAATTCACAGACATTTGTGTGGTTGTTGGTTGCCCGCTTACCTGAGTATTTCATTTCTTTGAGACAATTACTCTTTTGTTTTTCTCTTTTGAAATAACTAATGCAAATTAAGAAGAAGAAAATGAGAAATGTTAAGCAGAAATCTTTTTTTTAAAGGGAAGTTGAATCAGGGCCGGTGAAGTAGCAGCCACGGTTCAATGGCCCTTTTTACAATGAAGGCGATGACAGATTTTACCTCACAGTCACTGGTACCATTTTATTGAGGTTTGAGTTGACTTAACTCATAGTCTGAGAATGTGAACGGATTTGAGAGGCTCATCTTAGGGGTTGACTTCCCTTGGCATAGATCTATGTGTCTTTTGCAAATAAATCCCTTCTTGCCGTCCTACATGACACATGTGCCATGTCCTATTTAGCCCCTATGTGTCTATCACAGAAGTCAGTGTTATATGGATCAGGGGGCATAGGTGACTTCTGGCCCAGTGTCATGTAGCTAACTGGTTAGCACATATTAGTAATCAAAGGTGGATCTTAATGAATCCACTATTTTATTTGGATATATTGAATGCTCTCTTTGCAGACTGGTCCTCTATGGAAACCAGTTCTCTTGACTACCAAAGGAATAAATTAAAAAAAAAAAAATGGTACCTGTACAAATAGCATGGTGAAATGTTGCCCTTGCTCATAAAAGGCTTGGTTGGAATCTCGTGTTGAATCTTGTAAAATTCCATTTGTTATTATTTTACAATGCACAGGAGTTCATGTTACATATCACTGTGTGTGCATTTAATTTTCAAAGTTGCATTTTAGTGGCCTGTCATATCTTATGGTAGGTTAGACATGAGTAGTTACTTTGGCTGATTAGCAAAATTAAAGGTAGAAAAAGCTATACACAGTGAATGTGTATAGCTAAAAACTCAATAGAAGAGAAAAAATGGAATATTAAGAAATGTTCAGTTTACCCAAAAGAAGGCAAGAAAGGAGGAAGCTGTAATTGGGATGACTAAGAAAGGAAGGAAGGGTATGCCTTCTTATTCAGAATTGACTTTTAAAGCACTTTTGCCTGTTTAACACATGTACACAGTCAGGTTCCTAATGTCATCTGATTACTCTTTTGCTTTTAACTGGCTACCTGGTATAGTTGCTTTCCAGGTTCTTATCAGGAAATACAATCTCAAACTCACTGCCATTAATACCTTTCGAAAGCTCTGCAGAGGGAAACAATATTTATGGAGGATTGCCTGAAGTATTTGTTGTCCATCCATTTTTTAGATAAGTCATCATCAACCTGTTGTCTTACAGACCCCTGGGAGAATGCAGAGTTATTGCAAGGTTGTCTGCAAATCCTCTACTGAAGGTATTATTATTTCTGTCATAGTTATCTGTAAGGACACAACAGTGACATTGAATATTTTGTTTAAGGGAACAGAGTCTTTTCCAACACCTAGGTCTTTACTTAAAAGGAGAAAATCATGTGATAAATGCAATCAATAATGGGATCTGGAATGGGAGTTGCCAGGCTTTGAACTTAACTATTTGTGCTTTGAGCCTCACTTGAGCATCACAGGACCATGGAACATTGAGTGCTGGAAAGGACCCCATGGGGTCTGTTAGGCCACTGATGGCACATTTACATTGTGAGTGCGGGCAGTGTGGCATTGCCTACTGGCGGTGGTGCATTTTCTGGGATGCTCAAAACTGTTATTTGTAGTTGACAACAATAGTGATGGCAAAAACATTTGCTTTAAGCATCAATTTTTACAATGTCAGTAAGGAAAGTAATTTTATTATTTTATTTTATTCTGTTTTTTGAGATGGGTCTCACTCTGTTGCCCGTGCTGGGTCTCACTTTCTCCTATTCAGTGCCGTTCACATCGGCTCCTGGTGATTATCATTGCCACCAGCTAATCTAGATCTCAGAATTCAAGATTCTTGGATTATTGTTCTGTCTTCCAGCTATTCATC
This sequence comes from Homo sapiens, assembly GCF_000001405.40. NCBI lineage: Eukaryota > Metazoa > Chordata > Mammalia > Primates > Hominidae > Homo > Homo sapiens. The sequence continues at coordinate 200,264,377 of NC_000001.11, read as the reverse complement.
CTGCCTCCAGATTCTTTCCTCATTAGTCCACTCTACACCCAGCTTCCAGAATAATCTCTCTCTCTCTTTTTTTTTTTCTTTTTTGAGATGGAGTTTCGCTCTTGTTGTCCAGGCTGGAGTGCAATGGTGCGATCTCGGCTCACCGCAACCTCCGCCTCCTGGGTTCAAGCAATTCCCCTGCCTCAGCCTCCTGTGTAGCTGGGATTACAGGCATAGGCTACCATGCTCAGCTAAGAATAACCTTCTCAAACACATCTTTGTATGAGTTCTTTCCCATCTTGCCAGCCCCCATATACGATAAATTCAATACCAAGAAACCTGCTTTTTACCGTTTTCAAAATTGCACACTGACCTTTCCACTTTATCCTTAGCTGTGTGCATTCCAACTCATTCCCCTATTCTGAAGAACTGACCTTTTAGCTATGGGTTGTTGAATATGCCAACTGCATTTCAGCTGCTTAGGCTTTGCAACCACCATTGCCCTGTTGTAAATTTTTTATTCCACGTGACCACTTACTTGCAACCTGTTCTTTCTGTATGAATCATGTCAAATTCTAAATACTCCAAAAACCATTGTTGAAATGAAGATTTCTCCTCTGAACACTTGTACCATTTTTTAGGCATATATGGTCTTATAGTCTTATATATTTCCACACTCACATCTAGGTCAATATGTGCTATGGTGCCCTAATGAAAGCCTTAACTTCTTGGGGCCAGAGATGGTAGATATTTGGCAAATATTTCTTGCCGATGGCCAGAGCTTGAGGTACTTTAGAGCGGGGTACTCCCTGATGGAGTTGTGTTATTTGACCAATTAGTTTCAATACATTTTTTTTTCCCTTACTGTTTATTTCTTCATCCTTAGCTTCTCTTTGTAATGGATGGAAATATGAGGCTTCTTTGTACATTGCCCTTTGTATCAGTCTACTTGGTCTGCCCTGACAAGGTACCATGGACTGGGTGGCTTAAACAATAGACATTTATTTTCTCACAGCTCCAGAGGCTGGAAGTCCAAGGTCAGGGTGTTGACGGGGTTGGTATCTGGTGAGGGCTCTCTTCCTGGCTTGCAGACAGTCGCCTTCTCACTCTGTCCTCACATGGCCTTTCTTCTGTGTTTGTGAAGAGAGAGAGTTCCCTGGTGTCTCTCCCTCTTTTTTTTTGTTCATTTCTTTTCCCATTTTTTTTCTCTCTCTCAGCAGAAATAACTACTTCTTCTTATAAGGATACCCCTCCTATCAACTTAGGCCCACTCTTTTGACCTCATTTAAACCTAATTACCTCCTTAAAGTCCCTATCTCTAAATACAGTCACACTGGAGGCTAGGGCTTCAACATGTGAATTTTAGGGGGTATAATTTAGTCCATAACACCTTTCAAATTGAGTTCGTATTTTTCAAAATAGCGTTTTATTTCCCTTTGATTATAAAATAATACTGTATCTTCCTCTCCTCCACCCCCGAAACAAAAGCCAAACAACTGAGTGAATTTATTATTAAAATCAAGAACAGAAAGGCCCTGGTTGTGGGGGCAGCTGCCGTGCACCAGTAGCAGCAAGGAGGCAGTCACATGGTGGTTTGGAGCTCAGGCTTCCCAGCCGCACTGCTGTGGTTTCAACCTGACTCTGCCATTTGGCAGCTGTGTGACCTGGAACATGTTACTTAACCTCTCTTTGTTTCTGTTTCCTTATGTCCAAAATGGGAATGATAACAATGGTTCTACCACATAGGAAAGTGTTGAGTGTTGTAGGGGAGACTAAATGAGTTAATATGTGTAAATCCCCTGCAACATTAGCTATTGTTATATTTACCTTAGATCTCTCCTCATTTTAAATGCCCGTAGAAGTATGTGTGTGTCTCTATAGCACCCCCGTCAGGCAAGCAATAGTAGGGGAACATCATTGAATGCTTCTGTTGATTCAAGGGTACCATATTGCTTTCAAAAAAGTGCCAGTCTAAATCTGTAGAAGCCCTGATGCGGAGGATTCTGGCCAAGGTCACACATGCCTCACCTACCACGTGTGCCCAATTCCCCAGAGTTCAACAAGTGTTTATTTGTAACTAACATGAAAGATTATGGCCAGTGCACAAAAAAAGGTGTGTACAGTCACTACTGTGAGCACAAAAGAGGGGCTCTTGGGCTTAGGTTGAAGGTGCTGGTGGCATCTGGAAGGACTTTCTGGAAGTGGTGGTGTCTGAACTGAAGTTTGAAGCATGAGTAGAAATTGGGATTAAAGTATCCATTACCAATAATATGCTGAATTGATATTGTTTTCAGAAAAAATTCAACGGTAAAAAATTCAATAGTATTTCTTTGCAGTGAAAATTATCTTATATTAGAATTAGCAGCTGTTTAGAAGTAGACAGCAGAAGAATCCAGCAAAAATAGCAGACACCATGACTTGTAAAATATTCCTAATTTTGGCCAGGTGCAGTGGCTCACACCTGTAATCCCAGCACTTTGGGAGGCTGAGGCGGGCGGATCATGAGGTCAGGGGTTCGAGACCAGCCTGGCCAATATGGTGAAACCCTGTCTCTAATAAAAATACAAAAATTAGCCGGGCGTGGTGGCGGGCACCTGTAATTCCCACTACTCAGGAGGCTGAGGCAGAAGAATTGCTTGAACTTGGGAGGTGGAGGTTGCAGTGAGCCGAGATTGTGCCACTGAACTCCAGCCTGGGCAACAGAGCAAGACTCTATCTCAAAAAAAAAAAAAAAAAAAAAAAGAAAGAAAGAAAATCCTAATTTTAAAATTGATTTGTTAAAAATGAGTCAAAATCTTATTTTTATAGGACAAACAGGAGAAAGCAATCCCTTATTTAGTTGGTAATTTTAGATATCATCCAACTATGAATTTCATGTATTCATTCCATGGATATTTTTGGCTACCTACTGTGTACCAGGGGACTGAGGATAGAGTGGGGACTGCATCAGACTTGTGGTCTTTGCCTTCATGAGTGTATGGGAACTAGAGGAAGACAGATTAAAAAAAAAAAAGTATGATGACTATTAAGCCAGGAGAAGCAGAGGACATAGTAGGAGAAGGTCCTGGAAGCCTTCAAAACATAATAAAAATTACTCATAATTCTGTTGTTCTAACCACACTTAATTTCTTCTCTATCTCTTCTTTTTTGCATTTTTTTCCTCTTTGCATGCTCACTGTTTACACTCTTCCAGTCATGGTGTAAGGCTTCCTCGGCATTCATTACTGTGGCTTCATTACCATGGCTAAATAAATCCCAGCTGTTATTCACCCTGGAGCATGTTACAGAGTTGCCAAAGCGAGAAGCATCTCCCGTGTACATCAATTTTCAGTGGTGGCTCTTATTTGTGACTTTGAATTTGGGGCTTACATTTGATACCATTGTTTGTTGCCTCTGTTCACAGTGACTTCATAATTGCTGCATGTCTCTCCAAGCTGGCAGTGACCCTGGCATCTCATTTTGCCTCAGATTCAATTGCTTTGGAGCATGACCATCTGTGATCATTTAAATTATTGTTCAGCAAATAATCCCTCCTCTCCCCTCCCACCACAGGCAGAGTATACTTCTCTGTCTTGTTGACTTTGGACTTGGCCATGTGACTTGCCTCGGCCAAAAGACTAATAGCAGAGGTACCATGAGCTGAGGCCCTAAATGTGCTTGCACATTGCTCTTGGATCTTGTGCTCTGGGGATCCAACCTGGGGAGTGATTGTCCCAGGTAGCCATTGGTCTGGGGAGGATGAGAGACATGTGGAACAGGTCTATACTCAACCCATACGCAAGTTCAGCTGATCTTACCTAGAGTGGAGTCACTTAGGGGAGCTCAAACTCAGTCAGTGTTTTGCTGTAGAGCACTGAGTTTGGACAGTTTGTTCTGCAGCACTGTGGTGGCAAGAGCTGACTAAATTCAGTATCTCTTTGATGCCCCTCTCCAGGGCACCTCTAAGTGAATTTTGTATATGCCATAGGGGCTGCATATTAACACTACTTTAAATGAGTCTAACCATTTTTACATTATGTAGTACTATGAATTTATTCAACAATCATCATATTAAACCTTTACTAGAGACAGGCAACATGGGAACAAGAGAGATGAAGAGTACAGCCCCCGATCTCTTGGACTTTAAAGTCCAGTAAGGAAGATGGGCTTAAGTGACCACATACATAAATGCATAATTACAATGTGAGATCAACCCCCGAACACAATTCTGTAAGTGCATTAACAAGGAAACCTGACCTAGACTAGGGAGTCTGAAGGTTTGCTATGGAAATCTATGGGACTAAGTTCCATATTTATCCATATGGATGAGGAATAATACTAATATTAGCAAAATATTTAATTTAAAAAATACCTTACTTTGGGAGGCTGAGGCGGGCAGATCACGAGGTCAGGAGATCGAGACCATCCTGGCTAACACGGTGAAACCCCGTCTCTACTAAAAATACAAAAAAATTAGCCGGGCATGGTGTCAGGTGCCTGTAGTCCCAGCTACTCAGGAGGCTGAGGCAGGAGAATGGCGTGAACTCAGGAGGCGGAGCTTGCAGTGAGCCGGGATCGCACCACTGGACTTCAGCCTGTGCCACAGAGCAAGACTCCATCTAAAAACAAAAACAAACAAACAAAAAAAAAACCTTACTTGTTGCTAGATGTTGCTTTAAGGGCTTTAAAAATATTGACTTGCTTAGTCCTCAGAACTCCTTTGTCACTGGCAATTAGTCCAGCAGAGAGCAAGGGTGGTTTCCGAGGCTACATCCTGGGCTGAAGGAACCACGAAAGGAAAGGCCTTGGAATATGTGAGAACTCTGCACATTTGGGGCACTGAAAGATACTCATTGTTGCTGAGGGCAGAGAGCCTGACGGAGAGGATGAAATGGTGAGGATGGCAGGGTTAGCCTTGGAGGGCCTTTGTTTGCATTAGCAAGGATTTTGATCTTCCTGAGAACAACGAGAAACCACTGAAGGGTTTTAAGTAGGACTCGGAATAAGTGGTGTGATAAGATTAACATTTAGTACAGATAGTTTAAGATGCTCATTGGAGAATGAATCAGAGAAACTCAAGAAGGGATGAAGGGAGATCAGTAAAGGGGATCTTGCAATAAACCAGGTGTGAAATAATGATACTTACATTAGGGTGATAGACATGGAAATGAAGATAAGACATATTTGAGTGGTATTAGGAGATGACATTTGCAAATTTAATTATCGTCGTCATCATCATCATCATCATCATCATCATCATTCTCACTCTGTTGCCCAGGCTGGAGTGCAGTGATGTGATCATAGCTCACTGTAGTCTCAAACTCCTGAGTTCAAGTGATCCTTCCACCTCCTGAGTAGTTCAGACTACAAGTGCATGCCACCATACCCAGCTAATTTTTAATTTATTCTATTTATTTATTTTTTGTAGAGACAGGGTCTTACTTTGTTGCCCAGGCTGGTCTCGAACTCCTGGCTTCAAGTGATCCTACTACCTTGGCCTCGCAATGTACTGGGATTACAAGTGTGAACCATCGTGCCCAGCCAGAGTTTAATTATTTAGTAGAAACTCTCAGTATTATTTGTTAGATTCACTGTTGAATGTCAACATTTTACACATATCTGTGTAATCTCCATGTTAGGCTTCCCACGGGAGGCACAGAGCTTGGAGAAAGAAGTGGTTTTCTGGTTCCTCTTCAGAGGATGGAGAGGAGACCTTCTGCCTGCAGTGAAGGTGGGTGCTGGTGGCATTGAAGGTAGTGAATGAATCTCTGACTGGAGAGAACATGTTCTGTGTTTGCCCCTAGTGGTCACCACTTGGAAATGATATAAATCTGACATATAGAAGTCCATAACATTTCCACAATTCAGTATTGAAAGCCCCATCTGGTTTTTTTGAGATAGAGTCTCACTCTATCGCCCAGGCTGGAGTGCGATGGCTCAATCTCGGTTCACTGCAAGCTCCGCCTACTGGGTTCACACGATTCTCCTGCTTCAGCCTCCCAAGTGGCTGAGATTACAGACACCCACCACCACGCTCAGCTAATTTTTGTATTTTTAGTAGAGACAGGGGTTTCACCATGTTGCCCAGGCTGGTCTCGAACTCCTGACCTCGAGTGATCCACCTGCCTCGGCCTCCCAAAGTGCTGGGATTACAGGTGTGAGCCACCGTACCTGGCCTGTTCTTGAAATATTATCATTTTAGATTTTTGTGAAGGAATCAAAGGCTTACGTTGAGAACACTGAATAATCTTGAAGGATGTTTTCAGTGCTGAGGCTTCCCACAGTGATTTAGGATGGATTTCATGTTGCTTTTCCTAGGTTTGGGAGGGTATTCAGCTTTTCTCTGGGAGCTAAGTGTTTGTCCACTTAATGTTCCTTAGTCTTAAAAGTGTTCTTACCTGAGTGTAAGCGCCAAACCTAAAATAAATGCAAATTTAAGTGAATTTAACTCCATTCTGTTTGCCTTCTCCATCTAAAAGGAAATCTGATTTTAGATTGAAAGGCATTTTGGAATATATTATAATATTTTAGGTGATAAATAGGTTATGAATAGTTTGCTTCTGGTAGGTTTTTCCTGAGCATTTAAAAATTGAATTTCCAAGTAGAGTTATTTGATTATAATTCCGAGATACCAATACCATTTCATATAACACCTTTAATACAAAGCTTTCTAAGAAAAAAAAGGGAATGTACCTAATATACAAGGCATTTTGTATCAAAAACAGTTTTAATATTGAAATAATGATATTTGTTATATGAATATATGTACATCATGTATGTATTAGTTTCCTGTTTCTATGACAACACATTCCTGCACATTTGGTGGCTTAAAACTTATATACATTTATTCTTTTACAGTTCTGGGGGTCGTAAGTCTGAAGTCAGTTTCCCTGGGCCAAGATCAAGGTGTCGGCAGGGCTGCACTGGCTCCGGAGGCTCAGGGGAAGCATCCGTTTTTTGGCTTTTCCGGCTTCTGGACCCACATTCCTTGCATTCCCTGGCGCTGTCCCCGTTCTCCATCTTCAAAGCCAGCAGCGTGGCACCCACTCTCTCTGACTCCGCTTCCACCGGCTGGCATCTCACAGCTTTCTTCTCTTCTGTGTCAAATCTCCTGCCACCTCTCTCTTATAAGGACACTTGGATTGCATTAAGGTCCCAGCTAGATTATCCTGGATTATCTTCCCACTTCAAGATCCCTAATCACATCTGCTAACTCTATTCCGCGATGAATGGTAACATTCACAGGTTCCAGGGACTGGGACGGGATGCTTTTGCAGGCCATTACTCAGCCTGCCGCAAGGTCTGAAGGCAGTGCTGTCCGATTCCATTGGCTAGTTATGACTGTGCGCCGAGGCAGACTCGACAACTAGATACCTTTTTATAAAAATGTGGTAACATGCATATAAGATTTCCTATTTTTACTGTTTCCAGGTGTAAATTCAGTGGCATTAAGTGCTTTCACACTGTTGTGTAACCATCACCACCATCCACCTCCAGAACTTTCTCGTCTTCTCAGACTGACACTCTGTACCCATTAAACAGCCATTCTCCATTCTCCCCTCCCCCAGCCACTGGCAACCACCATTCTGCTTTCTGTTTCCATGAATTTGCCTATTCTAGGTACCACATATAAGAGGAATCATACAGTATTTAGCCTCTTGTAGACACATTTTTAAAAGATTTTTTTGAACTTGTTCCCTTAATGTTCCTTAGCCTTAGAATTGTTCTTACCTAAGTGTAAGTGTTAAACCTAACATCTATATGTAGATCTATACAACAAATATTCTCAAATCATTTAATTTGTGACATGCCTGCGGGTCAGGGCAACATCTAATGTAAAAGTTAGATGCACCTGAAAAGAGTCACCAATATTCCTGCCTATTAGAATTTCCAAGGATAGGCAGGGCGTGGTGGCTCCTGTCTGTAATCCCAGCACTTAGGGAGGCAGAGGCAGGCAGATTACCTGAAGTCAGGGTTCGAGACCAGCCTGGCCAACATGGTGAAACCCCATCTCTAATAAAAATACAAAAATTAGCCGGGCATGGTGGCACGTGTCTGTAGTCCCAGCTACATGGGAAGCTGAGGCAGAAAAATCGCTTGAATCCAGGAGGTGGAGGGTGCAGCGAGCAGAGATTGTGCCACTGTATTCCAGCCTGGGTGACAGAGTGAGACTCCGTCTCAAAAAAAAAAAAAAAAAAAGAATTTCCAAGGATAATTTCTAGAATCCGCAGGATGCCCTGACTTTTATTATCCCAATAAAGAGAAGGAATGTCAAAATTTCCTTTTATTTTATTTTATTTTATTTTTTGAGAGTCTTGCTCTGTCACCCAGGCTGGAGTGCAGTGGCGCGATCTCGGCTCACTGCTACCTCCACCTCCTGGGTTCAAGTGATGCTCCTGCCTCAGCCCCCCAGTAGCTGGGATTACAGGCACTCACAACCATGCCTAGCTAATTTTCCTATTTTTAGTTAGGGATAGGGTTTCACTATGTTTGCCAGGCTGGTTTCGAACTCCTGACCTCAAATGATCTGCCCACCTTGGCCTCCCAAAGTGTTGGGATTACAGGCGTGAGCCAACATGCCAGGCCCAAATTTCCTTTTAAAGGCAGGATTGATGACAATGGCAAATATTATTTGTGGAAACATTCCCAGGTTTCCCATAATCTACTTTTGCTTTCTCTGTTAGAAGAATTGGATGAGGATGGGATTGGCTTACAGCACAGGTGCAAAACAAGTAGCTCCAAAATAAACACAAACTATCCCAATATTCCTCTCACTCAGCAGAAGTGTGGAATAATGATGTAAGCATAAGTGGTCATGAAAACTCCTGACAACTGTTTATCTGGTAAAAGGAGAGATAGGCAAAATTTCCTCACCTTTTGACTATGCAATTTACACAAGTAGACAGAACACGTTCCATCTACCCCCACCAATAAAGTTATTAGTGGTGAATTTGTTGAGCTAGAATGTCACATTGTAGGTTATTTAAAAAGTGGGTATCAATAGATTGATTGGCTGCTCATCCATTCATTGATTCTTTTATCACATATGTATTGAGAGTCCACTCTGCCAGGCTTTCTGTTCTAGCTCTGAGGATTCAGCAGTAGGGAGACAAGGTTATGGCTCTCATGGAGCTTACATCCTTTTAAGGTAGAGAAAGATAGATACATAAGTAGGCAATAATTGAACATATTATGCCGGACTGAGATAAGAGCGGTGAAGGAGATAGGGTAGTATACTAGGAACCGTGTGGGTTGAGAGACGAGGGGTTCTGTTATAAAAAAAACAGTCCCGGCTGGGCACCATAGCTCATGCCTGTAATCCCAGCACTTTGGGAGGCCGAGGCGGGCAGATCACGAGGTCAGGAGATTGAGACCATCCTGGCTAACGTGGTGAAACCCCCATCTCTACTAAAAATACAAAAAGTTAGCCGGGTGTGGTGGTGGGCGCCTGTGGTCCCAGCTACTCCGGAGGCTGAGGCAGGAGAATGGTGTGAACCCGGGTGGCGGAGCTTGCAGTGAGCTGCGATTGCACCACTGCACTCCAGCCTGGGAGACAGCCAGACTCCGTCTCAAAAAAAAAAAAGCTGTCCCACATCATCCAAAGGAACCAGCCAAGCATGAGGAGAAACAACAACCACAATGGCCATGAAATGGGAGGAGCTTGGTGTGTTTGAAGAACAAGGCCAGTGTGTGAGGAAAGAGTTGACTAAGACAAGTTGGAGAGGTTGGCTGCAGTCAGATCCATCTATTCATCCGTCCATCTGCCTATATTTAACCACTCGTCCATTTATTTATCTACTCCCCCCATCAAAAATCATTTGGGACAACTTATAAAAATATACAAGATAAAACAGACAAATGAGAGAAGGGGAGGCCAACTGGAAAAATAAAGTTGGGAGAATATTAATATGTAAACAAACACATGTCATGACACCTGTAGTTACGAAAAGTAGTCTGAAAATTCAGTTCTGAGTTTCCCAGCGGTCAAAACAAAAGAAAAATACCACCAGATATGTGATTCATAGTGTTCATGACATAAAAATAAACTATTTTCTTAGAAGAAACATTTCACCCCATCCTGAGAGTTGAGAGCAACTTCTTTATGGCATCCGTGGTGGTTTTGTATTGTGTCAACTTGGCTAAGTGGAACCACAGTTCCCAGGACCCCCTTCCCTCTGTGGCTCTGGGCAGAATTGGCTGAAAGAGAAAATGGTGGAAGACTGAGAAAGCAGAAATGAATCAACAGCTATTTGCTGTAGGTTAGCAGAGATAGATGTAGTTGAGGAAGAGACACAGAGATGCCAGTAGGTTCCAACTTATTTTTGCTCTCCTCTCTCTCTGCATCTAGCTCTTTCTGCCTGAAGACAAGAGCAACTCCACTTTACCACCAGGTGCAGCAGCAACAGCCTTCTATAGTGTCTCCATGCCAGCCTCTAGCATCTAGATGTTCCCAGCTTTCTACAGTGCCCTGTAAGCTCGCACTCTCTCCCTCTGCCAGTGTCACAGGAGGGTCGGTTAGTGACACATCCCTGATCTTTCAACCTCCTGCCTCCCTCAACCGTGTAATGTCCAAGTCCTATAATAGATCTTTCAATCTATGATGCTTATCGTGGTTCTGCTTCCCAATTCAAACCCTGGCTGAGATGTGGTCTTATGAGGGGACATTCCATGGTGTGCTGAAAGTCACCCCACAGTATCCCCATGATAAACATACAGAATAGCTGTGAATTTCTCTTAGAGAGCCCAGGACATGATCAAAACTGGATTGTCTGCCAGGCTGAAGAGACCCCAGGGTGAACAGAAAACGATGGAAGCTGCTCTCTGGCCTGCCAGCCAATCACATATTCCTTTAAGACTACCTACCATGCCAGTTCCGAACTCAGCTGCAGGCAGCCATCAGGTACTTATAAAGTAGCTGTCATGACTGGGGAACTGAATTTTAAATTTTAATTAAGTTTAAATGTAAAAACTGATAACTTGAGTCTGTTATTGAAAAACCTTTAGGTATGGCTCAGAACAACTTGGGTATATTTTCAATTTGAAATTTTATGAAACCTAAATCGGCCGGGCATGGTGGCTCACGCCTGTAATCCCAGCACTCTGGGAGGCTGAGGCAGGCAGATCACTTGAGGTTGGGAGTTCGAGACCAGCCTGGGCAATATGGTGAAACCCCATCTCCACCAAAAAATAAAAAAATTAGCTGGGCATGGTGGTGCATGCCTGTAATCTCAGCTACTCAGGAGGCTGAGGCAGGAGAATTGCTTGAACCTGGGAGGCAGAGGTTGCAGTGAGCCGAGATCACGCCATTGCACTCCAGCCTAGGTGACAGAGGGAGACTCCGTCTCAAAAAAAAAAAAAAAAAGAAAAGAAATCTAAATCCATATCAATTATTTCTGTTGAAACAGTTGAGATGGCCTGTGAGTGTAAAATAAATTCTGTATTTTGAAGACTTTGTATGAAAAAATATCATAAAATACCTAATTCATAATTTTGTATATAAATATTTTAATTAAATAAAATATATTGGTAAAAATTCAACAGTTTCTTTTTACCTTTTTACAAGAAAACTTACATTACGTATGTGGCTGGCATTGTATTTCTACCAGACAGCTACTCTGGAACTCAAGGCACCCTGGGTGGGATGACTTGTTATTTGTACGTCTTTCCGTCATCCACAGGGACTGACTCGCCTCCTGGAAATATGGCTGGAATTAGTCTGACACTGTAAAGAGGCACTGTAACTATGGGCTATCCAGTTTGGGTCAGACCTTATCTACATGCCATGGGTAATATTTTCGCTGAACCTAAGACATGAGTGAGAGACAAAAATACAAGCTAAGAGACACATTCACAATGGAGGCAAAGAAGAAAAAAAGATATCTATCTCACTTTTTTTTTTCCTAGGAAAATTTTTGTTGGGGAATTTAAATCTCCATATTCATTGCTGCTTGAGAGTGATCAAGCCTCTACGGGGACATCTCAAAATTCTGGTATAAAAAGCCCTTCTTTGTTGAAAAGAAAAGGAGACAGAGGACATTTTTATAAATGCAGACGTTAAGTAAGCACAAATTATATGCAAATAGAATTCCTTCGGGTATGTAATATTGAGTCTAGAGTAGAAATAGCTTTGGTAATGTGGCTACATTAATTGGTGCTTGTGAGGGGCAAACTGAGGCACTTTTGGATAAGAACACAGCTGATGTGACTTCTAAAACTTTCTTCATTCATCAACAGACTTTTTTGGTCCATTAGGCCCAGGGCCAGGCAGGGTGGTTGGAAGAGGGGCTTAGGGGAACCACCCTGATCATTGATTGCTCTGATTTTTTACCATACTTACCTGTGAACTCTTCTTTCTTTTTTTGAGTTAGAGTCTTGCTCTGTGGCCCCGGGTGGAGTGCAGTGGCTTGATCTCGGCTCTCTGCAATCTCCACCTCCTGAATTTATGCAATTCTCCTGCCTCAGCCTCCCAAGTAGCTGGGATTACAGGTGCCCACCACCACGCCTGGCTAATTTTTATATTTTATATTTTTAGTAGAGATGGGGTTTCACCATTTTGGCTAGGCTGGTCTCGAACGCACGACCTCATGATTTGCCCGCCTCGGTCTCCCAAAGTGCTGGGATTACAGGCGTGAGCCACTGCACTAGACTTCTCGTCTTTCTTCCCAATTATGTGTGCGAGTCTATTTATAAAGGCATTGCGCGTCCCTAAGGAGTTAGGGGGCTGGCAGGCTGGCTTGGGTAGTGGCTCCTAACTGTAGATAATTTGCACTTTTGTGTTCTCTGTAAGAGGAGGGAGGGGTACTATGAAGTCTGTATCTGACCCAAACTGGATGGCCCATAGTTACAGGATAGGAATGAGTGAGGAGGGGTGGGTGGTGGTGGGGTCTACTCCGCTTGGGTTTCTAGCATTGTCACTGGGTGAGCAATCAATGATCAGAAAAGCACCACCCTTGTCTTCTAAGTGAGGAAAAATAAATATAAGCCAAAGGAAAAATTTAGAGAAAAGGAAATTATAACACTTAGGAGTAGTCTAGGTGTTCCCTGACATCATTAATCATTCATTTGGCTTCCTTATGGTTCTTCTCATTTAAAAAAAAACAAGTGTGTAAGAGGGAACAAGGAATTGGCCATCGGGGTTGAAGGAAGAGCCACTTATGATGAATGGTGGCTCCTTGTGGAAAGTGCTTTGTGTTACAATTTTAAACTTATTTCACTGAGGATTTCAAGCAAAAAATATACCCTTTATCGATGTGCTTCAGCCTCTTTTGCTTCTTTATTCACCTGGCTCCTTGGGGATAACAGAGGTCACTCTGGGAAATAGATTATTGACTCGTACTAAAATGTTACTACCAGAAATGGTAAGGCTGGGTCAATTCTAGTGAATGCTGGTCACTTGGAAGAGTTTTAACAAACACGAAATTTAAACTGTGAGTGTAGTCCCCTAGGTGATTAATCAACAATCAGTTTGGCAAAGGAATTGTTTTCTTCAATTCATCGTACTTACCTGCGAGTCGTGACGTCCTTTCCTCTTTCTTCCCAATTATGGGTGTGAGCCTATCTATAAAGGCATGGCGCACCCCTAAGGAGTTAGGGGGCTGGCAGGGCTGGCTTGGGCATTGGCTCTTAACTGTAGACAATTTGCAGTTTTGTGTTTTCTGTGAGAGAAGGAAGGGGAACTATGAAGTCTGGCTCTGTGGCACTGCCCCCTGAATATTAGCTCATTCTGCTCGGGGAGGATTTAAACTGTGCTTACACCTCTTGTAGCCTTGCTTAGGAACTAGCATGGAGTGGTTTCCGAAATACAGTGTGTGCGCTGTGGGCATACAAAAGGAAAATGTTAGAATTTCCTTTTCTATTTTTATCTCATTCCCCTTTATCTATTTTTTTAAGCAAATGTTTTATGCTGTACCTAATCTAGTAGAGTACATGTTCACAATCCCTTATCCACGATCCTGATGTTTAAAAAGCTCTGAAAATCTGAAGTTATTTTGTAATTCATTTGGCCATTCAGCCTGAACTGACCTGAACTGGTGTGGCAATAGTCTTTATTTAATGCAATTGGTAGGAATAATTAGAATAGTCATGCATTTCTTTGTAGAACTCTTAATGTGTTTTCATTATGTGACGCTGCCCTGGATCCCCACTGGGGTGTTACATAATGTATGTTATTTGCACCCTATTATCTTGCTAAAATTGGAAAAATCTGAAGCATATTTCGTTCTAAGCATTTTGGGTAATTATTGTGGACATGTAGTTGAATATAACTTATAGATGAAAAAATAGGCATATGTTGTGGGTGCAAGCTCAAGGGTTTTTTGTTTGTTTTGTTTTGTTTTTTTTTTTTTTTTTACTAACACGGCGTGTGAATCTTGGAGCCCACTGCACCAGACCATGGTGACTCTGACGTTAACCTCATCAGGACCCAGGCCTCCTAACTCATCCAGCAGGCCAGGCCAGGCAGTGACTCTTACTGAGCGCCCTTTGCTTACCCACCTTGCTTAAAGACAGGTGGGAGAAGGACAGATGCGCTGTGCAAACCAAAGACAAAAAGAATAAAAGGTTCTATATATCTTCGTTGGAAGAGTCTCATAGCCTAGAGCCTGACAAGACATTTCTTAGGATGGAGAACTCATGGCTGAATTCTAGAAATTAAGGTCTATTTTCTACCCATGCAAAATATTGTGATATTTTTGGACAATTAATGGAAGCAATTGTTTATATTTTGAATGAGAGACAGAAAGAGACAGAGAGAGAGAGAGAACAAGAATATAGGTTTGTAAATTATGAATTAAGTAGAAATTTCCAGTTTCTTAACTCTCATGATGTAATGATGAAATCATAGTAACAAGAGGAATTGAATGATTTAAAGGAATGTGAACAATTGGTACAGTATCTCGAAAATTTTTTTTTTTTTTTTTTTTTTTGAGATGGAGTCTTGCTCTGTTGCCCAGGCTGGAGTGCAGTGGTGCAATCTCGGCTCAGGGTTCACAACATTCTCCTGCCTCAGCCTCCTGAGTAGCCAGGACTACAAGCGCCCGCCACCACGCCCAGCTAATTTTTTTGTATTTTTTTTTTAGTAGAGACAGGGTTTCACTGTGTTAGCCAGGATGGTCTTTATCTCCTGACCTTGTGATCCACTTTCCTTGGCCTCCCAAAGTGCTGGAATTACAGGCATGAGCCACAGCGCCTGGTCTCAAAAGTGTTTTTAAGGAGACTTCCTCAGCTTTTTCATAAGTCATCACAATGTTTATTTTATATTCAGTGCCTAACAAAAGAAACTTTGTGCAATTCTGAAGGATTTTGCCTACAAACTTTTGCATTTGCCTTTGTGGCCAGGATGCAAAATCCTTTCTGCTAAGGGGCTTGGACATTTGTGATGGTATTTATTCCATAGTAGCAGAATGCCTGGTGTAGTATTTGCTCCTGGAGTTTTTTGGTTGACTCTGGGGGCACCGAGTGTCACTCTGACTCCAGTAAGTAATGCCAATGGCACAGGTAGATGGATCTGACAGGTCTGAGGACTAACAGCATCTCAGTCGCCTTTCTCCAATGAAGGCTATACATCAGCACTTGGAATCTGCTGGAGCCGAAGAGGGTGACAAGGGAATAACATCCCTTTCTCTTCCATCGACAGGGGTAATAACTCCTCACTCCCTAGGGACAGATTGTAAAAGCCAATAGCCAGGAGCTGTGAAGCAGGGAGGGTAGAAGAATTGAAAATTAAAGAGGGAGTGGAAATTTTGCGTAAGGCTTTAGTGAGATAGAATAAACCATCAAACGTCAATCTTTTAATTGCCTTGTTGTTGACACGGGTTTGCAAATGTTCGTTTTGATTGCTTATTTTAAGTCGATTGTTAAAAGTCATGTATATTACATAAATGTGGGTTTATGCTTTATTGTGTAGGTTTTACTAGTGAATGTTATAATAGCCTGATATTTAATATCTAAATTTCTTCAAGTCATTGTTTTAAAGTCCTTATTGACAATATATTTTAAAATATCTTTTTAAGTAAGATGCATCAAATGCATTAGGCTGCTTAGTTATTTAATCTGATGTCTTTATTTCCTCTTGCATACCTGTGTATTTATTACAGCTGAACATGAGGGTATTTGGTGTATGCATATTACATACAGTATTTCCTGAAGGTTAATAAGAATTTCTATTTTCAAATAACCATCACAATGACTTCAGTGCCCTGTGGACATCAGTCTTCTGGTGGCAACCAATAGCAAACAGATAGTTCTTAAGGTCTGTAGTACTAAGAAGAGTTTCACATTCATGGCACCACATGAATAAGTGAGTTTTGGGACCCAAATGTTGCTTTGAATTAAATGTGGTACAAAGAAAAATTTGACTTTTTAGAATATCGTACTGTTTGGAAACAGATACCTTTGGACGCTGCCTGCTTTGCAGGAAACACACTTATTTAGTTTTTAAACTAGGACTGGTGTTTAGTTAAATCTCCTGCGGACTCAGTTCACTGAAGGTGACAGAAGTACTCACTCGAACTCAATGAGAAGTCGACGCGACTGTAAATTTTTCAGGCAGCGACAGGAGATCTTGTTATAGGAGTCAGAACGGGGGTCAGGGCAGAGCCTGTTGATGATTGAGGAAAAGAGAAGTAAATTCATTCTGCTTCAGGCACTTTGTCAAGTGCCAGTAGCTTACCATTGAGAGCTAGTCACCCGTTCTAGTCTTACAGCCCCAGAGGTCACTCATTTGATATAAATCATAGCACCGCATAGGCGCGGCAACCTATTGCCACTCGGGATGAAATAAAAAAGAGGAATGCTGCTTTCGGAATGGAAATGACTACGAATATCCCACCACATGTTGCTGTTTAATGCAATATGTGGTTAGATATTGATCTCCCGAATCAAGTCATTAAAATGTGCAGTTTTTGTTTATTGGAATGAAGCAATTAAATGGTTCAGTTATGCCAGACCTTACCTTTTCTGATGAAAACTATTGATTTCTTGCCACAGCTTTATAAGCGACAATGTTTTTGATTACTCTTGACAAACCTCCTTGGAGTGTTAATTAAAATCGTACCAGATGAGCAGGTGTGGGAGATCATTAGATCGCCCGGATCACACATCTCCACTTCATATTCTGCAGCCTTGCATAATGAATAGGGCACAAGAGGGGAAAAACAATATCTTCATCAGCAGAATTAGCATCTTCACTTTTTAAAAAACTAGGTGACATTACATTTTATAGTACAGATGCTGTTGAATCATTGGCTCATTCCTACCACTACATTTGATCAAAATTTGCTTTTTATGTTTTGCTTTAATTTTTTGAGTATCTAATGAGTTGCTGTTGTTGGTTCTGAGGTAGAAAATATTTAAACACTTATTTACACAGAAAATTGAGGAATCAAATAAAGCTCTTTCACTGCTTATGCAGATGAAGTCATGAATATTAATGTGGTTCATTTAACACTTAAAAAAATCCCCTCAGTAAGATAGCCTCGATGTGATTTTTAAAAATCTTTTACTACTTATTTTTGGGACCTGTATAAAATATGATTATTTAGAAATATGCTCTCTTGAAGACTGCAGTCTGTTGATTTACAATAGAACTTTTTTTGTGGCTATTAAAAGATTGTTACATTTGAAAAATCAAAAATACTTAAATGATAATTTATAAAATCAGAAGCAAATGATATTCAGTTTTTGAGAAATGAATAATCTTTACATTGATGCCATTTATTATGGAAGATGATTTAATTATTACTTCATTAATATGGGCATTGAAATGGACTTTTTTTCGTTTTTGTATAATGCAAGGAATTTAGCTAATTGGAATTAGATTTAAAATCCTCTGTGAACTGGTGTCTATAGATAGAAAGACAGCTTGTATTTCTCAGAATCATAGGACCTGAAGAGAACTTTAAGAGGTCATCTAATCCAATCCCCTGCTGCCAAAGTAGCTGTTTAAAAATGCACTATTTTTCATTAGTCTGGAATTTTAAAAAGGATTAATGAATTTATAAATGTATTATTTACAATGTTCTGATCATGTACGTCTAACTGGAGCTGTTAGATTTTGAAATAATAAGTTGTATGTGTGTGTTTTAAAATATTGACTTCTTCTAGTAGAATGATTTATGGTTTACAAAGTGTTTTTCCATTTATATTCTTTCATTTGATTAATAACCAAGTTTTACATCTCAGGAAATGTCTTATAATTTTTTAAATGAAACTCTGGCTCAGTTTACCCAACTGACTTAGAAATATTTATATAATCAAATTATTTGATGTTACATTGTTGTTTCATAGCTGCTATTATGGATAGCTTCTAGAAAGCATAAATAAACCCTAAATTGTTATTTCTATCTTATAGGTGAATGTTATTTATGTTTTGTAGGTGAAATATAAAGTTCAGATAGAGCTTCAATCCAATTTTCTAGTACTAAAATCTCATTTCCTATTTCTAACAAGTCCCACAAATACTAATTGTGCTCTACCAACCACTTAAGCAAAATATTACAAATAATATACATATAACTTTGTAGAATCTCAGAATTCTAATCTTAGAAACTATATGTGCTTTGTATTTCTGCATAACAAGCCACCACAAAACATAGTAGTCTATAAGAAAGAAATTATTTAGTTTGCTCATGAATCTTCAGCTTGGATCTCATCTCTGCCCTATGTGGCATGGGTGGGTCAGCTGACTCGGGGCTAGAGAATCCGTTTTCAAGATGGCTCACTCTGATGGTTGGTGAGTTGGTCCTGAATGTCATCTAGGAATCAAGCCAGAGCTGGGGCCAGGGACTTTCCATGTGGGCCTATCTGTGAGGCAGCTTGCGTCTCCTCCCAGCCTGATGGCCGGATTCCAACAGAACAAAGCAAAAGTACATGGCATTTAAAGAAATCTAGCCTTAGAAGGTGCACAGCATCATTCTCACTATATTGTTCGTTGAGGTCGTCGTAAATGTCTTCTCAGGTTCAAAGAAAGGGGGCACAGACCCCAGCACTTGCAGAGAGGAGCACCAAGGTCAGAAGAGCTTCTGGAATGGGAGACGTTATGGCCATCTTTTGAAGACACAATTTGCCACAGAAACTATTTGTTCACTCCCTTCATGTTACATATATTATCTTGGATATGGCTTAATTTGAGAGAGGTAAAAGTAAATGGAAAAAAACAAACGTGATTCTAATAATTCAACTATAGTTATTCTTTAAAACTATATGCTTTAAGTTTTATTTCAAAGAAAAGGGCATAAAGATAGGTCATTTTAAATAAGTTTTGAGTATAAAAACACTTTGAAATCTATTATGTTAGATACAAAGGCAATAAAGACTATGAATTTTTAAAAAATCATAATAATTGTTTAATCCACATCTACTTCACCATCCTTTGGAAAATCAGTTAAGTTCTGATGAAAATTTCTGTTTCTGAAAATTTTAACTATTTGGTCATTTGTTACTGTTGTTTATTGTTATATTAGAAACTCATAGTGGTTTTTTTTTTGTTGTGACAATTGTGCTTGATGTTTGCTAAGACTCAAGATTGCTGCACTGTAGAATTACAGATGCAGAACCCTTAAGGGTTTTTTCATTCATTCAATGAACATTTATTGTGCTTCTATGATGTACTGTTCTAGGCACTTCAAAAGTTATCCTGAGAGTAGTGCACAATACATGCAATAATACACATATACACATGTATATTTTATTTACCAGACGTAACAGAGAATACTCTTCCAGTAATCTTCTCTGTGCTCTTTTTCTTTTGAACTATCGAACACGGTTTTTTGCTTAATTTGTAATCATGAAAAAATTAGGAGATAAACGCAATCTTTAGAAACTATTGGAAAAGTTGTCTTGCTCTTGACACGTAATTAATCCATAAGTGGAACTAAGAATCTTTGGTATAATTTGTTCAATACAACATAGAGATCTCTCTCAAAAATAACTTATTTATCTGTCTATTAATGTATCTTAAAAATATATTGTCATAGATCCTTATTTGCCTATATAATGACTTTACATAATTAAATTTTCAGTAGATTTTTGTCTAGTGACCAATTTTGATCAATAACCATTTGTTGAAACAATTCACTGTAGCAGGCATCTTTGCATGCACTGTCTCGTTTAATCCTTAGATGAAATCTATGATGGGATATTAGTATCCCCATTTCATAGATTAGTCTATCTGGTTCTCAACGTTTCCCCCTTTCCTACAGGCTTTTCCTTACCTGTTTCGTGCCACCTAAGATAAAGAAGGAAAGGGTGACGATTGTGGTACTTGTTAGAACCAAATGTTATCTAAATCATGGTACCCAGAGTTATATCAATCATAGATTTCACCTATACATAAACTTTCTCCCCTTCATTTCGACTTTTCATTGAGATCTGGCAGGACACCAAACACAAGAGGTATCATTATGTTTCCAGCATGAACAAGAATCTGAGATCAAGTTGTTATGATACAGGTTGAGCATTCTGAATCAGAAAACCTGAAATTCAAAATCCTCCAAAATCCGAAACTTTTTGAGCACTGACCTGATGCTGCAACTAGGAAATTTCACACCTGACCTTATGTGACAGGTTGCAATCAAAACTTTGTTTTATGCACAAAAGTATTAAAAATATTGTATAAAATTACCTTCAGGCTATCTGTATAAAGTGTATGTGAAATATAAATGAATTTTGTGTTTAGACTTGGGTCCCATCCCCAAGATATCTCATTATGTATATGAAATATTCCAAAATCCAAAAGAATCCGAAATCCTACAACACCTCTTGTCCCAAATATTTCACATAAGGGATACTCAACTTGGACATCATCTAGTTTCTATGTTTTCTGTAGTGAGGTAAAATTGCATTTATTAAATCATTTTTAAATGATGTAGTAAAAAAAAAAAAAAAAGAAGTCAGAAATATAATTGTATCTCAAGCGATCCCAGCTCCATCATGCCTCATCTGTGTTTCACCAAGCAGCAGCAACAGCAGTGGGTTCGAAGAGCTCCAGAAGTGCAAATTTAGCATTTCGCAGATGTTCCAATAAAGCCAAACTGGCTGGTAAGTGAGTCAGGGCAGATTTTTAAGCCCTTTCTTTGCTCTGCAGGGCGCCAACTGTGCTTGTGTAATCTTTATACAAAGTAATGTTGATCTGTTTCGTTCTCTTTTTGCAGTGGCATTTTTCACTTGAATGATTCTGCTTCGTGCAACATCAGGATAAGCACGCGGAGGCTTCTTTGCATTAGAAAGTAAACATACGTATGCACAATTGCACACCACACAGTGGTTCGTGCGGGTGGAGGAGATTGTGCTTTTAAGGAATAATCTCTCCTCTTCAGAAAACTAACCGCTTTATATGTTTATCGGGCAGATTTTCTTTGGTGGTGTTTTAATGGCTTGTTTGTCAGACATGTTGCATATTAAACAAGCAAAGCCTGGCTTCTCTTAGGATCCAAGGTCCTCTTTATTCTCTCCTCCATATTGGAAATCATTCCTGTCAGCTCGTGCTCTCCAAGCTGCCTGGAAGAACTTTGGCATAGTTTTCCTAACCTTTCAAACAGTAAAAGCAAAACTCTCCTTTGATAAAAAAGCCGGAGGACTTTGGCATGTAGCCATAAAGGATGCAGGCGACTCGGCTGCGATCTGACAGAATAATCCACAAAACACTGAAAAGTTCTCGTTAAGGTCCCCAGAGTGGGCTGAGGCACTTTGCTTGTACTTAACATATATCAACTGTCACCCGGCGGCAGTCAGTGTTGAACTGAACACAATGGAACATCCAGATGGTCTAAACAAAGCGAACAAATGTTCACTGCTATTAAAAGCTGTTTACATCAACTTCCAGGATTTCATGTAGTGAAGTTTATATTGTGTCACTACTGAGGTGCTTAGCTCTGTCTGCATTGAAGAGCGGCCTTTTAAAAACTCCTGTTGCTTATATGCTCATGCTCTCAGCACCTAGTGGAAAGTGAAGTTGAATAGTAAGTTAGGAAATTGCATAATGTCAACTAGTCATGCAATTTCAGACATTTTAAGTGATTTGCCCCCATTCTGTTATATTGGTCATCTATTGCAGCCTCAGCTCCAGACCCAATAAACACAAAGCAGACCCTCTTCTCTGATGGGGGTGTGTCATGGATGGATGGATGGGTGGGTGACCGCTATCTGCTTCTGCAGACAGGGCCTCTGAGTCTCGTTGGCTCCTCACTGGGGATGTTTACGCAGTAATGGTTTTGTTTTCTTCCTCTAAGATGCTGCGATATCAGATCCTGTCTTATTGGGGATTAATATACATGAGCGATAAACCCACACTTTTTCTGTCTTCTTCCTTTGACCTCTTTATGGCATCTCTTTTACAAATTCCAGACACACTGCCTACATTGTTAAAGATTTGTTGTTGCCATTAATAACAATACTCATATAAAAGGTGTCCAGCTTATTTATGGTTAAAGAAGAATCTACAAAAACTGTCCCTCTTTATTAATCACTACCAATTCCTCTTGGCATAACATAGCTAAACGAATAAGTAAATACTAAAAGAATACTATTTATTAATTTGCTCTACAAATCATAGTATAACAAAATAGACCCTCATACATGCAAGCTCATTAATTAAAATAATTATTTTCTATATAAACATCATTTTAACTCAATTTTATGTTACATTTGTGTTAAATTTTACACACCCCCAAAATAATCGTATATCATTTGTTGTCATTTTTGTTGTTACCATACTTTTTTATTACCATGAAGACTTTTTAAAGAGACGTGATCTCATAAATGATTAAACTCAAACGTTTAAGAAAATATGATTTGTTGGCCTTATTTTCACCAGAAATGAACTTTTGTTTTAAGATCAAGATGGATATTGAATAATGTCATATGCCATGATACACAGCTGAATTTTACTGATGATATGTATGTCCTCAAAGAAAGATTGATGTGGGCTCCTTATGAGCTCAGTAAAAGTGGATTGATCTCTATTGCATGGGGAAACTTCTGTCTTCACAGTTGTTCTGGTAAATGGGATCATTTCAATACATTTGGTAAGGAACGGGTTTGGATCTGTATTTTTTTATAGGGTTATAGGCCTCCTTCCTTGCATAATCACATGAGATTCAAAGTTTCAGATCCCTTGCTTCAGTTTAGAGAAAAATATATTGTCTATAAAAAGCCAAACTAGTATAGTAGACGGCGCGTACACAATGATACTAATACACAAGGAACAGCACAGCCCTCTCTAGAGAGCTTTTAAGAGTTGGGAACTTTTCACTGACAATAATTTTGTTAAATACTGTGTCAAGAGGCAACATGAAAGCTATGAAAACATCATGTGCACCTCTATAATTTGGATTAGGGAGATACTTGTATTGGTTGTTGGTATGTGTGGTATTTTTCACAAATGTCTCAGAGCAATTGGATAGGATTTTGGAAATATGGACCGTACAGATGTGAAAATAAAAAGTAACAAAACAAGAGCTTCAGCTTTTGCCGGGGGTCAAGCACTATGCCCACTTCAGACGAGCCATTCCAAGCCTGTCTGTCAGTCCCAGCGCAAGCTGCTCCATTTCCTGTTTATGCCTGTGCAGAGTTCCACATCCGGGCGAGCTTGCCTTCAGCGGCAGGTTTTTCCGCACGCCCCAGGAGAGCTCTTCCTTAAAATGGCTCATTATTTATCATCTAAGTAAGCCATTGGAATTTTGTTAATTCCTGTTTTACTTAGCACATGCAAAATGCTATCATTATCTAGGAGAAGATAATGTTAACTTAAAATTGTTACCCAGAGTACTAATTAAGTGACCTTTGCAAAACAAATCTGGTCAGGGAGTCTATGAAGTAGAGAAGACAGATGCCAAGTTTATTGCCTTCCAGGCCCTTGGGTATATAACCTAGGGTTAACAGCAATTAAAACCTGGCTAGTTATTTGAAGAAATGCTAGCACTTTATCTTTACTCAATTGCTTAAAATGTAGAAATCTCTTTGGCTTTGGCCAAATATTGAATTAGCTGAAATTTACCCGGCATCCTCCTCGTTCATCTCGTCTCTTTCTAACTCATAGGTATCCAGGTTCTTCGTTATTTCTGTCCCATCTACACGTGGAGAGATTAAGATAAACTAGTTCACACTCCAGTGTAAATGATGCTTGGCTTAATAGCCTTTCCTAGGGATATTTGTATTTTAAAAGAAGACAAAAGTCTAAGCTAAGAAAATAAAATTCTCAAATTTTAGGCGTTAGTTTGCTTGGTAGGAGAGGTATTTCTGAGGGTAAGCAGAAACTTCTTAGCACCCCTGTATATCAGTCCCCCCGTAGATCAGCCCCTGAAATTGATCCTTAAAGCCAGGTCTACATTGTATTGCCTTCCATTCATTAGATGGTATGGCACACTTAAAAAAAATTCAAATTTAGAATTTAGTACATGTTTATGTAGTGAGAAGCTACAAACTTGAGGTTTCTGTTTTTTCCCCCCCTGAAAATCTTCTGATGACCTCATTTCTTATTTATTTATTTATTTTATTGTTTTAGAGATGAGGTCTCCCTATGCTGCCCAGGCTAACTTGAACTCCTGGCCTCAAGCAGTCCTCCTGCGCAGCTGGGACTTCCAGAGGGCACCACCTCACCTGGCTCATTTCTTAATTCTATCTCAAAAGAAGGAGTCCCTTGTTTGCCATTTTTTTAACTTATTCTTTCTAAAACATACTACTTCTTTTCAAACATTTTTTTGAATTACATAATATCATTTTTATCAATGTTACATTTTCTTTTAAATTTTATTGACTCTTTAAAAAGTACCACAATAAGTTGAATTATCACCCCAGTTTCCAATTTTTCCCTTTTCACTTACTCCTATGAGCCAACCAAGGGTGTTTTGGGTAACATGTGCCATTCAAAAATTTGGGGAATGAAAAAGTATGAAGTGTGTAAAATGTTTGCTGATAGGCTGTTATTAAAAAGCAGGGTAAAATGAACATTCTGATTGAAGATTTTTGCTTATTAATGATTTTGATTCTATGACATTCACAATATTTATTTACAGCTTCTGCCTTAATTATTACACTAAGAAACATTTTTGCTTTGGAGTAATTGATGGAGAAATCTTTCAACACATTGCACTCTGATTTATAAAAGAGCACAAGATTAAAGTTGGGAAGATTGTATTA
The DNA here is from genome assembly GCF_000001405.40 of Homo sapiens. Lineage (NCBI taxonomy): Eukaryota > Metazoa > Chordata > Mammalia > Primates > Hominidae > Homo > Homo sapiens. Next base: position 200,239,285 of record NC_000001.11, on the reverse strand, counting down.
ATCTGACACTAGGTCTCCCTGTAACATACCTGATATATGGTGTGATCACAGTAAAGATGTAATTAAAAGTCAAGAGAGTATATCCCAATATAATTGCAAAAAAAAAAAAAAAAAACCACCAAAGATTTAGTGGCTTTGCAAATAATTAAAAATGCAACACTTATTTATCCTTTTTCTCTTTCTTAAAATTTTTTTTTGTTTTACTTTGCCTTTTCCCACACATTCTAACACTCATTTATTTTATTAGGGCTGAAACACATCCAAGTCCAAATATAAGATTTGATGGAATTAAAAAGCTTGTAGCTAGAATATTATGGTACCCTCTTGTCACTGGGCCTTGAGAATGTATTTAGTAATCAAAGGCTTGTGGTCTGTAAGGGGTCTTCTAGTTCTAATACTGTATGATTTGGCTACTTCCCCCAAGTTACTTCCCCACTCATCTGTAGATCTTTTTTCTGACAGTCCTTATTGTACCAAGGTTGCCCCATTATCTACAGCTCAGAACTATTTACATTTAGAATACTGAACAATATTGCTTACTTACTGTCTGTTTTTTACTAAAAAATTATTCACGAATTGTCATGATTCTGTGTTATATGGCTAATTGATTAGAAGGCAGTAAAAATTCAGTATCTCAATGAGTACTCCACAATCAGCCATATTTATAAACTTAGTTTCATAAAAATAGAGTATGATGCTCTGTTGGCCATAGAATGACTAAACACTGAAATCCTTCGAGAATCACACTCATGTTGCGTGACGCATCAGCACACATGTTTTATCTATCATCAAAAGGGCATCCCATTTAAGGCTTTTCCCCATGGTAATCAAGGTTAAAGTCAGAGAAAAATTGTATTCCCTTCAGAGGGTACATCAAGATGAGCTGAATAGTTTCAGAAGACTGGCCTGCTGGACCAATTCTTTTTTATGATAATATCATTTTAACTAAATTTGACTTTCCCAACTCACTGCCAAGATGTTTGTTGACTCTTTTCTCAAGCAAGCCTTGATTTCTAGTAACTTTAGCATGGAGGAAGGAGTATAATAAATATTTCTCTTATTATTACAATTTATCTTTTTTCAATTGCTTGTTAAAAAGACTGTTATAAGATTTATTTGCTTCATTGCTCACAGTTTCAACAGATTTTTAGTATTTTAAAATCATTTTAATTCATTCTTTAAATGTTAGAAGCTGTAAAATAAGTTGTAGTGTTCACAAATCAATTCTTAGAAATGGCCAGTTTTCCTAACTTTGCTTTTGACACTTCACACTTCTTGTCCTTTGGAAAGCCATGAACATTTTTTCAGTCCACGAACGGTTATTTAGACCTATTATGTGCCATTCATTAGGGACACAGTGCACAGTGGAGTAAGTCACAGTTTGGGAGCCTAATGTTTAATTAGGGGAGGTAACAACATTCACATTACAGTGTGAAGGCAAGAGGAGCAAGTAGGTGCTAGGTGCTGGCTTTTAGTGCAGGTTGAGTAGCCCTAATCGGAAAATCCCAAGGCTGAGACACTGCAGAACGTTTTGATCTCCAACATGATCCTCAAAGGAAATGCTCATTGGAATAATGAAAACATTCTGGGCTGGGTGCGGTGGCTCACTCCTGTAATCCCAGCACTTTGGGAGGCCAAGGCAGGCGGGTCACCTGAGGTCAGGAGTTCGAGACCAGCCTGGCTAACATGGCAAAACCCTGTCTCTTCTAAAAGTACAAAAATTAGCCAGGTGTGGTAGCAGGTGCCTGTTATCCCAGCTACTCGGGAGGATAAGGCAGGAGAATTGCTTGAACCCAGCAGGCAGAGTTTATAGTGAGCTGAGATGGTGCCACTGCACTCCAGCCTGGATGACAGAGCAAGACTCTGGTCCCAAAATAAATAAATAAATAAATAGGATCCTGAAATCAGAATTCTGAAGCATTTCAGATCTTCTGAAATCAGAAGATCCCAGGCATTTCAGGTGAGGGATATTCAGCCTGTACCTGGAAGAGTTGGGGAGGAAATGAAACCTGACTGAGTCAGTAAAAATTAGTCATGTGAGTGTGCACAATATGGAATAAAAATTTCTGGCGGAAGAAGCAGCCTGTACAAAAGCGTGAAGGTAAGAGTGCAATGTAAAGAACTAACTATGGTGCACGCGGGAGAAGAGGAAGAAAGGGCTTCAGTCGGCAAGGCAGGGCTTGAATTGTGAAGGCTCTTTCAGCAAAATAAGGAGTCCCTGAAGGATTTTAGGTGATCAGATGATGTGATTAGAGAGGGGAAGGTTCGTAGTTAAGAATTAAACCATGTGGGTTCGAATCCTATCCCTGCCTGTCACATTAAATGCTTTTGTTTTCCTACTTGTATACAGGGTATAACACTGACTCGAAGGGCTGGTGTGGGGATTAGATGAGTTAATACATGTAAAATACTTTAATAGTGCCTGGCACACATGTTCAAGAATTCTGTTGTTATAACTCTGGATTGGATGGTGAGAAGCTGGGGTGGGGAAATGGATTACCCTTTTGTATTAATCCAGGGGAGAAATGATGAGGATATTACTAAGGCAACGGCAATGAGGATGGGAAGAGATGGTAACAATGGATTAGTGATGTAGAAGGTACAAGCAGCAGGATCTGGTGATCCACTGGACGTGGTGGGGGGTGGCAGGGAGAAGATCTACTGCAAGAGAGGAAGGGTCACAGCTGGCTCCTAGGATTCTGGCTAGGGTTTCTGGGTGGGTGGTGGTGGTAATCAACTGAGATAGAGAATGTAGGAGCGGGAGCAGGTTTTTGAAGAAAGACACTGAGCTCAGTTTCTCTTTGAAGTGTTGGTGCTTTGTCACTTAGTATCTGGCATATGGGATTGAAGCTTAGGAAAACGGTTCTTGCTGGAGATATAAATTTGAACTCATCAGCTATGGGTGGCAATTGAAGCCATATGCATCAGAGTACTTTGGACCGCAAGTAATTGCAGAAATACAACCCAAAAAACAGAAGAGATTTATCAGCTCAGAAAAATTAAAGGGCACCAGAGGTAAGGTGGTGGTCAGTCTTATTTCACTTGGGGCTCCAGCCTTGCTTTTCTGATGTCCTCTGGCCTCTGCATGCCTTCTCTGTGTTGCCTTCTCCTCTGACTGGGGGCTGATGGTTCCATTAGCTCCACGCCTCATCAATGGGTGCATTCAACAATGCCCCCCAGAAAAGAGACCATATTTTGAAATGTCTCTCTTAAAAGAACAATGCACAGAAGCCTTTTCCAGGACACTGACCATGGGTCCCATGCCCATTTCTGAATCAATTTACTGGGTCAACAGATCACTGCGGTTCCTGAACCTGTCACTGGCAAAGAAGACAAATTAGCCTAAGACCAGGCCCACCTCCCAAGCTCTGGGTGGGCCCACTGTTCTAGGCACATGAGGGAGAGATGGACGGTTGAATGAGAACTGACATTCTGTCAGGAAAAGGAAAAAGATAGCTAACTCACAAGGCACACCATACTGTGGAAGTGGATGAGCTTCCCAAAGACACCGTGAAGCATGAGAAGAAAAGAAGGGCTAGGACTGAATCCAGAAAAGAGTCAAGCTTCAGGGGTGTTTGAAAAAAGATTCTTGGGTCATTTGGAAAATGCACCTTAACTTTTGTTTGACTCTCTGGTTATATCAAGCAGGGTTATTTTGCATGCTACAGAGTGGGTTGAGAAAATCAACACAGGGGCTGGGTGAGGTGGCTCACGTCCATAATTCTAGCACTTTGGGAGGTTGAAGCAGGAGGATTGCTTGAGCCCAGGAGTTGGAGACCAGCCTGGGCAACATAGGAAGACTGCTTTTCTACAGAAAATTTAAAAAATTAGCTGGTTGTGGTGGTGCATGCCTGTGGTCTCATCTACTTGGGAAGCTGAGGTGGGAGGATTCCTTGAGCCCAGGAGTTTGAGGCTTCAGTGAGCCACTGCACTCTAGCATGGGTGACAAAGCAAGATCCTGTCTCAGAAAAAAAAAAAAAGAAAAAGAAAAAGGAAAAGAAAGAAAAGAAAAGTAACATAAGAAATAGGTCATCGAGAAAAAAGGGTATTATTGAGTACAGCGAATCATGATAACTTGTAGGAAATCTTGTTAGGTCATGTGCTAATATATGAGTAATAACTGCATTTATTGAGCTTATATGTTTACAATATTAGTAATACCTGCATTTATTGAGCTCTCTGTGCTAGGTTTGATGTCAAGTCCTTATTTAGTCTTTCCAGTAACCTTTGAGAATTTTACACTCTTAGGAACATCATCATTTACAAGTGACAAGACTAAGGCTCACAGATTATGTAGCTCAAGGTCTCATACTTAGTAGATGGCAGAGGGGAACTTGAACCCAGGTCTGACTGCCACCAACATGTGTGCCTAAGCACTGCTCTTCTGCATTTTTGTAGGAGGAAATTAGCTCATTATTTAGGATCTGCTGTGTCTTCCTAACTCTCTGATCTCCTTGGAGCCTTTGCCTTGGCCACCTGTAGAGTCTTTAGGTTGATGCTTACATGTTGGTGGAGTTTCTAGGCATTCTGCTTCTCCCTCTGATAGGTCACTACAGTTCTTAAAGTTGAAGGGGAGGCAGAGGCTATTGGCAAAGGCAAGATACTGTGTGGATTTCAGAGTTCCTTGTCATTTGTTGTATTTTCAATCTGAACAGAAACCAAACTGAAGTCTCCAAATCCTAGGATTCGAGAGGGAGTCATTTTTGCAAGGAGTCTATGATTCCCTATGTTTGTGGGGAAGCATTTTATGTGGAAAACCAAAAACCCATGGCCTGGTATATACAGAGCTTTCAGGAAATGGCAGCTGTAGGCCCATGACTGAGAAGTTTGGCTTCCCACAAAAGCTGGGCCTTGTGCTGAATGTGACTGATACTGATGGAGTTTCAGAAGGATTGCAGTGGAGACGAGTGTATGGTCAGAATTACATTTTCTAGCCAGATTATCAGAGTCTATTATGCATTTATATGGCCAAGAAGGCAGGCAGAAAGAGCAGTTGGGAAGCAATTTGTGATAGTGTAGGAGAGATTTTGGGGGCTATTGTGTTGATTGTAAAGATGGAATTGGTGATCAGGAGTAGGGTGGGGAGAGAGGGTACAGATTCATGCAACATTTGGAAGGTAAGAGGATTCTAGGCTGGCTTTCAGATTTCTGGCCCAAGTTACCAGGGGAATGGCAGTAAGAACACTGAACTATCTGTAGAGAGAGGCTGGGGAGATGACGGCGAGGTCAGGTTTGGACAAACTGAGTGTGAGGAACCCATAGGGCAGCCATGTGTAGGGGTCCGGGCGGAGGTGGCCTCATGCACAGATCCTGGGCTCAGGGGAGCAGGTGGAAAACAGTGCTGTGTGGAGTATTTGCCATTCAGTGAATCTGGGCAGGATGAGAAGCTGGGCCTCTACAACTAGTTCTTGACTCAATTATTAAATTGGCTTGAATTTTCTCTTTAAAAATTTCTGGAACCCAATCCGGTACCTTTCGGAGAGGAAGCAGAGGAAGAGAAGGGTTTACGTTGTTGATTGGCAAAGTAATAAGAGACAGCCTGCCATTTCTTCCTTAAAAATGCGAACCTTTAAAAAAGCCCTCCATAGGAAGTGGTGGGTGAGGCAGGGAGGCGCGTGTGTGTCTGAGCTCCTCAGCATGGCATGTCCCTTGGGCTCCAGGACAGTTTCTTTCTCTTCTTGGAGGCGATCGGCAGGTCTCTCTCTTTTTCTCAAGTGACTCAGCTGTCTCGGCATGTCGGCTTCCTGAGTTCTCTTGGTCCAGAGAATGATGCGTTATTCTGGGAAGAGCCCGTGAGCACATTAAAGAAAGACAGAAGATTAAAAACTGGCTGTTTTTGTTTTCCTTTCAGGCTCATTTTTACAAGGTTGCAATTCTTTAAAATGTTGTATTTTAGAAAAATAAAATAATTTCCTACGTACTGGAGCCTAGCTTGTAAATAAGTACCTCTTCTCCAGATTTGGGGATAAATAGACTTCTCCACTCACACTGACAACTGTGTGAGGAAGAGCCTCGTGAGATGATGGAACTCCATTGATTTTTCATAAAAGCTTAATAAGATGATACAGGTCAAAAGCTTTGTAAAGTTTGCTATAAATTGTAGTGAGGAATTGAGCAAGATGTAATTGGATAAGAAAATGTAAATGAAACTTGTACAAGTGTGGCAGAGTTGATGGAGAATATTGAGAACAAGGCCCCTCTTGACCATCTCAGTGGTATTTTTCTAAACAGGTGTCTGACCCTTAAGTGCAGGGGCTTTGACTCCAGTCAGCCCCTTATCACTGATGGGTTAATATATTGTTACCCATCGGTTTTTTTAATGTCATTAAAATTCATCAGATACAGTTTATGGGTGCAGATCAGATAGGACAATCAGTGTGTTTGCTTTTCACTCAATTTTCAGGTTGTGCTTGTGGTGATGTTGTCCAATGCCATGTTAAAGAATAGTGTAAATGCTCTTTTGTTAACCAGCTACTGTTCAATTTCTAGTACCTGTAATTGATGTAGTATTGATTTGCTTTAGATTCTCTGAATAAATGCAAATACATTTCATTTTTATATGATACTATTTCTTTTTTGAATGATTGCTATGCTTTTCACTTTCCTAATGTATCTTTTTAAGATTTTCAAAAGTGTATTTTCTTGCAATGGCATTGAGAGTGATATCAATCCTAGCATTCCTTTTTTTCTTCTTATTAAAAAGTGATGCTGCTCTCTTTAAAGATTGTTGGATAGCGTCTGTCATTGATTTAAATTTTATTGCTCAACAGTGTACACTGTACCTAATCGATGTCTTTATAATCAATTTAACATGAAATGTCATGCACCAACTAATAATATTTCTTACACACACAAACTAATGATATTTCTTACAACTGTTGTTTCTGAGGAGGTATGAAAAAGGTTTGTTAAAGCCAATTCCATGTGAATTTGTTTGCCATAATCTTTCTTGATTGTCACATAAACTTTCTCTTTCCCTTGGTGAAATTTAGGATATCGTAATATGGATGATTTCAGAATCTGTTCTCTGATCTGCAAAAAGCAGCTAATTCCTATTCTAGTTTAAGAGACCCAGACTTAAGTGAGACTGAGAGGGAAAAATGACTCAGGCAAAAACATTTTCAAATAGCAGCCTTATAATTTAGGCTACCAGTAAATTACTAGGAAGTTGTGCAACTGCTATTTAATGGACATGAACTAATTATAGCCTAAGAGTGGTGAGTCTCATCCTGCGGATATACAATATAATTCCTTTTAGAGAAGCAATAACATATTGTTCATAACATGCCATATTAGCTTATATACCCAAAATTTCAAAGAGATTTCTCAAAAAGGGGTATGGCAAAGAATTAGCATGTAGCAATCTGAGCTTTGGACTTTGAACTATTCTTTGGTAGCTCTTTTGTAAATGGATTCACATAACTAAAAGTTCTGAGCCACAATTCTCTAGTCTCCAATATTTTTATCTATAACAACCACTTTTATTTACAAATGACAGCAATAATTACAATAGTCACCAATGATTAAGCCTTTTCTCTTTTGCTAAGGGCCTGATACACCTTGGCTCACTTAGCCCTGCCAATAACCCTGAAAGAGTATTATTCCATTATTTTATAACCGATGGAAAAAATAGTAGCTCTGAGAGGTTAAGGAACTTGGCCAAGTTCACACAGTAAGTGGAGGAGTCTGGATTCAAACCCCGGTCAGTCCATGCAGTATCACTCATTTCAGCTTGGGATGGGTAATTATAATTGTACCATTACTAGTTCAGGGGTTGTGACAGTGACTTTTCCTGTGCCTTGTAACTTTCAAGGGTTTTGGATGCTTTTGGAGGGATAAAAGGTTTCCTCTTAAGCTCCAAAAGTGATGTGTTTTGTAATCTTGATCAAAGATTGTCCTCAGAGCAGGAGTTTCATGCCATTGTATCTCCTGGGTGCTGCTCCAGGTCTTGGAACCTGTGGACAGGTTCCAAGAGGAGAAAGGTTTCTAATGTCTCCCTAGTGGAAGGCATATGTATCTAGATATTGCATTTATGTCTCACAAAATCCAGGAAATACCTAGGAGTACAAATTTCTGAACCTGTTGGTTGATTTGAGATACTCTGGTAAAACTCAAGTCCTTTTGGCTCCTGTAAGAACTCAACTTCTCCATAGTTCTTCTTGCTAAGAAACTTGTCCATTCTAGACATCGATCCTTGTCAGGAATTGAGATTCCTTTTTGCTTCTTTGGGTAGATCCTCACTTCTTTATGTGCTCAGGTACAGGTAGAAGATCCTTTCTCCAAGGAGTGCTCCCCTTCTACCAGGTCAGCTCCTCAGCCATCACCTGGACAGCTGCTGAATGTCACCTAGAGTTTATTCCTTCCTTTCAGAGTGTAACAGCCTTAGTATACTCCAGGGTGACTTGGGTGTAAAAGAATGCAAAGTGAATAATGTTATTATCAGTAGGTGTCATGTAAACCTAGTGGTTTTTCTAGCTGATTTTTAAGCATGTCTGGAATTTTTCATGACTTTATTTATTTATTTATTATTTTAATTTTTGTAGAAATGGGGTCTTGCTTCATTGCCCTGGTTGGTCTCAAACTCCTGGCCTCAAGTGATCCTCCCGCCTTGGCCTCCCAGACTGCTGGGATTATAGGCATAAGCCACCACACCTGGCCTCATGAATTTTTTTTTTTTTGAGACAGGGTGTTACTCTGTCACCCAGACTGGAGTGCAGTGGCATAGTCATAGCTCACTGCAGTCTTGAACTTGGGCTCAAGCAAATCTCCTACCTCAGCCTCTGAGTAGCTGGGACTACGGGTGCATGCCACCAAGCCTGGGGGATTTTTTTTTTTATTTTTAATAGAGATGAGGTTCCTCCATGTTGCCCACGATGGTCTCAAACTCCTGAGCTCAAGCGATCCACCTGCCTCGGCCTCCCACAGTGCTGGGTCATGATTTTTAATTGTTTAAATTTTTCGATACTTCAATCCTTCATTCATTCATTCATTCATTCAGCGTCTACTATGTGCCAATGAAGTTTTAGGCTCTGGGGACATGGCTGTGAATAAGACAGAGAAGCCTCTACACTCATTGAGCTAACATTCTAATGATGGTGGAGTGACACAATAAATGTAGAAATAAAAGATCAGGTAGTAATATGAGCCATGCAGAGAAGTGTGACAGGTGAAACAATACCCAATGCTTCGGTAGCGCATTTAGACTGAAAGGCCAGGGGAGGCCTCACTGACCTTTAAGCTGAGATATGAATGGCAAGAAACATCCAGCCATATGAAGACCTGGAGGATGAAATTTTAGGCAAGAAAGAGCCATGTCTCTCTTTTCCTTTTTCTTTCTTTCTCTTTTTCTTTTTTTTTTTTTGAGATGGAGTCTTTCTCTGTCTCCCAGGCTGGAGTGCAGTGGTGCAATCTTGGCTCACTGCAACCTCTGCCTTCCATGTTCAAGAGATTCTTCTGCCTCAGCCTCCCGAGTAGCTGGGACTACAGGTGCGTGCCACCATGCCCGGCTAATTTTTTTATTTTTAGTAAAGGCAGGGTTTCATCATATTGTCCAGGCTGGTCTCGAACTCCTGACCTTAGGTGATCCACCCACCTCGGCCTCCCAAAGTGCTGGGATGACAGGCGTGAGCCTCCGCGCCAGGCCAGCCATGTCTCTTTAAGGAATGGAGAGAGGACAGGGAACTGGAACATGCTGGATGACGGGGAGCAGAATTTAATCGAGGTTCAGCTATTTGTGTAGGAATAATTCCCCACTCCTCTCATTGTATGTACTAAAAATTGAGTACATCATGTTCACTTATTCCAGAAAAATGTAGTGAGTGTGTCTGCTATGTGCCCAGCACTGTTAAGTGCTGAGTGTATAGTAGTAAGAAAGATGGAGTACCTGTCCCCAAGAAACCTCAGCCTGGGGAGGGGGCTTGAGAAGGAAGCAGACATTTACGATGAAGGGTGATAGATGGTATGATAAGGAAAAGCGCAGTGGGCTGTAGGAAAATCATCTACCCTCGTCAAGCGCTGGACTATTGAGAGAGGCTTCCTGGGGTAAGCAAAGCCTAATTTGAGACTTGAGGTACAAGTAATAATTGGCCAGACAAAGGATGAAAAGACAGCATTTTGGTGAGGAATCACCTAAGCCAGGGTCAGGATTTGAATGAGAACAGAGCTTATTATGGGGATTGCATAGTGCCGTGTGAATGGAGTAAAGGGGTGGGTTTTTACAAGATGTGTTAATTGCACTTAATAATGTAATACATGGATCCTTTTTGTTTGTTTGTTTGTTTGTTTGTTTGTTTTTGAGACAGAGCCTCACTCAGTCACCCAGGCTGGAGTGCAGTGGTGCCATCTCGGCTCACTGCAACCTCCACCTCCTGGGTTCAAGCGATTCTCGTGCCTCAGCCTCTTGAGTAGCTGGGACTACAGGTGTGTGCCACCAAGCCTTGTTAATTTTTGTATTTTTAGTGGAGACAAGGTTTCACCATGTTGGCCGGGCTGGTCTCGAACTCCTGACCTTAAGTGATCTTGGCCTCCCAAAGTCCCAGGATTATAGGCATGAGCCACTGTGCCCAGCCCATGAATCCATTTTTAAATTCCAGAAACAGTGTATCATCACGAGAGATTACAGAGCATAAAAGGAGGAAAGAAATTTAAAATGTTTGTAGTTTTCATAGCAAACTTTTACTCTGGGGGTAATTCTTGTATCCTAGTGACAGTTTTATAGGCTCAAATTTTCTTCATGATAGAAGTCAATGTTCAGAAAGGAGAGTCTGTAGTTTCTTGCTCGATCCTGGCATTTACTTTTGTAATACACCCCAGGTAAATCATGTGTCACTTGTTTTCAGTAACTGATACAGCACTTTTATAAACAAGTTATCTTGGTAACAAAGGATATAGCACCAGCAGGAAGGAAGGTCAAGAAGAGACGAGGGTAACTGGGGAAACATATAATGCCTGACCACGTTTTTTTTTTTTTTCCTGGGGAGAAGTGTTTTGCCTCAGAAAAGTGTCACGTGGGCATCACTTTGTTCCATTTAATGTATGCATTGATGCTGAGATTTCGGAAGTACAGAGTTCTGTTGTTTGTATCTGCCTGACACACACAATCATTGGAAAGTGAAAAAGGAAAGGAATCTGTTCATTGTATGTGAAGCAAAAATGCAACATCCTGACCCTGACGGGAAACTCAATTTTCGTGTTGTTCTTGTCAAGCATTTGAGTGCGTTGGAATACTCCAAGGGCTGAAGGCACACATTCGGTGTGGTGAATGGAATTAGGTTTAGTGAAACTGATTCATTGTGCAGTCTTGCTAGATTGGAAAACTATGGTATTTAGTCTTCTGTTAATATATGCAATACATTAACAGAGTAGCTGGCAGATCCTTTTTGAAAATATCATCTCACAAGGACATGTTTTACAAATTTAAAGATGAATGCTTTGCAATGAATGTGCCTTTTCTTATATCATGAAAATTCAGTTGACTCTGAATGATTATCTGAATGGTTTGCAGGAAAAGTTGGAATTAAGGCAGAGTCTTCTGTTGATGAGTGTGAACTTTTGTGTACTAGAAGTAATTACTCGTTTATGTGTGTACAAAAAGACAAGTCTCCTTAGGAGACTGCATATAGAAATATCTGTTTCCCAATAAGAGTTCCAGAAAAATCCATTGATTTCTAATTTTCTATGAAGAGTCCAGATGAAAATTACCAAGTATTTTGTAGTCTTTATTTTAGTGTGTATTTTAAACTATTATTTATGAAAGATAAAACTGCAGTTTTGTATATATCTCTATATATCTAACTATATCTGCATATACCTGACTATACATAAAAGTGATACGGTACCATTTCAACTTAGAACTTTAAAAAGAAATGATTATAGTAGAATGGTGAAAAGAGGAGCCAGAAGTTCTGGGACACAAACGTTTTCTTTTGCACTCTGATTTCAGGAACTTATGTCAGAACTTCCTTCATTTGTACAAATAACCAACATAGTCAGGTGGTCCACAAAGTCTGGACCCAGGCAAATATACAGGATGGCATTAGGAACATCTTCAATCTTTACTAAGAATTGTATTATATGATTTGTTTCCTGACTTTATGGACAGCCTGTATTAAACAGCTGCTTTGTGAAGGTGCTGTGCAAGAGAAGCACACAGCATGTTGCAGCATGCCTGCTCCTGCAACCCAAAGGCTGTGTCTTCACCTGCTCCCACCACTCTTCTGCCTGCCCGGGGCAGGTGCATGTACCCTTTCCAAAGTTTCTGAACTTGAAATTATTGGGCAAATACATCTTAGAAAGGGAAAATGATAATACAAAGTAGCAGATAATGAAAATGAAGGGACAGTCAGCTATAGGGGATCAGAGGCAGGGGGAAGTCATCACAGGCTTGGGTGAGTCAGGAAGGCTTCCTGGAGAAAGTGGGACTTAGACTGAGCATTTTGGGTTAAGTACAGATGATGAGGATGGGGTGGCCCTTCTGGGCAGAGAAAAACGTATGCTCCTGTTTGATCGCCACTGAATGTAATTTGTGAACTTCTCTAAAGGTGCTCCAGGAATCGCAGGTGCTACCCAGCACTTCCTGTGCCTCATTTGTAAAATCGGGGATTGAGTCTAATCTCAGAGGCCCCTTGTAGCTCTGTGGTTAATTGTGATTTATAAGCAACAAGGCTTCCTGCCTCTGGTTACCTTCAAGAACAAACGACAAAAACCATTTGACACATTTTTTTCTTCAGTACCATCTTATTGCAAACCTCACATTTCTGATGCGAAGATCTTTGTCATTCTTCCCTTTGCCAGGGCGAATCTTCTTGTCCCTTCCCCGGGCCTTTTCTTTATCTGCTGATTGAGACTAAACTGATCATTTAGCACATGGCAGGAAGCCGTGGGTGCTGAATCATCATTTCTCGCCTAATCTATTCTCATGCAGCTGGCTCCCTTGCAGTCCTTCAGCCTAGATGAAGAGAGAAAAGAGGGTGAGAGAATTCAATTCCCAAGTCAGGCACTCGAAATGAGAAAAGGCTTTCCTGCCTGAGAGGTGTTCAGAGGAATCTGGTATGACAGATTTGAGCCAAAGCTGTGAAAAGAGTGAAAGACACCAGGATAGAGAAATCGGGGTGTTGCAGAGTGGTTGATTGGGTGCTTCTAAATTTCACAACGTGAAAAACACTGACAGTATAAAGCTATGTCTTAGAAATTTCAGAAGCAGGCTGTCACCTCTGCCTAGAACTGCATTACCCCTCCCTAAATAACACGAATTCTGAATTTTCTGAAGAATTAAACTTTTTTTTTTTTTTGAGACAAGGTCTCACTCTGTCACCCAGGCTGGAGTGCAGTGGCACAATCTTGGCTCACTGCAGCCTTGACCTCCTCAGGCTCAGGTGATCCTCCTGCCTCAGCCTCCCAAGTAGCTGGGACTACAGGCATGCGCCACCATGCCTGGCTAATTTTTGTATTTTTCGTAGAGAAGAGGTTTTGCCGTGGTGCCCAGGCTGGAAAATTAAATTTTAACAATTGAATTCAAGGGAGTGTGAGTATTAGAATATTAGGGCCTTCTTAAGAAGGCTTGCTTTGAGGTCAGATCTCTGGCCCCAATGTCTTGTTCTCCCATTTTGTGTGTGTGTGTGCATGCACACGCACACAGGAAGCATGTGATTGCTCTTCAAACCATTTTCAAGTGAGTGGAACTCTTGTTAGACAGTCAAGATTTGTCATGAGGATACGGACTAAAACATTTTCCTGTTTTTATTGATACTGATACTGTTGCAATTGGTGCAACTCCAGTAATCCAATTTCTTGGTCAACTTTCATTATGCTAAAAATAGTGAATGCTTAAGGCTGTTACATGGAAGATCTGAGATTTAGGTCTATCTCTAAATCCGTCTTACATATTGGAAATCTCTCAGAGAGGACATACAATGTTATATACAACACACACACACACTCTCTCTCTCACACACACACTGATATGCCAACAAGGAGGAGAAGTTAGAGATACAGGGGATTCAGACATCTTATACAAAAAATCAAACTTGCCCAAGAGTTTCTTGAAGGACATTTTGGCCTGGACAGTGTAGAATCCTTTGGAAAGGTGGGTAGAAAATGCTTAAGCTACCATTGGAAAAACAACTGCTCTATAAATGTGCAGCTGTAACATTAAATTGGAGATCCCTGGGATACTTATAGAATCATAAATTCAGTAGCAATATTACTTTTAGGAGATTTGGATAAAGTGGTTTAAAATGAACTTAGGAGCCAGGTACGTAGTAGACAGTGGGAGGAGGATGACCAAGGAAGCATCTCGTTGCTTACTTATCAGAGGCCTTGCATCCTCGTATTTCGTTTGAACACATATTTTATTGTGGAAACTTAAAAAAAAATTATATTTACTGAGAATAAGTTTTAAAAATACAAAACTTATCTTGATCTTTCTAGCTGTTGCTATGGTCTTGAGTAATACATCATTAAAGCTGTGGCACTCCAATGATGTATTAAAGTAATATATCATAACAATGCCATGGCTTTGATGATATATTAATGTAATACATCGTTAAGGTGCCATTGGCCTCATGATGTATTACTCAAAACACTACCAATTTGTTAGATCAACACACAGAGACCCGTGTGTTAGGAACAGAAGAATGGCAAATGATTTTGGTCCAAAACACAATTGAACTTCTTAGAGATGTCTCACCCACAAAAGCAGTTCTGTTAAGATTGGATGGGCTTCAAAGACTTGCTCAAGAATGGTGGGGTTGAATCACAGTGAAGGGCAACAAAGACGTCTGCTGTGACTGCATTAGCAACCTGTGCCTGGGGCCAAGTTTTCACGCGGGGGAAGAAGAACATGCCTATGTTTTACCTAGCAACAAACAATGTGGTTTACTTGCATGATTTCATTAAATCCCCACTGAAATACTATAAACAAACTCAATTTTAGAGATCAGGAAGCTGAGGTGCAGAGAAGTAAAGTGAGGTCTCATAGCTGATAACTAGTGGAGCCAGGACTTGAGTCTATGTCTGCCTAACTCTAGAGCTGGGTTGGGTGGGGTCATTCTAATTTTGTGCCCCCAATTTAGGAATTATTTTTTCTATCTTTAAAGAAAAACTTGGGAGTGAGCTGGCTTCCTGTCTTCTCCCATACCCTCCCTCATCCTCCATCCTTTTAGGTATACAATATGCAGAGAAGATACTTGGAAAAATAGATCTGGAAAAACATAGGCAATGCTAGACAGGTATTTGGCAGTTGTTTTTTGTATTTTCTCAGGGTCCTACCAAATGCCTAAACAGTGGTTGAGGGAGGAGTGGCCCCGCGTAGGGGGGACTCTGCTGGTGACCAAAAGCATAGCTTTGCCCCAAGCTCCCCTATTGTTCAATTGAAAGGCCTCCTCCCTAGCTTCCTTGCTTCCACTCTTGCTCCCACTACAAATCCATCCTCTACACAGTAGCCAGAGTGATTACTTAAAAATGTAAAATGTCATGTCATCATTTTTCCCTAGTTCTTTTCAGAAACTTCCCACTGCACTTAGAATAAAATCCAAACTCATTACCCTGGCCTCCAAAGCCTGGACTTTCTTGTGGGGCTTCACTGGTCTTCTTTCTGCTCCTTGAACAGGCTCGTTGCTTTTGCACAAATCAACGGACTTTTGCACTAATCTATGAAATTGACCAGCTTTGTGTGGTTGTTTCTTTCTTGTCACTCAGGTGCCACTGAAATGCCACTTTTTCAGAGAGGCTGTCCCAGATCACCTGTTCACTCTTGACCACATTCCCTGCTGTTCTCGTCTTCTCACTCCCTAATATTTGATAGTTTATCTATCTGTTTATTGTCTTTCTCCTACAACTACCAGTGGAAAGTTTGGACCCTGCCCCTCATGTTCCTGGCTGTATCCCCAGGGCTTACCACAGCCTGGTACATAGGAGGGGCTCAACAAAGATGACTAAAACCAAAGACTTATTTATTTAAAAAACAAAAGACTCGTTTATTGTGTAATTGACCATAGTGAAGATTCAAACATAAGGTTTTACAGAGCTAAACAAAAATGAGATAGAAAATAATACAAAAGGAGTCTGAAAAAGACATTTGACACATGTGTATAAAATAAGAAATGGGCCCTCTCCACAGGAATTAGAAGAGACTGAGAGAGAGCTGAACTAGGATTTACTGAATGCCGAGGCAGACTTTGCAGGGCTCCTTCCATGCATGACCCATTCTGAGCCTCCGGGGGAAGGGTGTGTGTGTGTCACACGGTTGTATGTGATTACATTTATTTTCACGTGGTCATATATTTGTGTGACATTTGGTGAGAAATTTTAACCATACCACTCCACTCTCATACTTCTTCCCATGTTGGGTGATTTGGGATAGCTGTGGGTATTTTGTACCCACAACCATCATGGGTATTTTGTATTTGTACTTTTATACATTTTTCTTAAAGAAGATCCCTGAATTATACTAGTTTCAGGCCCCCCCCAATTTAGATCCATTCCTGGTTGAAAGTATGTTATGGAAAGGTTAGAATGGGAAAAAGGAATATGGTTGCTAACATCTTGATCAATCTATATGGTAGAAACTTAATTAATTTTAAGTAACCATTTCATTTTACAGTGAAAAGGAATTATAGCTTATGACTTATTATAACTATTTCTTGTCAGAGAAAAAGCTCAAAGCCTGGAAAATATTGGGAGGTTTCTAGAACTTTCTTCCCCTTTACAACTCACATGTTCTTTACCTTATTTTCTGGGGGTCTTGTAAAGCAATTGACTTTTTAATCTTGGATAAATTAACTCACATTAAGATGTTATTGATTTAGTGTTTCCCTTCCCAGAGGAATTTGTGGTTAGGGAATACTCGAGGGATGGCAATGGAGTACGAGTAATTTAGGGCAACATGGTACTTAGAGGCAAGAAAAATTTAGACAGTCCTCAAATTAAGATAAGTCCTGACTGAACTGGCCCTTAATTACTAAATGAACTAATTAAGGCAATATTTGCTGAGTGTCTTCCCTATGCTAACTGTTGGGGATTCAATGGTGACCTAAATCAGAAGCCACCCCTGTTCTCATGGAGTATCCAGTATAAACTATCATCCCCACCCCTCATCTCCCCAAGAGAAAAACCAAAAACTGTGTGACACAGACCTAGGCAGAGCTTGGCAGGCAGAGCCCAGGCAGGACTTTACTGGACAGTGACCTGGGCTGGGCACCTTTGTGCAGGGCACAAACCCAGTAGGGTTGGCTCTGCCCACAGTCAGCTGTGGGAGACACAAAAATCAAATAATTGCTCACTCAGCCAAAGCTGGGAGGGAAAGGTATAAGGTCCCTACTAGCTTATGACCGAGATCCTTGCCTGGACAAGGGCATCAGCAAAGGGTTCCCTGAGAGGCTGCCCATGGCACGGAGATTTGAGAGATAAAGATGAGAGTCTGAGGAGAGTTCAAGGGGAGGATGTGGTTTGGAGGTGAGACCTGGGGAGTGTACCAGACAGAGGGAATAGCATGTGCAAAGGCCCAGAGGTGGGAGGGAGCACGACAAACTTGGAGGACTTCCAGAAAGCCTGTAGAGCTAGAGGGCACAGAGAGATCACGGAAGCTGGGGGAGAAGGCAGGGCCACAGCATGCAGTCCTGAGACCCTACTCAAGGGCTTCATCTGAGGGGCAAGGGAATATTTTTTGAAGGAATGGTGACATTCAGCAGACATCGAAAAGATATATCTGGGCCAGGCGTGGTGGCTCATGTCTGTAATCTCAGCACTTTGGGAGGCCGAGATGGAAGGATTACCTGAGGCCAGGAGTTTGAGACCAGCCTGGCCAATGTAGCAAGAACCCATCTCTAAAAAATAAAAAAAAAATTTTAAAAAGACATTTCTGGCTTCAGTGTGGACATGTGGCAGTAGAGGTTGTGGGGAGACTAGTGGGAGGCTCTTACTGTATCATGGTTTGGGTGAGAACACTGGCTTGGACTAGGGCAGTGACACAGGCAACCCCTTCAGCTTTTTGTGGTTACCTGTCACGGTCATTATGTGTATCCTGGACTCTTTTCTCAAACCAAACAAATCAGTAAGACCTCAAATAATAAAGTCTTCAATATTATTTTCTTTTTTTGCTTGAGTTTTAAAGTATTTTCTTCATATTTCAGATATAAGTTCACTCAATCCATCTCACTACAAGAAACTTGTTTTTCCCTGATTGTCTTTTCACAAGACTCTTTTGATCTGTACTTACAGCATTCTAGTTTGTCATAGAAACTCTCTTTTTATTATTTACATTAAGTAAAAATTTCTATCTTCAGATATATTAGTCATATAGTAAAATATAGCAAATTACTCCAAAACTTAGTAGTTTAAAATAACAGTGAACATGCATAATATACAATTCTGTGGGTTAGGAACACAAATGGTTCTGGCTCCAGTTCTTTCAAAGTGATGTTGACCAGGCGTGGTGGCTCATACCTGTAATCCCAGCACTTTGGGAGGCTGAGGTGGGCAGATCACCTGAGGTCAAGAGTTTGAGACCAGCCTGGCCAACATGGCAAAACCCCGTCTCTACTAAAAATACAAAAATGAGCTGGGTGTGGTGGCAGATGCCTGTAATCCCAGCCACTTGGGAGGCTGAGGCAGGAGAATCATTTGAACCCTGGAGGCGGAGGTTATAGTGAGCTGAGATCACACCACTGCACTCCAGCCTGGGCAACAGAGTGAGACTCCATCTCAAAAAAAAAAAAAAAAGTGATGTCAAGTACAGTTGAGGCCGCTGACATCCACCGATGCGGAGGGTCTGCTTCCAAGTAGCTCGCTCACATGGTTGGCAATTCAGTGCTGGCTGTTGGCAAGAGGCCTCAACTTCCTGTCCTGTGGACCCCTCTTTGTGTGTCCTCATGACATGGCACCTAGCTCCCCATAGTGAGTGGCCCAAGAGAGAGCAAGGGAGAAGCTGCAATGTCTTTTCTTTTACGATCTGGCCTTGGAGATCACACTCCATCATTTGTACGATACGTTATTGATGATGCAGGCCAGCCCTACTCAATGTGGGAAGAGACTATGGACTACTTGGAGCATGAGTACCAGGAGGCAAGAATCCCTGGGGGCCATCTTGAAGGCCGGCCACCATAAAAGGTGAGACACAAAATAATACATCCTCATATGCACATGGACAGATATCAAAGACCAATTAGACGATGTATCTTTCCTAATCTTAGGAATTACACTTCAATTTCTAAATTGTGTATAAAGTACTCAATTTAGAAATAAATTAGTACTATAATTAGCACTATTTATAGTACTATAATTAGTATTATAAATTTAGTACTATAAAGTACTAAGTTCAGTACCAAAAGGTCATGTTTCATGTGTCATTCACAATTGCTAAAAGATGAAAAGAGAAAGCTTGACTTTCCAGTGTAAAAAAATGTGAAATTACAAAATTCTAGCATGTAAAAATAAACCTATTTGGTTTTAATTAATAATGAATATCAATTACCTATAAGTAAACAAGATACATAATTAGAATTAATTCTAATATTCTAGAATTAATAATACTAATATTCTAAATTATAGTGGATGAATATTGTTTGTACTTTTTGTGAGACCTATTTAAGACTTTAGAGATGGTGGTAGGGAAAAAAAATTATATGGTCCCTGAAGAGATTAAGCATAAACTCATAAAAAATAGAACATACCCACAAAAATTTTCCAATTTTTTTTTTAATTTAAAAGGCACAATACAATAGCAAAAGAATGATATCTCATGGTGTGTTGCTGAATGGATTGCACAGCCAATAGGTGCCCGTTCAAAAGAGGAAGGGATCCCTGCAGGCAGGTGGGCGATGAGCTCCTATGGAAGCAATGGACTCTGAGCTGTGTATCACAAGGCTGAAGAGAAGTCATCAATCAGTCAATCCAAGAATTAATCACCTATTATTCTCAAACATCAAGTTAGATGGGTATAAAATGATTCCTTCCTTCAAGGTGCTTTCAGTTCAGTACTGAGGTAAATAAAAAAGAGGAGGCTTTCTGGGCAAATGGAGTAGTATGAGCTGCAGTACAGTGGAATGGGGGTTTCATGAGTGATGAGGGAGAATCAGGTAGTGAGTTGACAAGGGACTTTGAGATTTTTTCTGCAGATGCTGAAGAATCAGTTACATAATATGATCAATATATACTGTACTGTTTTTATAATATATATATATATACACAGACTCTTTATATGCATACACACACACAGACGCACATGCACACACTCTTTTAAGTGATCTCAGCAGGTGGTGACCTGCTGATCATAATGCTAACATATTTTATGGGTTGAGGAGAGTAACATGAATAAATACAGGTCTGCCTGATTCCATGTATTCAGATGAGGGGCTATTCAGGTAGAGGTGGTGGTGTGCAGGGTGGACCTAAGTAAGGAAGAACTGACAGCACAGAGGGCAGGTGCAGCAACGCAAGTGAGGGAAAGAGGAGTGGATTCAAGAAACTATATGCAGAGCAGAACTGAGAAAAGCATACCTTTGAGCTAAATAGCATTAACAAAAAATTCTCAAATCTTGATCCTGAAAACAGGATCAAGGCTCAATTGCCAGTAGCTTTTCCTTGTAGGCCACCATGGCCAACATTTCATTATTCTTGGGTTCAGTGTTTTCTCCAGCCATCACTGGGAACACACAACTGGAATCCACTGGGCTGCCACCAAGGCCAGGCTTTGCCTTGTATAAGTATCATGGAGTGTTATGGACTGAATGTTTGTGTCCCCCTCCCATTTCTTTTTTGAAATATTACCCCCAAAGTGATAGTATTAGGATGTCGGGCCTTTGGGAGGTAGTTTAAGTCATGAGGGTGCAGCTTTCATGAATGGGATTAGTGCCCTTATAAAAGAAATCCCAGAGAGCTCTCTAGCCTCTTACTACCATATGAGGATACAATGAAAAGACGGCTTTCTGCAACCTGGAAGATGGCCCTCCCGGAACCCTACCATGAGGGCACCCTGATCTCAGATTTTCAGCCTCCAGAACTGTGAGAAATAAATTGTTGTTATTCGTAAGCCACTCAGTCTGTGGTACTTTGTTACAGCAGCCTGAATGGACCAAGGCATGGAGCCGTAGGAACAGCTGAGTGAAATGTATCAGTGGTATTTTCCTCTTGGGTTTTCCAATTCCCTTTTGTGTCTGCCTTTGATTTTATTGATACCAAAAGATCGAACACTGAAAGGCGAAGGCTACAGCCTTTTTGGTCCCCAGGACTCCTGCAAGTCATGACAGCCAGACACAGTTAGGGCTGCTGTTACATACTATATTTGCTGTGGGTCACAGCCAACCTGTCCTGCAGCAAAGGGATGAGAGGTGTGTCCAGAGCTAACAGATGCCTCTTCACTGTGCACTGCGCACACCACACCCCCTCGTAAGGTGTCTCGTTGTAACTGTCACTTTCTGTTTCAGGTCTTGTTGGATGACTCTGAGTCTGTGGTAGGTGTGGCAAGGAAGTGTGGTGTCTCCTTAGGGTGAGCCCCAGGCAGAGCCCCCAAATCTCCCAAGATTTATGGACAGTTTGAGGAGGTGGCTGGCAGTGAACTTTCACAGTGAGAGGGTGAGCGGGTGCAGGGTGCCCAGAGCCAGCGCTGACCCTGCTCTTGATGAATTAATGTGGTGAGCAGCGTCTCACTGAACTCCTGGCCACTAAGTAGGGCATGTGGTGGTGACATCTGTGAGGAGATAAATGGGAACATCTTCCACTGAGGGATGAGGGTTCCTCCTGCCAGTCACATTTCTGGGATGGTTGTGTTTGCATATGGGTTAGAAATTCACATTTGAAGCTGGGTGTTGTGGCTCACACCTGTAATTCCAGCACTCTGGGAGGCCAAGGTGGGTGGATCACTTGAGGCCAGGAGTTCATGACTAGCCTGGCCAATATGGTGAAACCCCATCTCTACTAAAAATACAAAAATTAGCCAGGTGTGGTGGTGGCTACCTGTAATCCCAGCTACTCGAGAGGGTGAGGTGGGAGGATCACTTGAACCCGGGAGAAGGAGGCTGCAGTGAGCTGAGATTGTACCACTGCACTCCAGCCTGAGTGACAGAGTGAGACTCCATCTCCAAAAAAGAAAAAAAATTCACATTTGAGTGATAAGTAGTGAATATGCTGTTTCAGATGCAATGGACTGATGTGTACCTTGTTTATTGAATTTCCCTGTGACATACAGCAGTTTCTTGGGTAGTAAGAGACTATTTAGTGAGTGTTGACCACTGAAACAGGATCAGGATTTCTACGCCTGGAACTGCAGTTGTCTTATGGCTACAAGAAGATGTTGAACAGCTATTACAACTACGAACTAGGAACTTTCAGAGAACAGGCCATTTTCAATTTTTTCCATTTCGAACATATTTTAAATTGCTAATGTTTAAGAATTTGGTAACAAACTAGAAAGAAATCAAGAACGAGAGAAATAAAAGAAAAAATAAATTGGGCTGCTCACTTAAAGGTTTTTTCTGTCCTTATAATTCTCGCCTTATTATAGTAATTTATAAATATACAGACATCAAGCATTAGAGTAGCAGGTTTGAGTAAGGCTTTGTGTGGTCTGCGGCAGAGCAGCAGAATAGATGATGCAGAGCATAGATTCCTAAGCCTCAACTCTTCTTGCAAAGCTTGGTCCTTCAAGTTTTGCAAGAAGAGTTGAGGCTTAGGAATCTATGCTCTGCATCATCTATTCCAAAGTTTTAATATCTGCAAAGACCCAAAATGTAAGAAAAAAAATAGGCACAAAAAGTATTCATGTCTTACATATATTTAAGACATATTTGTGTCTTACACAGAGGCAATGTTAGGATATTGAAAATTAGAATGATTGCCCCATGCAACAAACATTTCAAGGAGTTTCTGCTCTCTGCTCGACCCTGTACTAGGACTGGGTGGGAGCATAAGGAAACCACAAGCAAAATGATGAAAAATATTTACGGTAAGTGCTGCTGCTTGGGAGTCCACACCGTTGGGCAAAGGCTTAAAAAGGCACTATGGGCTCTGCTGGCTGTTGAAGAAATTACTAAGGTGCTTACATTTATAGAGACTCTTGGATGAAATTAATAGAATAATTCAAACCAGCTCAAGGAAAAATGAGAATTTATTAGCTCATATAAAGTTTAAGATAACAGAAAAGCAATTAAGAAGGGTTCTGCATGGCTGGATCCAGGTGCTCTGTGTCCACAGGAATCTGTCTCTCATCACATAAGCTCTGCTTTCCTCTGTTTTGCTTTATTTTCAGGAAAATATCCACCCAGTCGTGGCAACAATGGTCAAAGCAGTTCCAGACATTTGTTCTAGTACTCCCGCACTTAGAGGGAAGGGGAGAGCCTTGGTCCAGGAGCACTAGCTGAAGTACTGGAGGATGTTCTTATTGGTCATGCTTGAGCCAGTGCCCCTCCTTGAAGCCATTGTGATAGTTCTGTGGTGCCCTGGCCAGCCCAAGGTCAAGGCCCACCTTTGGAACTGGGGGTCAAAGTCCAGTTCCCAACCTGAAACATGGACTGAGAGGTGGAAGAAAAGCAGTTGCAGAAAGGAAAATGGGTCCTGTTACTAAAAGAAGGGGAAAGGAATACTGGGAAGGGAAAAAATAAAAGGTGTGCACCAGAAGGGAGGTCTTAGTGTGTTTTCTGTTGCTATAACAGAATGCCTGAGACTAGGTAATTTATAAAGGAGAGTTTACTGGGCTCATAGTTCTGGAGGCTGTAAAGTCCAAGAGCACAGCATTAGCATACCACATGGCAGAAAGGAAGAAGTCAGAGGCAGAACATAGGGACTATTTCACTTTATAACAACGTGCTCTTGAGATAACTAATCCAGTCCTGAAAGAGAGTGAGAGCTCACTTACTCTCATGAGAAATAACGCATTCCCTGGAGAGTAGCATTAATTCCTCTTAATGACCTAATCACCTCTTAAAGTCCCTACCTTTCCAACTGCCACACTGGGGACCACATTTCCAGCACATGCACTCTGAGGGACATACTCAAACCACAGTGGTGCTTGTGTTCACAGAGTCCCATCATCTCCTGTATGCCACACTGGCAGCCAGGGTCCAGACTGGCCTCAGGGCTAACATCCCCCCCGCAAGGCATCAGAGTGCATGTGGTTATTCATGTAAATGATCATGGTAAAAAAAATTCAAATAGAAAGTATAATCAAATGAGAAACAAAAGATGTGTCCCCCATCCTCTAACCACCAGTCCCAAGTCTTTAAATGACCAAAATGGTAAATAGTTCTAGAAAATTTCTCTTTGAAAACAATCATCCATCCATCCATCCATCCATCCATCCATCCATCCATCCATCCTCAGCCCCCTTAGTAGCTGGGATTACAGACATGTGCCACCATTCCCCGCTAATTTTTGTATTTTTAGTAGAGACAGGGTTTCACCATGCTGGCTAGGCTGGTCCGAACTCCTGACCTCAGGTAATCCACCCGCCTCCGGCTCCCCAAGTGCTGGGATTACAGGCATGAGCCACCGCGCCTGGCCTTTTTCTTTTTTTCTTTCTTTCTTTTTTTTTTTTTTGACTTGCATCACCTTTTTTTACACAAAATAGATTTCAGCCACATTGCACATTCATTCTCGCTATAAATCTGGCTTAAAAAAAATCCCTAGGGATTCAGTGTCATCGATAACATGATTTTCCTTTTATTGGCATCATGCCTCTATTGTAGTCAGAGTCCTCTCAAAGGACAAAAGCAGATGTGGCTCCTTTGGGTCAGCTGCACCCAGTGTGCTCCCGGCCTGCCCGCTGGAGGCACAGCTACCATCATCATCTGGACCGTGACTGCTAGGGACTGTCAAAGCGGCAGCATGTCATCGCCTTCACCAGCCCTTCTCCAGCAGCACAACCAGTCCTCCCAGCTGGTCCTCTGGGGACCAGCCATCATAGCGATGTGGTGGCAATGTCCCCAGGCAGCTGACCATCCTGGGCTTCTCTTTGGGCAGGCCTGGGCCAGGGCCTTAGGGGATCTCTGTGTCTATGGTATAAATCTGAATGAGATCAGACACAATAGTATCAATGATTGGCTTGGTAAGGTCGTCACTAAACGCCTGCCACCACAGCTTCTCAGCCTCGACCTCGGCGGGCACCTCGACTCCATAGACCTGCAGGGCCAGGTAGAGCACCACCACAGCTATGTGCTGGGCCTGGAAGCGGAGGCACAGCCCCCCGTGGTAGCTGTCCCGCAGCAGGGCCCAGGCAGTGACGGCAACGGGGGTCCGCTGCCAGCTGTGGCAGTTCAGCCAGTTCTTGAGGGAAACCAGGTAGTAGAGCAGGTACTTGTGTGGATGCTGGAAGGAGACCTGGAAGCGCAGAACTCTCAGCATGAGAAGCTCACGCTGCACAATGCTGTCCCGGAGCTCCCAGAGGCGGGAGTCCAATCCCAGGGGCTCACTGCTTGGGTTGAAGTACCTGTTGGACACACTGATGATGTCATGAGCCCACAGGGGCTGCTCTTCCACTTTGCCGGCCAAGTAAATGGAAGACATGGCAATCAGGTAAGGGTCAAAGGCGTCCAGGATGGTCTCGCAGAAGAACTTAGGGTAAATGGTGCAAGCAGTGGCAATGGGAATGGACTGCATCCCTAGCTTGACACCTGCCTCCATGATGAACCTCGCCACGCGGAAGTGCACCCTGGCTGCCGGCGCTGCGGCACCCTCTCTGGCGTCCTCTCCGGCGTCCTCTCCGGCCTCCTCTCCGGCGTCCTCCATGCCTTCCATGAGGCCACGCGGCTCCGGCGGAAGGAGGGTCGTTCCGACGGAAGGAGAGTCGGTCCGGGGCGCAGACTGGCCTTTTTCTTCCTTTCTTTCTTTTCTTTTCTTTTCTTTTTTTTTCACAAGTTGTATCATATTATGCATATTGCTCTCCCACATGAGTTTTCACTTAATAATATTCTTGGCATCGTTCCCTATCAGCACACAAAGTTAAAAAACAAAACAAAACAAAAAAACAGCTGCATAATATCCCATAAAATGGGCCAGGCACGGTGGCTCACGCCTGTAATCCCAACACTCTGGGAGGCTGATGCGGGTGGATCACTTGAGGCCAGGAATTTGAGACCACCCTGGCCAACATGGTGAAACCCTGTCTCTATTAAAAATACAAAAATTAGGCCGGGTGCAGTGGCTCACAGCTGTAATCCCAGCACTTTGGGAGGCCGAGGTGGGCAGATCACGAGGTCAGAAGATCTAGACCATCCTGGCTAACAGGGAGAAAACCCGTCTCTACTAAAAATACGAAAAATTAGCCGGGGGTGGTGGCGGGCGCCTGTAGTCCCAGCTAGTCAGGTTGCTGAGGCAGGAGAATGGCGTGAACCCGGGAGGCGGAGCTTGCAGTGAGCTGAGATCGCGCCACTGCACTCCAGCCTGGGCGACAGAGCGAGACGCCGTCAGAAAAGAAAAATTAGCCAGACATGGCGGTGCATGCCTATAATCCCAGCTACTCAGAAGGATGAGACACAAAAATCCCTTGAATTTGGGAGGCAGAGGTTGCAATGAGCTGAGATCGCGCCACTGCACTCCAGCCTGGGTGACAGAGCAAGACTCTGTCTCAAAAAAAAAAAAATTTTTCATAAAATGATATACTATAATTTATTTAACCACTTTTCTGTTAATGAGCATTTATGTTATATTCATGGTTGTTTTTCAAACAATTCTGTCCTGTCAGTTTATGGATATACTTGCAAAAGCACACTATGCTATGTGTACAGGAATATAACCACCGGTCCCAAGTCTTTAACATGACCAAAATGATATAAACTTTCTCTTTGAAAATGTACAGGAATGTACACATAGCTTAGTGTGCTTTTGCAAGTATATCCATAAGCTAAATTCCCAGAAGTGAAATTTTGTGTTCAAGGATATGTTGCCATCATGCGCTGCGTAACAATGTTTTGGTCAATGACAATCCTCATATACAAGGGTGATCCCACAAGATTGTAATGGAGCTAAAAATATTCCTATTGCTGGGTGAAGTCACAGCCTTCATAATGTAGCCCATGATAGACTCACACAAATCTAACATGAAAAAAGAAACAAACCACCATGAGCATCTTTCTGAAAAGAGTGATACCTCCTTAAGAACAGTCTCAGATCGGTCCTTCAGGAGGCATCCAGAAGAAGACATTGTTATCGTAGGAGACAACAGCTCCGTGTTGTGTTACTGCCTGCTGAAATTCATCTAGTAGGATAAGACATAAAGGTGGAAGACGGTGATATTGATGATCCTCACCCTGTGTTGGCATAGGCTAATGTGTGTGTTGGTGTATTCGTTTTTAAACAAAAAATTTGGCCAGGCATGGTGGCTCACGCCTGTAATCCCAGCACTTTTGGAGGCTGAGGCAGGAGGATCGCTTGAGGACAGCAGCTCAAACCAGCCTGGGCAACAAGGTGAGACTCTGTCTTTACAAAATTTTTTTTTAAAAAATCAAGCAGGCATGGTGGCTCATGACTGTAGTCTTAGCTACTTGGGAGGCTGAGGTGAGAGGATTGCTTGAGCCTTGGAGTTTGAGGTTACAGTGAGCCTTGATTGTGCCACTTGCATTCCAGCCTGGATGACAGAGCAGACCCTGTAGCTAAAACAAAACAAAACAACAAAAAGTTTAAGAAGTAAAAAATACTTAAAATTTCTAGAAACAGAAAAAAGTATATAGAATAAAGATATAGAGAAAGAAAATATTTTTGTATAGCTGTATAATTTGTGTTTTAAGCTAAGTGTTATTACAAAGAGTCAAATGTTTGAAAAAAAGTAAAATTTATGAAGTAAAAGTGATAGTAAGCTAAGGTTAATTTATTATCGAAGAAAGAACATTTAAAAAATCAATTTAGTGTAACGTAAGTATACAGTGTTTATAAAACGTACAGCAGTGTACAGTAATGTCCTAGGCCTTCACATTCACTCATCACTCACTCATTGACTCACCCTGAGTAACTTCTAGTCCTGCAAGCTCCACTCCTGATAAGTGCCCTATGCTATACAGACGTACCATTTTTAATTTTTTTTTTTTAATTTAGATGGAGTCTCACTGTGTCACCCAGGCTGGAGTGCAATGGCGCGATCTTGGCTCACTGTAACCTCAGCCTCCTGGATTCAAGTGATTCTCCTGCTTCAGCCTTCCGAGTAGCTGGGATTACAGGCAAGCGCCAACATGCCTGGCTAATTTTTGTATTTTTAGTAGAAATGGGGTTTCATCATGTTGGCCAGGCTGGTCTTGAACTCCTGACCTCAGGTGATCCACCTGCCTTGGCCTCCCAAAGTGCTGGGATTACAGGCATGAGCCACTGCTCCCGGCCTCCATTTTTAATCTTTTACACTGTATTTTTTACTGTATATTTTCTATTTTTAGATATACAAATACTTATAATTGCCTGCAATATTAATACAGTAACATGCTGCACAGGTCTGTAGCCTAAGAGGAATAAGTTATACAATACAGCCTATATGTATATAATATATAATAAGCTGTATCATTTAGACTTGTGTAAGTACACTATGATGTTCATACAATGATGAAATCGCACAAGGATGTATCTCTCAGACATATCCTCGTTGTTATGTGAGCGTGACTGTATTTTAACTTTGGATACATATTAACAAGTTGACCTTTGAGAAGACCACCAATTTCCATTCATATAAACAGCATTAAAAGTACCAGTTTCCCCACACTCAGTCACCACTGAATATCTTTAAACTTTACATTGTTGCTAATCTGATAGGTGAAAATGGTATTTCATTGTATTTATTTGCATTTTAAAATTACAAATGAAGTTGAGCTCCTATTAATATGTCTGGTCCATTTTGATTTCATTTTTGGTGAACTTAAAATCTGTTCTTTCTATCCACATTACAATATTAGCATTTGGATGACTACATCATGCATTTTGCCCATTAGAGTTCATTTAATCCTGATCATGTAATATTATATTTGTAGATTTACCAGTCGTTGAATCCTAGAACAGTAGAGCTCTAGATACACTTGAGATGATCCCATGATACGTTCTTATTTTCAGATGAAGGGACTGGGGTGTCTAGGGAAGCAAAATTAGCTGTCCAAGGTCACACAATTAGAGGCTGGGCCTATACCAGAATGCACACTGCCTGAGGTATTATGTAAGTCTGTTACTCTGCTGTTTACTAAAGCGGGAGGTCTGTCTTGGAAGTTTAAACCACTCGTCTTAATCTATTAGCATCCCAAGGAGCTACTTATAACTGTAACCGCCGACCCAATGAGCCAGCTTCTCCATCCAATGTTTCACTTAATGGTGTAGTTTATTACAGTTCAGCAGTCCCAGAGACTGGACGTCTGTGCAACGTGTTAAAACTCCTCTTCAACTGCTGCAGTAAAACTTTCTGCATGGCAGTGCCCAATTCAGGGAACGGGAGTTTCTTATGCTCAGTTAACGCGAACTCAGGACAAATCAAGCGAGAAAAATCAGTAGTCTCATCTCTGCCATTACTTACAGTTTTTATGGATTGTTTAATATAATGAAATAGTCACAGGGAAGAAATTCAATACCTCCATATTACATTCGCATACTTTCAAAGAGCTTTTTCAAATTCCTCATGAAATGATACCCATTTAATTTCAGTCTTGGAATTAGGGTTTTATCTTTCTTACACTCCTTACGGGGCCCTTAAATAATTACTAAAATCCACATTAGTCATTAGGGAACTTTAAAGATGAGAATTGCTCTGTCACAGGCTTTAATCCAGGGAGCCCTAAGTGCAGGGGTCCCAGCCTTCACTGTCTCTACACTATCATGTTGGCTTTTCTTCCCTATGAAAACACTAAGACTCTTTATTATGCTTATAACTTAGGTACATCTATGTCTTCTCAAAATTTAGTTTTTAAGAAAATATTTAAAGAATATCTAACTGTTTTTTCTTGCTGTTGTTTGTTTGTTGTTATTTTGAGACAGGGTCTCTCTCTCCCAGGGTGGAGTGCAGTGGTGCCATCACAGCTCACTGCAACCTCGACCTTCTTGGGCTCAAGTGATCCTCCCACCTCAGCCCCCTGAATAGCTGGGACTACAGCCATGTGCCACCATGCCTGGCTAATTTTTGTATATTTTTTAGAGACAGGGTCTCACTGTGTTACTCAGACTGGTCTCAAACTCCAGGGCTCAAAGCAATCCTCCCACCTTGGCCTCCCAATGTGTTGGGATTATAGGTGTAAGCCACCGCACCAGGCTCAACTATAAAGTTATTGATAGAACTTCCCAAATGATGGAAAAGACATAAGATTTTGAAGAAAAGAATCGAGAGAAACAAAAATAACTGGCAATGTAAGAGTTAAGCTACATGTTGCCACATCATCCATGTTAGGAAACCAAAAACCCCCAAATAGATTAATAAAAATGAAAAATAGGTTTAAATTTTAAAATAGGGGATACGTATCTTCTAAATGCTGTAATTAATAGAAAATGCTTTAGTACATGGTCTTTAATTTTTTTCTTTTTTAGCCGAGTATATGCAGGTAACTGCAGTTCAGCTGTGAATCTGTGCTGAAGGATCTAAGTGCACTATTTCTGTTTTCCGAGAGAGTTTAAAAAAAATTTCCCCCGCTTTTTCATTTCCAGATTATGTTCAGTTAATTATTAGAATGCTGAACATTCTGTCCTTAATACTCAAAAGTTCCTGACTTCTGGGTAGGCAAAGGGAAGCATAATGGATCCAAGGGAAATTCTTCCAGCCCTATTTTACTGGCCTTCTCTTCAAGTACATTCGTAAGAAATTCTGTTTAAATAAATTGGATTGTACTTTCAATTTCAGCTAAATGCAATTTGGAAGTGGCTTATTAGATACTCATAAAAATGTTCCGGCTTTCGGAAGTTAACTTTCTGTGAAAATAATAGCAAAAAATGGGTTATGTTAACTATGTATTTGGGGAGAACTGATTTCTAACACAGAGGCTCAGGGAGGATGGAGCAAGGGGGTGCACACTATTGTCCTAGGGTGCTGCTTTTGACTGGGGTAGAGCAGCAAAGAGCCGACCTGGGAGTTGTGGGAATTTAGAATGTTTTGGCCTAAGAGAATGCTTAGTCAAGGTGCTGACAGGGTTGGTTTCCTTCTGAGGCCTCTCTCTTTGGATTGGAGATGGCCGCCTTCTTGCTGCTTCTTCACATGGTCATCCCTCTGTGCATGCACATCCCTCATGTCTCTCGTGTGTTCAAATTTCTTCTTATAAGAACACCAGTCAGAGTGAACTAGGGCCTGCCTAATGACCTTATTTAACCTTAACTACCTCTGTAAAGCCCCTAGCTCCAAATATAGTCATATTCTGCGGTTTTGGAGGTTAGGGTTTCAACATACGAGTTTTGGGGCAACATAATTCAGCCCATAACAACAGTGAAAGTGATTTTACATGGTGTGTGTCTGATTTCAAAGCCTGTGGTCTTAACAACATTACAGTTACTACTTGTGTGTGTGTGAAGCTACTAAGGAGGTTGAAGGAAAGGGAATTTAAGCACATCTTTAATCATCAAGAAAGGTTTAGGCCAGGCGTGATGACTCATGCCTGTAATCCTAGCACTTTGGGAGGCTGAGGCGGGCGGACCTCAAACTCCTGAGGTCAGGAGTTTGAGATCAGCCTGGCCAACATGGTGAAACCCTGTCTCTACTAAAAATACAAAAATTAGCTGGGTGTGGTGGCGCATGCTTGTAATCCCAGCTACTTGGGAGGCTGAGGCAGGAGAATCGCTTGAACCTGGGAGGTGGAGGTTGCAGTGAGCCAAGACCGTGCCATTGCACTACAGCCTGAGCAACAAGAGTGAAACTCCATCTCAAAAAAACAGGTTTAGCAAAGCAGCTCTCCATGTGAGTAGAGCTTTGAAGGATGGACACACTTTTTTTCAATTTAAATTATAATTGTTTAAAAACTTAATACACATTTTTCTTTTTTTTTACTTTTTAACAATTTTTTCTTTTTATCACAGTTTGTCCAAAACAAGGAAGAATTTTTCTTACTATAAAAGTAAATGTGTTCTTTGTATAAAAATTAGAGAATTAGATAATAAAATGAAAAAAGACACTCAGAATTGTGCCATCAAGAGAAATCTCCTTTTAACAACTTGGCGTATATCTTTTAAAATCCAGTTTTCTTTATTTCAGATAGATTGATGGGTAGATAAATGGAGAAAGCAAGAAGGAAGAAGCAGGATTCTACCATTGTACTCACATATTCATTTTTGTTTCCTGGGTTTTTTTTACTCAATGTAACATGATGGAAATAGACCACGGATTTTGAGGGGTGGGGAGGGCAAAGGTATTTTTGGCAGAGGATTAGTTTGCACAGGATCATGGCCACAGAAGGATTGTAAGGTCTGACTCAGGAGGAGTGGTGCAACTTGGGCTGGCATTTAGGGTGAAGGGCCATAAATTCTAGACCATTGACTTGGTTGGTTTAATGCCCTACAAAACATGGAGTCAGATTTGTAGGGTTTTAAACTATCTGAGTTAGGGGTCTAGAATTTATTTGGTAGAAGAGATGAAACATAAAACTATTTTTGAACTTTCTAAAGCTCTGCTCTTTGTATAAAAATTAGAGAATTAGAAAATAATTTAAGGTTAATTTGTGGTAGAATGCCTAGTGGATAGGAATGTGAGGAGATTGAAGGGTTAAGAGCTTGCTAGAGAACTATTATCTAGGGGAGAGGAATCAGGAATAAAAACTAGGTAGAGACAGTAGGAAGGCAAATGAGTCACAGATGAGGAAGAATTCATAGAGTAACTGGGTAACTGACTCATATGTATGATGGGGAAGGGAAAAATCATAGAGTAACTGGGTAACTGACTCGTATGTATGATGGGGAAGGGAAAAATCCAAGATGGGCGAGGGCAACAAATGACAGGCCAGCAATCGCTATGGGGAGGTTGGAGGAAGAGTTGGCCCCTGGTGTAATAGGATAAGGTGTTGTCTTTGAGAGGTCAGTGACACATCCAGAGAAGAGGTGTCTGTCAGGCCATCACAAATATGAGTGTGTGGTAAAATGGCACATGTCTCTCAATTATCCATAAAAAGTCTCTCAAAGCCAATGGTGGACAATATACCAAAACCTTTAGTCCAGATCTTTGATTTTTGTTGCACTTTGTAAGAGACTGCCTCTTACAGAGTGTCCATGCCACCCATCCAATTCACTTGACCCCAGTGAACCCAATAACTGGTCAAGTTTAACTGAAATCTATATTCATACTTGGTTCTGGACTATAATTTCATTTTTAGATCCCGTTTTTGGAATAAATAGATCATTTCGTTCTTCTTGAAAGTAGTGAAGCAACTAAACCTCAGTTACTTACCTAAATGAGAAAGAAATATTATGAGCAAAAAGAGAGTGTGGTTGTTAACTTGCTGGCCCTGCTTTAAGCGCCAGACGGTCCACATTCTGGAATGATCGTGTCTATGTCTTACTCTCCCTATTATAACACCCCTCAGCCAAATTTCTGCTTATAAAAATGGCATGAATCTTATCCCAAGTCATTAAAAAGATTTCATACTATAAACCCAATGTTTAATGAACCATTGTGAGATTTGAGATTATACTGGTGTCAACCAGGAAGATGTCATTAACTCTTTAAGTCCTTAGGGTCTGAACTAGCAAATGACAAGCTTTAAAATGCTTCCACCATATCTCTGGAAAAAGATTCTCAAGGCCTTGTTTCCAGAAACACTGGCTGTGTGCAGCCAGTCCATTTACGGATTTGGCCACTGAATCTAAAACCGGAGTTATGCTTTCTGTTGATTCTTAAGACCCAACCTCATATACAAAAGGTTTCTTGAATCTATTTTTGTGTTTTCCAATGATCACTGCTCTCTGGTTTAATTCAATCCTCTTAACTCTTCTTGACCTTGACTGTTGCAATAGCAATAGCTTAACTGGTCTCTCTGCCTCTAGTCTCAGCCCACTTCATTCCATCCTCCATACTGCTGCCAGCATGATCTTTCTAAAACACAGCTCTCAACATGTCCCTTCCCTACTCAAAACCTCTAAAGACTCATATTGCTTGTAGAGGAGAATGCACAGTTTGTTAGTGTACCAGAGCAAAACTTTCTGTGTCTTTAGTTACCTTTCCAACCTTGCCTCCAGCCACTCCCTTGTGGCTTTTCACATTTGTCATTCCTCCATGACTTTGTGCACACTGATTTCTGGGTCGGTGATGCCTTCCGCCTGGTGAATTTTTCATTCTTCAAAGTCCAGCTTGCGTGTCGTTTCTGTGACTCTTTCTGTTTCCTCTTCCTCTCCCTTTCTGTGTTGGCTGAATGAATTCCTCTTTTATCTATGTTCCATTAGCTCTTTATTCACCTTATAATAATACACCTTGTGTTGTGGTATATGGTTAGCTATTTACATGTCTTCTTCTCTGGCTAAGCTCTAAGCTCCTCAGGGGCAGGAACTATATTATATTTACCCCTTCACCTTTGATTTCATCTTTGATTTTATTTCCTTTTCGGAGACTTAAAATAAGAGTTGTTAGAAAAGGCAGGAGAATCATATCTTAAGTAAACCTCAATCTCTAGTTTGAAGTTTGTTAGTTACAAGGCAAACTGAACGAAAGGGTTAAGAGTTCTGCTTAACAGCAAGCACACATATTTATAATTCCCATCTTTCTATAAAACTGAGATTTTTTAAAGAATATTTAGAAAATGGGATATAATATGAATTTTTTTCTCAACTCCAAAACCCCCTCTCTAACCATTCATTTAAAAATGTTATTATATTTTAAAAATAAAAATAAATTTTTATTGTATACATTTAAGTTATACAATATAATGTTATAAGATGCAGGAAGATAGTAAAATGGCTACTGTAGTGAAGCAAATTAGCATATCCATCATCTCACAGTTACCTATATTTTGTGACAAGAGCAGATAAAATATATTCATTTAGTAAACATTTAATACAATACAATGTTATCATCCATAGTCCTCATGTTGTACATTAGATTTCTAGACCTCCGTATCCTACACATGTACTATTTTGTATCCTTTGACCTACATTTCCCCCATTTCCTCCCTCTCCCTCCAGTCACCCCAGTTAACCACTGTTTTATTATCTGTTTTTGCATACTTAACATTTAAAAAAAGATTCCACATATAAGTGAGATTATGCGGTATTTTTCCTTCTGTGTCTGGTTTATTTCACTTAGCATAATGTTTTGTAAGTTCATACACTTGGCAAATGGCAGGATCTCCTTTTTAAAAGCTGAATAATATTCCATTATAGATATGTAATACATATATATTACATATATATACACACATATTACACACATACCCCACAGTTTCTTATTCGTTCATCCATTGATGGACATTTTGCTAGTTTCCATATTTTGGCTTCTGTGAATAAAGCTGCAATGAACACAAGAGTGCAGGTACCTTGAAATGGTGGTGATTTCATTTCCTTTGGGACTATGCCCTGA
Source organism: Homo sapiens (assembly GCF_000001405.40). Taxonomy (NCBI): domain Eukaryota; kingdom Metazoa; phylum Chordata; class Mammalia; order Primates; family Hominidae; genus Homo; species Homo sapiens. The sequence continues at coordinate 200,203,869 of NC_000001.11, read as the reverse complement.
AGTAGGATTGCTGGGTCATATGGTAGCTCTATTTGTACTTTCTTTAGGAATCCATACCATTTTCCACTATTTCCACCAATGACACTAGTCTACATTCCCACCAACAGCATGCAAGGGTCCCTTTTCTCCACACCCTTGCCAACACTTGTTACCTGTTGTCTTTTTGATAATAGCCATCCCAACAAATGTGAGCCCACCCTTCCTTTTAACTGTCATTTTAAATATAGCCCAGTGGCTGGGTGCAGTGGTTCACGCCTATAATCCCAGCACTTTGGGAGGCTGAGGCGGGCAGATCACCTGAGGTTAAGAGTTCAAGACTAGCCTGGCCAATATGGTGAAACCCCGTCTCTACTAAAAATACAAAAATTAGCTGGGTGTGGTGGTGGGTGGCTGTAGTCCCAGCTACTTGGGATGCTGAGGCAAGAGAATCTCTTGAACCTGGGAGACGGAGGTTGCAGTGAGCCGAGATCGCATCACTGCACTCCAGACTGGGCGACAGAGCAAAGTAATTTAGTCTTTTGTCAATGATTGAGAATTTTGATAACATGTATTAAGAATCTTTAAAATGCTTCTACATCTTGATGTGATAATCTATAGTAATCTAAGGAATCAACTTTAAACACAGAAAAACTTTTTTTTCAAATACACACAAAGTTTGAGCTGAGGTCTTGTGGCAGGCATGGAGGTGTCACACAAGAGGACCTGATGAGGGAAGTGAGTTGGCCGGCAGCCTCCAGCTGCTGCACCTTTGGGATCCAGCACAACATTCAGGCCGAGGCCACACGGATGCTGGTAGCCATCAACCTGGCTGAGACTTTCTCAGAGCAGTTTGCTGCTCTTTGTATCCAGCCCTCTTTCCTCCCTTCTTTCCTTTCCCAAGCATCAGACCTTCATCATGCTCAAAGGCTCTCTTGGTTTATGCCAGCTCCCTCCCCTTCATCCTTCAAGGAAGTTTTCCCTGCTAATTCTCCTGCACTTCTAAATCCATCTTGGCCTCCACTTCCTAGAGGATGTGAACTAGCAGGCCTATAGGATGAATAGGATTTACACAGGTAAAGAGGGGGTTCTGAGAAGTCCACGTAGAGAGGAGCACAGGATGACCTTGAGGGACTGAGAGATGCCAGTGTGTTGAAGTCGAGTGAGTGGAGGGAGGGCAGGTTGTGAATAAAGCTGGAAGAGGAGGCAAGACCACACCCCACAGGCGAGGATTTTTCACTTTATCCTATCAGCAAAATCTGTTAAGGATGTTCATTAGAGAAGATGATCAGACTTGCATTTTGAAAAGATTATCTGGGCACCCATGTAGCAAAGGCGCCATTTTGAGAGGCCAATGCAGTAGTCTAAGTCAGAGTGAATGGTAGCCTAGACTAGGTTGTTGGTGGGGGGATGAAGCCATTTAGATATATTTGAGAGGTATTTATGAAATAAAATCCATGAGACTTGGTGATGAGTCAGAAATAAGGGGATGAGGGAGAGGAAGCTTAAAGGCTTCCATGTTTGGGCTTTCATAACTTAATAGGTGGATGTGCCATATGTTGAACTTGGGAACCCTTGAAGACAACTGGGAGTAGAGGGAAGACTATGCCCATTGAATCTGAACAAACTGCATTTGAGGTGTTCAAGAGGTAACATTCAAGAAAGGAGTCAAGTAGGCATTTGGCGTTGGACCAGGACTGGTGAACAAAACATGCGCTTGCAAATATAATTGCAGTTTTTCCCATTGAAAGTAATGGCAAAAGTCACAATTATGTTTGCACCAACCCAATACACCTGTAGATCATTGGTGGTGCTGCAGAAGGTTGTGATCCAGGAGCCAGAGTCTTCTTTCCTGAGAGCTGAGGAGTGACTGAGAAGCTGGTAGAGGATAGCAGCTCCTCTGCAAGCAGGTGCATGGCAGGGGTGAAGGACTAGCCCTGGAGGAATAGGTGTTTGTCTTTGATGTCTTTTTGTGGCTTGGCAAAAGGATGAATAAGTAAAGGTCTGAAAGTGACCACGAGGAACAGACACTCATACACACACACACACACACACACACACACACACACACGTGCATGCACACACACCCCAAAAGATTTATTTTAAGGAATTGCTCATGCACTCGGAGCTGGCAAATCCAAAATGTGTAGGGTAAGCCAACAAGCTCAGGCAGGAGTTGATATGACAGTCTTGAGGCAGAATTTCTTATTTTTCTGGGAAGCCTCCGTTTTTGCTGTTAAGGCCTTCCAACTGATTTGATGAGTCCCACCCACATGATTGAGGGTAATTTCTTTACATGAAGTCAATTGATTGTAGATGTTTACCACATCTACAAAATACCTTCACAGAAACACTTAGATCAATGTTACTAAGTACCTGGACACTACAGCCTAGCCAAGTTGACACATGAAACTAACCAACACAGGAACTGTGGTGGCTGTGGGGAGGTGGAACTCTTGACCTCAAGGTTCCAATGAAGACCAGTGGGAGGCGAGAACATTCTGCTAAGTTTGAGGATTCAGGGAGTGTGCCAGGTAAGGATTAACAGTTCCAGAAAGCCTAGTGGAAGGATCTGTGAACTCAGTGAAAACTGAAGGCTAGGGAAGGAAAAGGGGTTGCAATGGAACCTCCATTCCAAGCCATCACAATGGCTATGGAGAAAAAAGTGTGTCCAGGCTCCCCACTTCATCTTCATACCTGCAGGTGGGCTGAAGTCCAGCCTGCCTTCTCTGAGGTCTTGCCTGTCTTCAGGGGATTCTTCTCTGGACATAGTGAAATGGAGAGTTCCCTGACCCCCCCTTGAAGGACGTGCAACAGGGGTGTGGCTCACTGTTCAGTTTCTGTGCATGCTCAAACCCCTTAGAGGAGAGGGAGCATGCAGATGGGCAGGTACAGGAACCGGGGACAGTGCTTTTTGGACTCTGGCCCCATAATAGTGTCTAGAGGTGGATCGCTGTGACTCCCTAGTGGGCATGCTATAGTGCTCTTTTAGCTCTGCTGTCCACAGATGGCTTAAGTGTTAACCAGCTCAGTGCCCTCTTGGCACCCAGGTTCTTGTCCAGCATCCAGGAAGAATCAGGTCACACATGGACTTGAAGGATATTGAATGCAGGGGTTTTACTCAGTGGTGGAGGTGGCTCTCAGTTGGATGGATGGGGAGCTGGAAAGGAGATGGAGTGGGAAGATGATCTTCCCTTGAAGTTTGGCCATCCAGTGGCTGATTTCCTCTCTGACTGTCCCCAGCAGAACTCCTCTCAACGTTCAGATGCTCCTTCTCTTCTCTCCTCTCAGCTGCACCATCTTGCCACTCTTCTGCTCTTCTGTTCATCTGCCTGTCTGCTTGTCTGCCCATGGAGCCTGGGGTTTGGAGTTTATATGAGTATAGGATAGGGGGATGTGGCAGGAGAAAAGGCAACTCCTGGGTGCAAAACAGGAATGCCTGTTCCCACTTAGGGCCACGGGTTTCCAGGCTTGAGGGTGGGGCTTTTGCCGAGGAATCGCCCTCTTCTACCCAGTATTTCCATGTCTCCTGTCTGTATCAATAGTGCCCCGTGCCATGCCACCCCCCATCTACCACTGCCCTCATCATGTCTATTAGGCTGGACTCATAATTCTGCAATGCTGATTTTCTAGCACAGACGGCTGTGTTTTTATATGGCATTCTAAATTGTTTATTAACTATTGCCACCTATGCTGTGATTCAGAAAGGAAATGGCTTTCAGGAGTGTGGAAGCCAATCAATCTAAGCAGGAATTGCCACCTGTGGGAATACAGAAGTTAAAAATTGCCAATACTTTTGGTGGTATAAATGTTTATACTTGAAAAGCACAAACTTGCTTAGAAGGAATGAAGGTTTGCTCTATAATTTCTCAAGAACTAAATGTCACACAGAGTGGGGAATAAAAAAAGTCTATTAGCATGATAGATTTGGTGCAAATTTCTTGTCTTTAAACCCCAACTTTAATTTTTTTATTTATTTGTTTGTTTGTTTGTTTTTAGAGACAGGGTCCAAGCTGGTCTCGAACTCCTGAGCTCAAGTAATTCTTCTACTTCAGCCTCCTGAGTGCCAGTTTTCTTCTCTGTAAAATGGGTGGAGAATCACTCCTGCCTGGATTATTCTAGATTATTCTCAGGAATAGATCAAATTAACTGATAAAATTAATCCATTAGAAGAGTTTAAAATACTAGGCAAATGGGAGCAATGGTTGCTATTACAACAGTTCTTGCTACTTTTATTATTATTCTCCTTATTTTCGTAGAATCAAAATGCAATTTGGAATTTTAATGTGACCTCAACACAAGGGAAAACAGAATGCATGGAGTAGTGCTTGGGTCTTTCCATATTAAAAATTGCTTATCATTGATTTAGATGTCTGATTTTTTTAATCAGTCTAATGTTTATTTAGATTTTCTCTCCACAGTTTGATTCTCACCCTGTTGGATTAAAGCCCAGGGTGGCCAGGCTTTTTGACGCGAGGGCCACACAGTGGTTTCTGATTGAGCCTCTGGGCCTCCCTGTCCCAAGGCTGCTCCTGTCTGCTGCGGACAAATTGCACTGCCTCAGGATATTGACCATTTGTCTGCCAATTCCTTTTATTCTCTCTTGGTTCAGGAGGCAGAATTTGTCTATCGCTTCCAATTTGGGAGGCAGATTTCAGTCTTGGAATTATTTACCCTCCTCTAAATTCATTACACTGAAAGTTCACAGGAATTCAAACAGTAACGTAAGTGGTAACATGGTTTCATCGGCCCCACAGTTACCTGAGCTGCTTGCAATCTTTAGCTGATGCTGCAGGCTCTTAGTGCTAAGAGCAAACCATGCATCCATCCACCCTAGCACCTGCTTACACACAATGTCTCGACACAGCAGTATGAAGAGCAGGCAGGAAGTTATCATTTGCATCATGCTTGATTTGATGTATCCATTTGGAATTTGTGATTTTTAGGGCAGAGATTGTCTTGAATTTTACTCTTAAAGCTTTACAAAGCAAATTAATTGTATTGGGTTAAACATTTTTGTCTTTATAGAATAAACCTTTTTTCCTCAAGCACTAGTAGATGACTATTTGGAAATCATTGATATGTTATTTCCATACCAGGTACTGGGTATACTATTTATGCAAGTAAGGTCATATAAGCTGCTTACTTGTTTTAAAATGTGTATGTTTCATCTTGTGAGTGAGATACAAGGCTCCGGTGTTTCAATGGTTCTTAGAGCATCTGCCCCTCTTCTTTACTCCCTTATCCTAGATTGTGGCCAGAGTGGCCTTTCCAAGATACAAACCTGATTCTCTTCTGGAAAAAAAATCGTTCAGGGTTGTTTCACCACCTTCAGGTGCCTCCAGCCTCTCAGTCCTCCTTGCTGCCCATCGTCTGCTTCATTTTCCACCCTCCCCCCAAGGCACTTGCCTTCCAGTCTGGCTGAACAACCTGCAATTACAGAGGGATTTATGAGCTCTCAGAGCTGTGCCTGTGCTCCTGCAGCTCTCTACATAAGAAACATCTTTCCCTTCTGTGGCCTCTTCCTCCTGTGTTTCAAGGCACAACTCACATGCCGTTTTTTTCAGGATGGTCTTTCTAGTTATGCACCTCATCCTGCCCCACCCTTTCTTTGGTCCCCCAAGAGCCTATCTATCCTGGCACCCATGGCTGCTATAATTGTTTTTTAATGAAATTTCTCTCTCAGAGGGAGAAAGCCCAGCATCTATCACATGTTGTGACTCTTAACAGGTACTCAATAAATATTCCTTGAATAAATGGTTTCTTAACTGTTTCGTTAAACAGTTAAGTTTAACAAAACTTAACTGTTTCGTTAAAAAAAAAGTGTCTCTTCTTAGCCTTCACTTATATGTCTCTGCTTGTTAAAGCGTAGTTTGAGAACCAGCAGCATCAGCATCACCTGGGAACCTGTGAAAAATGCAGAATGTTGGCCCCATTCCAGACCTGCTCATCAGAATCTGCATCTTAATAAGGTCTCCAGGTGATCTGTGCCCACCTTCAGGTTTGAAAAGCACCACTAGAGGTAACTAAAAGGAATGCAATTTTATTTTAGCCAGGCATGGTGGCTCACGCCTGTAATCCCAGCGCTTTGGGAGGCTGAGGCAGGTGGATCACTTGAGGTCAGGAGTTCGAGACCAGCCTGGCCAACATGGTGAAATCCCATCTCTACTAAAAATACAAAAATTAGCCAGGCGTGGTGGCGAGCACTTATAATTCCAGCTACTCAGGAGGCTGAGGCAGGAGAATGGCTTGAACCTGGGAGGCGGATGTTGCAGTGAGCTGAGATCGCACCATTGCATTCCAGCCTGGGCGTCGCAGCGAGACTCCATCTCAAAAAAAATAAAAACAATAATTTAGTCTTTTTTTTTTTTTTTAAAAATACAGATTCTCATTCCATTGCCCAGGCTAGAGTACAGTGGCACAATCTCTGCTCACTGCAACCTCTGCCTCCCGGGTTCAAGCAATTCTCCTGTCTCAGCCTCCCAAGTGGCTAGGATTACAGGCGCTCACCACTATGACCAGCTAATTTTTGTGTTTTTAGTAGAGACGGGGTTTTGGCCATGTTGGCAAGACTGGTCTCGAAGTCCTGGCCTCAAATGATCTGCCTGCTTCAGCCTCCCAAGGTGCTGGGATTACAGGCGTGCACCACAGCGACCGACCTAGTCATTCGATTTTTAATGCCTTTTCTGAATATTAAAGTAGTCTAAGGCAATTTTAAAAGTTTATTAAAACTCTAGTATGCTAATTTTAGGAGTAATTTGTAATGAAAAATACAAATTGTCATTTACATTTGATACTACTGCAGATACAGGAAATTTTTGCTCATAAAAGTGACATAAAGCCCGCGAGGATGAGTGAAGTATGCCTAATAACAAAATTCCCAGAATTTCTAGGATCTCCAGAATTTCCTCATAGAGGAAGGGGCTTAGGGAAGGCCATGTGTTTGGAAGAGCAGGTTGAACAATTGGCCTTGAAGTTGAATCTGTATGACAAGCATGCATTTTTGCTTAGATTATGTTACCAAGTTCATATACAATTTTTCTAAACATGAATTTATCCACATCTTATATAGAAATGAGCAAATGTCAATTGCCCGTAACAAAGAATGAGTTAACTTCCTCACCTCTTTTACTGTGAGACTCTACATCTGATTCATTAGCAGATCCTCTAGGCATTACCTTTGGAATGTACCCAGAATGTGACTGCTTTTTTCTATTTTTCTCATGATCACTCTACACCAAGCCACCTTTATCTCTTGCCTGAATTATTACACTAGCCTCCTCTTGTTTTCCTCCTTCCACCCGACTTCCCGACAGTCTCTTCCCCACTCAGTTGCCAGATCATGCCCTCCTCTGCCCAAAACCATCCAATGGCTTCCCCTCTTACACTAAAGGACACTGAGGCCCTTGCTGAAGACTACAAAGTCTTCCATGGCCTGGCCTCCAACCCCCTCCAACTTTATTCTCTTCTTTCCCCTTGTTTTCCTTCCTTCCTTCCTTCCTTCCTTTTTCCAAGTTAGAGTCTTGCTTTGTCGCCCAGGCTGGAGTGCAGTAGTGTGATCTCGGGTCACTGCAACTTCTGCCTCCTGGGTTCAAGTGATTCTCCTGCCTCAGACCCCCGAGTAGCTGGAGTTACAGGCACCCTCCACCACACCCAGCTAATTTTTGTATTTTTAATAGAGACGGGTTTCACCATGTTGGGCAGGCTGGTCTTGAACTCCTGACCTCAGGTGATCTGCCCGCCTTGGCCTCCCAAAGTGCCGAGATTATAGGCATGAGCCACTGCGCCTGGCCCCCGCCTTACTGTCTTTCTCTTTTGTGCTTGCACACAGGCTTCCTGGACGTTTCTCAAGCCTGGCCAGCAATGCTTCTGCCTCAAGGCCTTTGCATGGATTCATTCCACTGCCAGAAAGCGTTCCAGATATCCTAATGGCCTATTTCCTCCTTCTTCAGGTTTCCCTCAAATGGCAGAGAGTCCTTCCCTGGTCTCCTGCCACCCCTTTCACCTAACCCTCCACTGTCACTTTTTATCGCTTGATCCTGCTTTATATTTTATCATGGCAGTTATCACCATCATCTGATACAGTACTTAGTTATTTTATCTATTTTTGTATCTTTCCACTAAAATTCAAACTCCGTAAAGTAGGGGATTTTTCTTATTCACTGTTTTATCCCCAGTGCCCAGAACAGCCTTGCATATAGTAATTGCTTAATAAATATTGGTTGAATAAAGCCATGAATGACAGCACAGAGGGTCGGTGTTGAGAGGATGTCACTGATGAAGATTAGTGGAGAATGGCTCAAGTCCATTGTCACTACATCAGATGTTACCTACAAGTGTTCAATTCTTTCTTTGTAAACCTGAATACCGGAGTTGCTAATAAATTGCAATATTGTCAGGTTAACAGATCTTTCTGTCCTTATCGATGTCATATAATACTCAGAAGACTATATGTTAGAGGCAAAGGGAAAGAAAGAAAAGGTCTTAAATAATCCCTAGTGCTTAGTCTCTGTGTGTCCTATCCTCCTTGTTTATTCTCTTTCCTGCCTAGTTTACCTTTTTATTTTATTTTTGAGATGGAGTCTTGCTCTTGTCTTCTAGGCTGAAGTGCAGTGGTACGATCTTGGCTCAATACAACCTCCGCCTCCCGTGTTCAAGTGATTCTCCTGCCTCAGCCTTCCCAGTAGCTGGGATTACAGGTGCCCGCCACCATGCCTGGCTAAGTTTTGTACTTTTAGTAGAGATGGGGTTTCACCTTGTTGGCCAGGCTGGTCTCGAACTCCTGACCTCAGGTGAGGAGGTACCTCAGGAGCCTTGGCCTCCCAAAGTGCTGGGATTACAGGCATGAGCCACCGCACCCAGCCCAGTTTATGTTTTTAAACAGTCTGTGCCACTTTGAATGGATAGGATATTTGTTTTAAATTGAAGGTTTTTAAAGTGACCCAACTATAGTCCCAAACTATAACCTAAACCAAAGATCAGCAAACTTTTTCTGTAAAAGGTCAGATCGAAAATATTTCAGGCTTTGCAGGTAACATGTAGTTTTTGTGGTGACAACGCTGCCATTGTACTGTAAAAGCAGACACAGGCACTACTTAAACATACGGGTGTGGTTTTGTTACAATAGCTTACAAAAACAGGTCTGCTGGAGTTGGCACATGGGCCATGGTTAGCTGATCCCTGGCCTAAACCAAAGTCATACATCTCTAGACTGTGAACCCTTAGGGTACGACAGTGTCTAACATGTATGCTAGGTACAAAGAAATATCTGTCGAATAAGGAAATAAATAGACACACCCTAAGAAATCCATTGGTAATTTTAGATTCTGTTAGTCATGGTTGGAATGGTTGGTGCCGTGATCCTGCCATGGCCTGAGCATTCGGGCTTCCGGAACGTGGCTGTGAAGAACCTGTAGCCAGGGAAGTAATGCTTCATCTCACCACTCCTAAGACACATTTCTCACTGTTTAACTTCCTTCAAGTCAGGATATATCGTATACCTTTCAATGATATCAGAAACACGTTTCCTTTTCAGTGGTGCATAAGATAATGGTGTGTCTTACAATTGTTGGCATCTTAGATTTGAGGAAATAAGGTATTTCTCACTTGGATTTTCAGATTAACAAGTGACCAAACAAAATGTCCAACTAAGAAAGAACTATGCTGTCTGTGATGTAATAATCTCCAGGGCTGATGAAGGTAATAGTGTCTGGATCTAGGTGCAAAGGCTCTTGCTCACTCTATCTTTCAAGCAATATAGACTTTCATGGTGAACGGATAGACAATGAAAAGGAGGTTTCCATGTGTTGGACCTTAGTGGCTTTAAGAATTATTTTTCAAGTCATATCTGCTTTATCCTAGATAATCAAGAATTTACTGGCCCAGAAATTATCAGCAAAAATATAATTTTAAATGATTACATTCTCTTTTAAAGTAGTTATAAGAAAGGTAAAGAGGAAGATTTTAATACGAATCAGATCTTTTCATCGTGACACGAAAAAGGAATCTTCCTTTTTCACGGTGACAAGATCATTAATACTGCTTTTCAAATTATTTGCTTTCAAATACACATTAAAACAGGATAAAAGCACTTAAATATTTGATTCAATCTGAGAAATGTTTTTTGAGCATCATTATGAGTAGGTATCAAGTTAAAAGAAGTTAAAGCTGGGAGCAGGTTTAGGATCCCTGGTGGAGTGCCTGGCTCCCTAAAACTTCATGATGGAAGAAACAGAGGACGTTCAGTAGACTTCTAATTCCCTTTTAATTCTTCCCATGTGCTGACACATTACACTACTGAGATGTGCATCCTATTTATGCTAGGAGATTGGTGACATATTTTGTAAGCTTGGCTCTGTCTCTCTCTCTCTCTGAAAGCAAAGTAAGTCATTAGAAAATAAGGAGGGAGAACTCAGGGGTGAGAGAGGGAAGGAAGGATTACTGTTTTTGGGCATCTGGGCCAGGTCTTAATTTCCAGACCATAGATGGGTAAATACCTGTTTACTTTCCTCTGACCAAGAACAGTAGATATCTGAAATTGTCTAAGCGAAGACACAGAGTAGGATTTGGCAACCTGGGAATGGGCAGGGTACTTGATTTGGGGGGCATAATAAACTGATTTCAGGATGGCTGGTAACACAGTGGAGGGCAGGGGAAGAGGAGAGCCTTCCCTGTTGCCCTCTCCTTCCTCTCACCCTCCATCCCTGGGAGCCGGATGGTTTCTCTGGGGTGTTCCCAGATATATAAGTGGCAGATGCCCCTCCTCCATGTTTATAAAGCCACTGTCAATCCCATCTTCCACACTCCCAACCAAGGGCTGAAGGAGGCCTTGACCACCTGAGCTGCTGATGCCACAACCCACCATCCCACCCCCGTGTAGGCACTGATGGGATGGATGATTGGAGCTGTTTTCCATTCCCAAACACCTGATGGACGGACAGAAGGAAGGGCACATGGCTTTATTCTGTTTGGAGAGCTCAGAAGCAAACAGGTTATTAATAACGGGTATTTTACTAACCGATAACAAAATTAGTAGTTTTTGGCTTTCCCTATTCCTACGTAATCACAATGAATTGTGTTCAAACATATAAAAATGTTTGTAGTCCCACGTTCCCCTGAAGTCCCTTTCTTTTTCTTTTTCTTTTTTTTTGAGATGGAGTTTTGCTTTTGTTGCCCAGGCTGGAGTGCAGTGGCATGGTCTCAGCTCACCACAATATCTGCCTCCTGGGTTCAAGTGATTCTCCTGCCTCAGCCTCCGGAGTAGCTGGGATTACAGACATGCGCCACCACCCCCGGCTAATTTTGTATTTTTAGTAGAGACAGGATTTCTCCATGTTGGTCAAGCTGGTCTTGAACTCCTGACTTCAGGTGATCTGCCCAACTCGGCCTCCCAAAGTGCTGGGATTACAGGTGTGAGTCACCGCGTCCTGCCTGAAGTCCCTTTCTTGAGACTACAACAGTGCGCCCCTACCATTGTGTTTTAGGTCCTCTCTCATATCTTTGCTTCTGCTCTGAGACTTTGTTGCATGTCACATTATATTTGGGAAAGTTTTCTGCTGTGCTTGAAACACAGGACATTGACATCTCTGTGGATTGTAAATCGAAGTGTAGATGGAAAACCCCTTCCTTTGACTCTGGTAGTTAATAGTATCTGGATCTGAAGTGCAAAGCTCCAACTGCACTTTATGAAAATAAACACAAACATTCTGAGGATGCTTCAGTCGAGTTAAATATAAAGATATGTAATCATTTAATATCAGCTCCCAACACACTGATACCTTATCTACCCACAGAGTTTTCCACAGGATGAGGTAATTAATACAAGGACAGTTTTAATCTTAGGAAAAAAATTACATTTCTTATTGTCCCCGGTCAATCCTAGCTCACAGGTGTTTTTTTCTTTTTCTCTTTTTTTTTTTTTTTTTTTTGAGTTAGAGTTTCACTTTGTCATCCAGGCTGGAGTGCAGTGGCCCAGATCCTGGCTCACTGCAACCTCTACCTCCCAGGTTCAAGTGATTCTCCTGCCTCAGCCTCCTGAGTACCTGGGATTACAGGCACCCACCTCGATGCCTGGCTAATTTTTGTGTTTTTAGTAGAAACAGGGTTTCATCATGTTGGCCAGGCTGGTCTCAAACTCCTGACCTCAGGTGATCCACTTGCTGTGGCCTCCGAAAGTGCTGGGATTACAGGCATGAGCCACCGCACCTGGCTAGGGTGTTTCAGTGTTGCAGCCTCATCATTACGTTTCTTTCTTTCATTTTTTTTTTTTTTAAGCCCTGCATGCTTTCAGCTCATTCTCTTGCCCCTTCTATGTCCTTGTCTTCTGGTCTCTTATTTATTTATTTATTTATTTATTTATTTATTTATTTATTTTATTTTTTATTTTTATTATACTTTAAGTTTTAGGGTACATGTGCACAACGTGCAGGTTTGTTACATATGTATGCATGTGCCATGTTGGTGTGCTGCACCCATTAACTTGTCGTTTAGCATTAGGTATATCTCCTAATGCTATCCCTCCCCCCACCCCCACCCCACAACAGTCCCTGGTATGTGATGTTCCCCTTCCTGTGTCCATGTGTTCTCATTGTTCAATTCCCACCTATGAGTGAGAATATGCGGTGTTTGGTTTTTTGTCCTTGCGATAGTTTGCTGAGAATGATGGTTTCCAGCTTCATCCATGTCCCTACAAAGGACATGAACTCATCATTTTTTATGGCTGCATAGTATTCCATGGTGTATATGTGCCACATTTTCTTAATCCAGTCTATCATTGTTGGACATTTGGGTTGGTTCCAAGTCTTTGCTATTGTGAATAGTGCCTCAATAAACATACGTGTGCATGTGTCTTTATAGCAGCATGATTTATAATCCTTTGGGTACATACCCAGTAATGGGATGGCTGGGTCAAATGGTATTTCTAGTTCTAGATCCCTGAGGAATCGCCACACTGACTTCCACAATGGTTGAACTAGTTTATAGTCCCACCAACAGTGTAAAAGCATTCCTATTTCTCCACATCCTCTCCAGCACCTGTTGTTTCCTGACTTTTTAATGATCGCCATTCTAACTTGTGTGAGGTGGTATCTCATTGTGGTTTTGATATGCATTTCTCTGATGGCCAGTGATGATGAGCATTTTTTCATGTGTTTTTTGGCTGCATAAATGTCTTCTTTTGAAAAGCGTCTGTTCATATCCTTCGCCCACTTTTTGATGAGGTTGTTTGTTTTTTTTCTTATAAATTTGTTTGAGTTCATTGTAGATGCTGGATATTAGCCCTTTGTCAGATGAGTAGGTTGCAAAAATTTTCTCCCATTCTGTAGGTTGCCTGTTCACTCTGATGGTGGTTTCTTTTGCTGTGCAGAAGCTCTTTAGTTTAATTAGATCCCATTTGTCAATTTTGGCTTTTGTTGCCATTGCTTTTGGTGTTTTAGACATGAAGTCCTTGCCCATGCCTATGTCCTGAATGGTATTGCCTAGGTTTTCTTCTAGGGTTTTTATGGTTTTAGGTCTAACATTTAAGTCTTTAATCCATCTTGAATTTATTTTTGTATAAGGTGTAAGGAAGGGATCCAGTTTCAACTTTCTACATATGGCTAGCCAGTTTTCCCAGCACCATTTATTAAATAGGGAATCCTTTCCCCATTGCTTGTTTTTGTCAGGTTTGTCAAAGATCAGATAATATTAGATATGTGGCATTATTTCTGAGGGCTCTGTTCTGTTCCATTGGTCTATATCTCTGTTTTGGTACCAGTACCATGCTGTTTTGGTTACTGTAGCCTTGTAGTATAGTTTGAAGTCAGGTAGCATGATGCCTCCAGCTTTGTTCTTTTGGCTTAGGATTGACTTGGCAATGTGGGCTCTTTTTTGGTTCCATATGAACTTTAAAGTAGTATTTTCCAATTCTGTGAAGAAAGTCATTGGTAGCTTGATGGGGATGGCATTGAATCTATAAATTACCTTGGGCAGTATGGCCATTTTCACAATATTGATTTTTCCTACCCATGAGCATGGAATGTTCTTCCATTTGTTTGTATCCTCTTTTATTTCATTGAGCAGTGGTTTGTAGTTCTCCTTGAAGAGGTCCTTTACATCCCTTGTAAGTTGGATTCCTAGGTATTTTATTCTCTTTGAAGCAATTGTGAATGGGAGTTCACTCATGATTTGGCTCTCTGTTTTTCTGTTATTGGTGTATAAGAATGCTTCTGATTTTTGTACATTGATTTTGTATCCTGAGACTTTGCTGAAGTTGCTTATCAGTTTAAGGAGATTTTGGGCTGAGACTATGGGGTTTTCTAGGTATACAATCATGTCATCTGCAAACAGGGACAATTTGACTTCCTCTTTTCCTAATTGAATGCCCTTTATTTCCTTCTCCTGCCTGATTGCCCTGGCCAGAACTTCCAACACTATGTTGAATAGGAGTGGTGAGAGAGGGCATCCCTGTCTTGTGCCAGTTTTCAAAGAGAGTGCTTCCAGTTTTTGCCCATTCAGTATGATATTGGCTGTGGGTTTGTCATAGATAGCTCTTATTATTTTGAGATACGTCCCATCAATACCTAATTTATTGAGAGTTTTTAGCATGAAGCGTTGTTGAATTTTGTCAAAGGCCTTTTCTGCATCTATTGAGATAATCAGGTGGTTTTTGTCTTTGGTTCTGTTTATATGCTGGATTACGTTTATTGATTTTCATATGTTGAACCAGCCTTGCATCCCAGGGATGAAGCCCACTTGATCACGGTGGATAAACTTTTTGATGTGTTGCTGGATTCGGTTTGCCAGTATTTTATTGAAGATTTTTGCATCAATGTTCATCAAGGATATTGGTCTAAAATTCTCTTTTTTTTGTTGTGTCTCTGCCAGGCTTTGGTATCAGGATGATGCTGGCCTCATAAAATGAGTTAGGGAGGATTCCCTCTTTTTCTATTGATTGGAATAGTTTCAGAAGGAATGGTACCAGTTCCTCCTTGTACCTCTGGTAGAATTCGGCTGTGAATCCATCTGGTCCTGGACTTTTTTTGGTGGGTAAGCTATTAATTATTGCCTCAATTTCAGAGCCTGTTATTGGTCTATTCAGAGATTCAATTTCTTCCTGGTTTAGTCTTGGGAGAGTGTATGTGTTGAGGAATTTATCCATTTCTTCTAGATTTTCTAGTTTATTTGCATAGAGGTGTTTATAGTATTCTCTGATGGTAGTTTGTATTTCCTTTGGGATCGGTGGTGATATCCCCTTTATCATTTTTTATTGAGTCTCTTTGATTCTTCTCTCTTTTCTTCTTTATTAGTCTTGCTAGCGGTCTGTCGATTTTGTTGATCTTTTCAAAAAACCAGCTCCTGGATTCGTTGATTTTTTGAAGGGTTTTTTGTGTCTCTATCTCCTTCAGTTCTGCTCTGATCTTAGTTATTCTTGCCTTCTGCTAGCTTTTGAATGTGTTTGTTCTTGCTTCTCTAGTTCTTTTAATTGTGATGTTAGGGTGTCAATTTTAGATCTTTCCTGCTTTCTCTTGTGGGCATTTAGTGCTATAAATTTCCCTCTACACCCTGCTTTGAATGTGTCCCAGAGATTCTGGTATGTTGTGTCTTTGTTCTCATTGGTTTCAAAGAACATCTGTATTTCAGCCTTCATTTCGTTATGTACCCAGTAGTCATTCAGGAGCAGGTTGTTCAGTTTCCATGTAGTTGAGCAGTTTTGAGTGAGTTTCTTAATCCTGAGTTCTAGTTTGATTGCACTGTGGTCTGAGAGACAGTTTGTTATAATTTCTGTTCTTTTACATTTGCTGAGGAGTGCTTTACTTCCAACTATGTGGTCAATTTTGGAATAGGTGTGGTGTGGTGCTGAAAAGAATGTATATTCTGTTGATTTGGGGTGGAGAGTTCTGTAGATGTCTATTAGGTCTGCTTGGTGCAGAGCTGATTTCAATTCCTGGATAGCCTTGTTAACTTTCTGTCTCATTGATCTGTCTAATGTTGACAGTGGGGTGTTAAAGTCTCCCATTATTATTGTGTGGGAGTCTAAGTCTCTTTGTAGGTCACTAAGGACTTGCTTTATGAATCTGGGTGCTCCTGTATTGGGTGCATATATATTTAGGATAGTTAGTTCTCCTTGTTGAATTGATCCCTTTACTATTATGTAATGGCCTTCTTTGTCTCTTTTGATCTTTGTTGGTTTAAAGTCTGTTTTATCAGAAACTAGGATTGCAACCCCTGCCTTTTTTTGTTTTCCATTTGCTTGGTATATCTTCCTGCATCCCTTTATTTTGAGCCTATTTGTGTCTTTGCACGTGAGATGGGTTTCCTGAATATAGCACACTGATGGGTCTTGACTCTTTATCCAGTTTGCCAGTCTGTGCCTTTTAATTGGAGCATTTAGCCCATTTACATTTAAGGTTAGTATTGTTATGTGTGAATTTGATCCTGTCATTATGATGTTAGCTGGTCATTTTGCTCATTAGTTGATGCAGTTTCTTCCTAGCCTTGATGGTCTTTACAATTTGGTGTGTTTTTGCAGTGGCTGGTACTGGCTGTTCCTTTCCATGTTTAGTGCTTCCTTCAAGAGCGCTTTTAGGGCAGGCCTGGTGGTAACACAATCTCTCAGCATTTGCTTGTCTGTAAAGTATTTTATTTCTCCTTCACTTATGAAGCTTAGTTTGGCTGGATATGAAATTCTGGGTTGAAAATTCTTTTCTTTAAGAATGTTGAATATTGGCCCCCACTCTCTTCTGGCTTGTTGAGTTCCTGCTGAGAGATCAGCTGTTAGTCTGATGGGCTTCCCTTTGTGGGTAACCCGACCTTTCTCTCTGGCTGCCCTTAACATTTTTTCCTTCATTTCAACTTTGGTGAATCTGACAATTATGTGTCTTGGAGTTGCTCTTCTCGAGGAGTACCTTTGTGGCGTTCTTGGTATTTCCTGAATTTGAATGTTGGCCTGCCTTGCTAGATTGGGGAAGTTCTCCTGGATAATATCCTGCAGAGTGTTTTCCAACTTGGTTCCATCCTCCCCGTCACTTTCAGGTACACCAATGAGACATAGATTTGGTCTCTTCACATAGTCCCATATTTCTTGGAGGCTTTGTTCGTTTCTTTTTATTCTTTTTTCTCTAAACTTCCCTTCTTCCTTCATTTCATTCATTTCGTCTTCCATCGCTGATACCCTTTCTTCCAGTTGATTGCATCGGTTACTGAGGCTTGTGCATTTGTCATGTAGTTTTTGTGCCATGGTTTTCAGCTCCATCAGGTCCTTTAAGGACTTCTCTGCATTGATTATTCTAGTTACCCATTCATCTAATTTTTTTTCAAAGTTTTTAACTTCTTTGCCATTGGTTTGAACTTCCTCCTTTAGCTTGGAGTAGTTTGATCTTCTGAAGCCTTCTTCTCTCAACTCATTAAAGTCATTCTCTGTCCAGCTTTGTTCCATTGCTGGTGAGGAGCTGCATTCCTTTGGAGGAGGAGAGGCGCTCTGATTTTTAGAGTTTCCGGTTTTTCTGCTCTGTTTTTTCACCATCTTTGTGGTTTTATCTACCTTTGGTCTTTGATGATGGTGACGTACAGATGGGTTTTTGGTGTGGATGTCCTTTCTGTTTGTTAGTTTTCCTTCTAACAGTCAGGACCCTCAGCTGCAGGTCTGTTGGAGTTTACTGGAGGTCCACTCCCGACCCTGTTTGCCTGGGTATCAGCAGCGGTGGCTGCAGAACAGCGTATATCGGTGAGCTGCAAATGCCGCTGCCTGATCGTTCCTCTGGAAGTTTTGTCTCAGAGGATTACCTGGCCGTGTGAGGTGTCAGTCTGCCCCTACTGGGGGGTGCCTCCCATTTAGGCTACTCGGGAGTCAGGGACCCACTTGAGGAGGCAGTCTGCCCGTTCTCAGATCTCAAGCTGCATGCTGGGAGAAGCACTACTCTCTTCAAAGCTGTCAGACAGGGACATTTAAGTCTGTAGAGGTTATTGCTGTCTTTTGTTTGTCTGTGCCCTTCCCCCAGAGGTGGAGCCTACAGAGGCAGGCAGGCCTCCTTGAGCTGTGGTGGGCTCCACCCAGTTAGAGCTTCCCAGCTGCTTTGTTTACCTACTCAAGCCTGAGCAATGGCAGACACCCCTCCCCCAGTCTTGCTGCCACCTTGCAGTTTGATCTCAGACTGCTGTGCTAGCAATGAGCAAGGCTCCGTGGGTGTAGGACCCTCCGAGCCATGTGTGGGATATAATCTCCTGGTGTGCCGTTTGTTAAGCCTGTTGGAAGAGCGCAGTATTAGGGTGGGAGTGACCCGATTTTCCAGGTGCCATCTGTCACCCCTTTCTTTGACTAGGAAAGGGAATTCCCTGACCCCTTGAGCTTCTCAGGTGAGGCAATGCCTCACCCTGCTTCGGCTCACGCACGGTGTGCTGCACCCACTGTCCTGCACCCACTGTCAGGCACTCCCCAGTGAGATGAACCTGGTACCTCAGTTGGAAATGCAGAAATCCCCCGTCTTCTGCATTGCTCATGCTGGGAGCTGTAGACTGGAGCTGTTCCTATTCGGCTATCTTGGCTCCACCCGCTCCCACCCCCGTCCCCTGCCGTGTCTTCTTTTCTCTATCTGTGGGTGGCCCTTCCTTGGCTTTTTGATTCTCACTTCTCATGTCCCAGCAGTCATCTGTTATTCAGCCTTTTATGCCTTTGTAAGCAGCATCCACATTTAAATCTTGTACCTTCTGTAAAATTATCTTTGGCTAATAACACTTCAGGCACAAATATGGCTGGATAAAGAGCCTGAATGTTAGTGTTGAAGACAAACAAGCTCCTCATTTGAGTTTCCTTTACATTAAAATGAAACAAAGCAAAAACAGAAAAGAAGCACAAAAAGCAGAAACCACTGTCATGCCACTTTTATTTTTTGCTTAGTTTAGCCAAGATGATTATTTTTAAAGATGTGAAATAAACCCATGATAATGGTGTGTTTTATTGCCTTTTCTTTTACTGGTAGGTTGAGGAAAGGCAGGTTCTTCCCCAAAATCAGATGATGAAACGAAAAGGGAGAGATGGAGTTTAACAATCCATCTCTTCTATGTTTTGTTTCCTAGATTCTGCATTAATCCATTACATGCCTGTAATCCTTGCACTTTGGGAGACTGAGGTGGGAGGATCTCTTGAGCACAGGAGGTTGAGACCAGCCTGGGCAACACAGGGAGACCCTGTCTCTACAGAAAACAAAACAAAACAAAATGTTAGCTGTGCATGGTGGTGCACACCTGTGGTCCCATCTATTCAGGGGGCAAAGGTGGGAGAATTACTTGAGCCTGGGAGGTCAAGTCTGCAGTGAGCCATGATCATGCTATTGCACTCCAGTCTGAGCAACAGAGAAAGACCTTGTCTCAAAACAAAAAAAAAAGAGAGCGAGAGATGACAGGCTTTCTCTCTCTCCCCAGGTGGTTGTGCCACTTTAAGACTTCTTTAAGGGAAGTAGAGAGGATGAGTGAGCACTGATCGGGCATTGCCCAAGGAGCTTGGCTGGAATCCAGGCCACACAATAGTTGCAGGAACATTTGACACTCAAATAACACAAGGCCCCAAGGCAAGAGCAGAGGCGAAATAAAGCCTGTTACAGCAACACTCAGGGGGAATGTAACACGTGTTTCCACACTTATTTATAGAAGCTTGTTCCACCTCTATGGCAGAGACCTTTTGGCAGTCTTAATTTACTTCTGGGGAAAATCTTTGGGACAAAATTTTTTTAAACAGCCAGTACCTTGCTAACTGCACTGATGGCAAAGTAATGTGAGCAGAAATGATCGACACAACATGTTTTCTCTTCTAACATAATTGCTTTCTATTTGTGTAGTCTGTAATAATTAATGTATAGAGAACATGGCTCAAGTGATTTTGTGATAAAATAAACAGGGAAACTACTAATCAAACCAAGGTATAAAAATTAGTATAGCTCTTATAGTTACAACATAGTCAGGGCTAATAAGTGGTGGTTATGCCAATGTTTCCCGTTGAGGTGGTATAGAAAATAAAGGTCACCACCTCAAAATTCTCATTTATGTAAGACTCATAGAATGTCTGTGTTGTCAATGCTCCCACGGCACTGAGCAGCTGACCCTTGTTTTGGATGTCTGTGGTTATAACTGTGCTTGTCTAGGCTCTTGTTAAGGTCAAGAAAATTTCTAGTTATTTGGTGTTGCAATTATTAGAAATGTATCTGTCACTATTGCTTCTTTTCTTTTTAATTTGTTATTATTATTTTTTTGAGACAGAGTCTCACTCTGTTGCCCAGGGTGGAGTGCAGTGGTGTGATCTTGGCTCACTGCAACCTCCGCCTCCTGGGTTCAAGTGATTCTCCTGCCTTAGTCTCCCAAGTGTCTGGGATTATAGGCATGTGCCACCACACCTGGCTAATTTTTGTGTTTTTAGTAGAGATGGGGTTTTGCCATGTTGGCCAGGCTGGTCTCGAACTCCTGACCTCAGGTAATCTGCCCACCTCAGCCTCCCAAAGTTCTGGGATTACAGGCATGAACCACCATGCCCAGCCTGCTTCTTTTAGGTCCTAAAGAAAATGCTCAGTTGTTGGAGTGAATGTTGACTCTACAGGACACCTTGGTGTGTGCTTTCAGGAAGACACTGTAGCTAAGTGGTTCAGGTTCCGAACTCCTGAGGTTTAGAATCAGAACTGTTTTTGAACCCTCACTCTGTCACTTTCTAACTGCAGGACTTTGAACAAGTTATGTACGTCTGTAAGTTTCAGTTTTCATAGTCACAAGAAGGGGTCGTTATGAGGATTAAATGAAATCATGTTTGCATATTAAGGTAAATGCTAAGCTTTGGAAATAAAGAGACCCCAAGATATAGTGGCTTAAATAAGAGAGCAGTTTATTTCTCTGTCACTTGAGGCTGGTCTGTGGACACTACCAGGCCATTCAGGGACCCAAGGTTACAGCTTTCTTGTTGCTCTTCAATCACTGGTCATCTTGGATTGCTGTCTGCACCTCGGGTCCAGCCAGGGAAAGGGCTAGGCGCCAACGACTAAGGAAAGTGACTCGCTTTTACCGATGGAGAAGACTGAAAAGGTATGCTTGTCACTTCAGCTCACATCCCATTGCCACAGCCCCATCTTACTCACTTGGTCGTGCCTCACTACAAAGGAAGCCGGAAAATATAGTCTTCAGCTGGGCAGCTGTGTGTCCAGGAAAAAAAGAGAGGATACATTTTGGGGAGATAACTGTCTGCCATAGCATATCGCACTCAAAACTCAGCACGTAGTGCTTAAACATAGATGCTATTATTTTCATGAAATCTCTCTAGTATGTGTTCTTTGGGTCATTTCCTCAACTAGATCATTGCCTGGAACAATTAATATTTCTCAAGTGAGAAATATTGGATATGGGATACATTGTTTTTATTCAACTAATTAATACAAATAAAATTAATAAAAATATTAAGACATTTTTATGGATGTTCTGGGTTTCTCCAGTGCAACTTTTTCTTTTCTTTTCTTTTTTTTTTTTTTTTTGAGATGGAGTCTTGCACTGTTGCCCAGGCTGGAGTGCAGTGGCGCGATCTCGGCTCACTGCAGTCTCTGCCTGCTGGGTTCGAGCAATTCTCCTGTCTCAGCCTCTCCAGTAGCTGGGACTACAGGTGCATGCCACCATGCCTGGTTAATTTTTGTATTTTTAGTATAGACGAGGTTTCACCATATTGGTCAGGCTGGTCTCAAACTCTTGACCCTAGGTAATCCACCCTCCTCAGCCTCCCAAAGTGCTAGGATTACAGGCATGAGCCACCGCGCCCAGCCCAGTGCAACTTTTTCAATTGGCTGTCTTTCATCAGATGGTGGGGTGAGCTGTGAGGAAGGGCTGGGAGGACAAGCACCAGCAATGTTCCTAGGTGACATCATCTAACCAGAGAATGTTTTTGACCCTCACACAGAGGAGGTATATGCATGTGGGAACCAGCACCTTGACCATGAGCTTCTTCCCACTACATATCAGATACTGGAGAAGCAGAGGCAAAGACAGGAATACAATTTTTCCAAAAGGTAGACACATTTTCAGAATGCTAACTCTTTCCTGTTTGTAAACATGAATTGGTCTAACATGTTTGGCAGGCTGTGATTTTTCTCATGCATCATAAATAAATACTAAAACAAGCTTCATGAATTTCTCCCTTATATACTTAGGTCTCTGGAGTTGGTTGGATTGTGCCTCTCAGTATCTCGCCATTCTAGCAGACTCTAATAGCACAAGCAAATCTTCCCTGCGGGGAGAAGTGAGCAAAGAGGACCTTCCTGAAGGTTTAGACCTGTCTGTTTTGTTGGCCCTGCTGGAATCTTAGACTGTCAGTTCTGGAGGGTCATTAAACATTACCCAGCCACTCCATGTAGGAGTCACATCCCCAACACTGTTGTCAGGTCCAGCCTCAGGTGGAGCAGTTCCTAGGAGGTCACCAGCCTCTAATATAGTTAGTTCCATTTTTGGACAGCTTTGACCATTAAGCTTTCTTTTTCCACATTGTGTCAAAATCTTCCCCTTCAAAATATTTACCTACCTTACGGGTTTCTACTCTCTGAGCCACAAAGCACAGTTCTAATCCCCTTCGCAGCTCTTTCTTCTGATGTTGTGTAATGACGCTAAACATTTCATATGAATGGCGTGATGCCACTTTCACTGTCTAGTTTTTGGATGAACAACATACTTAGAGTGGGAGCTGACATGCAGTCACACATGTGAATCACCCCTGAAGCAAACATAAAATATGTTTGTGATACAGGGTGAGATAGAAGAGCATATTGGATGGACACTGGATTATCCCAGTCTGGGCCCCATGAAGATGTACATGGTCAAGTCAAGGAGACCACTGGGGAGCAGTATGGTCCACAACTCGGGAAACTTCGATTCTTTTGTGGAAATCATGTGCCGTGCCTGCTCTATGCCAGGCACTGGGCCAGTGGTTTATAAATGACTGAGTCACTGCTCTTGACCTTTCGCTCACAGTTTAGAAGGGCCACCCTGGGAAACAAACACAATGAGACCAGAGCATAATGAACATCAGACATCTGGGGGCCCCAGAGATGGGGGTGTACTGGATGGGGAGGGGCAGCCTCCTTGCCTTGGCTTCTCTAAGCCTGGTTTTTTTTGGCTAGACCATTGGAGAACAGTGAACAGGAAGGAGCAGGCTGTGCTCATGGTGTGGTTGATACACCAGTGGGCCTGGAAAGGAGGCTGGAAGGGGAGGCTGGGAGGCAGGCAGAGGCTGGGAAGGTAGGCAGAGGCTGTGCCAGGAAAGACCTGGATGCCATAGTAGGAGTTGACTTTTTCCTGAAAATACCAGGCATTGGAGGACTGTAAGTGAGCGAATGACATTATCAGCTTTGAATTAGGGAGATGGCTCTGGGTGCTCTATGGAGTGAGGTTTGGGGTATGTTCAGATTGATAGCAGATCAGCCCAGAGGCTAGTGCATAATTCAAGGCAAGAAATGCCAAAGGCCTGCTCCAAATCTGCAAGGAAGGAAGGGGGAGACTGACTGGGGAGAAAAATAGGAAAAGTAACTGGTAGGGCTTGGATACTGAGGCCATGTGGGAAGAAGGAGAGGTGAGGAAGAACAGCCTGTGACGGCTTCCGTGCGGGAGATGTCCATGGTGGCAGGGGAGCGGGAGGGACTTCAATTCCTGTTACTAAAGTACTGAGAGGCCCCAGCCCACGCATAGCTCCCTGGGCTGGGCTTCACACTCTGAGGGGTAGGGTGCCCAAGCCCACCGAGGACAGGGGGCTGCTGCTGGGTCAGGTGAGACGAGAGAGTGGGCGTGCTCTGCAAAGTAAAAGTTAGACACGAATCAGGCATCCACACCTTGTCTCCTTGGAAGGACAACTCCTGTCTCTCCTTGGCTGTGACTAACATGATCCTAAGAACAGTCTGGGATCTGATCTGGTGTCTATGGAGCTTGGACCAGGATCCCCAGTGCCTTCTGGGGCCGACTCAGGTCTGATCTGTGCTCCCATCAACTCAGGAAGGGCATGGAGACTCCAGTGCTTTCAAGCCTCCTCCCTTCTTGATAGTTTAGTTTCAAACTCACTCAAGGGAATACTCAGCAATTAGTCTAATTTCATCCCCCTTTGCCCCTTTCTCTCTTTTCCAGCAACAAACATACAATGTTTCTTAGATTGGTTCTTAGCTTTTCTACAAACAAAACCACAATCACAGTCTGTTAGTCACTGAATTATTAATTCCTAACTTAACATAAAACAAATGCCTACATGAAACAGCAATAAAGCATTGCAAGAATATTTATTTTGAGTGACTAAACTATACACTTCCTGTTCAGTGTTAAGGAAAATTGGTCTTTATTATTCCAGGGAAATGTCAAAATCACTAAGTATTGTAGCATTTTGACCTGCGTTATGTTGAACAAACTTTCCACATGTTTCTCATAAAAATATACATCAGAGATGGCTTCAAACTGAACGTCAAACTTAGTTAAAAGTACGAACCTCTTCAAAGTTATTTTGAATATCAGATATAACAATCAAATGCATATCAGCATGGGCCGGTTTTTCTTAGAGGCTGCCTCATGCTGATGGATTTAGCATCTCCGTGCGTGGAAGGGAGGCCTCTGTACTCATCAGAATGAGCCCTGCCAATTGCCAGGTTGGGCTTTGGAGAAACGCTCTCTCCACCAATTTTTTTTTTTTAAAGTATATAACCGCTTATAAAAACATTTTTTAAAATCCATGTGCTTTATCTTGCTTGACCTGTGTGATGATTACCTGGATGTATACATATGTAAATATTTATCAAATTCTACACTGTTCTGTATGATAATTATAGTTCATTTAAATATGAATATGTATTTTCATATTTCATGGAATGTCAGCAAGAATAATTTAAAAAGTTCTTTCTAGTTACAGGTTGAAAAGGGGGATGCGTTTTGTAGCCCGCTATTTAGTTGCTTAAAAATCTTAGTTTTGGCCAGGGACAGTGGCTCATGCCTGTCATCCCAGCACTTTGGGAGGCCAAGGCAGAAGGATCACTTGAGCCCAGGAGTTCGAGACCAACCTGGGCAATATAAGAAGACCTCATCTCTACAAAAAATAAAAAATTAGCTGAGTGTGGTGGTGCATGCCTGTGGTTCCAGCTACTCGGGAGGTGGAGGTGGGAGAATTGCTTGAGCTTTGGAGGCAGAGGTTGATGAACTGAGATCGTGCCACTGCACTCCAGCCTGGGCAAAAATAAAAATAAAAATAAAATAAGTTTAAGTTTCATACTCACTGGACTCTAAGTGCAGTATTTTGGGTTGGACTCCATGGTATCTTTTTGTAGGATCCTAAGAAAAATTGGCATCTGCTTGGGAAAGAATGAGCACTTCCTGCTTATCTTGGCCCAGAGTAGGGATGGGAAGGGTGGAGTGTAAAGTGGGAGGCTGGACCGTAATGTTTCCTAAACATTGTTAAGTGTTTTGTGGCTGTTACACTATTTTGTAATAGAGGTTTTATTAATTTTGAAAATGGATTTCATAGTTATTTTATTGCCTTAAACATCTGCAAAGCCACAATGGTACTGAAGGAGGCTAATTTCTAGAACATGGGCATCTTACTTTTTAGGCTTAACATCCATAAAGTATAAAGGCTTTATGTTTGGGTTATTGATAAATATCTATATACTTTGAGGTGACCTGATGTCTGATTTTCTCCAATATCTTTGCCTTTTTTTTTTTTTTGACTGAGTTTTGCTCTTGTTGCCCAGGCTGGAGTGCAATGGCGCGATCTCAGCTCACCGCAACCTCTGCCTCCCGAGTTCAAGGGATTCTCCTGCCTCAGCCTCCCAAATAGCTGAAACTACAGGCATGTGCCACCATGCCCGGTTAATTTTGTATTTTTAGTAGAGACGAGGTTTCTCCATGTTGGTCAGGCTGGTCTTGAACTCCCAACCTCAGGTGATCTGCCCGCCTCGGCCTCCCAAAGTGCTGGGATTACAGGCGTGAGCCACCGCGCCCGGCCTATCTTTGCCTTTTGAAGCAAATCTGAAGTGTCCTCCTGGTCTAGAGACAGAATGGTGTAGTGTTTAAGAGTGTTGATTCTGGAGTCAAACTGCCTAGGTTCAAATTCCCGCTACTCCTCTGACTAGTGTATCAAATCCTTTTGTGCAAGGGGCTTTAATATGAGAATAATAATACCTCCTGGATCTGTTCTGAGGACCAAGTGAATTAAGAAAGCACTTGGGAAAGTTATCAGGACAACATAAGCTCTACAAAAAAGTGAGATGCTATTAAGATTTTTCTGCTTATTGATTATAACAGTAAATGATATAAAATACTTTGTTTCACATGTAGAGATGATGCTCAGATTGAATTTAATGCTTCAGGTATCCATGGAAGGACAGCCAACCACTCTAGAAGTTATCTAAAGGGAAAAGTATCTATTCCTGTGGGATTCTTTTGATTTCACTCCTAGTCAAGTCTCTTATTTAGAAGCTTTAGTATCCGATAGAATGAGGACAACATAAAAACTTTTAAAAATTATCAGGCTGGGCATATCAATATTTATTGAAATACTGAAAAAAAAAATTCCATTTTGTTGAGAAGTTCCTGGCAAGAACTGACATGACAATATGTATTTCATTGATACAGTAAGAAAACATCAACAAGTAACTGACTTCACACTCTAAACATTGCATGGATTCAAGTCCAAGGCAGCTGCAGATCTGTGATACAAATAATCAGACATTAGAGATTGTCTGTTTACAAACATAGAGCAACTATAATAAACCAAGTTAAGCCAAAAACCTTTATATTTGAGTCTGCTTTTACCGGCAAATCCTGTAATTGATAAGGCAGTTGCTAAGTAAATGCCAGGTTACAAATCGGCTAACAATCAACATTAGAGAAACTTCACTTGTCAACCTTGGGTGAACAGACGCTGGCTGTGACGCTTTCTTGCTTATCAGCTCCTGTCGTTGGTGTGATCAGCAGTGTGGATGTAACCCGCTGTGTTGCCCGTCTTTCTAATCATTCTCATGATTTAATCTACCAGGTTAACAACATACCAATATGTGACATTTTTTAGGTTTAATTTTCAGTGGGGAGCACTGTATCTTTAAAATAAGAGAACATAGATTTTAAGAGTCAACGTAGCCAGGTATGCTGGCATGCACCCCTAGTCCCAGCTATGGGGGAGGCTGAGGCAGGAGGAATGCTTGAGCCCAGGAGTTCAAGGCCAGCCTGGGCAACATGTGAGATCAAGATCCCGCCTCTTAAAATAAAAAATAAAATAAAATAAAAATCAACATATTTGTTTTTTTGGCAATGTTAAAGACCCTCCAAATAGTTATAGTCAAATCTTATAATTGTCTCCATCCACATTACACATGCATGATAGAACCGTTTCATTAACTGTTGACCACACCATTCCTCTCCATGTATCTTCTAGCCAACTTGTTTTTCAGCTGGGGAGGGCAATGATGCTGCTGTTCTCTGTAATGCTTTGGGTATGAGCTCTGATCGGCGATTTTGCATTGTCCTTTGAGCCACGAAGATAACACGGGTGACTGAGACTGCGCATGAGTCAACGCCCAGCTTACCTAATGTGTACCCTTCATGTGGATGAGTATTAGAGGTGATTAATAAACATAATAAAATAATCCTCTTTGTACACACAGAAGTAATAACTAATATCTTTGGTATACAATTTACAATGCTTGGAAAGGAAAACCAGGTAAGACTCCACCTTGTTGAGTTTACTTGAAAACCAGAGGAAGCTACAAGTCACATAATTTACAATAGATATTAAATAAACTACAGTAGGAATGATGAAGATTTACAGACATTTAATCAAGTGAATGATTTTAATTCATTAAGACTCTTCTATGTCCCTGAACTAAGTTCCACTAATTTGAAGACATGCTACAGTAAACACATATATTTGGTTTCTTCAGTCTTGGCTATATCTTATACAAAGGTGAAACCAAGAAACAATAAATTAGCATCATAATTGTCTACAGTTGAAAGTATGATATACAATATAAATACACTACTCAAAAGCCAGAAATATTTATGAAAAAATTAAGGGACTAGGAGATACTTTTATTTTTTACAGTTTCTACAAAGTGATTGTGCCGCCGATAATCTCAAAAAAATTAAAGTCTAAATGAGATTCCCGTTTTTGATTTTAGTGTCTCACGACATAGAATAATTAAGTACTGTTAAAAATAATTACCAATCAGAAAAATAACATTAAGGAAATTACCGCTTTTGCTATTTTGTTATATCACAGATCCCCCTGCCCCTCAGGACCTAAAGAATGTAAACACTATATCTTATTTGACTTTAAAGTATTAATACTTTATTTTAAACAAATGTTGATCCACATCTGCACAGCTACCTTTTAAAATTGTGAAATAAGGCAAGACTTTCATACCTGTGGCATCGCATGTTAATAATACTGATAATAGTCATTTGAAGAATTTGCGATTCTTTGTCCTCCCATATTTGTTCTACAGCAGACTTTGGTCTATGACTTAAAAAGGTCAGTATCACTCTCTTCCTTTCCCCTTTGGGGAAGATTTGAATTACTTTAATATCTTTCCAGGACACATGTAAAAATCACCATTTCCATCCCAACTCTTGAGGATGTTCAATTGCAGCAAGAATGAACCTTGAGTCAATACATCACCTCATCCTTTCCTTTCTCTTTGCATAGATTAACATGCGTCAATTTTGTTTCCAACTACTTAGAACTGTGACTATTTGACATCCTAGCAAAATGTGTTTAATGTTGTATTTTTAAATGAACTACAAACTTGGATGATGAAAAAGACTGATGTATACTAACAAGACTTCCTGCCAGAAATTTTTTATGAAATCCAACAATGCCAAAGCCACATTTCAGCAACAGTAGCAGAAATAAGGTCTAAGTTGCTTTAGCTATGGAGCATTTGCTTTGAAAGTTTGTAGTCATTTCCCTTAATATTAATTAACACTTACATAAGATGAGGGATACTGCCTGCATTTTCTTAACATCATGAACACGAGACAAAACAACCCTCAGAACATATTTAAAATGGCAAGCTAACATATTAATAGAATTTCCTATTAGCTGTTTGCAGGTCTAAGACACAGACACTCAAAATTAGGCTGTTCATGATTTGGTGGAGCTACCACTGGGTGTGGCTGAACACAGGTCCTTAGTACAGATTCGGTGACCACAGGGCAGAGGTGCTGGGGCCTTCAAAGGAAGAGGGAGGGGCTATTGTAGGTACAGCTGATGCATTCTTGAGAATTGTTTCAGTTCAGCTTTACCATGGAGGAATCCTGTAAGCTCAAATCCCCCGCTGTATAAGCCTAATTAATAAGATTAGTTCCTAAATTTCTTCATAGTGGAGATCAGTTTAAATATACAAGAACCGTTCTGTCCGTTTTTCTTCTGACCGTGTTGGTATCCATCTGTGAGTTCAATCCACTCCATTACAATGTCTTTTATATGGAATCCTCTGGGGCTGTGAAGCCTTTGATTCACAGTTTGCAATACAAATACCCTGATACATCATTTATTTGCTATTAAGTATTTGATTATTATGCCTTTTTAAATTCAATATCTTTAAAGCAAGTTTTTAATTAGCGTTACTTGGAGCAGTTCAGAGTACTTTTTTTCTTCCTGTTCTTCTTCCCCCTCCCCACTCCCCCAATCTCTTTTTGTTTTGAAAGCAGAGCTCCTAGGGGTTGTAACTTATGCTCTTTTGGCATGCAACATTTCAATGAGAAGGTTATTATAGGGCACATCCCCGTTCAGGTGCTTGTAGTAGAGGTATTCTTCAGCCTGCATACTGATGGCCCGGATTTCGGGTAGTCGAAGAAGTAGCTGTCCAAATTTCTCTGTCTGCTGCGGGTAGTTACACATTGTGTAGTCCAGCAGGGCGGCATTGACTTGTTCCTGGACACCTTCTACCAGCTGGAAGTTTTCAAGGTTTTTGACATCTGCATTAAAAAAAAAAAAAAAAAAAGCAACATTTCAATAGCATTTCAATTCCTGTTTACTAAAGCAATGTGTTCAATTAATGGATGTATTTTCCTTTTGACATAAACATACTTTACATGCTGCTGAATATTCAGTAAACCCCACTCACCAAACTTCCTGGGAAAAGGATCACAAAAGAGCTTTAGAAGAATGTCTTGTTGAAATTCTGCATATACCTCAAATCAATTAGACACCAGTGGATTTTGAGCAAGGTCAACTCTTTTCATATCTTACAAAAGGAAAGGATTGAGGATTCCTAAAGTAGAGGGATCTTAATATATTGCCAGCAAATGAGTCCCTGGAGAAAGACCTATCTTAACCCAGTATATTACACAATTCATATAATTCTGTATTAATTTTTCTGACCCAAGGTGAAATCTGTGTCCAGGGTATGATGTAGTTAATTCTAATAAAAAGTGACAGGATTCTTGTTTCTGTTTGACATTTTCTAAATGATTCTGAAAGTCTTTGACTTGTCTAGCCTATGCTAATGAACCATCTGGTACACTCCAGTGACTGCCAACAGAATATTCGCTACTGGGAACTCTCTAAAATATATATCTTGGTGACTAATGATCTTTATCAAATGAGAGCCTTGTCCTTTAGGCAGAACACAAGCCAGGATGGTCAGTGCCCTTTAACCTGCATGTAGTTTCTAAAGTCTGATACTCTGTGTTTCTTTTTTTTCTTCTGGTCACTCATGTAGAGAAGATGAGCAAAGGCATTTCATTCCGCCTAACTCCTGATGACTATGCAGTTGTTTTTAGACATCTGCCCTAAAGGTCCTTATAAATACTGAATAAGAGAGAAAGCCAGAATAAAAAAAGACAGACTGACATACAAACACACACACAGACAATAGGCAAGGGAAAACGGTATGCTGGAATTTCTCTTCTGGGGTTGATTTATGTTAACAGTATGACTTTTATATGATGTGTACATAGAAGCCTCTGGAAAAAATAGACAGATACGTGTGTGTGTTTACATACACCCATGCTCAGAAAGTAAACAGATGCAGCCACCCTGCCCTGCTTTATTTTCTAATTGGACAAAAATAAATAAGAAAGAGAATATGGAGAAAACCACACAGTACTATGACTAAAAGGATAAAGATACTAAACTCGGTTCAAGTAATTCATACCCACTATATACTGTTTTGGGCATTATATACTGTTGAACTTAACCTACATATGTGTACATGTCCATCTTGTTATTTCTAAATGGCTTTACACTGGGCTGTCATACATTCGCTGTTGAAGTGTGTTCAGGACGATTTCAGTGTTTACATTTGGGCCATAGCTTTGCATTAAACATGCTTCCCCTTTCCATCCCCAAGTCTCTGACCCAAATTAAAAACAGTGAGGAATTAGTACTGAAATAGTTATGTAGTGAGTTGGTACCATATCTCTTTCAAAGTGAGATGGCAGACTCAAACATAGTTGATTATTCATTGATGAGTTGTACAAACATAAATACTACACAATAAGGAGCTCTGAGTCTTCCGGTGGCATTTAAATTGGCAACCACATTGGTGTGCTCTGGACATTTTACCCATGCGGCACTTTACAGTTAGTAAAGCATATTCCACCTGTCTTATTTAATATATTTTAAAAATGATTTTAAGTTACTTAAAAATATTTATAAGTATGGCTATGTATCCAGAGTCATACTTGGTTCAAAATTGCAAAATATAAACAATCAGAAATACCTTCAATATGTCCTACCTTGGTACATGATAGAAAAATCTACATTTGTTTTGCATTATAGTGATTAAAACATGACTATTAAAAATTTGAAATGCAGTATTATTTTACGCTACAGTGAAAAATACTCTCACCAGCAAGCAAAGCTAGTAACAGTCAGAGATTAATAGAGAGGATGTAGAAATTTGCATAGAATGAATGTAAAATGTAAGAAAAATGAAGAATACCCTTTTTAGAAAGTTGTTTGAAACTTTCCTTTTTTGATAATTGTATTTTTTTGAGAACCAGTTTTAACATTCTGTGATAAACTATGCTGCTCTGTTAAGGAAAAACAAAAAGAAAGAAAACTACCAACAAACATAAAACAAAGGCTAGATCATAAGTTTTGGTTTATCCACTTACTATTATAGAATGATAATTTAGAGTCTTCAGCTCAGCATTCAATGGTTAACTTCTTTCTTTTTTTTATTTTGAGACAGAGTCTTGCTCTGTTGCCAGGCTGTAGTGCAGTGGTGCGATCTCGGCTCACTGCAACCTCCACCTCCTGAGTTCAAGCAATCCTCCTGCCTCAGCCACCTGAGTAGCTGGGGTTACAGACTTGTGTCACCACACCCAGCTAATTTTTATATTTTTAGTAGAGATGGGGTTTCACCATGTTGACTAGGGTGGTCTCAAATTCCTGACTTCCAGTGATCCACCCACCTTGGCCTCCCAAAGTGCTGGGATTACAGGCGTGAGCTACTGCGTCCAGCCTCGATGGTTAATTTCTATGAATACTGGTCCAAACTGACACCCTTTTCCCCCAAAACTTGGGAAATATGTGCAATTTTCCTTCTGGCAGGAAAATATATAGGTGTCTCATATTTTGGCTAAATATACTATTTTTTGCTAAAGCTGATCAGAATTGAATCCACATGCCTGAGTTAATTATCCCATTAAGCTATTTTGATGAATGTTATCATGAAATAATAAAACATATGCTGCTAATTGTCCCAAAGATTCTTACTTGCCGAATGTCTATTTTGTTTCTACATCTATACACATGGCAATGATCCTGAAGAAGTTCTGAGTGAATTCCTCTCATTTACTGACCATGCCATTCCAGGATCATTGCTCTGCTGCCTGCCTTGATGCTGGCTTCTGTCTATTTAACTGTCTGTTTCCCTATGCAGACCGTAAGCTCCTGGGGATAAGGGATATGCTTTAGTTCAGCCATCCCCAGGGAATACACCGGTAACTCCTTGCTTCACATTATTGGTGCATTTGTCCAAGATTGATACAATTGTGAATTTGACCTGTTAAATTATTTCACAAGCCAATTTCCTTCCTTTTTCTAACTAGAAACTGATTTTCAAAAATTTGGCATATATGTAATGGATCTCTCCCTGAAATAAAATACTGTACTTTACATGTAATAGTCTTTTCTATTCAAAAAGTCCTGTGATGAATCCTTTTGTGATCTGAATAATCAAGTTCTAATTTACATGTTTTGCAAATGAGGATTTTCACTGGTCAGTTTTGTGTTAAGGGAAACGTGCTTATGTTCTCATTTGGACTGGAATCAGTCCCTGGGATGCTGCGGACTGGACCTGACAGACAGGTAGACCCTGGATTTTCCACTGTAATTGAGGTAGTTCACAGATAGTTCACAAGGACCTAAAAGCAATGGAAGAGATTAAGTGCCAAAATACAAATGATAACACCTCCCAGAAGACCTGGAATTTTCACTCATTTATGTGGTTCACTTGTATTTACTTTTTAGGAAGAGTTTAGAAACTTAAGTGTGTTTCCTCGGTACTCATGGAATTAGTTTTGATGAAAATGCATACTTTTTCATGAAAATTAAAACATGAATCCCATATAAATAGAAATTTAAATTCTCAGAACTTGGGGATGGAAAGGGAAAGCATGTTTAATGCAAAGCTATGGCCCAAATGTAAACACTGAAATCGTCCTGATTTCCATTTTCTCTGGAATGTCCCTCCAATAAAAATCAAGTCCTATTCCATATTAAGTAATGGATAGTAGCTGGCAACTTGGGAGTCTGAACTCATCTATAGCAGGAGTCTCTAACAACAGAAATATACAAGTGAATTGATATTAAATTATATTAAAAAAACCAAAATCTAGACAAATGATTACATGTTCTGGAGTTCCCAGAAATACATGTTTTTGAAATTTGCTGTTTGGTTCTCATATTAAATAGCATTGTCCCACATCTGGATTTTAGCAAAAGACCCCCAGCTGGAGGAAAAGAGATGGATATGAGATAAAAATTTCCACCAGTTCTTCTGTGGCATTTTAGGCTGGATTGCAAAGGCTCCTGCATTTGGCACTCTGTGCGTTCCTTTGAAATTTATATAAGCTTCATTTTCATACAATTTAAAAACACCAGTTAATAAACCCTATCATTACAAATTCTGAGTTGGAAATAGTATGTAAACAGACAGAGGCATCCCCAACCCTTTCTCTATAGCCTTTAAATTTTGATGACTGGCGAGAGCATTTTGTGCTTCTCTTAGTATCAATCTGTTATCATCTATTCTACTTTATTCACTCAGGGACTAATTACCAACTTTTTATATGAAGCAGCATTACGATAAGCTCACAGTGGGGTGCTCAGATTTTTTCCATCCTTATTGGAAAGTAAACCCTTAGGTCTTCTTGAATATATTATAGTACTGACTTTTCAGTCACACACAACATTCAGGCTCTCTCTGAAGAGGAAGATACTCTTCTCTGCCTCCCTGGTAGCTGCCATAATGGTGCAGCCTATAAACCTTGTCATTCAACACACTTTTTCAGAAATGGGTCCTCTGCTGAGCCAGGGGGCTGGGGGCTGTGAGGCTCACATGGAGTGTGTTGACTTTTGCTGATAAGGTAATTATCTTTGTTAATTTTTCAAAAGTGGGAAAAAATTCCTTAGTCTTTTTTGTCTTTTTAAAGATTTTAAATATTTTTTATTTTTTAAAAATTACTAATATTATTGTCTGATTTTTTTTTAATAAATAGGGACAGAGTCTCGTTCTGTCACCCAGGCAGAAAAGCAGTGGTGACATCGTAGCTCACTGTAGCCTTGAACTCCTGGGCTTGAGCGATCCTCTGGCCTCAGCTACTCCCGGTCCCAGTAACTGGGAGTTATCTGGGATTAATTACAGGTGCGAGCTGGTTTATCTAATCTTTTAAAGGACATAAAGGTGGAAAAAAGAGGTACCGTTTTGCACATAGAAAATACTTCTTTTCCTTGAGGTCTTTAGAGAGATGACAATCTATAAACTGTCACACGATTTGCCCTCAGAAGGCCCTTTCCTCTAGAAAAGGAGAAAGAAAATAGATTTTCTGTAAGGAGCTAATGTTCAAAATTATTTTTTAAAGGGCTAAATATGGATAATCTGCATAACTAATTTTGTAAGAACTTCTGGAAGTTGCAGAACATGTTCGTTCTTTTCATACGAACAAAGTTCACTTTTAAAAAGAAATCAGGGCTGTTTAGGGATTGGGGAGGGGAGGGCAGGATAATTTTGGTGCTGACACCTAAACTGAGATTCTGTCTCCAGTTTCCAGCAATATCTGAAACTCAAGATTTTAAATTCATTCCCATAAGTCCCTTAGAATAATATAGGTGTGTACACACACACACATGCACACACACTAACCCAAGAGTTATTTTTACCAACTAGAATGTATAATTTTGTGCTTTCATAGGCAAATTAATAATAAGAAAATGCTGCCCTTGGCAGGAGCTGTCTACAAAAATGGAGGATTGCTTCAGCCCAGGAGTTTGAGACCAGCCTAGGCACCACAGCAAGACCCTTGTCTCCCCCTAAAAATAAAAATAAAAAGTTGGCTGGATGTGGTGGTGTGTGCCTGTAGTCTCAGCTACTTGAGAGGCTGAAGTAGGAGCATCATTTGAGCCCAGGAGTTCAAGTACAGTAGGCTGTAATTGTGCCACTGCACTCCAGCCTGGGCAACAGAGTGAGACCCTGTCTCTTAAAAAAAAAAAAAAAAAGTAGATATAAAGTGTATATACTATATATGTACACAGAAATAACAGGCCCTTACAACTGATTGGTGCTTTGTAGTTTACAAAACATTCTTAACATGCTTTATTTATTATTTCATACCTTCGTGTATACACAATGTATACACATTCATTCATTCATTCATTCATTTATTCATTCAGTCTTAACAGCTCTGGTCTGGGTGTTGGAGATATGGAAATAAAAGGCACAGTCTCTGTGTACAGTAGCTCAATTAATGTGATACAGATAAGCAGTGCCCTTACAGGATGGGCAGCTAACACAGGGTTCAAGAGAAAAGAGGGGTCCCTGGGGAAGGTGACACCTGAGGAGTTTTGAAAGATGAGTTAGAATGAGCTGAGCAACGCGTGGAAGAGAACGCACATCCTAGCAGACAGTGGTCTATATACAAACCCTAGAGAAGGAAAGAACAGAGAGGTCTTTGGTACACTGTTAAACAGCTCAGCCTTTGTGGAGAAGGAATAGGTGGGCAAGATGAAGATGGGCCCTAAGGTTTAAGACTGTGAAGAGTGCTGCATGTCAGATGGTCTGGATTTTGTTCCAAAAGCAAGGCAGAAACACTGAATGGTTTTAGGAAAGAGGGAAATGGTCAGCTTTCTGATTTAAAGAAAGCATTCTGCCAGAAGTGTGTAGAAGGGACTAGTGTGTGCAGGAGGGTGAGGGGAGAGCAGGCTCATGGAGGGAGACCAGCCAGGATCCTGCTGCAGGAACACAGATGAGAAATACGGCGGCCAAGGAGGTGGGGAGGGACTTGAAAGGCATCAAGATGGTTGATGCAACAGGGTTTGCTGGCCTTGGGTTAATAAAAAATAGGAGAGACAGAGAGAAAGAGTGAGGGTCCTGGATGGCTTCCAGGTGTCTGTTAAGGGAAGAAGGTGGTGGCTGTCACCAAGAGGAGCAGCAGATTTGAGAAGCAATATTTAAGGAGTCTAGGTATGGCCATGTTGAATTTAAGGGGCACATGGAATATTGGGTGAAGATGTCCAGGAAATGGCCAGACATAAAGGTCTAGACCTCAAGAGAAAGGCTTGGGCTGGAGGTATAGATTTGGGACTTATCAGTGTACAGCTGATGGGTGATGGGTGAAATCCCAGGAGTTAGTGAGAGTATGTAGAAAACTGGCCTAGGAGTGGGATTCAGGATAAGCTAAATTGTAAAGGATTCTATCCTAGAAGGTGTTATAGGTATGATGAAATTAAGAATCAGAGGGATTAAATGGCTTTCCCAGGATCTCAAAGTCAGTAAGAATGAGGGAGGAAATAACATTTACCAAACACCAATTAATGTGACAAGTGTCTTTAACATATGTTTTCTCATTTAATCCTCTTAAGAATCTTATGGGGAAGTTATTATTAATATCATTTTCCCAGTGGAAAAACAGAGGCTTAAAGGGGTTGAGAAGCTCATCTAGGATTTTAATGCTAGTAAGAAGATCTTGAATTTATGACCAGGCCTGTCTCACTCTAAAGTCCTTGTATGCTCTACCATGAGACTTCCCTCGGGCGGAGCAGGAATCTGAACCCTGCAGGGCTCATTATTTTAAAGTCCTGGAGTTTTTTTTCCCCTATTGTGTCAATGCCTGCAAGTTTCTGTCACTTGCTGGAGTTGGAGAATGGGAAGTGCTGGTTAGTCAAGTAGTTCCGTTTCTAAAGGGTCTCATGATATGCGAATGAATGGTTTTCAGATAATTTGAATGAAATAATATACATTTGACATTTAAATTGGCATGTAACACAACTTAATGTTTGAGATTTTGAAGGAAATTTCACATCTTAAATGCCACAAATCACTATTATAAATAATAGTCTCACGATGGAGACTGAGTACAGTCTAGTGTTATGGGGCACCTTTGTGGGGACTTCTCTGGACAAGCCCCACCCCAACCCCTTCCAATTGTATTGTACAGGTGCCAAGGCTAAGAAATAAGAATTTCTCCACTTTTGACTTTTTTTGTATACATGGTTTAGAAAAAAAGCTCCCACGGATCAAAAATGTTTGAAAACCACTTGATTTTGTGGTACAATACCAATGTTCAAAGGGAATGGTGGGCTACTCTGGTCTCTGTCACACTGAAGACATTATGCTAAGTGAAATAAGCCAGTCACAAAAAGGAAACGCTTATGAGTCCACTTTTAAGAGGCACCTAGAGGCACCTGTGTCAAATGAATTTGTTAGGCACAGAAAATAGAATGGTGGTTGGCAGGAATGAGGAACAGAGGTTGTTGTTTGATGGGTATAGAGTTTCAGTTTGTCAGATAAGAATTTTGGATATTGGTTGTATAACAATGCAAATGAACTTAACACTACTGAACTGTATACGTTTAAATGGTTATGAAGAAAATGTATGTCTGCACAAAAACATGCATAGGGATGTTTATAGCAGCTTTATTCATAATTGCCCAAACTTGAAAGTAACCAAAATGTCCTTTAGTATGTGAATGGTTAGACTGTGGTGTATCCAGACCATGAAATATTGCACAACACTAAAATGAAACGAGCTGTTGGCCCATGAAAAGACATGGAGGAAACGTAAATGTGTATTATTAAATGAAAGAAGCCACTTTGAAAAGGCTCTATATTGTATGATTCCAACTGTGTGACATTCTGGAAAAGACAAAACTATGGAGACAATAAAAAGATGGGTGGTTGCCAGTAGTTGGTAGAAGGAGGGATGACTGGGCAGAGCACAGAGGACTTCTAGGGCAGTGACACTACTCTGTATGATACTGTAATGGTGGATACATGTCATTACGTGTGTCCAAATCCATAGAATGTACAACATCAACAGCGAGCCCTACCTACCTAATGTGAACAGCGGACTTTGGGTGATGAGGATGTGTCAATGTAGCGGCATTCATTGTAAAGGTTTCACTCCAGTGTGGAATGCTGACAGTAGGGGAGGCTTGTGCTGGTAGGGGAATGCTGACAGTAGCGGGGCAGGGGTTATGTGGGGAGTCTCTGTACCTTTTGCTCAATTTTGTGGTGAACTTAAAACTACTCCAGGGCTGGGCACGGTGGTTCACGCCTGTAATCCCAGCACTTTGGGAGGCCGAGGCGGGCAGATCACCTGAGGTCAGGAGTTTGAGACCAGCCTGGTCAACATGGTGAAACCCTGTCTCTACTAAAAATATAAAAATTAGCTGGGTGTGGTGGTGCATGCCTGTAATCCCAGCTACTCGGGAGGCTGAGGCAGGAGAATCACTTGAATCCGGGAGTTGGAGGTTGCAGTGAGCTGAGATTGTGCCATTGCACTCCAGCCTGGGTGACAAGAGTAAGACTCCGTCTAAAAAAAAAAAAAAAAAAAAAAAAAAACTGCTCTAAAAAATAAAGTTGGCCAGGTGCGGTGACTCATGCCTGTAATCCTAGCACTTTGAGAGGCCAAGGCGGGTGGATCACTTGAGGTCAGGAGTTTAAGACCAGCCTGGCCAACATGTAGAAACTCCATCTCTTCTAAAAATACAAAAATTAGCCGGGTGTGGTGGCTGGCACCTGTAATCCCAGCTACTCAGGAGGCTGAGACAGGAGAATCACTTGAACCCACGAGGTGGAGGTTGCAGTGAGCTGAGATCATGCCACTGCACTCAAGCCTGGACAACAGAGCAAGACTCTGTCTCAAAAAAAAAAAAAAAAGTCTATTAAAATCTATGGAAAAGTGGTTAAGATGGTAAATTTTACATTGTGCATATTTTACTATAATTAATGTTTTAAATGTAATGTATATGTCAGTTTTTAAACATAGTATAGTGAATACCTATGAATCCACCACTCATCAGGAAGACCAGAACATGGTCAGAGCCCTTCAGGCTATCTGTGTGTTCCTCCCAAGAACGAATTCCTGATGCCCCAGAGGTGATCATAATCCAGAATTCTGTATTTCCACTAGGCCGTTCTTGCACTGCTATAAAGAAATACCTAAGACTGGGTAATTTATAAAGAAAAGAGGTTTAATTGGCTCATGAACCTGCAGGCTTTACAGGAAGCATGGTGTTGGCATCTGCTCAGCTTCTGGGGAGGTCTCAAGAAGATTAAAATCATGGTGGCGGGTGAGGGTGGGGCAGGCACATCACATGGTGAAGGCAGGAGCCAGAGAGAGAGAGTATGTGTAGGGAGGTGATACACATTTCTAAATTACCAGATCTGGCAAGAACTCACTATCACCAAGACAACACCAGGCCCTGAGGGACCTGGTGTTTTGGATCATGACCCCATGATCCAAAGACATCCTACCAGGCCCCACCTCCAGCATTGGGGATTACAGTTCGACATGAGATTTGGGCAGGGACAAGGATCCAAACAATATCACCTGTTTTCTTATATCCCTAAATGATGTGTTCTTATTATTGCTTGTTCATGACTGACCTTACATTATGCATACATTTGTCTAATTTTAAAAACTGCCAAGCTGGGTGCAGTGGCTCACGCTTGTAATCCCAGCACTTTGGCAGGCCAAGGCTGGAGGATCTCTTGACCCCAGGAGTTCAAGACCAGCCTGGCCAACATGGAGAAACCCTGTCTCTACAAAAATACAAAAATTAGTGAGTGTGATGGTCTGCGCCTATAGTCTCAGCTACTTGGGAGGCTGAGGTGGGAGAATCACTTGATCCCAGGAAGTTGGGGCTGCAGTGAAGCAAGATAGTGCCACTGCACTCCAGCCTGGGAAACAGAGTGAGATCTTGTCTCAAAAAAAAAAAAACAATAAACAAAATTGCCCGTCACCCCCACTAGAATGCTAGAATGAAAGCCGTGTAGGCAGAGACTTGGTCTTATGTGCAGCTGTATTCCTAGTGCCTGGCCAGTGCTCAGCACAGAGGAGATCCTCAGGAAATATGAGAATAAGCTTTTTTGTTTAAATTCTTGCCCTAAACCAACATTTTTCTTTTTTTCTTTTCTTTCTTCTTCTTTTTTTTTTTTTTTGCCTTTGACATGCTGCTATTCTTCCATATCAAATTCATGGCCAACTTTATTTTTATTTTGTGTAGAATTGTTTTATAACAGCAAGTGAAAAGCACAAACTCCATTATAGATTGTACTTTCTTGGGAAATGGATTCAAAGAGGACTTTTTGGCTGGGTGCTTTGGCTTGTAGTGCCAAGCCTGCTTGTTTTTCTCAAATCCTTTGGACTTTTCCATGTGTTGAACATTTTATTTCAGTGTGTTCAATGCTTTCACCAGCTCACTCAGTGACCCATGTGGAAGACTGCAGCATATAACTTTATTTGGTTCTGTACATATGACTGTTTACTATTTACTAGATGTCTCTACCTGATAGCCAGGGGACATCTCAAACTCAGTGTCTAAAATGTAGCTCAATCTGTCTGGCTTTCTAAACCTGCTCCTTCTCCTGCTTTTCTTATACCAATGATTGGACTAAGAATCCATCCCGTTACCCAATATCTACCTGGGATTTCAAGCCTGAGACCCAGATTCATTCATGACTCCTCCCTCTCCTCTTCTTTTCCAATCCAGCCATCACCGAGTTGCTGCCTCTGCTTTCTAATTGCGTCTTGAATCTGTCCTTTATTCTCCATTGCTGCAACCGTAACTCGCCTCTGTTCCTTATAACTGATTCCTCCAATATTGTCCCCGCCTCCAAATGCATTTTCCTCACAACAGCATGAGTGATAACTTTAAATGTGAATCCAATTATGTCCTCTAGTTCCCTCTGCTTAAAATCATTCAATGGCACCCCACTACCCTGGGTTAAAGATTAAACACATTTATCTGGCCTGTTTATCTATCCCGTTTTATTTCACCCCACCCACCAACTTCTTTCAGTTTCTTGAATGTGCCTGGCCAGTACCTGGAACTTTCTTCCCCTAACCTTTATTTGGATAATTTTGACCAATCTCCTGGGCCTCAGCGCAGATATCATTACGTCCAGGAAGCCTCCTTGAAGTCCTCTCTGCTGTGAGTCTACAGCACACTCTATTTGCCCATCATGCAGGGCATTGGGTATTACATGGTAATTTCACTGTCAATTATGAGGACAGGGATATGTCTCTCTTGTTAATTATAACCTTTCCCAGGCCTAGCATAATGTCTGGACAAAGGAGGAGCTCAGTTCACATTTGTCGAATAAGAGAATCCGTTTTGTTTCACACGCCAGTCTTCTTGCTTGCTTGTCTGTGGAACATCTTCCACATATTTGCAATTGCATCTTCCCAGGCAAGCTTTTCTGGATTCTCCGGTTACTGGTTTATGCCTTGCCTCTCCTGCTAGATTGCATTCTCTCAGAAGGCAGAGATTCTGACTTATGTTTCTTATTTCCTACACCACACAGGTATAGCACCACACACATAAAAGACAACCAATGCATTTATTATTGAATTGGCTAATTTGTATTCAGTGCCCATGAATACAAAGCATATGCAAATTAATTCAATAAAAATATATTGAGCACTTTCTATGTATCAATACCCCCAGCTATTAGACTCTTAAGCAATTTTAAAGTTCCTCACCTTGTTAAATTCCTAACCAAT
This sequence comes from Homo sapiens, assembly GCF_000001405.40. NCBI lineage: Eukaryota > Metazoa > Chordata > Mammalia > Primates > Hominidae > Homo > Homo sapiens. The sequence goes on along the minus strand of NC_000001.11, from coordinate 200,161,701 downwards.
TTCAAATATAACAAAGCTCTTTTCCTATAATGTGTCTCTAGAAAAAGTGTAATTTGATTCAAAATTGAAGTAATTGAGCTCAATGAGTAGAAGGAAAACCATTTGATATGTTTGATGTTGTGAAGTGGTAATCTGAGTATTTTCAGGAAGCCTGTATTTTGGGGCTGTGAGCTGTGTTAGGGACCACATCACGGGCATAGAACACTTCCATTTTCCCTCTGTATACACATTTGCAATTTGCATTCTAGAATTCTTAGGGATAAAAATGAGGACAGAATGCTATACTAAAGGGGTTTATGAAACAGATCGTACATTGTATCAACTTCTGCATATCAGATGATAGTGAAAACTACATTAAAATATACGGAAAATCAAAGAAAAATAAGGCCTCTGGCTGGAAATCGATGGGATATTCTGAGCCAGGAAACAGAATTTAAAGGGATATAGGATGAAGCAATTTCCTAGTTTGCCCCTAAACCTCAAATAAAGTTGTATTTAAAATAGATTTAACAATAAGGCCAAATACATACGGTGTTTGATAAAATAGGTAGCATGCAGAATTTCAAGCTTGAGACACAATTGCAGCTGCCTTGGCTGGTCTTGGAGGTCTTAGTCCTTATCCTGCTAAAGACCATCTGCTCCCAAAGCATAGGAAACATCCACATTCGTAAAGAGCAGCCCTCCCTCAGAGAAAACCTCTTCACTATTTTTTTTTTTTTGTACTCACGTCCTGAAACAGTTTTTGAGCATCACTTTGTATTTGATTTCCATTCAGAAACTTTGGTGGTTTTTGCAAAGTTTTATTCTCTTAGAATAAGATATGAGGTTCAGTTTGTTCAGGTGGCAAGTCAAGACTATGAATAAACCAACGTTATCATATGAAAGAGAATTAAACAGGCAGATCCAAGTGGGGATATATTAAGCCAAATTTAAGCTCCAGTTGTTGAATTTAGCCCATACTAGATGTCTGGTTTGCCTCGGGATAAATTCAGCTTTCCAGCTAATCGAATGAGGAAAACTGCCTCAGGTATGATAAAATTTACAAGAGAGCGCTGTGGAACAGTTCTTGTTAAAAATATTAGCTTAAAGGCATTCTTATCGTCTTTGGGATGAAGACTGTATTTGCATTTAATTATTTGATTTCAAACTTTTATGAACTTGGATCAAATATTAGCTTAGCCAATTAAAATATTATTTTGTGTGAGTGAGGCTAAGAGCCCGATTCAGCTCCACTTTCTCAGCTTTGGTAGTGCTCGACATGTTTCTTACTGACTTTTGGAGAGATTATTTCAAAGAGAATCTTTAAAAAGGTAAATTTGAGAATGTAATGTGCATTTAGTGGACAAGGTGCTATCTTCAGAATAAACCGTTGACTGGAAACACTTCTCCATGTCAGAGCATTAGACTAGAAGACAAAAGATGTAGTCTTCTAGATATTTCTACTCACACAATCAATACTCCTTCATAATTCAGCATTTTAAAGAAATCCTCTTCGTGTAAACTATTCATGATACTCCATGGACACAGTGCAGTTGGGATTGCTTGTAGCAGCTTCCTGTTTCTAGGCTTTGCTCCCTGCAGAAGGCAGGCTAGAGCCCATTGTTTTCTATCCCCTAGGTCTTAGAGGGTAGCAAGCGATACCAGCTCACGCAGAAAAGGGACATGGATGACAGTGAGGAGGGTGCCATGGGGAAAATAAGTTTACATGAAACTAAAGAGCAGCAGAACACTCTTAAAAAAATCTTCTCAGACCAGGCATGGTGGCTTATGCCTCTAATCCCAGCACTTTGGGAGGCTGAGGCGGGAGGATTACCTGAGGTCAGGAGTTCGAGACCAGCTTGGGCAACATGGTGAAACCCCGTCTTTACTAAAAATACAAAAATTAGCCGGGTGCTGGTGGCTCGCGCCTGTAATTCCAGCTACTTGGAAGGCTAGGGCATGAGAATCACTTAAACCTGGGAGGTGGAGGTTGCAGTGAGCCGAGATGGCACCATTGCACTCCAGCCTAGAGGACAGAGCGAGACTCTGTCTCAAAAATAATAATAATAATAATAATAATAAATAATTTAAAAAATCTTTTCAAAATGAAAATGTTGAACGAAAGCATTCAACAATCTCTACAAAATAACCAGTTTATTTGGTATAATGTATATTACTCAGCAGTTGACTGGGCAGGAAACTTCATAAAACGTTTGCTTGACCTTAGTGCTCAAGCACGAAGGCAAAGTTAGGTGAGGTCTCTACTGTCCCGTTATGCTCTCGCCCAACCCCAGTATCCCTGGGTGATGTGGCCCTGGGTGACATCTTTGCAATGAGTTGGTTTCATACCTCCTGTGGAGGGGTAGGATTAGATGTGAATGAAGGGAAACATCTGGAGAACCTCTGATTCCCTGGGCCTCAATTCTCATCTTGTTAATTTAAACAGAAATTGGAAACCAAGATATGACTATAATATATTTGTTGTTTGAAAGAACAAGTATTCATGATTTTAAAAGAATCAAATACATGGCCAGACACAGTAAGTGGCTCACACCCGTAATCCTAGCACTTTGGGAAGCTGAGGCAGGAGGATTGCTTCAGGCCAGGAGTTGGAGACCAGTCTGATATAGTGAGATCCCATTTTGACAAAAAATTTAAAAATTAAAAAAAAAAATAGCTGGGTGTGGTGGCATGCAGCTTCTCAGGAGTCTGAGGCGGGGGGATTGCTTAAGCCCAGGAGTTTGAGGTTGCAATGAACTGTGATCGGGCCATTCTAGCCTGGGTGACAGAGACCCTGTCCCTATTAGGAAAAAAAAAAAAAGAATCAAACATATTAAGGTCAGGTCAATACCAGAATGCAGAATAGGATAGGGAATTTTGCTTTCCTAACAGCAAGAAATACACTATATGGCAGCACCATGATGTTCTACAGTGTTGGCTGATGGTTCACTAGGTAAGACTCAGCAACTTGAACTCTATGCTACTTCGGAAATTGTATTTGGGTTTATTTTGGATAAGAAGTTTAAAGAATGCCTTTCTGTGGAGGTTGCAGAGAGCTGAGATCACGCCACTGCACTCCAGCCTGGGTGACATAGTGAGACTTTGTCTCAAAAAAGAATGCCTTCCTGTTTTAGCCTTTGAGTATGTAACTGATGAAAAATAAATTCTATCTAAAGTCAGCAACAGAATCAGAAATTCAAGGAATGAAGAGTATTATTAATGTATCACCAATTTTAACATCCAATTTTTAAATGTTGAAGATGTTTTAGAGGTATTTTATAAAATGCAGGCTAATTGTGAATTGTAATCTCTGAGAATAATACTTTATATTTATGTCATTCTTTGAATTTTTATTAAACCCCTTGCATCTACTTTATCTCACTCCCGCCAACACCTTTGGCAGGTCTGGTACTATCCTTTCTGAGACAGACACACAAAATAGATTAATTGGATTGGAAAAAAACTAGGTATTTGAATATTATAGCTGATGCTCCCAACTCCTTTTTAATTGTGCCCCACTGTGTTAACATGTTACTTTAATTAAGCATTAGACTGAGGTTACTAAAATTGCATTTCTTTAAGTACATATAAATTGAGCTTTTTGTTGCCAAGTTGAAATGTCCTGAATTAGTGAAGTTTATTGTACTTGGTACATTCTATTTGTGCTAAAAGTAATACATCACAATCAGTAAAATTCTTGCAATTTTATGCCCATATGAGAACTGTTACTATCTACATTCATTCTAAATATCCAATATTTTATGAGTTTGTAGAGTTAAATTAAAGCTACTCTTTAAGAGCTAGATATACTTGTTACTTATTATTACATCATTTCCCTTAGCTATTAAAATTCTGCTCAGTAAGATCAGAGGTTGAAATGAAGGGGGAAAAATCATGCAGTGGATCAACACTGATTCTGAATTATTTGCTTGAAAAATGAAAAGAGAGGGTCTCTGGAGTTGAGAACTATAAGGGAAGGGAAACTAGTTGCCTAACAAGATCATTAAAGCCAAATACTTATCCATTTTTGGACAAAACAAATTAATAATTCATTCAATTGCTCAGGGATATGTATTTGTATATGAAAGACAGAAAATCCATATTTCCAATTTGTTTTGTATTTGTGTAACCATGTGGCAGAGAAAATAACAAGAAAGATTATTCTAAGAACTTTTGGAGCTTGAAACATTTGCAAAAGAAGCTATCCTATTTTTTTTTCAGTGTAATGACAGATTTTGCTAAGACAGTGATAATAGTAAGATATCTTATTATCTGATCATATTGGTTTCGTAAGTGCTATGCTCAATTCTAAGGTTTGCATGGAAGGAAACTAAGACTATGTGGTGACCATTCCCTTTCACACCCAGAAATCATTAATTCAAGTGGGGAAAATTGTTTGGTTTTTGCAGATTAATTATAGTCAACTCCTGATTATTTAGCAGAATTATTGATACTTGCATTGAAGTGATTTTAAATCCGTGAACACTGCACTGGCCATAAGACATTGAAATTAGTAAATTGCTCTAAGTTTCAGTTTCCTAATCTTTTAAATGTGTTTTAATAGGAATTACCACAAGGTAGGACAGTGCCTGGCTTATAAAGTATCATCTGTTTCATCTTTCTGCAATGATGACTTAATTGAACAAGAAATATCTCTTCCACCTTTGAAGTCCACCCAGTGCTATTATAAGGAAAGGTCAGATATGATTTATCCCAAGCCTAATGTATCAGTCAGCATATACAGAGAGCGGCTCTGTTAAGATGTCGGCAATATAGATGCTCCAACTTACGATGGGGTTATGTCTCAATAAGCCCATCGTAAGTTGAAAATATTATCACAAATTCATTTACTACACCTAACCTTCTGAACATCATAGCTTAGCCTAGCCTGCCTTAAATGTGCTCAGAATACTTACATTAGCCCACAGTTGGACAAAATCATCTAACCAAAAACTTATTTTATAATAAAGTGTTGAGTATCTCATGTAATTTATTGAATACTGTACTGAAACTAAAAAACAGAATGGGCCAGGTGCGGTGGCTCACACCTGTAATCCCAGCACTTTGGGAGGCCGAGGCGGGTGGATCACGAGGTCAGGAGTTCAAGACCAGCCTGGTCAAGATGGTGAAACACCCTCTCTACTAAAAATACAAAAATTAGCCGGGTGTGGTGGGGGGGCACCTGTAATCCCAGCTACTTGGGAGGCTGAGGCAGGAGAATTGCTTGAACCCGGGAGGCAGAAGTTGCAGTGAGCAGAGATCACGCCACTGCACTCCAGCCTGGGTGACAGAGTGAGACTCCGTCTCAGAAAAACCAGAATGGTTGTATGGGTACTTGAAGTATGGTTTCTACTGGATGTGGATTGCTTTGCAGCATCGTGAAGTCAAAAAGTTGTTTCAGTAGTCATAATATTCTGAGTTGCTCTGACCTCTCCCCTGAGGGAGGATGCAGGTTTGCTGACGTTCCCACAACTGTGGGTGCCACTCCTATGCCCCCTACAGAAGCCCTCTTTGGAGTTTACCCTATAGAACTATTACTGTCTTATAGGGATTTTCAAAACTGAAGTGTTAAGGATGTAAAACAAAACCCTAGACTCTTCACATGACCCCCATGGTGGCTCAGTAAATATACCCACAGCAAGTTCAGAGGCAGCCCACGACCACTCATAGTTCTCTAAGTTTCAGTTGGTAATAAAGCTTTCATCTTGGGAAGTAGTGGATTTAAGTAACTGTTGAAAATTTGATTTTTGGGCCAGGCGCGGTGGCTCACCTCTGTAATCCCAGCACTTGGGGAGACTAAGCGGGTGGATCACTTGAGGTCAGGAGTTCGAGACCAGCCTGGCCAACATGGCGGAACCCCGTCTCTACTAAAAATACAAAAATTAGCTGGGCATGGTGGCTGGCACCTGCAATCCCAGCTACTTGGGAGGCTGAGGCAGGAGAATCGCTTGAACCCAAAAGGTGGAGGTTGCAGTGAGCCAAGATCGCACCATTGCACTCCAGCCTGGGTGACAGAGTGAGACTGTCCAAAAAAAAAAAAAATTTTTTTATTATTATCTGTGGATTCAGCATTGTCATTAATCCTCCATTAACAGAAGGAAATCAGGAATAGCTTTGTAAGTTCCAAAATAGTGAAATACATCACAAATAGCAAACTGGTAGTCGACCTGGCAGTGGCCAAAGCCAATGATGACTTTACAACATCTCACTTCTACATGAGGCTTTTTCAAGATTTTAAAGCAAACACTTCTTTAAGGCATTAGACACATCTCTAAAAACCAATTCTTGAAAGGCCTGTCTTTCTCCAAGTCTACTGTATAATTATTACAGTAAGATTTATAATTTATATAATTATAGAGTTGCTTCATTTTATCTCTATCTTTTGTGCTTCATTTTAAACTTAATGAATGTGCCATTTGGATGCAGAAAGGTTTTTTAAAGAAAAAATGCATAAATGTTAGATTGTGTGCACAGAACAACTGTTTATCTGATGTGATTATTATGGATTGCATGCCTGTATCAAAACATTTAATGCTATCTCAGGATTATCAATCTTAATCCCACTTCTGCATTGGTTGGTGGTGGAAGTGGGATAAGAGCCTAGTACTTACTCTCACTGTTCAGATGACCTTAAGAAGTCCACTGGATTCTAAAGTTTTGCCCTCACAAGCTGCACTTCCACCCTCCTGAAGCTTTATTGAATCTTAGTCCCGGAGTTGTAAACATAGATATTCCTAAATCTCAGTTCACAAAGGGGAACCACCCCTCCTTGGAGGCTGGAATGCGTAGAAACCTTGTTGGGTAGGTAAAATAAAAGCATCTTTTTAAGCTTCTGAGAGAGCTTCCAGCCACTAAGGCAGGTGCCAGAAGAGAAGACGTGGGTAGATAGCAGTCAACATGAACTGGACATTAGTGTGTGAACAAGCAGCTTACTGACTTGTCCATCATTATCTCTAGAAGACCCTTCCTAAATGTTCTGCTGAAACTCTCATAATGCCTTTCTTTTTAAAAATTTACTTATTTCTTTATTTTTAAAGATAGGGGTCTCACTATGTTGCCCAGGTCAGATTCAAACTCTTGGCCTTGTGTGTTCCTCCTGCCTCAGCCTCTGCAGTAGCTGGGGCTACAGGCATGTGCCACTGCATCTGGCTCTCCACAGCTCCTTTAATGACCAGTTTATCTACTTGCAAGTGGTGGACAGTGGTGGGGCCACCAGAGACCACCACCATCTCTCTGGTACTTGAGTATCACCCCATTGCTCTCTGGTGACTCATCAGGGCTGGTGATTATTGTTATCAACTGAACCCAATGCACAGCCACAGGTTCCCTCCCACACTGCAAGACTTTGCATGTTTTGGTCTAGAGGCAGTTAAGAGAGGATGTCAAGTGTGAGCCCAGCTATCAGTAAGTAGGAAGTCTAACACAGGAAATAACACCATCTGTGAGGCTGGCAATAGCACACTCCCACAAAAGTACTCTTAATCATGCTTACACACACACACAACTTCAGGACTGCTGAAACAACCCTGAAAGGTACATATATTGAGGAGCTGGAGGAAGCAAGAGCAGACAGGGAACCCCTGTGGAAGGAAAGATACTTCTGGAAATAATGTGGTGAAAGTGAAAAATATATTTGTAAAACAAAAATATCCAAAATTATTTTTCTTACCATAATTTGCATAAATAACACACCAATTTAAGAATGCAACTGAATCACAGAATAACATTTATGTCAGTGCAATTTTAGAATCCTCTTTTTGACATATGAACTAATTTTGTTCTTTTTTCTTAATTAGAAAATTCAAATCTTACATGATTAGGGAATGAAATAATTATAATCATAATTGTCTTTGCTTTCATCTGTGTTTGATTTTCTATCTACTTCTCTTTCCTTTTCTTTTCCCTCCATCCCTCTATCTCCCCCTCCATACCTTTCCTCCTTCCTTTTATTTTTTCTTACCTAAAGTAAGAAACAAAGTAAGTACTTGCTCATACATTATTGTCTCATTCTTAGTACATTTTCAATTCCTGCTTAAAATGCATTCTTTCACTATACCTGTTTTAAAAAATGTATTAAACAGCTACTAGATGTATAGATGTCTAACCAGCAACCTCTCTGGCAGGGAGCCGTAAGGTTGATGGCATAATTACTGTCATTCTGGATTTCCCCATCATTTTGACCCTATAGGGCTTGGAACAGCTGGGTTGGAAAGCCCCTACTGTGCATAATATCCTGTTCTGGGTTTTCTGCCAGAGCTCGTACCCTCTGTTGACTGCACATCACAGCAGTGCAGGGATGCTGCGACATTCTCAGAGCCAACATTCTCCTATGTGGCTCAGGGGAAGCACCAGCTTATTTGGTATTAGGGTTCAGTATGTCATGGAAGGATTTCTTTTTAACTATGTGAAAAAAGCATGTGGAAAGAATGTACTTTTAACAGGAGCATGAGTGCTACCTTGAGGAAAGTGTTAGCTGAATTCACAGAGAATCTGTAATCATCCAAATGCTATTCCACTCTACTTAGACTTCCATTTCTTGTAAGGACAACTACTCTAAAGTAGGCTTTAGATAAGTACTACTGCATATAAGTAACATGCAAAACACCAGCCAGGAAAGTAGCAAAAGGAATAAACGAAAGCAAGAGTGTAATTAAGATTGGCAATGCATGAATTATTTTCACTGTTTTAATTGTCAGGGACACTGGCAAATAGAAAGGCTAACCTTGCAGATGTCATTGCTACCTGGTTTGCTGGGGAAAAGAGGATCTTCCTCTTGGGCTGTGGTGCAGGAGAGAGCCTGTTGCCAGTTTCTCAGCATCCTCTGATGAAACCAGCAAAGACTAATTAATCTTTTCACAGTCCTTGCAGAGCATACCTTTTGGAGCATTAAACTCTCAATGTAGTGACCATAGCTGAATGGCAGTTCATTCTGTTGTTAGAATGTCAAAGGCAAATGCAAAATTCTCACATAATTTTTGGGTGCATAGAAAAACGAAATAGAAAAAAAATCCACAAAAGTTGGGAAAACTATGAAAAAAATGGGATATTTGAAAATTTTATCATTTAAATATTCCTCCCTTCCCCTAAAACAAAACAGATGCCCAAAAATCAAACCACTTGTTCAAATTCATCAGTATTTTAAAATGGTATTTTGGGGAAGTTAACCTGGTACTCAAGGTTTTAGTTTGTTTCCTGTTTGTTACTGTAATATTTCAAAACACATTTTTGTAGTTTCTTAACATTCTTATATGAACATAAAAATTATCAGGCACGTTTTTGCCTTCTTGCTAAATATATTATCTCTAAAGATAAAAAATAACTGGAGTTTGGACTTGGATCATAACAGTAACATATGGAAAACCTTTATGTAGATCATAACTATCAGAAAGTAATGAACTAATTACTTAAATATATAGATCTGAATACATTCATTGCACATGTTAAGATTGGGAATTCCATGGGATTTATGATTTGTACATGGTTCAGATTCAGGACTTGTTAGGATTTGCTTTGGAAATCTCTTTATGTTGCCCAAATTGATGCTGAAATGCTAGAGAACTTCTGAGGCCTTGAGAGTCCCCCACCCAGACTATCAGTTCATACATTCTCTTTTTCAGCAGTCTCAATTTACATGCACTAATTGGTAGCTAATGTGCTCCCAAAGGCAAATAAAGGTATTTGTTGCTTTAAAATCCTAAGTCTTTTTCTTTTTCCAACATGTGCTTGGAAAGAGAATAAAACTTTGCATATGTATGTCTGGGACTCCTGGATCTGATTAAGACCCTGGTAATATTACTCTGTATTCACACAGTTCTTAGGGTCCTCATTGCTTGGCTGGGTGTTGAGCGCATGACTATTGCAGCATGCACTTCAGCCAGTGGTGACTTTCTGCTTACGCAGTCAATCTAGTAAATACTAATTCAGTATTTCCTCCCACTATCCTGATGACCTTAAGAAGACAAATGCAAAAGAAAACCAGAAACAAAAACCACGTAGGAATCGCATTAAATACCTTTATATTCACTTTGGAAATGCTGTGCTCATTTTGAAACATGATAATGCCTCCTGTCCATTCCCTTTGAGAGATTTTATAGGGTCTCTGTGCTTCCATGTAGAATATGATACTATTTTATAATTTTTCTATAGTTGATTTTTCTAATGCAGTCTGGGAAAAAAACAGTTGAGTGTTGTACACCTTCCATGGTGAGCATCTAACAAGTTGTGCTCTTGCAGCGGGGGGCTCTTTACTTGATGTACACAGTAATGAAAGCTCGCTATTGATTTTTCTGTAGCTGCTTGTAACTATTATAGTTGATACATCAATAGAAAAGGAAAGCACAATGTTTCATGGGAGGCAGAAAATCAGAATACATGATGCTCTGACAGTAAATCATGGCATAATCTTAAGAATTGATAGATGGTTCCTGCTAACTTGAAACCCATGGCTTTCTCTAAAAAGACAGTCCTATAATCGCCCAATATGTCCTAACAGACTGACTGCCCAGAACGATGCTAAAAGACACAAGACAATGTTTCATCTTCTAAAGAAGGCTTTTTTTCCCCCTTCCAGTGGGATGAGTGAAAGACATTTCAGCTAGATGGTTTGCAGTCAAGGAGACCATTTTCCTCCCAGCCCCACCTTTCTAGAATTGAAATGCCTTACACTCCAAGAAAGCTCAGAGAGCAGGTCATTTCTGAGAACAGCAAACAACAGGGAGGAAAAACAAACAAATGAACCAACCAAAAAATCAACTACCTTCAATTCTTAACTCCCACGGGTCCTGGAATGAAACAGAGCACTCTTGTGGAACCTGGGCGTTGCTAGTGAAGAGGCGATTAGGCTGAAAGGACTTGCACTGCAGCGGTTTCTGACCTCTAAGAGTACCCAGAGTCCTATGACTCATGGGTGATGTTCTTCTTATGTGATTAGAGACATGGTTGGAAAATGCCTGGGGCATTAGGAAGGCCTGCATTCTGCCTTTCCAGAGCCTTTTTAGAAATCTTAAATCAATAGTGAAGACTTCTAAACTGGTGTGATATCTTATGATCTCTCTTCTCTCTCCCAACCCTCTACTCATCTTCACTGAATATTTTTTTTGACATTTAAATACACAGGGTTAACTCTAAAACAATTATACCTACACTGAACTTTCAGTGTTTAAGCCATTTTACAAGCATCTCGTAATTAGCCCATTAATTACTGGAGCTTTGAGCATTGTTTGAAGCTCTTCCCCATCAAATGTATGAATTATTTAACAAGAAGCTCTAATTCTAAGTGGTACTGATAATCATCCAGAGTCTTACTGTTGTAGCATAGAGGCATTAAATATAGATGATAGTTACTAGAGTTCAAGATTGTTTTTGTCTTTACACCATGTTGATGCTATAAAAACAAGTTAGTGATGGATAAACTGGTTTACCTATTAACTCCTTGAATGAATAGTACAATTTCATATTTCCTCCACTAAATGTCTACCAAGGATGACACAAGATGGTTTAGGTTCATAAGTTTTAATTTGATTTTGGTTTCCTTTTATGTGTCATTCTGGGGATTTCATGAATTGACATAACAAAACAAGAAGTATAGGAGAGAGTGCTCCTTCAAATTGCTCCACTTGGCTTCTAAGCAATTAATGTTTATCCATCCAACCAACCATCCATCCATCCATCCATCCATCCATTATATGCTGCTTGAACACCTATTGCAAAGCTTTGGAGTTATACGCTTTACATAAGTGATATAAACTCTGGAACGAATGACTTGGATATTATCATTACTGCATGGAGGTAACTACAAAATGCCATAGGGGATTCAAGCAAATATCTTCAAAGAAGCAACATTTAGTGAGACCCTAAATGATGAATAGTAGTTCATATGTAGAAATATTGGTGAAATCATTATAGGCACAGATACCTACTGTATGGTTAGTCTTGTGCTAAGTACAGTTGGGATATAAAAGCAATGCAGGATGAGTTCCCTGTTGATGAGGAGCCCACAATATGTGCACTCCCGGCATTGTGATGCACACACACTGCTGGCGTATGGTTTTCTGAGTGTGTGCTATTACCGCCTACAATTGGCCTCAGGTGCTACTGCTGACAGCTGTCAGGTTCCTTTGTGCATGGGCCTTTCCTTGGTCTCACCCCAATTTGCTGCGTGTTGAGGGGAATACGTGGATGTGACAACATAGCTGTGGGTTGCTTCCAAGTACTAGTGAGTCAGTGGCCAACAGACTAATATAATGGGTCACAATCAGAATAAAAAAGAGGCTGTTAGCCTCGGCAGCAGTCAAGTAATCCCAGGACCCATGAAGGGCAAGGCATAACTACACGGTAGCCAGTGCAGAAGATACACGGTGAATCAAAGCCAACTGTTGTGGGAAACACCTTTGGCCACGCATCAGTTATTGCGACCCACACTCATCAGCCATGGTCACTCTTTTGAATATGTGTGCCAGTAAACAGCACCAAGAAGTGCAAAGTAGACTCTGTCTAAAAGTGTACTGCGTGTGGCCGGGTGAGGTGGCTCATGCCTGTAATCCCAGCCTTTGGGGGGCCGAGGCAGATGGATCACCTGAGGTCAGGAGTTTGAGACCAGTCTGGCCAACATAGTGAAACCCTGTCTCTACTAAAAATACAAAAATTAGTTGGGCATGGTGGCAGGTGCCTGTAATCCCAGCTACTCGGGAGGTCGAGGCAGGAGAATTGTTTGAACCCAAGAGTTGTTGGTTGTTTTAAGTTGAGATTGTGCCACTGCACTCCAGCGTGGTGACAGAGCGAGACTTGGTTTCAAAGGAAAAAAAAAAAAAAAAAAAAGTACCGCATGCCAAAGACTGGGCTAGGAGTTGGAGACAAAAAGATGAAGAAGAAAAAACCTCCACCCTTATAAGGACAGGAAATGCTCATAGGATCCTTCACGTTTCCATTTGTCTGGAGTTCAATTTTTAAATCTCATTTGTGTAGATTATTTAGCTACTAAAATATATTAAAGAAAAGAGAAAATCATCCACATAGAAATGATTTTAGTGAATTTGAAGTTTACCAGGGAGATTTTTATTTAAAAGTTTTTTTCCCTCAAATTTGCGCTTCACTTAACTTCTTTATTTTTGACTAATTTTCCCCTACATATCCTTATGTATGTATCCTCTCTGGCCCCCTGGCCTGGGGAAAGCCTCCAGACTTACTGCAAGTCTTGTCTAGAGTCTGAGTTTGTGAGATTATTGGGGGGAGAGTGGGCGAGTTGCTGGCAGGTGACCCCCAGGAGGGGGCTGCCTGGGGCTGGTGTCTTCTCCCAGCTGCTGCTTCCAGTGGGCCTGGGCCCAGGATTGGACTCCTGCTGGCAGCCCGAGTGCCTCCCTGCTAGGCCATGCTGCAGTAGGCCCTAACTGCGTCTTTCTTGGCCTAAATGGCCAAGAAAAGCCTGTCCCCAAGAACAGGAGAGCCATGGCTGCCCTCCGAGGGAATGCTGTGGCCGGCTTCCTTTGGATGCTGCCGCTGTGGAGTCGGGGCGGCGGCTGATAGGCCCAACGGACAGGTTGCAGAAGCGTCCACTACAATCTGGTCTTCCTCTTGGACACCTCCTCCAGCGTGGGCAAGGAGGACTTTGAGAAGGTGCAGCAGTGGGTAGTCAACCTGGTGGATACCTTCGAGGCGGGCCCCGACTGCATGGGGACCGTGCGCTCCAGCGACCTGCCCAACGTGGCCTTCGAACTGGGCGTTTTCGGCTCGCGGGAGGAGGTCAAGGCGGCCGCCCGATGCATCGCCTACCACAGGGCAACACCAACACCGGCGAAGCGCTGCACCACATCACAGCCCGCAGCTTCTCCCCGCGCGCCGGCCACCGCTCCGGGGACTGCGCCTACAAGCAGGTGGCCATACTGCTCACCAATGGCTGCAGCCAGGACCTGGTGCTGGACGCCACGGCGGCTGCCCACCGTGCCGGCATCCGTGCCGGCATTCGCGCCGGCATCCGCGTCTTCACCGTGGACGTGGGAGAGGCGCTCAGGGAGGAGCTGGAGGAGATCGCCTCGGAGCCCAAGTCCACCCATGTCTTCCACGTGTCCGACTTCAACTCAATCGACAAGATCCAGGGCAAGCTGCGGCGCTGCCTGTGCGAAAATGTGCTCTGCCCTAGCGTTCGTGTAGAGGAGATCGCTTTAAGCACACCAATGGAGAAACCAAGGAAATCACAGAAACAGCAAAAGCAGCAGAAATTTTAAGGATGAAGAAACAGATCAAATTGTCCCTTGCCTCAAAGAGCTCTCCGTGTACTGGAGGAGGCAGCCCCATAAACAGATAAGCTGCCTGCATCTCGCCCAGACCCATACAGACTCCGAGAGGAACTAAGGTGGCCTGGGGGAGTCAGCAAACCTCCATGTAGGCCGAGCTTTGCTGGATGAGGAGAGGAGCGCACAGTAGGCGCCTGGCACAGCAGATGCAGCCAGCGAACCTGGGCCATTGCTAAGGTCTCCTGACACCACGTGGTGCAGCGGCCTCGCTGGCTTCAGCGAGGTGCCCCCCTCTATTTTTTGCGTGAAACAATTGCTTCTTTATCTCACAGTACCTTGCATCACAGCCCACTTTTTTCGGAAACATTTTTTATTTTCCTCACCAGCCCTTATTTATTTTGGGCAATTTATCTTTTCTTTTGGTGCCCTTTGCTGCCACCCAGTTAATTCCTTGTTGTTCCAAGTTTTGCTGTGTTCAACTCTTTTATTGGTTTCAGTGAATAAAAACAAAGTGGAACCAGAAAAAAAAAAAAGGATACAAGGATAAGGATACATACATAAGGATACATTTTCCGTTCTCTATCCTTATGTATCCTTACAAGGGAATATGAGTCATATTATGTAATTTTTTGATAAGTAAATTATTATGTAAATTTTTAATCAGTAAAAACTTATTTAGCCTTTGCAACTTTATAGCAGACAAATGTGTAATTTCCAAATAAATTTTTGAAAGTACTAAGAATATTTGGGGTAATTTGTTCATTAATTTTGACTTCCAGCCCCAGTTTGAGAACCATAGGTCTGAAAACCATGATTCCCAGAGAGCTAGAGAAAGGGCCTAACCTAGTAATTTGCTATTTAATAATTATTTGTGATTTAATTTTATTTAATGTTTAAAATGCACAAAGACCTTTTTTATTACTTGGAAAGATCTTAAATATGTCTTCAGTTGCTGTACAAAAGCTCCAGTACTTTCTAGGACAGAGATAAAGAATTCCAGGTGGTTTCCATGGTACCCACTGATGGCTATTTATACAGCCTGTTACAATCACAACTGTATCACATTAAAAAACCGACTATCCTGTGTTGGCCTCCACAGAAAATTTCTGACAGTAGTTACAGCTAAACAAGTAGAGCAACAGAATCCACTGAGTAGGGTTACAGAAAGTGAAACTATCATTATTTCTTCTTTATATTTGGAGTGCTGTAGACAGATCAGATTCACCTAGAATCTGAGGCCAATTGTAGCAGGTAGATGAATTTCTTTATCTACCAATGCAAAACTCACAGGTGAACTTCTGCAAGTGAATGGCAAATTAGAAACTCAAGAATCTCATGGTTGATATTTAGTAACCTTGTTAATATTTACTAATCTTGTTTCTTGTACTTAGTAGTCTTTAATATTTAGGAATCCTATAATTTTATTTCATTTACATTTTAATTTTTATTAAAGGGAAGAGATTATGAGGTATCTTCAATAAATTTTTGATAAGTAAAATTTTTGAAGAGTAAAATTGTATTTGGTAATGAATCTTTAGTAAAGCTTATATTCATTTATCTGGTGTACTTATATCTGTGTACAGTGTTCTCCTAATATATGAATTTTTCCTTATGTTCAGGCATAAACTGACTGCCCTTCTTGCAGTTACTTTCATTATTAGGGACATCAAAGTATCAAGGCACCTAGAAACCTGCAACATGATAGCCTATAGGTGTGGTGGCATGCACCTGTAGTCCCAGCTACTCAGGAGGCTGAGGCTGATTGCCTGAGCTCAGGGGTTCAAGGCTGCAGTGAGCTATGGCCATTGCCACTGCACTCCAGCCTGGACAACAGAGCAAGACCCTGCCTTTAAAAAATAATCAAACAAACCTGCAACATAAGAACCTAGTGTAACCCGACCTTCTAATTTTTTAGAAAGAAACTGGAATTCATATTTTATGTGGATTCTCTTGATTTTAAATGTTGAGTCACCTTTATAACACACACACACACACACACACACACACACACACACACACACACACAAATTCTATCAATGGCCTACCAGTTTCTGACATTTGCCTAGGTATATTTCACACAGGAATTGGTGAACCACCTGCTTCATACTCATCTGAGAAACTGGTAAAAAAAAAATTGCCATTACTCTGGAAATTCCAATTTGGTAGTTCTAAAAAAAATTTTTTTTTGAGACAGTCCTGCTCTGTCACCTAGGCTGGAGTGCAGTGTCTCAGTCTCAGCTCACTGCAACCTCCGCCTCCCGGGTTCAGGCGATTCTCCTGCCTCAGCCTCCTGAGTAGCTGGGACTACAGACACGTGACACCACGCCTGGCTAATTTTTGTATTTTTAGTAGAGATGGGGTTTCACCATATTGGTCAGGCTGGTCTTGAACTCCTGACCTTGTGATCCGCCTGCCTCAGCCTCCCAAAGTGCTGGGATTACAGGTGTGAGCCACTGCGCCCGCCCAGTTCTGAATATTTTTAAGCCACCTCCCTCAACCCCCAGATGATTCTGATGAGCAACGAGGTTTAAACAGTAGGAGTGCTAGAGCATCATATAAAGAGGTGGTTAAAATGCAGATTCCTGGGCCCCATCCTTAGCAATTCCTATTTAGTAGGTCTCAGAGAGGTCTTAGGAATCTGCTAGTTTCATAAGGACCTGGGTAAGACTTACTCACGCTCAATTTCCTTATCTGTAAAATGAGCAAATTTCACCTCATACCGTAATTGGTGAAGGAATTAAATGAGATAACGATGTATCTAAAAAGGCCTTGGACAGCATCTAGTACACAAGAGTTTCTTAATAAACAGTTAACATCTTCAGTATAAGACTATGTTAAGTGTTTGAGACTGGGTAAGATGTTTTAAAATGGTATTTTGATCATGGCAAATGTAATAAAAATTGGAAACAATGTAATGGGTTAATAGAAGAGGGAAATTCTTTCCCAAATGGCAGATTTGATAGGTCTTTCCATAGAGGAAGAGTTTGTCTGAGCTTGAAAGACTGGGGGTTGTTTTGAATGGCATTTCAAGAAGAGAGGCAGAACACAAACTAGCCCCAAAGTAGTAAGATATAGAATAGGCTCCAGGAAGATCAAATTGCTCAGTTTGTTGGGCAACAGTGTGCTGACATGGGCAAGGAGAATGGTGAGACACAAACTTGGAAAGGCAGACCGGAGACCCACGGCACAAGGCTTTAGGAGATCCTGGCCTTGAGTGTTGTTCTGTGTGTGTGTGTGTGTGTGTGTGTGTGTGTGTGTGTGAGAGAGAGAGAGAGAGAGAAACAGTGCTGGGATGATGGTGGCGGTGGTGGTTGGTGGTGATGGGAGGATTCAAACATTTCAGGCTCTTTGGAAACAGAAGAGTTATGCTGTGCTTCTTGTCAAAATATTGTGGTGAATTCTCATTTTGGTGCACTCTTCCTGTTACAAACATATCAATGACAGAAAAATACAAAGGGAGAGAAAAGGACATAGCTAGGCTCAAACAATGTCAACATCTCTGTCACAAACAGAGCAGAAATGCAGAGCAGTGGCCAGGATTTAAACGGTGAACAGTAGCCGGGCATGGTGGCTCATGCCTGTAATCCCAGCACTTTGGGAGGCCAAGGTGGGTGGAACATGAGGTCAGGAGTTTGAGACCAGCCTGACCAACATGGTGAAAACTGTCTCTACTAAAAATAAAAAAATTAGCTGGGCCTGGTGGCGCGCGCCTGTAATCCCAGCTACTCGGGAGGCTGAGACAGGAGAATCGCTTGAACTCGGGAGGCGGAGGTTGCAGGAGCCGAGATCGCACCACTGCACTCCAGCCTGGGCAACAGAGTGAGACTCCATCTCAAAAAAAAAAAAAAAAAAAAAATTATGAACAATAGCTGGAGTCCAGTGAACAGTAGCTGGAGTCCAGCTTCTGAAGGGTGTTGGGGCCTAAAGTGTGGCAACCATGCATGTGGCAACCAGAGCTAGGTCTTGCTTAAAGTAAAGCATGGCGCAGGGCTGGGGCAGGAGTTCCAAACTTCCACTCCTTTTGTAAAAGGAGGCTATTAGAAGGAATGAAAGAAGGGGGAAAAAAAAAACAAAACTAATCCTAATTTACTGCCCAAGCTATAGATTTGGTAAGCTGTGGAACTAGGCAAGGTAGCAGGGCAAAAATATATCCCCGGACTGGGAGTTAAAGCAGGGCCCCCACTGCCTCTGTGACTGGATCTAAAGTATCTTCAGTATGACCACAGTGCAGAAGCCTAAACACCATATAGGACTTGCCTCTGGACTCAGGATCTCATAGAGTCAGACAGAAGCTAATACAGAAATGCTAAATGCAGAGGAGTGAGCACAGTGTGTGTAGCAAAGAAAACACAAGACAGGAGAAAGAGACGGAAACAAGAGCAGCCACCAAAAGTCTTACTCAAAGTAAGTCTGCAACTAATAATGTGAAAAACCACACACACACACACATACACACACACTTTTTACATACAGCATATACAGCAAGATATATATTGCTAAGGAAAAAGTCAGCAAAAATAAAACATCAACTCACTCCAGAAGAAATTATTTCTATGGAAGAATCTGACAAAAACCTCAAAATCAGTTTGCTTGAGGTGTTTAAGAGAGAAATAGAGATATTATTCATCTAAAAAGAAAGATATCAGTGCCATAAGACAAGGCAAGAAGAAAAAAATCTTAATAAATAAATTGATTAATTAAAAAGGAAAAAATGAAAAAATTTAAAAGATACGTAATGAAACAATAGAAGCCAAATTTAAACATTAATGGGAAAACAGGTCTATTAGAAATCTTTAAAGCAAGACAGACATGGTGGCATGCACTTGCAGTCCCAGCTATGTGGGAGGCAGAAGTGGGAGGATTGCTTGAGCCCAGAAGTTTGAGGCTGCAGTGAGCCATGATCATGCCATAGCATTCTAGGCTGGGTGACAGAGTGAGACCCTGTCTCTAAAGATAATAATGATAATAATAATTTTTTTTTAAAAAAAAGAAGTCTTTAGGCTGGGCGCAGTGGCTCACGCCTATAATCCCAGCACTTTGGGAGGCCGAGGCGGGTAGATCACGAGGTCAGGAGTTCGAGACCAACCTGGCCAAGATGGGAAACCCCATCTCTATAAAAATACAAAAATTAGCCGGGCGTGGTGGCAGGCACCTGTAATATCAGCTACTCAGGAGGCTGAGGCAGGAGAATCACTTGAACCCGGGAGGCAGAGGTCGCAGTGAGCTGAGATCGTGTCACTGCACTCTAGCCTGGGCAACAGAGCAAGGCTCCATCTTAAAAAAAAAAAAAAAAAAAAAAAAAAAAAGAAGTCTTTAAAACAAAAAACAATTATTCAAAACACTAAGTTGATGGTATATGTGCTAGACTGGATATAGTTGAAGAGGGAATTATGCAAAAAGCAGCACAGTGAGATAAAAGGGGGAAAAAAGCTTAAAAACTAGAAGACACAGTAGACTGTGAGGCTCCAACATATGCCTGATAGGAGTTAGCAGAGGGATTTGCATAGAAGTGACATATGAAAAGAGAATAGCAGAATTCTTCAGTGCCCTCTAATTGGATGTGCACTTCCGGTATACTCAGACACCTTGTAGTAAAAGTATATAAGACACTGGCAATAAAGAAAAACCTTAAAAATTATCAAAAAGAAAAGACAGTAGACTTCCAAAAGACTTCCCAAGTGTTAAGAGACTATATTGTCAACTTCAAGTTTTATATTCACCTAAACTATCTTCCAAGAAGTGGCCAAATTTAAAACATTTCCTACATACAAAAACTAGGATGGTTTATTAGTAAATAGATCAAACTCACCTCTTAAAAAATAGATTATAGACCTATGTTTCCCATATGACCCAACAAGTGCATTCTTGGGCATTTATCCAAGAGAAATGAAAACTTATATTTACATAAAAACCCATACATGATATTCATAGCAGCTTATTTGTAGTACCCCAAAACTGAATGTATACAACTCAAATGTCTTTCAATAAGTGAAGGGTTAAGCAAACTGTGGTATATCCATACCAAAGAACACTACACAATCATAAAAATGAACAAACTATTGATACACTTATGGATGAATCTTAGGGGAATATTGCTGAGTGAAAGATGCCAATTCCAAAAGGTTACATACTATATACTTATATAACATTCTTGAAATATCAAAATTACAGAGATGGAGAAGAGATTAGTGATTGTCAGGTGTTAAGAATGGAGGGAGGGGTGGGTGCTATAAAAGGGCTAGCGCAAAGGAAACTTGTGGTGATGAAAAAGTTCTGTATCATGATTATGTTGGTAGTAACATGAACCTACATGTGATAACATTGCCAGAACCCACCCCCCAACACATACAAACACACAAACGAGTGCATTTAAACTGGTGAAATATGCAAACTGAATAATTGGTAAAGTCTACAGACTATACCAATGCCATTTTCCTGGTTTTGTTTGTTTGTTTGTTTGTTTAGAGATGGAGTTATCTCTTGTTGCCCAGGCTGGAGTGCAATGGCATGACCTCAGCTCACTGCAACCTCCACCTCCCAGGTTCAAGCAATTCTCCTGCCTCAGCCTTCCAAGTAGCTGGGATTATAGGCATGTGCCACCATGCCCGGCTAATTTTTGTATTTTTAGTAAAGACTGGGTTTCTGCATGTTGGTCAGGCTGGTCTCAAACTCCTGACCTCAGGTGATCCATGCACCTTGGCCTCCCAAAGTGCTGGGATTATAGGCGTTAGCCACTGCGCCCTGCCTTTCTGATTTTTAGATTGAGGATAGTTATGTGAGATGTTGCCATTGGAGAAATTGGATGAAGGGTACTTGGGACTCCCCTATATGTATCTTAACATCCAACTTCCTGTAGATTTAAAATGATCTCAAATTTAAAAGTTTAAAGGGATTGTAGGCTAGATTAAAGAAAAGCCAAATAAAATATAGACATCTGCTGCTTACAGGAAAACCACCTAAATCACAGAAACACAAGAAACTCCACTAAATCAACTGAACAGGAGAAAACAAGGAGAATGGGAAAAAAGATGTCAATCTTAATTTTAAAAAGCTGATAAAACATTCTTAATATCAGACAAAGCAGATTTAAAAGATCAAAACATTAAAAGAAAATAAGTGGCGAGGTGTGGTGGTGCTCGCCTGTGATCCCAGCACTTTGGGAGGCTGAGGCGAGAGGATCACTTGAGCTCAGGAGTTTGAGACCAGCCTGGGCAACATAGTGAGACCTTGTCTCTATAAAAAGAAAAGAAAGAAAGAAAATAAGAAGCACACGATAATAATAAAAGAAATAATCTACACAGAAGATATAACAAATTTATCAATAATGATATAAAGAAATAAATACTGACATCTAAAATTGAGACTGTGTCATATATGCCATATTTATTAAAATTAACTAAATATCACATCAAAAGAAAGTTTCAGTAATATGCATAACCTCATAGTGAAATCATCTTATAATCCAAAAATAAAAAGATAATCAAAACCTCCATTTGTTTGGAAATTTTAAAACCCATTGTGAAATAAATCTCGATTACAATCGAGATGACAAAATATTTAGCACTGGACGTAGGGCTACCAGACAGGGCTACTGGTGTTGTGTACCACACAACTCTTAGGGATGCATTGATATATACTATAGTGTGAGTGGTGCCCCCTAGAGTTCTGTACAGTGACTTGCATAAACCCACAGCAGCCTTGAATGTCTGTCTCCAATATCAAAACTTCCACAAATACAACTATGGCTGTGCCAAGAGGCAACTTTCTAATACTAAATGCTTTCATCAAATGAGAAACAAAACAAAACAAAACAAAAGAACAATGAAAATGTATGGCTGAAAATTAGATGAATAAAATCGTCAACTGAAGAAGCTAGAACCAGAACAATAAAATAACAAAAGATAAGAGAATAATTTGTTGAAATAAAAGGCAAAGAAAAAATAGCTGTTGGATCTCTCTCCAAGATCAATAGCTTCTTCTCTTTTTTCTACTAAAAAGAAGACTACTAAAATAGACAACACTTTTCATATCAAGTCATTTGACTTTAGAATGATTCCTATAAAAGACTGAAATAAGACAAGAGTACCTGTTATCACACCAAGTCAATATTGTCTAACCAACAAAATAAGATCAGAAATGGAATCCAGAAAAGCAAAAGATAAATCTGTATTTATTTTCAGACTATGAATGTCTACACAGAAGGTTGAAGATAAATTACAGAAAAGCCATTTCAAATAATAAGGGCATTTAGTAGATTTGTTAAATAAAAATGCAATATAAAAATATCCAGCCACATGGATATTAACTACAGAAAAGGTTTGCATTATAAAAACCAACTCTATATAATAGCTAGAATAAATTAGTAACAAATGATGTACAATACCTCTGTGGAGAAAATTGTATGACTTTATTGAAGGACATCAGAGTACACCTGACTAAAGGAAAGATGAACTATGTTCATGAACGGGAAAGTCTCAATACTCCCAAGAAAATAATTTTTCTCCAAATTAATCTCTAAATACAATGCAATTTTACTCAAGACCCCACTGGGTTCTTTGTGGAACAACAGCAAGCCAAACCTAAAATTCATGTGGAAAAGCAAAAGCCTAAGACTAATTAAGACTATTTTGAAATAAAAGGTGGAGGGACTACTCAAGCAGATATTAAGATTTATTATAAAAATGCATAAAACATGTGAGATTAGCACTGAGATAATCAAATAGGCCAAAGGAACAAAGTAGAAAGTCCAGAAAGAGACCCACACATATACAGATCTTGAATACATAAGAGAGGTGGCATTAAAAACAGTGGGAAAGACAAGCGATTCAGTAAGCAGTGTGGGAAAAACTGACTACCCTTAAGAAAAATAAAATAAAAACTAGATCTCCCCCTCACACCATACACAAAATTAAATTCTGGACATTAAAGATTCATATTAAGAAAAGCAAGGCCTTAATACACTTGGAAAAAAATTAAAGGAGAATGTACTTTAAGACCTCCAAGGTTGGGAAGGATTTCTTAAGAAAATTTAAAAAGCAAAAATTATATGGAAAAACATTGATAAACAGGTACTTCAAAGAAACAGAAAGATGTTCAATATCACTGGTAATCAGAAATACAAATTAAAACAGAATAATGACAGCATCTGTATTATAGTGCTGGTGATGACATGGAAAAATAGAAGCTCTCATTTACTACGCCTAGAAATGTAATTTGGTACAGCTACTTTGGAGAACACTTTGACAGTTTCTAGAGTTGCAAGTAATTGTCCAACAATAGAGTGATTGTCCAACAATATATTACAGGAAGACATGGAGAAAAATGTTCTTTTAACATTGTTTGTAATAAATATCCACCAATCGGAGAATGAATCAATAAACTGTGGGGTACATTATATAACGAAATACCATGGATCAGTGAAAATCAAAATAGAATCTAAAATACATAAGTTGGAGGAAAAATGGCACATCAACCTGTTTTTAAATCCTAAAAACCCTATTCTTTTGTAAGACAAGAATAAGTTTCTTAGCTACCTCTTTGAGAGAGGAATTTCCTTGAAGTTATAATTAGAAATGATACTGTTACAGTATCATGGACCCCAATCCCTTTTGATATGGGCTGTCCTGGACAAATGCCAGCACATGTGGTTATCCAATTTGTCCCATAATTTCTTGTAGCAAGTAACAACAATAAACTTTTTTTAAAAAAAATTAGAAGAAATTGCTAATTACTAAACTCTATCCTGTCTATATCAGAAACATACTAAGAAATTCATATGACACTTTTATTTTGGTATTCTTAAAATACTTAAAAACGTACACAAATTCATGTTTTAATCTTCATTCCTTCTTCTTTCACTCCATTGAGTTTGATGCTGGCAATATTAGGAAAGGGAGAATCTGCTAATAATCTAGGCTAATAATCTGGTAATGATTTTCAATCAATTATCAAATTCTGTTCACAGTAAATATTTGTAAGAGGATAGGAATTTAGACAGCAGATGTTTCTTCATATTAAAAGTAAAATCTGGGCCAGGTGTGGTGGCTCACGCCTGTAATCCCAGCACTTTGGGAGGCCAAGGTGGGCAGATCACTTCAGGTCAGGAGTTCGAAACCAGCTTGGCCAACATGGTGAAACCTCGTCTCTACCAAAAACATAAAAAAAAAAAAAAAAAAAATTAGCCAGGTGTGGTGGTGTGCACCTGTAATATCAGCTATTCGGGAGGCTGAGGCAGGAGAACTGCTTGAACCTGGGAGACAGAGGTTGCAGAGAGCCGAGATTGTGCTACTACACTCCAGCCTAGGTAACAGAGCAAGACTCTGTCTCAAAAATAAATAAATAAATAAATAAAATAAAATCTGGCCAGGCACAGTGGCTCATGCCTGTAATCCCAGCACTTTGGGTGGCTGAGGCTGGCGGACTGCTTGAACCAGGGAGGTTGAGGCTGCAGTGAGCCAGGATCACACCACTGCATTCCAGCCTGGGTAACAGAGTGAGGCTCTGTCTCAAAAAAAAGATAAAGAAAAGAAAATCTGCTTAGAGTAAGTAGGCCAGCATAAGGGATTAAATACCCTATAATTTCAGCAGTGCTTCTGACCGTGGTGATAAAAGCTGTGATACTTCTTGAAACCGATCAATAGAAAGCAGCTCTGACTGAAACCATGGCATGTTGATGAGGGGGAATTATTAAGCATTTAAGAAGGCAGGATTGTTACTCAGCCCTTGTACTTTCAAGTAGGATCTAGAAGGATCAGATTTAGAATGGGTTAGCTTCATCATAAATGACAAGCACTGGTATAGTGCCTTCTGATCTACATACTTAATCAATGAACCAGAAAAGTAGCAGTGAATAGTGGAGAAAACCTAGACTTTGATGACTAAAGTGTGCAAATCCCAGTTCTATTACTTACTAGCTCAGCAATTTTGTATAGTTGTTTGACTTCTCTGATCTTAGGGAAAGACAGTAAAACAGGAATGGCAAATGATACTTTCATCGAAGGCTTGCTTATGAAGATTAGAAACAACAGGTATAATGTACTCTGCTCATACAGGACAATAAGATGTAGCTATTATAATCGAACATACTGAGTATTGTTTTTTAATATGAACTTTATTCCAGGCATGATGTTAAGTGAAATCCTTATCTGTGCTCTTTCTTGTGTGTGTTCAAATCGCCCGAACCCAGGAAGCGGAGGTTGCGGTGAGCAGAGATTGCACCACTGCACTCCAGCCTGGGTGACAGAGTGAGATTCCATCTCCAAAAAAAAAAAAGAAAGAAAAAAGTGAAGAGCTTCCTAGCATAGGCATTCCCAGAGGGCAGGTGTGAGCCTAGCCATTCCACTTTCTCATCATCTAGGGCCTGCACCAACCTAGGAAGAGGCCTAATTGTTTATTATTAGACCTTGGCTTGATTTTGGGATTTATGATAGATGAATTAAAGTGAAGCGGCTTGAGTCTGCTTACTCTGACATATTCCAAAACATCAAGGATAATAATGATGCCTTTGGTTAGTAGATCAAAGATTTCAAACTATGGCTTGGTACTGAATTAATGTATCAGTTATTGCTGACGTGAGAAAGATCTTTTTCACAGAATCTGTAAACCAAAGATTGTATCTGAGAAGAGGCATTTCCCGATAAGCAGCCTTCATTTCTATGACTTTCACAGATGTTTTGAGTAATAATCACTTATTAATACTATGTGCCAGCCATTATGGTAAGTTCTTCCTAATAATTATTGCATGTAACCATCACAATCATGCTTCAGGTAGATCATTATTATTTCAAGTTTACAGATGGAAAAAAGTGAGGTGATACACGTTCCTAAGGATACAATAGAACAAGAATCTGAATTCAAGTTTGCAGTCATCACCATTAGGCCATATCACCTCAATAGTAAGAAACTTGTCATGAACGCCTCTCTTTTTCCTCATTCATGCATTCTTCTTCTTCTTCTTCTTCTTTTTTTTTTTTTGGAGATGAAGTTTTGCTCTGTTGCCCAGGCTGGAGAGCAGGGGCGCAATCTTGGCTTGCCGCAACCTCCACCTCCCAGGTTCAAGCGATTCTCCTGTCTCAGCCTCCCGGGTAGTTGGGATTACAGGCACATGCCACCACACCCGGCTAATTTTTGTATTTTTAGTAGAGACGGGGTTTCACCATGTTGGCTAGGCTGGTCTCGAACTCGCGACCTCAGGTGATCCACCTGCCTCGGCCTCCCAAAGTGCTGGGATTACAGGCGTGAGCCGCTGCACCTGGCCTCATGCTTTATTATTTCAGGCCCCAAGTCAAAAGACTTCCTTGCCTGTGAGTGACGACAGCAGATCTGGAATCAGTGGCCCTGGCTTGGAGCATGGGCTCTCTCAGATGCCTAGCTGTGTGGTCATGAGCACGTTAGCCATGCTGAGTCCAGTCACATTTTGTATTATAAAATCACTAAACTTTCAATGTTGTGTTATGTGTAAAGGATAATGTTATAAGAATAGGGTACTTTGTAAATAAAATGTTCTCCACAGAAAACAGAATGACGGCTGCAGGGGCTGAGCAGTGGGTGAATTGGGAATTTACTGTTTCATAAGCACAGTTTTAATTTTGGAAGACAGGAAGTTCTAGAGACAAATGGTGGTAACAGTTGCAATGTGTGTGGACTTAATGCCACTAAACTGCATACTTAAAAATTGTTAAAATGGTAAATCTCATGTAGATTTTATCACAATTTTAAAAATTAAAAATTAAATAAATCTGCACTTAAAAATTCCTACATAGATGTTAGCAGTATTAACACTACTATAATAATTACTTTCTCTTGGGATAAATGGTACAGAGAAAGGATTATTTCAGGTGTGCTATCAATTCTTATATACACAGTCATGTGTTGCTTAATGACAAGGATACATTCTGAGAAGTGCACTGATAGGTGATTTCGTTGCGCGATCATCATAGAGTGTACTTACACAAACTTACTACACACCCGGGATATGTGGTAAAGCCTATTGCTCCTAGGCTACAAACCTATACAGCGTGTCACTGTACTGAATATCGAAGGCAGTTGTAACACAGTGAATATTTGTGCATCTAATCATAGAAAACAAGGTATAGTAAAAATACAGTCTATGAGATAAAAAATAGCACACCTGTATGGAGCACTTATCATAGGTGGAGACTGCAGGACTGGAAGTTGCTCTGGGTGAGTCAGTGAGTGAGTGGTGAGTGAGTGGGAAGGTACAGGACATTCCTGTAGACTACTGCAGACTTTATAAACAGTGTACACATAGGCTACATTAAATTTATAAAAAATATTTTTCTTTCTTCAGTAATAAATTAACCATAGCTTACTATACCTTTGTTACTTTATAAACTTTTCAATTTCTTTAAGCTTTTTGACTCTTTGTAATAACACAGCTTAAAACACAAATACATTGTACAGCTGTATGAAAATTTTCTTTATATGCTTATTCGATAAGCTTTTTTCTATTTTTAAATTTATTTATCTACTTTTTAAACTTTTTTTGTTAAAGATGAAGACACAAACACACACATTAGCCTCTAAGCCTATACAAGGTCAGGATCATCAATATCACTGTCTTCCACCTCCATATCTTGTCCCATTGGAAGGTCTTCAGGGGCAATAACACACATAGAGCTGTCATCTCCTATAACAATACCTTCTTCTGGATACCCCCAGAGGGACCTGCCTGAGGCTACTTTATAGTAAGTTTTCTTTTATATACATAGGTATAAAGAATATGCTCTAAAATAACTTCAAAGTATATAGTAGGGTAAATACTAGGCAATAGGAATTTTTCACCTCCATTATAGTCTTCTATCATATATATGACCATATATATATAATGTATATATGTACATATATACGTGTGTGTGTGTGTGTATATATGTGTATATATATATATGTGTATATATATGTGTATATATATATGTGTGTATATATGTGTATATATATATATGTGTGTGTATATATATATATATATATATAGTCCATCAGTGACCAAAACATCATTATATAACGCTTGACTGTATAACCAAGATAGGACAAAATGAATATGATCATTCCTGCTGAGGGATTAGGCAGAATTGCCCAATTTGAGTCCAGCATGGCCACTCAGGACACACTGACCTTTATGGATGGCACAGAGCTCCATGTACCCAGAGTAAAGTGGAGAGAGTCAAAGTGTGAGTGACTGTAGGAGAGATTCTGCCCTCCAAAGTTCAGGGTACCCAGCATGCAGCATGCACAGCTGAGTCCTAAGGCAGCAAAAGGCAATGTACATTCCCCACGTTTCTGGGAAATCACTTTTACACTTCACAATGAAAATTTTAGATTTAGTTGAAAAGGATGGCCAAGAAATAGTAAGTCTAATTTTGAAACAAATGCAAAAGCACTATTTCTGTAATATAGAAATCCATATCTGTGCTCTTTTCCTGCGTGTGGAGTTCAAAAATTTCAGTTCAAATCCTGACTCTACATGACTGTGTACAAGTCACTTAACCTCCATTAGCTTAAATTTTCTTACTCAGAAATAAGACGTGTTTGTATTCAGCAACAGCATAGGTTCTCTTCCATGCTGATGTTCTGGGACTCAGTTCCTCCAGGGCTGAGGCCACATTGGTGCTGTCCAAAATCTGGGTAACTTGGGATGTGGGTGTTAGGGACAGTGCCCCTTGCTAAGGCTCCTGGAGGTGATCCCATGCAGTTTCCCAACTCCTTTCAGAGGAGTTGAACAGAGTGGTTGACACAGCTAAAGCAGCAAGAAACATCAACCAAGAGCACATGGCATTCTTACTTGATTTTTCTTGCTGGTTATTCCTAGTTTGCCTGGCCAATATGTCTCTGAAAAATCATCTCCTTTCAGAGGAGTTGGGAAACTGAAGAGGCATGAAGCCTCTGATTGCTGTGAGATTTATGTAACATGGGGGTTGACAAAGGCTTTCTGATTAATAAAATGTAATCAAGGAGAATAGCATGTGTGTGGAACGTGCATTAGTTCAGTGAAAACAAGGAACAGAAAGAAAGACAAGAGATGCATGCAGCATTGCTGATGGCATGGCATGTTTTGGACTCTTCGCTTGGTGTACCACGCCTTATTCAGAACAGTGTCCTGGGGATCCAAAATGCAGCTCTGTATCACAGGAGTTTCCTTCTCTTTGGAAAGACTATATATTGCCAGTTCTTGCCGGGCACATTGGCTCACACCTGTAATCCCAGCACTTTGGGAGGCCAAGGTGGGCAGATCACTTGAGGTCAGGAGTTTGAGACCAGCCTGGCCAACATGGTGAAATCCCGTCTCTACTAAAAATACAAAAATTAGCCGGGGGTGGTAGCAGGCACTTGTAATCCTAACTACTCAGGCGGCTGAGGCAGGAGAATCACTCAAACCCAGGAGGCGGAGGTTGCAGTGAGCCAAAATTGCACCACTGCACTCCAGCTGGAGAGAGAGAGACTCCATCTCAAACAAAAAAAAGACTCTATGTTGTCATTTCATAGCTTGCCTAGTACAATGGTTCTGCATAGTGGCCACTCAATATATTTTGTGTGATTTAATGTTTCAATACTGATGAGAGGCCTTGTACTTCTATTTGTTCTTCTCTCCTGGCTTTGGATTGGTCTGTTTGAAATTTAACCTTCTTAACCAAACACAGCCACAACTCAAGATAAGACTTATCAGATTTTTATCAGTAAACTAGAAAGAAGATCTAATGCAAGACTCAGATGTGAGTCACTGATTTGGTCCATTGTAGAACAGACCTGAGGCCCTGGGGTGTCCAGAGTCCACTAGAGTGCAGCATCTGGGCTAACCACGTTAACCAACTACGCTCTTCTGAGCTGGTACTAAGACAGCCACTCTATTCTGAGATTTGAACAGAGTGGTTGACACAGCTAAAGCAGCGAGAAACATCAACCAAGAGCACATGGCATTCTCACTTGATTTTTCTTGCTGGTTATTCCTAGCTTGCCTGGCCAATATGTCTCTGAAAAATCATCTCACTAAATAGCAGTAGTTAGCAAAATGACAAGATAAGCATTAACAGCTAAAATATGACAAATATTTTTAGGCATAAGGTATTCAGAAATATGCTTAAATAAATGCTATTTAGGCAATTATATTCTTGTGCCAGCAAATAACAAATGATAATCACTTCTTCCATGGCTGTAAGTTCATATTGATTAAGTTCAAACTTAGAACTCCAAAATGAATTACATCTGGTCATTGCTAAACTGCTTTGCTCACTGGAAGAAAAAAAAAATCCACAACACCTATTATACTGCATTTAATTAAGACAAGCATCAACTTTATATGCCATTATTTGCTTCTGCCAAATCTCTATGGTGTAAATATTGAACAGTGGCATCTCTTGAATGCTAATCAATCCTTTCTGAATTTCAAATGATTACATAAATTTTAGGAAATGCTTATTTGCCAGCATTACCCTCAGGTGCATATATATCAGCAAGGCATTAGTATGAAGATATGTGCAGTTATTTGACAAGTGTCTAGTGAGTGTTTTTCTAAATTAGAATATTACATATGAAAAGGTAAACACTGAGAATGAATGCTAATTGTACGAAGAACCCTGGGATATTTCTTTTGCTTATCTGACTTCATGAAGAACAATTTAACCAATGCTCTTGGGTAAAGATGTGAGGTAAATGTTCTGCTTCACTAGGCTTTGCAGTCCAGCCAGTGGCAGTGTGTGTGTGGGTGAGTATGTAATCATATTTAGAGGAAGCCAGCAATAAAGCAAATATTGTGACCAGCTTCAGGAAGGAGAATTGCCACATAATAGGAAAATCAGGTTTTGCTGTTTCAAAACCAACTTTTATGCAGCTACCAAGCAAAAAGAATTTTATGATGTTTAGACTATAATGCTTATTTCAGAATTAATAAGCATAAATTTTGATGCACAATTGGACATTTTTTACTAGTTTTCCACCCTTCTGAAGCTCTTACAGCACTTCCAGTGATGAGGTAGTCAACTAAGGGATAAGAACAGGCACTGCTATTTCACTTTCTAGAGCAGCTGTAGATTTGCCATATAGCAAATGGTACACCTGGTACTGTCACCTTCTGACTTACAGTGAATGAATCGTTCATCTTGCTTTAGGCACTGCAAACACAATTTAAATCAGTGATCAAATTTCTCTGTTGGATTTTTTTTTTCTTCTTCTTCTTCTTCTTCTTCTTCTTCTTCTTCTTCTTCTTCCTAGTTAGTTCCTGCAAGCAGATCTCTGTTGGATTTGTAAGCCTCTTTTATTAACTGGATGTAATGTTGCAAAAAAGCAAAATGGGGATTCATTTTTCCCTTTGTTTCAGTTGCTTTACTTATTAATAGATTTGTGCTCTCTTTTTCACCTCCCACACAATAGGAACACCTAATTTGGTGGCAGAAAAACAACACAACACAACACAAACTCAACAAGTTGCTGTGCCTCTTCTAGAGAAGTGGACAAAAAAGTACTCTCCTTTTGTAAGCCCTTTGAATTCTCTTCTCCAAAACTGTGTCTACAGTATTTCCAGGCTTCTCCAGAAGTGCTGAGGGAAGGGAGCACTCAGACTCCAACAGTGCCCCCCATACACTTCCTTTCTGGGGGGTTCATCGCTTAGCAAAGGCAAAATGTAGGCATCCTGAGCACAGCCCAGGTCAGAACAACTTTTCTTTTTCAAGAAGACAACCCCACAATGGCCAATCATCAGGTGATCCTGCAAAACTGTTTTCTCTCCACAGGAAGTGGCAGAAAAACCCCTTCATGATTTACACCACAATGTCACACTGACATCAGGACTCCGATTAGCTAATGGAACTGCAGTTAAAGCAACGAGTTCACACCCTCCACTGCACAATTAGAACATCCTTGCCAGGGGTAGCAAACAACTGAGCAGTTAGGGTGAAGAGGCTATGCATGGTGAAGTCTTTTCCTTTTATAAGAGAGCACATGCCAGCCTTGCTGGTAGATTCAGAATAGTACTTCCTATCGGACAAAAAGGAAGGGTCCTCTTTTAAAGAAAAACAGACAAGGAGAAAGACGTTCTGATTGAAGTGCCGTGGTTTTCTGGGCTATGTTAACACAGCAGCCTTTTGTATGCCTCACTTAATGGCTGAATGTTTGCTATTCCTACAAATCTCTGTTGTCTCTTAAGTGAGATGTGAGATCAGTAGTTGCTCTGCAGTTCTTGGCTTGTTTATAAAGCCTTCATTTTCAAATGAAGTGTGTGTGTGTATGTATGTGTGTGTATATATTCAGAGAGAGAGAGAGTCTCAAAAGTGATGAGACAGAGTTCCCATATATGATGGCTTGTGCTGGAGTTATAAGCTCTGGGCAGAGGTCCTGACTGGGCCTGGGGTATGGGGCCAGTCTCCCTATTTGCATGTTGCCTTACCAACCACTCTATAGGGAGCTTTGACAGCAAACCTCTGCCAGGTTCTGATATTGAATGCCAGAGGACAAATGGCACACACTTAAGTAAAGGGAAAAGAAGCATTAGATATTTCTTTAAATGTCAAAGCAGAAGAAATAATGGACAAAATTCAAATAAGAAAAACATTCCTATAGCAGAAACTAAAGACTATTGGAAAACTAACCACTGCAAATAAATTTCCCTATCTAAAAGACTTTTATCCAAATCTTTCAGCTAGTAAACATTTTATTTACTATTAACAATGTCAGTGTCATATTGCAAGAGCCGAGTTATGATTGAACCCTTCAGGAAAGCGGACGGCTGTACTTGAAAACAGAATGTACAAACTTACTACACTCCTCTCTGCCTGCCCACCACCCCCACTCCACCCTGCCCTGCCCCAGGGAGCTCGTCCACCTAAATCTTAGAGATGCAATTGGCTACTTTAGGATTTTTAATGCCAGTGACTGTCAGAGGGGAAAAGAATGACTATTTGTTTTGTTATTATTTTTCCTTTTACCATCACAAGCAGTTAAAATACATCCTAAAATAGACATATATATAACGAAAGCTATGATCATTTGGCTTTCCTAATGTCTAGTGAATGGTCCAAAGAAAACGTCATACCTAAGAGGTGACAATCAGCTACAAGGAGGAAGTCTTTAAGAAAGAGGTACCAAAGCTGTGAGGCAAATGCATTCTGGGAGCTTGCTGGAGCTCTGAAACCCAGAGTTCACATAGAGAAAAACAAAACTGACAATATCCAGTTGACCCTTGCACAACACAGGTTTGAACTGCGTGAGTCCACATCTTATGCAGACTTTTCTCAGCCAAACACAGATAAGAACACAGTATTCACAGATACGAAACCTGCCTGTATGGAGGACCAATGTTTTGTATGCTCGGGTTCTGCAGGGCCGACTGCGGGACTTGAGTGTGTGCAGATTTTGGTATAAACAGGGGTGCTGGAACTGATTCCCTGCATATACTGAGGGATGACGGTATTTAGAAACTGAGTGAATTAAGAGCTATATAATTACTTAGCATATTCAATAAAAATTGGAAATTCAGGTGAAGTATTTCTCTGCTTCTACCAATAGATATTGCTTTTATTTTTGTCCACATTCTTCAGATGACTGTCCTAATTTCTTATATCATTTTGCCTTAATAAATAAATAAATAAATAGTGTCTTAGTAAGTACAGTCCTCCCTTGGTATACAAGGGGGATCAGTTCCAGGACCCCTGCCTATACTCAAATCTGCAAATACTCAAGTCCTGCCATCTACCCTGTGAAACCTTCAGATCTGAAAAGTCAGCCCTCTGTATATGTGGATTTTGCATCTGATGGATACCATATATATATATATATATATATTTTTTTTTTTTTTTTTTTTTTTTTTTTTTTTTTGAGACAGAGTCTTTCTCTGAAGCCCAGGCTGGAGTGCAATGGCACAATCTCAGCTCACTGCAACCTCCGCCCCCTGGGTTGAAGTGATTCTCCTGCCTCAGCCTCCAAAATAGCTGGGATTACAGGTGCCCACCACCACACCTGGGTAATTTTTGTATTTTTAGTAGAGACGAGGTTTCACCATGTTGACCAGGCTGGTTTCAAACTCTTGACCTCAGGTGATCCACCCGCCTTGGCCTCCCAAAGTGCTAGGATTACAGGCATGAGCCACTGTACCCGGCCTTTTGGATACTGTATTTTGGACTTGCATTTGTACACAGAACCTGCAGCTACAGAGGGCTGACTGTATTTATTGAAAAAAAAATTTTGAGCAGAAGTGGACCCACACAGTTCAAACCTGTGTCTTCAAAGGTCTTCTTTACACAGTATTTTTAATATGCTCATTGATGAGATCCAATGTCTCCGAAGAGGAAAGTAGGCTGAATCAGAAAAAGTACTGACTGTCATTTGGGGTTATTAGTTCTAGACCTGGATCTGAACCTAAAATGTTGGATAAATCATCTAGTTTTGTTTTTTTAATTACAAAACTGGAGGAGAATGTTCTCTTAGGTCTCTTCATTCTGTAAGAGAGAAACTAAGTGATTTATTCACCTGAGGACATTTTATTATTAACATTACTGAAGAAAAGCATCACCACCACTTCCTTCTATGGCTCATTTTGGTGTTTGACACTGTTAGTGTTACAACTTCAAATAGAACCTAAATGCTGATCATCAGTAATTAATTTCATTTATTATTTTATTTGCAAAGAGGAGGGACTCAGTTTAGTCTCTACATTACTTATACTAATCCCCTTCATAGGCCAGGCAGAGTGGCTCATGCCTATAATCCCAGCACTTTGGGAGGCTGAGGCAGGCAAATCACTTGAGGAGTTCAGCCTGGGCAACATAGTGAGACCTCGTCTGTACTAAAAATTAAAAAAAAAAAAAAAAATCCCCTTCATAATGTGAAGACTTATCTCCCTACTTTCTAAAGGGGAAAAGAAGATGCCAAATCCTCTAATAGTTATCCATAGAATCTGTTTTCTAGTCTCTCTTTCTTCAAATTTTGTGCTTGCATTTTTTTTAGCTAATTATTTTCAATTCCCATTATTTTTTTCTTTTTAATCTAGAAGTTGGGAGGAAAGGCATTCTTTCATTCATGAAAGCAATATTTATTAAAAGCCTATATGCCAGGCAGTACATGAGGAGTAAAACATACACTGTGTTCATGAACCTTACAGTTTATTAATTTGACAGATAAAAGAACTTTGCTTCACTAAGAAAACAAGAACATTTCACTTAGCACAGAAAAAATAAAAGAATAAAAAGAGAAAACCAGAACAACCATAGAGCCCTGCCCCCAACTTTGTTTGGGGTCAGACTTATACAGTTTAAAGTAGCCACAACAAAGAGAAAAATGTTCTGCTCTGCCTTAGAAATACTGTTTTTTTCCTTCCAAATTATGATTTTAAAGGTCTTTCAAGGGAGGGCCAGATGTTGTGACTCATGGCTGCAATCCCAGCACTTGGAGAGGCCAAGGAGGGAGGATTGCTTGAGGCCAGGAGTTTGAGACCAGCCTGGGCAACATAGTGAGACCCTGTCTCTATAAAAAAATTAAAAAATTAGCCAGGCAATGAGTGTGACCTGTAGCCCCAGCTACTCAGGAGGCTGAGGCGAGAGGATCATTTGAGCCTAGGAGTTAGAAGCTGCAGAAAGTTATGATCATGCCACTACACTCCAGCCTGGGCAACAGAGCAGGACCCTGTCTCTAAAATTAAGAAGAATAAATAATAAAATAAAGTTCTTTCAAGCCCTGAAGGTCTTACCCATCCATTTTGAAAATCCCTTTCAACTTGTGTTCAAGTCACATTTTTTATTAATAAACAATACTGTTTATTCTGAGACATTATAGTACTTGCTTAGATGACCTTTTATAATTTAAGATAATGTTCTTAATTATTTTAAGATAAAGAAATCATGACTAGACACTACAGAATGCCTGAACTGAACCTGTGGATGAAACAAGCAACTCTTCAATCAGTTTTGTTCTTGAATTATGCCCGTTGCTTCTCTGCAGATGAGGATCAGGTGACAGGCTGGTGAGGACATTTAGCATGCAGTAGCTTTTCTGTCTGGGCCAGTTGAGTCATTCCCTGAGGCAACCATAACCCATCTTCCCTGGGGTGTTTGTCTCCATGAGGACAAAACTTACCTGGGATGTGTATAATCAAATGTCACATTCAAAATTTGGAAGTTTAGTATGAAGCAAAGAGCTATCATGATGAACAAATATAACATTTTCTCCATTCATTTTGCTGGAAACAGGATTGTATCAATGCCAAGAAAGAATTGTACAACATTGTCTTAACTACTATTACTTAACATGGGCTGAAAGCCTATCATCTTGCATTTGCTTGGAACAGAAATGCATTTGCCACCTGGTTTTAGTCAGTAATATTCTTTCTAATTTTTCTTCACGTTAGCTTTCCCAAAGAGCTTATGAATAAACATCTCCTCTCATAAACTGGGAGAATGCAAACTGATAACAGAAATAATTTAATTTTGAGGAGTTATTTATTAGAGAGTTCTTTGGAAAAAGTGGTCTCTGAAAAATAACCTGTATTTGAATACGGCTTTTAGCTAAACCACCTCCTATTACCTATCACGAGTTGCTTCGGTAAAGGCTTCGCTTTAAGTTTCAAACTATTTGTTTATTTTTATTTTTTAATTTTCTAAGACAGGATCTTAATCCGTTGCCCAGGCTGGAGTGAAGTAGTACGATCTTGGCTGATCCTCCCACCTCATCCTCCCAAGTAGCTGAAACCACAGGTGTCTGCCACCACACCTGGCTAATTATTTTGTAGAGATGGGGTCTCCCTATGTTGCCCAGGCTGGTCTCAAACCCGTGGGGCTCAATCAGTTCTCTCACCTTGGCCTCCAAAGTGGTGAGATTACAGGTGTGAGCCACCATACCTGGCCCATTTATTTATTTTTATCAGTAAACATTTTGTAAGTCCCTACTATGTACCAAGCATTGTGCTAGAAATGTAAAGAAAACATTAAAACTAACAACTAACAGAGATTGGGCCTACAGAATCTATGATGTTATACACAGAGAAATGTGCTGAGAGGGCATTTTTTACTTATTTCCTTTCTTGACCAGCTTACCCAACTGATGTCTGCTCATGGATACAATCTGAGGGGGGAAACGTCAGAGAGCAAACTAGAAGGACTTGAGTCCACTGTACTTTTCTTTTGAGTCCTGTCATGAGCTTTTTGTGTCAGCAGTAACAAACTTTAGTGAAGAATGACTTTTAGATTAGAAAGTGATGACTGCTATTGGGACCCGCTTTGAATCAACTGATCAGTTACTGTTCCTGTAGATGTTTCTATTCCAGCTAGACATCCAGAAGCCCCAAACACACCCTAGACTTTTCCCTCTCAACTCTGCCACATCTTGTGGCTTGAAACCTATAACTGGTTTGTATCCTTCATCTCAGTCCAACCACATGGAGTATTAAAACCACCTCTAGGCCAGGCGTGGTGGCTCACACCTGTAATCCCAGCACTTTGAGAGGCCAAGGCAGGTGGATCACCTGAGGTCAGGAGTTCGAGACCAGCCTGGCTAACATGGAGAAACCCCGTCTCTACTAAAAATACAAAAAAATTAGCCAGGTGTGGTGGCAGGCACCTGTAATCCCAGCTACTCAGGAGGCTGAGGCAGGAGAATCACTTGAACCCAGGAGGCGGAGGTTGTGGTGAGCTGAGATCATGCCATTGCACTCCCGCCTGGGCACCAAGAGTGAAACTCCGTTTCAAAAAAAAAAAACCACCTCTAAAAATAAATCACAGCATGCCAGGAATAAAAGCAAAAAAAAAAAAAAATTAAATAAGTAAAATAAAAATAAAACTTCTGAAAACAGGGTTTCTAGCACTGTTCTTGGTCCAGTCCACTTTCCATGCTGCTACCAGAAAGGCAAATCGACTTAAGTTATTCACCGCATCCCCGTCGCCTTAAGAACACTGCTATACTTCCTAATTGTCTAGAGAATGAAAGCCATGGCACTTACTTCTTCTTGCCACTATAGCCCCAGTGCCTTCTTCAGTGCTGGACACATAGTAAGCACTCAATGAGTATGTGTTGAATGCATCTGTGGCTTTCATGTCCATGTCCAGGCTCCTGTCTATGTCTCCAGCCACATCTGCTGCTTCCCTCAAGCCGTATCCATCAACTAACAGTTCCCCAAACTCATTTTGCTCTCTCTTGCCTTTAAGCTTTCACACTGGTAGTGCTTCTAGCTTGGAACGCTGC
The DNA here is from genome assembly GCF_000001405.40 of Homo sapiens. Classification (NCBI taxonomy): domain Eukaryota; kingdom Metazoa; phylum Chordata; class Mammalia; order Primates; family Hominidae; genus Homo; species Homo sapiens. Next base: position 200,123,323 of record NC_000001.11, on the reverse strand, counting down.
ACCCGCTTGGGACCACATCCCACCTTCTCTCACCAAATCTATCTGGAAAACACTGTTTCATCTCTCACAGGAGAATACTGCTGCAGTCATCTCTCAGAATAGACCCTGGCCTCTGACTAGTCCACAGAATCTTCATTTTTCTCCAGGACCAAAGAGTCTCAAGGCTGGGCTGAGACAAAAATATAGCAGGCTTCAGACTCAGGGGACTCGAGGCTCAGGAGGAGCATCTGGGACAGCAGGTACCAGCTTAGGACTTGGCCTTAACTTTCAAGAGTGACTCTGGTATGATTTCACCCTTAATCACAGGTAAAACCAGCATTTGGGGCTAGCTGAGGCACCTAAAGTTAATTATCTATATACCTCAATAAAGGTGAAATTCAAAAAATTGATTAGCCACTGTTTCTACAGAGTAAAAAGTTTTTCCACTCACAAATTAGAAACTACTTGAATTTTACTACTGGTTACTTTTCTCCTGCTTCTCTAAAAAAATAGACTCTCGGCCAGAATTCTATTTGCCTCTGATCTGAAAGCCATGCTTTCCTTTCTTCCTTAAGCAACAAATAGACATGGATTTAATGGACATTTAGGCCAGCTATTCACTGGTGTACTGGGCTCCTGAAACAATCGAAGTGCTCATTAAACATCAGAGTGTATGACTAAAGTTCTGGTAAATACATGGCCCAGTTGTTCAGGAAGATAATTTTTGAGGTTCAAAAGTTGAAAGCATCTCAGATCTAGCCCAACCCCCTCCTTATAGTATTAGCAGAGAATATAATAATTTTGGAAGATGATGAAGGAAAGTTAAAAGTGCTGAAAACTAAAGATGGCTCATGGTTAATATGTACATCTTCAAATGTAATACATTTCTTCAACTAATTTAAAATACCATTGAAATGAGATGACCCTGTAAATATTTTATCACTAAGATGCTATACAGTTTCTTATACATATATTACCACATTTTCCATTTAATTAGTGATCAAATGCACTAGTTTAAAAGACTAAGATCTTAACATAAACCAGAATAATTTGTGCGATTACAGCAAGCAGGCGTATGCTTGCTATCTTCCTTTTTAACATTCTAAACACTGTTCTCGGGTAAAAGATGCAGACTTACTTGAACAGAACTTTCCTTTTTATTGTGGTTAATACAGAAACCACACAGGATCCAGTCTTGGCATTGTAAACCTTTGAACGTTACATCCATGAAATTCTGTTGTCCATTTAAATTTTCAGTAACATTTCTTTTTGCTGTATTTATCACATTTTCCAAAATATGAAAATGCTCTTTTTATTTTAAATGTTGACTATACATGAAAAATTAACTCTGGTTCTATTACTTCAAACTACCCCTTTATTAGCAACAGTTGTGCAGTCCTGTCAAGAAGAATTTTAAAAATAAAGTACCAAATTTGGAGAGTAGACACATCTGTTTTACTTTGCAGTTTGTTTTATTGTTTTATTCCCTAGAATATGAATTCACAACTATCTTATAACTGAAGACTAAAGAAAAAACATATGTTGGTGAATCTGATTTCTGCATTTTTTTCATTCAAGGGAAGTTGCCTCCCTCAGCTGTCTGCCAATAAGTAATAAATGGACTTGGCAAAAAGTTTATTTAAGTTGGCTTTATTAAGCCAACAAAATACAGAAATCAAGTAAGGGACAGACAGGAAAATCTGTTCCTTTGAAGTCAATAAAAATCCATCTCCTTAATCCTTTTTTTATTCCAAGCTGTGGTGATTTTTCTCAACTGACTCACTGAGAACCTTGATTTAGCTAATCTGTCTTGCTTAGTTATCTTTCTTTTCCAAAGCTTTCCTAAAGAATCATCCTTTCCCCTTGACAACTGTCATCTTTTGTACTTGCATAGTGGTGCATCTGGTTATAAACATTCTCTAGTTAATCCCGATAGAGATTTAAATACAGGTTTTTAATTACGATTCATATTTTAGAAGAATAAAAACAGAAGTAAATAGCAAGTTGAAACGAAAGGCACATAGAAATTACCAATGGGAGAAAGATGGCTAAAATTTGATACCATACATCTTTCCTAAGCTGTCTGTTTTAAACCTTTGTCATAGCTTTATTTGGTTATTGCTTATCTGTATATTATGGAAGAAAAACCAGGACTCATTTGAATGAGTCAATTGAATAACTCATTTTCCATTCCCCAACGTATCCACTGAAGGGCTATGCATCATGCAGAAATATATATGAAAATATATTCACGTTTGAAGATTTCATAATTTGACAGGAAGGGCATTATATTGATAGAACAAAAACATACATGGACCACAAGATATTTGAACTTCAACATCATTTAGCAATCGTTGGTTGAGCACAGCATGAGAAAAGGATTTCTTACCTAAACTAAAGAGCACCAAGAATTTCAGACATACGAACTCTCGTTGATCAAACTGGAGAGAACGAAGTTTTGCCACTAACTCCTGTGCATGACTCATGAGGTTGTTGAGGGTGGCTCCGGCTTGTGATGCTATTATGGAATAGTCCACCTGCAATACAGAATCACAGTTTTAAGGACTATCAGAATCAGCAATATGTATTTCACCTGAGTCGTAAGAACTATGGGTAAAATCAGATTGCAATACAGGTTTTTAAAATAGAATAGAGATGTGGGGTCTCACTATTTGACCAGACTGGTCTTGAACTCCTGAGCTGAAGTGATCCTCTGGCCTTGGCCTCCCAAAGTGCTGGGATTGCAGGCCCAAGCCACCATGCCTGGCCACAATACAGATTGATAACAGAAGGGATTTTCCCCATGCAAGTAGTTTGAGGCACATTCCATGATTCTAAAATGCATCAGAATTACTATGTCTGATAAATATAATCACTTTTGATAAGCTTTGTAGGAAAGAGGTTTTGGCTACCTAAATTTTTCAAGTATATATGCCTTTTTTATATTATGAAATTACATCATCACATAAGATAAAAAATTTTAACTCTCATGAATAAGGTGAAAGAAAAACATACTGTCCATGAAAAGTGAATCCAGGAGAGTGTTCTATGTATATACAATATTAACTAGTGCATGAGGAAAATAAAGGCAGATATATTTCTACTTGTATTATGAGACTACATTTTAAAGTAATCATAGTTCAAGATTGGATGTTTGTGGATGATGAAAGAATCACATTTAAATTATTCTTTATAGAACAGCAGAAGTGTTAATTTAAAAATTTAAAATAAATACAAATAAATTATTCTTTAGTTTTCTGTTTCCTAAAAAGCATGACATAAAACTGCTATTCTCAGATGATTACATTAGATTACATCAGATTAATGTGTTTCTCTCTAAAGACAGCAATAACTTTATTTAGGAGAATAATTCCGTTGTCTGGAAGCAAAAAAAGAAAAGGCTTATTTCCCTTTTCATTAAAAAAAAAAAAGTGCTGGCCGGGCACGGTGGCTCATGCCTGTAATCCCAGCACTTTGGGAGGCCGAGGTGGGCGGATCGCTTGAGGCCAGGAGTTCAAGGCCAAACCCCATCTCTACTAAAAATACAAAAATTGGCTGGGCGTGGTGGCATGTGCCTGTAATCCCAGCTACTGGGGAGGCTGAGGCAGGAGAATTGCTTGAACCTGGGAGGCGGAGGTTGCAGTGAGCCAAGATCGTGCCATTGCACTCCAGCCTGGGGGAAGAAGCCAGACTCCGTCTCAAAAAAAAAAGTGTTGCTAGGCACCAATCTTAGATTATTCATGGGGACATAAGAAGTTCAATTTATAACAAGTTAAGATGTTGGGATGGCTGTCAGTGATAGCACTGGCTTTGCTGCTGCGATTACAGCATAATGGGAAAGCCCAGTTGGTACCTGACGCTCCCATCCTTTTTTTACTGGAGAGCTCTCAGGCAACCAGATACTCTTTTAGGTGCATTTAATATTTGCAGCAGCAGCAAATTTGTCTGGGAGGCAAGTCCTCATCTGCCACTCACCCAGAGCAGACTGTATTAAATTTTTATATTTATTGACATTTCATTACCATAATTGACTGCACTTGCTTCTCTAGGAGAAGGCACAGGGCTGCCTCCTAAGCAGGAGAACTAGTCCCTTGAGTAGAATTTGCAATTAAAAACAAGGCAGAATGGATTTTTTTTATTGTGTAAATATGATGAGTTGAATTTTCAGCTTTAACTAGAGAATACTGGGTGTACAGAAACCTTTTTCAAGAGTGAGAAAAATTATGAGTCAGAGGAAAGATGACCCCCAAAGGTGTCAATCAGTTTATATAGAGTCAACTATGCATGAAAAAGCCACAGTTAATGTGTGTTAGAGGAAAGCTCTTGCATCATGTACAGCACTGTCTACCTGCTTTAGCCAGGTGCTGGCATCTACGCACTAAATTTAAACATCAAGTGTTGTAAGAACTCCTGTGGTTTCTGTTTCAGAATGTGTGAAAGAAGGGTCAGTACCTGGGCAACCTGAACCCTGAGCTGGAAGGAGGCAGGACACACTGTTGAACTCTGTGGGGCACATTGGGATTATTTGCAGAGCACACAAAGTGACGTCTCAACTATCATTTTGCCAGTTCTCTTACAGGGGAACTTTCTACTTCAAGGAAAGTCCTTACTTTAAAAAGGTGCCTATGCTATAAATTCTTTAAAAACTGCACATAGTCAACTACTTCAGATAATAATAATACAAATTTTACTGAGACTAATGGGATAGATGAGTGAATGAGAGCAGGAAGGCCTGATGGTACAACAGTGGTGGCAAAAGCCAGAGACTAGGTAAGAGACCCGAGCCAATGCTGCCTCTTACAAACGAAGAGCCTTGGACAAGTACGTATAAATCTCCATCCCTTGGTGTCCTTATCTTTAAGTAAGGCAGTTAAGTTAGGTGATGATAATAAGGTACCTCTCACTTCTATGATTATCAAGAATCATAGATGGGACAAGATTAACAATTTAAGCTTGGAATCAACGGAATGCGCTGTAGCTGTAGCTTAATATATACAAAGTATATTGTAGTAAATACCACTAGTTAAGATCCAGGTGCGGTGGCTCACTCCTGTAATCCCAGTGCTTTGGGAGGCCGAGGTGGGTGGATCACCTGAGGTCGGGACTTCAAGACCAGCCTGGCCAACATGGTGAAACCCCATCTGTGCTAAAAATACAGAAATTAGCTGGGCGTGGTGGTACATGCCTGTAATCCCAGCTACTCAGGAGGCTGAGGCAGGAGAATCGCTTGAACCCAGGAGGCAGATGTTGCGGTGAACTGAGATTGCACCACTGCACTCCAACCTGGGCAACAGAGTGAGACTGTCTCAAAAAAAAAAAAAAAAAGAAAAAGGCGAGGTGCGGCGGCTCATGCCTCTAATCCCAGCACTTTGGGAGGCCGAGACGGGTGGATCACCTGAGGTCGGGAGTTCGAGACCAGCCTGGCCAACATGGTGAAACCCCATCTCTACTAAAAGTACAAAAATTAGCCAGGCGTGGTGGCAAGTGCCTGTAATCCCAGCTACTTGGGAGGCTGAGGCTGGAGAATCGTTTGAACCCAGGAGGCGGAGGTTGCAGTGAGCCGAGATTGCGCCATTGCACTCCAGCCTGGGGGACAAGAGCAAGACTTCTCTCAAAAAAAAAAGAAAAGAAAAAAAAATCACTAGTTAAGGCCTGAATCAGGAAGACCATACTAAAATGAAACACAAATATGTTGGTATTAATTTTCCATTATTAAGATGGAGTTAATTAAATATTGTTGTGTATAGTTCTAACAGGTGTATAATAATAAGTTCAAATACAAGAATTTCATATGTGAAAATGTAGTACACTATAACGGAAAGGAATCTGTTTCATAGGATTATATATTTAGTGAGAGACCTTTAGTGAGATGGACCTCAAAAAATCAATTGGTTTACCAACAAATTTATAACTATACATTTATTTACATGCTAATTTGAAAGCTCAAACATGCTTATTAAATGGGGGCTTAGAAAACATTTCTTTCAAGGATATTTATCAAATTGCACAGCTCTAAAGAAGGATAGGTGATTTATTCTTGAAACAACATTCAGATCTCCAACTTCCTTACATTTTATTACAAACATAATTATATTTTCATTGTTGAATGCAGAGTTTGTGCTCATTTCAGGAGCAGTTGGCCTTGTCTTTTATGTACTTAGTAAAATTAATTTTTTGCTCTCTTACATGTAATCTTTGTGTCATTAAATTCAAGGGAGATATTGAAGCAATACTCTAAACTGATGTCCCCTTTAGATAAATTTCACTCATCATGAAAAAGTAGAAAACAGTTTTACCTAAATTGCTTTTAATTCTAATCACTGAAATTTTGATGACTTGTATATTATAAGATGCCTGTCATTTTAATATGATACACAATAATAGAAGATAATAAGTTGCCAGTAGACCTTTCCCTTAGGATGATGTTACAGTGGCTGTTAATTAGCAACAATATGCAAATACTAAAACCTGACCCCACTTCAAAGTACATTATTATTTTATACATACATAGATATATGTGTGCATATGTGCGTGTGTAGTTTTTAAAATATTGGATAGGAAATAATTCTTTTCATAACTAAGTTGCGACTATATAGAACATTTGAAGTGCTTAATATTACTGATAATCATAATTTCCTTTTTGCTTAACAAGGCTATTTAATATACATTTATGTAGATGCCTGATTCAAAGACGCAATTAAAACATAATAGCTAACTTACAGGGTTAAGTGAAACACTGAATCCTCATTTCAATATACAATGTACTGGTGTCCTGGGCTGCTCTTTGCAGTGGGGCTATTTTGGTTTCTCTAGTTCTGAATGAACTATGAACAGACATAGTTCAATTCTGCAAACATTTATTAAGCAAACTTGTGAGCCACTGGGCTTAAGAGAAAGGCTGTGCTATTTTATATTTCTTCTCTTTTCAAGCTCCAAGGAGCAATTTCCTGGATAGTCACTCATTTTTTAAAATCCAGGCTAGTCTTTTTCTTTTTTCTCTGCTATGACAAATTCACCACATTATTTACAGTGAGCTGTGTTTAGTAAGAAAAAGCCAGAAGATTGGGCTACGGAACACCTGGGGTCTTGCATTCCTCTGTCTGTCCAAAGGGTCACTATAAAGCAATGTGTAGACATGACATACATGCTTTCAAGGTGAAACAAAATCACTGTCTGGTGTTCCCTTTGTGTTGGGACTTCATTCCTGATATTGTGGACTGAGGCATATTTAATATTCCTATTTGCCAATCTCAAAATACTCAGTATAAACATTTTCATTTGTTTCAGAAGTAATCATTTTCTCAACAGGGCAGTTGAGAAAATACTGTAAGTAAACCTGGAAATCTATAATGAGTGAATTGTATTTCTTCTGGCTGAGGCTGAAAAAGGTGGCGAGTTTAGTTAAAGTTTCATCTAGTAATTGCCTGTCACTGTTCCTCTGACCTAGAAGGATTTTAAGCAATGGTGTTTTCCTCAACTTACAAAGGAGAGTACAATCAAATATCCTCACTTTAGGGGTAAGGCACTTCCTTATAGAAGCTGAATCATCTGGACAGCTTAGAACACCCATCTTATTCTCCTTGCACTTCCTCCTCTGAAATTTCCCCGCACTTTCTCTGACCCTGTGTAATGGGGCTTACCTGTGAAAGTACACAGTGAAAAGCACTATGCAAAGGGCAGTCATTAATTAGGTGGATGAATTATGCCTCTTATCACTATTGGCTGCAGAGCTGTGTCTAATGTTTTTCCCCTTACATCTTTGATTTCCCTTCATTTATCAGGCCATCAGAAGCATTTGTTTTAACTAAATTAAAAAATGTATTTATCTCCTACAAGTGAGTACCAAGCTGCCTTTAGGGGAATTTTGCATGCTGTATTGGGGTAATACCATTTACTTTTTCCCATGATATCAACAACATGGCCTCAATACAGTGCTTCATGGAAACACACTTCTAGCAGTGTTTGAAAGTTCACATTCCACACAAATCCATGATAGCAGGTCAATATGTCTCTGGGGCAGGCGAGTTATTTTATTTAGAAAAATGAGAAAAATCCTCTTTTAAGATACATGTTTTCCCCCAAAGATTGGAAGAGAATTCAACAAAAAGTTGATTCAAGTGGTGGCATTATGAGTGATTTTTTCATAGTTTTAGTTTTTTCTTAATATTAAAATAATTTCATAACACTAAGCAACAATCACATTAAAATTGCTTGTGAATAACTTAAATCTACTGTAACAATGTGCTTACAATGCCATATAGAAAATTCCCCCAAAAACAAACTACTAACTAACTAAACCACAAAAAAAGCATATCCATTTAGTCTCAATAAAAAAGGAAATGAATTTGTTTTGCTTGGAATTTCCATAGAGTCTGTCATGCACTGGAATTACACATGAAGACCATATTAAATGCCGGCGTGAAGGCAAGCTCTGCAGCATCTGTGAGTTAATCAGATAAACGGTATGGCATGTTGGTAAAGAACACAAACTCTAGCACTAGTTGGCCTCGATCTGACCATCTGTTCTGCCACTTACTAGATGGGTCTTGACCTTGAATCAACCACTTCATCTTTCTTTGCCTTGGTTCCTCATCTGCCAAAGAGGGATAATAGTCCTTTCTTCGTGGGGTTGTTGACTCCATAAATGTCACCCTTGCGCTGGCCTAGTTTTGATGACTTCTAATTTTTGTGTCAGCATTTCACAGAATACTTCCTGTAATTCCTACTGCAATTCTCTCTGGTAGATAACATCATAGTTGCCACTGGACAGGTGAGGACACTGAACCTCAAAAGGTAAAGCGACTTGCTAAATATGACACAGCCAGGAAGTTTTGGAATGGAGACACGAAAACAGGTTGTTCCAATTCTAAATTACACCTGTATGTGTGAATTTTACACACACACACCAGAGAGCACATGGTCTGCACTAGTGAAGAAAATATACTCTAACCACAGCTCAATTGTTATTGGATTATAAACATAACAGGAAGCAGTTCTTTTTTTCTTTTTTTTCTGCCTCCTTCAACTTTCATATCATATATATGTGTGTGTATATATATGTGTATATATATGTATATATGTAGATATATTTGTGTGTATGTGTGTGTGTGTATATATATATATATATCTTCTAGCTTCCACCTCTTTTCTATTATTTTTTTTGAGATGGCGTCTTGCTCTGTTGCCAAGGCTGGAGTGCAGTGGCACGATCTTGGCTCACTGTAGCCTCTGCCTCCCGGGTTCAAGCGATTCTCCTGCCTCAGCCTCTCAAGTAGCTGGGACCACAGACGCATGCCACCATGCCAGGCTAATTTTTTTGTATTTTTAGTGGAGATGGGGCTTCACCATGTTCGCCAGGCTGGTCTCGAACCCCTGACCTCAAGTGACCCACCCGCCTCAGCCTCCCAAAGCGCTGGGATTACAGGCGTGAGCCACTGTGCCCGGCCTCTTTTCTTTTTTATAAATCCTCTTTTCCTCTAGCATATTGCTTTACTCTTATACTTAATATATTCCTTTCCTTCCACTCATCATTGTTTTAACTACCTTCTTAAAATTTGTGTACACAAAGTAATGTTGTTGTAGCAAAAATCTAATTTTCCCATTTTTACACTCAGGGAAGTATTTATAATTCTCAAAAAAATTATACTTAATTTGTTTTAATCAAGCAACCAGGAGAGATACAATAGTTCTCATTTAGTTCAATCAGGTAATATGTATCATGTGCCCAACATATTCAGCTTTGTGCTAGGTACTGTGAGGATATAAAAGAAGTACATGTATATGACCCTGCTTTAAGATATCTGTCTCATTCTGATAGAGAGGTTACAGGCTTTTGAAGTCTTCCTTTGCAGCACTTTTGCTTCCATCCTATGAAACGCAAGAAGCACAGAGATAAATTCAAAACGTTTTGTCTAGATATTCCGCAAAAGAAAATAAACATGTCTACCATAATTGCCATAAATGAGAATGTCTGATTACAATTAATCATTACTAGGGTAGCCACTGGACTGGATGAAAAAAGTGAAGGGAGGGGTTCTGACAGACCTGTGGCACACTTTAAAGGGTGGGGAGGGGAGCTGGAAGAATCCAGGCTGCAGGAAACATATTTAAAGAGTGGGGAGGGGAGCTGGAAGAATCCAGGCTGCAGGAAACATATAAGGAAATAACTATTTCTCCACCATGGAGTTCCTCATTCAGTTCTGATGACAAAACACAAAGCACCAGTAATTGATCCAAAAAACTATAATACCATCCATTCCTTGATTGTTCTTGGTTTTGAAAATCAGACAGCAAGAAATGCACTTTTCTCTATTTTTTAAATAGTAATTACCCTCACCCACGGGCAGCACTTAAGGCAAAATGAAATGTGAAATAAGAAATATTTCTAAAGAGCAGGAATGGAAGTGCTTTGAGAAAAAGAACGGCACAAACCCATTTCATTTCTGAAACTCAGAAGGAAATGAAATCAAATTAATTAGTGGGCCCAGTCTTGTACTTCCAATGCAGCTCCTAGTTCGGTGAAGGTGGGAGGCACACCCAATGATTAGACTCTGAAAATGGGTACATTTTCTCCAAAGACTTGGGTCCCAGAATGAAAATGCCAAAAAAAATTTGAAAGCACAGGAAGTCAAACCCATTGAGACTTTATTTTCTCCTCTGCAACGCTTTTCTCCTGAGAGGTGCAGATAGCAAGGACCAGATAGTGATGGAGATGCTTGAATTGACCCAATTTGCAAAAACTCTGAAATAGTGCTTGCTTTTAATTTGATTGGGAAATTTTGATTTATTAATAATACAGCAAATGATGTGGAGACAGCCCTTCATTTCCAAATAGCATTGCTGTGGTTTCACAGCACATAAACATTTATGGCTGAACATAAAAGATCATGGTGCCGAGTACTGAAGTCACCATTGCTGAACAATGCAGTGGGACCCTGAATAGGTATGACCCAAAGGATTGAAGGAATCACTGTGTCCCACACATTTATTTAAATAGCACATCAGTTGTAGAACGGAGGGTTAAGAAACTGGAGAGACTTGCCTAAATTCCTGTAAAGTTGCAGTTAGGTCTATTAAGTAGACTCTCTCCAAAGACATTCACAAAGCTGTCTCTCCTCCTTTAAGACTTTGCTCAAATGTTACATTTCCAATAAAGCCAAACCAACCATTCCTATTTCACAGTGCAACTTATGGGTCACACTGCAACACATGTCTGTGGATGAGTGTTGATTTTCTTTTCATTGGTTCTTTCCTTTTTTTTTTTTTCTTTTATTCAGTAGCACTTTGACCTTTAACATATTACAGGCTTGTTTCTTAGGATTATTGTTTAATGTCAGCTTCTCCCTGCTACAACATTAAGTTCCGCAGGGGCAGGAACCTTTTTATTTTGTTCACTAATATACACCAAAGCCCCCAAAAAGTAACTAGCACAGAGTAGGATGCTCAATAAATTTTTGTTGATCGAACAAACATCTGTTCAGAAAGGTGTAGGACCTAACAGTAATTTTATTCTCTCTATCTTTCATTTGAATGACTGGATCTTGAAAACTGAAATTCCCCTCCCTTCTCATTTGCCTTTATACCAACTATTTCAATTATTCATGACATCCAAATCCATCTCGTTCACCAATATTTTTCCAAAATAGTAAGGACTCCACAAGTTATAAGGTTTTAAAACAGCTGACAAACAAGTGTCTTGGGTTAAAGCAGAAGCTCGAGGAAAAAGAAAACCTGGGTACTAATCATTACGTTTCATTTACCAGTTCTTCGGACCCTTGTAAGCAGGACTTTCAGTCCCAGCAGACTGGAAGCAGCAGAATGTTCATGATTATGTTTGCTTTTACAAGTTTAACTATAATAATCAGAGCAGGAACAGAGTGCACCAAGTCATCTTTTCTAAATTATTGGCAGCCAATCTCTCCCTTTCAAAGCACAAGAGTGCTTCTGACCTAGTTAAATTCCGGCCATTCTGAACATGCTTAATAAAAAGATGCTTTTTTTTTTTTTTTGGTCTCTACACTCACTTGTTGCCCAGTAACCAGGAAGATGGATCCTTCCTTTCCATGTACCACTTGTCGGTAAATGTGGTCGAGGATTAAGAGCTCACTCCAGCAGTTCTGAAGCAGCTTCATTTGGTCATCAACCTGCAAAAGAAATAGAAACAAACAAACAAAAAAAACAAAAAATGACACTGTTATTCACTACTTTTTTGTTTTTGTGTAATTTTCAACATAAGAGGACTACATATAAACAAGAAAGTCTCCACCCATGGTCACTGAAGCACAGGTGCCCAGAATTCATATCACTGCTCCTGAAAATCAGGATTTTCATTCGGACAAATAGTTTTTTTAGGACACACGTAGGTACTTAAGCTAAGTATTTATAATCAATGAACTGCTAGGAGAATGCACTCCATTAAACTGGTCTACCTAACATTAATAGAGCTATTAGAGTTAGGTCCAGGTGCCTCAGGTTGTCCTGAGTAGGCTCCATTAGAATGACCCCAGATTGCCTATGCTTATGTATCTAAAAGTGAATACAGTACATTAAAGTGAAGCTGAAATAGTACACAGATATTAGCAAACTGCCAAGCCAAAAGAATTCATATAAAAGAAAATTAGCATTACAGCCCATAGGACTTTTGGAGACAAAGACACACAGCCCGTTTTGTAACCAGTGTTAACTGAAAGTCCGATTGTGCTGGACTGAAGAGAACACTCACCAAGCATGATGTCGGTGCTAACTGGAATTTCTTTTATAATTTGGACAATTTTGCCACAAACTCTCTAAACTTCAGTTTTCTGATCTGAAAAACGGGCCCAAGAACAGTAAGTATCTTCCTGACAAGGTTGCTATGAGGATTACAATGAAAAGTGCTACATTATAATGGGGATCTTATGCACGTTCCACCTTCCCCGCCAGGGAACTGCATTCTTCAATGACAAATGCACATCTGTCTCATGTCCAGTCCTCGTATTTAAATATGGACAGCATATTTATCCATTTCTATAGCTATTTGTATCAGTTTACTTTTTGTTTTGTGATGTTTACCGGACAAAAACCTTGGTGTACCCAAATGCAATGGCCATATTTAGACATACACTATACATTATTGAAAAAGCAACTGCCATTTATATGTTGTGTAATATTTTTAAGAGTTTTGTGTATTTTAGATTTGACATGCAAAACATGCCTTTGAAGTTAGCAGAACTGGTATCCATTTTTTCAGATGAGAAAACAGGGGTGTCAGAGAGGTTCAGGGGTATGTCTAAAGACTTATTGGCTAGGCACAATGGCTCATGCCTGTAATCCTAGCACTTTGGGAGGCTGAGGCGGGCAGATGACCTGAGGTCAGGAGTTTGAGACCATCCTGGCCAACATGGTGAAACCCTGTCTCTACTAAAAATACAAAAATTAGCTGGGCATCGTTGTGCACACCTGTAATCCCAGCTACTTGGGAGGCTGAGGCAGGAGAATCACTTGAATCCGGGAGGCAGAGATTGCAGTGAGCAGAGATCATGCCACTGCACTCCAGCCTGGGTGACAGAGCAAGATTCCATCTCAAAATAAGAATTCTCATTCTCCCTCTCACAATCTAGGCTGTCTCCAAATTATATCAAGAGGCTCTATAATTTTATAAAACAAATACATTTAATTCACTTTATCAAATTCATTTTTATGTGGCCATTCCATAAGACTCTGAATAGCTGTCACTGATATATTAGTAGTGATAAGAGTTTCTGGCTAACTTTATTTCCACAATTTCAGGACACAGTGAGCTCAAGAAACCACCAAACACAGAGCAAAAACAAGGATTTGAGGCACAGTTCCACACTTTCTAGCTATGAGAGCTTGGCCAAGCTACTTAATTCTCCAGCCTTATATTTTCTCGGCTAAAAATATATGGGGCAAGTCTTGTGAAGATGCAATGAGATAATGGATGGGAAAGCCCTTTGTGAAGTGTAAAGCAACACACAAATGCAGAAATAACAACTAACAGAAGGCTCCCAACTGGAGGATCATGTAAGTGCTGTTTAGAAGAGAAAAAGAAATTACTTACAGAAATTGAAGCTATAATCAAGCTCTGTGATCAGGAAAAGGCATCCCCCAGCACATCTCCATCAGAAATGTTTCAAACCAGTATGTTCTGACCAAAACAGTTACATTCATTAAGTAAATAGCTATTGTTGAGAGCCAATTCTTTGGTGGTTATAAGTGCCAGGCCCTAGCATATAAGGGTGGACAAGATAAACGCAGTCACTGCCTTTTTGAAAATGATTCTGGTGCGGGAGAATGTTCACCCAAACAGTATTTAGTGGTTTAGTGGACAGTGAGAGTTCACATTTTTCTTTGAAGGAAAGTCTCCAGAATGGCATGTGGTTTTACAATCCAGGTGGTGGGCAGCAGCTTATGCAGATCTGCCCAAATGTTCCCTGCCCACAGCTGACCCAAGGAGCTGTGGCCTAACGTCCTAGCAATATGCATGTCATTGCATACACAGCAGATTCCAGGAACTGATCCTCTCAGGTGCTAAGGAGTGATTTCAAAGCCAGGTGTACTTTGCTCTCTCTGGGTTTTATTATATTCTCATACACTATCAGCATCTTATTTCAGATTTATTAGTCTATGATGGTAATTTGGTTTTGTTATGTTGTTCTGTGATGTGAAGTATTAGTTGTTTATTTAGCACTTATTTCAGGGAAGCCCAAAATACTTTACTTTGAAATTGGCTCCCCAGAAACAATTACCATACATGTTAATGTTGCATCAAATTTCTAAGTGGGTGGGGGACTGTAGAATCCCCAAAGTCTATTTATGGACACCTAAAAAGGATTCCAGCTTAAGAACCTATTTATACAAGAAAATTTATTATTCCCATTTTGCAGGTGGAAAAATGGAAGAACTGAGACTATCTTCTGGCCATGAACAGAAGGAGAAAAGGTGGGTGAAAATTAAGAGAAGTATGTCAGCCAGGTGTGGTGGCTCACAGCCATAATCCCAACACTTTGGGAGGCCGAGGTGGGAGGATCACTTGAGTGCAGGAGTTCAAGACCAGACTGGGCAACATAGGGAGATTACAAAAAAATGTAAAAATTAGCTAAGTGTGGTGGCACACACCTGCTACTCCGGAGGCTGAGGTGGGAGGACTGCTTGAACCCAGGAGGTTGAGGCTGAAGTAAGACATGACTGTGCCACTGCATTCCAGGCTGGGTGACAGAGCAAGACCCTGACACACACACACACACACACACACACACACACACGTATGTCTTCTAGAGCCATCTCATCAAGGGGTCTTCCTCTTCATTTGCATTTGATGGTTCCTGTCCTTCATATATAACTTGACAGAAATAGTTACGGTAACAAGACCTTGCCACAATTAAGCCATACTAAAATTGTAAGACAACAATCTGAGGCCGGGTGCCATGTCTTATGCCTGTAATCCCAGCACTTTGGGAGGCCGAGGCTGGCGGATCCCTTGAGGCCAGGAATTCAAGACCAGTCTGGCCAACATGGTGAAACCCCGTCTCTTAAAAAACTAGCCAGGTCTGGTGGCAGGCGCCTGTAATCCCAGCTACTCGGGAGGCTGAGACAGGAGAATTGCTTGAACCCAGAGGGCAGAGGTTGCAGTGAGCCGAGATCGTGTCACTGCACTTCAGCCTGGGTGACAGAACAAGACTCTGTCTCAAAACAAGCAAAAAACAGTCTGACTTTTCCTAGATTTCTTTTCTTTTAGGATGCTGAGGACACACTTCAAAATCTGCATATCCTCTGTTCCTCTGCTTCTCTAAAAATTGCAGGAATAGGTGAAATTGAGCCTGTCTGTTTTCTGTAATTAGTACTTCATTTTTGTTTTGTATTCTGTGCTGTTCACATTATCCTGTCTTCCTTTGTGTCTAACACGGCATCTCCTATAATCTCCCTGCTTTCGCAAAGTATTATGATTGTTTGCTTATTGTTCTGCCTTCCCTGAGGGCAGGGACGGATTCTGAAGCTACAGCTCCCAAGTGTCTTCCCTGGTGCCTGGCAAAAAAAAAAAAAGCCACTTAATAAATGCTTGCTAAATGAAGGAACAAATGACTGAATTACTTTCACTTCTGCAGTTTTCTGTGTATCTTGTGCATCTAGCCCACAACATAAGCAAACAACTCTTTCATTGTTTGTTTGTAGAATTAATGACAATCTTTACAGGGCAGTGACTACCTCAGCAACTTGCATCTGACCCTTCTCACACGTGCCCTGCAGGTCTGCACCCACAGCTGGCCCTTGGTAAAGACTTGACTGATTGTTAATTTTAACACCCAACGCCGCCCCCGCCACTCGAGCAATTGATTCCTTGTTTTAATACTCTCCGAGGAGGTTTTCTATGCCAACATTCCATTTCATTATTTTCCATAATTGATTATGTGGTATTTTATATTATCTTGAAATTGGTGAGTGTGCAGCTTCATGGTGCTTTGGATAACATAGTTTTTACGCAGCTCTATGAATAAAAAAAATAGGGTAAATGTGATGCCTGGCTTGTTCCCTTGTTCTCAACAATTGAGCAATGTTGACAATTTTGAAGATTTTTTGTTTTTTAAGAAAAACAGAGTTATGGGGGTGTGGGTAGAAAAAGGAAGGGGAGAAAAATAATCTACTTCTTTTAAGCAAATTCTCCAGGTATTAATGCTGTCAATAAACAATTTAGAGTGGCATCTAGGCAGTTCTGGGAAGAAGACCAAAGAAGTTTAAGTTCCACATTATATAGCAAAACCTCTCACTAGTGGTTAGCAATACCACCTCATATAATCGTGTGTTATCAGCTACAATAAAAGGAAGGGCTTATCTCAGAAACCTAGTTACTTATCAGAGAAACTATTTATATTGATATTATAGATGAGAGTGTAAAGGAATACAAGTCCCATATTGTTATGAAGCACAACTTCCCATAACCCAGAAAGTTAATCATTAGAAACTTGTACTTTTTCATAAGAAGAGTGAATCTAGGCCGGGCATGGTGGCTCACGCCTGTAATCCCAGCACTTTGGGAGGCCAAGGCAGGCAGATCACAAGGTCAGGAGTTCGAGACCAGCCTGGCCAACATAGTGAAACCCCGTCTCTACTAAAAATACAAAAAATTAGGTGGGCATGGTGGCGGGTGCCTGTAATCCCAGCTATTTAGGAGGCTGAGGCAGGAGAATCACTGGAACCCAGGAGGCAGAGGTTGCAATGAGCCGAGATGGCACCACTGCCCTCCAGCCTGGGCCACACAGCAAGACTCTGTCTCAAAAAAAAAAAGAAGAGTGAATCTGGCCAACAATTAGAAGAAAAATGTGTAGATCTTTGTCAAGCCCACATTTAGCCTATCAAAACCTTTTTGCGGCCCCCTCCCATTTCCCTTTTAATAGTCCAGCAAGTGAGCTGTTATTTTACTTTCCTTATTGCAGAGGCTTTTTAAAATTGACGTCATAGATCCTTGACCTCCTGGGCTCAAGCAATTCTCCCATCTCAGCCTCTTGAGTAGCTAGGACCACCAGAACTCACCACCATGCCGGCTAATTTTTTTTCTTTTTTGTAGAGACGAGTTCTCACTATGTTGCCCAGACTGGTTTTGAACTCCTAGACTCAAGGTATCCTCCTGCCTTGGTGTTCCAAAGTGCTGGGACTATGGGTATGACCCCCGGAGCCTGGCCAGTGATTAAACTTTAAGAAAGAGATTTTTAAAGAAAACATTCTACAATATGGACTGGTAGTTTTAAGTAGATATGAACTAATTTCTTATTTCTGATCGTTAATTTTGGTGTGTCAGGTCTTGTGTTAGAAACTTGAGGGAAAACAGATTATTAAAATACAATCCCTGCCTTCATGAAACTCACACTCCAATGAGAGGAGACAGAAGTGTGAATCCATTATTATAATGCCATATGCACAAGGAAAACGGGAGTAGTTTATACCATTCCATTTCTTGGGGAGGCTTCCTAGGGGGTCAGAGAAGGATGTGCTGAAGCAGGTTTTAACTTGTAGAATCACTTTTTTTTTCTCTCTCAGTGTTTCCTGTTAGAATGCTCTTGGAACAAAGTATAATGTAGGGAAAAAAATGAGGCTGGGCAAGGTGGCCCACATGCCTGTAATCCCAACAATTTGGGAGGCTGAGATAGGAGGATCACTTGCATCCAGGAATTCAAGACCAACCTGGGCAACATAGTAAGATCCTATCTCTACAAAAAAATAAAATAAAAAGCCAGGCATGGTGGCACACGCATATGGTTCAAGCTACTCAGGAGGCTGAGGCTGGAGGATCACTTGAGCCCAGCAGGTAAAGATTGCAGTAAGCCATGACCATGCCACTGCACTCAGTCTGCGCAACAGAGCAAAACCCTGTCTCAAAAAAGTAAAAAAAGGCCAGGCATGGTGGTTCACGCCTGTAATGCCAGCATTTTGGGAGGCCGAGGCAGGCAGACTACTTGAGGTCGGGAATTCGAGACCAGCCTGGCCAACATGGTGAAATTCCATCTCTACTAAAAATACAAAAATTAGCCAGACATAGTGGCACGTGCCTGTAATTCCAGCTACTCGGGAGGCTGAGACAGGAGAATTGCTTGAACCCGGAAGGCGGAGGTTGCAGTGAGCCGAGATCGCGCCACTGCGCTCCAGCCTGGGTGACGGAGTGAGACTCTGTCTCAAAAAAAATAAATAGAAAAGGAAAGAAAATGATTTTGAAGATGCTTCAGAATCATTACAAATTAAGTCCAGCTATTATTCCTTCTTTTTTTCTTTCTGGCAAAAAGAAAAAAAAATCCCTAAAGATGAATTTCCATCTCTTTTTGTAACAATGATGACATTTATAGAAGTTTGTTCTGAAGAGGGGAGAGAAAAATTAAAACCCAAACAAATCAAAATCAACTTACCATATCTTAATGAGAACCTGCTCTGGGCAGGACAGACACACAACTGCATTAATCCTTTACTGTTTTCATAAAGAACACTGATGATTATCTGCAACCTCTATAATAAACTGCTACAAAGTCCAAGAAAAAATGATTTCACATTAACAATGATTAAACAAGCACTAAAAACACTACTGTACAAGAGAACTAAGAGCCAGTAAAACGCCCTAGTCAATTGTTGCAATACTCAATAGATTTATAACCAGAAGTTCTTCCCTGCCCAGAGATAACTGGGGGTGATTCCAATGTGCTTTCTAATTGTGCTGCTGCTGTTCCATAATACAAAGTCCTATCTATCAACACTTCCTTGGATAACTGAGCTATGCTGGCCCCTTTCCATGTTTCTCCAATGCAGCACAAAGGACCTCCCCCTAACCTCCTTTTGCCAGATCTGGACTCTCTCTTTTCTATTCCCACCAAACCCCAGTTTTCATTCATTTCATCTCCCATGTACGTCACGCCCAATAGTCCCCCAGAATCTGGACCTACACCATCTCCATACTTCTCCCTCTTGTTCTGTTTTATCATATACAGTTACTACAACTATCTGTTTTGGTCACACTGTTCCTTTGGACAATCACCTCTTCCAAATTCCCTAGACTTCTCTTCGAAAATCTTCACTAAACCAGATCTCCCTAATCAGTATATGCTGGGAATAGATTATCCGTATGCCTCCTTCTCCTCTAGCCTAGGTTGGCCTGCAGCAGCCAGAAACTGAGGGCAGTTGCCTCAGACTGCGAGCAACCCGCTTTGTTGATACTGCTGTGACATGTAAATATTATTTTTTAAATATGAGCCATATAATGAAAAAGATGGAGAAGTTTTTCTTTAAATGTCCTTTCCCATGTCAACTTCAGCTCTTATTACATCCTAGTTCTTTGGTAAGCATTGCCTCTTTGCTGTAGGCATCTTTCTTATGACTTGTTACTTCTACTACCACTATTGGGAAACCCTTACATTGTACTCTCAGGCACTGTCCTAAAAGCTTTACATGCAGGCCAGGCACGGTGGCTCACATCCGTAATTACAGCACTTTGGGAGGCCAAGGCGGGTGGATCAGGTCAGGAGTTTGAGACCGGCCTGGCCAACATGGTGAAATCCCCTCTCTACCAAAAATACAAAAAATTAGCCCAGCGTGGTGGCATGTGCCTGTAATCCCAGCTACTTGGGAGGCTGAGGCAGGAGAATTGCTTGAACCTGGGAAGCAGAGGTTGCAGTGAGCCGAGACCACTCCATTGCACTCCAGCCTGGGTGACAGAGTGAGACTCCAACTCAAAAAAAAAAAAAAAAAAAGAGTTTTACATGCATGAACTCATTTAATCTTCACAACAACTCAATGAAGCAGAACTTATTATAATCCTCATTTTACCAATGAGGAAACTGAGGTAGAAAAGTTAAGTAACTTTCCAAATGTCACACAGCAAATAAGCAGCAGAGCCAATATCTGAAGAGTTCATGGTCCTAGCAACAAGGCATATAGCATTATACCTTACCTAAAATATCCATCAATGCATTGAGAAACCATTCTAAAAGGCGCCTCCTTCAGGAAGTCTTCCCTGATCAACTCCATCCCATACTATCATTCCTATATTCATGTAACCTTTTGTAATATGTTAACCTGCATTAATGGATTTGGATTGTGCAAAATTCTTAGAGTAAGCGGTTCAAAACTTGAGTGCATATAGACTGAAAATTAAATTGTACAAAATAAGCTTTCATTGTCTTGGGGCCAGATTTTGGGAACTTCATAAATTGGGAATGGGAGTAAAGGGAAGTAAAATTGGAAGTAAAGCAGAGGTAGGGGTGGAGTTTAGTGGCTGTCATTCTGCTGACATCCTTAATCTCCATGGAAGCAGGGCCTCCTCGGTCCTGCCCAACGTTCACATGTTTAGGTGTAAAGTGAACGAATAGCACAGCAGTTGGGAAATGAACATGATAGCTGTCAGCAGAAGGGGTAGACAGAAAGCAAAACAGGCTGGTCCTCTGCTTCTTGAACAGCTCAATCCAGAGTCACTCAGTACAGGAAGTCAGAGGCCTAGACTTCAGGAACCGCTAAAGAAACCACTCTGTAACCTAGGGTCCAACAGTGAGCATTCACAACCATGACAAGTCATTGGGAACAGGCTTATCAAATCCTCTGTTTAAAAAGTCATGGAATGGTGCGATTTGTATTAGAGAGTCTTTATCAAAAATTTTAAAAATTCTTTCAAAGTGCAATGTTTCCAAAGTTAAGTTTCATTCATCCAGAACATCCATCCGCATGGTATACACGATATACCTAGTCCCCAGGGATGTTAAATGTAACACTACTTTATATAAAGATATGCTAGTGTCACTTATTAAATGTCAGGTTTTTCATTTATATAACTGTGAGGTAATTACATAAGTGAGTGACATCTTTGAGGTTTACAGTATTGTATGTAAATGTTAAACAGCACTGTGAAGAAACATATAATCACCAGGGTATATAATGTAACTTAGTCTGCTTCTTTTGCATAGAATTATAGCTACATTCTCAGAATTTATCAAACCAAAGGACAAAGTTTGGCCAGCTTTTATTCTTCCTCTTAACCACGTTTCAAAAAGCTTCTTGTTGAAATATCAATTAATTACAAACTAATGATAAGTTCATCATATCTGGGGACTCAGGAATTTTGTCACCGCAGTCCTGGTAGACTTTTCTGTTTCTTAAGTTTCCATATATAGCCACATATAATTTATATGATCTGATTAAGGTGAGCACTAACAGGTAATGGGACTATTTTTGAAAGTGGCTTATGGAATCAATCACATTCCATTGCTTCAAAGTCAAAGCATGTACACATGTTAAGATAGAGGAGGAAAAGGAGGTCTCTGCCACTCCTGGGTTAGCTTTCCCATACTTCCCTTAAGAGTTGTGCTCAACATGATGATTCAGCTAGTGCAGTAGGGTGACTCTTTCATGAAGTTGCAAAGTAAAGAACATAGCAATTCGTGTATTGACAAACTTCATAGCCTACCTAGCCCCTGATTTTTTGACACTGGTATGAAAAAGGATGATTTGTACAAGGGCATGTTTAACCTAGGAATCATTTATCTTCTCAGATTGTGGATATACTCCAATCAACAATAAAGCGAACAACATATATTAGTGCTGGGGACTCTCAAGACTTGAATGAATATAACACCTAGTTGTTATCCTCAAGGAACTTATAAATGAATTGGACCAACAAGACATAGCCCTGCAAAATACTTAGTGCATCAGGAAGCATACAAAGTATTACACTCTGTGGAATCAATAATTCAACAGTAAATATCTGTATGTATGCATATATAGATATGGATAATGTCACATCCTTAAGAAAAGATTTGGAAGCAGTTTACATGTGAGATGAATAAACTCACATATAAGATGAATGGGATAAATGAAGACATGAGGATAAAGGGAAATAAAGGCAGGAAAATAAGTCAAAGCCAAGGATCAGGATCAGCCCCAAAATAAGCTCCATAAGGGTTGTTTCAGTTGTTGGAAATGAGCCACAATTTGGTTCCTTGTAGCCAGAGCCCATTACTGACATGATTTCTTTTTGTACATGAGATAACAATCAAAGCACTTTTTTGCAAAACATCTTCTCCTACTACTGGACTCCTGAGCAAAATTTGTGGGTTTTTCCAAGACAGAGAATTCCAGATTATGTAAACAGGGCTCTAACAATATCCCCACAGTAGATACAATATTTAGCCTCACAGAGAGTGTTCTTTTGAATGCCCTCAGTGTACGCTGATGGCAATGTTAAGAAGAGCCAAGACGATTTGGTCCTAGAGCACAACTTTCTAATGGTCTGTTTTATTACAAAGATAAACCAAGACAACACAGACATGGAGAGAATGCATATATTTTAGGCTCCATTATAGCAGATGCCAGGGCTGCTAAACACTATAAGGAAATGCATAGCTTTGGAGCTCAGAGACCTGGGCACCCATCTTGGTATTCTCACTAACCAGGTAACTTTGGGCAAAGAACTAAAACTTAACAGACACCCTATTAAAAACACCACATAGCAGACATCCTGTTAAAAATACTTAAACTGAAATCCAAATAAATAAATAAATAAAGGCAAAATATGAAAGATGCTAAATGAAGTACGAAGGAAAATATTTCAGGTGATGCAAAATGTTCATGAACTAGAAAAGAAATATTTTAAAGTAGATTAATGAGAAATATTTTCCAGTGCCTTCTCTTTCTGGGTATTGTTTCATTTATGACCACTACCTGTTTCCTGTTCTCCAGTTTAGAAATCTCTTATGTATAATTAAAGCAATGTTCTCACATGTCTAACCTGGCAGATAATATTCAAGTAATAAAAACAGAATCCTTCTCAGCTTGATATATTTTCCTCTGGGTTGCTTGGAATGTCAAGAAGGCAGTTGTGAATATGATGGTCATTTTTCTAATAGCATAATGAGGTTATGTTTGTAATTCTCATTTTCCAGACACCGCCTTAAAGGCAACAATGCCATCAGCCAAAAAAGAATTCCAGGTGTGGCCAGGCGCGGTGGCTCATGCCTGTAATCTCAGCACTTTGGGAGGCCGAGGTGGGTGGATCACGAGGTCAGGAGATCAGGATCATCCTGGCTAACACGGTGAAACTCCGTCTCTACTAAAAATACAAAAATTAGCCGGGCATGGTGGCACGTGCCTGTAGTCCCAGCTATTTGGGAGGCTGAGGCAGGAGAATCACTTGAACCTGGGAGGCAGAGGTTGCAGTGAGCTGAGATAGCGCCACTGCACTCCAGCCCGGGCGACAGAGCAAGATTCCATCTCAAAAAATAAAATAAAATAAAAGAAATCCAGGTGTGCAGCAGACCCATCATCTGGATATCAGTGATTATGGCATAAATTAAGGAAGATTTTGGTTGCCCTCCAGCTTGTAAAATAGATGCACAATGAAGGTCCTTGGCATAGTAGGATTAAGAAGAAAGGGAGAAGGTGAGGGATATTCCAGAGGGCATGCTCCGTGGCTCCCTTGAGGTCATTTAATGCAACTTCTTCCTTCATAGGTTGCTTTACAAAGCCAGGAAAAAAAAAAAAAGGCTTATAGAGGCTAAAATGTCCTTGGGTCCTTTTTGGCTGGCTGCTTCCATCAGGCAGTTGGCCAAAGAAAGGAGAAAAGAATTCGAGTGGCCTAAATATTACTCACCAAAAGTACAACCGAAATTAGGGCAGAGGTAAAGGAGAGGTCCCTAAGGACTGTTCAGTGATGGGAATTCTCTGGGTACAAAGGCTCCTGGGAGAATTCCTCTGCTCAGTTCCCCAGGGACAAGTAGAGGACTTGTCCCTTCACACAATTTAAATGTCCCCTTAATGTCACAGTGCTAAGTGTACAGTCAGTCTATGCCTTCAGAGATTCCCAGAAATGGATTCATAGAAAGTAGTAGCAATTGAAGATGGAGCTCCAACAGTCGAAGTTTGGCCCTAAACTACAGAAAGATTAAGTCTAGGTAAACAACAATTTTTGCTTTGTTAAAAATTTCTAGATAGTGTAGAATATTTAGTGGGAAATATTTATGCCAGTGCCCTAAACATAGCATGCTAAGAGTAATAGGTCCTATCTAGTTTTCTGTCTTTGACACTGTGAATGGTCTACCCTTTCATTACCTGGACTGGGGACACCCCCATCCTGTTACATGCTGAATCACACCCTGGTACTAGGCTCACCGCAGGTGCTTAATTAATATTTGCTGAATCAATGCTGAAAGTATCTGATAGCTACATTTCGTTCAACTACATCATTTTATAGAAGAGGAAACTCAGGCTAGGTGGGCTGTGGTTTATATAAGGCTACTCAGGTGCCAGAAACAGGATGGGAATCCAGGTGTTCTGAATCCAAGCCCAGTGCTCTTTCACTATGCCTCTTTCATATAAGAGTAAAGAACAATCTTCCTATTTTTTTCTGTAAGTTATTTTTTTAAAATATAATATTGCCCAGTTTCTTTCCTGCAAAGAAATACATTAATGATAATTTGATTTCTCTATTTCAAATGTAAAGAAATTTGTGATTTGGGAAATGAAGTCCTTTGGAAGTTTACAAAATACAAAACCATAGATACCAAATGATAGAACCTTGGAATTATCTGGACATAAAATCTAGATAGACACTCCTTCCGATTTGGGGGAAAAACAAGAGAAAGTGATTCTGTTTGGGAGATGAACTGAGGCCTAGCATTTATTCTGGGTCTCAGTCCCAGAAGACTCAGAGGTGAAGTTGTCAGTGGCCCCTCTTACAATTGCTTACAGCTCGGCAGGGTGGAGTATGGGCACCCACTCCCACTAGATAGCTTAAATCTCAAAAGGAGGGACATGGAAACATCATTTACAACATTGTAAGGCACAAGTTTTGACAAATATTTTAGTTTCCTTGTCCTGGCCAGTTAAACAGGGGAAAACATTCTACACAAGCTGCAAGGTAATGATTTTGAAATCAGAATCACATTAGCTAGATTTTTAGCAAAACCACACCTAGCTCTTTTGCACTGTCTGAAGAGGGTGTGTCTTATGGCATATTTCTTATTACCTCTACTTTCATATTCTTCCTATTCTAGATTAAAGGAGAAGAATATGCAGGCTATGATACTATACTGCCTTTCCCATTCCCACCCAACATACACACCGCCTACACACTCCCTTCCTAAGACGTCAGCATTGCCCTGTTGAATCTGTCCCCATGAGGCAAGGACTCTGTAGGTCAGTCCCAAGACAATCCCTTTATGTCTTCCATATTTCTAGATAGCCTTTCCTTTACTCACTGTTAGTAATCTCTACAACTATTGGGTTTATATCTGAATATAATGATGAAAGATAGCATATCAAGATCTGTAAGAAGTTATGCATAGCACAGCCATCCTGATATACAAAATATAAGTTCCCCAAAGGTGGCTGAGAAGTGAAAGATAAAGTATTGAATTTCTTTTTCCCAATTATTCTCATCATAAAATGGGAGAAATACTCTTTGTATTAAAGGAATGCATTTCTAACAGAGGTGAGTGACGAAGGGAGTTCTTTTGTCTCCCTTGTAAGAAGGGAGAGAGACAGAACTGTATCCCTTCCCATTGCCTTTGGATTTCACACAGTAGGAATAATATTCTGGAGAGGAGGAGTGGCAATAAAAAGAAAAAAAGAAGAAATAATATTCTGACAAAGGTTTATTTTAAAAAAAGAAATAATACCCAATTTAAGTGTTGATCTTGTGTGTGTTTTATTTGAAATATGAATCACAGAGAAAATGGGTTTGATATTTATAGAAAGAAATCGTTTACATTTTCCATGAGCATGCACTGTTCTTTGAGGGAAAGCATTTTTCAGAGAAAGAAGAATTGTGTTTCTAGAGGTATTCTCATGGCTTCTCACACACATAATTACTCATGCATGCAGGTCATGCTTCGCTTAATGATGGGGACATGTTCTGAGAAATGCATCATTAGGTGATTTCATCCTTGTGTGAACAGCAGAGAGTGAACCTACACAAACCTAGATGGTAGCACCTACCATGAACCTAGGCTATATGGAATAGTCTATCGCTCCTGGGCTACAAACCTGTACAGCATGTTACTATTCTACACTGCAATACTTATAATGGTAAGTATTTGTGTTACTAGAAAATGGGCAGTAAAAATACATTATTATAATATGTTGGGACCACCATCATATATGCAGTCCATCATTTATGAAGCATCGTTATGCTGTGCACGATGTACTGTGTGTTTGGTTGTTCAATGACACGCTGCTTCTACAGAGTGACTGAGTTGGTTGGCTGTTTTGCTGGAGTGGGCTGGTTGACTCATGTCAAACAATAAGGTAATTCAGCCAACTCATTAAATCAGTTAATTTTTTAATTGAACTGACCAACAGTTTCTGCTTGTGTAGACAGATACAGGCCTAGAGAAGGGTTGTTACCACATATCAGTCATACATACATACCACAGTCTGTTTTCCATAGCTGATCATACAACTCATACCCTGTTGTGTTTGAGTGTCAGGAAGGCAGCACAGGCCAGGCACAGTGGCTCACGCCTGTAATCTCAGCACTTTGGGAGGCTGACATAGGTAGATCACCTGAGGTCAGGAGTTCAAGACCAGCCTGGCCAACATGGTGAAACCCCATCTCTATTCAAAATACAAAAATTAGTCAGGCATGGTGGCGCACACCTGTAGTCCTGGCTACTCAGGAGGCTGAGGCAGGAGAATCACTTGAACCCCAGAGGCAGAGGTTGCCATGAGCTAAGATAGTGCACTCCAGCCTGGGTGACAGACTCCACCTCAAAAACAAACAAACAAACAAACAAAATAAAGCAGCATTGTGGTATGGGTGTAGATTGATAACTAGAATAACAAAAATGCAGTAACATGAGAATAAATTTTCAAAATTAGTCTGTCACATGTCCTTGTCTTAATGATGTTGGCCATTACACACAAGTTAGAGAACCAAAGCATTTTCAGGCCCATCTAGTAGTACTTTTCCTATTATTTCTTTATGTCTCATTAGACTTTTCACTGCCAAAAAATTTTTTAAAAAATATTACTTGCTGGCCGGGCGCGGGGGCTCACACCTGTAATCCCAGCACTTTGGGAGGCCAAGGCGGGCAGATCACAAGGTCAGGAGATCGACACCATCCTGGCTAACGTGGTAAAACCCTGTCTCTACTAAAAATACAAAAAATTAGCTGGGCATGGTGGCGGGTGCCTGTAGTCCCAGCTACTCGGGAGGCTGAGGCAGGAGGATGGCGTGAACCCAGGAGGTGGAGCTTGGAGTGAGCTGAGATGGCACCACTGCACTCCAGCCTGGGCGAGAGTGTGAGACTCCATCTCAAAAAAAAAATATATTACTTGGTGATGGTTAAGGACTTTTACTTAGAAGATACCAAGTAGTAATCATAACCCATTCGTAGGAGACAGTATCTAACAACATTCACCAATGGACATCCAGCCAGGTGCTCAAGGTCAGGTGAATTTGTGCAGCATTGTTCTATATTTGTTCCCTGAAGTCTCATGCCACTTTATCTGAAGTGCCTATGCATTTCTCACTAGGCTGAACACAGCAGTTCAAACTGAGGACTCTGGGCATCTCATTGCTATTTCAATTACTCAAAAAGAGCTCAGCCAGGCATGATGGCACATGCCTATAGTCCCAGCTACTCAGGAGGCTGATGTGGGAGGGTTGCTTGAGGATAGGAGTTTGAGGATGCAGTGAGCTATGAGTATACCACTGCACTCCAGCCCGGGAAACAGTGAGATCTTTTTTTTTTTTTTCTTTTTATTAAAAAGGAGGTCAGATGGAGCCTGATTGAAGGGTAAACTATACCCTCTTCCTCATTGTGACCATCTGTCTTCACAAAGGCTGGGGACAGAATTATATCCTAAGATTTGGAATCTTACAAATATGTCCAGTCTTCTTGTTATGTTTAACATATTCCTTTATGTTCTTTTCTATCTATGAGAACTCTAGAAGAACACTACTTTTTCTGAAAGTTATTTTGGTGCCTGGTGTCTAAAAAGGCTATTTTTTCATCTGAAGAACAGTCATATTTTGACATTCAAAGTGGCATTTGGCCAGGCGCGGTGGCTCACGCCTGTAATCCCAGCACTTTGGGAGGCCGAGGCGGGCAGATCACAAGGTCAGGAGATCGACACCATCCTGGCTAGCACAGCGAAACCCCGTCTCTACTAAAAATACAAAAAATAAGTCAGGCGTGGTGGCAGGTGCCTGTAGTCCCAGCTACTCGGGAGGCTGAGGCAGGAGAATGGCATGAACCCAGGAGGCAGAGCTTGCAGTGAGCCGAGATCGAACCACTGCACTCCAGCCTGGGCGACAGAGCGAGACTCCTTCTCAAAAAAAAAAAAAAAAAAAAAAAAAAGTGGCATTTAATAGATGTGTATTTTAGAAATACCCATCCAGGCTGGGCGTGGTGGCTCACATCTGTAATCCTAGTACTTTCGGAGGTTGCAAAAAATGGACTGCTTGAGTCCAGCAGTTCAAGACCAGCCTGGGCAACATGGTGAAACTCCATCTCTACTAAAAACACAAAAATCAGGCAGGTGTGGTAGCCCGCGCCTGTAACCCCAGCTATTCTGGAGGCTGAGACACGAGACTCACTTAAACCCCTTGCTTAAAGGTTGCAGTGAACAGAGATGGCGTCACTGCACTCCAGCCTGGGCAACAGATCAACACTCTGTCTCCAAAAAAAGAAAAAAAAAAACCAATTTTTTTTTTGAGACAGCGTCTCACTCTGTTGCCCAGGCTGGAGTGCAGTGGCGTGATCTTGGTTCACTGCAACCTCCGCCTCCCGGGTTCAAGTGATTCTCCTGCCTCGGCCTCCTGAGTAGCTGGGACTACAGGCATGTGCCACCACAACCAGCAAATTTTTGTATTTTTATTTTTGTATTTTTAGTAGAGACGGAGTTTCACCATATTGGCCAGGCTGGTCTTGAACTCCTAACCTCGTGATCCGCCCGCCTCAGCCTCCCAAAGTGCTGGGATTACAGGCGTGGGCCACTGTGCCCGGCCAAGAAATTTTTAAAAATTTAGAAATACCCATCCAAAGAATGAGGTTAATTCAATTTTGCGAAAGTTTGGGCTAGATACTTGCCTCAGACTCGAGCTTCAAACTCTTCCTCGAGGCAAAATTTGACTTAAAATCTAGGAAAAGGAAGTCTAGGAGGAGTCTATAGACTACAAAGCCACCTGCTCATGTGCACAGCATTGTGCTTAGATTGGAAGAGATTCAAGGATGAACCGGAAACACTTTTCAACGAGCTTGTAACCAAGCGTAATGAAAATATCAAGTCTTGGCGGCTTTGGAGGCTGCTGTTTTCTCAATATTCATAGTTTCTCTGGAAAACCGTGTCTCAAAGTTAGAAGGGATCTGAGTCTGCTTTTATCCAGTTTGCATCTGGAATCTATACATCTTTTAAAAATTGGAAATATTTGGCTTGTTGGCTTGTTTCTACCTCATTTCTAGAATTATTTTGGCCCATTTCTTCAAGGAATTAGTACCCATGTGTGTGTTTTATGAGCCGGATTCACCAAGCCCTACTTCCTTGGTGTTTCTGCAATTAAATGACCACATATATACATCAATAGCATTGAGTTTTGACAAAAAGGAACATAGGGGAGACTCCTGAGTCCTGAAGATTGCACTGAGCAGGTTATCTTTTCATTAAGAAATGACCTATGTTGGCCGGGTGTGGTGGCTCATGCCTGTAATCCCAGCACTTTGGGAGGCTGAGATGGGTGGATCACAAGGTCAGGTGTTCAAGACCAGCCTGACCAACATGGTGAAATCCCTAAAACTACAAGTCTAATTGTACTAAAAATACAAAATACAAAAATTAGCTGGGTGTGGTGGCATGTGCCTGTAATCCCAGCTACTCAGGAGGCTGAGGCAGGAGAATCGCTTGAACCTGGGAGGCGGAGGTTGCAGTGAGCCAAGATTGTGCCACTGCACTCCAGCCTGGGCGAGAGAGTGAGACTCCATCTCAAAAAAAAAAAAAAAAAAAAAAAAAAAAGACCTGTCTTTTAGTAATATCAATGTTACACTTTAAAGCAAGTCATCTGCCTGTATTCAGATAAATGTGATCCATACTTTTGAGCACACATGATTCATAAAAACTACAGAAGAAAAAGAATAAACCCATGGTAGAAAAGCAACTTATTTATTTTAAAACCTTTTTTTTTTCTGACTAACTGATATACCAGCACAAGAGCCTAACACCAGAAACCAAAAGGGCCACCCAAATGAGGATGTAAAAACATCCACCTTTTGCCCTGGATGGCACCCCAGCTAGAATTCTCAGGCCCAGAAAGCTATCTATCTCTCTCCATTCACACGTGAGCTAACCAGTTCACGGAGGGAAGCGCCAATGAGCTATCAGATCAATATGGTGAAGTATGGAGATTGATTTCATCCCGGAGTAAGTGCATTAACGAGCTCCTCTGTGTGACCTTTGCCTAGTGGTACAAATTAGACTCCACCGCAGACCACATACTTAAATGGGATCCTTCAGTATTTGCTCGCTTTTAATAAAGCACACTACAGACAGACCTCAAAGATGACTACAAAAACTTATAGTGCGTCTTTTTATACAGGGAAGGAGGTCTTGTAGAGTTACTATATTATGTCTGAAATTATATAGCATTAAATAGACAAGATAGCATAAATGCAAACTTTCAAAGTAAAGCATATTCTTTTAAGAAGCGGGCTTTTTGTTTTTTACTAAAGGTGTTGAATATGTGTCTATGCAGGAAACCCTACTAATGGCTTCACTTAATTCTCTCAAAAAAGTTCAGAGAGATACAACTGTGCTCAAGATCCATGTTTCTCAAACTTGAACACACTTAGAGTTCACCTGGGGGTCCTGTTAAAATACACAGTGATCCAGCAGTTCGGGGGACTGTGATTCTACATGTCTAACAAGCTGACTAATGAAACCAATGCTGGTGGTTCATGTACCGCACTTTGAATAAAAAGCTCTAGAAAATTCTAGCAAACCAATGCTCCCCACTCCACATGTGCACATCAGTCCTCCACACACACTCACACACCAAAATGTTAGACACAGGAATATGGGATGAGAACAATAACTAAGATGGCAAAGGGGGCCAGGTGCAGTGGCTCACGCCTGTAATCCCAGCACTTCGGGAGGCTGAGGCGAGTGGATCACGAGGTCAGGAGATCAAGACCATCCTCACCAACATGGTGAAACCCGATCTCTATTAAAAATACAAAAATTAGCTGGGCATGGTAGTGTACACCTGTAGTCCCAGCTACTCAGGAGGCTGAGGCAGGAGAATCGCTTGAACCTGGGAGGTAGAGGTTGCAGTGAGCCGAGATCACGCCACTGCACTCCCACCTGGGTGACAGAGCAAGACTCTGTCTCAAAAAAAAAAAAAAAAAAGAAAGAGAGCAAAGGGTAAGGAGGTGCAAAATCAGACAGGTCTGGTACAGAAACAGGCTCCACCAGTGGCCAGCAGATCAGTGTGAACTCGGGCAAATAACTAAACCCCCTGAGCTTTAGTTTATTCTGGCTGCAGTCAAATTCTAATTAATATTGACCCTCCCCACTCCCCTTGTTGTAAGGGTTTAGTGAGCTAATAAATGAATAGAACTTAAGGCTTGAGCTCAATAAATAGTAGTCACTGTTAGAGTGCATCACTCTTCTATAAAAGTCAGTCTAGTCCCTAACCCTAGCTTGATCAAATATTACAAAGCAAATAATAATTTAATGCAAATACTGGAGTTGCTGCACGTTAAAGCAATAACTCCAGTCTTTTATTTGGACATGGTCTCCCCATTAATTCTCTTAATTGTCTTGGGGCCAAGCAGAAAGACCATAGCTGCTGGGGAGACCCAGAGGGATATTGATCTCAGAAGAATGAATGCAATGGCACCTACTTTAAAAGCCAGTCAATGTGGTCAAGGCTCAGGATGGCACCAGAACACAGGTTAAGACAATGCTGAAGTTCTTGGAATTTCCATCGCACTCCAGGGTGATTTATTGTGTACGTGAATGTGAGTGTGTGTTAGGGAGGGGGCAGAGGCTGACACTCAGGGAAACCTGTGTCTGTTTGTCAGTTACCTAGAGACATCTGTGCTGTCCTCAAACTGGCCCTGGTCTCACTGATGCCCCCTACCTCCAGGAGTACAGTCTCACAGCCACTGGGAGAGAAATCCCAGGACACTGAGAAGGGTTTTTGTTCCCCTGGATGTCCCTGATCTTACTTACTGATTTGAAAATTCAAGGTTGGAAAATGTATTCATTTGGCATCAATCTTTAATCCCAATGAAAGAGTAGACACCCATAGGAGTGATAATATTTAAATCAGTGGCTTTACGAGTATGGTCCAGGGAGTCAAGAGGTTACAACTATTTTTCCAATTACACCAAGATGTTATTTGCCCTTTTCACCCTCCACTTGTCAGGAGTGTGCAGAGGCTACAGGATGTAATGACATCATCACTCTGGTGACAAATGGAATGTGTATTTGTGGATGCTTGATTTGTAACCATATCTCTGTTTTTAACTCCCAATACATTATATAAACTAAAGGTCTCCATAGTCCTCATTTTCAGAAGTGCAAAGCGTCCTGAGACCAAAAGGTGTGGGAACTACTGCTTTAAATCAACACAAGTCATTTGCATATAATCATAAATGAATTTCTGACAAGTTAAAAATTTTGTGGTGTAACTACCAAATTCAAAACTCTGTGCTAGAGTTTGTGAGAGGAAACAGTGACAAGAAAGAGGTTGGAAAGAGTTGAGGGGGTAGACATATAACTAACAGAAACCAGGCTAGGAGTGAGTGTGCAATTGCGATCATCTTACATCCCATCCCAGATTTTGCCAGATAGTCCCCATTTCAAATAGTCCCCATTTCAAATAGTCCCCATGTCAAATACGTCCAGGCCTACATTTAGACTAGTCAAATCAATGGCTTTGAGTTTGGCAGGTGAGACGAGATGGAGAGGAAGACAGTGATGATGAGATACCTGGTTGAGGAATTCTAATTTTTTCTGCATATGCAATAGAAAGTTGTGAGTGATATGATCAAACCAGACAACCCAGGATAATAACTGCAGAGAATGTGTTGTTTGACAGTGCAAGAAAGAAACAGGGCCAGGTGCAGTGGCTCACGCCTGTAATCCCAGCACTTTGGGAGGCTGAGGAGGATGGATCCCTTGAGCCCAGGAGTTCAAGACCAGCCTGGGCAACATGGCAAAACCCCATCTCTACTAAAAATACAAGAAGTAGCTGGGCTTGGTGGCACACGCCTATAGTCTCAGCTACTCAGGAGGCTGAGGCACAAGAGTAGCTTGAACCTGGGGGCGCAGGCTGCAGTGAGCCGAGGTGGTGCCACTGCACTCCATCCTGGGCGACAGAGTGTGATTCCTTCTCAAAAGAAAGAAAGAAAGTTGTACAAAGTTGCAGGCCAGGTGTGGTGGCTCATGCTTGTAATCCCAGCATTTTGGGAGGCTGAGGCGGATCACTTGAGGACAGGAGTTCGAGACCAGTCTGCCCAAAGTGGCGAAACCCAGTCTCTACTCGGGAGGCTGTAACATGAGAATCTCTTGAACTCAGGAGGTGGAGGTTGCAGTGAGCCGAGATGGTGCCACTGCACTCCAGCCTGGGTGACAGTGCAAGACTCTGTCTCAAAAAACAAAACAAACAAAACAAAACAAAACCCAAAGTTGCAGAACTAAATGAGGCTTATTGGAGGTGATGATCATTTATGTTTCAGCAAGCAATTCACGATGCTGCTGTGGAGTTTGCGAGAGAAAGTATGGCATAATTGTGTTTGTGGGAGAAATCACTAAGAATGTGTGGATGAGAAAGTAAGGAAACCAATAAGAGAAAACTAGAAAAAAATATTGTTTAAGATTGGGTAGAGGGAGAGGAGCTAGTGAAGAAACCTAGCAAGGTGCACTCAGAGAGGAGTACTGAGTAGTGACCAAGAAGTCTGGGCCAGAAGGAATTTCAAGGATGGCCAAGGATTAAAATGGGGAGAGAGGATGAGGGCTGAGAAGATGTGGCTAAGCTCCTTGATGATGTTTAAGATTCACAAGAGGCATTTCCCATGGAGAAGTGCAAATGCAGTGAGCTTGCTGCCCGGCTTTAGCACTGCAGTCCTACAGTATTGGCTGTGTTAACACCAAAAAGAAGAGGTGGAGAAAAGGGCAAAGGTGTCATGATGAGAAAAGGTAGGACGGTGACAGACAGGGAGACCCATGTAATGTGGTGTTCTATTTTCAGGAGGGGAGCTTTGCACATTCATGTGGACTGATGAGAGCCAGTGGAAGAGGAAAGATTTAAATAACAAGGGGCTGGGCGGTCAGGCATGGTGGCTCACGCCTGTAATCCCAGCACTTTGGGAGGCCGACGTGGGCAGATCACCTGAGGTCGGGAGTTCAAGACCAGCCTGAGCAACATGGAGAAACCCTGTCACTACTAAAAATACAAAATTAACTGGGCGTGGTGGCACATGCCTGTAATCCCAGCTACTCAGGAGGCGGAGGCAGGAGAATCACTTGAACCCGGGAGGTGGAGGTTGCAGTGAGCCAGGATCGCGCGACTGCACTCCAGCCTGGGCAACAAGAGCAAGTGGGATGAGATGGAGAGGAGTTTTTTATTGTTTCAATAAAAAAACAAAAACAAAAACAACAACAACAAAAAAAAACAAGGGGCTGGGCACCATGGCTCACGCCTCTAATGCCAACACTTTGGGAAACCAATGTGGGAGGACTGCTTGAGGCTAGGAGTTCAAGACCAGCCTGGGCCACACGTGAGACTCCATCTCTAATTACAATAAACAAACAAAATTAAAATGTTAGCAAGGGGCCGGGCATGGTGGTTCATACGTGTAATCCCAGCATTTTGTGAGGCCCAGGTGGGCAGATCACCTACGATCAGGAGTTCAAGACTGGCCTGGCCAACATGGTGAAACTCCATCTCTTCAAAAATATAAAAATTAGCTGAGCATGATGGTGGGTGCCTGTAGTCCCAGCTACTCAGGAGGCTGAGGTGGGAGAATTGCTTGAACCCAGGAGGCGGAGGTTGCAGTGATCCGAGATCACACCATTGCACTCCAGCCTGGGAGACAGAGCAAGACTCTATCTCAAAAAATATATAAAAATAAAAATAAAAAAAATAAAATGTGACTAAGGGATGAAAGAACAGATAAAAGGGAAATAAAGCCGGGCGCGGTGGCTCACTCCTGTAATCCCAGCACTTTGAGAGGCCGAGGCAGGCAGATCACGAGGTCAAGAGATCGCGACCATCCTAGCTAACACGGTGAAACTCTGTCTCTACTGAAAATACAAAAAAATTAGCCAGGTGTGGTGGTGCGTGCCTGTAGTCCCAGCTACTTAGGAGGCTGAGGCAGGAGAATGGCCTGAACCCAGGAGGCGGAGGTTGCAGTGAGCCAAGATCACACCACCGTACTCCAGCATGGGAGACAGAGTGAGACTCCGTCTCAAAAAAAAAGGGAAATAAAGTGGATGGAGAGTACAAGTAGGAGAATTACAAAAGAAGGGACCTGACAAACTCCATGAGGAAAGATGGCTATTGAACTGAAAGGACAAACTTAAACCTTTCTTGAGAATAAGCTTTAAGAGGAAGGGTGTGTGTGTGTGTGTGTGTGTGTGTTGGTGAAGAAGGGTGTATGTGTTGAAGGGAGAGGGACATTTGTGGATGTATGAATATTGGAAGAGGAAGAGTATGCATGGGCTGCAACAAGGCAGATAAAGGTCAAAGCTGAAAGGCAGAAACCACCTGAACAAAGACCCTTCAGCTACTTTAGAAACTAAAATTTGTCTACCCGATATTGTCCCCAATTTTTTATTTTTATTTTTGAGGAGTCTCATTCTATATCCCAGGCTGGAGTGCAGTGGCACCATCTCGGCTCATGGCAACCTCCACCTCCCAGGTTCAAGTGATTTTCCTGCCTCAGCCTCCTGAGTAGCTGGGATTACAGGCATGTGTCACCATTCCCAGCTAATTTTTGTATTTTTAGTAGAGAAGGGGTTTCACCATGTAGGTCAGGCTAGTCTTGAACTCCGTACCTCAGTTGATCTAGCCGCCTTGGCCGCCCAAAGTGCTGGAATTAGAGGCGTGAGCCACCTTGCCCGGCCTTGTCCCCAATTTTAGCACAGGTCAGGATTGCAGAGAAAAAGAGGACTCACATTTGTTGAGATTTTACTCTCCTTAGGGAACTTCTATCACTGCACTCAACATATCGTAGTCTATTAGCTGAGTCTTTTATTTCTAAAAAAGTTTCCAGAAGTCAGGCCGGCGCAATGGCTCATGCCTGCAATCCCAGCACTTTGGAGTGCTGAGGTGGGAGGATCACCTGAGGTTGGCAGTTCAAGACCAGCCTGACCAACATGGAGAAACCCCGTCTCTAATAAAAATACAAAATTAGCTGGGTATGGTGGCGCATGCCTGTAATCCCAGCTACTCGGGAAGCTGAGGCAGGAGAATAGCTTGAACCCAGGAGGCAGAGGTTGCGGTGAGCTGAGATTGTGCCACTGCACTCCAGCCTGGGCAACAAGAGCAAAACTCCCTCTCAAAATAAAAAAAAAAAGTTTCCGGAACTCATTCTCTCCCCACCCTCTTACCTCTCCATTAATAATAGACTTAATTGTTTGGCATAAATAAGGCTTGTTTGACATAGTAATTAAAGGAAGGCAGAAAGTCTTAACAACAGTAAGTGAATCATACTGGACTCTGGGAGTTGGTCACATTTTCTCCACCCTAACTCAAACCAGTGTTTCAGCATCTTTTATCACGTAGTTAGCCTGATAATCTCCAAACGACTCACGAGTAAAAACACCACCCCCCATCTCACCACCCTCTATTCTAGAATGGACAGAGGTGACTATGGACCAAACAGCTCTTACATTAGGCGCAAAGAAAATGAGCACCACACAGACTTAAAACAATTGTCTCCTAGCATCCTATATAAGTATAGAGATATCAAATGCACATAGATCAACACATTTGTTAGTTTGAAGATAAATTGTGTCGGTCTTTTGCAGATGTTTCTTATCTACTGAGTTTCTGAAATGTAATTTTTGTTTTGGAAATGCTGAGATATATGTTCAGGAACAGCATTCGAACACATTCCCCACAAAAATCGCATTGGGATTCACAGTTTTGTACATGTGTATCCCCCTCTTTAAGGGTAGAGACCATTTCTTTCTTTCTTTTCTTTTTTTTTTTTTTTGAGATAGGTCTTCATTCTGTTGTGCTCTAGACACCATCTCTAATCCATCTCTCTGTATCCAGATATTCTAGCACACTGCACTCTACAAATATTTAATTTTTTAGATAACCACGTAAGTTATACATTACCCCTATTTTTAGAGAAGGACAGTGAAGTTACATGCTGAGCTTATGGGAAGCAAATGGAAGGGGATTTGAAGCCAAGTGTGACTCCAAGGCCTGCCTAATTTCCACATCAGGAGGCTTCTATGGTGATGATAAGAGGGAAGTAACTGTATAGCCAGTGCCTTGTGCCAAGCCCAAGTATTTGTTGAATCAATCAAATACAGCACCAGGGGCTTTTAAGCATCAATAAAGGAAGGAGGAAATTGACTTTTCTTGAATATATACTATCTACCAAGGACTTAATTTGTGTTAAGTCATTTAATCCCCAGTAAAATACCTGAAAGAGGTAATGCCATGTTTTACAGATGAGGACACAGAGCCTAAAACGAGCTAAGTAAATAATCTACAAGTAAAAAAGGGTACATACATGTCACTTCTGATCCTCCTCCTCCTATCTCCACTAGACGGAAGCATTAGTCCCCCACTGGCAGTAACCCACCCTGGAGCCTCCTGAGGGTAGAGCCCCGGATACTTCTGCCTGTCTTTCATCTTCAAGTTTCAACAAGTCATTTAATCTGGAAGAATCAGATCCGGTACAAACGGCTCACAATGCGGCACTATGATTGAGTTCTTAATGTATTAGACTGTAGCAGTATTCGACCATAGCATTATTTAGTGGCTGGAAAACCTGATCCTCCTTTGATAAATGTATTTGTTTTCCTGTTACATTTTGTATTTATGGATACAGTATGCTTTGATACCACATTTTTGTTATGCCAGAAATGTTTACTGTTCTTGTATTATCGAATCAATGAATTAGGGAGAGGTTACTACAAAGGGATTAATGCATTTTTAATGAAAATGCATGATAAAACTTGTTATTCATTACGAATAATGGCAGATCTATGAGATTTACATGGGTAAGAGCTTTGTGAGTTTATCTGAAAGCATACATAATGGGTCTCATTTAGCTGTAATATGGAAAATATTATTCTTAGAGATTCTAGTAAGTGTGAAAATCCATTGTTTATTCAGATGATTTACACCCTTCTCTGTGATCAGTTCACCTATATAAAGTTACTAACTATAAATCTACCTTTAAAAAACTATTATTTTTCCCTAAATCATTATTGTTCTTTTTTTCCCTTGATTCCAAGCTTCAGAAAGGAATACAATTAAGATAATCCCTGAGCATATGTGGGAAATGTACTTGAACTCACCATATGCCAGTTGGGAAAACTGGTATGATCTCCTGAAGGCTTAAACAGAAAGAGAGCAGAAACATTCCATTGCTAAGATTAGGCTAGCTTGCCAGATTATAAGTGCTTTTTAATTACATGAGTGCAATTGTCTTAAATAAATGCTCTTAGTCACTAAAATAGATATAAATATGATCCTCAAAAGCAGGGATTTTTGTCTATGCTCTTCATGTTGAATCTCTAAGTCCTATAATGTTACCTGGCATACGACTAATACTTGATAAGTATTTACTGAATGAAAGAAGGAATCTTAAGAATATCTGACCTACCCTATGGTATTTAAACTGTACTTTATTATTATTATTATTATT
This sequence comes from Homo sapiens, assembly GCF_000001405.40. Lineage (NCBI taxonomy): Eukaryota > Metazoa > Chordata > Mammalia > Primates > Hominidae > Homo > Homo sapiens. The sequence continues at coordinate 200,083,988 of NC_000001.11, read as the reverse complement.
ATTATTATTATTATTATTATTTTGAGATGGAGTTTCGCTCTTGTTGCCCAGGCTGGAATGCAATGGTGTAATCTCAGCTCACTGCAACCTCCACCTCCCAGGTTCAAGCGATTCTCCTGCCTCAGCCTCCCAAGTAGCTGGGATTACAGGCATGAGCCACCATGCCCGGCTAATGTTGTATTTTAGTAGAGACGGGGTTTCTCCATGTTTGTCATGCTGGTCTTGAACTCCCGGCCTCAGGTGATCCACCTGCCTCAGCCTCCCAAAGTGTTGGAGTTACAGGCATGAGCCACTGTGCCCAGCAATACTGTACATTGCTATACAATATTGCTGTACAATACTGTACAATACTGTATATATATATACTTCAACTGTGTAAATGTAAAGCAATCTGGAGAGTTCATATTGCTTAGTAGGTCTTTACGATACACACATGGCGAAGCCTTTCATTATCTAATGACAATGAGGAGGCTGTACAGGAATCCATAAAATGCATAAAAATTCTTATCTCACCATTTGAAATGGTTTTTAAAATGTACACATATATGTAATGTATGGATTACTTATTACTTGTGTGATAAGAACTTTAGAGGCAACATCAAATGAGCATTGTATTGAAAATTACTTGGACAGCAAATGATGACATTTGTTACTTAAGAAAAGCCAGTTGGAGTTAACTTTTTAGGATGAAATGAATTGATTTGAATTTCAGAAATAAATAAGCTGAGTATTATAAATTTTTCTTTAAATTATTTTTCTTCTTCTGTGACTACCACATTTGTAGGTAAACCCAGAAAAATAAAATTGCTTATACAATAATGACAGTGAAGTCTCAAAACTACTTTACATTGTTGATAGTTTGATATCTGTAACCCATTGTCTTGCTTAACCTTACTATTAGAAATATGAGTTCTGAAAAACTTCCATAGAAAAACTGTGACATTTTTATCTTTAAATAAAGATAAGTGTTATGATTTTTAAAAATCAGAATTTCAGTCCAAAATCTTCTAGACTGAAAAACTCAGAGACATATAGCCTTAGTTTCTTAGGGTATATGTTGGAAGGGTCATCTTAGTTCCAGAAAAAAAATTAAATGCTTTTCAGGTAGGTTGCATGCCTTTTTAGGTTAAAAACACTAATAAATATGTAAGACCTTTGTAGATGCACAGCAGGTGTTTTGAGGGCTTTACACTGAAAAGCTGACAACTAATTATAAAAGCCTGACTGGACTAATCAATTATTCAGATCAACATTAGATGCCTATTATATACAGAAACATGGGAATTATATCTCCCTTAATTAATATACTAAAATCATGAGTTTAAAACATTCTAATGTGAAATGTGAAGACATATAAGTCTTAATACTAAGACTCATTCCAAATAATAAGTATTTGTAATTTGTTGCCTCTCATTCAAGAATTAAATTCCTATTGACCCTACATTAGTCACACAAAAGACATTTTTTTCGGTTTGACTCATATGTTTGTAATTTGTTTTATATTCTTAAAATGAAAAACGTGAACCAAATAATTGATACAAAGTACTCTGTACAAAGACACCAATGGCCAGATGATGCAAAACACCTAATGTGATGTTCTTCTCATAACAGCAGCAACAAAATATATTTTTTGTTCTTCAAGGAACTTTTAGAATTGTATACAAAAATATGATCATAATTTTTAGAATGTAAACCTATTCATCTTTTAAATAGTGCATCTGTTTTATCCAAGTCTGTTTTAAGCATCTTTCCCCTAATCAGGAGATTTTTTCTAGAGTAATGAAAACAAAAATTTCCTCTTACAAACAAGCTTTTGGGAAGCAGTTGCCTGTCAAATAGATACTGCTTCTTCCCTCCAATGAGAATGCTGTCTCTGGCATTTGGGGTTGGTGTGGAGGGGAGGACGGGGTTGTAGCAAGTTCTTAAATAGATTCAAACCATACGAAAACCAGAAATAGATGCAACCAGACACCTGCTGACAAACAGTGACAAATCCCACTGACACTGCGGTGACCCCCTGTTAGCTGAGATTTAATTAAGGGGCATAATTAAGTCAGTAGAACAGAACACTAATGAGTGGTGTTTTTTTTTTAATATGGGTAATTACACGTAAAAATACAAAGTGTCAGGGAGACCTAAATATATCATTAAAATGAACAGTATAGAATAACAAACAGAGTGCTAAGTATGCCTCTTCTATTGCTGTTAAAAAAAAAAAAAAGGTAGACTATGTTTCAGGTTGAATAATACTCAGGCAAGTTTATGTTGGCTTCATGCTGGGAACATTTGTTATTCTAATTTTGCAACAATAAGCGACTATGTGTATTGAGATCCTGTTTTCAATGCAGATTCCATTGCCTTTGAAGTCTTTCTGCATTTAGCATTTTGTCCAACTGCAAATGAGCAATTAAGAGGCTGTTTGCAAGTATTTGGCTTCCTATGGATCAGCTTATGGAGGTGTCCATCTGAGCTGGGAGACTTTGACAGATGTGGAAGACAGGCGGGCATTATTTACTAATTCGGAATGAGCTTTCATTTTAACCAGTTATGTGGTATGCTTTGATTTGATCTCTGCTTTAGGCATTGATATAACCCACAGGACTGTGGTCTACTGACTGGGAAATACCACAGAGGAAGGGAAATAGGACTGAAATAAAGTTGGTAACTTTTCAAACATGAAAATGAGGCATTTAGGTCACAAGCTGAAATGACGAAAACAACTACATTTTATTCTGTGATTGAAAAGCATGCCTGTGTGGTTTGGGACCTGCCCTTCTGTTGGGAGTATTTTAGCTATGGTACCCTCAGCTGGTGGACTGAAGTCCTTGGCAGGCTTTTATCCATTTATCCAAGCAACAAGTGGAAAAACAGATTCTTTTGACGGCTAATGCTCCTCATTCAACTCAATGTAACTGGTGATTCTGAATCTTTCCTCTAAGAAAGTTATTAAATATCTTCTTGCAGGTACTAAACATGCCTCTCCAGTCTTCTTGCTTCTGGTCTAACCTCTACTTTGCAATATTCCAGAGGAAAAGAAAAGGACATCTGTGTAATCATTATTAACAGGGGCCAATGGCCAGATGCTGCATGTTTCTACTGAGGGCAATATGAATAGGGATTGTGATAAGGATCCCTTGTAAATATATGTGAAAAGTATTTGCAATTTGTTGCCTCTCATCCAAGAATGAAATTCCTATTGATACTCAGATATTATCTGATCATTTGTCCAATATTAACTTCTTGTAGTTAAATGCCAGTGTATCTGTGATGATAATGGAAAGTTTCTCCAGGTGAAGAATTTGTTTTTGACAAAGCTATTCGAGATAAAATGTCCACAAATAGGATTTTGATATTTCATACAGTGGTGTGAGAATTCACCAAACACAAGGGTAATGGAACACAAAAGAGCTGGAAAGAAAAATCGCCTTTTGTTTAGATAGTGAGTTTACAGAGCTCATTTTTCCTTAATGCTTGCCATAAAATAAGCATTCTCTCTCTGACAAAGCTAGTATCACAATTACCAGGAACTATAAAATCAAAGATTTTATATATATATATCTCAAACCAGAGTTAATAATTAAATTTCAAAATACTATAAATCAAAGCATATTAGAATCCAAATATTTTCATGAATATTAAGTCTATGAACATTAAGAGGCTGAGGCAAATGATTTTTGCAGTCTTAGACTCTATAGTACAACTTTGAGAGGCCACACAAGGTTAATTCGGGTGACTGGTTCCATTAATCTAGTGACCAGTTCTATTTGATTGTAACATTTGAGCCATTAGACATATTTCTTGGTAGCATTGCCTGATGGTTCTTGTTAGGCAAATTAATCATGGATCTCTGTGTAAAGCACCTTTTTCCAACTGTCTGTTCTCCTTCTTTCTCCAAATCACCTCAAACTTTTTGGAAATAATAAAGAAAAATAGAGTAAGCCATTTGCTAAAAGCCTGGGGAGTGCAAAACAGTAATAAAGTCAAAAGCTATTTGATAGTATCTAGCTTTTATGTAAGCAACTTTTTGAAACCCAAATGACTAAATTTTGGACTGAGCCTGTCTTCCCAAAATGACACATATGTTTGATTCCTAACATCCCTTTCACCATTTTTTTTTTTTATAACAAGGCCACCCTTATCAAGTCATGTATGAATGAACAGAAGTGTCTTTCATTCCCCACTTGCCTCACGGTTCAAAAGGAACTACTAAAATAGCAGCAAAAAAATCCAACAGCCTGCCAGTGGGCTTGCACCGGTCCCATTCCTAAAGGCATGCAAAAGGTTGGAGAGCTCAGCAAAATTTTTATGTATGGGAGCAGGCCCAAGGAAAACTCACACGCCATAACCAATTGTGGACAGAGGATCATCTATCAGCAGACAAATGCAGGAACTCCAGAATGTCTCTCCTCAAATGAAATAATATATCTTTGAAAGCCAATGCCCGTTTTAGGCCCCAGGCCCATATATCAAGCCTGAGAGGCTTGTGGAATCGCTCCAGGGCCATTAACCTTCCACCTGTTTCCCCTTGTCCTTCAGGATGAGACCCTGCCCTTGATTTTACTCCCTTCCCCTGTTCATCTTCCGACAGAGTGTAAATGTAAAGCAGCGGGCCTGTGAAATAATTCAAAGGCAATGGACCAGGGGCATGGTTACAAATCTCTGCCACTGGCACTGTGACTTATGCAGGCAGTTTGTCACACATGAGCCAGGTGACCTCAGTGACATAACAGAGAAAAATATCGCCAGAGATCAAAGATGGGATTCGGAGCACTCTAAGTAACTCTGCTCCATAGAGTGAGCAGGTTATATGGTATCCAAGGATTTCCCCTTATATCAATAACATTTGTTCTGGTGAAACAGAAAAGGTAGCCCAGAGACTCCCTAATTGAAATCATTTCTGTCAAGTAGAATTGGGGCCATTTCTGTAACATGAGGATTAGAATTTCTGTTTTCTTGATCATGCCTTATAGTTGCTATGAATGCCAGGAATAGGCAACATAAATCCATCTAATTCAACTTTAATACAGAGAAATTAATAGAAATTGAAAAACATAAAAGTGAGTCCATGAAGAATTTGTCAGCCTGAGTACTTAAAAGCTATTATTGTAAAGGTAAAAGGAAAGTTTTACTATCGCTTATAAATTTGCTAGGTCAAAGAAGTGGTTAAGTAAATTTTTTGAGGCTTACACTATTCATTAAAATGAATTTCACATGTTTATTATGTATTATGTATAACATTAAAGTAAGGTAGTAAATAAAGGATCTAATGAGAGCACATGCATGAAGTTACTTTAAAGAAGTCCAAGACATTCTCCAGATCATATTAGAACTTAAGAAAATGTAGAATGACCCATAAATGGCTAAAAAAAGTAGAGGGGTATATTGGAAGAAAATTAATAGTTGAAATAGTCTTAATTATGAAAGAATTAATTTCTAGTTTGTATTTGTTACTTAAAGTATGATTTTCCTCAGTTGTTCTGTGCATTCAAGTATTCTCTGTTGGGTCTAGAAAATGAACAAGACTTTAACATAGTCCTCCCTAGGCCCATTGTCTTTTCTGTAGCATTAAATTTTGAATTTTTCATAAATTAAAATAACTACAAACAATCAGTCTTGATTCACTGGTTGAGACAGGCAAGTGCACCTTAGTTCATTCCTTTCCTGTTCTAAAGCAAGGTAGCTGGGATGTAGGTAACTTCCCTTGACATGCCATACATAACACACACGAGTATCTCTTTCCAAGTGCTATTGAAGTCTTTAGTGGACCAACTCATGTGTTTTTGCCTTCTCCAAGTGTGCTGGTATCAATGCCAAATTTCTAACGTAGATATGTTAGAAAATAAAAACAATCAACTTTGTTTAATAATCAGAAAGTTCTGATGCCCACGTTTGGAGCAATTTGAAATGCTTGCTTGAATCTTCACAGAAACGTGAGGATACTAACTTTCTTTAACTAGCTTCTTTACCTGGGACTATCACTAGGCTTCAATGAGTCCATGAAGCCCTGGGATTGCATGCAAAATTTCTGTTTTATGCATTTTTCTGGGAAAATTAGTACAAGCTATCATCAGATACTCAAATAATGTTAACAGTGACTGCTAGAGAACAGAAGTCAAAGCCCTAAACTAGAATCAAAAACTGCGAGAGCCCTAAAGGTCATCCAGACTGACGTACCATCTTGCAAATGAGAAAAAGAAGTCCGAGGAAGACGGAACCACACAACTACTAAGTTGATGCAAAATTAATTGCCAGTTTGTTTGTTTTTGTTTCTGTTTGAGACCAAGTCTTGCTCTGTCACCCAGGCTGGAGTGCAGTAGCACTATCTTGGCTCACTGCAACCTCCGCCTCCCAGGTTCAAGCGATTCTCCTGCCTCAGCCTCCCGAGTAGCTGGGATTACAGGCACCCACCACCATGCCTGGCTAATTTTTGTATTTTTAGCAGAGACGAGGTTTCACTATGTTGGCCAGGCTGGTCTTGAACTCCTGACCTTAGGTGATCCACCTGCCTTGGCCTCCCAATGTGCTGGGATTACAGGCTTGAGCCACCCAGCCCAACCTAATTGTGGTTTTAATGGCAAAAACCGCAATTAATTTTGCACTAACCTAATACAATTTATTAAACATTAGCTAGTGAAAATGAGTTACTGAAACTCCGGAATTTGCTTCTTAATTAAGGACCTCTTCCTCTACATGTGATACCAATCTTTCCTTTGGCTGTTGTTTAAAAGTCAGATTTTGTTGTATGACCCTTAAAATAATTTTTCTGTGATGCCGAAACCTAATTATGAGAAATACATATGTTTTTAAAACAACATAAAACATTTTATAATTCTGGCCTTAGGCATCTGTTGGTATGAATAAATGTTTAAAAGACTTTCATTTGTAGATTAAAATTTATGTTTTATAAAAACGGCACTAAAGTAGTAGATATTATGCCTTAAACGCTTGTTAGGTTTTTTCTTGAAAAAGGATAGTTTGTATACATGTCACATGACATGGTCTACCTAACTTTTAAGTAGCTTTGTTGTATCAAATTCATTTTAAGTACATTTTAAACTTCTCTATAATTAATATTTAATTTATACAAATTAATCTATTATCTCTAACAGTGAGTGAGTTAGTGGAAGTTCCTTTGTAATATTTATGAAAATCTCAAACCAAGATCATGCAATGCCACCTATTACCAAAAAATATGTTTCTACTTAATGTTTATTTTGAATTCTCCAAACCTCCAAATTATTAACAAAAATGCTAAGCAAGTCATGCTGTTCATTTAAATGGCAACTCTGTACCTACTCAATAGTTAAAACACTAAATCTGAAAAGATGTCAGCTGCTTTTGAATTCTCAAATCAAGTAAGGTATTTACTATTCTCAGTAAGCTACCTAAATTAGTCACTCCTTTTAGAAGTACAGGACAAAAAATGAAAAAGATACTATAATAGTAAGTTAACCTAAAATTTTTAATCCACTAATGCTCTGCGATTTAAAACAAATAAGATACGGTTAGCCTGCAGACAAAAAAAAAAAAAAATTCCTGGGCATGAATCACTGCTTACATTCTTTTCCATCCACAAACAATTTCATTTGGGAAAGTTGCCACATAGTATCGACAGTGACAACAAATGGCATTGTCCCGTGAACATCTGTTTCCGACTCCCACACTGATACTGCAGGCTGGGTACTTAGGACTTAGTTGGTCTTCACAAGTTGCTGAGCCACAAAGGAACTGGAAATCACTGGTACGTTGAGGTTTTATTATTGGAACACAGGAAAACTTTATCATCATGCTGGGAAGTTCTGTATCTTTTGAAATATTGGAACCGGGGTTATGTTAGCACATTAAACCATGCGGAAGACTACTTCTGAAGAAAGGGGAGGAAAAAAACTGTTTCTTGTCTATTATGTCCTTGGGTTGAGGTTCCCACTCAATCTTCATATAACTTCCTCACCCACCCTCAACCGAAAATTGTTTTGTTTTTAAAAGATGTTATTGAGTTTAGCTTCTTGTTAAAATCAAGAGAACAGAATACCAAAGGAATTCTAAGCAAAACATGATAAATAAACACTATTGTTTCTTAACAAAAAAAAAAGAAAAGAAAACAGAAGAGCTTTTATACACACTTTTATTTTTTCTAAATTCACACTACCATGCTTCACATTTTCTGAAAGCCTGGCGATATAAGGCTCGTAAAGACTCTTGACTAGAACATCCTCACCTCAGCCCACAGTGTTAAAAGGAGGAGGGCAAAGAGCTGCTGGGAGAAAAGCCAGCATGAGTGGATAAGTGGAGAGGTGGCGACAAGACACAGATGTGCGACTTTGGCTTTTGCTGCTCAACTTGTGCTACAACGGTAACGGTTTATGCACGTCTTTCAAGAACCCTTCAAGTGCACGCAACAGATTACTACTCTGTTTTACACCTCTTCTCTGTGTGGCACTTAGTTTTAATGAAAGTCTAATTCTAAACTACTTGCATGCTGCAACTATTTGCATGCTCCAAATTAATTTGCATATTGCTGAAGCAAAGAGGCTTCCTTTTTTGGCGCTTAGTTTTAACAAAAGCAGTAATAGAAGTGAATGTTATTCACAATGGTAATTCTGAATCAACCTATATTAAAACTACTGGCATGCTTCAAATTAATTTGCATATTGCTGAAGCAAAAAAGCCTCCTTTTTTTGCAAAGCGGCTTTCCTTTTTCCACTTATATTAATGGAAATGTTCAGTGGGATATGCAGTCAATGTCTGACTTATGTATACTTGGTAAATGGTTCATTCTAAAAAATATATATTGGAACATATTACATAAAACACTGTTTACTTCATTTGGCATCACACAAAATAGGCACTCCAAAAAATATTTATTAAAGAGATCACCAAATGAAATTACCACAGAGCTGTCTGGCTGAAGATAGGACAATAATAAATTCCTACTGGAGAGAAATAATTCTAAGACTTATTTTTCCTAGAGGACAATCTTTCACCAGAATACACATATAGTTTATAAATAAGTAATACATGTTTTTAAAAAGAATTATTACTAAATTCCATATCTTCATAATTTCACGTGTAAACCCCTAAAAATGTAACTATTTAAAAAATAATCATTCAGTCTATCATGACTACTTATGGGAAAATATATCCATATTTGGAGAAGTTTTTTTTTTAATTCCAGTCCATAGTGATTTAAAAAAAAAAAATTAAAGTGTTTGAGATTTGTGTTTCTCTCGTGTTTTTTTTTTTTTTTTTTTTGAGATGGACTCTCGCCCTGTCGCCCAGACTGGAGTGCAGTGGTGTGATCTCGGCTCACTGCAGGCTCCACCTCCTGGGTTCCCGCCATTCTCCTGCCTCAGCTTCCCGAGTAGCTGGGACTACAGGCACCCGCCACCAAACCTGGCTAATTTTTTGTATTTTTAGTAGAGACGGAGTTTCACTGTGTTAGCAAGGATGGTCTCGATCTCCTGACCTTGTGATCTGCCCGCCTCGGCCTCCCAAAGTGCTGGGATTACAGACGTGACCCACCGCACCCGGCCCTTTTTCTTCTTTCTTTCTCTCTTTCTTGTTTTTTTTTCTTTTTTTTTTCTTTTCTTTTAGATTAAAGACAGGGTCTTGCTATGTTGGTCTTGAATCCTCCCACCTCAGCCTCCCAAAGTGCTAGGATTTCAGGTGTGAGCCACTGTGCCTGGCCTCTCCCACTTTTAACTACAGTCTTACAATCAGTTCTCAAATAACTGCACTCATAATTCATTATCAAAAAGAAAAAAACATTAATAAACAGGCAATCAAAAATTAGAACTAGATCTGTAATATTCATGCCCATGAATCATTTCATTACTAATAGACTATTTATATTGTTTTTTATGCTTTTTAGCATACTTTTATTATGTCATTGATTCCTCACGAGGACCAAGTATAGCCATTTTCATCCAAATCAGTCTTGAAGAAAAATTCAAGAGGAATTCTTTAAGATTGAGTTGATTCAAATGGCACCATCTCTGCAAAGTTTTCCCTGGTGCCCCCTCCACAGACAGAAAAGCTCTGCCCTGTGTTCTTATAACAGCTATCGTCTCTGTTATACACCCATTGCCCATTCTAATTACAGGTTCAAAAGTCTGTCTCCCAGCAGTGCGAGGCTAGTAAGCAAGGACTGGGTATCTTAACCGACTTCGTATCCCTGCTGCTTAGCAATGTGCCTGGCATATTGAGGCGCTCCATATATGTTTGCTATATTAATTAATCAAGAAACTGTGGCTCAGAGAAGATGTGTGTGCATATGTGTGTGTGTGTGGTGTGTGTGTGTGTGTTTCAGTGGGGCCTACGTATCTGTGATTCTGTATCTTCTACATCCGTGGATTCAACCATGGATCAAAAGTATTTGGGGAAAACAAATTGTGTCTGTACTAAACATGTACAGACTTTTTTGTCATTATTCCCTAAACAATACAGTGTAACAACTACTTATACTCTCTTAGGTATTATAATTTTAAGATGATTTAAAGTACATGGGAGGTTATATGTAAATACTGTGCCATTTTTATACCAGAGACTTGAACATTCTCAGATGTTAATATCTGTGGAAGGTCCTGAAACCAATCCCCCACAGATATCAAGGGACAGCAGTATGTGTGCGCATATATATATAAAGGGGAATATATATATATATATAAAGGGGAATATATATATATATATAAAGGGGAATATATATATATATATATATATAAAGGGGAATATATATATATATATATATATATATGTATGTAAATGCTTTGACCAAAGTCATAGAGCACATTAGTGGCTCAGGTGAAACTGAAACCTGACTTTTGGTTCAGGGCTGTTCACGATGCACTAGTTCTTCCAGTTTCAACTATGTTAACTGATCCTCTGTAGATGCAAACTAATAGTAACCAAATAAGTTAACAAAAAGGCAAGCAATCAACGCTGATTTTCGTAAGGAAGTAAAGATAAAATTCTTCATCACATCTTGTGTCACCTAGAGGAAACATCAGCCTGCCAATTTTACAAACATGCTGGTAAAAGAATTTCCTTGGCAAATTGACAGCATGGAAATGTCCTTTCTAAAAATCAATTAACCCTCTAAATTCACGGGCTTGCTAGAAACATTTCCTATGCCATGGAATACAAGGCTCATGGAGATGCTCTTCCCCTTTCTATTTCTGGACATCTTCTTTTGTTCATACTTGCTAATAATAGTAGCAGAGATGGAGGTGCTATTTATAGTCCTGAAAGCAGCATGACTCTGTGCACACTTTATTCATTTATATTTCCTGTGTTTATTGTAACCTTACCTTTTTAGTAATTAAAAGTGTTCATCCAAGATTTTATTTAGCAACAAATCAGTTGTAAATAGCTTTTCTTTTAATACATGAGAGCCTATATATAGGCTCACTCAAATATTTTACTCCCACTTCCTTATTAACTAAAAACAGATTTCAATGGTGGGTAGGGGTATACAACGGTGTTTTCTTTCCAAGTTTTATACAAGATCTAATTATTTGGCCTTCGGGTGTTTTGATTAAAAGGGTGTCACATTATGAGGTAAATCATGCATTCTCAAATCATTCAAATTTTGTCTTAGATACTGAAGCAAAATTGCTATTATAGCCAACCCACCATGAATTTATTAATCAACAGACTATAACTTTAAATTTATCTGATTGCTATATAATATGGTTAGAATATATAATAATTAAAAATGCTTCCTCTGCTCCATAAAAAATTGCTTGCTGGAATACAAGTTCTCTAAAAATGGTCTCACCTAGAAGTTCCCTTTGAAACCAATAGGGTTTCCCAGTATTAGAAGCACCTAAAAACAGAAAAATTAATTTTCCTAGATTTACTCCTGGTATTCCTTTACCTCGATTTATATAAATGAGTTAGGCCCTACCTCTTTATAAGCAATTCCTTGTGAAGATAGTCATACCAAACATGAATCAATTTCCTCACTAGATCTAAGACAACAAAAGTGCATATTTTGTCAGCTTGAACCAGCATTCCATATCTATCTGTTCTTTATCATATAGTATAGATTGTTTTCATCAGAAAGTAAAGCTCAAGGTAGTTTGTGTGCATCTATTTTAAAACTGATCAATTTTTAAGACTTTCCAATAAAAAAAATCTGCTAAATATTATAATTGGTTCTGTCTCTGAGCAGAGAAATACTGAGTAACACAGGCAGTGCTTGATCCTGTGGTCCCACTGAATATCGGCTCTGCTCTTCATCACAACCTCAAAATCCACTAGAATTGAGACAGTTAGGTTTTTAATCTAAAATAGCCTAGTTAGAGAAGTAATTAGCAGTTAATTAGAGCATTCAATCTCAAAAGCTCTCTTTTAATAAATGTATTTTTTACCTCTCTGCTCTAAACCTGATCAAACCAAAAGATTCAGCAAAAGTGGGAGCAATTATGTAAACATTTATTCAGTTATTCTCAATATGGGACAATTTAACTTCCAGATTTGCCTTATACTCAAGTGTAATGAAACAACAGATTTTGGGCACTGTTGTTGTTTTAAGTGCCATTTCAATGTGTTTTTACCTAGGGTTTTGTTTCGATAAAGTTGATGCTACATAAACACCTCTTAGCTCAGAAACCATTGTGAAACATTACAGCTGTGCAGCAGAGTGTTTTCAGGTCTAAACTAATTATTGATGTGTTAGTTATTTTTCTCTACCTCCTAAGGTGAAATGAGACAGGGCTGAAAGCTGTGGAAAAACCTAGAGCAAAAGCATATGAAATAATATTTTGTGGATATTAATTCCTCTCTTTGAAAGTGTTTGGTCTGGTACATTTGATTTAGAAATCAAAGAACATTAATCAAAATAGTCCTACAAATGATTTGACCTAATCTCAAATTCTCGTTAGGCAGCCATCTGGGTAAATAATTTCAAACCAAAGAAGTCAATTGCTCTAAAAAGGACGACTTGTAAAAGGACGTATATATCTGGAAAAATAGGTAGCTTTGCTCCCATTTCAAAAGATAAATTCATTTTTACTCTCTCTTATAAAGTATTGCCAACACGTTTCTAGTATTCCCTGCAGATTCTTCCAGAATTCTCCCTTTTACCTGAGAGCCTGCACATATAAACTGAAACTCTGCTATGCATCCTAACTGCTCAGGTACATACACAGGCGTGGCACATTGACACAGAGCAAAAGCCAGCCACTTAAACCAGCTCTAAATCAGGTTTGTGTATATATTTGGTGGGGGGGATGGGGCTGGGGGGTTGGAACAGATTTTTGATTAAAAGTTATTATGCAGGAACAGTGAGTGATTTTTTTTTTTTTTTGAGACAGAGTCTCACTCTGTCACCTAGGCTGGAGTGCAGTGGTGCAATCTCAGCTTACCGTAGCCTGGACCTCCTCAGCTCAAGCGATCATCCTGCCTCAGCCTCCCAAGTAACTAAAACCTCAGATGCATGCAACTATACCTGGCTAATTTTTAAATTTTTTGTAGAGACAGGGTCACTATGCTGAGACTCCTTGTCTTAGGCTCAAGTGATCCTCCTAATTCGGCATCCCAAAGTGCTGGGATTACAGGTGTGATCCACAGCACCTGGCTGATCATTTCATTTAAAGTATATATTCTTGACTTGTAGATGATTTAAAAATAAAAATCCTCAGACACTCCCAAATATGACTGGCTTATAAGATTTGCTAGGCTACCTTCTCTGTGTGCCTTAACTATTCCTCAAACCAAAAGACCGAGAAAGCCGAAGCCCACAGCAAATGCACAAAGGGGCTCTGCCATCCATTCATTTAACTAACATATACTGACAGCTTATTATGAACAGGAAAGTAGATGCCTGGGAAAAATTACCTAAAACCAACTGTATACAAAACTACTACCCTGCACAATTTATATCAGTCAAACTACCTCACAAATGAAAAGTACTTAAGGATGTCACTTTATTTTTCGGGCAAAATTAGAAGTGAATAAAGACGACTTAAAAAAAAAAAACTTTCCCTTAGCCTTCCAAATTTATGTTGAACTTACAGCTCTGGAGAGCAAACTTTTCATAAAAATATCTCTAACATCCTATTTTAAAGCCAAATGGAGTTCATCTTAGAGATAACTATTCATGGACACGTGTAATATTGAGACATAATTAGAGATTATGTTTTCCAATGTTCCTCTTAATTAGTCACTTAAGAATTCTAATCTTTTTACTTTGGCATGAAGGGCAAGACTGGGTAAATAAAATCAAATAGGAAATGTAAGATAATTTAGTAGTTTTTAATGTGATTCCTTTTACGAATAGAAAAATTAAATTTCTGCAGTATGAGGACCTCCAAAACCTTTATGACATACTTTATAATCTTACCATAGGAAACCCCACAGTTTCCTAATTAGATAATAGTAAAACTTGTATCTATATGCAATACTATATTGCTATTGTAGAATATGAATTGTTTGGCCAAGTGTGGTGGCTCACGCCTGTAATCCCAGCACTTTGGAAGGCTGAGGTGGGTGGATCATTTGAGGTTTGAGACTGGCCTGACCAATATGGTGAAACTCCGTCTCTACTAAAAATACAAAAATTAGCCAAGCATGGTGGTGCATGCCTATAATCCGTGTTACTCAGGAGGCTGAGGCAGGAGAATTGCTTGAACTCAGGAGGTGGAGGTTGCAGTGAGCTGAGATCATGCCATTGCACTCCAGCCTGGGTGACAAGAGCAAAACTCCATCTCAAAAGAAAAAAAAAAAGAATATGAATTGTTTATAAATTCTTCATCAGAACTAAAAGAGAACTTACAGCATTTTCCATTTAAATTTGTTTGATATACATATTAAAAATTTCTTAGGGTAAGGAGAGTGAAATTGAACTAATGGGACTATGCCTGGTATCAGCTAGTCTAGGTGAGCTTAGGAGAAGGTGGAATGCTTAAGACTGAATAACCACAGAGTGTCTAATGAGGCTATAAATGCTGAACTTAGCTCAGAGAAAAATTACTTCTTTAGTCTCCAGGCATGACTTTCTTGATAGTCCCTGGGTCAATGAGAAATTATTTTTAGAAAGAAAAACTCACTACAGATGTCTGGGGTTAATATTTATTTTCAGTCAGTTTGGGTAGTATAGACTTAAATCCTATTTTACCAAATTTTAAAATATCATCATCTGTGTAGATTTCTATCTTTATTTCTACCTCCTCCTAGCCCAAATGATATTCTACACAAGAAATACCTTAGCAGAACTGCAAATCGGAAGCAGATTTACCTGAAACTAATGAGCTTCAGCTTCAGCAGCCTTTACTTGCACAGAAAATCCCATGGCTTTTTGAGGGACTCAAGCAATGTGTATGCTCCAGGTCTAATGTTTTTGTAAAATGTGCAAAAGAAAGAGATTTTTGTGGTCTTTTTCACTGAGCGCTTCCTAAATTGTATAAAATTTAGAGTCCGCAAAGCTGGGATTAATCTCTGCTGCAAGGGACCACTGACTTGGGCTAATAAGTAAACTGGCAAGAAGCCTTTTCAACTTCAAAGATATCAGACAAAATATTATCAATTTTTTTTTCCAAATGACTAGAAGTAAATTAAGTAAGTTTCGAAGTAGTGGGAAACTAAGTCCTGTTGGAATATTGGGAGACTGAAGAATTATAATAGATGAAACACTCATTGCTATTAGCAGGGTTATTGATTCTGATATGTATGACATATTTATGCTCATCTGTAATTTTGTAGATAAATCCCTGGATTTGATTTCTAATCCAAACCCTGACACTGCTCTGCCCCAGGAGGAGAGAAGCCTTGGAAAGACTATAGCTTGGATTCTTGTGCTACTATAGAAAAGAAAGTTGAAAGAGTTCTTTAAAAAGCAACAAAGATCATTAAAGAATTGAAGATAAAGCTTACAAAAAATATTTAAAATAACTAGCAACTTTACCCTCATAAAAAGGACAACAAAGGAAAACAAATTGGGTCTATGCCAAGACACTGATGCAAACATCGGATGAAATTCATCTATAGGTTTCATACTGAAGGAGAAAAATACCTTTAAAGGTAATATTTCACACTTTAAATACAAGGAGTGCAAAGTTTCCTGAGCTCAGAGCCAACCTCAGAATCAGGAACTTCAAGGGAGGAAGCACTAAATGTTCTCAGCCATTATTTCTCTGCATACGTAGCCAACTGAATTTGCACACTGGTGTCTGCATAGGCACTTAGTCTTTTTTGTGTGTTTTTAAACATTTATTTTAGGT
The DNA here is from genome assembly GCF_000001405.40 of Homo sapiens. Lineage (NCBI taxonomy): Eukaryota > Metazoa > Chordata > Mammalia > Primates > Hominidae > Homo > Homo sapiens. The sequence goes on along the minus strand of NC_000001.11, from coordinate 200,067,768 downwards.
TCGGGGGTACATGTGAAGGTTTGTTACCTAGGTGAACTCTTGTCATGGGGGTCTGTTGTACAGATTATTTTATCACCCAGGTATTAAGTCCAGCACCCTGTAGTTATCTTTTCTGCTGTCTCCCTCCTCCCACCCTCCAGCCCCAAGCAGACTCGTGTCTGTTGTTCCCTTGTGTTCGTGAGTTCTCATCATTTAGCTCCCACTTCTTCTTTGAGACAGAGTTTCACTCTTGTTGCCCAGGCTGGAGTGCAATGGCACGATCACAGCTCACAGCAACCTCCACCTCCCAGGTTCAAGCAACTGTCCTGCCTCAGCCTCGTGAGTAGCTGGGATTACAGGCACCCGCCACCCTGCCAGGCTAATTTTGTATTTTTAGTAGAGACGGGGTTTCTCCATGTTGGTTAGGCTGGTCTTGAACTCCCAACCTCAAGTGATCTCCCCGCCTTGGCCTCCCAAAGTGCTGGGATTACAGGCGTGAGCCACCGCGCTCAGCGAGCTCCCACTTATAAGTGAGAATATGAGGTATTTGGTTTTCTGTTCCTGTGTTCCTTTGCTAAGGATAATGGCCTCCAGCCCCACCCATGTTCCTGCAAAAGACATGATCTCGTTCTTTTTTATGGCTGCATAGATAGGTGATCAGTCTTAGTTATACCCCTCTGTCTTAATTACTGAAATAAATTTAGATTCCCTAATGTCTAAATTTTTTAGGTTTTCACATAGCTGCAATTCAGCAAGTCATCATGTAAAGGGTTATGATGAAGCAAGGGGTAGCCACGTGTTCCATCTCTATTGACAGGTCCACAGGGAATGACACGTGATGCAGAAGGAAGGATTTAAGTTGTACATAAAAGAATGTCTTGACTACTGCCAAACTTTAAAATAGATGGCAGGGGCCAGGCATGGGGGCTCACGCCTGTAATCCCGAGGCCGAGGTGGGCAGATCACTGGAGGTCAGAAGTTCGAGATCACCCTGACCAACATGGTGAAACCCTGTCTCTACTAAAAATACAAAAATTAGCTGGGCATGGTGGTGGGCACCTGTAATTCCTGCTACTCAGGAGACTGGGGCAGGAGGATCACTTGACCCCAGGAGGCAGAGGTTGCTGTGAGCCGAGATCGTGCCATTGCACCCCAGCCTGGGTGACAGAGTGAGACTCCCTCTCAAAAAAAAAAAAAAAAAGATAATTAATTAAATAGATGGCAGGGAATGTATAGAGGATCCCCACCCCTGAGAAATCTTTGGGAAGAGCTTGAATTTATATCTGCGTGGAGTGGTCGAGCTGTGCCTTCTTGAATAAAAATAAGGATTAGAATAAATGAATAGTTCCCAAAGGTGACATCTGAGAACTGGCTCTGGCACCTGGCTCTATCTGTTTAGGGAAGTTTTAGAACATGTGCAGGATTTTCCCCTAGATGGTCTGGTTCCCCTTCTCCACAAATGGCTCCCAAAGGCTTAAGCCAAAAACCTGAGTCCTGCCTGCCTCATCTTCTCTCAAAGTCTTTTTGGCAAATTCTATCAGCTTTACCTCAACATGTATCCTGGGTCCATCAACTTCTCCCCCATCTCCATTCTCCTGCCCTGATCTAAGCCACCATCTCTCCATCTCTCCCCTGGGGTGATGGACCTCCTGTATACTCTCTTGCTTCCCTTCAACTTTTTTCCCATCTGCAGCCAGTGCAATAGTTTTTCTACTGAGAATTCGATGAAATCACTCCATTGCTTAAAATCCTCCTATGGCTTCCTATTCCAAACAATAAAATCCAAGCCCTCCAGGAGCTGGACCTTGTCAAACTTTTTGACATTTTCAAGAGCCCTATTTCCCCCACAATCATTGATTTTTAGGTAGTGACCTTCCTTTATTTTCTTGAAAATATTAAGCTAGCTTCTACCTCAGGATTTTTGCATATGCTATTCCTGTGCCTGTAGTGCTGTGTGTCCAGATTTATCAAGGCTGTTTTCTTTCTTGTTATTTGGATTTCAGCTGAAATGTCAGCTCTTCACATTGGTCTTCTCTGAACCCCTCTAACTGCTCCCTTCCTCCTCACTTGTTTCTTCCCACTTCTAGAACAGGGCTTGACACATACTGGATACTTAATTAATGTATGTTGAATTAATAAATATATGAATGGATGAGCAATTCATCAGGTCTGGGGTAGAATTTGGGAATATGTAATTTTAAAAAGCTAGTGTGGAATCACTTTAGGCACACTGGGCTAGACTGCCCCCTCGATGTGTGCATATACTGGAAGGATGATTTGGTGTCATTAAAATAATAACTATGAAATAATCAGCAATAAATCAGTTCAAGGTTAAAAAGAAAAACTTGGCTGGGCATGGTGGCTCACGCCTGTAATCCCAACATTTTGGGAGGCCGAGGTGGTGGATCACCTGAGGTCAGGAGTTAGAGACCAGCCTGGCTAACATGGTGAAACCCTGTCTCTCCTAAAAATACAAAAGTTAACTGCATGTGGTGGTGCACACCTGTAGTGCCAGCTTCTCAGGAAGCTGAGGCTAGAGAATCACTTGAACCCAGGCAGAGGTTGCAGTGAGCCAAGATCACACCACTGCACTCCAGCCTGTGTGACAGAGTGAGACTCTGTCTCAAAACAATAAAAAAATTAAAACTAAAAAAGAAAAAGAAAACTTTCTGGTCAAAAAGAATGTTATACTGAAGAAATCTGAAGGCTGGGCATGGTGGATCAAGCCTGTAACCCCAACACTTCGGGAGGCTGAGGCAGAAGAATTGCTTGAGCCTAGGAGTTTGAGACCAGCCTGGGCAACATAGCTAGGCCCCATATCTACAATAAATAAATAAATAAATAATTTTTAAAACATTACATTTCTTTAAATTAAATATGAAACAAGGACCAGGACCTCAAATACATACATGTCATCAATAACCAAAATTTACCTAGAGGAAAAAGGTCTGTTGGAGACAATAACAAAAATAACTAAGGACATAAAAGATACCAACTCCTTTAGTACAAGTTTAGATAGTAAATTAAAAACAAAACAATATTTAAATGCACTTTAAGCTAAATGCTGGCAATTAAGGAAAATCCTATACCAGGACCGAAATCATGACATTATGTGGTGGGCATATGTCCCTGGTACATTTTCAATCCTTCTGGCCCCCGATGCTTAAGTTTTTCCAGTGGCTCCCCTTTGCTTTGAATAAAATCCATATTAGAACCGTATGTATAAATGAGCTGCTCACCTGTCCAGCTTTACCCCTTGCCCCTTCCCTATCCTTGTCCTTCCAGCCATAGGAATTACTTGAAGTTTCCAAGAAGTGCTATGCCAAAGCCTCTGTATTTTTACACGAGCTGTTCTCTCCTAGTGATGCCGCCCTGAACCCTCCCTTACTCTCACCTTGTTGTCTATGGGAATTAAGTTGTCCTTTCCAGTTCAAACATAATCTTAAACATTGGTGTAAACAGGGCTGGGGTTATTAGTGTGCTGTCATAACCAAGTACTTGCACAAGATTTCAGGGTCAGAGTTTGCCATTGTGTTTAGTGCCGCATCAATGTCAGGAGGGGTTCTACTTTAATTGAGAAAACTGCCATGAAGACTTAACTTGTAAAGTGAAGACGGCTCTCGTCCTTTTTTTTTTTTTTTGAGATGGAGTCTCGCTCTGTCGCCCAGGCTGGAGCGCGATGGTGCAATCTTGGCTCACTGTAACCTCCACCTCCCAGGTTCAAGCAATTCTCCTGCCTCAGACTCCTGAGTTGCTGGGATTACAGGCATAAGCCACCATACCCAGCTACTTTTTGTATTTTTAGTAGAGACGGGGTTTTGCCATGTTGGCCAGGCTGGTCTTGAACTCCTGAACTCAGGTGATCCTCCTGCCTCAGCCTCCCAAAGTGCTGGGATTACAGCACTTGCTTCTGTCATGTCTCCAGCAATTTAGCATAGGGATTGACACACAGTACAAACTTGATAAATGTTTGATGAATGTGTGAGTGAATAAATGAATATGTGAATAAAATTTGAATTTGGCCTGATCCTAGGTCAGGACTACCCATTTATGGCTGAAATGTTTTAGGGGCAGCTTTAAGAGTGTGATTCAACAACAAAGAAAAATACTACACCCCAGTAAAATGCAGGTGTAATGTGGTTTGATCCTTTCAAAAGCTAAAAATCTCAGCTGGACCCTTCCAAATATGACTGAAATGAAGTTATTTTTACTAGATTATAACACTTCATTGATAAACTCATAAAAGCAATTCTCAATGGTCAAATAAAACTCCTTCAATAACACTCATCAGCAGGAATACCAACAGATGAGTGCAACATAGTAATGCTTTTAGGCCGGGCGGGGTGGCTCACACCTGTAATTACAGCACTTTGGGAGGCCAAGGTGGGTGGATCACGAGGTCAGGAGTTCGAGACCAGCCTGACCAACATGGTGAAACCCCGTCTCTACTAAAAGTACAAAAATTAGGCCGGGTGCGGTGGCTCACATCTGTAATCCCAGCACTTTGCGAGGCCGAGGGAGGTGGATCATGAGGTCAGGAGCTCGAGACCAGCCTGACCAACATGGTGAAACACTGTCTCCACTAAAAAAAAACAAAAATTAGCTGGGTGTGGTGGCATGCGCCTGTAATCCCAGCTACTTAGGAGGCTGAGGCAGGAGAATTGCTTGAACCTGGGAGGCAGGGGTTGCAGTGAGCCGAAATCGCGACACTGCACTCCAGCCTGGGTGACAGAATGAGACTCCATCTCAAAAAAAAAAAAACACGCCAAAGTGAACCAGGGCCATTGTTTACACTGCAGGTATCTGATGTTACTTGAACTAAGTGTTAATAGCAATAGTGCTGTTATTGCACTCAGGTGTCTTCCCCCCACCTTAATTTACATGCCAAACAGATCCATAATTTTTTTCTCCAAAGCTGGAGTAAGAATCAATTAAAGTACATAATAATGTGTTAACTAGCTAATACAGCAGTTAACATTAAGGGGCATTTCAAGCCTCTGAGTTTTTAGCAGTAGAGCTTTTCTTTCATTTGCTCTGTAAGATCTATAATTGAAAGAATACCATGAGAGATGGCTTTCATCAGCTCTGCGAGTTACATTTCCTGCTTTGATAACTGTACAAGGAAAATCTAAGGCACTTCAAGCTCCCCAATTACATTTGATTAGCTAGTCAAAATAATATAACAGCTTTTCATCACTCAACGGAAAACTTTTGAAGAATTCTGTTGCCAACACTTCTGCACAAACACTAATCTATATCATTATTTTATAAGGGGAAATGTAATATTTGGTAAGTTTTTTAAAAATTAGGCAACAAGTAAAGCCTCTTATTCATCACAACTTTAGATCAAAAAGGCACACAACTGTGCTGATAAGATGTGTGGTGAAGAAGCATTTGTAGCAGTTTCAGAGTCCACAGGATACAGTGATCGAAATGAAACAACAGCCCTTAGAATGAGCCAACATTTCAGAGAATGTGTGTGAAAACAGGATATGCACTCAAAACACTGCGATACACACATGGACACAGATACACACACACACACACACACACACACACACAAAATCTGCCAGGGAGAATTATTTGGGACCCTGAACTTGTGCATGCAGATAATTGTTTTTAGCAAATGAATATGAGTGTGCCTGTATGAAAATAAGGAACGCTAATTAAGAAGTCATTTAAAACATTATTCTGGGAATTTTCAGGTTATTGACAATATCTATGGAATGTTGCTTAAAAGTAAAGCAAAGATGTCTACATATTGCCTTTACCATTGAGAAATCTGTATCCGTCCTTTATGTCTTGAGCACGTTAATTCAACATGTATCCAGTGTCTACCATGGGTCATTCCCATAAAAATATGTTTTTAATTTAAATGAAGTAATTATCCTGCTCTCTCAGGTAAAACATGCTATAAACAGGGCATTTAGACATGTGACAGTCAATTCATAGGAGGTGGTTCTGTTATAGAATTTAATAACGAACACTACTAAACCATTGATGAAAGGCCAGTTACATCTGTGCTCCCAAAAATGAAAGACAGAGACCAGGACCTTAAGATCTCAGGTTGCATTCCACCTTTGCGAGGCTCTTATTGCACAATAAAGGACAGACTTTAGACCTATTGGCCAATTATTCCATCTGTCATGTAAAGAAATGGTATTCTTACAGAATTAGAAGTTGGATCAAGTTTGGTTGTAAAGTTAATCCCGGGTCGGGCGCAGTGGCTCACGCCTGTAATCCCAGCACTTTGGGAGGCGGAGGTGGGCGGATCACCTGAGGTCGGGAGTTCAAGACCAGCCTGACCAATATGGAGAAGTCTTGTCTCTACTAAAAATACAAAATTAGCCAGGCATGGTGGTATACGCCTGTAATTCCAACTACTTTGGAGGCTGAAGCAGGAGAATCGCTTGAACCCTGGAGGCAGAGGTTGCAGTGAGCCAAGATCACGCCATTACACTCCAGCCTGGGCAACAAGAGCAAAACTCTGTCTCCAAAAAAAAAAAAAAAAAAAGTTAATCCCGAATGTTGTGCACTCTGAGTGACATTGACATTTCCAAATATTCAAAATAATGTGGTTTTCTGTTAGTTTTCTGAGAGAAATGATCAGGCAGCATTTCAACAAGTCCTGGGTACTTCAGACTTAATTTTTTTTTTTTTTTTTTTTTTGAGACGGAGTTTTGCTCTGTTGGCCAGGCTAGAGCACAGTGGCGCAAATCTTGGCTCACTGCAACCTTCGCCTCCTGGGTTCGACCAATTATCCTGCCTCAGCCTCCTGAATAGCTGGGATTACAGGTGGCCGCTGCCATGCCAGGCTAATTTTTGTATTTTTTTTTTTTTTTTTTTTTTTAGTAGAGATGGGGTTTCACCATCTTGGCCAGGATGGTCTCGAACTCCTGACCTCGTGATCCACCTGCCTTGGCCTCCCAAAGTGTTGGGATTACAGGCATGAGCCATCACACCCAGCCCAGACTTAGTTATTCTTGTCAAAGCTTTTGGCTATTCCTTCCCAGGACACATACGTGAAGAATTCATAGAATTTGTCCTGGTAGGTCAAGAACGTAGCATGTGAAAATTATTTCCAAGGAGGAAGTTAAAGGTGAGGAAGACACTAGTGACCATCTCTGGGACTGTGTGGATACATGGTTAAAAGACTGAAGTAGAACAGCCTTGTCATGGACAGAAACCCTTACACCTATTTGAAAAGCAGGGATTTTCAAATTGCTTTTGCATTGACTTCGTGGGATCCATGCATACTCACCTTGCTAAGCCTGCAGCCTCAGTAACCTCTCCTGCCCATACCCATCCAAGCTGAGCAGCTACTCCCTCTGCACTCACCCTTGGAAAATGCCACTGTGTGGAAGTCACTTGGTACAGTGGAAGGACAGATAGAAATCCTATTATCATTAACTGCAGCCCTTCTCTGGGGTCTATTTAACCGTTTCTCTTGCCTGCTCCACCCATTCTCAGACTTGTAGGGAACGAGTTGCCTTCCTTGCTCAACCACATTTCACCTGAAGGGTAAATGAAGATGCAGCTGAGGACAAGGTAATGCCTAAGCGTGCTTCCTGAGGTATTAGAAGGAAAGGAAAAAGAGTTAATGAAGTAAGAAAAGAAAAAGCGAATTGGGACAGAAGAAAAGTGGACAAGGAGGAGAGAGGAGAAGATAAAGAAAATGATGTGCAAGGTTAGTGTGCCCCATGAAGCCAGCCAGGGCGCCCATGCCACTGGCTGCCTGATGTTAGCCTACTGTATGGAGAGGACACAGGTGTAGAGGGGAGTTAAGTTTTAAGTATCAGATATTCAAGAAATACCTAACTGCTGGGTTAGGTGACGTGGTTTATGTCATTTTTGTTGTTCTTGGCTGTGGGTGGTTTTCTTGGGTTAGAGCTTAATGTCTTTAACGTGAAGAATAGTTTAAATGGCCAATTTCCATGGAGCCATTCTGCAAATGGATGTTGAACTCTCAAAGATTTGTATGATCTACTTCCCAAGCTGCAGAAGAATAGGTCAGAGCAAAATCATTCTTTATTTATCCTGGAAAATAAAAAAGATCTATTTTACCATATAGGTTCAGAGGGCAAAGTCCTTCAAAAGTGTGTTGAGGGATGTCACATATGAGTCATGTTTTCTGTGTGTGTTTGTGTGCATGTGTGTATGTGTTTAACTTATTCTGTGACTTTGTATGACAGTGTGCAGACAGGGAACAGGGGGCTCAGGCTTAGTGGGCTCTACCTCCCCAACACTGAGGAAGTAACACTGGCAGCCTTTCCATAAGATCTGTGAGCAATCTGTGTGCCTGCTGGAAAAGCATAAGTACTGGAATAAGCAGGGACCCTAATTATTCTCAGCAAACAAGCATGTGGCTACTTCTAGGCAGACAAGCTGACAAAATTGCTTCTACCGATTGTTCAGTAGGAACCAGTGCCGAGCACTGGGAGGTTGGGAGATAAGGTAAGCCTACCCAGGTATTCACAAGCTGGGGAGGACCTCACTGCTAATGCATACCTGACTGCCTCATTCTGTGCCCCTCCAATTATATATAGCCTGGTTTTGCAAAATGAGGCTGAAGTCTCTGCAACCAACAAGACCCTGTTCCTGTTCTGATGGGGACATACTGAATTATTTTGTCTTCAGTTTCCTACGATGGTCTCCTCTAATTATTATTATTATTATTTTTAAGACAAAGTCTCACTCTGCCGCCCAGGCTGGAGTGCAGTAGTGCGATCTTGGCTTACTGCAACCTCCGCCTCCTGAGGTCAAGTGATTCTCCTACCTCAGCCTCCCAAGTAGCTGGGATTATAGGCAAGTGCCACCACGCCGGGCTAATTTTCATAATTTTTGTAGAGAAGGGGTTTCACCATGTTGGCCAGGCTGGTCTCGAACTCCTGACCTCAGGTGATCCTCCCACCTCGGCCTCCTAAAGTGCTGGGATCACAGGCATGAGCCACCGCACCTGTCTGGGCCTCCTCTAATATGAAAAAAAAAAACAAAAACAAAAAACAAAACCCAGCCCAGCGCGGTGGTTCATGCTTGTAATCCCAGCACTTTGGGAGGCCGAGGCAGGTGGATCACCTGAGGTCAAGAGTTTGAGACCAGCCTGGCCAACGTGGTGAAACCCCGCCTCTACTAAAAATACAAAAATTAGCAGGGCATGGTGGCGTGTGCCTGATCTCAGCTACTCGGGAGGTTGACGGAGGAGAATCGCTTGAACCGGGAAGGCGGAGGCTGCAGTGAGCTGAGATTGCGACACTGCATTCCAGCCCGGGCAACAGAGTGCGACTCTGTCTCAAAAACAAAAAAAAACAAAAAACCAACATAATAAATGTATGTATCTTCGGGTAAACTTACGAAAAACCACTCTCTTCGGTAAAAAATAATACAAGTCCTTTAAGACCTGTTGGAATATGGTAAAGAGGTGAGCATATTGATAATGGCAATTATCAATTATAAAGTACTTTAAATATCCTGCTCTTGCAGGTACAACATGCTGTAAACAGGGCATTTAGACAGGTGATAGTCAATTCATAGGAGATGGTTCTGTTGTAGGCTTTAAAAAACAACACTACTGAACCATTGATGAAAGGCCAGTTACATCCATGCTCCCAAAATGAAAGACAGAGACCAGGACCAAAAAAATGTATATGGAAGTTCTTTGTAAACAGTAAAGTACTTTACTGAAAGTACAATTTGGCTGAGCGTGGTGGCTCACATCTGTAATCCCAGCACTTTGGGAGGCCAAGGCGGGTGGATCATCTGAGGTCAGGAGTTTGAGACCAGCCTGGCTGACATGGTGAAACCTTGTTTCTACTAATAATACGAAAATTAGCTAGGCATGGTGGCGCATGCCTGTAATCCCAGCTACTCGGGAGGCTGAGGCAGGAGAATTGCTGGAACCCAGGAGGTGGAGGTTGCAGTGAGCCGAGACTGTGCCATTGCACCCCAGCCCAGGCAACAAGAGTGTAACTCCATCTCAAAAAAAGAAAAAAGGAAAAAAAAGCACAATTACGGCCAGGCGCAGTGGCTCATGCCCATAATCCCAGCACTTTGGGAGGCCGAGGCAGGCAGATCACCCTGAGGTCAGGAGTTTTGAGACCAGCCTGGCCAACATGGCAAAATCCCATCTCTACTAAAAATACAAAAATTAGATGGGTGTTGTGGTGCACGCCTGTAATCCCAGCTACTCGGGAGGCTGAGGCAGGCGAATCACTTGAATGCAGGAGGTGGAGGTTGCCATGAGCCAAGATCGTGCCACTGCACTCCAGACTGGGCGACAGAGTGAGACCCTGTCTCAAAAAAAAAGAAAAAAAATTGATTTAGCAAACTTTTACGAATCAATTAACTTGACATCTCTATGAGTCATTATGACTGACGGACGTATCCTCCACAGAGAACATGTTATACGAGAGCGATGGTCTTTTACTCCCACTCTGACCAAATGACCATACACTGTGCTCTCATCACTGGACTGTCCTAAAGATCAAACTAGAAAATGGCCTGAAAGCACCTAGCACTAGAGTAGGTGCTTAGTGGGTACCCAAGAAAAGTTACTTCTCTTCTCCTTTACCATATGACCTAGAGCAGAGCAAGGAAAATGCTCACGTCTGTACCATTTTCCAACAGGTCTTAAAGGACTTGTATTACTGAAAAGAATGGTTTTTCATAAATTGACCCAAAGATATGTAAATTCATTATGTTTTCTTTTGTGTAATTAGAGAAGGTCATCGTAGGAAACTGAATACAAAATAATTCAGTACATCCTCATCAGAACAGGAACAAGGGCTTGCTCTTGGCTGCCGAGGCTTAAGCCTCAGTTTGCAAAACCAGACTATATCGAACAGGAGGGACACAGAATGAGGCAGTCAGGTATGCGGTAGCAGTGTGGTCCTACTCTCACTGTTCAGATTCAGACACCTGACGATGGCCAAGCTAGTTAAACATGGATTTCTTGGGTGTGCCTCGCTATTCTCATGTTCTCCCCATGGTTCCAGTAGATAACATACAGGTTAATACGAACAGGACGCTCATAAGACATGTGAACAAGCAGACCCAGTGTGAAGTTATGATCATCACTACTCTCTTACCAAATATCCCAGCGCCCCATGGAGGATATGTTTCCATGGAAACTATTAGTGCTCAACTACGCTGAAACCATAAGTTTCAGGGAGCTTAAACTGAGTTTGCAGTTTGTAAATGTATACTCAACGAATAAAGCAAATTTACTTCTTTTTAAAAGTAACAAAAAAAACTCTAAGGACAAAAACAGATCAGGATTGGCAGGGACTGGGGTGGGGAGAGGAGTTTATTACAAAGGGACACAAGAGAATTTTAAAGTGTGAAAGAGCTGTTTTATCATTTGTACATTAAAAACAGTAAATTTTAGGGAGAGTAAATTTTACCTTAGTAGAAGTAACTAATGCATGGGAGTTTTGAGGTGACTGGTGTACTTTCAAGATATCCCAGTAAAGAACAATACACATCCCCACAGTAAGTGGGCATGTTCCACTGCCCCACAGTGAGTTGGCCATAGCACAAACAGGCATTGACTGAGAAGAGCTGATTCTTTCAGTGAATTGTGAGCAAGAAGAAAGCTCAGAAGAAAGCAAGAAGAAAGATAATGGCTTTCTGAGTCTACAATAGACACATGCAATATACGTATGTAAGCAAGAAAGGCTGAAATAACATAAATTCTCATCCAACACTATCAGCCACACCAAAGCCTTCTGTTTCAGGTCTGCTTGGAAAAAGATATAAAAGCAGATGCTTAACACCTGAAGAGACCTTAGAGACCATGAATCAAACCTGCTGATTCCAACATTCTCTCCAAATTCACAAAGACAGAACACTTTCATATCTACCTTCAGCGGAAGAAAAACCAGTTTTATCATTTCCTTGTAAACCTATGCAGGTTCGATTTATTTCATTCTGGCAACTTTGTGATGAGTATGAGAACTGGCAATAGATGGCTTAATGTGCCTTGAGATCAAATTTTGATTGGAAAATTTTCATTCATTGAAAAATTTGACTGGAAAACAAACTTTAATGTTTATTTTCTTTGTGTCATCCTTGTGCTTCCCAGATTAGCTACTTTGCATCCAGAGAAGTGAAAACAAAGGTAAGTAAAGTGGCTATTGCTCTGTGACATCACATGGCAATGAGGAGTGCTCGTGTTGGACCCATGATTCCTGACCCCAACTCTCAGGAGAAGGCAAAGAACAGCCATATGGCAAGTAAATGTGGTAGACACCGAGCAGGATCCTCTCTCTCAGTTTCTCTTTCTCTCCCATAGAAAAGTAGGGCTGGCTGGGCACAGTGGTTCACGCCTGTAAACTTTGGGATGCCGAGGCTAGTGGATCACCTGAGGTCAGGAGTTTGAGACCAGCCTGACCAACATGGAGAAACCCCATCTCTACTAAAACATACAAAAATAAACCAGGCGTGGTGGCAGGCGCTATAATCCCAGCTACTCGGGAGGCTGAGGCAGGAGAATCACTTGAACCTGGGAGGTGGAGGTTGCAGTGAGCTGAGATTGCACCATTGCACTCCAGCCTGGGCAACAAGAGTGAAACTCCGTCACAAAAAAAAAAAAGTAGGGCTGCCAGGCACAGTGGGTTATGCCTTAATTCCAGCACTTTGGGAGGCCAAGGTAGGAGGACTGCTTGAACCCAGGAGTTCCAGACCAGCCTGGGCAACGTCGCAAGATCCCATCTCCACAAAAAATAAAAAATTAGCTAGCGTGGTTGCATGCGCCTGTGGTCCCAGCTATTTGGGAAGCTAAAGTGGGAAGATGGCTTGAGGCCACAAGGTCAAGGCTGCAGTGAGCTATGATCATGCCACTGCACTCCAGCCTGGGCAACAGAGAGAGACCCTGTCTTAAAAAAAAAAAAGTAGGACTAAGTAAATTTACTAAAGAATATAGCTTAAAATTGGGGCAGATTCAATAAAGTCTGAGATTATAGGCCTGCATTGGGAAAGGTAACTGTGATTTAGGAAAAAGGATCTAGAATGTTAAAAATAGATAAATAATGCTGCTCAGATAGCTTCCATAATTGGCTAGAGAAAAAAGAAGGTTTGCTCCTCCCCTTGTGCCCTCGCTTTAGATAAAGCTATACTTAAAAACCAACTTCAGCATGGCTAAATTCCTTTGGCACAAACTCCCTGAGTCTCTGAGACCTATTTTCCACAGAAATGCTAGTTGGGAGTTTCAGTCAGGATTAATTTAGATTTTTTTTAATACGTACATGTATCAGAATCATTCACCGAGGGGAAGTTCTTATATATCCATTCCCAGAATTCTCTTAAGACATCTGGTCTCATTAGAAGATCAAATAGATCCTCCAGATTCATTAGTTGTTTAACAAAGTGGGAATTATTTTCTCACTGCTCTTGTGTTTGTGAGATATTCAAGACACAGGTGAAAAAAAAAATAACTGAAAAAAAAAGCCAATCTTCTTGACTCACAAGGACAGCTCTTTCAGCAGAATACAAAAGTCTCGAATTAGCTCTTAATTTCTAAAAACACAAGGAAACAGTCAAGAGCATAGGTCACTCAACAGATTTGGTTTAAAGATCAGAAAATTTTATTAGTGGCTCACCTATCACCCGGTTACCATCCTGTGTTCTCTTTTTTATGGACAGTTTCATGAATGCCTGTGTCATCTTTGTGCAGGGGGTCATGCTAATCTCTGTATCTTTCCAATTTTATTGTATATGCTGCCAAAGTGAGCTCCCTGCATTCTTTTTCTGCTATCTCGACAAGCATACGTAACAAGAAACCCATACTGAACATGCCCAGCTTCTAGTAGAGCACAGGATATAATCGTGTTTGGCCGCTTTAACGGCAGAGCACAGCCCATATGCCGTCACTGAACCAGATTCACCTGGAGAGTAAACTATCCGCAGAGGGTAGGGCACTAGAGAATGCTTCAGAAACTCAAGGCCCAGAAGTGCTGAATCCACTGTACTGAATGATACCCCAGTGGCCTGAAAGAATTATTGTAGCTTTTTAAAGTGACTCATTCACTCCCACGGGGTCATCTGGACTCAGGGAAAATCTGTCTCACTGATTATTAGTGATTTGGTAATTGGATGGTAGTGATGGGCTTCTGATAACCTAGAGATTTGCTTTAGCTTCACTGGCAAAGGACTGTTTTCTTTGGAGTCAAAGATTACACTGCCTCTTTGTGTGTGTGTGTGTGTGTGTGTGTGTGTGTGTGTGTGCGTGTGCATGCTGGGGGGGATGAGGGAATGCGTACAAGAGGACTGCTTCTTTGAACCTGAATCTACCAGTCCCAGTTCTGCCATTCAGTAGCTGGATAATCTTGGGCAGATTACATTCCCTTCTGCCTCAGTTTCTTCATATGTAAAAAGAGGTAGGGTCAAATGATCTCAGTGATCTCTTCTAGCTCTGAAAAACCTTGTGATTTCTAGGCAATGAGTATCTTTTGATGCACATCTGTTGTTGCAAAAGCTACAAGTTTCAGAGTATTAATTTCATCTTTCTCAAGCCATTATTTTGGATGAAGACCAGAATTGTCCTTTACAAGTGTGTTAAAAAAACAAAGCAGCTCGCTTATATGTGTCCTCTAGCCCTTTTCCCTTTCATCTTCCAGCTCTGAAATTCCACGGTTTCTATGAGAGTTGGGGAGTTGTAACTTCTTCTTTTTCATTCCAATCTTTTGAATGAAAACCAGAATACCTTTTTTTGCACCTTGTAGATGTATAGAAAAACAAAACAACCTACCAAATTTCCTGGCCCTTCTGTTCCCTTAACTAGTAAACAAATGAAATTCTCTTTTTTTCCTATGTGGTAGAGAGTGTAATTTGTCCTGAGAGAGTGAGCAAGAGGTAGGCCGGGTGCGGTGGCTCATGCCTATAATCCCAGAACTTTGGGAGGCCAAGGCGGGCGGATCGCAAGGTCAGGAGATCAAGACCATCCTGGCTAACACGGTGAAACACCGTCTCTACTAAAAATACAAAAAATTAGCCGGCGTGGTGGCAGGCACCTGTAGTCCCAGCTACTCAGGAGGCTGAGGCAGGAGAATGGCGTGAACCCAAGAGGCGGAGCTTGCAATGAGCCAAGATCGCACCACTGCACTCCAACCTGGGCGACAAAGCAAGACTCCGTCTCAAAAAAAAAAAGAGAGTGAGAAAGAGGTCATTTCAAAATTGCCTAATTAGGAGCAAATATGTGATTTTTCATCTTTGGGTTTTAGAGGTATAAAAAATCTGTCCAATAAGTATATCACTTGATAGGTAATTTGCTGTGAAGTTACCAAGGAAAAGGACAGATATTTAATGAATAAAACAGGCACAATGGCTCCTGTCTGTAATCCCAGCACTTCAGGAGGCCAAGGCAGGAGGATTGCTTGAGCCTAGGAGTTTGAGACTAGCCTGGGCAGCAGAGTGAGACCCCTGTCTCTACAAAAATAATTAAAATCAAATTGAATAAAAAAGAGCATTTATCTTCCCAAATGATATTTTAAAATTACAACCTTTACAGAAAGATAGGGTGGGGACTCAGGCTGTGGGTTTCAAAGATGTCTTATAGGCCACGCCAGGAGGAAGAGACCTTTTTCCGGAGTTATTATCCTTAATTGTAGCAGGTAGGCAACGCCAATGGATGGCCGATAAAACCTCCTCTAGAGCAGCAAGTTTTCCTGAATTGCAGGTCATGCCTCATTAATGGGCCGTGAAATCAATTTAGTGAGTCGTGACCAGAATTTTTTTAAAAACATGAAATAAATTAGACTAAAGTAGAATAGATAGAAAATATCAGAGTGCGTGGCTTGTAGGTTATGTACTATCTGGTGAAACTTTGGTTTAGTTGTGTGTATGTGTTTGTATGTTTGTGCATCTCTGTGTGTGTGCGCCCGTGTGATGTGTTTGGTACACTATGTCCTGCCATAAAATACATTTCCTACTGTGGGTCATGATTAAAAAAATTGAAAGCCACAGCCCTAGAGATGTCTCAATCCTGGCTTCAAATGAGTTGGTTTGCTTTCTGACAAAGTAAATTTATAAACGAAAGGAAAAGGAATTCTTCCAAATGTCAATAGTCACCTCCCAACTCTCTACTGAAACTATCCTTAAGTTTTTCTGAATTCTACTCTTTGTTCACCAAAAAATACTTGAATCACTCCTGGTCAAAGTAAGCCCAAGGCAAACTGTGAAGTGGGTCAAAATTATCTTTCTCTTCTGGGAACATCTCCCACCCCTTGTAGACGACCCTCACGTTTGTACTTTTTTCCCTTTTCCTTTTTTCGTATTCTATGAAAGACTGATAAATGCATTAAACAACACCGTAATTGATTGAAAAATGCTTTTATATGCCCCATTCTCAAAGATATTTATGTTTTAGCCAAATATTTAACCTCATGCTATATAAAGAAGTCACTGTAAAATTTATCCACAGAGGAGGGAAAAGAGAGGAATAGTGGAAAAAGTTTTCCCAGCCTTCTTAATGCCTTACAGCCGCTAGCTGTATTTACTTCATGTTTCCTTTTTTACATGAAAATAATATGCATTATTTCTTTCCTTGTTGATTTGTAAAATATATTTTTATTCTCTGCGGCTGTCTTTATTTTTTAAAATAATTATTTATGAAACTGTCTTATTATAAACTCTGAGAGGAAACATGTTGTTTTATTCAACGTTGTTTTTACCTTATACCCAACTTACCCCTTGGCCAATTTTAGGTCCTTAATTAGTACTGATTAATAACTGTTAATTATAACAAAATCATACTACTCTATAACACATGTAATAGTTTTTGCCAATGTTAAACTAAGAGACTATAATTGCATTGTTTTGATCCTAAATATAAAAATTATGTAGATTCTGCACATTTTTCATAAAACAACAGTGATAACATCAATTTATTTATTTATTTATTTTTGAGATGGAGTTTCGCTCTTGTCACCCAGGCTCGAGTGCAATGGCAAGATCTCGGCTCACCGCAACCTCCGCCTCCCAGGTTCAAGCAATTCTCCTGTCTCAGCCTCCCTAGAAGCTGGGATTACAGGCATGTGCCACCAAGCCCGGCTAATTTTTTGTATTTTTAGTAGAGACGGGGTTTCTCCATATTGGTCAGGCTGGTCTCGTACTCCTGACCTCAGGTGATCCGCCCGCCTTGGCCTCCCAAAGTGCTGGGATTACAGGCATGAGCCACTGCACCCGGCCCCAGTAATATCAATTTAAAACAGCACCACACTTTACTGAGTATGTAGTATATGCCAGACTCCCGGTACTGGGTGCTTTATCTGCATATTCTCATTTTCCTTTGAAAACCTCCTCAATATAAGTAGTTACATCTGTGCTCCCAATACTCCTCCACAAACACCACATATACAAGTTACACATGAGAAAAACCAAGGCTCAGAGAATCTAACAACCTGCCTATGAAGACATAATTATTAAGCAGTTCATTTGATTGTAAAAAGTCTGTGTTTTCCTCATTTTTACATTACCTAACCTTTCGACAGTATCTAAAATTATCATTTTAATTTTCATTTTCAAATACTTTACCTGTTTGATTAAGGACACAGTTTTGAATGTAAGAATATCAGGAAAGTGTTTGCATGGTTTGTTTTTTCATGAAAAATGTTCTGATTATCATAGAGTGGTTACAAACCCTAACACATACTCGGAAAATATCTGGCCTAATTGTGCTAACGCAGTGCATTCTGCTTGCCCTTTGCAGCCTGAGATATCCTTCAGCCATTTTTAAGCGTAGCAATAAAGGACGTGGAAATAAAGAGCTGGATGTGTCCACAGTCTTAACAGCGTGCTGATGGAATTTTATCAACTTATTTAGGTCTGTTCAGGTAACTTTTTTGCTTCCATGTACAAAGAACAGTGCTTAATGTAGACTGCTATGAAAGCATTATTTTCCATTTGCATGTGGCTTCCACATTCCCCAGACCATCTACTTACACAGACGATTTTTAACAGTAACTCTTAAAATTAAAAGTCGGCTTTGCATTTTCCTTCTCTCAGAAATTTTACAATCAATCTCCTGTCCTAGGTAATCACAAGTCACAGATATTTAGCAGCCACATCTCTCCCCGTTACAGCAAAAGGAAGAAATTGATTTTGTGACAAAATATACTTGGAAATCAAATTCAAGACTCACTTTTAAAATAGGAATGAAACCACTGACTACCAAATGTGTTTTGGTAGCCCCTCTTAGATTCCAAACTTCTAAATAACTTTCTCACATTCATTCAGACTTAAGTTTCAGGAAATAAAATAATTATTAATTTAAACATAGATCCCTATACAAACAAGTACTATGTTTACAATGTACCAGTCCACTAAAATCAACAAGACATAGATTATGAGAACTACAACCCAAACCAAGTAAACTAGCACTCACCATTTGCCCATTCCCCATCCAATGACAGTAAACATCCTATTGGAATCTGCTACGAAAACAAAGGCTTTACCAACCTAATGTCAAGGCAAACAGTAGTAAATACCTACTTGATACTACTAACCAGTGGTATCATTTTCATTCCTTAGAGTCTAAACACTACTAAATGTTGGCATTTTTTCCTTCAAAAGAAACCTTCAAGATGACACCATTATAATATAGCTCTTTACATGGTAATTTTCAAGAAAAATAGTTTACTAGGCGCTATTTCACATTGACTTGAAATGTTTTAAGCCACAAACCATCTGAATTAAAAGGAATACAGATATTCTACTATTTAGAAAAAAAAGCCCGAGTTTCCTATACTTTATGTTAAATGCCAGCCCCCCCAAACTAAGAGCTACACAAAATCAAAGCCCCATAAATTTAAGCTGCCACAGTCCTGAAGTCAAGGTAATAAAATTACGTCTACTCTGTAAATCATACAAAGTAGAAAATTAAGGAACACATATTTTCAGCACCAAGAATGTATTAATTAGGAACATAGTTAGGTCTCTCTTAAAAGGGGTGCTGTAAGTTGTAATAGCTGGTGGCATACCTTAAGTTCTCTGAAGAAGATACTACTCCTGGCCCACTCGACAATGGAGAAGAGAGTTTGATCTGCCATTTTGCACATAAGCCCAAAGGTGCTCAGCTTTTCGTGCTTGCTTCGGTTAGCCTGCTCTTGCTGCAAATAGGCCATGATTTTAGCCTGGACTTGAGGCTCATCTGGCTCACACTTCAAAAGTTCCAGTATCAGATGTGGGATGCTTGCTGGAGAGCTCGTCTGGTAACTATCCATATATGAATAGCCCATTATGGACTCGGGTGAGCTGGTATAGGGGTCTGGGTACTCAGACTTGATGGCCCGGCTAGGAAAGTGGCCATATGTTTGGTAACCTTGCAGGCTGCCGTGAGGGGGCATTGTCATGCTAATGGGGGATGTTACAAAGGGACTTCTGTCATAGTCTGTAGGAGGCAAGGCAGCATGGTTCAGAGGTAGGCCTTTGGAGGCAGAGTGGATGTTTTGAATTGCAGAGGAAATGGTCAGGTCAGAGGGCATAGCTTGGATCACCTGAGACATGGCTTCTAGCTTAAGTCCATTGGCTCGGATGAGGGCTTTTTTCTGTTGCTTCAGGGCCCTGTCTCTCTTGTACATTGGCCCAAACTTATTCCTTCCTCCACGCATTCGGTCGGCCCTTACAGCTGTTGGGGGTGGGGTGGGGGGAAGGAAGGAAAGGTATAAATAAGGTGCAAATTATTAGCATTCTTCAGATATTTAGAAATGTAAATCGACAAGAAGTGGTATGTGTGTGGTTGTTTTCGTTACAATAGCCCACAAAGATTTCCCAAAAAACCATGTCCTCTTTATTTATGAATTCCTTCCTCCAAGTGTGTGTCGTCATCAAAAAAATACTTTGGCCACATAGGGACATATTAACCCTTTTGTGGATGGAGGAGAGTTCATAATTTTTGTTAGACATAGAAATATTTCACATAGGCGTGGTGCGGTGGCTCACACCTGTAATCCCTGCACTTTGGGAGGCCAAGGCGGGTGGATCACCTGAGGTCAGGAGTTCAAGACCAGCCTGGCCAACATGATGAAACCCCATCTCTACTAAAGATACAAAAAATTAGCCAGGCGTAGTGGTGGGTGCCTGTAATCCCAGCTATTCAGGAGGCTGAGACAGGAGAATCGCTTGAACCCGGGAAGTGGAGGTTGCAGTGAGCCAAGATCACACCACTGCACTCCAGCCTGGGCAACAAGAGTGAAACCCCTGTCTCAAAAAAAAGAAAAGAAATATTTCACATTGCTAAGAAAGAGTATCAGTCGTTCTACTAAGAGTATATGCTTTTATTATGCCAGTTCCTTATGGAAACCCAAACTGCTTTGGGGTTTTCTTTTGCAGGGGTGTGGAACTGAGTTACCCAATTTTGGATTAAATTGTGAATACTTTCCCACAAGATACCTTCCTCCCTGAAAGCCATTTTGGCCACCTTGTTGCAATAACAAAAGGGGTGGGGACATGTTCTTGGAAAATCATGTTCACCTGGACTTGATGAGCCCACATCAGATGACCACCAGTTACTGCTTTTAATTTAAGTAGAATTGGACATAATTAAAACAAATTCATTTCAGAAGCTGTCAAGAGAGTCTTCTGCGACAGTGGTGTGTGGAGTCTGCGGCCATGACTAATAAGTTAGTTAGCAGTTCCCTCTAAGTCCATAGTGGCCAATGGCAATTAGACAGAAACTAGAGACCTCTGATAGCTTGTGACATATTGAACTTGCTGGAGGTTAAGTTTTTGAGCTTTTTATCTTGGATTAGTATCACATTAAAAATTTATTGTAAATTCTAAGTATACAGAATATTGCACAAGATTATAAAGAGTTTTTCATCTGGATGATAATTTATTGAATATTCAGTTGTTTCATATCACTCCTAAGGAAGCATGAGCATGTACCACAAGTGATTTACAATTGTGAAAGCTTAACTTAAAAAAAAGAAAGTTTAATTATTTAAGGTAAAGAAATGCAGCCTTATTATTTTTGTTGAAAAGGAATTAAATGACATCATGCAAAATCACAACATTTACTTATCTTCTGAGTCTCTTACTGTATGTAGTAAGCATCTACCACAATATTTTGCTATTTGGGAAATAATAGTGATTGGTAATAAGAAAATTAATAAGCATCAATTATTTCCTTTCATGATCTCTTAAAAATGATACTGACATTAACAGTCCTCATAATAACCAAAGTGGCTACCTCTGTTCGGAAGAAGCGTGTTAGCTATTCAGCAGATTTATATGATTTTTTTTTTTAGTATTTCTATCAAGTATGAGTTCCATATAACAGAAAAGTTCCAAATAAAAATAGCCTGTGCCTCATTGATCAAATAAAATGCACTCTTGTATCTAGCACCATCGGTGATATGTATCCCTGTTATTGCTTTATTTGCAGTATATTTAATCCATGGAAAGCAAGCAGGTCAGAGGCTAGAAAGCAGCAACATACCATAGTAGTCCATGAACTACAAATTATTTACAGCAGTCACATATTAACTTTACTGCCTGCCAATCTGTACATTGTAGTATAGGGTCTGCTCTTTCAACAAAGTTCAAGTGTGGCTTTTCAGGAGCCACTTTCTTGTTCTTTTCAGACCTTTGCTAATGATTTAATAGTTCGTTATTTTTCATGTTTCCTGATTCTCAATTTTTTATTTTGCAGCCTCAGTCATTATCTTTTAAAAAAATACATTTCTACACTATCAAAGATAATATCCTACATGAGAAACTCCTTTTCACCATTAAAGGCTTTAACTCTTAAGAATCATGAAATTAGTAGTTAACACTTGTGACAAGCACACCTCTTTTAAAAAGAATTGAAATCAAACTTTTCCAAGGGTATCTTGATTTAAAAACTCAAAGAATATTTTACTTTTAATAGTTTTACAAATTATTCTTGTTTTCAGTTGGATTGCTTTAGTCTTATTTTCATAACCTGATCTTTTTCCCTTTTTTGTGTCTAATGCATCTGCTCCCCAGACTAAAAAAAAGGGGGTGGGCAGGGGAAAGACAACTAATATTTTAAATTTTTTTCCTAGTAGATTTCACCATGATTAAATGAGACTCAGACTATTCTGCAGATGAAACATAGAAAGATCTTACAGTATTGTCGGTAGTGTTAAAATGCTGGGAAAATAATGTTACCATGCTATAAGTACAATGTTGTTTTACAGTTCATGTCCTTGGAGAG
The DNA here is from genome assembly GCF_000001405.40 of Homo sapiens. Classification (NCBI taxonomy): domain Eukaryota; kingdom Metazoa; phylum Chordata; class Mammalia; order Primates; family Hominidae; genus Homo; species Homo sapiens. The sequence goes on along the minus strand of NC_000001.11, from coordinate 200,045,618 downwards.
TTTTAATAGGCAGTAGTCTTTAGAAGAATCTTACCTTCTAGCTTCATTCCAACACTTAGACATTTTTGAAAACGACAGTAAGGACAACGCTTTCTCTGTGTTTTGTCAATTTGGCAGTTCTGGTTTTCTATACATGTGTACCTTTTATTATTTTGGACTGTTCGCTTAAAAAATCCCTATAAGACAGAGAAAATAGTGAGACGTATTATAAATCTAACACCCGTCTTTTCCATTGTTTCATTTTAAGAAAATCACCAGTAAATCCTCTCATTGCACTATTTGAGCCCTTATGTGGTTCTGTGGTTTATTTTACATTTCAGCAACATCAACCTTCCCAAACTGTGCCAGGCCATGGTGGAGATTTTTCTGGCATCAGTTTTATTCTTGAAGAATTACGTCAAATCCTGGGGAGATTTGGCTACCCACCATTTTATCCCAACAGTCAGAAAAAATACACTCTATATAGATAAATTTTTTTTTAATCTATTTTCCTATTATCCCACATGTTCCTGATAGAGGTACTCATGAAGTCCTGGCATTGTTTTTAAGTAGTCTGATATAATTTCAGTGATAAACCATTGCAAAATGCCAGTGGAAAAAACTGAATAGCAAAACACCTCAGATTTTTTTTTTTTTTTAACAAATGTCAACACTGGATAGTTAAAAGCAAAAGGATTTAAAGAGTAAAATGGGAAAATGCTCATAATTCCACTGGAATACATTCAAGTATGGGAACTGTTCTTAAAAAGGCAAAACTAATGGAAGGAAAAAGCATGTATCACAGATAGCTGAATTGTAGCACACAGGGTATGAGCTTTCCTTATATTTTATATAAAAGAATTAATCAAAAATAAAATGTGTAGCTTTATAATATGAGATTTACCAGGATAGTATTCATATTTAACCCACTTGCCACAAAGAGAAACATTCTTACTTTGTTATAGAGAATGGAGGGATTTTCCTGGTGGTGGTTTAAGTAATTGTACTGAGTTTTCCACTTAAAAACAAAAACAAACAAACAAAAAAAACTTTGAAAAATAGTGAATATTGAATTTACTGGGAATGTATTAAAAAGTCCTGAGATAAATTCTTAAAGTATAATTTATATTTTTGGTAACAATATAGCATATTTTACATATTAAAATCCATGCACTTAAATAGGTCATATATTTATAAAAATTATTATATTAAAAACTAAAATCTGATTTCTTGGTCTTTATGATATAAATTTCAAAAAATCCTTAAAATTATTTTGGAATAAATCAAGATGAAATCACACAGTTGGGAATTTAGGCTTTTATGTCTGTGGATAAAGAATGTTTAGACTTATAGCACAGAAATACTCTGAAGTTAAAATGTATTTGGGAAATAGTTTGTCATATTCCCTTTCAAGAACAACGATGCTTTAAATATATATAAGTCAAGCAAAATCAATATTTAGGACTGTTAGAAATGGAAGTCTTTCTACAGCTATATCACTTTACTACAATAAAGTATTTTAGAACCATGAGACTGGCAAAGTTTTCTAAACAGCATAAATTTCTTTGCCTTTTGAACTAAATCAGACACACACTTCTAAGAATCATCTCCCTAAGACTCTCTCTTTCTCCCTCATTTTTAGTTGAGTCTTTAAAAAAGGAGCCTAAATTTAGCTTAAAAGAAGTAATCCACTGGTTTATTTTGGTGTTGGACATTATATTTTTCAGGTAGCAATGTGTGAGCAAACCTTGCAGCTTTCACAGGTGAGGAGCCCATAATGGTACCCAGACACTTTATCTCCACACACGGGACAAAGCTCTTCCAGATCTTCATCATAGGAGTAATTCACCATTTTAAATTGAGACACTGAAACAAAAAGAGAAATGTATACACATATTCAATTAATTTACATGTAGGTGTTAATCCTGCAACAAAAAGCATTTTGGTGATTGCTGGGCAAATATCACATGGTAAAATATAAAATAAAAACAATTTTTAGCAAGGTCTTACTGAACTATTTTTACAAGTAAAACATCTTTTGTCATCAATAAGCATGGACCTCATATAATTCCATGTGCCACAAACAATTCCAACTTCTTTTGTTAACATTTTAAACTGACCGCTTTTAAACACAAGTCTCATAACTCCACAAAGCAACAAATAGAGACATGAATTGCATAAGGTGACAGTTTAGAATTTCTTTTAAATCCCTATGAAGTTAAATTCCAAAATGTCACCTTCGCCTAAGGTAGAGAAACAAGCGCAGGCTTTATTCCCTCCCTCTTGAAGTGGTTTGCTGCAAGTGCACCTTGCTTACAGGGACAGCAGCACCAATTTGCAAACTCTGTCCGACAGAGAAACTGAAGCCCCAGAAACCCGCTTCTCAGCAGCAGCCCACTTTAACTAAACAGCCTGAGGCTCCCAACTTTCAGATCTGTTAGATAATCGAAACATTCAGTTCCGTATTGACAGTACTTTTCTATTCTGGATACTTTCATCTCCTTACGTTTGAAAATCTGTGAAAATAAAAAGAAGGAAAAAGAAAATAGAGGACGCCCGTACGGGGAAAAATACCAGAAGAGTAAAAGACACACAGAAGGGTTTTGGTTTCAAAGTATTGAAGCCCTGTAATGAACCTCACATGTTTCCGATCATCATAGCAAAATATAAACACCTCGAGATCGCCCTATTAAAGTTAAACAGAAATCAGGCCGCCACGACGCGCGGCGCGGCTCACTGCCGGGATCGGGTAACCGCCTTGCTCCGGACGCAGACCCACGAAGGCGTCTTCGCAGCTAAAAAGATGACAAACTATGCACAGGAAGGGCAGTGACCAGGAGACCCCAGGAAGTGCCTGATCCGGTATTTCCCGGAGACTCCACATCCACACAGGTCAAGTATGGGAGCGCGGGGCGCGGGTGGGCGGGCACCCGCAGGTCTGCGCAGCCGGGACCCTGCCCGCACTCCCCCGGGCACTCTTCGGCGAAACCCGTGGGCGCACCAGGCTCTCGCCTAGGCTCTACCTCCTGCTACCCAACGGCGCACAAACACGCAGCCGAGTTTGTTTTAAGTTAATCAGTGGCGTTTGCAGGGGGTGGGGCAGGTGGGGGATGGAAAGCCACGGCCGGGCAGAAGTTTCCTCTGATTTGTTTACCAAAAAGGAAAGAGAAATAGCCCCCACCCCATCGCCAAAGTCCTCCGCCACAGTATCGCCGCAGTGATGACTTGTTCTTTTGAAAATAAAGTTATTTTTTTTCTCTTTGGTTCCCGAGCTCTTCGGTCGGAAAGGGCCGTCAGGGGGGTCACTTGCAGCACTTTGCGGCTAAGGACTGCGCGCAGACCCGCGGAGTTGACGCGTCTCTTCCCGGGCCACAGAGCCCTAGGATGGCTCACAGGGGAGTGAGTTAGCCAGAGTTTGGGAACATTCCGAGAAAAGAGGCTCCAGAGAAGGCAGGAGCCTGCCTTCGTGAAATATTAATAAAGGGATGCTAGGCGAGGTCCTCCCAGCGGTGCCAGCCTGAATCCCAGCCCCAAGAGACCCCCACTAGGGTTTTAGGAACCTGGGGGTTTGGGAAGGGCCGAGGGTTCAGAAATTCCTTTATAGCCCCTAGACGTTGATAGCTCTCCTAACAATCGCGATGACAGTCTTGAGGCATGTTTTAGGAACAAGGCGAAAAGCGCACTTTCCCAACTGTGATCTTTTCTACCTCCCCTTCCCCCAACAAAGTAAACTCTAACTTTACACCAAAGGGGCACAGATAGGCAACTGCTTTCAGAGGGACTCCGTGCCTACCTCGGGGACCCGACATCGAAGAAAGACCGAGGCATGAGGTAGAGACTCTCTTGAAAAAACCCAAAGACAGAGGCTGAGTAGGGAGACGCTGCTGTGTGAGGCCTGGGCACCTTTCAGAGTTTCCCAGATGCTCTGGTGCAGCCGAAGTAGGCGTTTGGGGAGGCGAACTCATCGGGGCAAAGAAGCGCCCACACTCTTCCCCAGTTTCGGTCTAGGGAAAGAAGAACGGACGGCGGTGCCTTGGAAAGCTAGGGCCTCAGAGAGGCGCACAAAGTTCCCTCAAAGTTGGGCGCGCTGCTCTGTCCCGGGACCATGTAGTGGATCGTCTTTCTGGGCTCCTACGGAGGCGTCCCAGGTGGGAACCAGAGCAAGCAGGAGAATGGGGTCCCCATCCCCCAGGGGCTCCTCCCGACAGGCAGGCCTCTAGTCTCCGACGAAGCCTTGCCCCGGCGCTTCCCATGCTGATTTCGAACCATGGGCTGAGTGAGTGGCGACTTCTGAGCCCAGGCACCAAAGAAAAACTACTTCTCTGGTTTGGGGGCACTAGGTAGTGTGTCCAGAAGACCCCTCTCGAACTTTCCAAAGAAAACGTTACCAATAACATTTCTCTCTCCGCTCTCAAAATAAGTCTTTGGCTTCTCGCGCCAGAACAAGAAGCAGAAACTTTCCTTTTGGAGCCAAGAATCGTGCCGGCCTCACCCAGCGACCCCAAGGGTAGGCCCTCTCCGGAGCTGCCGGCTGAGGTCCCCCAACCCAGCCCCCCAGCGCCACTTCCCCGATGCCCCACACTAAACTGGAATTCCAGGTGCCCGGAAGAAAGGCTTCTTTGGACCAACCGGGTTCCCATAGCAGCCAGACCCACAGGTCAGCCTCCGGGGCTTCAGCTCTAGGGGACTCTCACAGCCCTACCTAGAGGCTTGGGGAGACCCCAGGATGACCGATGGGGTAACGGATCACAACCCGCACGGCGCACGCCCTCCAGCTACGTATTTTCCCCTCCGCGGTAGGGCGACTACAGGTCCCCCGGCCTGAGCGCCCGGGCGCGCCGCCCACTCAGCACCGCAGAGTGCACCAGCCCTGAACTCTGCTCTCAACACCTCCCAGTCCTTTCAAGTTCGCGCAAGGGGATGGCAGGAAGCGTTCCGGGATCACAGGCCCGCCGGCCCGCACATCCTGCACCCTGGAAGGGGCGAGGATGGAAGAGCACCGGTGACTTTTCCTAGCATTGTTCCCTCCCTGGCCCAGAGCAAATGAGATAAACTTCTGAAGGGCTTAATACAAGCCATAGGGTTGCTATTTTGGAATGAGGAGAAAATGTAGCCAGCGGGATTTGTTTTTTTGTTGGCAATCAAGAGCTGGGAAAACGAATGGGACCTCCATATTTTCAGATCTCAGATTTTAAAAGGGGGCAATAAACGAACCGCTGTCCTCCCACCCCCAACTCACTCAGCACTACGCGTACAGGGGATGGGGTTGGGGTAACTTGTTCCCTTCAGTTCTGCCAGCAATGTTGAATTGTCCAAATCCGAGCTGGCTGCGGGTGTCCGCCTGGGCTTTTGGTGTGGTCACATGTATTCTAATAGCGCTAAGACAATCCTTTCGGAGGTCACCTCTTTCTGTAGTTGACTTTCCTAGACTGGGTCGCCTCCCTCCACACAAGAGTACTGGTTGAAGTACAGTACACACCAATTCCAATGACAGAGAACCTGTTCGGGTGTCCAGTGAGACATTCCATTTCTTAGAATGATCTTATTATTCTAAAGTACCTTTAGCCTGAAGCTGCCCTGCTTGGGTTGCCATAGAGCTGGAAGCCTCTCTTTCCTTAATTAGAAGCGGCCAATTAGACGTTGCTTGGAAAAACCTCTGCCCCGCATTGTTCAAGAGCCATAAACTTTTATGCCTGCACCTGGGGAGGGGGCTTGACTCCCGCGGCTGCGAGCGCCCAGCGGGGCTACTCCCGCGCCCGCGCGGGGCGGGAGGCTGAAGCCTGCAGGGCGAGCCCGGGGGTGGGGAAGCAGCGGGAGCCGGAGCGCCGCGCGGCGCCTCCTTACCTTGCATGTTTTCCGGCATCTGGCCCTGTTCCCCATGCGATCGAGCCAGTCCCAGGGCTTCCGTCTCCACTTTGGGCAGCATGACAAGGCGACCGCGGGCGGGGATGGGGGATCCGTGTCGGTCCGGAAGCCCAGCACCTGGACACGGGCAGCACAGATTCAACTCCGGCGAAAAGAAGGAAGGGGCGACCGGGATGCCTGCTAACCCAACCCTCTCGCCTCGCCGGAGCGTGCCTCCGCCTCCTCGGGGCTGCCGGGCAGGACCTCTGAGCCCTGTCCGGTCTCGCAGCTCCGGAGCCGCCCCCAAGCTGCGAGGAGGAGGTCAGGGTTAAAAAAGGAGGCGAGGAAGACAGCGTCCCGGCCCTCTGGTTCGGCTCCGCAAGGGCGCAGGCGGCGGCGGTGGCGAGGACGCAGCTGCCCGGGGCGCGGAGCCGTGAACCGCCGAGCTCCCGGCGGGCAGCGGAGGCGACCGCGGGGCTGCTATTGCCGCCCCGGCTGTGCCGCTGCCACTGCTCCCGGACGGCTCGGGCGACTCCTTCCCCTCCCTCCACCGCCCTCTGGCTCAGGATCGGCAGGGGTCTCTCTCCTCTTTCTCTCGCCTCCCTTCTCTCTCCCCTCCTCTCCGCCCCTTCCCCCTATCTCTCTCTGCCTCTCTCTTGCTCACTATCGCAAGTGTGGAGTTGTGAAGTTCCAACCTCCCTCTCCTGCCTGGTCCACTCCCCGCGCGGGACCGAGAACGGCCCTTCCCAGCCCCGAGGGTGACGGTGCTGGGAAGGACAGGGGGGAAGACGAGGGGGAGAAGGAGGTAAGTAGGGCCAGGGGTTGGGGGAAGGCTGGATTGAGGGGTGAAGACAGTGAATGCGGACGCGGGTTCCGGACTCAGGTCGGACACTAGCCGCCAGCCAATAAGGATGAGGCTCAGGCTCCAGTCCCCCGGCCTGCCCCAACCTCTTCACCCCGCCTCACCCCCTCCCACCCCACCCTGGCCCGGGGCGGGGGGATGTAAATGCAGCCGGGTCTTACAGCTAGTCAGAAGCGACCTCTGTCTGAGCGTGGCGGCGAAGGAGAAGCAGCCAGAGCGGCAATTTCCTCGATCTGAGGGGAAGCAAGAAGAAGGGATGGGGGCGCGGGTGGGCGTGTGCCCTTGCTAGTGTGTCGGATGAGGAGATGAAGGGAGTTAAACACCCACTTAAACCATTGAAAGGAGAAAATTTAGCTGACCGTTCTTACATGCAGAGTTGGTCTGCGGTCAAGGGTCCTCCAGCTTCAACTCCCCAGGGCACTGAGACCCTGAAGAGGCGACACGTGGGCCCCGGCGCCCTGAAGGGGCCGAGGGTCAGCTCAATGAGAGGCGGGCCACAAGCCAAGAGCTCACTCATAGAATTAGAGGAAGGGGCAGCGACTCCTCTTTCCCCAGTCTGCTCCCTAGTCCCTTCGTTCACTTTTAAAAGACCCTCGACTGGAGCCCAAGATCATCTAAGCGACAGACTTTCCAGTTTTAGTGACCTGTGTTTCCACACGGAATACAAGGATCAGTCCAGGCTGTACTTTTTCATTCTGTTGTCTGATGGGACCATCCACTTGAGGCCGAGGCCCAGCATTTAAAAAATGTTTTAAAGAACCATCTGTTACGCAAGCTCTTCGACCACCAGCCCAGCCGCATCTTCAAAGTTTTCAGATCTCCTCCCAACAAGATGAAAAACATTCTTTCCAGCCTCCTGACTGCATGCGAAATGCCTCATATTTAGAATCTGCTGTGCAACGAAGTAATTATCAGAGTCCACCCACAAGGGGGTGAATTTGAATCTCAAAAGATCTAAGTTTATTCTATTTGAATGGTATAGAGATTACACATTGAAACTGCCCAATCCGGTATTTGGTGACTTGGAAATTATTCCAATCTTTGCAGTGCATAATGTACATAAAATGGGTTGTTCATCACCCACCCACACCTGGCAATTCAGGTACTACTGACTCTTAATTGATTTGTCATTTTGCTCTTCAATATATATTCAGGATCAAAGTTATTTAGACTTCAGCTTTAGTAGCAACTTCAGGTTTCGTGGAAACATTTAAACTTATGAAGGCCTGTCCATTAGTTTGTATGGAGAAGTGGGCTGAAGTTGCCAAAAGCTCCAATTTTTGTGATAGTATCAAGTATCACTGTCACTACATTTCAGTATTCCTAGTTGTTTTAAGTATCACTGAGAACTAAGAAAATAAAGAAAGGGAGTCAGTTTCAGGGCTCACTGCAGTGGTTGCCCTGCTTTGCTCGTGAACTTTGAAAATCAGTTTATTTCAAAGCCTTAATTAAGAAGAACCTCCTCCCACAGCAATGCGAAGAATTTATGGGTGCACTTATGATACAGCACCTTTCCCAGACCCTAGCATGGCAAGGATGCAGGACTCCAAACGCTTGGTCCTAAGAGGAAACCTCCAACCCCTAGTGTGTGGTGGTGATTTCACCTCTGCTTGGTGAAGCCGGGGGAAGTTAGGAGAGTTGAAAGAAGTTGAAAGAGGGTCTGACAGGACCTTGAAATTGTAGTGTATCAAGAAACCCTGCCTTGGCTTGAGGCTGAACCTGAGGCTGAGGCTGACCTAGTGAGACAAGCTTTGTGACCATGCTCATAACGCCAGCTGCCAGGGCCAGAAGGGACTTGCTTAGGCCACACTAGCGACTTCTTGGTCCATGCCAGTCTACCCTCCCACCACATCCCCGAAAGATGGAGAGTGGTGGTGGCAAAAGGCCAGCTGGCACTCATTTATCTCTCCACAGGTGGACTTTCCAGGAAAGAAAAATCCTCACAAAATGGGAGGGGTGCGGGAGGGAACGGTGGCTGGGGACTGGGTTTTAAAAATCCATGCTTTAAAAAATTAACGCAGGAGCTTGTATCACGGAGGGAAGCCCTTTCCTTTGCTTTGAAAGTCTAGTCCAGGCCAAAACCTAAGCGTAGCAGCGAAATGGAGGGGGACTGAAAGAGCAGAAAGTCTCGAGCGAGAGAAAACGACCTTTCCTAAGAACCAAGGGAACTCCTAGCTCAGAAGCCTAAGCCCTCGGCGCTCCAGGCCTTTAACTCGACGATGGGAAACGCTCCCTGGGGGCAGCCCTATTTCAGATCCCCTGGAAGGATGTCAAGATCCCCGCCAGCAGTGGACAAGGCAAGGAATCTTCCACTGGAATTGATTCTTGCCAGAGACCCGAGGGCACACAAACCTTCCTCAGGTAGCTCTGCAAGGGATTTAAGGAAGCAGCTGGGTCTCCATCCAAGAGGCAGAGGCAGGGGCGGCGGCACCAGGCTTCCAGCGTCAAGCTCATTACTGCCCTCCAAGTGCACCCTTTCTTCTCCCTCAGAACTCCCTCCTCCCTCTGAGCACTCACTCTGGTCCTTTGACCCTTCAATTCTGCTGGGCAAGGGACCCCTGTTGAAGCCGGGGACCCGCTAGCTCAGTGACCTTGGACGGGTCTGGGCGTCCCCCAGAAAGCCCTCTCCGAAAGGAAGCTGTGGGAGGAGGAACCCGAGTTTGCGGTGTCTAAGATGGGTTATTTGAGAATGGTTCTGGGTTCCCGAGGCCACAATATGAAGACAGCCAAGTGGCTGCGGGAAGGGAAAGCAGTTGAGATGTAAGTAGGTGGAACCGGGTCTGTGTGGTCTAAACGCCGGCGCCAGCGGTGGTCTGCACTGACCCATAAATACACCTACCGCGGGTGGACAGACGCATCTCATCCTCCGCCGGGGACATCTTAGCAACTGCCACTGTACCTCTTAGTGTAAGCACACTTAGGAACCCACCCCGTACTTACCGCTGCGGGAATTGTAACTGGTGGCGGAGACCAGAGACTAGAACCCGGGAGGCCTGGGAGTCTGTGGTGAGACCGGGGGACAGCTCTGCTCAACTACCTTGCGCGTTCTCAATTTCTTTGCACTCCCTCTGCCAACTTCTGGCAAACTTCTCTCCTTTTCCCCCACCTCCCCTCCACCTCCTTCTTTCCGACGAGACAGGTCTCCAGGGCTCGCCCTTCCCGGTTCTGACTTTGTCTTAAAGTGTTGATTGACGGTTGCAATTACGAAGGATGATGGCTCGGGGAGGCTCCCGCAGCCTTGATGAGCCGGAGAAGCGCAGTCCTAGCATATTTTATCCACGCTCGGCGTTACGGGGCCGTGCGCGCCCCATTCACCCAGCTGGCTGGAGCTGAGGAGGCCTCGCACTCCCCACTCGCGAGGATGCAACTGCCTGCCTTCCTCCCCACCCCCTCCTTCCCGTGGTTCAGCACCGCATTTCGGAGCGTGAGCTGGGAGCAATCAACTCGACCTGACCTGGAAAGTGTTGGTCAGCCCCCGCGCGCTTGACCCGTGCGGGCTGCAGCGGGAAAAAATATCAGGATTTTCAGGAGCGGTTCAAGTTTCCTGGGCTCGCAAAAGGTGTGGCAGACACATCTTTCCCCGCGCGCCTGGGTAGATGACCCACCCAAACTTGCACAAAACTTGCAATACCTTCCTCCTTCGAAACAATTTCTCCCGTCTTCTCTTCCATTCCCACTTTTTGGTGCTTTTTAAGAAACCAGGACAATTACTTTTTTCGTCCCACATATCTACCTTTTAGACCCCGAAAGAAGTCTAGATTTTTTTCAGATCTCCATTACTAGGCCAGGATAGCCCGAGGGGGAAGAGGAGCAAGTTTTTCAGCCTACGGGAGCTCCGGGTCTGCCTAATTTTTCCGCCCCTCCCAGCCGAAAAACCCATCAGAAGCTGCTTTTGCCTTTCTCTGAAAAGTTTAGCCAGAACTCCAGTTTCATTCCCTGGCTCAGAGGGCTGGGCTACCCGCCCACGCCCGTAGGCTCCACCCGCCCTCATCCCGAGCGCTTTGTATTAGAAACAGACGGGTTAAATTTCAGTACAGCCATAGGAATTACCAGGGAGCGTCGTGTTGATCGAAGCTTTAAAAAAGCAAACCTGAATAGGTGAGCAGTCGTGCCTTGTTTAAAAAAAAAAAAAAAAAAAAAAAAAAAAAAAGCCTTTCTGCTGCACGTGTGAATAACTACTTAAGACATCAACATCAGCCCCTAGAGCAGGATGGCGATTGATTCACAATCACTATGAGAGTATCTCGATCTGGCGTGGCGCGGTTTTTATCGCGGAGGAAAACGAAAGCCGAAGCAATTATCTGGGTAATCCAACCTACCCCCCACCCACCCCCCCGGGCAACCTCCCACCCTTGCCCCAGAGGAAAGGAGGGCTTTTTGGAGAGTTTGGCCTGGATATCGGAATCTACGGCTCTTTGTATAAAAAGAGTTCACTGAAGAACCTTTTCACTTATTTTCTTTACAGCACGTTGTCCCAACCCAGGGGTCCTGGAGTGCCCCGCCAGGGTATAGTCGGTGCCCTTAGAAGAATGTAACAGGGAGATCCGGTCTTAAGAAAGGAGTGGGGCAGGGGAAATAATCTCGGGTAGGTGGTCTAATCTATCTCTTCCTCTCTGTAATTGAAATGGAAATTTGAGCCAGTTCCAGTTCAAAACTATTGGGACTCCATCCATTGGAATCAATTCTGTCCAGCCTCGGGGCCAACAGAACGACGATCCCGGCGCTAGTAGGCCACAAAGCACCTTGTGAAACTAGCTGAACACTTGCAGTTGCATCCTTTACACCCTCTCCTCCGCTTCAACCTGGGTCAGGAACAAAATCCTTAGCACGAGATTATTCTAGGCTGCCATTTAAATGTATCCGGCGATACTGGAAACTTCTTGATGGAAGGGGAAACATCCTGCATTGCTTCAGAATTCCTCGGCTTTTGCAGCGAGGGGATGGATCCAACCAAACTTCTTCCTTCAGAAAAGCCCCTGCCTGAGCTTCTGATTCTTAAGGTCAAAGAGTGCCGGGACCGCAGAGGTGCGGAGTCCAGCAATTTGGGTCTCACTTGGTCAGCAAAGAAAGTGGGAGCTTGGAAAGGCAAGACTTAACAGTGGTACCGTCACACTCAAGCATGGGGCGTGGAACTAGGGAAAGTGTTATGGTCTGGGCAGTTACAGAGGTTGCACAATTAGAAGGGCGTGGGCTTTTCCAACATGGTGATAACTTTCGCGATTACGAGATGGTGTACAGTGTGTGCCAAGGCTTGAGAGAGATTCACTTGTTTTCTCCAGAGTTTCTTGTCTGGAAACTGGGAAGTTGATTCCAGGACCCAGCAGTGGATTCCGACCAATTTTCTTTCCATTCCTGTAGAGGCCGCTGGAGCAGGTGGAGCTTGCAGAAGGCCGGGAAGCAGAGGCTGCAGGCATCCAAACCCTGAGCAAGGAATCCAGCACTTACCGTGAAAAATGCTAGCATGGGTGTGGGACTAGCATATCTCACTGCAAGAGGCACAGCTGGGTTTGTCAAAAGTGCTTTTTTTTTTAATTGACACCTAAATTGTCTTTCCCTATCCCCTCCTCTCATGGTACAACAGTATGTTTGTTTATGCTATCTAATTCAGTCACTCAGTTTGAGTGATTTCCCTGCCCTCCTCATACTCACTGACTCTATAACAAGTACATGCTCTGAATTTCCTCTCAGTTCCTTCTCACCATCTGTTGGTAACCCTGCGAGTTGTTACCATACACCACAAATTCACAAGCTAAACTTCATCCAAACTCCAGAGATCCTTTCCAGGAAACTCCAGAGTAGGGGACCAGAAGTGCCTTTGTCCCACCCCACTCAGACCTCAGTCCTCCCAGATGTGATTTCCACTCTGCTTTCCATACACCACTCCCTGTGCCACCCTTCTGAATTCTAGAAGGATCCAAATATGGTTTCTACCGTGGAATGGAAATGAAGATTAAAAAGCCACTTACAAATATGTTTCTTAAGCTCGAAATGTCCATTGGAGGAAAGTCTGCATAGACCAACATTGTATTAAATCATAATTCCTTTATATCAACAAGAACAAGTGGTTACCACTTTGGAGAAAGAGTATGTATTTCAGAATATTTCTTGGGTTCTATTTACAGTTCATTCTCTTGACAAGCTGAGTAAATTGCTTGACCTCTGATTCCATTTTTTAATCAGTAAAATTGGGTTAACAAAGTAAACTTTATAGTTAAATGAGACAGTGCCAGGAAAGAAATATATTACGCTGGATATATATATATATATCAGTTCCCCTTTGTCTTTCCCCTTAGCTTCACTCAAACTCATCATTCTGTAAGGAAAGTAAAAAGGGAATCACTAACCATTCTAGGATCACCTTCCAGTGGGATGTGCTTGCTAACTTGATTGTCTTGCAGGGCTTGACAAAGTCCTTGGGGACAATTACATTATCACCAGATAAAACTGCTCATATAAGTGCTCATGGTCATCTGCATTCAGGTTATTTGGTGTTTAAAAGTTACACTCCAAATATCTTTTCTTACTTATCAACCACACAAAAACATACATAACAGCTTCCCAAAAGACTAAAGAAGAGACAACCTTTATCAGCTTGCCTGGTCAGTTCCAGTTCACATGGTTTTCTCAAGCTTGATCTCTCAAGATCATATTGGTCACATTTCAACACTTCCCCAGGGCCTCCCCAGAGCACAATGCCCTCCTGAAGTTCCTTGAAGCCAACTGGATTTTTCCAAGAAGTCTGTTCCAATAAGGTGAAGCGTGAGGAAGTGCAACTCAAAGAACTAGTTCTATCCTAAGGTAGACTCTAGAGCTGCGGAGTGAAGTTGTCTTGCCTGCCTAGTGCATCCCTGGGGGTGGGGATTGGGTTGGGCCTGTAGGTGGAAGTCTGACAATGTGCCCTTCTCTAGCTCAACTTATGCTCAAGGCTGAATCCAAGATAATCCTAGACATTGTGTCTGGTAGAGGGGTCAAGTAAAGGAGAGAAGCATTAACAAGCCTCTGTTCTCCCTTCCTCTATAAATCTCTCTTGGTTTGTTAGAAGAGGTGTTAAAGATGCCAGGTGTGGTGGCTCACATTTGTAATCCCAGCACTTTGGGAGGCTGAGGTGGGTGGATCACCTGAGGTCAGGATTTCGGGACCAGCCTGGCTAACATGGTGAAACCCCATTTCTACTAAAAATACAAAAAATTAGCCAGGCGTGGTGGCGTGCACCTGTAATCCCAGCTGCCTGGGAGGCTGAAGCAGGAGAATCTCTTGAACCCAGAAGGCTGAGGCTGCAGTGAGCCAAGATCATGCCATTGCACTCCAGCTTGGGCAACAAGAGTGAAACTCTGCCTCAAAAAAAAAAAAAAAAAAAAAAAAGGTGTTAAAGAAAAAGAAATCCTTTTTTTGTTTTGTTTTGTTTTGTTTTGTTTTTTTGAGATAGGGTCTCACTTTGTTGCCCAGGCTGGAGTTCAATGGCACAATCACAGCATCCTCAACCTCCCTGGCTCAAGTGATCTTCCTACCTCAACCCCCAAGCCCTAGTCACTAGGACTACAGGCACATGCCACCACACCCACACCCAGCTAATTATTTATTTTTTTATTTTTTGTAGAGACTGGGTCTCACTATGTTGCCTAGGCTGGTCTGGATCTCCTGGGCCCAAGTGATCCTCCATCCTCAGTCTCCCAAAGTATTGGGATTACCAGTTTGAGACACTGTGCCTGGCCCAAGAACTCTGTTAACTCTGGTCACTACCTGTGGATCCAGGCCAGAAAAGAGGAATCTGAGAAGCACTGTTTTGGAGATGGACTCGGGCATGGAAAGAAGGGAGGCTCTAGAGTTTAGCTTCATAGAAGAAACTGGCAGCCTAAGCCCCAACTATGAGAATCAGAACATGGGCTTGTGTGGCTGGCATTCTAAATAAAGCTCGCTGGAGGTTAGGGTGACATAATGGCTATCACACTTTCCGCTGATGAAACGTCTACTTTCAGAGATCCTTATGAGCACAGAGCTTGCTGGAGGTTATCACTGAAATAAAATCAGACTCAGAGTGTTCAGGGGACCAGATAGCAAGACTCACATTACAGACTCAATACAGTGTTTGCACTGTGTATCATGTACCCCTAAGTATGCAGACATAACCTTCTGTGGATAATATGCAATATTATACTGAGTGCATAAAATATTCTGCAAATGCAGTTAATTTGAAGAATTATGGAAATTTAATATGAATCAAAGCATAATATTGGGCACTGTGGGAGTGGTCAATAAATATTTGTTTTATGTATAACATTTCCTACCACACAGATATGGCTCTTTTCTTGATATAGGTAAGTATAAAAAGCTTCTAAAGTTAGTACTGCATATTATTCAATAGAATCATCCCACTTGGGAGAAAGAAGTAAACCAAGACCAGAAACCAAGAGTCTGGCCAGTGTCCCAGAGTTAGTTAACTTTAAGGGAACAATCTAGTTATAACCTGAGTGTGCTGCTTTTACACTACAATGAATGATTATCTTGCAGGTAGGCAGAAGGAACAACTTTATCTTAATTCTGCTTTTCTATACAAGCACAGACATCTATACAAAACTTTCATGTAACCATCAGTGTGCATACAAGATGTAGCCCCTAGTTAAAAACCATGGAGACAGCTTTTTAAACAAAAGGAGGCTCATTTCCTAGTACAACACAACTGAATTAAATATAGAATTGTAAACCCTGACTGATGTCTACATACACCGGGCTCGGTTTTGTGAACCACTCAACACAGCCCAACTTGCAATTTGCCATCTGAAAGCTACCCTCGAGACCCTCAGACACTCTCTACAGCTGCACCCGTGGGTTCTTCCCAGTGGGGCTACCCTGGGCAATCAGAAAGACCCATTCAAGGGGCATCTCTCCCTCAGGAATCGGGTCAGGCCCTTCAATCCAATAGTTCAGTCCGAAGGCTCCTCACCGCCCTCTGTTCCTCTCCCTCAGCCCTTTGGATGGCTCCGTCCAGCCATTCACCCTGGGAACGACCGTTAGCACCCTCGTGGAGGCTACGAGGTAAACAGATTGTCTCCCGGTGCCACAGCCGCCTCAGGGTCACTAAGATGTTGCAGGTGCGGACACCTCACAACCACCTGCGGGGCTGCAATACCAGGAGGCGGAGGGGATGTGCTTGGGTTGGGAAGGGGCGGGTGGCTGCGAACAAGATCCTGAAAGAGGTCTCTTTTACCGGCAAATTGACTGGAATTTTGTTATCCCGGAATCCGGCGCCCGGAAGTGCCTGCACAGGTTTAGGATGTTGGGGTAGTCTCGCTGAGGCCAGGGGAGAGCCTTCTTCGGTACTTTTCTTGAGGTTTAGTCCCCAGCAGCCCCTTATGGGCTGGACCGACAGTCCTCCGGTTCCCAGCCCTCTGCGGTGGGACCGATTCCAGAGCTGCAGGTGTTCTCTGTTTACGCTCAGAGTGTACCGCCTCGGTCCCTTGCGATGTGAGTTGCGCGTGCGGTAGCTGGAAACACAGTTCTTCCAGGGTTGCAGAGAAAAGTGCAACAGCGTCTCTTTCCCCTACCTTACCCTCTTTAATTCACCCATGGGGTGTGGGGGAGACTGTGAGGGATCGGCGTGCGTGGTCTCCCGACCCAGCTCAACTCTATTTTGGCAGCGGCCAGCTGGGGCTGCGCGCAGCAGGAGCCCAAGACCGCCCGCGCGGGCGCGAGCCCCCGAGCGCGCGTCCCCCGTGCGCGCGCAGTCCGCGTCTCCGGCCCGAGCGCGCTCTAGCTGCGGCCCCGGACGCGGAACCGGAGCTGCGCGGAGCTGCCGGGAAGGACTCCTTGCCTGCGCACCGCGGCGGTTCTGCCCGACGAAAAAGATGCGAAATGGTTGTGTGCTGCTCTCTCATCTTTCTTGTGCCTGTATTTTCTGTGTTATCTGCAGAACAATTGATTGTGTGTTACACCCTGCTTACCTTCCCCATGTTTTCTTTTTCGTAAGTATAGAACATTTTTGGTAAACATTTCCTCAAGTGATATACTTTAGGGTGTAGTTGGCCCATAAAAAAAGCAATCTGTGACTCCACTGCATTCTGTGGAGTCAGCTGACTAGGAAGGAAAAAAGAGGAAAAACTCAAGCCTTGATTTTCTTTCTTGTTATAATGGAGCTGAGACTCAGAGAGCTCATGACAGGCCCCTGCAAATTCGGAGGGAAATTCCAGTCTGAAAGCCTAGGCAAATGCTGCCAGAAAAGGCACAGGTCCTTCAAAAACTGGGGAAAGGCAGAAGGGCCTGACTTCCAACAGACAAATAATTACAGATCACTGGGAATCACTTCCCTTCAGTCCTTTACTTTTAGAATTAATTGAATGTAGTCTTGCTATAAAATTCATAAGTTTGTAACTCTATTTTTTAAATGAATAGTAGCTTTATTTACTTATTTCTGTTTGTAAAAACAAAATATACTAATTGTTGCGAGAAACAGTAGCTCTTCAAATCCTTTACTAATGATGGTCTAGTTTTTTTGGTTTTTTTTTTTTTTTTTTGGAGGTGGGGGCATGACTTTCATTCCCCAGGAAAATAAAATGAAAATTTTTTACGGTATAAGCAGAGAATAAGACACCATACTTTTGTGTGGGTTGAAAAGTAACAAATACTTGACAGCTATCTGTTAAAGTTTGATCAATGATCACTCAATATGATTAACTTGTTTCAAATTGTTCAAATTTTAGCTTATTATTTCTGATTAAAAATTATCAGAAAATATTAAAGTTGAAATTGATAAAGTATAAATTATATTTTCTGGCTGATTAGGGTATTAGAATGACACCAGTAAACACTAGATATAATGAATAATATTCATATGTTGAAATATCCATTTGCTTTTTTTGAACTGCAAGAAAGATAAATGTGTGATATATATACATAGGCTTATTGTGTGCTTTTAATAAACATAATAGGAAAAGCCATGACTTAAAATGCAAAATCCATCAACAAGATTAAATTATATGTATGTAGTAGCAGAATAAATAGATGATCAATAGAGAAACTCCTACTTACCAATAGGTGTAAGTCCGTGCTTTAAAGACTCTTGTAAATCCCCAGTATCTGAATTAGAAGACATTCTTAGTGAAATTATAGGCAGTTCTTTGGCTTAAAGCAGAAATCATTGAGCAAAAGAAAAGTGCAGCTTGTCAAATTTCGTGGCCTTGGGAAGGACACATCAGACTACAGTAACCCTTAGTGAAAGTTAAGAAAAAGCAAAGGAAAAAAAAAAATCCAGAATTCATAAAGTTACAAGCAAGTCTTTCCCTGGACTCTGTACTTTTTCCAACATTAGTGACCTGCTGTAAACCATGTATCCAGTTTCATGATGGTTTCTAATCAGAAGAATGGAAACTTTTGATAGGCTTTGACTCATCACATGACTCTATGCAGGTTGATAAGAGGACCCTGTTATAAAGTGACAGCAAAAGAGATAAGAATTCTTGCCAGATAATGGCAAAGAAATGATTAACTCAGAAGTGGAGAGGTGCTATGCAGCACAGAGAGTGGAAAGTTGTAAAACTGAGGGGTCAGAAGATCAGACTTAGTGGATAAAAACTGCAAACCAGCTAACTAACTTAGGCTAACTAAACTTTGGCTTGTGACATACCCCTTGATGTCATCACCTCTTTGCATAGAGGAGGACAGACATAGCTCTTCTGACCTCTGTAAATACATTTTAGATGATAACATTGGCAGACATTAATTCTTTAAGTGATGACTACAAATGTGATCGACACTCTGAAATACTACAGGTAGCATTTCCAAGCTTATGGTTATTTATTTATTCATGTTGTGGTCAACCAACTTTTTTATCGGGCCTATTCATTAGATGAGGAGTTAACCTTAGCTTGTTTCTACATTGGTCATATGGCTAAAACACAATCTATCTCTTTATCCCCAAAAGGTAAAACTTATGCTTTGAGATTAATGCTGGCAAAATGGTGAATATGTAACACATTTTTCATAGTTATAAAGTTATTATTCTTAGGCTGGGCATGGTGGCTCACACCTGTAATCCCAGCACTTTGGGAAGCCAAGGCAGGCGGATCACCTGAGGTCAGGAGTTCGAGACCAGCCTGGCCAACATGGTGAAACCTCCATCTCTACTAAAAATGCAAAAATTAGCTGGGTGTGATGGTGCACTCCTGTAATCCCAGCTACTTGGGAGGCTGAGGCGGGAGAATTGCTTGAACCTGGGAGGCAGAGGTTGCAATGAGACGCTGTTGCACTTCTCTCTGCAACCCTGGAAGAACACAATCCAAGATCATGCCACCGCACTCCAGCCTGGGCAACAGAGTGAGACTCTGTCTTCAAAAACAACAATAACAACAAAATAACAATTTTTTTTTTTTGAGATGGGTTCTCGCTCTGTTGCCCAGGCTGGAGTGCAGTGGCACGATCTCGGCTCACTGCAGCTTCTGTCTCCCGGGTTCAAGCAATTCTCCCGCCTCAGCCTCCCCAGTAGCTGGGATTACAGGGGCACACCACCATGCCCGGCTAATTTTTGCATTTTTAGTCAAGACGGGGTTTCACCGTGTTGGCCAGGCTGGTCTCAAACTTGTGACCTCAAATGATCTACCCGGCCTCCCAAAGTGCTGGAATTATAGGCGTGAGCCACCGCACCTGGCCAAAATCCTCAATTTTAATATTGACACTCCTTTTAAATTAAGTAAATGCAGGTTGTGTGTATGGGTACAGATAATTTTTAACTCAATATATAAACATTTGTTGTAATAAAACTTCATATATCAGATGATAGATTTAGCAGTCTTTGTCTAAAGATTCACATTACAGAATTTATGGTCTATTAATTTATTTAGAGATGGGATCTCACTCTGTCACCCAGGCTGGAATGGAGTGGCACAGTCATAGCTCACTGCAACCTCAGACTCATGGACTTAAGCAATCCTCCTGCCTCAGCCTCCTGAGTAACTAGGACTACAGATGTGTACCACCACACCCAGCTAATTTTTTAAATGTTTTGTAGAGACAGTGTGTTGCTGTATTGCCCAGGTTGGTCTCCTGGGTTCAAGCAGTCCTCCTGCCTCAGCCTCCCCAAGTGCTCAGATTACAGGTGTGAGCTACCTGTAAACCCAGGCCAGTCCTTTTTTTTTTTTTTTTTTTAATGACAGAGTCTTGCTCCATTGCCCAGGCTGGACTGCAGTGGTACAATCTTGGCTCACTGCAACCTCCGCCTCCCAGGTTCAAGCAATCCTCCTGCCTCAGCCCCCCTAGTAGCTGGGATTACAGGTACGTGCCACCATGCCCGGCTAATTTTTGTATTTTTAGTAGAGATGGGGTTTTGCCATGTTGGCCAGGCTGGTCTCGAACTCCTGACCTCAGGTGATTCACCCGCCTCGGCCTCCCAAAGTGCTGGGATTACAGGCATGAGCCACCACACCAGGCCCTTTTTTTTTTCTCTTTTGTTTTTTAATCAGATTACTGTTAGTTATTTCCCCTCTTGCCTCACTTCATGTCAGTTGAAATGTTGGAATACAGCATCTGAAAGTGCTGTCCACTGCCTTTCAGCTGTGCTGCTGGCTCTGAACTTTGCCCAAGGTGAACTTGCCTTTATCGGGTTGGGGTGGCTTGGGGTCTGGGTGACCCCTGAAGTCAGAATCAGAAGTGGCCACATTCGTGACTTGTGGTCTTCTGAGTATAAGAAATGTCCCCATTTGGATATCCTCACAGCCTCATGAAAGTAAGATTTTATTGAGTAGACCTGCTCATGGAAGGTGGGTAGTTTCCAAGTAGCACTGGTACACACCAAGTGAAATAACTGGTAATCCTGGCTGTCAGCGGAGCCAGGTCAACATGCTGGTATACGTGCTGTTTTTCCTTTGAGCTTTAAGTTCTTATGTACACATAACCAATCCAACCTACTTTTCATTAACACCATGTTAGGTATTATTTTCTTAGATTGATATTTTTCTTTTAAAGAAAAAAAAATCATAGGGTGGATTTTAAAATATTATTATTGAAACCAATGATTTCTTCTTTGATTTTAGATGGAAACCCAGAAGGGACCTTCCCCATCTTCTCTCTCTCTCTCTTTCTCTCTCTCTCTCTCTTTTTCTCCCTCTCCTTTCCTCTCCTCTCCTCTCCCCTCCCCTCCTCCCCTCGCCCCTCCCCTCCCTTCCCCCTCTCCTTCCTTCCTTCCTTCCTTCCTTCCTTCCTTTCCTTCTTTCCTTCTTTCTCTTTTCTTTCTTCTTTCTTTCTTGACAAGGTCTCACTCTGTCACCCAGGCTGGAGTGCAGTGGCATGATCTCGGTTCACTGCAACCTCCACCTCCCGGGTTCAAGTGATTCTTCTATGTCAGCCTCCCAAGTAGCTGGGATTACGGGCACCCACCACCACGCCCAGCTAATTTTTGTATTTTTAGTAAAGATGGGGTTTCACCATGTTGGCCAGGATGGTCTCAAACTCCTGACCTCAGGTGATCCACCCACCTCGACCTCCCAGAGTGCTGGGATTACAGGTGTGAGCCATGAGGCCCAGCTAATTTTTGTATTTTTTTGTAGGGACAGTATATCACCATGTTGCCCAGGCTGGTGTCGAACTCCTGGGCTCAAGCGATCCTCCTGCCTTAGCCTTCCAAGTGTGTGGAACATATATTTCTATGGACGTATTTTGCATCTGTAACTGCTTTGAAATATGTAGGTCTTCTTTTACACCTGCCAAAGTGTTGGATACACATTTCCTGAGGCCTTTCATATCATTCAGTCCATAAAATTACATAGTCCATCGGATCCTCTCAATGCACTGGTTGTAGCTCTGACAGTTTTCCTGAGGAAACCAGTCAGTTTGGGTTGCTGAATGCAGCCTATATAAGCACAAATTATGAGATCATGGTAAGAATGAAGGCAGGGTAGCAGGGTGGTTAAGAGCCTAGGATTTGAGGTCAGAAAGCTCAGGGCTTCCATTTGTACTTTGCCTCCTTCTTGGTGGCAAAGTAATGCTTGGCTTTTTTAAGGCTTGAATTCCTCATAAGTAAAAATGACAAAAATGATGAAATCCAGTAGTTTTTGTGGTAAGATGTAAATGAGAAATAAAGTACTCAGTATCATGTCAGAGAAAGAAAGTACTCAACGTGTCATCAAAAGTGAATATGGAGGTTGGGCGCAGTGGCTCACACCTGTAATCCCAGCACTTTGGGAGGCTGAGGCAGGTGGATCACTTGTCATCAGGAGTTCAAGACCAGCCTGGCCAACATGGTGAAACCCTGTCTCTACTAAAAATACAAAAAATTAACTGGGCAAGGTGGTACACGCCTGTAATCCCAGCTACTCTGGAGGCTGAGGCAGGAGAATTGCTTGAACCCAGGAGACGGAAGTTGCAGTGAGCCAAGATCGTGCCACTGCACTCCAGCCTGGGTGACAAAGTGACACTCCATCTCAAAAAAAAAAAAAAAAAAGTGATTATGGGCTTTGTGACTTGGGATCTTAAGTGAAAGACACATCTTCCTTAGTGGAATTTTAGAAGACATACGAAAGTTTCTGTTTTTGGGTTTTGTTTCTGACACCAGTTCTATCCTAGTCACATACACTATTAGAGACCTTATAGAAGACCTCATAGGATTCATATAATTAAACAGCATCATAAAGTGATTTGTGGCTGGGCACGGTGGCTTAACACCTGAAATCCTAGCACTTTGAAAGGCTGAAGCAAGAGGATCACTTGAGGGCAGGAGTTTGAGACCAGCCTGCACAATATAGTGACACTCTATCTCTTAAATAATAAATGAAATAATAAATAATGAGGAATAAGGAATAAATAATTATTAATAATAATAAATCCAAAAATAAAGTGATTTGCTTTTTTTCTCATCCTTATTGTACATGGTTAACAAAGCATGTAATAGCACAAAGATTGAATTTCATGCTATACTGTCTGCCTCTAATCAGACATAATTATTTTTAAGAATGTACAAAAAATTGGGGGTGGTAGTATTACCAGCTTGCCTAATAACTCCTAACAGAATCTTTAAAAGACACTATTTGCCATTTGTCACTCTCTTGCTTTCCTACAAAACTCACTGGCTTGTTGAGGAAACATTATATTAATGAGTTACTTTGGTCCTTTGAAGCTTATCCATCAGGCTGATTGAATAGAAATACGTACTCAGTACTTTGTGAGAAATGAACATATTTTTCTGAAAGTGAGGCTAGAGTAATGTTCACATGTGGTACAAATAACAGATGCTTGGGACTCAGCCTCAGTGACAGTTAACAAGCAATTTATGTTCTGGCCATGCGGGGGGGAGGACACAAAACAAATCACACCCTCAGTTTTTGTATTTATTTTTTCTCAATCAAGGTATCATCTGACCCTTTCCATTTGGCAAGTGTGGGCATTTTCCATTACAACATTCTGTTTTAAACACCTTCACTACCCCATTGAACTCATTCGATACCACAACATGGAATACTTCTAATGACTCACATTTACAAGAATATGTTTATAATGATAAAAAATATTTGCTAACAGATTTCAGAAAGGATTCGTAAATTATTGACAGATAACTAATGACTCTAAGGCATCTTTGCCAAAATCCAAAAAGTATTCAACAATGTCACCTGAACCCATATTGCATGATGATGTTAAAGTTTAGTTAATGAATTACAGTCAGTGTAAACTTCGTGACAACACTATTCCAAGACATTATGACATATCTATTAGGAATTGATATTCCTGCAAAATTGGATTTATCATTAACCCCTTGCATGAACAAACTAGAAAGGCCCTTTCAGTATGTTTATAATATGGGTTTATTAACAACAAACACCTTAAAATTTTCATCATTCAAATAGACTGATTGCATCAGATATGGAGGAGTTTTTAACAGAAGTCTTATAAGTACTGAACCAGTTAGTTACTGCCAAAGCATTGCTTAGTAGTGCATTTTTGCTTGTACCCTTTGCTAACATAGGCATTTGTCACTGATTTTGTACAGAACCTGAGCTAGGGTTGGCACTTTTTATTTTTTATCAACTTTCTTAATAATCCTCTCCTCTGCCAAATTATATAAGATGATGGAATGGTACATTTTGGAAAGGAGTGACTGAGTAAAGATTTCTTCTCATTCTTTTAAATAACTGTGAGAAATGTGGCACCTGGCAGGAAAGATAAGTGACTTTTACACAATACGATTATGGCCAGGTAAATATTACTCACTTTTTATAACACCAATAATTAAACAGAGCCTTAGTCAATCTTTTGGCAATTGAATGTTTAAGACTTTACTCTCTTGTAGGCTTGTGCTGAGTTCCCCATGTTTATCACAATCTATGATCTGTGTCTGATGGCTCATAGTTCATATCTTTATTTAGAGTACAAGAAATAAACTCAATATCATTTTGTTTCAATTTAAGGCCTTTAAAGACATTTAAGCAAACAACTAAATGATCTAAATTGTTTTTAAAAGAGGAAACTGTAGCATATCCAAAGTGATTTCCCTAGGAATCACAGCATAATTATTATTAAAACACAAAGCAACAAAATAGATCTCAAGCATTTTTTTTTTTTTTTGAGACAAAGTCTTGTTCTGTTGTCCAGGCTACAGTGCAGCCGCACAATCTCGGCTCACTGCAACCTCCATCTCCTGGGTTCAACCTATTCCCCTGCCTCAGTTTCCCAAGTAGCTGGGACTGCAGGCACATGTCACCATACCCGGCTAATTTTTGTATTTTTCGTAGAGATAGGGTTTTGCCATGTTGGCCAAGCTGGTCTCAAACTCCTGACCTCAGGTTATCCACCTGCCTTGGCCTCCCAAAGTGCTGGGATTACAGGCATGAGCCACCACACCCAGCCATCTCAGGCACTCTTAATTCATGAAACTGGATGTTATATATTACCTAATAGTCTGGCAGACTACATAAATAAAACAATCATTCAAATAATAGATTTTCCTCTAGACTGAAATATTTCATATGGGTGAAACTTACATGGGGCTATATAACTCAATTTTGATTTATGTTTCAGTGATTTTAATCAACTTTTTTTTTTGCCCTCTCAGTCTTTTGCGAAATAAGAAAATACAAATAATATTATTTTTAATAAAAAAAAATGTATCTGGGCATGATGGCTCACACCTGTAATCCCAGCACTTTGGGAGGCTTAGGCAGGAGAATAACTTGAGCCCAAGAGTTCAAGACCAGCCTGAACAACATAATGAGACCTCATCTCTATAAAAAATAAACAAAATTAGCTATATGGTGGCACACACCATGTTGGCCAGGCTGGTCTCAAACTCTTGACCTCAAGTAATCCACCGGCCTCGGCTCCCAAAGTGCTGGATAACAGGCGTGAGCCAACACGCCCAGCCAATTAACTCTTTCCTTTTTGGTTTTATCCTTTCTTTCTTAAATATAATAGAACATATAACATATCTGCATTTATGCTATTTTGACTAATCACAGATCTACAGGTGTGTGGCACAGGTGTGTGCCAGCGTTTTACATGGTGAAACCCTGGCTCTACTAAAAATACAAAAATTAGCTAGGTGTGTTGGTGTGCACCTATAATCCCAGCCATTTGGGAGGCTGAGGCACGAGAACTGCTTGAACACAGGAGGCGGATGTGGCCACTGCACTCCAACCTGGGTGACAAAGCATCTCAAAAAAAAAAAAAAGAAAAGAAAAAGAAAAAGAAAGAAAGAGTTAATTAAAAGACACTGAGGATACTTAAAAAGGTCACTTTATACTATATGAAATTGTAAAACCAAAAAGAGTTTCAAAAACATAGGCTCAGTTTCTACCTTTTTTATTTCCATGAATCTGACAACTTATACCCTCAAGCATTATTTTGATACTAAATATTAGCATTTTAGATTTTCCTGATCCGTTTGCATTTTTCAGAAGGTCACGACCTATCCACTTTTTCTATATTTACCTAATAATTTTTTTAAAAAGAGGCTTATGTGGTGGCTCATGCCTGTAATCCTAGCACTTTGGGAGGCCGAGGTGGGTGGATCACCTGAGTCGGGAGTTTGAGACCAGCCTGACCAACATGGAGAAAACTCATCTCTACTAAAAGTACAAAATTAGCTGGGCGTGGTGACACGTGCCTGTAATCCCAGCTACTTGGCAGGCTAAGGCAGGAGAATCGCTTGAACCCGGGAGGCAGAGGTTGCAGTGAGCCAAGATCGTGCCATTGCACTCCAGCCTGGGAAACGAGTGAAACTCTGTCTCAAAAAAAAAAAAAAAAATTGTGCCTTTTTGCTTTAAGACCATTTAGTATAATCTCAAGCTTTAAGATCATACTAAATGATCTTAAAACTTTATTTTACTTATACTAATATTAGGATACATTAGAATTGGAACAGCTCTGTAAATAGAAATGTGATTTTTGACTACATTTTCAAGCCTTCTTTACATCTGTACACTCACATATTATTTCTACACTTTTTTATCTTCATTTTTTCTTTTTGCCTTTTTAAAAAATAGAGATGAGGGTCTCACTATGTTGCCCAGGCTGGTCTCGAACTCCTGGCCTCAAGTGATCCTCCCATCTCAGCCTCCCAAAGTGCTAAAATTACAGGCATAAGCCACTGTGCCTGGCCATTTCTACACTTATTGAGCACATAATTATGCCAGACGCTCTTTTAAGTGCTTTACATACGTTCTATCACTTAGTTTAAAAAAAATTTATTTACCTCTATTTTATATATGAGAAAAATTAATGCTTGAAAATTTTAAGTAATTTGACCAATGCTACACAGATGGTATATGATTGATAGAGCTGGACTCAAATCCATGTCTGACTTCAATGCTATTATATTGCTTGAAATGCTATTATAATGCTTGACAAATTATTTTGTGAATTTAATGGTATGTATGCCTGGAACATGGCAGCCAATACATTTGCTATCAATATTAATATTGCTGGTATACACTGGAGAAACTCAAAGAACTGTAAACAGAGTTGGTAATGCACTGTGTCCTTATATATGTCCTTCAGTAAACATATGCATAATGCCCCAAATGAAACTCATTCATTTTCTTTTTTTTTTTCTTTTTGAGACGGGGTCTCCCTCTTGTTGCCCAGGCTGGAGGGCAATGGCACGATTTCAGCTCACTGCAACCTCTGCCTCCCAGGTTCAAATGATTGTCCTGCCTCAGCCTCCCGAGTAACTAGGATTACAGGCTCTTGCCACCACAACCAGCTGATTTTTTGTATTTTTAGTAGAGACAGGGTTTCACCATGTTGGGCAGGCTGGTCTCGAACTTTTGACCTCAGGTGATCCACCTGCCTTAGCCTCCGAAAGTGCTCGGATTACAGGTGTGAGCCACCATGCCTGGCCAGATATTTTTCATTTTGAATGCCACTTAAAAAAAAAAAAAAAGAATAATAGGCCGAGTGCAGTGCCTCATGTCTGTAATCTCAGCACTTTGGGAGGCTGAGGTGGGAGGATCACTTGAGCCCAAGAGTTCAAGGCTACAGTGAGCTACAGTGAGTACAGTGATTATGCCACTGTACTCCAGCCTGGGGGATATTGAGACCTTGTGTTGGAACAAAAAAAAGAGTGAAATATCAGGATTCATATTCTAGAAGGAAAAAAAGTGAAGTATTCATGGGAAGAATTTATTGTTGCATGAGCAATCAAGCAACTACATGAGTGAAAGAATCAAGCAAAAAAGGAGAAAATAAAGTATAAATTTATGATCACATTTATGCATTTATATAAAAGTCTGTATGCAAAAAAAGAGATTAAAACAATTTAGTGGACAAGCAAAAGGAAAGATACATGAATCACCTGTAATCCTGACATTCTGAGATCATGTTTTAAAGTATTTTCTTCTAGGAGATATCTGTGTATTTAAATATTTAAATATTGGCTGGTCGTGTAATTCCAGCACTTTGGGAGGCCAAAGCAGGACGACCACTTGAACCCAGGAATTCAAGAGCAGCCTGAACAGCAAAATGAGACCCCATCTCTACAAAAACTAAAAAAGTTAACCAGGTGTGATGGCATGAACCTGTGGTCCCAGCTAGGCAGGGGCCTAAGGCAGGAAGATTTTTTGAGCCTGGGAGGTTGAGGCTGCAGTGAGCCCTGTTCTCTCCACTGCATTCTAGCCTAGGTGACAGAGTGAGATGTTGTCTCAAAACAAAAAACAAAAGCAAAACCCTAAATTAAATATAGACAAAACTATAACATATTGTGTATATTGTTTTATATCCCGCTGTTTAAAACAGTTACCGTGGCTGGGTTGGATGGCTCATGTCTCTAATCCTAGCACTTTGGGAAACCGAGGCAGGAGGATCACTTGAGCCCAGAAGTTTGAGACCAGCCTGGGCAACAGAGAGAGAGCTCCTCTCTATTAAAGAAATTTTAGGCTGAGCATGCTGGTTCACACCTGTAATCCCAGTACTTTGGGAGGCCAAGGCAGGCAGATCATTTGAGGTCAGGAGTTTGAGACCAGCCTAGCCAACACGGTGAAACCCTGTCTCTATTAAAAATACAAAAATTAGCCAGGTGTGGTGGTGCACATCTGTAGGCCCAGCTACTCAGGAGGCTGTGGTTGGGAGAATTGCTTGAGCCCAGGAGTTCGAGCTGTAGTGAGCTATGATTGTGCTACTGCACCCTAGCCTAGGTGACAGAGTGAGACTCCGTCTCAGAAAAAAAAAAAAGGGACAAGAAAAGCAAAGAGTTTTAAATTAAATTATTTCCCCCAAGGTCCACTGGCTAGGAGGGACTGGGGCTGAGATTCATGGGTCTATCTAGTCCTAGAGCTCGAGTGCTCATCACTCTGCTGTACTCTCTTCTTTATTGAGCTGGGACCAGATCTGGCTTCAGGGTTTGTCAAATAAGGTCAGTGTGTCCTGTCACTCACCATGGTAAATTACATAGCCAGTTTGGCTCCTAGTCTTTTCTCCTTTTATAGTTTGGCAGATGGTTATTGACATTCTTGTAGTACTATACGGTGATCTTAGACAAATCCTGTAGTAGGAAACCAAATCAAAAAGGTCAGAACGTCCTTTGAGAGTCAGTAGAAAGAACCTGGTTTCTGTGTACCAAGCTAAAGATATGAAGTGGTCATGCCCTTTTTCCTCCCCAGTTGTGAGGCTTAGGCTGTCTGAGAGTTACATCCATCATCTCTTTGCTTCTGAATCATCAGTGAACAGAAAATTGAGGACAATCAGTAGACACAGGGGACAAGGGGTGGGATTTTCTATAATAAATGGTGGAAAGGAAGTACAGTGTCCATTAAACAGGCAGGTGACATTAACCAGGTATATGACAACACTGAAACCTATTTTGTTTTTAAATAAGAGATGTGAATCCTGAAACTCCAACAGTTGACAAGCTAAAAGTTAAAATGCTTGAGAATATATTTTGTACAATCCCAAATATATAGGCTTCAAGAGAACCACAACCTAGAGTGCCAGGAGCAAACTACTTTAAAGACATGAGCTTTTTCTTTTTTCTTTTTTAGAGGCAAGGTCTCACTTTGTTACCCAGACTGGAGTGCAGTAGCATGATCACAGCTCACTGCAGCCTCGAATTCCTGGCCTCGAGCAATCCTCTTGCCTCAGCCTCCTACTACAAGCAAGCAAACAACACATCTGGCTAATTTTTTTTTATTTTTGTACAGATGCGGGGGGTCTCACTATGTTGCCCAGGCTGGTCTTGAACCCCTGGCCTCAAGTTATCCTCTTGCCTTGGCCTCCCAAATTGCTGGGAATACAGGTGAGAGCCACTGCACCTGGCCAATGTGCACTTTTTAACTGAGATGCCCAAGCTTTCTAATCACAGTTCTAGTAAAATGGCCATGAGTAGTCCATTTTGGTAGAGGAATTAGAGCAGAATGACAAATAACTGCACATTCTTGCTGGCCCTGATTCTGCATTTCTTTGTTCTGATATGATGAAATTTTAATTTTTATAAAGTGGTTGCCCAACTGGAGGGAGGTTTAAGGAATGCTTTCCCTTTAGTTAGTTCATTAAAAGTAAACACACTTTTGCATTCTTTCCCAAATCCAGTCTCAGTACTGCGGTTAGTTAGGCTTGTCTGCAGCTAATCATTGTATCAGATTTGGGGAGTCAGTTAATGGGCTAGTTATTTGAACAATTGACACTGAATTTCTTTTCATAGTAACGCCTAAGGTAAGCTCCATACCTTTATGATAAAGGATGGATGCCAGATTTGACTTCTGATTTGGCTATCTGATGAATTAGAGGCATTTAACAAAAAAATTAATGTGACTTTGGTCTACACCATCTTTGAATAAAGTCCTCAGTTTTGTATTCAGTGCAGCACTAAATATTCTTTACACAGTTTATTGAGAGATTATTTTAAAAAATCAGCCTTTATGTAAGTAAAAGGAGAGGTTATTCTTTCTTTCTTTCTTTTCTTTCTTTCTTTCTTTTCTTTCTTTCTTTCTCTCTCTCTCTCTCTTTCTTTTTTCTGAGATGGAGTTTTGCTCTTGTCACTCAGGCTGGAGTGCAATGGTGCAATCTCCGCCTTTGGGATTGGAGCAATTCTCCTGCCTCAGCCTCCTGAGTAGCTGGGATTACAGGTGCCTGCCACCATGCCTGGCTAGTTTCTGTATTTTTAGTAGAGACGGGGGTTTCACCATGTTGGCCAGGCTAGTTTCAAACTCCTGATCTTAGGTAATCCGCCCACCTCGGCCTCCCAAAGTTCTGAGATTACAGGCGTGAGCCACTGTGCCCGGGCAGGTTATTCCTTCTCTCTTTCTTCCCTCCCTCCTTCCCTCCCTCTCCTCCTCTCTTCCTTCCTTCCTTCCTTCCTTTCCTTTCCGTTTCTTCCTTTCTTCCTTTCTTTCTTCCTTTCTTCCTTTTCTTTCCTTTCTTTTTGATGGAGTCTCACTCTGTCGCCCAGGCTGGATTGCAGTGGCAGAATCATAGCCCACTACAGCCTTGAACTCCTGGGCTTAAGCAATCCTCTCACCTCAACCTCCCAAGTAGCTGGGATTACAGGTGCATGCCATCACACCCAGCTACTTTTTGCATTTTTAGTAGAAACGGGGTTTCACCATGTTGGCCAGACTGGTGTTGAACTCCCAATCTCAAATGATCCGCCTACCTCAGCCTCCCAAAGTGCTGAGATTACAGGTGTGAGCCACCTCGCCTGGACAGGTTATTTTTTCAATTAAAACAATAGATTAAGTGCTCACTCCAGCAGCACATATACCAAAATTGGAACAATACAGAGAAGATCAGCATGGCTCCTGCGCAAGGATGACATACAACTTCATGAAGCGTTCCATATTTTAAAAATTAAAAGAAACACACACACACACACAAAACCCCCAATAGATTAAAATATGTCCTGAATCTGGCCAGTTGTGGTGGCACACACCTGTAATCCTATCACTCTGGGGGGCTGGAGCAGGCCGATTGCTTGAGCTCAGAAATTCTAGACCAGCCTGGGCAACATGATGAAACTCCTCTTTTTTTGTTAAAATTTTTTAGTTTAAAATGTATATTTAAATTTTTAAAAAATATATATCTTGAATCCATCATTAAGCAGCTCATGTTCTCTCTCTGTCTTACTCTGCAGGCATATCATTAGGTTATTTTCCTCTTGAAGACATCAATTTTGTTTTGGTTTTCTTTTTGAGACAGGGCCTCACTCCTGTTGCCCAGTTTGGAGTGCAGTGGTGCAATCTTGGCTCAACCTCTGAGTTCAGGTAATCCTCCCACCTCAGCCTGCCTAGTAGCTGGGCTACAGGCGCGCACCACCATGTCTGACTAATTTTTGTATATTTTTGTAGAGATCGAGTTTCACCATGTTCCCCAGGCTGGTCTCAATCTCTTGAACTCAGACGATCTGCCTGCCTCTGCCTCCCAAAGTGCTGCAATTATCCTCATGAACCACTCTGCTCAGTCGCCCTTGGTTTTCTTAAGTTTCAAGTAACAGAAAGCCCAGACAACTATCTTCAACAATAAGAAAAATATACTCTCCCTCACTCAATAAGACGTTCAAAAGTGGGGCAGCCCCAGTGCTGCTTAATCCATGGCTCAGTGACCTCATCAGGACCCTATTTCTTTCTGTCGCTGCCGTTGTCAACATGTTGACTTATCCTCTGATAGCTTTCGTTGTTGCGGAGTGGCTGCAGCAATTCTAGGAATCACATTGGAACAACAACAACAACAAAAACAATATCCAATGCAAGAAATTAGGGTATTTGGTATTCTGTTTTATCTTTTTCTTTTTTTCTTTCTTTTTTGAGACAGAGTCTTGCTCTGTCACCAGGCTGGAGTGCAGTGGCACAATCTTGGCTCACTGCAACCTCCGCCTCCCAGGTTCAAACGATTCCCCTGTCTCAGCCTCCTGAGTAGCTGGGTCTACAGGCATGCACCACCATGCCCAACTAATTTTTTATATTTTAGTAGAGGTGGGGTTTCACCATGTTGGCCAGGATGGTCTTGATCTCCTGACCTTGTGATCCACTCACCTCAGCCTCCCAAAGTGCTGGGATTACAGGCATGAGCCACCGTGTCTGGCCCTCTTTTTTCAGTCCAGAAAAGAAATACTCCAAATAAACCCCCTGGAAGATTCCTTTTTTTTTTTTTTTTTTTGAGATGGAGGCTCGCTCTGTCACCCAGGCTAGAGTGCAGTGGCGCAATCTCAGCTCATTGCAACCTCTGCCTCCCAGGTTCAAGCAATTCTCCTGCCTCAGACTCCTGAGTAGCTGGGATTACAGGTGTCTGCCACCATGCCTGGCTGATTTTTTTGTATTTTTAGGAGAGTTGGGGTTTCACCATGTTGGCCAGGCTGGTTTCAAACTCCTGACCTCAAGTGATCCACCTGCCTTGGCCTCCCGAAGTGTTAGGATTACAGCGGTGAGTCACCACGCCCAGCCAGGTTCCTCTCTATGTCATTGATGAGATACTAGTCACATGCTCACCCCATAAACCAGTCACTGGGAAGGGGAATGGAATGGCCATTAGAATATACAGGACTTATCCCTGAGCTGAGCTCACTATAGGGTTACTTTTCTTTTTCTTTTCCTTTTCCATTTTTTTTTCCTTTTTTTTTTTTTTTTTTTTTGAGACGGAGTCTTGCTTTGTTGCCCAGGCTGGAGTACAGTGGTGCAATCTTGGCTCACTGCAGCCTCCGCCTCGTGAGTTAAAGCTATTCTCCTGTCTCAGCCTCGTGAGTAGCTGGGACTACAGGCACACGCCACTATGCCTAGATAATTTTTGTATTTTTAGTAGAGGGGTTAGACCATATTGGTCAGGCTGGTCTCGAACTCCTGACCTCAGATGATCCACCCCCCCCTCAGCCTCCCAAGGTGCTGGGATTACAGGCATGAGCCACCACGCCTGCCTGGCCTTATAGGGTTACTTTTCTAGAGAGGAAAAATTGGGTGTCTGTTGGCAAGGAAGAAAGAGAATAGGTTGGGGTAAGCAATCAATACTGTGTGCCATGTCCCTTAAATATTTTTCTCTTGCCCTCGGTAACACCTATGACATTTTAGCGATCATTAATTTCACATAAGTAGGCAGGACAGAGTTTGCAGAGTTGGAATGGGACAGTCTGTTTGTGGAGGACTTAACATCCTGAGGCAGAAAGGAGGCTTACATGCAATGAGGCAAGAGAAATGTAGGTGGATCATTGAGGTGGGTTAGCTTGAGTTCACACCTATCAACGAACCACCATTTCTTAACCAACTGTGTTAAAATATGATGTACAACAGGCGAAAGCCCTGGTAACCAGAAATAAACCTGAAGCCATACAAAAAGCTTAGAAAGCCTGTATTTCCCTAGGATTTTATGCCAGCAATACAGAAGCTGTAAAAACTGCCACCAACTGACCAGGGCACCATAATGACCTGGGCAGTCATTGTCATAATGCACAGAGAAATTGCAGAAAGGAAACAAAATTGGTGGCTGGGTATGGTGGCTCGTGCCTATAATCCCAGCACTTTGGGAAGTCAAGGCAGGAGGATCACTTGAATGCAGGAGTTTAAGACCAGCCTGGGCAACGTAACAAGATTCTGTCTCTACAAAGAAAAGAAGAAAAATTAGCCAGGTGTAGTGGCAATCGCCCGTGGTTCCAGCTACTTGGGAGGCTGAGGTGGTAGGATGGCTTGAGCCTGGGAGATGGAGGCACAGTGAGCTGTGATTGGGCCACTGTACTCTGCCTGTGTGACAGGGTGAGACCTTGTCTCAAAAACAAAAATAAAAACAAAAAGAAAGATAAAAGAAAATTGGGCTTGTCAGAACATTCACAGAGAGCTGGCAGAAAGTAGAATAAAAATGTATATTGTCCTTATATATAGATATTATCTCATTTGAATATTCCAGTCCTATCTTCTGTCTCACTAATAATAATAGCAAATGTTGGCCAGGCTCGGTGGCTCACGCCTATAATCCCAGCACTTTGGGAGGCTGAGGCGGGTAGATCACGAGGTCAGGAGATCGAGACCATCCTGGCCAGCATGGTGAAACCCTGTCTCTACTAAAAATAAAAAAATTAGCTGGGCGTGGTGGTGTGCGCCTGTAGTCCAAGCTACTCAGGAGGCTGAGACAGGAGAATCACTTGAACCCAGGAGGCGGAGGTTGCAGTGAGTCAGGATCGTACCATTGCACACCAGCTTGGGAGACAGAGTGAGACTCTGTTTCAAAAAAAAAAAAAAAAGCAAACATTTAAATAGGAATTACTGGGGACCTGACGCTGTCCTACACACTTTATATTAACTAATTTGTTCAACAACACTGTAAGGTACTACTGTTATCATCACTCCCATTTTAAAAATGAAGGAAGAACTGAGGAACAGCCAGTCATAGTCGCTTACGCCTGTAATCCCAGCATTTTGGGAGGCCGAGGTGGGCAGATCACTTGAGGTCAGGAGTTTGAGACCAACCTGGCCAACATTGTGAAACCCCATCTCTACTAAAAATACAAAAATTAGCCGAGCAGGTGGTGCGTGCCTGTGGTCCCAGCTATTAGGGAGGCTGAGGCATGAGAATCGCTTGAACCCAGGAGACAGAGACTGTGGTGAGCTGAGATCATGCCACTGCACTCCAGCCTAGGCAACAGAGCAAGACCCTGTCTCAAAAAAAGAATTGAGGCACAGAGAGATTGTGAAGAGATCGTAAGTGGAAGAAACGGAGACTCCATTATTTATTTTTTGCCCCTAGCCACTATTCCCTATGGCTTCTTTTAGGAAGATTGAGCCTGTCAAAGATGCCACTTTGATAAGCTTTTGCCTTAACAAGTTATTTCACTTAACTCTAGTAAAGAATGTTATACTATACGAGCATGTTAAATAATTCTTTGACCATTAGTTTTCTTACTAGTTTTTTTTTAATGATTGTTTTGTGTTTAACAACATTCTCTAAGTTTAAATAGAAAATTCAAGCAAGACTTCAGTTAACACCAGTGACAAACATAGAGCTAGAAA
Organism: Homo sapiens; assembly: GCF_000001405.40. Taxonomy (NCBI): domain Eukaryota; kingdom Metazoa; phylum Chordata; class Mammalia; order Primates; family Hominidae; genus Homo; species Homo sapiens. The sequence continues at coordinate 200,010,548 of NC_000001.11, read as the reverse complement.
TCATACATTATTTGTGTGTGTGTATGTTACGGGGGACTTTCTACTGTGACAATAAATAATCTTAGAGGCAATGATAATTATATTTGAATGTGCAAGTCACTGTTTTTCTAGAATACCTTTAAACACATAATTAGGTCTTTTATTCTTATATTCTTTTTTTTTTTTTTTTTTTTTGAGATGGAGTCTGGCTCTGCCACCTAGGCTGGAGTGCAGTGGTACAATCTCAGCTCACTGCAAGCTCCTCCTCCCGGGTTCACACCATTCTGCTGCCTCAGCCTCCCGAGTAGCTGGGACTACAGGCGCCCACCACCACACCCAGCTAATTTTGTTTTGTATTTTTAGTAGAGACGGGGTTTCACTGTGTTATCCAGGATGGTCTCAATCTCCTGACCTTGTGATCTGCCCGCCTCGGCCTCCCAAAGTGCTGGGATTACAGGCATGAGCCACCGCGCCCGGCCTTTATTCTTATATTCTAAAAATGTTTAATTAGAAAAGGTCTGTTCATCAATGGATGAATGAACAAAATATGGCCTATATACACAATGGAATATTATCCAGCCATTAAAAAGAGTGAAGTTGGCCGTGTGTGGTGGCTCATGCCTGTAATCCCAGCACTTTGGGAGGCTGAGGTGGGCAGATTGCCTGAGGTCAAGAGTTCGAGACCAGCCTGGCCAACATGGAGAAACCCTGTCTCTACTAAAAATACAAAAATTAGCTGGGCGTAGTGGTGGGCACCTGTAATTCCAGCTACTCGGGAGGCTGAGGTGGGAGAATTGCTTGAACCCAGGAGGCTGAGGTTGCCGTGAGCGGAGATCACACCACTGCACTCCAGCCTGGGTGACAGAGCGAGACTCCATCTCAAAAAAAAAAAAAAAAAAAAGAGTGAAGTTGTGTTATTTGCAGCAACATGGATGGAACTAGAGGTCATTATGTTAAGTGAAATAAGGCAGGCATAGGGAGACAAATAGCTCATGTTCTCACTCATACGAGGGAGCTAAAAAAGTAGCTCTTATAAAGATAGAGAGTAGATTGGTGGTTACCAGAGGCTGGGAAGGGTAGCAGGGAGAGGGGGATGAAGAGAGGTCGATTAATGGGTACAAATACACACTTAAAAGAAATAAGACCTGGTGTTCGATAGATCAGTAGAGTAACTACAGTTAACATTAATTGACTGCACATTTTATGTTTGTTTTTGTTTCTGTTTGAGACAGGGTCTCCCTCTGTCACACAGGCTGCAGTCCAGTGACACAATCAGGCCTCACTGCAGCCTCAACTTGCTGCACTCAAGCAATTTTCCAGCCTCAGCCTCCCAAATAGCTGGGACTACAGGTGTGCACCACCAAGCCTGGCTAATTTCTGTATTTTTCTGTAGAGGAGTTTCACCATGTTGCCCAGGCTGGTCTCAAACTCCTGGGCTCAAGTGATCTGCCCTCCTCGGCCTCTCAAAGTGCTGGGATAACAGGGGTGAGCCATCACACCCGGCCAGGATAGAATAATTAAAATAGCTAGAAGAGAATAACTTGAATGCTCCTAGTTAAGGTGATGAATATCCCAATTATCCTGATTTGATTGTGTAAATGTATCAAGTTATCCCATGTACTCCGAAATATGAATCTCTAATATGTATCAATTAAAAAATAGTGCTCAGGCCAGGTGTGGTGGCTTATGCCTGTAATCTCAGCACTTTGGGAGGCCAAGGAGAGTGGATCTTTTGAGGTCAGGAGTTCAAGACCAGCCTGGCCAACATCGCGAAACCCCATCTCTACTAAAAATACAAAAATTAGCCAGGTGTGGTGGTGCACACCTGTAATTCCAGCTACTTGGGAGGCTGAGGCATGAGAATCACTTGAACTCGGGAGGTGGAGGTTGCAATGAGCCAAGATTCTACCACTGCACACCAGCCTGGGTGGTGAAGTGAGACTGTCTCAGAAAAACAAAAAAAAAAAATAGTTCTCATATACTAAAAGCTGGAACAATACAGAGCAGATTAGCATGGCGCCTGTGCAAGGATGACACACAAATTTGTGAAGTGTCTCATATGTATTAAAATTTTTTTAATATACATTTTTAAAAATAAAAAAATAGGTAAACAGCAGTGGCTCACACCTGTAATTCCACTACCTTGGGAGGTTGAGGCAGGAGGATTGCTTAAAGCCAGGAGTTTGAGACCAGCCTGGGTAGTATAAAGAGACCCCATATCTAAAAAAAAAAATTTTTTTAATTAGCCAGGTATGGTGGCACATGCCTGTAGTACCAACTACCCAGGAGGCTGAGGCAGGAGGATTGCTTGAGCCCAGGAGTTTGAGGCTGCAGTGAGCTATAATTGTGCCACTGCACTCCAACCTGGGTGACAGAGCAAGACCCTATCTCAAAAAAAAAAAAAAAAAAGATAAATAAATAAAATGACAGTCAAATTGAAAAAATAAATAAATAAAATACCCCCCAAAACACACAAAAGGTCAACCTCAATTTTTAAGTGATCTAGCAATACAATGGAGCTATGGCATGGGACTCATGGTAGCTATTTTAACAACTGGAAATGATTCAGATAAACTTTTGCAAATGTAATTAAATACATACTTTGCTTTATTTGATGGATTTGTTTTTAAAAATTTAGATGTAAGCCAAATTTAGCAAAATAAAAACATCCTATTTACTGTTCAATGCAAGCTTGTATTCCTTGTGTAAAATGGAAAATCCTTCTGCAGTGTTGATATCTACTTTCTGATTGATTTGTCTTAAAGTTTGCAACTTTGAATCCTTTCTCCTCTTTTCTCCTCTCATTTTCTATCCCTCTCCAACTTTTTTTGTGTGTTCACTCACTTACTTGAACAAAGTGCATATCCAAATAAGTTACCTAAGATTGATTGCCATAAATCTGAAGCCTTTGGGCCATATTTTTAAAATTATTAGGCTGGGTGCGGTGGCTCACACCTGTAATCCCAGCACTTTGGGAGGCAGTGGTGGGTGGATAACCTGAGGTCAGGAGTTCAAGACCAGCCTGGGGAACATGGTGAAAACCCATCTCTACTAAAAATACTAAAATTAGCTGGGCACAGTGGGGCATCTCTGTAATCCCAGCTACTCAGGAGGCTGAGGCAGGAGAATTCCTTGAGCCTGGGAGGCAGAGGTTGCAGTGAGCCAAGATTGCACCATTACACTCCAGCCTGGGTGACAGAGAGAGACTCCATCTCAAAAAAAAAAAAAAAAAAACTCAAACTGCAACAAAAGCAAATCTGCAGTCACATCTTACTTCCTTGCTCTCAGGGTATTTGGTCCCCACTGTGTCTGTTATCCAGAATATCTAGCTGGACTCCCAGCAGCTACAGAAAATTTTAGCGTTGGGCTGTTTTTTTTTTTTTAAGTCCATCATCCACTATCCAGGATTACTACAGTCAAATGAATAGACATTCATTGAGAACCTACTGTGTCCTTCCAGAGTTGTCCTAGATTTTGTGGGAGACACAAAGAATCAGAATGACAGAGCAGTGGGACTTTGGAGCTGAAAGGGTCATCATAGTTTCAGTTCAGCCTCCTTGATTTAGAGTTAAAGAACCTGATAACCAGAGGTGTGTAGGGCCTCACTGAAAAGCCCACATGTGGTCACAGAGCCAGGAGTGGAGCCTGCAGCTCTGGACTCTCACATGGTTATTTATTACCTGATTACAGGAACATACTTAGGCGTTTGCTTCATGGCATGCACTGTGTAGGGCACTGGAGGTTCAGAAATAAAAGCCTTCCGGGAGAAAGGTAAGGACTTTCCCTTCTGGGGAAAACAGGAGGCAAGTGAAATCAGTGCAGTGGGGTTTTTTTTATTGTTGTCATTTTACGGTTTTTATTTTTATCTTTTGAGATGGAGCCTTGCTCTGTCGCCCAGGCGGGAGTGCAGTGGTGCGATCTCGGCTCACTGCAACCTCCATCTCCCAGGTTCAAGCGATTCTCCCACGTCAGCCTCCAGAGTATCTGGGATTATAGGCTTGTGCCACCATGCCTGGCTAGTTTTTGTATTTTTAGTAGATACGGGGTGTCATCATGTTCACCAGGCTGGTCTCAAACTCCTGACCTCAAGTGATCCGCCCACCTCAGCCTCCCAAAGTGCTTGGATTACAGGTCTTAGCCACCACACCCAGCCTATTTTGTTTTTGAGACAGAGTCTTGTTCTGTCACCCAGGCTGGAGTACGGTTGCGTGATCACGGCTCACTGTGACCTCAACCTCCCAGGTTCAAGTGATCTCCTACTTCAGCCTCCCAAGTAGCTGGGACTACAGGCGTGTGCCACCACATCCAGCTACTTTTTGTATTTTTAGTAGAGACGGGTTTCTGTCACAAGTTGAGGCCAAGTCTGCGAAATCAGTGACACTCCCCAAGGCACCCCCACAAAAAAATCCCAAGATACACTGTCCTCCTTCACCAGACCACTCTCTATATTTCATTTTATGCTGTGTCAACTTGATATCAAAAAAGGACTGTAAAAATATTCTTTACAAAAGAAACAAACAAACAAACATGAGTTTTGCCATGTTGGCCAGGCTGGTCTCAAACTCCTGTGCTCAAATGATCGACCCATCTTGGCCTCCCAAAGTGCTGGGATTACAGGCATGAACCACTGTGCCTGGCCTTATGAGGATGAACTCAGGCGGCTGTGGAGGCCCAGGAAGTGCACCAAACACAAATTCAAGGTGGGGATGAGGCAAGGAAGCCTTCTGGGAGTAAGTAATGCAAGACCTGAGTCTTGTGGGATGGGTGAAAACAGGAAAAAGCCAAGTGAGGAATGGTGTGTTACTTATTACTGAAAGGGGAATAATATACCCATATGCAAATTAAGTTGCAATAAAATAATAGAGGTGGTATACCAAGGCCATATATAGCTAACTTCCAAATGAATTGAAAACCAGTCATTTTTCATGGAATTCAGAAGAGGAATATGTGGACAGATTAAAAACATGGGTAGAACAGATGCTCCAAGTTGTTTGGTTACATGGTTTTGGTTTTTCGTTTTCTGTCGCAGTAAGTCCCGTGGTGAGGGGAAGAACCCACTTTGGAGGTAGAAGATAGGAATCCCAGTTTTTCTGTGTACTGGACAATATGGCCTGTCTGTACACCAAGTATAATAATGCTGAGCTCACTGGACGGATGGTGGTGATGATTAAATGAGATGCCGAAGTTCTGAGTGCTCCATTACGACCCATCAGCTGTGATGTGTCATCCATATGTCATTAGCATATAACCATATAAACCCATCTTTAATCAGAGCACTGGACTGTAAACACCCCCTCTGGTGTTTTCTTCTCAATAATCTAAGACTGTGTAGTAAGGAGAGATTATGAGGGAATCTGTCAAGGAACCAAACACATTTGCTCTAGGAGAAAATGGCCAGTTCCTCATGACCAAGGAAATGCTGGGGCTATTCTATATCTATGTCTGTATTTTAATTTAATTTAATTTAATTTTTTTAGAGATGGGGCTCTTGCTATGTTGACCAGGCTGGTCTTGAACTCCTGACCTCAAGCAATCCTCCCATCTTGGCCTCCCAAAATGCTGGTATTTAGGCGTGAACCATGATGCTCAGCCCTATATCTATATCTTTTTAGAGACAGGGGTCTCACTCCATCACCCAGCCTGGAGTGCAGTGGTGTAGTCATAACTCACTGCAGTCGCTACTTCCTGGGCTCAAGAGATCTTCCTGCCTCGGCCTCTCGAAGTGCTGGGATTATAGGCATGAGCCACTGCACTCAGCCCTATAGTATATATTAATTAACTTTGTCTCTACTTGTGTTTTGTGTGTTTAGATCACATTGTCCCCTGCATGTCCACAAAGAAGTTACATTCCCAGTATCAAACAGAAAAGAGAGTGCTAGTTTGGAGTTGAAGAACTCTCTCTCTCTCTCGCTCTCTGTGTGTACAAATAGTGCCTGGGTTCAGGAGGCTGGCTCTGGAGGGCTGCTGCATTGATTTAAGCTAAGCTTTGTTGGATGACCTTGGGCAAGTTACTTAACTGCTCCGTGCCTCAATTTCTTTGCAAAATAAGGATAGTAATTGTACCTATGTCCTAGAGTTGTGAGGATCAAGCGAGTTAATTTTATCAAAAGCCTAGCACATAGTATCAGTGAATGTTAGTCATTACTTTCTCCCCATTGTTTGCACACTACTTATGTATCCTAAGGTGAACGTTTTTTTTACTAGAGCCAGAAAACTATTGATTGAAATTGATTTAAGCAATCGTTTATATATTTTAAACCTACATATGTTTTAATAGGAAAAAAAAAAAACCCTAATATTTGCTTGGGAAGAATTGTGGAAAAGACAATTTTGGTAAAGACCATTTTGCAGTTCTTGTCTTGATATCAAGTTGATAAAGCATAAAATGAAATATAGAGAGTGGGCTGGTGACGGAGGACAGTGTATACTGGGATTTTTTTTTAGAGTCTTGGAGAGTGTCACTGACTTCACAGATTTGGCCTCAGCTTGTGAGAAGTAGGTGTGGTTGGCAAAGCATAGTAGGCATCCTCATGTACTCTGGGCTATACATGTATCTCTCATCTACAAACACTGAAGTTATATTTTCTTTTTCTTTTTTTTTTTGAGATGGAGTCTCGCTCTGTCGCTCAGGCTGGAGTGCAGTGGTGCTATCTCGGCTCACTGCAACCTCCCCATCCAGGGTTCAAGCGATTCTCCTGCCTCAGCCTCCTAAGTAGTTGGGATTACAGGTCCATGCCATGACATCCGGCTCATTTTTGTATTTTTAGTAAAGATGGGGTTTCACCGTGTTGGTCACACTGGTCTCGAACTCCTGATCTCGTGATCCACCCGCCTCAGCCTCCCAAAGTGCTGGGATTACAGATGTCAGCCACTGAGCCCAGCCTGAAGTTTTATTTTCTTTCTCTTTTCTTTTTTTTTTTTTTAAATGGAATCTCGCTCTGTTGCCCAGGTGGGAGTGCAGTGGCATGATCTCAGCTAACCACAAACTCCGCCCCCCAGGTTCAAGTGATTCTCTTGCCTCAGCCTCCCGAGTAGCTGGGACTACAGGCGCATGCCACCATGCCTGGCTAATTTTTGTATTTTTAGTAGAGATGAGATTTCACCATGTTGGCCAGGCTGGTCTCGAACTCCTGACCTCGTGATCCACCTGCCTTGGCCTCCCAAAGTGCTAGGATTACAGGGGTGAGCCACTGCACCCGGCTTGCCCGGCCTGAAGTTATATTTTCTATAGAAAGTACCCATCCGTTAATTATTTGATCAGTGAAGGCATGTGAGATTTGTCTAAGTGTAAAAGTGGAAGGCGAAAGGCAACCAGTCTGCAGGAAATGCTTGCACATGTGAAACGACTTAGGAGACTAAAATTATTTTCCTAAAGAGTGGGTTTCAAAGTAGTTTGATAACAAATGAGGTGTTTTGTATGCATCTTATCTGACATCAGTAAAAGCATTATCAAAAGTTGGCCCAATTTAGGGATTCAAAGTACTTTGTACCTCATCTTAATCCTCAGTTTGATAGCTGTCATTGTTCTAGAAGATGGCTGGACAATTTTTTTTTATTTTTGAGACAGGGTCTCACTCTGTCACCCAGGCTGGAGTGCAATGGCACCATCTGGTCTCACTGCAACTTCCAGCTCCTGGTTTCAAGCGATCCTCCCACCTCAGCCTCCCAAACAGCTGGGACTACAGACACATGCCACTATGCCTGGCTAATTTTCGTAGTTTTAGTAGAGACAGTGTTTTGCCATGTTGCCCAGGCTGCTCTTGAACTCCTGGCCTCAAGTGATCCGCCTGCTTTGGCCTCCCAAAGTGCTAGGATTACAGGCGTGAGCCACCGTGCCACACCAAGTTGGACAATTTTGAATTGCTATAATGATCTGTGTTAGTCCTAAAGTCACTAAGAGGCACAAGAGACCTATTGTGCTGACAACTTTTAAAGTTTTATGGTAATTGCTATTGTGTTAACACTTTCAAAATACTTCATTACATATAATGTGCTTCAAGTGAAGCTTCTTTAAAAAATAGTGTTTAAAATCATTTCTAAACCGGGTTCTAAATATCTAGTCTCTTATTTGAATTTGCAATAAATTGGCAAGCTTGAAAGTAAATTTCATTTGTTATACCCAGAGACTGAGAAATAGAATTGAAAAGCTTGTTTGAATTCTTTTCACAATGATATTTTTTCCTCTATTCAACTTCAGTTACCTCATGTGTAACTGATTGCAATTATAAATCTGCCTTATCAGATCTCTGAAAGGATAATAGAGAAAAATGATTCTAAAGCCCTTTATGGAATATTTAATACTTTTCTACATCCAAAATAAAATGTTTTATGCTTTATAACTTTAGAGAATTTTTCTTTATAGCTCTTGTAATCTACATTAAATATTTTCCTCTTCTTGGCTTACCTTAAGATCTGTCTCTATGGCTAGCATGTGACCCCCCACATACATGTGTTAAAAACATTTAATATACTCTCTTGGAATTTTACAGTTTTATAACTTTGCAAAATAGCTAGTGTTTAATTTTTATCATTGCTTTTCTTTTCTATTTTTAATTTGGGAATGAAAATCTTACCTAATGTTGCTCTGGATGACTTGATTTGGTTTATGTATATTTTACACATTTTCTACTCAGATGTGTTCTAGGGAGCCTGAAGAACATCCTTTAGATTGCCAGGATTTCAAAACCTCCCTTCCATTTGCTTATACTCCTCATTGTACTAGGCAGAAAAGACAAATATTATTACCTCCACTTAATGAGTAGAAAAACTCAGGCATGAGTGGTGATGTTGTAAAAGTCAGAGTAACAAATCAACAACAGAGCTGAGATTGAGTGGGTGATGACCTCACAGGGGAATGGCCATCCTCAGCTATCTCTGCCCCGGCATCTGGGTAGGCCTCTCCAAAGGCGTCACCTCCCGGAGAAGGCTTGCCTTCACCATACTGCAGGAAAAGCTCGTACCCTGAAATTGATTTGGCTGAGTTTTTACACTGGCTTAATGTTAAGAACTTGGTTATTTCTTGCCATTTCATCTCTGAAAACCAGCAGGTGTAGATTCTCCCCTAATGGCTTTCAAAGAGCAAACAACTCCCATCAAATCTTTTTTGCCAAAACTGTCACATTAAAACAAAATTCTCTTGCAGCAACAACACATTTAAACAGCTCAATGTTTCTCTTAGTGGAAACATGTTTGTATCTCTGCCTCAAATCTTCTAAAATCTTGTTCAAGATATTGCTGAGTATCAGGCTTTTGGGAAAGTCCACTATGATTTGTTAAAGAGACCTTCATCGTCCCAGAGTCCCCAAATCGTTTTATCAGGAGATTTGCAAGGTTTTCCATTTAGTTGCACCAGGTTTAAGATTTCTTCTTTTTCTTTTTCTATTGTTAAGAGAAACCACAGAAAAGAGAAGACCATTGTACCTGCCCTATGTCTTCAGGACCTGAATGAATCTTTTGGCATTTGGGACTGGCTAACAACAAGGCCCATTTTCTCCCTGAGATATGGCCAAGTTGGTCCCAATTTTTGTTGCCTGTCCAGAAGAGAAAGAAAGCCCATCACATGGCACATCCAGCTGCCTGTGGTTTTTTCTTTTCCCTTCCTTCCTTCCTTCCCTCCTTCCTTCCTTCCTTCCTCCCTCCCTCCCTCCGTCCCTCCCTTCCTTCCTTCCTTTTTTCTTTTATTTATTTCTTTCTTCCTTTCTTTTCCTTGAGACTGTGTTGCCCAGGCCAGAGTGCAGTGGCAAGAACATGGCTCACTGCATACAGCCTTGATCTCCTGGGCTCAATGAATCCTCCCACCTCTGTCTCCTGAGTAGCTGGGACTACAGGTGTGTGCCACCATGACTGGCTAGTTTTTGCATTTTTTTTTATAGAGATGAGGTTTTACCATGTTGCCCAGGCTAGTCTCGAACTCCTGGGCTCAAGTGATCCCCCCATCTCAGCCTCCCAAAGTCCTAGGATTACAAGCATGAGCCACTGCTCCCAGCCTGCCTGGGTTTCAATCTCTACAATATCTTGATTTTGAACTGAGTAGTCAAAAAACTGACAGATAAAATATCCAGAATTTTTAAGCCACCGTCTCTACTAAAAATACCATTGTGCATAAAAAGAAAAACCCTAGCATTTTAGAAAAATGGGCATAGGGCTGGGTGCAGTGGCTCTTGCCTATAATCCCAGCAATTTGCAAGGCCAAGGTGGCTGGATCACTTGGAGCCAGGAGTTTGAGAGCAGCCTGGCCAACACGGGGAAACCCCATCTCTACTAAAAATACAAAAATTAGCTGGGTGAGGGAGTGCACCGCTGTAATTCCAGCTACTCAGGAGGCTGAGGCACAAGAATTGCTTAAACCCAGGAAGGGAAGCTGCAATGAGCCGAAATTGTGCCACTGTACTCCAGCCTGGGTGACAGAGTGAGACTCTGTCTCAAAAAAAATAAATAAAAGGCTAGGCGTGGTGGCTCATGCCTGTAATCCCAGCATTTTGGGAGGCCGAGGGGGGCAGATCATGAGGTCAAGAGATGGAGACCATCCTGACCAACATGCTGAAACCCCATCTCTACTAAAAATACAAAAATTAGCTGGGTGTTGTGGTGGACACCTGTGGTCCCAGGTACTCGGGAGGCTAAGGCAGGAGAATCGCTTGAACCCGGGAGGCAGATGTTGCAGTGAGCCAAGATCGTGCCACTGCACTCCAGCCTGGTGACAGAGTGAGACTCCGTCTCAAAATAAATAAATAAATAAATAAATAAATAAATAAATAAATAAATAAATTAAAAAAAGAAAAATAGGTATAGTAGTATAAAATTTTTTAAGATCAAAGCATTCTTGTAATTTTAGAAACAGAAAAGTGTATTAGGCTTAATTAAAATTGCTCATAAAATTATTATTTCTGATTTATTTTAAAACGAAAGGCTAGAAAGTATAATCCAGGCCAAAAAAAAGTCCTCAATTTTTTTAAATCTCTCTACTATTCTCTCATATTTTTGACAAAATATCAATAGCTCCCTGACTTTCCTCCTCCACATGTTTCTGGGTTTATTTATTTATTTATTTATTATTTTTGAGACAGAGTTTCGCTCTTGTTGCCCAGGCTGGAGTGCAATGGAGCGATCTCGGCTCACTGCAACCTCCGCCTCCTGGGTTCAAGCGATTCTCCTGCCTCAGCCTCCCTAGTAGGTGGAATTACAAGCGCCTGCCACCACGCCTAGCTAATTTTTTTTTTTTTTTTTTTTTTTTTTTGAGACAGAATTTTGCTCTTGTCGCCCAGGCTGGAGTGCAATGGCAGCAATCTCGGCTCACCGCAACCTCTGCCTCCCAGGTTCAAGTGATTCTCCTGCCTCAGCCTCCCGAATAGCTGGGATTACAGGCATGCACCACCACGCCCGGCTAATTTTGTATTTTTAGTAGAGACGGGGTTTCTCCATATTGTTCAGGCTTGTCTCGAACTCCCGACCTCAAATGATTCACCCGCCTTCATCTCCCAAAGTGCTGGGATTACAGGCATGAGCCACCGCGCCTAGCCATAATTCGTTGTCTTTTTAGAAGAGACAGGGTTTCACTATGTTGGCCAGGCTAGTCTGGAACTCCTGACCTCCTCAGGTGATCCACCCGCCTCAGCCTCCCAAAGTGCTGGGATTACAGGCGCGAGCCACCATGCCTGGCTTGATTATTATTTTTTTTTGAGACAGACTCCCTCTTTGTCGCCTAGGCTAGAGTGTAGTGGTGCGATCTTGGATCACTGCAACATCCGCCTCCTAAGTTCAAGTGATTCTCCTGCCTTAGCCTCCCGAATAGCTGGGTTTACAGGCATGCGCCACCATGCCTGGCTAATTTTGTATTTTTAGTAGAGACGGGGTTTCTCCATGTTGGTTAGGCTGGTCTTGAGCTCCCAACCTCAGGTGATCTGCCCTCCTTGGCCTCCCAAAGTGGTGGGATTACGGGTGTGAGCCACCGCACCTGGCCAGCTTTTTTTTTGTTTTTGTTTTTAATGATAGCATTTGGTAGCCTTGTGATATTTTAGTGCCAAAAGTAAGCAAGAGAGAGAAGGTGAAATCCAAGAAAGATAGGTGTTCAATTTGTTAGACTTGATAACCAAGCTGCTGATATTTAAGTATTTATTCTTTGGTATTGTTCATATTTATCGAGTAATTTGTTTGTTTTTTGTTTTTGCTTTTTTTTTGAGACGGACTCTCACTGTGTCACCCAGGCTGGAGTGCAGTGGTGTGATCTTGGCTCACTGCAACCACCACCTCCTGGGTTCAAGCGATTCTCCTGCCTCAGCCTCCCAAGTAGCTGGGATTACAGGCACCCACCACCACACCCGGATTATTTTTTTGTATTTTAGTAGAGACAGAGCTAAACCCTGTCTCTACTAAGTTGGCCAGGCTGGTCTTGAACTCCTGACCTCAGGTGATCTGCCCGCGTCGGCCTTCCAAAGTGCTGGGATTACAGGCATAAGCCACTGTGCCTGGCCCAAGTACTCTAATTTGTGCAAGGTGCTGTAAGCAAAATGGAAACCAAGATGCACTCATGCCACAGGAGCATCTTTGAGAGCATTACCCTCACCTGACCATCAATCCTTATAGTTTATCACCACCACAAAGCATCACAGTAAGGATCTCTGTGTTTGAAGAATTTTTTTTTTTTTTTTTAGACGGAGTCTCGCTTTTTTGCCCAGACTTATTTATTTGATTTTGAGACAGGGTCTTGCTCTGTCACCCAGGTTTGAGTGCAGTGGTGCGATCTTGGCTCACTGCAGCTTCAACCTCCCAGCTCGAGCAATCCTCCTACCTTAGCCTCCAGAGTACTTGGGACTACAGGCGTGCACCACCACACTCAGCTAATTTTGGTGTTTTTTGTACATATGGGGTCTCACTATGTTGCTCAGGCTGGCCTTGAACTTCCGGGATCAAGTGATTCTCCCACCTTGGCTTCCCAAAGTGCTGGGATTACAGGCTCAAACCACCACGCCTGATCCTGATGCTGTAATTTTATTTCCCAAACTAATATTACATCTAAAGTCACTCAATACCAGCCATTTGGATTCTCTGAAGCCCATTGGTAATACAATAGTGGCTTGTATCATCATATTGTTGTCTCCCACATAACCACATAACTAACCCTTGCTCTTCCTATCCTCAGGACTACATTCAGTATGTGTCATACAAGAGGTGCTCAGTAACTGTGCATTCGATGAACATCTCGCAGGCTGGGCTGGTTTAGACACAGCTAGTCGGAGCATAAGCTGAGTGATCAGTCTACTATATTTAAAAATATAACTTGCATCTAGTCCTATGAACATATCCCTATCTAAATATTTGTTACACTGATTCTTATTTTTTTGTTTGTTTGTTTGTTTTTGAGAGAGTCTTGCTCTGTCGCCCAGGCTGGAGTGCAGTGGTTTGATCTTGGCTTACTGCAACCTCTGCCTCCCAGGCTCAAGTGATTCTTGTTCCTCAGCCTCTGGAGTAGCTGAGATTACAAGCATGTGCCACCACACCTGGCTAATTTTTGTATTTTTAGTAGAGATGAGGTTTTACCATGCTGACCAGGCTGGTCTCAAGCTCCTGGCCTCAAGTGATCTGCCCACCTAGGCCTCCCGAAGTGCTAGAATTACAGGCATGCACCACCACGCCTGGCCTATACTCTTTCTTTAAATGTGAATGATTCCCTTTGATTAATGGTTAACTGAAAAAATAAATAAAAATTTTAAATATGATTTAAAATTTAAAATATGATTAAAATGAGTAAACTTGAGAGGATTTAATCTCTTTTAAAATATATAGCCAGGCACAGTTGTGTGAGTGCATACGAGGCAGGGTGATCACTTGAGGACAGGAGTTTGAGACTATCCTGGGCAACATAGTGGGACCCAATCTCTCAAAACAATTTTTTTTTTTTTTGAGACAGTCTCGCTCTGTTGCCCAGGCTGGAGTGCAGTGGCACGATCTCGACTCACTGCAACCTCTGCCCCCTGGGTTTAAGCGATTCTCCTGCCTCAGCCTCCTGAGTAGCTGAGATTACAGGTGTCCACCACCACGCTCTGCTTTTTGTATTTTGGTAGAGATGGGGTTTCACCATGTTGGCCAGGCTGGTCTCCAGCTCCTGACCTCACGTGATCCACCCACCTCGGCCTCCCAAAGTGCTGGGATTACAGGAGTGAGCCACCACACCTGATCTCTACAAAACAATTCTTAAAATTAGCTGAGGGTGGTGGTGGGCACCTGTAGTCCCAGCTACTTAGGAGGCTGAGGTGGGAGGATTGCTTGAGCCCAGGAGTTTGAAGCTACAGTGAGCTATGATTACACCTGCGAATAACCATGTACTCCAGCCTGAGCAACACAGCAAGACCCTGTCTCTAAAAAAAAAATATTTTTCCACCGGGTGCGGTGGTTCACGCCTATAATCCTAGCAATTTGGGAGGCTGAGGCGGGGGGATTACCCGGGGTTGGGAGTTCAAGACCAGCCTGGCCAACATAGTGAAACCCTATCTCTACTAAGAATACAAGAAATTAGCCAGGTACAGTGGTATGCGCCTATGATCCCAGCTACTCTGGAGGCTGAGGCAGGAGAATCACTTGAACCAGGGAGGCAGAGGTCGCGGTGAGCTGAGATCATGCCACTGCACTCCAGCCTGAGCTACAGAGCGAACTTGGTCTCAAAACAAACAAACAAAAAAATCAAATAAATAAATAAATATAGAATTGTGTTGCTGGGGGCACAGTAGGTGGGTCTTGTTTTATTCTCCCTAAGTCTACCCATCCTTGGGATAATTTACACATCGACATTTCTAGATCTCAAGCAGCTGAACCTATGGGAGGAAGGATGAGAACCTTGAATGTAACTGTGACTTTTGTCCTGGGGAGTTGAATCAAGAAAGCTTTTGCTTCAACTTCCAGTCTTAATTTGGGGCAAGGTTTAGAGGCTAGTGGAATAATGAGAGCTGAGCTGTCTGTGAGATTCCCCCCTTTAAAAAAAAATCAATCAGACACATTGTTTGCCCCTTTGGGCTTGATAGACATGTTGTAATAAGGTCCTGAACTGTTCACTACCTCTTTATGTACTTTCTGTCTAAAGGCTTGTTACTATTGTGACCTATATTCATGGAACCACAAACAATGGGTTTAACCATTAACTTTCAAACCGCCTTTAAATGAATTCTTTTATAAGATGAGAATTATATAGGCTTCCACTGGTTGCTTAGAGGAAACAAGAAAAGGACTCAGTTGAACTCAGTTATTAAGGACCTGGGAGTTGATGGTTAGGATGCCCCTAGACCAAGCAGATAATTTGCCTTGACCTGACTATGTCAGATAACACTGTTGAGTTGACATTCCAGTGTCCCTGAAAAACATAACGCATTCCTAAGTCGGTTTGGCTGAAAATAAAGTTAAATTGTAGCAATTCCTTGTACTCATTGAGGAAAATCTCAATCTGTCTCAATACTGGTGTCTATTAAGGCATCATTTGATGTTAGGTACCTATTTCCAGGACCCTTACTAGAGGTCCTTGAGAAAGTTACAAGCTACAAAGGATACATTATTTTCTCAAGTGATAGAAAGGACTAAAGAGAGTAACCGAAACGCTGCCTACTTAGATTCATAATTACTTCAATGAATTTTCTCTTCCATTTTTTTAATTGAGTGACAATCAGAAGAAAAAAAAGTAGCTTTCTAGTAAGCTCTACAATCTAGATAATGCCTGGGTGCTTAACTAATTTTAAAAAGATTTAATGTAAAATAAAAGGATTATCTCATTGGAGTAGTGAACTGACTCTTACTTGGATTGCTTTATGAAACGCTATCAGTCGGCTGGGCACAGTGGCTAACATAGTAGCCAGTTTGGGGTCTTTCATAGTTACTAATTTTTATTTTTTCATGGAGTTTAATTTCCGCATCCTGTTTTGAATCACTTGAACTCATGGCATAGTGTCAATTTTTTTCTTTAATGTTAGAAAAGCCTTTTTCTGTCTTTCTAATACATAAATTATTTTTCAGTGTCTATATAGGCTGGCTTAACCTACTGAGCTCAGTCTTCAGATCAAGAAATAGAAACACAGTGAGACTAAGTGATAGGTTCAGCACCATCTAGAAGTTAGCAAAAGCCACAGTCTATTGGTTTCAAACCTGACTTTACTCTCTGAGTCATGAGGCTTTTCCCCAGTAATTGTTTTCAGAGCTAAATCTCTGATTCACAAATACATGAGCTGCTTTTGATTAAATTATTTAATACACTTCATTACTGTTTTGTCAACTTTATTGTCTGTGCCTCTCATCTAGCAATTAAGTATATAATGTGCCATTTTGTTATTCTTTTGTATTCTTATTTATTCTTGTATATTTAAAATTGAATTCCTTAAGAAAGCCTGTGCTATTTGTGAATTTCAGGAGCAAAGGGTCCATGGCTTGTAATTCTTTGCAGCCTCTTGAATGCATAGCACCTCATACACAGTTGTGCTGAAATTTGAACTGATCTCATTTGTGGTTTGGGAAAACCTGGGTTTTTGTTTGTTTTGTTTTTTCAGACAAGTTCCCAGTTTGTCACTCAGGCTGGAGTGCAGTGGCGAGATCATGGCTCACTGCAGCCTCGACTTCCTCGGCTCAAGTGATCCTCCCACCTCAGCCCTCTGAGTAGCTGAAACCATAGGCAGCACCATCATGCTCAGCTAATTTTTAATTTTTTTGTAGAGATGGGGTGTCACTATGTTGCCTAGACTGGTCTTGAAGTCCTGGGCTCAAGTGATCCTCCTGCCTCAGCCTCTCAAAGTGCTGGGATTACAGGCATGAGCCATCACACCTGGCCAAAATTGGTATGATTTTAAGTGAAAAATTTAGAGCAGATGAATGAATTCACCTGATTGTCTTAAACACTTCAGGGTGGATTTCATGTTTAGGGGTAGAAAATAAAAATGAAGGCTGGGCACGGTGGCTTACGCCTGTAATCCCAGCACTTTGGGAGGCCTAGGTGAGCGGATCACAAGGTCAGGAGATAGAGACCATCCTGGCCAACATGGTGAAACCCCGTCTCTACTAAAAATACAAAAATTAGCTGGGCGTGGTGGTGCACGCCTGTAGTCCCAGCTACTCAGGAGGCTGAGGTAGGAGAATCGCTTGAACCAGGGAGTCGGAGGTTGCAGTGAGCCGAGATCGTGCCGCTGCACTCCAGCCTAGGCGACAGAGCGAGACTCCGTCTCAAAAAACAAGAAAAGAAAAATGAAATAAAGAGAAGGAAAAATATCCAGAAATCTGATTCATTTGGCAAGTTTTCTGGTTATTATTATATGAAGTTGAGCAGTTACAGTAGTAAAGAGTGTGTTATGAACTGCTACCTTCAACTTTGCTTCAGTTAAGCTTCCTACACATGGAATTTCCATCCCCAACTGAAATGACTATATGTTTGCTACTTAAACATTTAGTTCATTTTGTCTTTTTCCTGCTGTATCTGCTTGGGGGACTATGGGTTGAGAAATGGAATTAGAATCTTCTCCTTTGGGTCATTTACTGCTATAGGTTGAGCATCTGTAATCCAAAAATAAAAAATCCGAAATGCTCCAAAATCCGAAACTTTGTAAGTGCCAACTTGACACTCAAAGGAAATGCTCATTGGAGAATTTTGGATTTCAGATTTTCAGATTAGGAATGCTTAACTAGTAAGTATATAATGCAAATATTCCAAAATCTGAAATAAATCCAAAAATTTTGAAACACTCCTGGTCCCAAGCATTTCAGGTAAGAGATACTCAACCAATACTTCCACCAGCAAAAACACTGTTATTAATAAAAAATATAAGGCTGGATGGAGTGGCTCATGCCTGTAATCCCAACACTTTGGGAGGCTGAGGCAGGCAGATCACTTGAGCCCAGGAGTTCAAGACCAGCCTGGGCAACATGGTGAAACCCCATCTTTACAGAAAATACAGAAATTAGTCGGGCATGGTGGTGCATGTCTGTGGTCCCAGCTACTCAGAAGGCTGAGGTGGCAGGATTGCTTGAGCTCGGGAGGCTGAGGCTGCAGTGAGCCATGATGGCACCAATGTACTCCAGCCAGGGAGACAGAGTGAGACCCTGTCTCAAGAAAACAAAAACAAACAAAAAACCTATAGCACATTCTGGAAAGACCTGACTTCCTCTCATCACATGGCTTTATCTATCTTAGGGCTGACCCTGAGGGAATAAATCATAGCTAAAAATTCTGTCCTAAACAAAATTCTGAGGAAATTGAGGGTAGGTCAAGCTTTATCTCTGCTTTCAGCTTCCTCTGTCCCCCATTCTCTCTCAAATGTTGTGCTTTTCAGAATGTGAAGCTCTGGCCCTAGAACCAGACTGCCTGATTACTAGCTGTGTGGTCTCAGGTAAATTGCTTAGCATCTCTGAGCTTCTGTTTCCTCATGTGTAAAATGACATAATAGCAATACAGGTTAAGTAGTCTTTATCTGAAATGCTTTGGACCAGAAGTGTTTCAGATTTCAGATTTTTTAAAAAGTTTTGGAATATTTGTGTGTGTATATATATATATAAAATGAAATATCTTGGGGACAAGATTAAAGTCTAAACACAAAGCGTAGTTATGTTTCATATACACCTTATACACATAGCCTGAAAATAATTTTATGCAATATTTTAAATAATTTTATTCATTAAACAAAGTTTTGTCTGTGTTTTGACTACAACCTCATCACATGAAGTCAGTTGTAGAATTTTCCACTTGTAGCATGACACTGGCACTCAAAAAGTTTCAAATTTGGCCAGGCATGGTGGCTCACGCCTGTAATCCCAGCACTTTGGGAGGTCAAGGCGGGTGGATCACTTGAAGTCAGGAGTTTGAGACCAGCCTGGCCAACATGGTGAAACCCCATCTCTACTAAAAATACAAAAATTAGGCTGGACGCTGTGGCTTACACCTGTTATTCCAGCACTTTGGGAGGCCACAGCATGCAGATCACCTGAGGTCCGGAATTCGAGACCAGCCTGGCCAACATGGAGAAACCCCGTCTCTACTAAAAATACAAAATAGCTGGGCATGGTGGCGCATGCCTGTAGTCCCAGCTACTCAGGAGGCTGAGGCAGGAGAATCACTTGAACCTGGGAGGTGGAGGTTGCAGTGAGCCGAGATCTCAGCATTGTACTCCAGCCTGGGCAACAAGAGCGAAACTCTATCTCAAAAAAAAAAAAAAAAAAAAAAAAAAAATTAGCTGGCCATGGTGGCAGGCACCTGTAATCCCAGCTACTTGGGAGGTTGAGGCAGGAGAATTGCTTGAACCCAGGAGGCAGAGGTTGCAGTGAGCCGAAATCCAGCCATTGCACTTCAGCCTGGGCGACAAGAGCAACACTCTGTCTCAAAAAAAAAAGTTTCAAATTTGGGTGCATTTTGGATTTTTGGATTAGGGGTGCTCTAGCTGTACTTACCTTACAGGAATATTGTGAAGCCGTGAAAATTACTCGATTTAACACTTGTGTAACTATGTCTGGCATAGAACAATAATCAAGAAACATTCACTCTCATAGTTATCAGTAATAATAACAATATTATAAAGAGTACACTGACTTGGTCGGCCATCCCCAGCAGTCTGTACCCAGTAAAAATCTGCCTTCATAGCTTTGCCTACAGACTAAAATCATAATGACAACTCATGTGTTGTACCCTTGACTTTTAAAAAGTGGGAATTATTCTTTAACTCCTGCAAAAGGCATTGCGGTAGATGTGTGAGAAAATGTCTAGGTTTTCCTACATCTCTTGACTATAAAGTCACTTTTCTGACCAGGCGCAGTGGCTCACGCCTGTAATCCTAGCACTTTGGGAGGCCAAGGCGGGTGGATCACAATGTCAGGAGTTCGAGACTAGCTTGGCCAACATGGTGAAATTCCAACTCTACTAAAAATACAAAAATTAGCTGGGCATGGTGGAGGGTGCCTGTAATCCCAGCTACTCAGGAGGCTGAGGCAGAAGAATCACTTGAACCCGGGAGGCAGAGGTTGCAATGAGCCAAGATCACGCCACCATTGCACTCCAGCCTGGGCAACAAGAGTGAAACTCCGTCTTAATAAATAAATAAATAAATAAATAAATAAATAAAGTCATTTTATATTACTTTGATGCTAACTAGGCAACTAAGGAGCCGTATTTCAGTGATGCATCAATTAATACTAGCAGTGAAATACTTCAAAACATGTTTTTTCACAGGGCACTATGGCTCATGCTTGCAGTCCTAGCACTCTGGGAGGCCAAGGAGGGAAGACTGCTTGAGCCCAGGAGTTTGAGACCAACCTGGGCGACAGTGAGATCCTGTCTCTACACAAAATTTTTAAAAAGGCCAGTCATGGTGGCTCATGCCTGTAATCCAACACTGTTGGAGGCTGAAGTGGGCAGATCACTTAAGGTCAGGAGTTCGAGACCAGCCTGGCCAAGATGGTGAAACCCCCATCTCTACTAAAAATATAAAAATTAGCCAGGTGTGGTGGTGGGCACCTGTAGTCCCAGCTTTTTGAGAGGCTGAGCCAGGAGAATTGCTTGAACCCAGGAGGCAGAGATTACAGTGAACTGAGGTCATGCCACTGCACTGCAGCCTGGGCAACAGAGCAAGATGCTGTCTCCAAAAAAAAATTAATTAGGCATACTGGTCCATGCCTGTAGTCCCAGCTACTCCAGAGGCTGATGGGAGGATTGCTTGAGCGCAGGAGATTGAGGCTGCAGTGATCCATGATTGCGCTACTGCACTCCAGCCTGGTCAACAGTGTGAAACCCTGTCTCTGAAAAAAAAATTTTTTTTTCTTTTTATAAACAGAATTTTTTTTTTTTATTAGAGAGGGGATCTCACTATTTTGGCCAGGTTGGTCTTGAACTCCCAGCCTCAAGTATTCCTCCCACCTTGGACTTCCAAAGTGCTAGAATTATAGGCATAAACCAGCATGCCCAGCTATAAATAATTTTTTTATTTTTGAGATGGAGTTTCGCTGTTGTTGCCCAGGCTGGAGTGCAATGGCACGATCTCAGCTCACCGCAACCTCTGCCTCCTGGGTTCAAGCGATTCTCCTGCCTCAGCCTCCTGAGTAGCTGGGATTATAGGCGTGTGCCACCACCCCAGCTAATTTTGTGTTTTTAGTGGAGATGGGGTTTCTCCATGTTGGTCAGGCTGGTCTTGAACTCCCGACCTCAGGTGATCCACCCGCCTCGGCCTCCCAAAGTGCTGGGATTAGAGGCGTGAGCCACCGCGCCCGGCCAATAATTTGTTTTTTTTAAGAACCAATTGATCCCATAAGTATTCTGTAGAGTGTCTCCTGTGGGTTTTTTTGTTGTTTTTTGTTTGTTTGTTTGTTTTGTTGTTGTTGTTGTTTTTGTGAGACAGAGTCTTGCTCTGTCTCCCAGGCTGGAGTACAATGGACAATCTCGGCTCACTGCAACCTCCACCTCCCGGGTTCAAGCAATCAATTCTCCTGGCTCAGCCTCCCGAGTAGCTGGGATTACAGGCACGCACCACCAGTCCCGGCTAATTTTTGTATTTTTAGTAGAGACAGGGTTTTGCCATGTTGGCCAGGCTGGTCTTGAACTCCTGACCTCAAGTGATCTGCCTGCCTTGGCCTCCCAAAGTGCAGGGATTACAGGTGTGAGCCACTGTGCCCAGCCTCTGGTGTGTTTATCACTGTGCCAAGTGCTGTGAGTAATGGGTATGACAGATAAGTCCTACCTTTTTTTTTTTTTTTTTTGAGACAGGGTCTCACTCTGTCACCCAGGCTGGAGTGCAGTGACACAATCATGGTTCAGTGCAGCCTCACCCCTCCGAGGCTCAAGTCATCCTCCCACCTCAGCTTCCTGAGTAGCAGGGACTACAGGCACGTGCCATTGTGTTCAGCTAATTTTTTTAAAAGAATTTTTTGGGGCTGGGCACGGTGGCTCATGCCTGTAATCCCAGCACTTTGGGAGGCCGAGGCAGGTGGATCACCTGAGGTCGGGAGTTTGAGACAAGCCTGACCACCATAGAGAAACCCTGTCTCTACTAAAAATACAAAATTAGCTGGGCGTGGTGGCGCATGCCTGTAATACCAGCTACTCGGGAGGCTGAAGCAGGAGAACACTTGAACCTGGGAGGCAGAGGTTGCGGTGAGCTGAGATTGCGCCACTGCACTCCAGCCTGGGCAACAAGAGGGAAATTCCATCTCAAAATAAATAAATGAATAAATAAATAAATAAATAAATAAATAAATAAAAATTAAAAAATAAAAATACCTTTTTGTAGAGACAGGGTCTCCCTCTGTTGCCCAGGCTGGTCTTAAACTCCCTGGGCTCAAGGGATCCACCTGCCTTGGCCTCCCAAAGTGCTAAAATTACAGACATGAGCCATTGTGCCCAGCCAGTGAGGTTGTTTTAATATGTATATGTTTAATAAAGATAATTTTTTTAGTTCTGGAGATGAGAAGCTCAAGTGTGAAAAGATAACAAGTACTCAATCTAGCAATGAATAAAAATTCTTTAAATGTGTACTGTCCAATACGATAGCCATTAGCTATTTAAATTTAAAGTAGGGCAGGGTGGGCCTGGTGGCTCAGGCCTATAATCCTGGCATTTTAGGAGGCCAGGTAGAGGATCACTTGAGGCCAGGAAGTGGAGACCAGCCCGGGCAACAAAGCAAGACCCTCATCTCTACAAAAATAAAGAATAAAAAATTAGCTAGGAATGATGGTACATGCCTATAGTCCCACCTACCTGGAAGGCTGAGGCAGGAGGATCACTTAAGCCCAGAAATTGAGGCTGCGGTGAGCCATGATTGCACCACTGCACTCCATCCAGCCTGGTTGACAGAGCAAGATCCTGTCTCAAAAATAAATAAATAGGCTGGGTGCACTGGCTTATGCCTGTAATCCCAGCACTTTGGGAGGTCAAGGTGGGCAGATCACGAGGTCAAGAGATGGAGACCTTTCTGGCCAACATGGTGAAACCTCATCTCTACTAAAAATACAAAAATTAGCCGGGCATGTTGGTGGGTGCCTGTAATCCCAGCTACTCAGGAGGCTGAGACATGAGAATCTCTTGAGCCCGGGAAGCAGAGGTTGCGGTGAGCTGAGATGGAGCCACTGCACTTCAGCCTGGGTGACAGAGTGAGACTTTGTCTCAAAAAAAAAAAAAAAAAAAAAAGACAGAGCCTTGCTATGTTGCCCAGACTAGCTTGCAGTGAATATTTATAAGCACAATCATAACACACCACAGCCTTAAACTCTTTTTTTTTGTTGTTGTTGTTGTTTTGTTTTGTTTTGAGATGGAGTCTTGCTCTGTCACCCAGACTGGAGTGCAGTGGCAGGATCTTGGCTCACTGCAACCTCAGCCTCCCGGGTTCATACAATTCTTCTGCCTCAGCCTCCCAAATAGCTGGGACTACAGGCGCCCCCCACCACGCCCAGCTAATTTTTGTATTTTTAGTAGAGACAGAGTTTCACCATATTGGTCAGGCTTGTCTCAAACTCCTGACCTCAGGTGTTCCACCTGCCTCAGCCCCACAAAGTGCTGGAATTACAGGCATGAACCACCACGCCCAGCTACAGCCTTAAACTCTTGAGCTCAAGTGAGGCTCCCACCTCAGCCTCCTCAATAGCTAACTCTTATTTGTTACTCTTTTTAAATTTCATTTTATTTTATCTTGAGACAGGGTCTGTCTTTGTTTCTCAGGCTTGAGTGCAGTGGTGAGATCTCAGCTCACTGCAACCTCTGCCTCTCAGGCTCAAGCCACCCTCTCATGTCAACCTTCTGAGTAGCTGGGACTACAGGCGAATGCCACCACACCCAGCTCATTTTTGTATTTTCTGTAGAGATGAGGTTTTGCCATGTTGCCCAGGATGGTCTCAAACTCCTGAGCTCAAATGATCCACCCACCTTGGCTTCCCAAAGTGCTGAGATTACAGGCATGAGCCACCATGTCTGGCCATTTGTTATTCTTTTTTTTTTTTTTTTGAGTTGGAGTCTCAAAGCCTGGTGCCTGCCACCACACCCAGCTAATTTTTGTAGTTTTAGTAGAGACAGGGTTTCACCATATTGGCCAGGCTGGTCTCGAACTTCTGACCTCAAGTGATCCACCTGCCTCGGCCTCCCAAAGTGGACATTTATTATTCTTAAACATTAAGATGAGATATTGATAACACTCCTTGTTTTGAGATTTATCTGATTTTCTTCTAATCTTGAACTTTTTATTATCCAGAAATTTAAATATTTTATTTGATTTCATTTTCTGTCATTTCTATTTTCTTCTATTTCATCAGATCCGAGGAACTTATTATCATCATATGTGTTTGGTTTTCTGCTAATTTTTTTTTTTTTTTTTAGACAGAGTCTTGCACTATTGCCCAGGCTGGAGTGCAGTGGCATGACCTCAGTTCACTGCAACCTCTGCCTCCCGGGTTAAAGCAATTCTCCTGCCTCAGCCTCCCCAGTAACTGGGATTACAGGCGCCCACCACTATGTCTGGCTAATTTTGTATTTTCGGTAGAAACAGAGTTTCACTATGTTGGTCAGACTGGTCTCAAACTCCTGACATCAGGTGATCTGCCCGTCTTGTCCTCCCAAAGTGCTGGGATTACAGGTGTGAGCCACTGTGCCCAGCTTGGTTTTCTGCTAATTTTTAAGGATTTAAAACTATTTTAAGTATCCTATTTTGGTGTCTGATATTTCATAGTAAGATAAATCATTGTCTTTTCTCCTATCCACCGAATTATCTAGTTATCTTAATGCCATTTGAAGATAATAGTTCTTTTTCTTTTTTAAAAAAGCAAACACCTTTATTTACTTATTTGAGACAGGGTTTCACTCTGTTGCCCAGGCTGGAGTGCAGTGGTGCGATCTTGGCTCACTGCAACCTCTGCCTCCCGGGCTCAAGCAATTCTCGTGCCTCAGCCTCCCAAGTAGCTGGGATTACAGGCACGTGTCATTCACGCCCAGCTAATTTTTGTATTTTTAGTAGAGGGGGTTTTGCCATGTTGACCAGGCTGTTCTTGAACTCTTGACCTCAAGTGATCTGCCCGCCTTGGCTTGCCAAAGTGCTGGGATTACAGGCATGAGCCACCATGCCTGGCCAGTAATCCTTATTTTTAGTGAAAACCTAGGAAGTAAGTAATTGTGATTATCTATTAGATGTGGAGCCCAGGACAAAGAACAAAGCTGTAGAGATAATATCAGACTTTTTTTAGTACAGCCAGGAGGAACAGCTGGGCCAGGTAAGATCTTATATGTCCCCAGGCCTTATCACAGCCATGTGTTTAGAGCGTGTGCCACATGCGGCCCAGGATGGCTTTGAATGCGGCCCAACACAAATTCATAAACTTTCTTAAAATTTTATGAGTTTTTTTGCAAATTTTTTTTCTTTTTTTAGCTCATCACCTATCGTTAGTGTATTTTATGTGTGGCTCAAGACAATTCTTCTTCCAGTGTGGCCCAGGGAAGCCAAAAGATTGGACACCCCTGGTTTAGAGCCTAAAATCGAATGGCTCTAAAATATAAGTTCATAAACAAGCCAAACAATTATTAGAAATATTACAGAAGTAATAGTTTATGGCCTTAAAATATTTAGTAAATACAGTACTTGACCTATCTGACTAATAAAGTGACTAAATGTCTACATTAAGTTTTGAAGATTTAAAAAATTTTATTAATAACAAAATTATCTTTACTAATGATTATTAAAGTTGTCTATGAAAAGAGTCAAACTCTGTAAAATATTTGAAGAAATTTATTCCAAGCCAAATATGAGTGACGATGGCCCATGACACAGCCCTCAGGAGATCCTGAGAACATGTGCCCCAATCTTCCTTTTTCTGTTGTTTTATGATAATTTATTTTTCAAACGCTACCTTCTGTTATGCAACTGTTATATTCAGTAATGAACTGTGATTTAGACATCTCTTTTCAGTCATTAGAGCCAGTGGTGTCCAGGAATTTTCACTGTCTTGAAAGAGTCCAGTTTTTACAGTGAAGCTTGGCATCCTTATTCTCCGTCACAAGGTAATTGTGGGTAGTGCACAGGAGTTTAGTTTTACTTGAAAGCTATAAATCCTATCTTAGTAAATAAAATAAAACTGGCTAATGATCACCAATCGTATTTTCTTTTCTTCTAAGGAATGGGCTTGAACAAGAAGAGGGGGTTTCTCACAACTGCACTAAAATAGCTTTTAAGCAGAAAGTGGCCTTATGTCAACCAAGACAGGTTCTCCTCATTAAACAAACACCTTCCTCAATTGAATCCTTTTATGTTACAATTGTTTCCACATCTATAGAGCTTCATGAGAGATTATGCCAAAAATATATTTGTGGCATGTTGCGGTGGCTCACGCCTGTAATCCCAACATTTTGGGAGGCCAAGGTGGGCGGATCACCTGAGGCCAGGAGTTCAAGACCGGCCTGGCCAACATGACGATAACCTGTCTCTACTAAAAATACAAAAAAATTAGCTGGGTGTGGTGGCGGATGCCTGTAATCCCAGCTACTCAGGAGGGTGAGGCAGGAGAATCGCTTGAACCTGGAAGGTGGAGGTTGCCGAGATTGTGCCACTGCACTCCAGCCTGTGCAACAAGAGCGAAACTCCATCTAAAATATATATATATATTTGTTTGTACAAAAATAGTGTAAAAGTACTTATTTTCTAGAACAACCAAGAGCCGGCTTTCATTAAAGCTTGTCAGGGCAGGTTGGTGTCAGAGGAAATTTGCCCTAGTGCTGATCATTTGTCCTCCATATACAGTTCCAATAATCTGTTTGTAGAACATGGTAAACCAGCTGGATGTGTTGTTGAGGGAAGGCTAGCCTGGGTAGCTGTAGGTCATTTAATCACCTAGTGAAGCTAGAATTAGTGTGTTTAGATCTCAGTTGGGAAGCTTTCTTTGGAGATAAGTCTGGATTAGCCATAGTGAATTGATGTGATCCAGCTTTTCGGCTCTGTTCGAGTTCAGCTGAAGCATAAAGGGATGGTCTTCATGGTCTCCTGTGCTTATCTACCTTTTTTTTTCTTTTTTTAAGAGATGTGGGTCTTGCTATGTTCCCTAGGCTGTACTCGAATTCCTGGGCTCAGGCAATTCTTCTACTTCAGCATCCTGAGGAGCTGGGAGGACAGGTGTACACCACTGCACTTGTCCAGCTTACTTACTTTTCTTTTCTTTCTTTTTTTTTGAGACAGTCTTGCTCTGTCACCCAGGCTGGAGTGCAGTGGTGCAATCTTGGCTCACAGCAACCTCTGCCTCCTGTGTTCAAGTGATTCTCCTGCCTCAGCCTCCGAATTAGCTGGGATTACAGGTGCCTGCCACCAGGCCTGGCTAATTTTTTTGTATTTTCAGTAGAGATGGGGTCTTGCCATGTTGGCCAGGCTGGTCTTGAACTCCTAGGCTCAAGTGATCCGCCTGCCTCGGCCTCCCAACGTGCTGGGATTACAGGCATGAGCCTCTGCCCAGCCACTTTCCTACTTTTCTTATAGTAGAAATACCATGGACTCAGGTAGATGCCATTTAGTCAAAAGTGCCAAGAATTTAGTGATCTACATCTCTTTGCATGAAACTGTGACCTCCTTTGAGAGGAGAACAGAGCCCCTGTGTTTTAGATGTTTACAATTCAGCTGGAGAAACAAGACTTACACATATGAAAATTTAACTAGCAGTAAAAACTAGTTTATAAACTGGAACCAAATGATGGAACAGTGAGAGTTCAGAGAACACAGGGAGGGGCATCACTGTGGATTGGAGGAATCAGTAGCAGCTTCCTAGGTGAGGCTGGACACAACGGGCTCTTAAAAGATAAATGAGTGGGGAGGAGGGAAGAATGGAGAGCATTCAGGTGAGAAGTAGTCTAAAGAAGCATAAAGGAAGCCAGGGCCCGGTGCTGTGGCTCATGCCTGTAATCCCAGCGCATTAGGAGGCCGAGACGGGTGGATCACCTGAGGTGAGCAGTTCGAGACCAGCCTGACCAACAAGGAGAAACCCTGTTTCTACTAAAAATACAAAATTAGCCAGGCGTGGTGGCACATGCCTGTAATCCCAGCTACTCAGGAGGCTGAGGCAGGAGAATCGCTTGAACCCGAGAGGTGGAGGTTGCGGTGAGCCGAGATCATGCCATTGCACTCTAGCCTGGGGCAACAAGAGCAAAACTCCATCTCAAAAAAAAAAAAAAAAGAAGAAGCATAAAGGAGGTCAGGCATGGTGGCTCATGCCTGAAACCCAGTGCTTTGAGAGGCCAAGGTGGGGTGATCACTTGAGGCCAGGAGTTTGAGACCAGCCTGGGCAACATAGCAGGACCCATCTCTATAAAAAAATAAAATAAAATAAAAAATTAGCTGGGTGTGGTGGTGTGCACCTGTAGTCCTAGCTGCTCAAGAGGCCTAGGTGGGAGGATCACTTGAGCCCAAGAGTTCAAGGCTGCAGTGAGCTAAGATCACTGCACCCCAACCTGGGCAACAGAGTGAGACCCTGTCTACAAAAATAAAAATAGAGAAAATAAAGGGACATGGAAGAATAAAATGTGCTGAAGCAGCATCAATTTAGCTAAGATAGGCTGGTGGAGAGAAGGTTAGAGGGAGGAAATTTGAGTCTAACTACAAATAGCCTTAAATACCAGACTTTTTCCCTGAGTAACGAAAGGAAAACTAAGTTTATTCACTCATTAATCTTATTCAACAGCTCTTTGAAATTGAAAGCTAGATATCATTTTAGATTCATTGGAACTTTGCCCTGTTTTTTTCTTGAGCAGGATAACAGTGAGAGGTTCATTTGGATTTTTAAGAACACAAGAAAGGTGAAACACAGAGGACTTTTAGGGCAGTGAAACTACTGTGTATGATGCTATACAGGTGGATACCTGTTACATTTGTCCAAACCCACAGAATGTACAACACCAAGAGTGAACACTGGTATAAACTATGTTTGCGTAATAATGATGCCTCAATGTTGGTTCATTGATTGTAACAAATGTACCACTCTGGTGGGGGATATTGATAATGGGAAAGCTGTGCAGGTGTGAGGGAAAAAGGTATATGAGAAATCTCTGTACTTACTCAATTTTGCTGTGAACCTAAAGCTGCTCTTAAAAAAAAAAAGCCTTTTAATCAATTGATGAACCAACATTGATGCATCATTATTACGCAAACATAGGTTATACCAGGGTTCACTCTTGGTGTTGTACATTCTGTGGGTTTGGATAAATGTGACAGGTATCCACCTGTATAACATCATATACTAACAAAGTAATTTCACTGCCCTAAAAGAGACAGTAAAAATAGCCTGTAACCCCAGCACCTTGGGAAGTCAAGGCTGGCAGATTGCTTGCATCCAGGAGTTCGAGACCAGCTTGGGCAACATAGCGAGACTCTGTCTCTACAAAAAAATAAAAATAAAATAGTCTGGTGCAGTGGCTTATGCCTGTAGTCCCCACTACTCGGAGGCTGAGGTGGGAGGATCACTTGAGCCCAGGAGGTTGAGGATGCAGTGAGCGGTGGTCACACTACTGCACTTGGCCTGGATGACAGAGCGAGGCCCTGTCAGAAAGAAAAGAGGAAAGGAAAGGAAAGGAGGAGGGAAGAGAGAGAAAGAAAGAGAGAAGAAAGAAAGAAAGAGAAAGAAAGAAAAAGAAAGAAAGAAAGAAAGAAAACACGAGAAACTAATAGATCTATATAGGTTTCTTTCTCTTACAAATTTAAATTAAAATTTAAATTACACAGGTCTACACAGGTAGGCCCATGTGTAGTGGGAAAACGGGAGCTTGGATGGCTGGAGGGGTCGTCCACCAGCTGAAGACAGGCTGTGATTCCCCCTACTCCTGCAACACAACTCTGACCCCTTGAGGACTGCTTTTGAGGACTAAAAATTGCCCTCAATTGTGAACCACTGGTCTAGACATGCACTGTCCAGTATGGTAGCCACTAAATACGTGTGGCTATTTAAACAAATTTAAATTAAGATTAAAACCTCAGTTTCTCTGTCACACTAGACACATTTCAAGTGCTCAAATAGCCACATGAGGGGACAGTGCAGCTATGGGCTATTCCATCATGCCAGAAAGTTCTGTTTGTTGGACAATGCTGGTCTGCACTGACTTCGATTTGTTTCTCAGGAAGATCACAACTTAAATAAACCAGATACCTGTACAAAGAAAAAAATTAAATTGAGATAACCAAGGTGAACTTTTATTTTATTTTAATTTTTTTTGAGACAAGGTCTTGCTCTGTCGCCCATGCTGGAGTGCAATGGTGGGATCATGGCTCACTGCAACTTCAGTCTCCTGAGTAGCTGGGACTATAGGCATGTGCCACCACGCCTGGGTAATTTTTACATGTTTAAAAATTTTTGTGTAGAGTCAGGGATTTACCATGTTGCCCAGGCTGGTCTCCAACTTCTGGCCTCAAGCGATCTTCTCGCAATGGCCTCCCAAAGTGCTGGAATTACAGGTGTGGCCTAATTTTTTAATCTGTAATTTAAAAGCTCATCTCTGCTTTTTTTTTTTTTTTTTTTTTTTGAGACAGGGTCTTGCTCTGTTGCCCAGGCTGGAGTGCAGTGGCACGATCTCGGCTCACTGCAATCTCCACCTCCTGGTTTCAAGCCATTCTCCTGCAGGCGTGCACCATCATGCCCGGCTAATTTTTTTGTGTTTTTTTTTTTTTTTTTTGTATTTTTGGTAGAGATGGGGTTTTACCATGATGTTGCCCAGCCTGGTCTTGAACTCCTGGGCTCAAGTGATCCACCCACCTCAGCCTCCCAAAATGCTGGGATTATAGATGTGAGCCACTGCTCCTGGCCTAAAAGCTCATCTCTGCTTCTTTAAAACCGTACTCTTAGAAATAATTTGACTAGGCAGGGCGCAGTGGCTCACACCTGTAATCCCAGCAGTTTGGGAGGCAGAGATGGGTGGATCACGAGGTCAGGAGATCAAAACACGGTGAAACTCCGTCTCTACTAAAAATACAAAAAAAAAAAAAAATTAGCCGAGCGTGTGGGCAGGTGTCTGTAGTCCTAGCTACTCAGGAGGCTGAGGCAGAAGAATGGCGTGAACCTGGGAGGCGGAGCTTGCAGTGAGCAGAGATCACGTCACTGCACTCCAGCCTGGGCGACAGAGTGAGACCCTGTCCAAAAAAAAAAGAAGAAATAATTTGACTAGTGGTAGCCTAAAAATTGTATTTCTGTTATTCGTTAACTGGGTTGTCATCTTTCAAATATACCTTAAAATATATCATCTCAGCCATGATGTGTCCTTCACTCACCAAGTTCTATTTGTCAAATAGTCACATATGTCAGTGTTTTACTCTGCAAAGCAAGTTACAGTGCTTCTATTTCCTGCCACCTGGGCACTTACAGTTCAACATTTGGCAAGCTGATGCAGAGGTCCCTGGAAACCCAACAGCTGGAGGCAGCAGGTTAGATCTCAGTCAGGATGAGGTTTTCCTTACACTTTTGGTGTTAGTTTTTGGTTCACCTCCACTCTCTCCCTGGTTGAGAAAATTCAGGCCCACAGTTCAGGGACTCAAGGGGTTTGTAATGAGACCTAAGAGGTGGCAAAGGACTGCATTTGTTTATTTTGTCTATCTGTTCTGTGTCACAAAGTTCTCTCATCTCAGACTTCTTATAAACATTTTGACATTCTGTTGAATTTTTCCAAATTTCTTCCATCTGGGAAAGTTGAGTATTTTTGAGACAACTGTGACCATCTTGTCCACCTTCAAACTCTGAATAGTCAGTTGCTAACTAGAGAAAAAAGTATAACATATACTTGCTGAGTTGAGTCATGCAGATTTTCTGTTTTGAAAGAACATTAACAAACAAAGTGGACATTGATACTAATGAAATACAAAGAGAAGTGATTATTTCTGTCGCCAGCTGTCAAAATTATTTTTGTTGTTTATAAAGTCTCAATCCTCCAGGGACTGTTCCATAATCATGCAATATGTTCAAGAGGAAAAGCCCGCATGCTCACACATGGGCTGCCGGCCAGTGTTCTCCCGTGGGCCTCGGATCTGCAAAGGCTATTGAAGCTAAATTACATCACCTGTGGCCAGCAGGACCCTATTGTCCTGCAGAGGCTTGACACATTGTTTTCCTATGGTACCCCTAAGCCATTGGAACTCGGAGTCTATAATGCCTTCTTTTGATCAAATGCCTTATTTCTAAGATTCTGGGACGTCATAAAGAAAGGAGCTCTTTCAGGAACTATTTAAAGTTGAGTTTCAAGGTGAATACTACATCTCATGATGTTATGTTTATTGTACACCTCTCGTAAGGACACTAGCACTTTCAGGGAAACTCAGCTAATGGATTCAGATAGGATTAATTTTTACATTTTTGGTTCTCTCTCTTTCCTGCTCTTTTTTTTTCTCTTTACATTCAATGTTTATTATTATTATTGTTTTACTTTATTTTTTTGAGACAGGGTCTCACTCTGTTGCCCAGGCTAGAGTGCAGTGGAGTGATCTCGGCTCATGCAACCTTTGCCTCCTGGCTTCAAGCGATTCTCCTGCCTCAGCCTCCTGAGTAGCTGGGACTACAGGCACGTGCCACCACGCCTGGCTAATTTTTTGTATTTTTAGTACAGACAGGGTTTCGCCATGTTGGCCAGGCTGGTCTCGAATTCCTGACCTCAAGTGATCTGCCCGCCTTGGCTTCCCAAAGTGCTGGGATTACAGGTGTGAGCCACCACACCTGGCCTTGAAAATTCCCCAATTATTGAGGAAGGAGAAAAAAATCTTTTGCTCACTGTCAGTAGAAAAGAAGCTGCTTCTAGCCAGATTTACACATACAAAGTAAAGTCAAGAATTTAAGGAACTGAAAGATTAACGTTCTCTTGAAACAGATATTTGAGGTCAAAGTGGTTTGTTTTTTTTTTTTTGCATCTGAATTCTCTAGTTAATTGCCACAATACTTGCTTTTAACTTGCTTATGGGGGATTTAACCCATTAAAATGGAGCAGCCAGGCGCGGTGGCTCACACCAGTAATCCCAGCACTTTGGAAGGCTGAGGCAGGAGTTTGAGATCAGCCTGGCCAACATGGTGAAGCCCCGTCTCTACTAAAGATACAAAAAAATTAGCCAGGTGTGGTTGTGGGCACCTGTAATTCCAGCTCTTTGAGAGGTTGAGGCAGGAGAATCGCTTGAACCCGGGAGGTGGAGGTTGCAGTGAGCTGAGATTGCGCCATTGCACTCCAGCCTGGGCAGCAAGAGCAAAACTCCGTCTCAAAAAAAAAAAAAAAAAAAGAAGCAATTGAGAAATGGTCTTCAGACTTCAGGCACTGTAGGCCCGCTGCCTCGGGTTACTCAGGTCCTGCATTTGCTCATTAGATCACAAATATTTACTGGGCACCCACCTCCTGCCAGGCACTGTCTGAGACCTGGTCCTGCAGCAGGGAACTAGACAAACTAGGTGCTTGCTCTCGTGGGATTTATATTCAAGTGGGATAGAGAGCAAAAAGAAAGAATCAAGATTTTTAGAAGCGTGTGGTTATTATCAGATGGGTGGTTACATCACTGTGGAAGGCAGGCGTGTGGATCTTGCTTTAGAAGGAGTGGTCAGGGAAGGCCCCACCAGGGAGCTTCAGTGAGAAGCAGCTGGCTATGTAAATATGTGGGGAAAACTGGGTTTCAGGCAGAGGGAACACTAAATGTAAAAGATCCTGATTCCGGAAAGGTTGGCTGTGTCATCTACTGGATTTCCTCGATTTTACTCAATCTCCTGTTTGTTAATCTAGGCAGATACTATATACAATTATCTGGGGAGTAGCCATTATTAGCCATAGTCCTTGGAGATGAAAAAGGACTTTGCCTTCTTCCATTACTCTGCATAGATGTCAGTCTCATCTAAGAGATCGTGGGAGGGGAAAGCTTTTAAGAGGGCCTGACAGCCTTAAGGAGCACAGTTTGATTTTCCTTGAGTGTGCTAATGTTAGCACAAATACTGGCTGTGCTGCCAGCATATTTCCACACACGTGGCTACAGGGATGATGGAGGTAGTCATTTATTGATTTGAGTTAGTTGCAACATTGTTTCCTTTTAACTAGAAAACTCATGTTCTGACAATTTCTTTCCGGGAGTTCCCTAGGGAGGGAATTTTTATGAGAATTATCTTCTGTCTTGATTTCTTACAGGTTGATGCTCAGGAAAGCAGTCAAATTGACTAGGTGGTTCACATTCTGCACTGGGTAATTTTAAATGGGACTAATGAACAAACAAAATAGATTTTTTAATTTTAATGTTTATTATTATTATTATTATTATTATTATTATTTGAGACGGAGTCTCGCTCTGTCTCCCAGGCTAGAGTGCAGTGGCGCGATCTTGGCTCACTGCAACCTCCGCCTCCCAGGTTCAAGCGATTCTCCTGCCTCAGCCTCCCTAGTAGCTGGTACTACAGGCGCGTGCCGCCACGCCCGGCTAATTTTTTGTATTTTTAGTAGAGACGGGGTTTCATCATGTTAGGCAGGATGGTCTCGATCTCCTGACCTCGTGGTCCACCCACTTCAGCCTCCCAAAGTGCTGGGATTACAGGCGTGAGCCACCGCGCCGGGCTACAAAATAGATTTTTTTAAAAAAACAGATCACTTATTTCTAACTAACCCTTGGGAATGCTCAGATTTCTAGGCTTTGTTTTATTTATTTATTTTTTAAGTTAATTTTTTTTTTTTTTTTGAGATGGAGTCTCCCTCGGCTCACTGCAACCTCTGCCTCCTGGGTTCCAGAGATTCCTGTGTCTCAGCCTCAGGAGTAGTTGGGATTGCAGGCGTAAACCATCGTGCCTGGCTTTGGATTTCCAGCCTTTGAATGGATCATTTTGCATACTCATAGTGTTGAAGAACATTAAATTTGCCTCATGCGTGCAGACTTTTTCTTCTTTGCATTTGAATGAATACTTTCAATAATACCTAGCAGTAAAGGGCCCTCAATAAAATAAACATCAGCTGAATAAATTAATGGTAGAAAAATCTAAAAGACAGCCTTCCTCTAACTCCTCCTCTATGTGATTTTCTCCTTTGAGAAAGACAACCCTGAGAGAATTCTGACTGACTCACAGAGGTGGCCTACTATAGACTGCTTTTCTCCTTTTTTTCTTTCTTTCTTTTTTTTTTTTTTGTTTTTTGAGATGGAGTCTCACTCGGTCGCCCAGGCTGCAGTGCAGCGGCGCAATCTTGGCTCACTGCAACCTCCGCCTCCTGGGTTCAAGCAATTCTCTGCCTCAGCCCCCAAGCAGCTGGGATTACAGGCGTCTGCAACCATGTTTTTTCTTTTCTTTTCTTTTTTTTTAATCTCCTTTCAAGAAAACCTCTTTTCTACTTTTACTATAGAAGGACAAATGAGCTGAGTGGTAAAGAATGTTTGTTCTTATATTTAAGTTATGGGTGAAAATTCACCAAATCAGGAGTGAATAATATTGTTTGCCCTCTTGGATATTTGATTTCATTAGAAATGTCAATCCTTAGCATTATTTTAATTTTTTTCTTTCATTGTTTTTTATCAGGAAGAACTGAAGCATTATTTTATTTTATCTATTTATTTTTGAGAAGGGTCTTACTTTTTGCCCAGGCCGGAGTGCAGTGGCATGAACATGGCTTACTGCAGCTTTGAGCTCCTGGGCTCAAGTGATCCTCCCACCTCAGCCTCCTGAGTAGCTGGGACTATAAGTATGTGCCACGGTGCCTGCCTATTTTTTTTTTTTTTAAGAGGCAGGGTCTTTCTATGCTGCCCAGGCTGGCCTCAAACTCCTGGGCTCAATTGATCCTCCTGCCTCAACCTCCCAAAGGGTTGGGATTACAGGCGTCAGCCACAGTGCCTGGTCTGAAGTGTTATTTTAAATGATCATAGACAATGAAAATTAAATGACATATAAAGCAAAAAGCAGAGCACCAGGAACATAGATCTTCATGTTAGTTTTTTGACATTTTTTTTCCTCCCTTAACTTGGTTTATCCCTTTATAATCTGGCTAAAATCTTCACTCATGTCTTCTCCCTGGCCCTTGCTGCCTTCCTTTGTCGAGGCTTCAACCATGGAAGCTTCTCCCTGTCCCCTTCCTGACTCCTGGCTCTTCCCTCTTTCAGGAACGCCCTTTCTCCTTTCTTCACTCAGGAATCCTGCACATTCTTCAAGATCTTAAAGCTCCCTCATCCCTCCTTGGCAGAGTTCATTTATTATTCTGAGCTCTGGTAGCATTTTGCTCATATCCTATAACATTCACGATTTTATTTTTTCCTCCATCTTTCCCTCCACTTTTACAAGTTCCATGTGAACTCTCCTGTATACTGCAAAATGCCTGCTTAGCTTCTCTACTGCAAAATGCCTGCTCAGCTTCTCTACTTGAATATCTAATAGCCCCCACTTCACATGCCCAAAACTGATCTCAGGACCACCGACTCCTCGCCACCTCAATTCTGTCCACTCACAGACTTCTCTACTTGGGTTGATGCCAACCTCATCCTTTCAGTCGGTGACATCCTTCTCATTCTCTTCCCCTTATAACTCACACTAATCTGTCAGGACATCCTGATGACTCTACCTTCCAAATACACCTGGAATCTGAGTACTTACCATCAACTCTGGTACATATTACCATCATCTTCCATCTGTTTTTTAAAAATTTTTATTTTAAATAATAGTTGCCTAACTGGTCTCCTTTCCTTACCAATTTATTATCAGGAAAACAACTGAATGGATTCTTAAATATACATCTATATATCCACATCTCTATATATGACAGAACATGTCATTCTTCTGCTCAGCAGGGGCTCCCATTTCACCTAGTAAAAGCCAAGGCTTTCACAGTGGTCTGTATCTACAGGGACCTACTTGATTTTTGCCTCTCCTTCACCCTACCTTTAACTCTCTCATCTCATCTTGTACTTGCCATCTTTCTTATTCAAGCCACTGTCCCCTTGGCTGCTCTTTGGCTGGACATCCTCCTGCTCCAGGTCCTTTGCATTGGCTATTCCCTACCTAGATGATTGCAAGATTTGCTCTTTCACCTCCTTTAACTCTTTGCTCAGATAGCACCTTGTCAAGGAGGCTTACCCTTACCACCCTATTTAAACTTGCAACCCATTCCCCTACACTTCCAATCCTCCTTACCCTATGCTGTTTTGTCCTTTAGCATCTGTCACTGTCAAACATTCTATAGCATTTTACTGGGCACTGTGGCTCATGCCTGTAATTCTGTACTTTGGGAGGCTGCGGTGGGAGCATTGCTTGAGCCTCAGAGTTTGAGGCTGCAGTGAGCTATAATCACACCACTGCACTCCAGCCTCAGTAACAGAGCAAGACCCTGACTTCAAAAACAAAACGAAACAAAACAAGAAACAACTGTAGCATTTATATCTCTCTCTGTTGCCCAGGCTGGAGTGCAGCAGTGCGATCTCTGCTCACTGCAACTTCCCCCTCTCGGATTCAAGTGATTCTCTTGCCTCAAGTCTCCTGAGTAGCTGGGATTACAGGCGCATACCACCATACCCAGCTAATTTTTGTATTTTTGGTAGAGATGGGGTTTCACCATGTTGGCCAGCTTGGTCTCGAACTCCTGACCTTGTGATCGGCCTGCCTCGGCCTCCTAAAGTGCTGGGATTACAGGTGTGAGCCACTGTGCCTGGCGCATTTCTTTCTTTCTTTCTTTCTTTTTTTTTCTGAGACAGAGTCTCACTCTGTCATCCAGTATGGAGTGCGGTGGCACAATGTCAGCTCACTGCAACCTCCATCTCCCAGGCTCGAGCGATCCTCCCACTTCAACCTCCCCAGTAATTGGGACTACAGGTGTGACCATGCCTGGCTAATTCTTTCTTTTTTTTGAGACAGAGTTGCTCTGTTGCTCAAACTGGAGTGCAGTGGGGCAATCTTGGCTCACTGCAACCTCTGCCTCTTGGGTTCAAGAGATTCTCATGCTCCCGCCTCCCAAATAGCTGGGATTACAGGTGTGTGCCATCAATTTTTTTGTATTTTTGGTAGAGACAGGGTTTCACCATGTTGCCCAGGCTGGTCTTGAGCTCCTGAGCTCAGGCCATCCATCTGCCTTGGCCTCCCAAAGTGTTGGGATTATAGGCATGAGCCACTGTGCCCAGCCAACTATAGCTTTTCTATTAGGTTGGTACAAAAGTAATTGCAGTTTTTGCAATTTTTTTTTTTTTTTTTGAGATGGGGGTCTCACTCTGTCATCCAGGCTGGAGAGCAGTGGCGTGATCTCAGCTCACTGCAACCTCCTCCTCCCAGGTTCAAGCGATTCTCCTGCCTCAGCCTCCCAACTATCTGGGATTACAGGGGTGTACCACCACACCCAGCTAATTTTTGTATTCTTAGTAGAGATGGGGTTTCACCATGTTGGCCAGGCTGGTCTCGAACTCTGACCTCAGGTGATCCACCCACCTTGGCCTCCCAAAGTACTGGGATTGCAGGTGTGAGCCACCATGCCTGGCTGTTTTTTGCAAATTTTAATGGCAGAAACTGCTATTACTTTTGCACCAACCTAATATATACATTATGTTTGTGGCCTTTCTTCCATTATATTATAAGCTCCACAAGAACAGGGATCTTTGACTGTTTTATTGACTGCTGTACCCCCAGTGCCTGGAACAGTGCCTGGCATATAGTAAGCACTCAAATTTTGGTTGACTGAATTAAGGAATTTGACAGTGATTTCTGTAGCTACTCTATGTCCTCTTACGTGACCAAAATGAACATTTAGTACCTGTGGGTGCCAGTCACAAGGACTATACTAGTAAGCAAAGATGAAAGCTTCCTGCCCTAAAAATACCTTTTATTAAGCATTTCTATATGGCAGGCACTACACTAAGGGCTTTATGGGGTTTTCTTTTTTTGTTTGTTTTTTTTTTTGAGACAGAGTCTTGCTCTGTTGCCCAGGCTAGAGTGCAGTGGTGCGATCTGTGCTCACTGCAACCTCCGCCTCCCAGGTTCAAGTGATTCTCATGCTTCAGCCTTCTGAGTAGCTGGGATTACAGGCGCCAGCCACCACGCCGAGCTAATTTTTGTATCTTTTGTAGAGACGGGGTTTCACCATCTTGGCCGGGCTGGCCTCGGACTCCTAACCTCATGATCCATCTGCCTCGGCCTCCCAAAGTACCAGGATCACAGCTGTGAGCCACCGCGCCCAGCCTATTTTTTTTTTTTTTTTTTTTTTACACAGAGTTTCACTCTTGTTGCCCAGGCTGGAGTGCAATGGCGAGACCTTGGCTCACTGCAACCTCTGCCTCCCAGGTTCAAGTGATTCTCCTGCCTCAGCCTCCTGAGTAGCTGGGATTACAGGTGCCTGCTACCACCCCTGGCTAACTTTTTGTATTTTTAGTAGAGACAGAGTTTCACCATGTTGGCTAGGCTGGTCTTGAATTCCTGACCTCAGGTGATCCACCTGCTTCGGCCTCCCAATGTGCTGGGATTACAGGCGTGAGCCACTGCGCTCGGCCATGGATCATATTTTGTTTAAACCTTGCAATTACCCTAAGAGGTAGGTACTAGTATCACTTTGCAGATGATGAAACTGAAGTGCTGAGAGGCTGAGTAACTTGTCCAAAGTCACAGAGCAAGTAAGTGGCAAAGCTAGGATTTGAACCCAGGCAGTATGATTTCACAGTACTGTAAGTTAGTATATTGCCTCAAGGTAGTTACAGTGTGATGAGGGAGCCAGACTTCAAATAAATAATCACTCCACAAACACATATTTGTTTTAGTTAATTAATTAATTAATTTTTGAGGTGGAGTTTTGCTCTTGTTGTCCACACTGGAGTGCAATGGCATGATTTTGGCTCACTGCAACCTCCGCCTCCCGGATTCAAGTGATTCTCCGGCCTCAGCCCTCTGTGTAGCTGAGATTACAGACATGTACCACCACGCCTGGCTAATTTTTGTATTTTTAGTAGAGACGGGGTTTCACCATGTTGGTCAGGCTGGCCTCAAACTCCTGACATTAGGTGATCCACCCACCTCGGCCTTCCAGAGTGCTGCGATTACAGGCGTGAGCCACCATGCCTGGCCACAAACACATTTAATTGCAAACTGGGCTTTGTACTGTGGAAGAAAAGAAGAACTCCCTGAGAATTGATATGACTTTTTTTCTTGAGGGCCTGACACCTAGTAGGCTTTCAGTAAATGGTGATTGAATGAATAATGTTCTCCTGAGACAGGAACCACAGCTTTAGAAGGAGTTTAACCATTATGTGGAGAACTATTTGAAATGTGCTAATCTAGAGTGAATTTACACATCTGAAAGAGATGATATGACTTCTGAGGCCTAGGACTTCCAAAAGTGTGAACAACTGCTCACTGCAACCTCCGCAGGGGTTGTAAAATAATCAGGGAACAACCCAGGGAACCTTGTAAAATAATCATGGACTGATAGCCACATAGTGATCATTTTTTGATGATGAAGATGGTGATGATGATGATAATAAGATTCATTTTGCAACCACACCTTCAAAAGTCATCTGTTTTCTATTTTTTGTAATTTAGGGCCATTTATTTTATTTTTATTTTATTTATTTATTTTTTGAGATGGAGTTTTGCTCTTGTTGCCCAGGCTGGAGTGCAACGGCGTGATCTCGGCTCACTGCAACCTCTGCCTCCCGGGTTCAAGCGATTCTTCTGCCTCAGCCTCCTGAGTAGCTGGGATTACAGGCGCCTGCCACCATGCCTGGCTATTTTTTGTATTTTTAGTAGCGATGGGGTTTTGCCATGTTGGCCAGGCTGGTCTCGAACTCCTGACCTCAGGTGATCCTCCCACCTCGGCCTCCCAAAGTGCTGGGATTATAGGCGTGAGCCACTGCGTGGGCCATTTATTTTAAAAGGCCCATATTTAAAGTTAAAATCTCCTCTTCTTTTTTCTGATAGGCTCATGTTTATACCACAGGCATTTTCAGTTTTCTATAAAGGTGTATTTTAAGTTTCATATGTGTCTTTCTCTCCTTCACTAAATTGCAAGCTGCTAGAGGCCAGATGCTAGTCTGTGCATCCGGGTATTCCATACCTCAGAGTTCTGTATAGAGTCAGGTTCAGCACATGCTTGTTTGGCTTAATCAATTTTGCTCATCTCCCCTAGACAATTTTTGTTTTCCAAATATAGGTGGATTACAGATGTAGTGGCTCGTGCCTATAATCCTAGCACTCTGGGAGGCTGAAGCAGGAGGATCTCTTGAGTTCAGGAGTTCAAGATCAGCCTGGTCAACACAGTGAGACCCCATCTCTACAAAAAAACAAACCAACCAAGACAAATATAGACAAGCCACAGAACCCTTTTCTTGTGAGGGAAGATGTAGAATCTATTCTTTTAGAAATAAGGTTTGAGATCTGGTTCAGTGGCTCACACCTGTAATCCCAACACTTTGGGAGGCTGAAACAAGAGGATTGCTTGAGACCAGCCTGGGCAACATAGTGAGACCTTGTCTCTACAAAAAAATAAAAACAATTAGCTGGGCATGGTGGCATGGACCTGTAGTCCCAGCTGCTTGGGAGGATTGCTTGAGCCTGGGATGTTGAGGCTGTAAGTGAGCCATGGTTGCACCACTGTGCTCTAGCCTGGGTGACAGAGCGAGACCCTGTCTCAATTAAAAAAGAAAACAAGGTTTGAGAATGTGTATAGGGAGTAGAAAAAGCCAAGAATTAAAAAAAAAAAAAAAGGACTAAACAAATTACAAAGATAATTAATTTAGGAGGGAAACTGCAAAATACTTAATGATGTGGAAATAAAACTCTGGCAATAGTTAAACTATTTTGCTATATAAGTTTTAAAGGTTAGTGAAACTGCTAACTTAATATGAACATAGTGTTTCCACACAAAATGTTTAAAATAGAATCTTCTAATGTAGGTCCCATGAAACAACTCACTTAGAATATTGATTTTTCTGCCAAGCGCAGTGGCTAACGCCTGTAATCCCAGCACTTTGGGAGGCTGAGGCGGGTAGATCACGTGGTCAAGAGATCGAGACCATCTTGGCCAACATGATGAAATCATGTCTCTACTAAAAATACAAAAATTAGCTGGGTGTGATGGCGCACTAGTCCCAGCTACCCGGGAGGCTGAGGTGGGAGAATGGCTTGAACCTGGTTGCTGTGAGCTGAGATCGCACCACTGCACTCCAGCTTGGCGACAAAGTGAGACTCCGTCTCAAAAAAAATAAAAAAGAATATTGATTTTCTGAAATATTTGTGGTTATTTCTATTGCCTACAGTTTCCAAAAATTTAGCAAAACTTATTTTAGATGTTATTGGCTTTTAAAAAATAAAACAAAAAAACAAAAATAAACAACAAACAAACAGAGATAAGGTCTTGCACTGTCACCGAGGCTGTAGGGCAGTGGTGCAATCCTAGCTCACTGCAGCCTTGAACGCCTGGGCTCAAGCTATCCTCATGCCTTGGCCTCCCAAAGTGTTAGGATTACAGGTGTGAGCCTCTGTGCCCAGCTAACCCTTATTTTTACATTTTCAGTTACCAAGTTGAATATATACATAAAATGCCAAAAACAAAAATGCTTGAATTTTCTAGTAAATCTCTCTCTCTTTTTTTTTTTTTTTTTTGAGATGGAGGCTTGCTCTCTTGCTCAGGCTGGAGTGCAATGGCACAATCTCCACTTACTGCAACCTCTGCCTCCTGGGTTCAAGCGATTATCCTGCCTCAGCCTCCTGAGCAGCTGGGGCTACAGGCATGCACCACCACACCTGGTTAATTTTTGTATTTTTAGTAGAGACAGCACAGCGTTTCACCATGTTGGCCGGGCTGGTCTTGAACTGACCTCAGGTGATCCACTCGCCTAGGCCTCCCAAAGTGCTGGGATTACAGACGTGAGCTACCGTGCCCAGACACTTTATTCTACTCATTTATCAAACTATTACCATTATATAATCTATGTTTTGCACAGTCTGGTTGGCATGAATTCAAATTAGATTATATTAGCATATTATGATAAAAATTTACCTATTCCTATTTTTATGCAAGATGTTAAAAATTTCTGTGCAGAAATAACTAAAAAGAAAAAGAAAAAGAAAAATACCTTATAAGCCTCACAAATATTAGGTCAAAAATGGTCCATTCAGGAATTCTAGTAATTTCTGTTGATAAAATGAAAAAAGAATTCGACATCTTGTACATGTAGCAGTAATGATTCTGAAGTAATATGGCTTAAATTTTGAAAATCAAATAGGCCAGGCCAATGTATTCAAATAAGTACCCTTTCCTCAAAAATGATTATCTTGGGAGAAGCTTACTTAATGCAACGATGCTGTCAGTGCTCAAACTATTTTTGGAACCCATCTTTTGATACTGCTTTCAAAGCCCCAGGCAAACCCTTCTGTATAGCTTCATTGGTGTGGTAGACTCTGACAGGTGCTGCTCAGATACATCTTCAAGAAAAGGC
Source organism: Homo sapiens (assembly GCF_000001405.40). Taxonomy (NCBI): domain Eukaryota; kingdom Metazoa; phylum Chordata; class Mammalia; order Primates; family Hominidae; genus Homo; species Homo sapiens. The sequence goes on along the minus strand of NC_000001.11, from coordinate 199,967,253 downwards.
TGGTCATCTAGCTGCCAGGGGTGGAATTCCATTCTCTGATAGCTCCAGTGGTGGACTTGGTCAGAGCCAGCCTCAGCTTTGGAGTTGGGGTCAAACTTTTGGAATGGTTTCCAGACAATGACTAAACAAGGCCTACGTGGTCCAGTGTTCTTCCCCAAGGTGGGGTTCCTTTAATGGGCCTTCTTTGCTTCATTCTCCCTGATGAGCTGGCAGAGAGAATGTCAGGTGCACATCTCAGCCTGACATCTCCTTCTGCCTACCTGGCTTCTTCTCCATTTTCTTCACAGGTGTTACTCTCCAGTACATTTTATTTATTTATTTATTTATTGACCCTTTGTCCCCAGGCTGGAGTACAGTGGCACAATCTCAGCTCACTACAACCTCTGTCTCCCAGGTTCAAGTGATTCTTATGCCTCAGCCTCCTGAGTAGCTGGGATTACAGGTGCATGCCACCACACCGGGCTAATTTTTGTATTTTTAGTAGAGATGAGGTTTCGCCATGTTGGCCAGGCTTATCTTGAACTCCTGGTCTCAAGGGATTGCCCGCCTCCCAAAGTGCTGGGATTACCGGTGTGAGCCACTGCGCCTGGCCCCCAATAAATTTTTTGTACTTTTTTTTTTTTTGAGAGGGAGTCTTGCTCTGTCGCCCAGGCTGGAGTACAGTGGCATGATCTCGGCTCACTGAAACCTCTGCCTCCTGGGTTCAAGTGATTGTCCTGCCTCAGCTTCCCTAGTAGGTGGGATTACGGGTGCCCGCCACCATGCCCAGCTAGTTTTTGTATTTTAGTGGAGACTGAGTTTCACCATGTTGGCCAGGCTGGTCTCAAACTCCTAACCTCAGGTGATCTGCCCAGTTTGGCCCGCCAGAGTGCTGGGGTTACAGGTGTGAGCCACCATGCCTGGCCAAAAATTTGATCTTCATCCTTAAGACAACAGGGACTCAGGAAGCCCATTTAAAAAAGTTAGATTATATCTATGATTTAGAAAAACCATTCTGGGTGCAATATAGAGAATAGATTGTGAGGAGGTGGGGAAGAAAGGAGAGTAGTTAAGAAACTGTGGCAAAATGTCAGGTAACAGAAGATGTCAGCTTGGACTAGAATAGTGACACTTGGAGTCAGGCATGGTGACACCCATGTGTAGTCCCAGCTACTTGGAAGGCTGAGTCAGGAGAATCATTTGAGCCCAGGAGCCCAGGAGAGCAGTCTGGGCAATATAGTGAGAGCCTGTTTCTATGAAAAGAAAAAATAAGGCCAGGCGAGCTGGCTCAAGCCTGTAATCCCAGCACTTTGGGAGGCCAAGGCAGGTGGATCACTTGAGATCAGGAGTTCGAGACCAGCCTGGCCAACATCGTGGAACCCCATCTCTACTAAAAATACAAAATTAGCCAGGTGCAGTGGTACACGCCTGTAATCCCAGCTACCCGGGAGGCTGAGACAGGAGAATCACCTGAAACCAGGAGGCAGAGGCTGCAGTGAGCTGAGATTGTGCCACTGTCCTCCAGCCTGGTCAAGACAGAGCAAGACTGTCTCACAAAAAAAGAGAAAATATAGTGTCAGTTGGGATGAGGCTAAGTGGACATGAAGCCAGCCAGATAGCCTAATATGTGCTACTCTTTTTTTTTTTTTGAGATGGAGTTTTGCTCTTGTTGCCCAGGCTAGAGTGCAATGGCGCGATCTCGGCTCACCACAACTTCTGCCTCCCAGGTTCAAGTGATTCTCCTGCCTCAGCCTCCTGAGTAGCTCGGATTATAAGCATGTGCCACAATGCCTGGCTATTTTTGTATTTTTAGTAGAGATGGGATTTCTCCATGTTGGTCAGGCTGATCTCGAACTCCTGACCTCAGACGATCCGCCTGCCTTGGCCTCCCAAACTGCTGGGATTACAGGCGTGAGCCACCGTGCCCAGCTTATGTGCTACTCTTAAAAATAGCAATTATTGGCCCAGCGCGGTGGCTCATGCCTATAATTCCAGCACTTTGGAAGGCCAAGGCAGACGGATCACTTGAGGTCAGGAGTCAGACCAGCCTGACCAACATGGTGAAACCTCGTCTGTACTAAAAAAAATACAGAATTAGCCGGGTGTGGTGGCGCATGCCTGTAATCCCAGGTACTTGGGAGGCTGAGGCAGGAAAATCACTTGAACCCAGGAGACGGAGGTTGCGGTGAGCCGAGATCATGCTATTGCACTCCAGCCTGGGCAACAAGAGCAAAACTCCATCTGAAAAAAAAAAAAAAAAAAAGTAAAATATATCATATGTTACATGATGACAAGTGTTCAAGAGAAAAATAAAGCCAAGGTGAGGCTAGGGCCTCTGGGCATGTATTGTTAGATAGGGTGGCCAGGGAAGGCCTCATTTAGGAAAGTAACCTGTGAATAAACAAGGAGAGGCTTGGGTAGCTTGCAGTAGGCGTCATTATCTGGCACCTGATAAGCACATTATGAGTTTGATTTGAGGTCATCATGGAGAAAGTCAATTTGTCCCTGTCAAATTGAGAGGTGGTACTTGTCTTATCTTAGACCACAGAGAGAAAAATCTAATCTTTACTAAAGATTTTGACCTAAAATCTAACTTCTGCCTTTCTAAGAATTTCTTCCACTGTACAGAGGGAAGCCAACCTGATGGGTAGCATAAGAGAATAAGCATGTCTGGCATGGGGCAGTGGCTCATGCCTATAATTCCAGCACTTTGCGAGGCTGAGGCGGCGGATCACATGAGGTCAGGAGTTCGAGAGCAGCCTGGCCAATATGGTGAAACCCCGTCTCTACCAAAAATACAAAAGAAAAAAAAATATTGCCGGGTATGGTGGCGGGCACCTGTAATCCCAGCTACTCAGGAGGTTGAGGCAGGAGAATCACTTGAACCCAGGAGGTGGAGGTTGCAGTGAGCCAAGATCATGCCATTGCACTTCAGCCGGGGTGACAAGAGCAAAACTCTGTCTCGAGAAAAAAAAAAAAAAAAAAAAGAGAACGAGCATGTCTAGAATGCAAAGTAACCTAGTCAGAGAATGTTAAAACCACAAGGGAATCTCAGAGATCATGTACCGCACTCCCCACCCATTTTACAGAGGAAGAAACTGCAGGATTAACTTAGGTGAGTCTTATGATAATTTAATGGCTAACTTGGTCTCAAATCTTTCTATTTTGAGTTTACTGATCGCTCCATTAGACCATACGGTCTCCCTAAGTGATGAGGATGAGGAGAGAATACTTTCATTACAGACTTCTCAATGCCCACTATTACCGGATCAGCGTTTGTTTTACTTCCCTGTGAGCTGATCATGCCCAGGAAGAGACATGAATGGAGTTAGAGGAAATTCTGACATGTTGCTCATGGAATCATTTCCCATTCTCCGAAACTTCTTGCCCAAGGTAGGCTTCTTCAAGTAAGTCAAAAAGTAGCAAAGTTCATTCTAATTAGCTCTCTGAACATGACATCTTCTGAGTTGTCTCATTGGTAGCTTCTAATGGCCACAAAAAGAAAACGGTGATCAGGTGGGGCGAGGTGGCTCACACCTATAATCCCAGCACTTTGGGAGACTGAGGCAGGAGGCTCGCTTGAGCCTAGAAGTTCAAGACCAGCCTGGTCAAGATGGAGAAACCCCGTCTCTACTAAAAATACAAAAATTAGCCGGATGTAGTGGCATGTGCCTGTAATCCCAGCTACTCAAAAGGCTGGGGCACGGGAATCACTTGAACCCAGGAGGCAGAGGTTGCAGAGAGCCAAGATCACGCCACTGCACTCCAGCTTAGACAACAGAGTTTCTGTCTCAACAAAACAAAACAAAAGGGTGATCAACAGAAGAAAGGGAATTCTGATACTCAGATTATGCATATGTACATAGTGGTTTGGATGGGACCTTGGAAAATTCTGCTGATTCCTGTGCAAGTATTTTTTTTTTTTTTTTTTTTTTTGAGAAAGGGTCTCATTCTGTCACCCAGACTGGAGTGCAGTGGCGTGGTCCTGGCTTGCCACAATCTCTGCCTCCCAGGCTCAAGCGAGTCTTTTGCCTCAGCCTCCTCAGTAGCTGGGATTACAGGTGCATGCCACTATTGCCTGGCTAATTTTTGTATTTTTATCAGAGATGGAGTTTCACCATGCTGGCCAGGCTGGTCTCGGTCTCCTGACCTCAGATGATCCACCCGCCTCGGCCTCCCAAAGTGCTGAGATTACAGGTGTGAGCCACCACACCCAGCCTTTAGTATTTCTTTTTTGATGGCATGTTATTACAGATCATCTACAAAATGTAACTTGAAAAAATACGAGTGGGTTGGAGTCGGGGTGTTATTATGTGCCCCAGATATTTCTCCTAAAACAACCACTGCCAAATACAATCCAGTATTTCTTGCTATGTAAAGTTTTTAATAATTGGTTTCAGTGACACGATAATAGACTTGAAAATCTTCGTATCTTTCTTTAGGTAGGAAGACACTTTGAAGAACTTGACAAGCTATATAGGCATGATGTGTTGAGTCCTATCTGTTCTTTCCAGGGGACGTAGACAGGTTGAGGTTGGAATGGGCCATAGTCAGGAACCAATTCATGAGTAGGCAACACCACCAAGAAGCAGAATCGAAACACAAAGTCAGAGTCACAAAGAGTGATGGCTTGGGCAAATGGAGATTCAAAATCATGTGCCAAAAATCCAGATGGAGTTGTGTGGGCAGCATTCTGCTGCAGCGGTGTCTCTGCTAAAGGCCGGTGGCAGAGCCCCTGTGGTTTGCATGGAGAAGGGAAGAAAGGAGAGATGCTTCCTTGGTTTTAAAGCCCAAATCTATTATCATCTGATTAGTGAAGCCTTTCCGGATTCCCTTAGAGATGTGGTCACTCCTGTCTTGGAGCTACCAAGGCAATTGTATTTCTCCTGTGATATCTCATAGCTCTTTACTATCTTGTGATATCACCACTTTTGTTGCAGTCTTTACAAAATGCCTAGGACAGTGCCTTGCACATAACATGTGCACCAGAAATGTTTATTGATCTGAATACATAAGCCCTAATGCAGACAGACTATGAAAAATGGAAATGCTAATAAGACCTACCACATGGGGTTACTGTGAGGATAACATAAAATAATCTTCATAAAGTGCTTTGCTCAGGACTTGGCACACAGACACTTATTTAATATTAGCTATTACTCAATTATTTATTAAATTGAAACAATAAATGAGAATTAATTAATTATTTAATTAATTTAAGACAAAGTCTCGCTCTGTCACCCAGGCTGGAGTGTAATGGCATGATCTCAGCTCACTGCAACCTCTGTCTCCCGGCTGCAAGTAATTCTCTTGCCCTAGCCTCCCAAGTAGCTGGGATTACAGGTGCCTGCCACTACGCCCAGCTAATTTTTTTATATTTTTAGTAGAGACGGGGTTTTGCCATGCTGGCCAGGCTGCTCTTGAACTGACCTCAGGTGATCCACTGGCCTCGGCCTCCCAAAGTTCTGGAATTACAGGCATGAGCCACCTTACCCGGCTGAGAATTTATTATTTATTTATCACATCAGACAGGTGTCTGATGTGATAGACACCTATCACACAGGTGTCTGATGTGATAAATAAATATGTAGACATCATAACAAGGTTTGAGGGAGGCACAGCTCACACATGTGTGTAAATAATTAACACACATAAACTACAAAAGGAAAGAAGACAAAAAATAATTATAAAAAGAAATGAACTATAAAAGGATTATTATAAATGAGAACTTAAATACTTGTTTCTGTCAATTGGTCTTTTAGTTTTTTTGAGACGGGATCTTGCTCTGTCACCCAGGCTGGAGTGCAATGGCACGAACACGGCTCACTGAAGCCTCAACCTCCTAGGCTCAAGTGATCCTTTCCACTTCAGCCTCCTGAGTAGCTGGGATTACAGTCATGCACCACCACGCCCGGCTAATTTTTAAAAAGTTTATTTGTTGAGACAGGGTCTCGCTATGTTGCCTAGGCTGTTCTTTGACTCCTGAACTCAAACATTCCTCCTGCCTCAGCCTCCCAAAGTGCTGGGATTACAGATGTGAGCCACCACACCTAGCCTGATCATTTGGCTTTTAACAATTATTATAAGAACTTTGGAATAAGCTTCGTGTAGCAAAATATGATATTTTTAATGTCCAGAGAAAACTGTGTTTTAAAATATTTATTTACTGATAACTGATATTGAGCTAAAGACCAAAGTTGGATTGATTTGAAACAAAAAGACTTCGAATATTTAGAATCCACAGAGGCCCCAGTCAGATTAAGAATGAAGATAATTAGGGCGCAGTGGCTCGTTACTGTAATCCCAGCACTTTGGGAGGCTGAGGTGGGCAGACAGCTTGAGTCCAGGAGTTCAAGACCAACCTGGGCAAAGTGGCAAAACCCTATCTCTACAAAAAGTTGCAATTAAGTGGGCTTAGTGGCACATGCCTGTAGTCCCAGCTACTTGGGAGGCTGAGGTGGGAGGATCACCTGAGCCTGGGGAGTTCGAGGCTGCAGTGAGCAGTAATCATGCCACTGAGTTTCAGCCTGGGCGACAGAGACTGTATTGTATCTGGAATTGGTGGATTCTTGGTCTCACTGACTTCAAGAATGAAGCCGCGGACCCTCGTGGTGAGTGTTACAGTTCTTAAAGGAAGCGTGTCCAGAGTTTGTTCCTTCTGATGTTCGGATGTGTTCGGAGTTTCTTCCTTCTGGTGGGTTCGTGGTCTCGCTGGCTTCAGGAGTGAAGCTGCAGACCTTCGTGGTGAGTGTTATAGCTCATAAAGGCAGTGTGGACCCAAAGAGTGAGCAGCAGCAAGATTTATTGCAAAGAGTGAAAGAACAAAGCTTCCACAGCGTGGAAGAGGACCCCAGCGGGTTCCCAAAGCTGGCTCGGGCAGCCTGCTTTTATTCTCTTATCTGCCCCCACCCACATCCTGCTGATTGATCCATTTTACAGACAGCAGAGTGGTCTGTTTTGACAGGGCACTGATTGGTGCATTTACAAGCCCTGAGCTAGACACAAAGGTTCTCCAAGTCCCCACCAGAGTAGCTAGATACAGAGTGTCGATTGGTGCATTCACAAACCCTGAGCTAGACACAGGGTGCTGATTGGTGTGTTTACAAACCTTGAGCTAGATACAGAATGCCGATTGGTGTATTTACAATCCCTTAGCTAGACATAAAGATTCTCCAAGTCCCCACCAGACTCAGGAGCCCAGCTGGCTTCACCCAGTGGTTCCCGCACTGGGGCCGCAGGTGGAGCTGCCTGCCAGTCCCGCTCCACGAGCCTGCACTCCTCAGCCCTTGGGTGGTCGATGGGACTGGGCGCCGTGAAGCAGGGGGCGGAGCTTGTCGGGGAGGCTCCGGCCGCGCAGGAGCCCATGGCGGGGTGGGGGGAGGCTCAGGCTTGGTGGGCTGCAGGTCCCGAGCCCTGCCCCGCGAGGAGGCAGCTAAGGCCCGGCAAGAAGTCGAGCACTGCAGCTGCTGGCCCAGGTGTTAAGCCCCTCACTGCCCGGGGCCGACGGCTCCGAGTTCAGGGCCTGCCGAGTCCACGCCCACTCAGAACTCGCGCTGGCCAGTAAGCGCGGCGCGCAGCTCCGGTTCCCGCCCGCGCCTCTCCCTCCACCCCTCTCCGCAAGCTGAGGGAGCCGGCTCCGGCCTTGGCCAGCCCAGAAAGGGGCTCCCACAGTGCAGCGGCGGGCTGAAGGACTTCTCAAGCGCCGCCAGAGTGGGCGCCAAGGCCGAGGAGGCGCCGAGAGCGAGCAAGGGCTGTGAGGGCTGCCAGCAAGCTGTCACCTCTATCACAAAAAAAAAAAAGAAAGAAAAAAGAAAACAAGAATAAAGGTAATTAAGACCAACTTGTGGGTTGGGTGTGGTGGCTGATGCCTATCAGCCTGGGTAACATAGGGAGACTTCTGCCTGTACTTTAAATAAACAAACAGAAACCCTTGTGTTTATCATTCAGGACTTACATGGAAAGATCCTTGAAAATCTCAAGCAACTCTTATGAAGAAACCATATTTTTCTACAGAAATTAGGTAATCTTTTTTAATGGATAGAAGTTGCCCAATATGTACCATATGTTTGACGCCATGAATGAATGGCATAGTGTAGGGAAAACAGGGCGAACAGGGATTTATGCCTTTGTGCTCTCTCTTACAGCCATTATGTTGTTCTGCATTATTTCAAGGGTTGGCAAACTTTTTCTGTAAAGGACCAGATGGTAAATACTCTGGGCTTTGTGGTCAAGGGTCTCTACTGTAACTACTCAGCTGTGTCACTGTAGTGTGAAAGCAGCCATAGGCAATATGTAAACGAATGGCATGGCTGTGTTCTAGTAAAGCTTTATTTATAAAACTGGTTGTAGTTAGCAGACCAATGGTCTGCAATATCAAAGGACATGTCATATTATACCCTTCGTATTCTGATTTCATTCTCCTAAATATTTTCTTTTACTTTCTTTCTTTTTCTTTTCTTTTTTTTTTTTTTTTTTTTTTTTTTGAGACAGTCGCCCAGGCTGGAGTGCAGGGGTGCGATCTCAGCTCACTTCAATCTCTGCCTCCCCGGTTCAAACGATTCCTGTGCTTCAGCCTCCTGAGTATCTGGGATTACAGGCACCTGCCACCATGCCCAGCTAATTTCTGTATTTTTAGTAGAGACAAGAATTCTCCATGTTGGCCAGGCTGGTGTCGAACTCCTGGCCTCAAGTGATCCGCCTGCCTCAGCCTTCCAAAGTGCTGGGATTACAGGTATGAGTCACCATGACTGGCCTCATTCTCCTATATTTTCTTTCTTTTTTGTGTCACAGGGTCTCGCTCTGTCACCCAGGCTAGAGTGTAGTGGTGGGATCTCTGCTCACTGCAACCTTTGCCTCCTGGGTTCAAGCGATCTTCTACCTTAGCCTCTCGAGTAGCTGGGATTACAGGCGTGTGCCACCATGCCCAGCTAATTTTTTGTATTTTTGTGGTAGAGATGAGGTTTTGCCACGTTGCCCAGGCTAGTCTCAAACTCCTGGCCTCAAGCAACCTGCCCGCCTCGGCCTCCCAGAATGCTGGGATTACAGGTGTGAGCCACTGCACCCAGCCAGATTCTCCTATCTTTTCATTTCCCAAATGTGTTATGCTGGTTTTGCTTTGCATGCTTCTGGAAAGTATCCCTCCACTTCTTCCTACCTGTGAACTCGTATGCATCTGCAAAAGAAACAAAAAGAAACCCCAAACAGAAACGAAACAAAACTAATCCTTACAGTGAAGCCTTCCCAGATTTACTTCCGGGAAGAATTAAGTGCTTTTTTTTTTGGCCTGCTTGTTTCTTTTCTCACAGAAACTCTATTATAGCACTTCCATTATTAGACACTTATAGTATAGCATTTTCTTCTTGGTCTTCTAATTTTTAAATGTTTGTTGTCCTTTCCTTGTCCCCTTTCCAGTGGGCAGTGAATCCCCTGAAAATAGAAAGTTTTTTGGTTCTGTTATATTTGTATTATTAGAGCTAGCACAGTGCCTGACACACAGTAGGAGTTTAATAAATGCTTACAAAGATGATGCAGAAAGCATGCTCTAGAATGAGCCTGAGAATACTAATCCCTTGAGTTATGTATACCTACCATAATATTAAATTTAATTCATTTTGAAAGTAAAGTAATAACTTTGGAGAGGTTTTTAGTTTTTATGGCATCAAATAAAGGAGTTTGACGAGGTTTTCTGTGTTCCATTCATCTACCTGTGTAGATACTAGTGTCAACCATCTAGGTAGTTTCAATTTTTTTTTTTCCCTAGACAGAGTCTTGCTCTGTCTCCCAGGCTGGAGTGTGGCGGTGCGATCTCGGCTCACTGCAACTAGGTAGGTTCTATTTTTGAGAAACCAGTAATAATATAGAGAAGAAGGAGTATTTTCTCAGTCATTTGGAACTGCTATAACAAAGTTCCATAAACTGGATGTCTTATAAACAATGGAAATTTATTTCTCACACTCTGGAGCCTGGAAGTCCCAGATCAGGATGTCAGCATGGTTGGTTGTAGACTGCTGTCTTCTCATTAAATTGTCATCTGTCAGAAAGAAAGTAAGCTTGCTGGCCACTTCTTTTAAGGGCACTAATCCCATTCATGAGGGCTCCACCCTCATGACCTGATCACCTTCTAAAGGCTCCACCTTGTCCAAACACCATCACATTGGGAATTAGGTTTCAACGTACGAATTTTTGGAGGACACAAACATTCAGTCCCTAACATATAGACAATGGCCACCTATATTTGGCCTTGTCATACAACCTGCCATAGAATGCCATTCATGACAGGTGAAATACTGCTTTATTTTGCCTGTTTTCACACTATATATAAGCAGAATCATACCATATGCGTGTTTTTTTTTTTTTTTTTTTTTAAAGACAGAGTCTGGCTCTGTTGCCCAGGCTGGAGTGATCTCAGCTCACTGCAACTTCCATCTCCCAGGTTCAAGCGATTCTCCTGCCTCAGCCTCCCAAGTAGCTGGGATTACAGGCACCTGCCACCAAACCCGTCTAATTTTTGTATTTTTAGTAGAGATCGGGTTTCACCATGTTGGCCAGGCCGGTCTCAAACTCCTGACCTTAGGTGATCCGCCTGCTTCGGCCTCCCAAAGTGCTGGGATTACAGGCATGAGCCACTGTGCCCGGCCATACAATATATATTTATTTGTGACTTTTCTCATTCAATATTATGTTATTGAGGTTTATCTATAATGAAACATGCAGCTATTTTTTACTCATTTATTGTTAGTGTTTTTTAAAACCATTGAATGGTATTCCACTTTTGGATCACACCACACCCTGAAGGATCTGGGGCATATTTAGGAGATGTAACTTTTCAGGTGGATGAGTCAGGGAGGGGGAAGCGTCTAAAGGATTTTTCTGATGATTGTGGTGCTGTTGACTGAGATCAGGAGAGGATTAGTTGTCTGGGGAGGAGGATGAATTTAGGTTAAAGAAGGAGTGGTCAGCTGACTAGGAATAGACCTTAGAATGCTGGCCTGTGTTAAAGACTCAGCTGAGATTAGGGGCCCCAGTGTGGACAGAGCTGGGACTTTCTTTGGAAGAACTGCATTTGAAAGTGTGCGGTGCAGGAGTGGGACTGGGTGCGGGTTGGAGACTTGCAGCACCCTCAGCAGGCAGGTTGATGAAGGAAGCATGGAGGGCCGAGTGTAGGTTTCTTTTTATGGACCAGGCCTGGAATTGTTTGTTGTTCATAACTTTAGTCCACATTACACTGTGAGAGCTCTGCTACATGATCTTACTGAACCACGAAGGCATCACAGCTTCATTCTCAAGTTTAGGGACATTTACGGGGGATTTACACTTCCGTAATGGCCAAGGAAAATATCCCAGCCATGAGAAAGGCTTGCTTTGGAGATCAGAATAGCTGTTTGGTTGGCTTTTTGAGTTTCCTAAAAAGAAGAAAAGATCCCCTAAGACTCTGTCAACAAATATTAATACTTGCTTATCAATTCCTTACACTGGCAGTGTGACTTAAACCTAAGTACTGTCCTCCCAGCTTCAATCCAGAGAAACGTGGGAATGCCCACTCTACCATGTTCAAACTGGAATATACATGCTGAGTCTCATTCCCATTGGGAAATATACAAAGTTACTGTGACAGGACTATATTTTGAGCAATGTTGGTGATTTTTTTTTTGGAGCACAAAGCAAGCAATAAATCTGTCACCCTGAAAAAAATCAGGTTATGACCTAACGGAAGGAGCAAATTGTGACTTTAGGTAAAAAAGAGTGACCTACCAGGGAGGGTAATTTATCATGATAACAAAATTGCTGGTGCTTTCCCGGCCCACCAGGAAGAAGGGCTGCAGTAAGCAAATTCAAGAGATGCAAGTCCGAATATTTTTAACTGATCAATATTTCCAGGGTTCACAAGCAGCCAAAACACTGTCATTGTTCAGAGTGAGTACATTGCTCACCTGATTTGTAAAAGGAAAAAAAAAAACAGAGAGCTTTAATTATTCTCTTTAAAGAAACGTCATCACTCAACAACAGACATTCTTTGTAGGATGAAAATAAACATCTCCTGGGATTTAAGTGAGAATTTTTGATTTTTTTTTTTGTAGGGAAGTAGGAGATTATGTTACTTGGAAATGCTTAAGGAAGTTGATTATTGGGGTTTAATGTGCTTCACCCACTCTTATGTTGGAACTGTTCCTCCTGGAGAGAAAACCAAGCAAATAATATAGGGAATTATTAATAAAATAATTACTTAGGCAAAACTAGGGAGACAGTAGGGCTATCTTCCATTTACCCCTTCAGATCTTTATCCTTCCTACTCCATCCAGCCTGCTCAGTGCCCCCGAGACCACTTCCCAGGACTCCCCTGTCCCCTGGCTTTTGGTTGGGTTCAGTCAATGGGCGGCCCCTGCTGGAGAGCAGAGGGAAGAGGGGTTGGGGCCTTACTCCTCCATCTCCCTCCCTGTAGAGTAGCTGCAGCAGACTTTGTCTCTCTTCTGAAGGTTACAGTTCCTGTAGCGTGATCTTTTCTGCACAGTCTTTTCTCTCTCTGGATTCCAGTAACATTTCCCTTCCCTTGACCCTTTAGTGCTAGAGGTGGTAGATGTGCCACACTGTTACTACCTCAGGATACTGTACCGGCATGCTGCGTTGTCTGCTTAATCCTTGACTGACCCACAACTTGAGTTGCACTTTTTTTTTTTTTCTTTTTGAGATGGTGTCTCGCTTTGTCGTCCAGGGTGGAGTGCAGTGGCGTGATCTCGGCTCACTGCAACCTCTGCCTCCCGGGTTCAAGCGATTCTTCTGCCTCAGCTTTCTGAGTAGCTGGGACTACAGGCGCACGTCACCATGCGCAGATATTTTTTATATTTTTGGTAGAGGCGGGGTTTCACTGTATTGGCCAGGCTGGTCTCAAACTCCTGACCTTGTGATCCACTCACCTTGGCCTCCCAAAGTGCTGGGATTACAGGCGTGAGCCACCGCGCCCGGCTTGAGTAGCACTTTCTATAGACCTCAACATCATCATGGCCTTTCAGGGATTCTGAGTAACTAGGATGCTTCAATGGGCTTTCCTCTCCTTAAACAGTCATGGCAAATGATGGTCAGCCATCACATGAAAAATATAACGTTTATGTTATGTAGCTATACCTCTATTGGCTCCTCAATATTGATAGCCACATGGTACACTCAAGCTTTGGATTATTATAAAACTATAATTTTTATCTGTAGATTTAGCTGACAAGTACAAACGTGATAAACCCTATCCAGTTTTATGTCATCGTTGCTTCCTAATAAAGTTGAAGGCTAGGTAAAGCACTCAGTTTCTGGGCATTAATGCCATTATCTCTCTCAGCCACCATTGCCGTATGGCTCTACTTATTTTCACTTCAACAGCCTACACATTCAGCCTTCCTCCCAACAAACTTGGCAGGCTCATCCTATTTCTCAGAAGAGATTTAATAGCAGTGAGTTCACGTACTACGAAGACTTCATTACTTTTATTAGCTCTCCATGCTCTCTGCTTACTGGTGCACTGAGAGGTATTACTGAATAATCTATAGTTGTCAGTAATATAAATGTGCCCTAGCCTAGTACAGCTTTAATTCTACTTATTTTATTTTCTTATTAGGACATTTTGGAAGGATTTAGATAGATTTCCTTGTGTAGAGGAATTTGCTGCAGAGTAATGTTAGTTGATGTCTAACTTATGAATAAAGCAGGAACACCTAATTTTCATATGCCTGGGCACCTGATGGAATGCATTTATAATGTCAAGTAGCATGCTGATTCCTGTTGTGTTTCAGCTATGGCAAACTTTTAGAAAGAAAAGACATTATTTGCTACTCCTTTTGGTTATATTCTTGACCTTAAACAAGTTACATTCTTCATGCATCTATTTTCTCACCTATAATGTGTGTATATGTTTAATTGTATCCTGAATATCTTTCTACAAGATACTATAACCAAAACTACTGAATAGTATTTTGTAAAATATTTGGTTGCCTATTATCTGTATATTAATTGAATCATACTATTATAATAGACGTGTATAAGTACTAAAAGAACATGGAAGAGGTGACATAGATTGGAAGTAACTGAACGTAGAATGTATTTGATTTATTTGATTAAAACAAATACTGATAAAGCAGAACACCCAACATCAATTGCACATAACCTTTCATTTCTTTTCTTTTTCTTTTTTTTTTAGAGGCAGGGTATCACTTATGTTGCCCAGGCTGGTCTCAAACTCCTGGCCTCAAGTGATCCTCCCACCTTGGACTCCCAAAGTGCTGGGATTACAAGTGTGAGCTGCCTTGCCCAACCCACATAATCTTCCAATAGCCTTAGCCTTTAGTATTACTTGAATAAAGCAGAAAAGAAAGGAAATGAATATTTGTGTCAGGTACTGAACTAAGCACTTTACAAACATTGTATCATTTTGATATTTAAATTTACTTTCAATTTTTATTTCTTAACAAACCCTGATGATGAAGCCTAACATCATTCATTTAGGTATTAAACAAATCTCTCACATATTTTAAACAGAGTAGTGTGTGTGTGTATATATATATATATATATTTGATATATATGTATTTGATATATATATTTGATATATATATACATATACGATATATATATGATATATATAGTAGAGGCATATATATATTTATATATAAGTATAAATATATATATATGTGTGTGTATATATATATATATTTGAGACAGAATCTCACTCTGTTGCCCAGGCTGTAGTACAGTGGCACAGTCATGGCTCACTGCAGCCTCCACTGCCTGGGCTCAAGTGATCCTCCCATCTCAGCCTCCTGAGTTTAAGATAAAACTCATAAGCCACTCTCACATTCTGGCACAGTAGATAATTACCTTCCCTCCTTCACTCCCTAATCTTTTTTTTTTTAGACAAAGTCTCGCTCTGTCACCCAGGCTAGAGTGCAGTGGCATGATCTCGTGCTCACTGCAACCTCCACCTCCCCGGTTCAAGTGATTCCCCTGCCTCAGCCTCTCAAGTAGCTGGGATTATAGGTGGCCACCACTATGCCCGGCTAATTTTGTGTTTTTAGTAGAGATGGGGTTTCACCATGTTGGCCAGGCGGGTGATGAACTCCTGACTTCAGGTGATCCACCCACCTTGTCCTCCCAAAGTGCTGAGATTATAGGCATGAGCCACCATGCCTGGTCATTCACTCCCTAATCCTAACAAGCTCCAGTGTGTTTATCATTAAATTATCTCTCCATGGGGCGTGGTGGCTCATGCCTGTAATCCTAACACTTTGGGAGGCCGTGAGGGGGTAGATCGCTTGAGACCAGGAGTTTGAGACCAGCCTAAGCAACCCAGTGAGACCCCCATCTGTACAAAAAATAAAAATAAAAAAGTGTCTCCTCTTGAATCTATTCACTTGTCAATATCTTCACTAGCACCACACTAGACCAAATTCCTAGTGCTCTTGCCTGCACTGAGACAGAAACTCACTGCAGATGCTTGAGTCAGTCAGAAAGGTTTTACAAAATTCAGATCTGATCATATCAGCCAGCAAATCAAAGTCCTTCAAGTACCTTTCTTCTTTTTTTTTTTTTTGAGTCAGGGTTTGTCTTTGTTACCCAGGCTGGAGTCCAGTGGTGTGATCTCGGCTCACTGCAGCCTCCACCTCTCAGGCTCAAGCCATCCTCCCACCTCAGCCTCCCAAGTAGATGGTGCTACAGGTGCTCACCACCATGCCTCTCTAATTTCTGTATTTTTTGGTAGTGTCAGGGTTTTGCCATGTTGCCCAGGCTGATCTTGAACTCTTGGGCTCAAGCGATACTACTGCCTTGGCCTCCCAAAGTGCTGGAATTACTGGCGTGAGCCACTGCACCTGGCCAGGCTTGTGACTTCTGACCCCTGTTTTCCTCTTCAGCCAGTCTCATATTTGTTTTCAGCGCTTTTGTGATTTTGGCCTTATTTCAGTCCCTCAAATATATCAAACTCCCTCCTACCATTGGGCTTTTGCACATGTAGTTTCCTCTTACTGGAATGCTCTCCTGTATTTAGTCACTTGCTATATTCCAGCCTTTTTTTTTTTTTTTTGAGACGGAGTCTCTCTGTGTCACCCAGGTTGGAGGGCAGCCCAGGCTGGAGGGCAGTGGTGCGATCTTGACTCACTGCAACCTCCGCCTCCTTGGTTCAAGAGATTCTCCTGCCTCAGCCTCTTGAGTAGCTAGGATTACAGGAGCGCACCACCATGTCCGGCTAATTTTGTATTTTTAGTAGAGATGGGGTTTTACCATGCTGGCCAGGCTGGTCTCCTGACCTCAAGTAATCCACTCACCTCAGCCTCCTGAAGTGCTGGGATTACTGGCATGAGCCACGGCTCCTGTTTTTGCTTTCTATTTTACCTTCAGATACACGGTTGTGGCATGCAGAAGCTCAATAAATATTTGCTATGAATATATATGTGTGTATATATATATATATATATATATATACCCACACACATATATATACATATATACATACACACATACACACACACACACACACACACACACACACACACACACACACACACATATATGTAGGTAATAGCTATTACCAAATTCCTTTTTTTTTTTTTTTTTTGTGATGGTGTCTTGCTCTGTCACCCAGGCTGGAGTGCATTGGTGCCATCTTGGCTCACTGCAACCTCTGCCTCCCAGGTTCAAGTGATTCTCCTGCCTCAGCCTCCCAAGTAGCTAAGACCACCACCAGCTAATTTTGTATTTTTAGTAGAGATGGGGTTTCACCATGTTGGCCAGGCTGGTCTCGAACTCCTGACCTCAGGGGGTCCACTCACCTTGACCTCCCAAAGTGCTGGGATTACAGGTGTGAGCCACTGCGCCTGGTCCCAAATTTAATTTTTTTGTTTGCCTTTTAATTTTGTAGCAAAATATAAAAATGTTGTGCCAAAATTAAAATTTTGTTTGCCCTTTAATATGCACTGATATTTAAACATTTTACATAGTTAAATCTATCAATCATTCCATTATGGCTTCTTTTATTGGCATCATGCTTCAAAAGCCCTCTGTCACTTGAAGAAAATATAAATTTTTATGTATTTTTAATGATATAGCTCTTTCTTTGGAAAATATTAAATTTTTAACTATCTGGAATGGATTTGAGGGCAAGATGACAGGTAGTGAAGCTTTTGTTCTCCATATAGTAGCCACTTGTCCCAAAATACTTTATTATTTTATTGAATGCTCCATCATTCCTCCAAAGACTTAAAATGCCCCTTGTTTAAAAAATATTTTTTGGGGGGGGTCTCTCATTGTTCTGAGCCTCACCCCCAGTCTCTGTACAGGGGAGCTGTTTTCTTTCTTCTTTATATATATATATATAGATATATATATATTTTTTTTTTTTCTGAGACAGGGTCTTGCTCTGTCATCCACGCTGGAGTACAGTGGCATAAACACTGCAAGGAGCTCAAGTGATCCTTCATGTCAGCCTCCTGAGATGATGGACTATAGGCACATGCCACCGTACCCAGCTAATTTTTTCATTTTTTGTAGAGATGGGATCTTCCTATGTTGCCAGGCTGGTCTTGAACTTGGAGCCTCAAGGGATCCTCCTACTTTGGCCTCCCAATGTAAGCCACCACATCCAGCCACAGATTTTTTTAAAATTTAATTTTCTTTTATTTATCTGTCATTGTGGTGATGCATCATTTTAATAATGGTGGCTTTATAAAGCATTTTAATGTATGATTATATCAGTTATCTCTGGCTATAATTATGCTTCATAACAACCACCCAAAATGCAATAGCTAACAGGGTTCCAGGAGATAGTTAAAATCTAATGCTGTAAGGCATTTATTATATATAATGAATTAACTATGTACTATCTTGGGAGAATTGAGAAAATAGACACAAATGATTTTTCTATAGGAATTATTTTCCTCATGGAAACCACACTAAGGAAGTATGGCTTAAAACAAACATTTATTTAGCTCATGAATCTGTAGTTGTGATTTAAGCTGAGTACTTTTTATAGTTTTAGCTGCACTCATTTTCATGTCTGGTGGTCTGCTGGCTGTGGGCTGGGGTGATGTGTGCGACTGGGTCCTATATGTTTCATCCTTTAGTGGGCTAGCCCAGACATGTTCACACAGTGAAGTGCAGAAGGCAAAACAGGAAGCAAATGCACAAGCACTTTGTGAAGCCTCTGCTTGCAGCAAGTTTTCTAATGTCTCATTGGTCAAAACAAATCACATGGCTAACTTCAGCCCTGAGGGCCTGAGAAATATACTCCACCTTCTCATGGAAGGAGCTGTGGAGTCATATTGCAGAAAAGGTGAATGCAGGGTGGATTAGAGAATTGGGGCCATGGTAGTCTTCCATTATTTTTCTTTAAAATTCTTTACTGGCTCGTTCCGCAAACTTGTTCTATTTTAGAATTACTTTGTCAAGACAAAAAATCCCCATTGGTTTTGCATGAAGAGAAAATGTAAGTCAGCCCCTTCCATGTCCCTGCAAAGGACATGATCTCACTGCTTTTTATGGCTGTATAGTATTCCATGGTGTATATATACACATTTTCTTTATTCAGTCTATTATTGATGGGCGTTTAGGTTGATTCCATGTCTTTGCTATTGTGAATAGTGCTGCAATGAACTTATGTGTGCATGTGTCTTTTTTTTTTTTTTTTTTTTTTTGAGATGGCATCTCGCTCTGTCACCAAGGCTGGAGTGCAGTGACGCAATCTCGGCTCACTACAACCTCCACCTCCTGGTTCAAGTGATTCTCCTGCCTCAGCCTTCTGAGTAGCTGGGACTACAGGCATGTGCCACCACGCTTGGGTAATTTTTTGTATTTTTAGTAGAGACAGGGTTTCACCGGGTTAGCCAAGATGGTCTGGATCTCCTGACCTCATGATCTGCCTGCTTTGGCCTCCCAAAGTGTTGGGATTACAGGCATGAGCCACCGTGCCTGACCTGCATGTGTCTTTATAATAGATGATTTATATTCCTTTGGGTGTATACTCAGTAATGGGATTGCTGTGTCGAATGGTATTTCTGTCTCTAGGTCTTTGAGGAATTGCCACACTGTCTTCCACAAGGGTTGAACTAATACTCCCACCAACAGTGCAAAAGTGTTCCCTTTTCTCCACAACTTCACCAGTATCTATTATTTTTTGATCTTTTAATAACAGACCATTATCCTTAGCAAACTAATGCAGGAACAGAAAACCAAATACCGCATGTTCTCATTTATAAGTGGAAGCTAAATTATGGGAACACATGGACACATCGAGGGGAACAACACATGCGGGGGCTTACCGGAGGGTGCAAAGTAGGAGGAGGGAGAGGATCAGGGAAAATAACTAATGGATACTAGGCTTAATACCTGAGTGATGAAATAATTTGTACAACAAAACCTTATGACGCATGCTTACTTGTGTAACAAACAAACCTGTACATCCTGCACATGTACCCATGAACTTAAAATAAATTTTTTTAAAAGAAAATGTAAGTCAGATGCCCAGCTAGGTGCTTTTACATATTCATTTCATTTAATCTTTCAGCAAATGAAAGTAGCTGTCATCATTCACACTTTTTTTCTTTTTTTTTTTTTTTTTGAGACAGAGTCTTGTGCTTGTTGCCAGGCTGGAGTACAGTGGTGCGATCTCGGCTCACTGCAACCTCTGCCTCCTGGGTTCCAGTGATTCTCCTGCTTCAGCCACCCAAGTAGCTGGGACTACAGGTGCGTGCTGCCACATCTGGCTAATTTTTGTATTTTTTAGTAGAGACAGGGTTTCACCATATTGACCAGGTTGGTCTCGAACTCCTGACCTCGTGATCCACCTGCCTCGGCCTCCCTCCCAAAGTGCTGGGATTACAGGTGTGAGCCACTGCGCCGGGCCTCATCACCCACATTTTATAGGTAAGGAAATTGAGGTCCAGATAGATTAAATAACTGTTTATCAGATAACAAGGTAAAGAATCTGGACTCAAACTTATTTCTTGCTTCATTTTATACTTCTCCTTCCACTGTTCCCTGACTGCTTCCTCTGATGATTGCTGAGAGGATCAAGCCATGATAATGGCCACGAATGAACCTGGAAGACTAATGTTAGCTGCTACCCAGTGATTTTGAAGTTCCCTAAATATCCATGTTTCTGTAAATAGAGCTCATGAAGGTTTTAATTTGTAGAAGAATCTCTGTATATCCTTCCTGTTTTATCCACAGTTTGGCGTAGATAACATAATTAACATGATTGACTGAAGGAGATTAAATAATCACAAGAGAAGCATAGTTGAGGTTTATTTTGGAGGCACTAACTTTTACAGCTCTATTGTGTTATAATCCATTCAATTTTCTGGTAATTTAGAAGAACAGCTATTTATAAGGGGATTAGCTATGTCTTCAGGCTGCCAAAACATTCCTTTGGGAGGCTTTGATTGGGGTTCAGAAATGACGTAAAAGAGGTGAGGCCTGACTCCCTGAGCTGCTGGGAGTGACGGCACGGGTAATATCAGATGCTGTCTCATATTAAAAGAAAAACCTCAGACAAATTAAATTTAACAGTATAATTGAGCAAAGAGCATGTCATGGATCAGGCAGCCTCCCGGACCAGAGTAGGCTCAGAGAGACTCCAGCATAGCCATGTGGTAGAAGATGATGTATAGACAGAGAAAGAAAAGTGACATACAGAAAACAGAAGTGAGGTACACAAACAGCTGAATTGGTTACAGCTCAGCATTTGCCTGGTTTGAAGAGTTGGCTGCCTTTGGCCAAAACTTGGTGATTGGCACAAGAGTAGGTTGCAGTCTGTTTACACATCTAGTTAGGTTACAGTTCACGCTAATGGAGACCTCTTTAGGCTGAACTTAAAATATGTGAGGAGGCAGCTTTAGGTTAAACTTGATTGAATGCTCATTTTATTTTATTCTTTTGGCAAACTATGCTCAATAGGTAAATTCCTCTATAGGGTGCCAGTCATTTTAAAAGTGAAACGTTTTGACTGAAACATTTGATTAAATGTTTTGATTAACAAAGTGTTCGTTGCTAGTATTTCCAGGAGCAAGCAGCAGTAGAAACATTAGCAACACAATTTCCTGAAGTTAAACTTATTTTGCTGTGGATACACTTATTTTGAGATGGGGTCTTGCTATCTTGCCCAGGGTAGACTGGAACTCTTGGGCTCAAATGATCATCCCGCCTCAGCCTTTCAGTAATAGGGATTACAGGCTCGTTGCCACCCCACTCAGCTTAGCTGTGGATATTTTCAATGAGAGCCAAACCAATTTGTGTGTGAAAACCTAGTCATACAGCCAGGTGTCTTAGAGCTTTGGGTGGGCCCATCAATCTAAATTATAAGTTGGCCCCACATGGAAATGGTTGGAGGTGGGAAGGGAAAGGTGAATTCTTAGAGCCCTGGTCCCTGGAACTCCCTGGTGCTGAAGCCCCATGGGTTTGCACTGGGTAATTTACACCACTTTGTGACTCGTGAACACATTAATTATGCAACAGTTTGTTAGTTTCCTTAATCATCATGGGATTTCCCATGCCACAACCCTGAAAATAGTATGGTGTATACTTTAAGCTTGCTGTAGGTGAAAAATGCAACTCAGTCACTTTGTCTTCTGTGCTTAGATGGCAGGACTTTCTGAAGCAATACATAGAAACTTAATAATGTCCATCAACAGCATATTAGAGAATAAATTTTATGTAAGAATAGTGCTGAACATTTAGAGAAAGGAGACTGTCAGAATTTGTCTATTCAGTGTGAATTTGAGGGTAGTTGTAAGGTTTAGAGGTAATATATGTTAAAGTGTCTGGTCCTCAGTAGGCACTTTACACATATTAGCTATGATGATCACAGAGGTGGAGCTGTCTGTGCTGACATTATCTGAATGGAAGGTTGATGGTTGAAATCAGTGACATGCAAAGCTCATTGGAATTTCCTTAGGAGCTCTCTAAAGTTTACATTTCCAGGTTCCAGCGCTGGAGATTCTTATTCTTATTTAATGGAATTTTAAAAATAATGCCCTGCAGCTGATTCTGATGGCCAGCTAGATTTAGAAGATCCTAGATGAGGGGATTTCTAAATTCTCTTTCAACTGTACCATCCAGAGGTTGGAATATTGAGGAAGTTTTTTTGTGATCCTCATTGCTCAAGCTCATGCAAATTCAAAGTCAACTCATCTTATTGTGCTTCCTCTCAAGGTATGAGAATCTGTAAATGGGTTGGAAACATTAACGGGATACTAAATCTGATAAAGCATTTTCTCCACACGGATACAGAGCACCTCACACCAGATGTGCAGGTTTTTTCCCCACACCAACCAATTCTCCAACACCATCTGAGTGTCCTACAATTCAGTTTAATTCTGTCACTATGTACCTGAAGTTAGCTTTAGATGTCACAAGTGAATAGGCTCAGTTCCACAAGACTGCCCCTACTCAGAGCCATTTGCAAGTCTAGGCCTCCCGTGTTTCGGACTGACCTGTTACAAATTGGGGATTCTTTTCTTTTCTTTTCTTTTCTTTTTTTTTTTTTTTTGAGACAGAGTCTCACTCTGTCGCTCAGGCTGGAGTGAAGTGGCTCAATCTCAGCTCACTGCAACCTCTGCCTCCCAGGTTCAAGCGATTCTTGTACCTCAGCCTCCTGAATAGCTGGGATTACAGGCGCCTGCCACTATGCCCAGCTAATTTCTGTATTTTTAGTAGAGACCAGGTTTCACCATATTGGCCAGGCTGGTCTCAAACTCCTGACCTCAGGTAATCCGCCCCTCTTGTCCTCCCAAAGTGCTGGGATTACAGGCGTGAGCCACCGTGCCCGGCCTATAAACTGGAGATTCTTATGCCCTTCTTTCAGTTTGATAATTTGCTTGAACAACTCAGAACTTAGAGAAACACTTTACTTACATTTACCAGTTTATTATAAAGGATAAAGATGAATAGCCAGACAAAGAGGTTAACAGGGCAAGGTTTGGAAAGATCCTAAGTGCAGAATCTTCTGTTCCCTGGGAGTTGGGGTGTACCACTCTCCCAGCACATGAATGTGCTTACCAACCTGGAAGCTCATCAAATCTCATTTTTACTTTTTTTAAAAAACTTTTTTTTTTTTTTTTACCTTTTTTTTGGGGGATGGGTTGGACAGAGTCTTGCTCTGTTGCCCTGGCTGGAGTGCAGTGGCACCATCATAGCTCACTGCGGCCTTGAACTCCTGGACTTAAGGGGTCCTCCCACTTCAGTCTCTCGAGTAGCCGGGACTACAGGTGTGCACCACCACATCCGGCTAATTAAATTTTTTTTTTTTTTGTAGAGACAAGCGTCTTGCTTTGTTGTCCAGATTGGTCTTGAACTCTTAACCTCAAGTGATCTTATCTCCTTGGCCTCCCAGAGTGTTGGGATTACAAGAAATAGCCACTGCACCTGGCCCAAATCTCATTTTTAAAGCGTTTTTAGAGAGTTTAATCTTCAGCTCCCTCCATCCCTACGTTTCCTTAGAGGTCAGTGGGTGAGACTGAAAGTTCTACCCCATAATCACTGGGTCTTTCTGGTGACTGACCCCATCCTGAGGCTATTTAGGGGCCCCATCCTAAGTCACATTAGCATAAACTTTGGTAAGATCAAATGGGACTCCTTACAAATAACAGAACGTGCTCCTATCACTCAGCAAATGCCAAGGATTTTAGGTGCTGTATGCCAGAAACTGGGGACAAAAACTAAATATATTTCTTATTAAACCATGCTGAAGAAACTGAACATTCCTTTTTTTTCTCTTAAACCAGAATGAAAATAGAAATCTGTCTTTAGGCTGGGCATGGTGGCTCATGCCTGTAATCCTAGTACTTTGGGAGGCCAAGGCGGGTGAATTGCTTGAGGTCAGGAGTTCAAGACCAGCCTGGCCAACATGGTAAAACCCTGTCTCTACTAAAAATTCAAAAATTAGCTGGGCATAGTGGTGTGCATCTGTGGTCCCAGCTACTCAGGAGGCTGAGGCAAGAGAATCGCTTGAACCCAGGAGGCAGAGGGTGCAGTGAGCACCGAGATCGTGCCACTGCACTCCAGCCTGGGCAAGAGAGTAAGACTCCGTCTAAAAAAAAAAATTTAGACTGGTCGTTTGCAGGTGTCTGTGATCTGTGATATTGTTCAGTCTAGTTATTCTCAGTGCAAATCGTCTAATAGGCCTCAGCTATTCACCCATAGCCATTCCAATGCTTTAGAGAATCCAAGACCTGTGAAGTCTGTAGGCAGGCCTCAGCACCTAGCCCCTGGTCCGGATCCTCATGTGCTCATTCTCAACCTTATCTTATGGTATGAACAGGAATAAGATATTGCAAAGTATCTTCTGTCACATTTTCCTGATGCCATATACGATAGTTTGTGCTCATATGTGGAGAACATTCCCAAATATGTACCCCTTGCCATCCAAGGCATTTTTCTCCTAGACAAGAAATCTTATCAGAATACAAGTGATTGAGAATAATTCATTAATGCACACATATATACAATTGTTATATATATGAATGTGTGTGCATTGATATATCCACTTACAAAAATTAAACAATTATTTGCAAATGCTTGCTTGACACATCTTCTAAATGAAAGAAATGCACTTTTGTGTCCAGATATCATGGTTGAGTGTTGTCAACGTAGAGAATTCTTTTTTTCTTTTTTCTTTTGAGATGGAGTTTTGCTCTTGTTTCCCAGGCTGGAGTGCAATGACATGATCTCGGCTCACTGCAACCTCTGCCTCCTTTGTTCAAGCGATTCTCCTGCCTCAGCCTCCTGAGTAGCTAGCTGGGATTACAGGCGCCGGCCACCATGTCCAGCTAATTTTTTGTATTTTAGTAGAGATGGAGTTTCACCATGTTGGCCAGGCTGGTCTCGAACTCCTGACCTCGGGTGATCCACCTGCCTTGGCCTCCCAAAGTGCTGGGATTACAGGCATGAGCCACTGCACTCGGCCAATGTAGAGATTTCTGATGCTCAAGAAAGGTACACATTGTAATTCAGTTATCACACTGCAGCTGCTGAAAGTGAAACCATAGGGGTCTTCTTTACTCTCAGATGAGGTGTTGCCTGTCTTCGGTTTGACTTTGGGTTGATGCTGTGGGCAGCCTCTTGCTGGCACATTTCTCTTATCCCATCAAAAATAAGAGAGGGTTGTGAGAGACTTGTGGTTTTTGAGGAAGTTGGGATCTTTGGCACATAATAATTTTGGAATCATAAACTTTTCTCATTGTACATTTGCCAGGAACTTGAACTGAATTGAACTTGGAACTCAAACCTGGGCCTGGCTAACCAGCTTTAATTTCTGAAACAATAAATTGGTTAACCACAAACCAATGAAGAAATGTTTCACTTTAAACCTACTCAACCTATTCAAACCCAAACCAGTCTTAAGTATTCTGTAAAACCACAGAACCATAACATCAAA
Source organism: Homo sapiens (assembly GCF_000001405.40). Classification (NCBI taxonomy): domain Eukaryota; kingdom Metazoa; phylum Chordata; class Mammalia; order Primates; family Hominidae; genus Homo; species Homo sapiens. Next base: position 199,941,877 of record NC_000001.11, on the reverse strand, counting down.
ATGTTTTCAAATCAAACCTAAACTGAAGTGAAATTTGGTTTGAGGTGCTGACATCATATGTCATAGTTGACATACTTTTATAACATTCTGCATGCTTAGTATTGATGATAGTTTGATATACAGTTGACCCTTTGTATCTGAGGATTGAAAATATTAAAAAAAGAAATAAAAATTGCAATACAATAAAAAATACAAATAAAAACAATGTAGCGTAACAACTATTTACATAGCATTTACATCACATTTGGTATTATAAGTAACCTAGAGATGATTGAAAGTGCACCCGAGAATGTATATAGGTTATATGCAAATACTGTACCATTTCATGTAAGAGACTTGAGCATCAGAGGATTTTGCTATTGTGGTTTTCACCAGTCCCCCATGGATACCCAGGGATGATTGTATAATAGAATTTTGTATTTGAAGATCTTAGAAGTATTGGCAATGTTTCATAGACCGGAGTCACTGAGGGTTTACTGAAGGTGAAATAGTGAGTCAGAGGAAAACGTGGGTAGGGGCTGGACAATTGCTTTAGGTGTTTGTTACATTGGTAATTGAGCCAACTTGCCAGCAGTTGTGTGAAGTTTCTTTCCTTCCCTTCCTTTCTCTCTCTCTGTCTCTCTCTCTCTCTCTCCTTCCCTCTCCTCTCTCTCTCTCATTCTCTTCTTCTTTTCTTTTCTTTCTTTCTTTCTTTCTTTCTTTCTTTCTTTCTTTCTTTCTTTCTTTCTTTCTCTCTCTCTCTCTCTCTCTCTTTCTTTTTCTTTCTCTCTCTCTCTTTCTTTTCTTGTCTAACTCTGTCATCCAGGTTGGAGTGCAGTGGAGCAATCTGAGCTCACTGCAACCTCCACCTCCTGGGTTCAACCGATTCTTCTGCCTCAGCCTCCTGAGTAGCTGGGATTGCAGGCACCTGCCACCATGCCCAGCTATTTTTTTGTATTTTTAGTAGAGATGGGGTTTCACCATGTTGGCCAGGTTGGTCTTGAACTCCTGATCTCAAGTGATCTGCCTTGGCGTCTCAAAGAGCTGGGATTACAGGCATGAGGCACCGCACTCAGCCTTAAGTGAAGTTTCTTCTGCGGTATTCATAAAGAAAGAAACAAACAGTACATCCATCATCTTGCTCGTATACTACCTGTTACCTTGTACTACTAAGTGTTAAGATAATTTAAGTTTACTAATGTATATGATTCTTTGTAACTTAGTTTTTGCTTGTTTGTTTGTTTTTTGAGACCAGTTTCCCTCTGTCTCCCAGGCTGGAGTGCAGTGGCACAATCTTGATCTCGGTTCACTGTAGCCACCACCTCCTGGGTTCAAACAATTCTGCCTCAGCCTCCCGAGTAGCTGGGATTACAGGTGTGCACCACCATGCCTGGCTAATTTTTGTATTTTTAGTAGAGATGGGGTTTTGCCATGTTGGCCAGGCTGGTCTAGAACTCCTTACCTCAAGCGATCCGCCCTCCTCGCCCTCCCAAAGTGCTGGGATTACAGGCATGAGCCACTTCGCTTTGCCTGGCCAGTTTTTTTATTTTTTTATTTTTAAATTACAGTTATGTTTAAATAACTGCACAATGGCTGGAGGACCCAAAGCTCCACTTCAGTCAGGTGCTTAGAAGATGAGGGATTCCAGTGCATTTACTTGGTTCCTCTGGTGTGATTCTTTTGGGTGTGCATGCATGTGTTTTGAACTCTTTCAAGACTTTAGGATACCAGTTGGTCAATTAGGACTTCTGTAACTTAAAAGGATTTATGTCTTTTTTAAATTATGAAATATCTTAAATATTCAGATAAGTATAGAGCACAATATAACAAGTACTCATGTACTTACTCATCACTTAAGTCAAATCAACATTTTGCTTTATTTTCTTCAAATCTTCTCCTCTTTCTTCATATTTCTCATCTTCTCTTTTAATTTTTTCCCAACCATCTGCTGCCTGTTGCATCTTCCCTTTCTCTTCTTTCTCTTTTTCTTCATTCTTTTTCTTTACCTTAAGGAGTAAAACATTATTAGTATAGTGGAAGGCCCTGTGTGCCTCTCCTAAATCACATTCTCTTCTCTTCTTAGAGGTAAAGTCTCCAAATTTACTATTATTCATTCCCATGAATGTTTTCAAGCTTTATATAATTGAAATTATACTGTACCAGTTTCTGTATTTCTCTATTTTATATTTTATTTATTTATTTATTGAGAGAGAGTCTCGCTCTGTCGCCCAGGCTGGAGTGCAGTGGCACGATCTCAGCTCACTGCAACCTCTGCCTCCAGGGTTCAAGCAATTCTCCTGCCTTTGCCTCCTGAGTAGTTGGGACTACAGGCATGCGCCACCACGCCTGGCTAATTTTTGTATTTTTAGTAGAGATGGATTTGACCATGTTGGCCAGACTGCTCTCGAACCCCTGACCTCAGGTAATCCGCTTGCCTCGGCCTCCTAAAGTGCTGGGATTATAGGCATGAGCCACTGTCCCCAGCTTCTCTATTTTATACAAGTGCAATTATACTGTACACATTATATTGCTGTCTTTCATGTTTTTAAGATTATTCTATGTGTATACAATTGCATGATATAATTTATTTTTAACTATTATGCCTCACTCTTCTTTAGTGATCACTTCTTTGTTTCATGGTCGTTTAGATTTTTTTTTCACTTTTCACTGTTACACACCACATGAAAATAAACATTCTTGTACTTGTCTCATTGTATATATTTGTGACTTTTTCTCTAGAACATATACCCAGGGGCATTATAGGTAGAGTATGAACATTTCCCAACTTTATTAGATGTTCCTAAATTGTTCTGCAGTCATTATATTAGTTGCATGTGCTATTTCTTGTTGATGCATATGCTTTCTACACTTTGGTATTGCTAGGAATTTAAATTTTGGCAATGTGAAAAGTTCCCAATTTTATTTAATTTCAATTTGCATTTCCCTGATAACTAGTCTTTTCATGTTCATGAGACATTTTGATTTCCTCTCTGAACTCTTTTCTATTGGGCTGAGTTTCTTTTTTTGATTGATTTATGGGAGTTCTTTCTATATCATGAATATGGACTGCAGCTATGAATGTGCCACTGCACTCCAGCCTGAACAACAGAGTGTCTACACACACACACACACACAGACACACACAAATGTAACTTAGCCAACAATCAGGTTGATAATAACTTTTATGCTTTGGCAACACCATACTGAAATTATTTTATTATTATTATTATTATTATTATTATTATTATTATTATTATTTTGAGACGGAGTCTTGCACTGTCGCCCAGTCTGGAGTGCAGTGGCGCGATCTTGGCTCACTGCAACCTCCACCTCCTGGGTTCAAGTGATTATCCTGCCTCAGCCTCCCGAGTAGCTGGGATTATAGGTGTGTACCATCACACCCGGCTAATTTTTTGTATTCTTAGTAGAGACGGGGGTTTCACCATGATTGGCCAGGCTGGTCTTGAACTCCTGACCTTGTGATCTGCCCGCCTCAGCCTCCCAGAGTGCTGGGATTATGGCGTGAGCCACTGTGCCTGGCCTATTTTATTTTCTACTCAGAGAGCAAGAGCCATGAGTTCATAGCTAAGTGAGGGAAAACGGGGGAATGGTTTGGTCCATTCCTTTTCCTTGAGGTGCCAGTTAAGGGAGCTTGAGCATCATAAGCCCTGAGTTTTGTTTCAAGTTCCTTTTCTAACCTGAAGTAAAACTGATGCAGCAGAAAACCAACTAGTGAAAAACAACTACAAAACTGACCCAGCCTCTGTTTTACCATCTGTTCTGAAATGAACCTCTTAAATCCCTTATTCCCATTAGTGGATTGTTTTTAAAACATATTCCCAAGGAGATGAATTTGATTATTTCTTTATTTCTCCAGGTTTCTTTGGCCCTCTATTACTTTAACTGCAGGCTTACATTTTCTGAAGTATGTCTGCAGTGAAGCCAGGCAGAGCGCATTAACAGAACTAGCATGCCACGGCTAAGTAATCCAGTAAAAGTATTCTTGTTGTGCAGTGCACGCATTCATAGGACCATTTTAGTTATTGCTGTAATTAGTTCTGATTCAAGTATTCCACAGAGAATGAGGTTTCTAGATTGAAAGTGGTCAGATGCAGGTTGGCAGTGGGGATGTAGGATGCAGATGGCAGACAGAGCCTGAAGGAGAGATGAGAGATGTTTCTATATGCCTCAATTTGTGGCATTTCTGATTTTTATATGAACATTAAACTTGGTCGAGCTGAAGTGCCATTTGCTCTAAGAGAGGATAATGTACACTTATCCCTATGCTTTCTAAAAAATAGACTGAAGCTGGAAATGGCACAGGCATGGGACGTCATAGAGTGACATTTACATTACAAAGTACCTATAATATAAGGCTTATAAATAGAAAAAGAATAAGCATATTTTAACCGTATAGTTCTAAGTGAGATTATTTTGACCCTTGACTAAAGATACAAGCTTATAGGTCTTAGATTTGGAGGAGACCCAAGAGATCATGCAGTCTTTCTTAAATTGTGAGTATGACAAGTTTTATTGAATGAATCAGCAGAATATTTACCATGAGCCAGGGAGTTTGCAAGGCATTAGGAGTGTAAAGACAAATAATACATAGATCCCCTTCCCTCAAGGAGTTCACAGTCTAGTTGAGGAGACAGAGCTCTAAATAGTTTGTTTGATTTTTTTTTTTTTGAGACCGAGTTTCACTCTTGTTGCCCAGGCTAGAGTGCAATGGCGCGATCTCGGCTCACTGCAACGTCTGCCTTCCGGGTTCAAGTGATTCTCCTATCTCACATTCCTGAGTAGCTGGGATTACAGGCGCCCACAACAATGCCCGGCTAGTTTTTTTTTTGTATTTTTAGTAGACATGGGGTTTCACCATGTTGGCCAGGCTGGTCTTGAACTCCTGACCTCAGGTGATCCACCTGCTTTAGCTTCCCAAAGTGCTGGGATTACAGGTGTGAGCCACTGCGCCTGGCCCAGAGCTCTAAATAGTTTTTAAAAACAAGTGGCATGTTTTAAAAATGATAAGTGGCATTTGGCATATGTCCCCTGGAAGTTGAGAGGGGCACTCATGCTGCCTGGGACAGGGTTTTGGAAGGTTAGGAAAGACGTCAGAGAAAACTGCCTTTTAAACTGACATTTGAAGGATGCCAGGAAATCTCTAGGCCATGGGGTGCATAGCATGGGTAGTATTCTAGGCAGATCCTTGTTCAAAGATTTGGTGATGTCAAAGAGAGATCACGTTGCATTTAGGGAAGTAAGATGCTCAATAAGGCTAGAGCTTGAGAGGGAGCTAATAGGAGTTGAAACTGAAAAAGGAAGAAATGGCTAGGCATGGTGCTTCATGCCTGTAATCCCAGCACTTTGGGAGGCGGAGGCAGGTGGATCACTTGAGGTCAGGAGTTCGAGCATGGCCAATGTGGTGAAACCCCATTTCTACAAAATATACAAACAAACAAAAATAGCAAGGCATCATGGCGGGTGCCTGTAATCCCAGCTACTTGGAAGGCTGAGGCAGGAAAATTGCTTGAACCTGGGAGGCAGAGGTTGCAGTGAACCGAGATCGTGCCACTGCATTCCAGCCTGGGCAACAGAGTGAGACTCTGCCTCCAAAAAAAAAAGACAAAAAAAAAAAGGAAAAGAAAAAGAAGGAAACTAGATCTTGAAAGGATGTGACATCAAATTAGGGAGTATGGACATCATCATATATGCAGTGGAAGAATTATTTTGAATTTTAAAGAGAAGAGTAATATTCAGATTTGTCCTTTTCTGGTAAAAGTAAGAAGGTGTGTTGTTAACTGTAGAGAACAGCACTGGAGAGACAATGGAAGTATGAATTAAGGCAGCGGGAATAGAGAGGAGGGGACTTACTTGAGGGATGTAAAGGAATACAATCAATAGCATTGAAAGGGATAAGGGAGTTGCAAAGTTAAAGAAAATTCCCCAATTTATGGCATGGGAAACTGATGGGATGATGATGCTATTTTCTGGAAAAAAAAAATCCAGTTTTGTGAGAGTTTAAATTGGAACATATAAAATTTGAAATTGTCTGAGATACCCAGGCAGCATGTCCATTGTCAATTAGAAGTATATTTCTGGAACTGAAATGAGATGTGCATGCTAGAGATATGGTTTTGGGAGTTCATCAGCCTTCAGATAGCAGAGGAAGTCATGGGAATAAATGTCACCTACCAACAGTTTATAGAATAAGACAAAATGAGGGCAGTTCTGGTTCTGACGATGTGGCAGATAAGAAAACTTGAAAACCCACCCTGTACACACACATAAAAGTATTAAAAATAATACGGGTGCGGTGGCTCACACCTGTAATTCCAGCACTTCTGGAGGCCGAGGTGGGCGGATCATGAGGTCAGGAGATAGAGACCATCCTGGCCAACATGGTGAAACCCCGTCTCTACTAAAAATACAAAAATTAACTGGGTGTGGTGGCATACAACTGTAATCCCAGCTACTGGGGAAGCTGAGGCAGGAGAATCGCCTGAACCAGGGAGGCAGAGGTTGCAGTCAGCAGAGATCGCACCACTGCACTCCAGCCTGGCGACAGGGCAAGAATCTGTCTAAAAAAAAAAATAAATCAATAAAAAAGTGTTAAAAATAATGCAGCAGATCATATTAAAGCAGAGCTGCACTCAGAAGATAAAGGGTATTTTCAGGGACCAGAAATGAAGAGGGAATGGAAAACCTTAGCAGTAAATGAGTGAGCTAAGGTGGTGTTTGCTGGCTTATGTGAAGTAGAGTTCTCAAGAACCTAGAGGATTGCATTGTAATGCACATATAGGGTCAGGAGATACAGTCTTCAGCCTTGTTGAGTTAGAACTGTAAAATTCAAACCCAGCTGGGATCCTTTAAGGTACAGGTATTTCAAATGGTGGATTAGGGGAAAAAATGCCTTTTTTTTTTTTTGGCACAGAAAGAAGACAAGTAAACTATCTGTTTTATTTTGGCTTTGAGATAGAAAAATAAAATCCCATTTGGAAATTTTAAAATCAAAACTTATATTAGTGTGGGTTTGGGGTTCAAAGTTTTTAAACATATTTATTGAAGTATAATTTGCATACTATAAATTCACTTTTTTAAAGTGAACAGTTTGACATATTTTGACAAATGTATGTATTTGTATAATCGTCACGATAAACAACATGTAGAACATTTATATCACCTCAAAAAGTTCCCTTGGTGGGGCACGGTGCTCACACATGTAATCCTAGCATTTTGGGGGGCTGAGTTGGGAGGATTGCTTGAGCCCAGGAGTTGGAGATCAGCCTGGGCAACATAGCAAGACCCCATCTCCGTCTCTATTTACTGTATTTTAAAAATATTTAAAAGAAAAAAAAGTTCCCTCATGTTTATTTATAGTGAATCCCTTTGTCCTACTCTCAGCCACTGGCAACCACTGATCTGGTTACTGTGCCCTACAGATTTGCCTTTTCTAGAATGTGATATAAATGGAGTAATGGAGTCATACTGTATAAAGTTTTTTGTTTTTTTGAGATGGAGTCTCGCTCTATCTTGCAGGCTGGAGAGCAGTGGTGCAATCTCAGCTCACTGCAACCTCCGCCTCCTGGGTTCAAGTGATTCTTGTTCCTCAGCCTCTTGAGTAGCAGCTGGGATTACAGGTGCCTGCCACCATGCCCGGCTAATTTTTGTATTTTTAGTAGAGATGGGGTTTCGCCATGTTGGCCAGGCTGGTCTCGAACTCCTGACTTCGGGTGATCTGCCCACCGCGGTCTCCCAAAGTGCTGGGCTTGCAGGAATGAGCCACCCTGCCTGGCCCAGTATATAGCTTTTGAGGACTAGCTTCTTTAACTTATGATAATGCTTTGGATATTCACCATGTTGGTGTATGTATCAGTAGTGTGTTACTTTTTATTGCTGAATGGGTATCCTTCGTTATATGGTTATACCATCATTTGTTTATTCTCCAGTTGATGGACATTTGGGTTATTTCTAGTTTTTGGCTATTATAAATAAAATTACTATGATCATTCATGCAATTCTTTGGGTGTTCACATTTATACTACATATTTAGTCTGGGAATTATACAACCAAAATATTAATGTAAAAGTTGATTCTGGGTTGGAAATACCTCTGGGAAACCTAATATAAGCAAATGTACAATGTTTCTGGGAGGTCCCATGCCAACCTAGGCTACATGGGAATCTCTCTTCCAAAAAATCAACCAAAATGAACATTCACTGGACATAAACAAGAAGGCTTATAGTCCCAGAACTTTAAACAATAAGATAATCAGGTACAAACCATAAATAATATTTTTTAAGTAATTAAATTAATAAATTATTTAAAATATATAAAAAAGATGCCGTGAGAAAAGAACACATAAATTAAAACAAAAAAGTAACTTCTAGAAATGAAAAATATAATCAATGGAATAGAAAAATCCGGTGAATGAGTTAAACAACAGATTAGCCACGGCGGAAGAGAAAAGAAGTGAACTGGAAATACTTAAAAAAAAGCTTCCGCCTCCCAAAGTGTCAAGATTACAGGCATGAGCCACTGTGCCTGGCCTGGAAGATACTTTTAAGAAACTGACAGAAACAGTTTAGAGGATACACATAAACACACACATACACACACACACGAAACAGTGACTAATATGGAAAATATAAAAATAAATCAGTACTAAAATTCTGGAAAGAGGCCTGGCATGGTGGCTTACGCCTGTAATCCCAGCACTTTGGGAGGCCAAGGCGGGTGGATCACCTGAGGTCAGGAGTTTGAAACCAGCCTGGCCAACATGGTGAAACCCCGTCTCTACTGAAAATACAAAAAAATTAGCCAGGCTTGGTGGTGCATGCTGGTAATCTCAGCTACTCAGGAGGCTGACATGGGAGAATGGCTTGAACCCGGGAGGCAGAGCTTGCAGTCAGCTGAGATTGCGCCACTGCACTCCAGCCTGGGCAACAGAGTGAGACTCTGTCAAAAAAAAAAAAAAAAAAAAAAAAATTTATAGAAAAACACCACTTGTAAACCAGAAGGGATGGTAATTATTTTTTAGATATTTATGTTATTCAGGAAAAGAATAAAACTATTGATTAATGTTATATTTTGTTAGGTCAAATATGAATATTAAAAAGTAAATGTAACCTGCTTTTGCTTGTGGTAACAGTGGTGGTAAGGATATATATGTTTTTATATATATATATGCCATTGTATAGTTATTAGCTATCTCTGCCTCTGGGACTTTTTGTATCCCTTGCACTGAGGGATATACATTGAGGGATACACACACACACACACACACACACACACATTTTACACACACACACACATACGTGCACATAGAACCTACTTGAAAATCAGAGAAATGCAAGTTAAAATAACATGTCATTTATATCCGCCAGTTAGGCAAAAATACAAACCAGAACTGCCAGATGTTGGGGCAAACACCTTAAAGAGCAATTTCGCAGTTCATGTTAACTCAGAGATCCATAACCTGTTATAAACTTAGTCCGTTTGTGCTGCTGTAACAAAATATCATAGACCTGGGTAATTTATAAGCAATAGAAATTTGTTTCTTACAGTTTTGGAGGCCAGGAAGCCTAAGATCAAGGTGCCAGCAGGTTTGGTGCCTGCTGACGGTCCCATCTCTCTGCTTCCAAGAAGGCGTCTTGTTGCTGTGTCGTCACGTGGCAGAAGAAGTGAAAGTGAAAGCAGGGGGGTGAACCCACTGTCTTGAGTCCTTTTGTAAGGGCACTAATCCCATCCATGAGGATCCACCTTCGTGACCTAATTACCTCCAAAGTGCCCCACCTCTCAATACTATCACACCTCTGAATACTATCACACTGGCGATTAACCTTCAACATACAAATTTTGGGGTACACATTCAGATCAGATCATATACCTTGGAGAAGCAGCTCTAAAAATGTAATCTAGAACTGTTGGTGACCCTTGAGACTCTTTTTGTAGTCAGTAAGGTCAAAACTTTCCATAATGATACTATGCAGTTCTTTTCACACTCTTATTCCTTCATAAGTAAAGTTTTCCAGAGATTATCAGATGGATGATGACATCATTTCTGGGACAGTTAATGCGTTGTGTGCTGTAAATTCTTGTTTTATAAAAATTTCTGTTTTAATTTCTAATATGATAAATATTTACAGTTATAATCCTCATAAACAAAAGTTCTTTTGGGTCTCTAAGAGTGTTAAGGTATCCTGAGTCCAAACAGTTTGAAGAGAAAGTTTTATTCAGGTGCACAAGTAGAGATGCCAAAGAATGATCACTGCAGCCTTATTTGCAGTTGTAAAAAGTTGGGGACAGCCTAAATGTTTATCAATAGGAGAAAAGACAAAGAAATTGTTTTAGACTTTCTTTTCTTCTTCTTCTTTTTTTTTTGAGACAGGGTCTCACTCGTATCCAGGCTGGAGTGCAGTGGCACAGTCTCAGCTCACTGCAGCCTTGACTTCCTGGGCTCAGGCGATCCATACCTCAGCCTCTCAAGTAGCTGGGACCACAGGTGTGTGCCACCACACCCAACTAATTTTTAAAAATTATTTGTAAGGCCAGGCATGGTGGCTCATGCCTGTAATCCCAGAACTTTGGGAGGCCAAGGCAGGTGGATCACCTGAGATCAGGAGTTCGAGACCAGCTGGCCAATGTGGTGAAATTCCATCTCTACTAAAAATACAAAAATTAGCTGGGTGTGGTGGCGGGTGCCTGTAATCTCAGCTATTCAGGAGGCTGAGGTAGGACAATTGCTTGAACCTGGGTGGCAGGAGCCGAGATTGTGCCATTGGACTCCAGCTTGGGTGACAAGAGCGAGACTCCATCTAAAAATAATAATAATAATAAATAATAAAAACATTATTTGTAGAGATGAGGTCTTGCTATGTTGCCCAGCCTGTTCTCGAACTCCTGACCTCAAGTGATCTGCCTCCCTTGGCCTCCCAAAGTGCTGAGATTACAGGCATGAGCCACTGTGCCAGGCCAAGAAATTGTTTTAGATCTCTAAAAAATTGCAAATTTAACCCAGAAGAACAAATTATAGAAAGGTATGTACTGCTTATACCATAAAGTTTTAAAAACCTAAAAAATTGTTTTATATATATATATATAAATAGTTTAAAAAATTGCATGCGTTGTAAAAATAGTCATGAGAATGATGAATAACAAAATCAAGATGGTGGGTATTGCTGGAAAGGGAGGGATGGGAATGATATTGCTGAGGAACATTCAAGGAAATAATATTACATTTGTCATTCATTTATTTAAAATAATCTGACAAAAATCTGTGTGATGCCTTTTTGGTATTTTTATATATATATATTTTTTATTATACTTTAAGTTCTAGGGTACATGTGCACAACGTCCAGGTTTGTTACATATGTATACATGTGCCATGTTGGTGTGCTGCACCCATTAACTTGTCATTTACATTAGGTGTATCTCCTAATACTATCCCTCCCTCCTCCCCCCACCCCACAATAGGCCCTGGTGTGTGATGTTCCCCTTCCTGTGCCCAAGTGTTCTCATTGTTCAATTCCCACTTACGAATGAGAACATGCAGTGTTTGGTTTTTTGTCCTTGCGATAGTTTGCTGAGAATGATGGTTTCCGGCTTCATCCATGTCTCTACAAAGGACATGAACTCATCATTTTTTATGGCTGCATAGTATTCCATGGTGTATATGTGCCACATTTTCTTAACCCAGTCTATCATTGATGGACATTTGGGTTGGTTCCAAGTCTTTGCTATTGTGAGTAGTGCCGCAATAAACATACGTGTGTATGTGTCTTTATAGCAGTAAATTAATGTTTATTATTACCTATTTTAAGAGCACAGAAAAGTATAAAGTGTAATATGATAAAAAGCCTTTTTGGTGTTTTTCATATTACACTTTATACTTTTCTGTGCTCTTAAAATAGATAATAATAAATATTAATTTTAAAATTATAAAAGAGCCCATGAGGGAACTCTGGGAAATCAGCCTTGAAGGGTTCGGCAGAAGAGCCAAATAATTCTTAGAAGGAGAAGTCAGGAAACAGCAGAAAAACCAGAAGATTAAATTGGGACAGAGCTTAATCAGTAAACCAGCTAAAAGAATACCGACTTCCCCTCCCCTCCTGACGTAGAGTTATAAATTCTGGAGAGAGAGAGAGGAGAGAGAGAAACATGGGTGGGACTGTGAGAGTGCAAGTTTGTAAGCATAGCATTGCTTGAGGATGAGTCTAAAACAGGGTGAGTAACCCAAAAGACTTGTATTTTGGGTATTGTCTGAGGAGAACATGGGTGGGTAACATGGATGGAGAAAGGGGCATTAAGGAGCTGCTTGAGATGTCATGTTATTTTAGTGCCTGCCTACATTCTAGTGACTTTAAAAATCCTATATTTATTGACATTACAATTTCATGAACTATGCTTAGTGCAAGGGATACAAAAAGTTCCAGAGGCAGAGATAGGTAAATACCTATATAATGGCATTGAGGAGAAGGGTGGGTTTAATTTTAATTGAACTTAATTTAATTAAGTGGGAAAAATTAATCTTGTTTGTACCTAATTGAAGGGAACCAATGATTAACAGCAGAAACAATAGCCAATACCAAAGACATCTCAACTGATTCAGCTTACACAATTCTGACTAAAACATTAAAGTTCTGCAAATTTTCCACTCCATGGGTACCAAAACCATTATGCCCAGATCAGCTTCAGACAAGAGCAGAGGTTTCCGTGGAAATTTTAAACAAGTGAGATCAAGAGCCTGAAGCATTTCTTTGAGGTATAGTAACAGGAGATGAAACATGGCTTTACCAGTGCAATCCTGAAGACAAAGCACCATCAAAGCAGTGGCTACCAAGAGGTGGAAATGGTCCAGTCACAGCCCAAGTGGACTTGTCAAGAGCGAAGGTCATGGCGACAGTTTTTTTTGAATGCTCAAGGCATTTTGCTGGTTGACTTTCTGGAGAGCCAAAGAAGAATAACATCTGCTTATCATGAAAGCGTTTTGAGAAAGTTAGCCAAAGCTTTAGTAGAAAAACACCGAGGAAAGCTTCACTAGGGAGTCTTTCTCCACAATGGCAATGCTCCTGCTCATTCCTCTCATCAAGCAAAGGCAATTTGAGAAGACTTTTGATGAGAAATCATTAGGCATCCACTTTACAGTTATAATTTGGCTCTTTCTGGCTTCTTTTTGTTTCCTAAAAAAAAAAAATCTATAAAGGGCACCATTTTTCTTCAGCTAATAATGTAAAAAAGACTGCATTGATAAGGTTACATTTCCAAGATCCTTAGTTCTTTAGGGATGGACTAAATAAATGGCTGGTATCATCACTTACAAATGTGTTGCGACCTTGATGGAGCTTATGTTGAGAAATAACGTTTACATTTTTTATTTTTTCATTCCATTTTCCAATGAACTTTTCAAAGTCCCCTTGTTTTTTTTTGTTTGTTGGCTTGTTTGTTTTTTTTGTCAGGCGGAGTCTGGCTTTGTCGTCCAGGCTGGAGTGCAGTGGCGCGATCTCTGCTCACTGCAAGCTCTGCCTCCCGAGTTCACGCCATTCTCCCGCCTCAGCCTCCTGAGTAGCTGGGACCACAGGAGCACTCCACCACGCCCGGCTAATTTTTTTTTATATTTTTAGTAGAGACGGGGTTTCACCATGTTAGCCAGGATGGCCTCGATCTCCTGACCTTGTGATCCACCTGCCTCGGCCTCCCAAAGTACTGGGATTACAGGCATGAGCCACCGTGCCTGGCCTTTTTTTTGTTGTTTAAATTTAAATTTTAAAGTAGAGACAGGGTTTTGCTATGTTGCCCCGGCTGATCTCGAACTTCTGGGCTCAAGAGATCCTCCCACCTCAGTCTCCGAAAGTGCTGGGGTTACAGGCATGAGCCACCATGCCTAGCCAAAGTCCGCTTGTCTAATTAGAGTAAGAGAAGGCTTCACAGAAGAGGTGGCATTTTCTAACTGGGTTTTGACAAATGAGGTGTTTGTCAAAGGTAATTGCATATGAAAAGACATCAGGTGTAAGAAGATAAACTAAGGAATCTTAATAGAAAATAGCAAAAGTCAGACATTTAGAAATACCACATAATCACTGACAGCTTTTTAAAAAATAATGATGAAATGACTAATTTGGTGAAAAATTGATATACAGAAAGATAAATATGAGCTTGGAACTTTCAATAGACCATTTTTTGGCCTTTACTGAATGTTACTTTAACAAAGCTGCCTTCAGAATTTTATGCCAGGAACCTTTTTCAAGAATGATACAGACATCTTGCCATGTTAATTTGGCTTCTGTGTTACTTACTACCTAACAATTACTTTTATTTCAGATCTTGAACATCTTTAAGATGAGTAAGTAAAAATTCTAAACCACTAATGCATTTGCTTACAAATATTTTCCCCCTATTTTTAAAACCAAACATGCTTTCAGTGTACACCCTGGATTGGCATTTAGATGAGTTTAGGGTAAGCAGATAATCAATCATAGGAATATAATAGACATCAGTGATATTGCTTTGAAAGGTATACACTCTGATTTATGTTAGAGTATTGTTGTTTATGATACCTTTAAAAAATTTGTGATGGAATAAGGCTTTTATAGTGAAGCCCCAAAGAGAAAGCCATTATTTATTTATTTATTTTAACAATCCATTTAACCTTATACTGATTAAATTTGAATGTTTGGAGTGGTTGCCAGTACCTGCAGTTTATATAACTTATAAAGATGAATACTTGTCAGGTGATGAGGATATTAACCAATAGACAATACAGACTTTAGTTGTTGGTTTCAAAACTCATTTTTGGTTTTGAAACTCATTTTCAGTTATGTCATTTAAAACTTACATTTACCCACACCTGTGAAAATTGTCTGAAGCCGGAGGGTTAAGAATATTATTTTAGGCCGGGTGTAGTGGCTCACGCCTGTAATCCCAGCACTTTAGGAGGCCAAACTGGGTGGATCACCTCAGGTCAGGAGTTTGAGACCTGCCTGGCCCACATGGTAAAACACTGTCTCTACTAATAATACAAAAATTAGCTGGGCATGGTGGCACACGCCTCCGGAGGCTGAGGCAGGAGAATCGCTTGAACCTGGGAGGCAGATGTTGCAGTGAGCCAAGATCGTGCCATTGCACTCCAGCCTGGGTGACAAGAGCGAAACTCTGTCTCAAAAAAACCAAAAAAACAAAAAAACAAAGAATATTATTTTACTTGCAATTTACTTAACATATTTCCAAGAGTAAAAAACAAACTACTTTTAAGTGTCCCCAAATGTGTGTGTTTCTTCCATTATAGCTTTGACGGGTATGCCAAAGCTATGTGTGAATAAATACTGTAAAAAATAAATACTATAAAAAAGCTATGTGTGAAAAAATACTGAAAAAGTCAATGTGTGAATAAATACTGTATGTAAGAAATTAACCCGTGGAGGTATTTGTGGCACTTTATCTTCTTCCTTCAACTTTATTTCCCCCTTTTGCTTCTTGTCCACCTTGGTGCTTAATCCCACATCAGCCTTATACCTCCTACTGTATAGAACAAATAGAAGCTATTGTCTGAGAATAGCCACTTTTTCTTGATACCAGATATCCTATACTCTCTTTATCGGCACCTGTTGGTTGTCCCCCTCATGTTGAAGGCCTTGCCAACCTGTGCTCTGGATCACCTTGCTTCCCCTCTTCCAGGAACCTCACACTGTTGATTATTTCTATTTTCTCAAGCATATTCATCCTTTCTCTCTATTACATTTTTTTAAATTTAAATTTTATTTATTTCTTATTGTTTTTAGCGACAGGGTCTTGCTCTATTGCTAAGGCTGAAGTGCAGTGGTGCAACCTTGGTTCACTGTAGCCTCAACCTCCTGGGCTCAGGCAATTCTCCCATCTCAGCCTCCTGAGTAGCTGAGACTACAGGTGTCTGCCACCATGCCTGGCTTTGTGTTTTTATTTTGTAGAGACTGGGTCTCACTTTGTTGTCCAGGCTAGTCTTGAATTCCTGGGCTCAAGTGATCCTCCTGTGTTGGCCCCCCAAAGTGCTGGGATACTAGGCATGAGCCGCTTGCGCCTGGCTCAGTTATATTCTTCTCATCAATTTGTAATCATGCTTAAGTATATCCAATTAAAAGCAAACAAACTCTCATTAGATCCTTCATTTCCCTGTGAGCCCCTGACTGTTGGTCATCTTTCTTTCACAACTAAATTACTCTAAAGAATTGAAAGGTAGTGTGATGCCTACTGCTTGTTCTTTTTTGCATAGGATTGCCTTGGGTATACGGGCTCTTTTTTGGTTTCATATGATTTTTTTTTTCTTTAATTTTTTGAGACTGAGTCTTGCTCTGTTCTCCAGGCTGGAGTGCAGTGGCAAGATCTCAGTGCACTGCAATCTCCGCCTCCCTGATTCAAGGGATTCTCCTGTATCAGCCTCCTGAGTAGTTGGGACTGCAGGCAAGCATCACCATGCCTGGCTAATTTTTGTATTTTAAGTAGAGACAGGGTTTTGCCACATTGGCCAGGCTGGTCTCAAACTCTTGACCTCAAGTGATCCACCTGCCTTGGCCTCCTAAAGTTGGTTCCGTATATATTTTAAAATACTTTTTCTACTTCTGTAAAAAATATCATTGGTCGTTTGATAGGAATAGCATTGAATGTATAAATTGCTTTGGGCAGTATGGCCATTTTAACAATATGGAGTCTTCCTATCTGTGAGCATGGAATGTTTTTTCGTTTGTTTGTGTCACCTCTGATTTCTTTGAGCAGTGTTTTGTAGTTCTCATTGTAGAGCTCTTTCATTTCCCTGGTTAGCTGTATTCCTAGGCATTTTATTCTTTTGCTGGCAATTGTGAATGGGATTTCCTTTCTGATTTGGCTCTCGGCTTGGCTGTTGTTGGTGTATATGAATGCTAGTGTTTTTTGCACATTGATTTCTTTTCCTTTTTCTCTCTTTTTTTTTTTTTTTTTTGAGACAGGGTCTTGCTCTGTTGCCCAGGCTGGAATACAGTGGTGCCATCATTGCTCACTGGAACCTCTGCCTCCCAGGTTCAAGTGATTCTTGTGCCTCAGCCTCCGGAGTAGCTGGGACTACAGGTGTGCACCACCGTGCCCAGCTAACTTTTTGTATTTTTAGTAGAGATGAGGTATTGCCATGTTGGCCAGGCTGCTCTCGAACTCCTGGCTTCAAGTGATCTGTCCGTCTTGGCCTCCAAAAGTGCTGGGATTGCAGGTCTGAGCCACCACACCCAGCCAGCACATTGATTTTGTATCCTGAAACTTTGCTATAGTTGTTTATCAGCTAAAAGGGCTTTTGGGCAGAGACTATGGGGTTTTCTAGATATAAAATCATGTCACCTACAACCAGGAATAGTTTGACTTCCTCTCTTCCTATTTGGATACCCTCTATTTCTCTCTCTTGCATGATTATTCTGGCCACAACTTCCATAGCAACAATACTATGCTAAAGAGGAGTAGTGAGAGAGGGCATCCTTATCTTGTGCTAGTTTTCAAGGGGAATGCTTCTGGCTTTTGCCCATTCAGTATGATGTTGGCTGTGGGTTTGTCACATATGGCTGTTATTATTTTGAGGTGTGTTCCTTCAGTAGCTAGTTTGTTGAGAGTTTTTAACATGAAGGGATGTTGAATTTTATCAAAAACCTTTTCACATCTGTTGAGATAAACATGTGGTTTTTGTCTTTAGTTCTTCATGTGAGCAACTATGTTTATTGATTTGCATATGTTGAACCAACCTTGCATCCCAGGGATAAAGCCTACTTGATCATGGTGGATTAGCTTTTGATTTACTGCTGGATTTTGTTTGCTAGCATTTTGTTGAGGATTTTTGCATCAATGTTCATCAAGGATATTAGCCTGAAGTTTTCTTTTTCTGTTGTGTTTCTTTTTTTTTTTTTGAGACAGAGTCTTGCTCTATCTCCCAGGCTGGAGTACAGTGGTGTGATCTCAGCTCACTGCAACCTTCGCCTACTGGGTTCAAGCAGTTCTCCTGCCTCAGCCTCCTGAGTAGCTGGGATTATAGGAGCATGCTACCACACCTGGCTAATTTTTGTGTGTGTGTGTGTATATATATATATATATATATATATATATTTTTTTTTTTTTTGAAACGGAGTCTCACTCTGTCACCAGGCTGGAGTGCAGTGGCACAGTCTCAGCTCACTGCAATCTCTGCCTCCTGGGTTCAAGTGATTCTCCTGCCTCAGCCTCCTGAGTATCTGGGACTGCAGATTCATGCTGCCACAATCGGCTAATTTTTTTTTTTTTTGTATTTTAGTAGACACAAGGTTTCACCATATTGCCCAGGCTGGTCTTGAACTCCTGAGCTCAGGCGGTCCACCTGCCTCGGCCTCCCAAAGTGTTAGGATTATGGGCGTGAGCCACCATGCCTGGCCTAATTTTTGTATTTTTTAGTAGAGACAGGGTTTCACCATGTTGGCTAGGTTGGTCTTGAACTTTTGACCTCAAGTGATCCTCCCTCCTCGGTCTTCCAAAGTGCTGGAATTACAGGTGTGAGCCACCACGCCCAGCATTTTTGTAGTGTTTCTTCCAGGTGTTGGTGTCAGGATATTGCTGGCCTCATAGAATGAGCTGGGGAGGAGTCCCTTCTCCTCAATTTTTTAGAATGGTTTCAGTAGGAATGGCACCAGCTCTCCTTTGTACATCTGGTAGAATTTGGCTGTGAATTCATCTGGTCCTGGGCTCTTTTTCGTTGGTAGGTGCTATTTATCACTGATTCAATTTTGGATCTCATTATTAGTCTGTTCAGGGATTCAATTTTTTCCTGGTTCAGTTTTGGGAAGGTGTATATATCCAGGAGTTTATCCATTTCTTCTAGATTTTCTAGTCTTTGTGCATAGGGGTGTTCACAGTAATCTCTGATGCTTGTTTATATTTCTGTGGGGTCAGTGGTAATATCCCCTTTGTCACTTCTGATTGTGTTTATTTGGATCTTCTCTCTTTTCTTCTTTGTTAGTATAGCTAGTGGTCTTTCTATCTTATTAATTTTTTTTTTAAACCAGCCCCTGATTCTTTGATCTTTTAAATGGTTTTTGTGTCTCAGTGTCCTTCAGTTCAGCTCTGATTTGGTTATTTCTTGTCTTCTGCTGGCTTTGGGGTTGGTTTGCTGTTGTTTCTCTAGTTCTTTTAGTTGTGATGTTAGGTTAGGTTATTAATTTGAGGTCTTTCTAACTTTTTTTTTTTTTTGGAGACGGAGTCTTGCTCTGTCGCCCAGGCTGGAGTGCAGTGGCGCCATCTCAGCTCACTGCAAACTCCGCCTACCCGGTTCACGCCACTCTCCTGCCTCAGCCTCCCGAGTAGCTGGGACTACAGGCGCCGGCCACCATGCCCGGCTAATTTTTTGTAGTTTTAGTAGAGACGGGGTTTCACCGTGTTAGCCAGGATGGCCTCGATCTGCTGACCTCGTGATCCGCCCCCCTCAGCCTCCCAAAGTGCTGGGATTACAGGTGTGAGCCACCGCGCCCGGCCTTTCTAACTTTTTTATGTGGGCATTTACAGTTATAAATTTCCCTCTTAACACTGCCCTAGCCGTGTCCCAGAGTTTCTGGTATGTTTTATCTTTGTTCTCATTAATTTCAAAGAATTTCTTGATTTCTTCCTTAATTTCATTATTTATTCAAAAGTCATTCAGGAGCAAATTGTTTAATTTGCATGTGATTGTATGATTTGGGGTGATTTTCTTAGTCTTACATTCTATTTTTATTGCACTGTAGTTCAAGAGAGTGGTTCTTGTGATTTCTGTTCTTTTGCATTTGCTGAGGATTGTTTTATGTCTGATTACCTGGTTGATTTTAGAGTATGTGCCATGTGCAGATAAGAAGAATATATATTCTGTTGTTTTTGGGTGTAGAGTTCTGTAGATTTCTAACTTATCCATCTGGTCCAGTGTGTCCTGAATATCTTTGTTAATTTTCTGCCTTGATGATCTGTCTAATACTGTCAGTGGGGTGTTGAAGTCACACTACGTGACTTCAAACTATACTACAGGGCTATAGTAACCAAAACAACATGGTACTGGTACAAAAACAGACACATAGACCAATGGAACAGAATAGAGAGCCCAGAAATAAGGCTGCACACCTACAATTATCTGATCTTTGACAAAATTGGCAAAAACAAACAACGGGGAAAGGACTCCCTATTCAATAAATGCTGCTGGGAAAACTGGCTAGCCACATGCAGAAGATTGAAACTGGACCGCCTCCTTACACCATATAAAAAAAGCAACTCAAGATGGATTAAAGACTTACATGTCTTTAAGACTTACCCCCAAACTATAAAAACTCTAGAAGACAACATAGGCAATATCATTCTGGACATAGGAACTGGCAAATATTTCATGATGAAGACACCAAATGCAATATGACAGAAGCAAAAACTGACAAATGGATCTAAGTAAACTAAGGAGTTTCTGCATAGCAAAATAAGCTGTCAACAGAGTAAACAGACGACCTGCAAAATGGGAGAAAATATTTGCAAACTATGCATCTGAAGAAGGTCTAATATCCAGCATCTATAAAGAACTTAAACAGATTTACAAGAAAAAAACAAACAATCCCATTAAAAAGTGGGCAAAGGACATGAACAATTTTCAAAAGAAGACATATATGCAGCCAACAAGCATATGGAAAAAAAGATCAATATCACTAATCATTACAGAAATGCAAATCAAAACCACAATGATGTATCATCTCACATCGACAGAATGGCTGCTATTAAAAAGTTAAAAAACAACAGATGCTGGTAAGTTTGCAGAGAAAAGGGAATGCTTATTGGGGGGAGTGCAAATTAGTTCAACCATGGTGGAAAGCAGTGTGGTAATTCCTTAAAGAGCTAAAAAACAGTACTGCCATTTGATCCAGCAATCCTATTACTGAGTATATACCCAAAGGGATATAAATTGTTCTATCATAAAGACATATGCACGTGTATGTTCAATACAGCACTATTTACAATAGCAAAGACATAGACTCCATCTAATTGTCCACCAATGGAAGACTCAATAAAGAATATGTGGGACATACACACCATGGAATACTATGCAGCCATTAAAAAGAATGAGATCATGTCCTCTGCAACTAAGTAACACAGGAACAGAAAACCAAATACTGCATATTCTTGCTTATAAGTGGGAGCTAAATGATGAGAACACATGGACACAAAGAAGGGAAAGAAGACACTGAGGCCTAATTGAGGGTGAAGGGTAGGAGGAGGGCGAGGAGCAGAAAAAATAGCTATTGGGTACTAGGCTTAGTACCTGGGTGATGAAATAATCTGTACATCTAACCCCCATGACATGAGTTTACCTACATCACAAACCTGCATATGTGCCCTGAAGATAAAATCTAAGTTAAAATAAAAAAGTTGAAAGAACTGTCCATCCTGGCAGCCTCCATTTTCCCACCTGCTACTTATATGTCAACCCACTTCATTCCAGCTTTCAGCCTTAGAACTCTTCAGAAACACCTCTCTCTTTGTTTCTCTCTCAGGTTATCAATGACCTTCCTGTCAATAAACTTAATGGATATATTTCAGTCACCATTATATTTGGCCTCTTGGTGACTGTGACACTACTGACCATCCTTCTTTCTAGAAACATTTCTAGCTTTGTTCTTCACAATACAAACTCTTCTAATCTTACTCCCACCTCTTTTGCTACCTCTTCCCTGTTTCTTTTGTGGGTTCACCTTCTTTCATACAATTATTAAATGCTGAGTGTTGATATGGTTAGGCTGTGTCCTCACCCAAATCTCATCTTGAATTCCCACATGTTGTGGGAGGGACCCAG
Source organism: Homo sapiens (assembly GCF_000001405.40). NCBI lineage: Eukaryota > Metazoa > Chordata > Mammalia > Primates > Hominidae > Homo > Homo sapiens. The sequence continues at coordinate 199,920,102 of NC_000001.11, read as the reverse complement.
TGAGAGGTAATCGAATCATGGGGGTCAGGTCTTTCCTGTGCTGTTCTCATGATAAGAGGGAGTTTTCTTGCACAAATTCTCTTCTCTTGTTTGCGGCCATGCAAGATGTGCCTTTCACTTTCCACCTTCCATCATGATTGTGAGGCACCCCCAGCCATGTGGAACTGTGAGTCCAATAAACATCTTTCTTTTGTAAATTGCCCAGTCTCGGGTATGTCTTTATCAGCAGTGTGAAAATGGACTAATACAAGTTTATTGAAGCTGCCTCTTAGATTTTTTTCATCCTATTCTACACTCTCTTTAGCCCTACTGGAACAGTGACTGATTACTGGGGAGGTTCCCTAAAGGAAAAGTCAGGAGCTGTTGCCAGAGCAAGGAAAATGGATGCTGGAAACGGATACTGGCCATGCAAAAAATAAACAAGGATGCCGGGCGTGGTGGCTCATGCCTGTAATCCCAGCGCTTTGGGAGGCCGAGGCAGGTGGATCACTTGAGGTCAGGAGTTCAAGACCAGCCTGGCCAATATGGAGAAACCCTTTCTTTACTAAAAATACAAAAATTAGCCAGGCGTGGTGGCACACAACTGTCATCCCAGCTACTTGGGAGGCTGAGGCAGGAGAATTGCTTGCACCTAGGAGGCAGAGGTTGCAGTGAGCCGAGATTGCACCACTGCACTCCAGCCAGGGCAACAGAGCGAGACTTCATCTCAAACAAACAAACAACCCCCCCCGCAAAAAAACTAAAACAACAAAGGAAAACAAAAGCAAACTAAAAGTCCACTACAACAGACAGTCTATTATTTATACTATATCCTCAAACTTATCCATCATGTCCTGTTTCAGCCACCCTACATCCAACAGTTTTGTGACTATGCTGTACCATAAATTACAGCTATGCTTTTGATCCAATGCACATTTGGAATTTTTGTTTTTCTCCCAAATTTACCAACAGAAACCCTACCTACTTCTTAAGACTTAGAAGATATGTCTTCTGGAAAACCTAAATTAAACTTTTTTTTTTTTCTGTGTGTCCTCATAACACTTTGCTTCTCTCCCTGTGCACTTACCACATTCTATATTTATAGTATAGTTAGTTCTGCTTTTGCAGTCTAAATCCCTGCTACATTGTAAGCTCCATGAGGACAACTATACCTCATTTGTCTTTTAATTCCTCATAGGATGTAGCATGTTGCCAAGTTCATGGTAAGTGCTATGTACTTTTTTGTTGGTTTGACAATTGTCTATTCTCACTGAGTCATAAGCAGGCAGACTAAAACGTCCAAGAATTAAAAAAAGAGTGGCAATTAAAGAAGAAAAGAAGAAATTTTATTTTTTACTCTTATTCAAATAATTAAGTCAATCTAAATATCCACAGATTTTAGATCCCTGAGAGCTGCTATGGTGTAACAAGAGCTCCTCTGTTTCACACTGTTACATGGAGAAGATAGCCTAATCCTAAATATTGTGAGTTGTTTCCCTAGTCTGGTTTTATCTCGAATGAATGACCTGCCCTTTGGTTGTTTATGTTGGTCAGTCATGATCCTCACGTCCTAAACAAATGCAAACAATTATAGACTAACCTCTCTAAACAAGCAAATTCTGGGAAAATAAAATCACCACTGTGATAATTTGGAAAGAATACTGATGACCTTTAACATCAAAATAATACAGTTACAGCCTCCTGCATGTATTATTTATGAGAATGCTCATCCTATAAGTCACAAAGGGAGGTGAATGGCCCATGTTTATACCCTGGAGGCAGCTGCACTTTCCCAAGGATGGGTTGGGAGATCATCCCCCCTCATATCTTTTTCTAAACACAGTGTAGGTCTGAGGTGAATGTGACCTCAGTTTTTCCTTCTCCAAGTCAGTTCTGCTTATAAGATTTTGGTGGTAATAGTTTCAATGAGAGCAACTTTTACTCTGAATATGAGACCCTGACAAACACTGGGCTTACTCAGCACTGTGTCACATAGAAAGCTGTTTTTCTGACAATAGTAATGGAGAAGGAATTGATGGAGATAGATGTCAGAGACATTTTGAAGGGTGACTGAAATCATCCCTCAATTCTGTGTTGAGTACTTCAAACTCTGTACATCTGTGGATTTCTTTTTTTTGTTGTTTTTTTAAGCTTTTATTTTAGGTTCAGGAGTACCTGTGCAGGTTTGTGATATGGGTAAGCTTGGCTCACGGGGGTTTGATGTATAGATTATTCCATCACCCAGGTACTAAAGCTAGTACACAACAGTTATCTTTTCTGATCCTCTCTCTCCTCCCACCCTCAAGTAGCCCCCAGTGTCTGTTGTTCCCCTTTGTGTCCATGTGTTCTCATCATTAGCTACCACGTATAAGTGAGAACATGTGGTATTTGGTTTTCTGTTCCTTTATTACTTTGCTAGGGATGATGGCCTCCAGCTCCATCCATGTTCCTGCAAAGGACATGATCTCATTCTTTTTTTATGGCTAGATAGTGTCTCACAGTGTGTATGTACATTTTGTTTATCCAGTCTGTCACTGATGGACATTTAGGTTGATTCCATGTCTTTGCTATTGTCAATAGTGTTGCAATGAACATACATGTGCATGTGTCTTTAGAGTAGAATGATTTATATTCCTTTGGGTATATGCCCAGTAATGGGATTGCTGGGTCCGGTCATGGATTTCTTAAGACTCATCCTATCTAGTCATCTCCCTGACATGCAGTATCACAATTTCTGAATCCCCTGTCTTCAGTAGTCTTAAGCTTACCTTATATAAATCTCATACCTTTTGCCAAGCACAGAGGAAGATCTTAATATGTTGTATTTACAGAACAAAATATAATGGACTAAATCATTCTAGTTGATTAAAATGATGTCTGTGAAAGGCAGTTTTTCTTCCTCATTTGCTTTAATATTTTGTTTTCATCTTTATGATAACTGAAGTTCATATTTCTTTTGCTGCCGAAATAGTTTTATAAATGTGTTTCTATGTTGGTTGAATCTGAAGCAAACTCAAACAAGAATGATTCTTTCTTCTATTTTAAAATTATGCTTTTATTTTATTTTTTTAAAATTATAGTTTTAAAGGTGTAGACTACTTCGAGAAACATATTACACCTAAATACAAACATGCAAAAAGACACTTCAGCTCACAGTTGTTTTATAGAGGAAATCTTTGCTTTACTAAATTACTTATCCAGATTTTGCTAAAAAAGGGAGCCCTGCTAGTATTTTCTACTGAAATAATTACTTGCTAGAAAGCCTGTGTAGAAGAGAAATTTTTGGTTCCTCTTTACTGGTAGAGTTACCAGGGCTGGGCATGGTGGTGTGTGCCTATAATCCTAGCTACTTGGGAGGCTGAGGCAGGAGCATCACTTGAGCCCTGGAGGTCAAGGTTGCAATGAGCTGTTACTGCACCACTGTGCTCCAGGCCTGGGTGACAGAGTAAGACCCTGTCTTTATTTAAAATAAAATAAAAAGTTTGCCAGGTAAAATATAGAATTCCTAGTTAAATTTGAATTTCAGATAAATGACAATTTTTTGGTATACATATGTTCCAATCATTGTGTGGATATATTTATACTAAACAAATGATTTATTATTTGTCTGAAATTAAAATTTAATGTAGTGTCCTGTATTTTTATTTGCTGAATCTGGCAATCCTACCAGGATAGAAGAAAATCTTATTCATTAAACATTTATTACAAAATTTCAATTTGTAACAAACAGTTTTTTGTATAACTTTTTTTCTTTTTTTTTCATCAACTGAGGTGAACTGTGTTAGAAGATACATGCAAAAGTTCTTTGTAAACTGAAAATACGGGTACAAAAATGTTCATATGTGTTAGGAGAAAGCATGACTCAAGGGTATAACACTAAAGAGCATAAAAAGGTATGACAACAAAGGCTTGGGAGGGAGGTCAGAGTTATTTTTTCTCCTTTCTTCACCATTATTCCAAGTTTTCCAACCCCTAATCACTCTTATGCAAACTGTTTTATCAAAACATACACGTGAAGTAAGTTGTATTGGGTCTGAGTTGAGAGCAATAAAAAGAAAAATAGTATAGCCGGGCATGGTGGCACTCCTGTAGTCCCAGCTACTTGGGAGGCTGAGGCAGGAGGATCCCTTGAACCCAGGAGCTCGAGGCTGTAGTCAGCTATGATTGCACCACTGTGCTCCAGCCTGGGCCACATAGAGTGATCCTGTCTCTAAAAAAACAAAAAAGAAAAACAGTAGAAGTAGAGAGAGTCTAGGCTTCATAGTAAAAATGATCTAGGTTCAAATCCTGAATGTCTTGATCATGTTATTTAACTTCTGCTTGTCAACATTTGTATTAAAAGTTTAGATAAGGCTGGGCACGTGGCTCATGCCTGTAATTCCAGCACGTTGGGAGGCCAAGGCGGGCAGATCACCTGAGGTCAGAAGTTCGTGACAATCCTGGCCAACCTGGTGAAACCCCGTCTCTACTAAAAATACAAAAGTTAGCTTGGGCATGGTGGCACGTGCCTGTAATCCCAGCTACTCAGGAGGCTGAGGCGGGAGAATCGCAGGAGGCAGATGTTGCAGAGAGCTGAGATCGCGCCACTGCACTCCAGCCTGGGCAACAGAGTGAGACTTCATCTCAAAAAAAAAAAAAAAAAAAAAGTTTAGATAAATGGCTTTTCTGCATAAAGTGACTGGGTTATATTAGCCATTCACTATATGGTAGCTTTTATTATGATTATGGTAAGGATATAAGAAGAGAGCCACAATGATAAGAAAACAATAGAGGTGAAGGAAAGGACACATGGAATGAGAGAAAAGAAAGAATGAAATTTAGGAGTCTTAAAAAAATCTTTTGAGGGTTAAAATGAAATAAAAATGAGCAACCATCTCTTCCACTCCCAACAGTAACAAAAATCCCAGTGTGTTGTTTCACCTTCAAATTCTTCCAAAGTCTTTTTTTTTTTTTTTTTGAGACAGAGTCTTGCTCTGTTGTCCAGGCTGGAGTGCAGTGGTGTGATCTCGGCTCACTGCCTCTGCCTCCCAGGTTCAAGCAATTCTCCTGCCTCAGACTCCTGAATAGCTGGGATTATAGGCATCTGCTACCATGCCTGGCTAATTTTTGTAATTTTAGTAGAGTTGGGGTTTTGCCATGTTGGCCAGGCTGGTCTCTAACTCCTGACTTCAAGTGATCCTCCCCCCTCAGCTTCCCATAGTCCTGGGATTACAGGTGTGAGCCACCATGCCTGGCCTAAAATGTTAATCTATTTGTTTATTTAGAGACTGGCTTATAAGACTGGCTAATTTTTATATTTTTGGTAGGGACGAGGTTTCACCATTTTGCCCAGGCTGTCTCGAACTCTTGGGCTCAAGCGATCCACCGGCCTCAGCCTGCCTGGCCCCTTTCCAAAGTCTTACTGTGACTAATGCAATAAACAAAGTTGCAATTGATGAAACAGTTATTAAAATTTGCCTAACAAAATAGTCAAAACGGCTAAGAGAAGGCTATCCAACTCCCACATTTCCAGATGATAAGTGAAAAATTAATATTTTGAAATATCAAGATGAGTAACATTGTTTTGGATTGATAGATTGATAGATTTTTTCACTTTTTTTCAACACACCCTGTTATTTTTAAGCCTGTTATGAAGCTGCTTGCTTTGTACAATATACAATTGATTATTTAAGAATGCATTAGCACAAAGAAAGCTCCATTCCTAAGAAGTGATTAATAAATATGCAACTTGAGAGCCCAAGATTTGAGAAAATTATGACAACTGTACTTAAAGAATATTGAGAATATTGGCCGGGCGTGGTGGCTCATGCCTGTAATCCCAGCACTTTGGGAGGCCGAGGTGGGCGGATCACTTAAGGTCAGGAGTTCGAGACCAGCCTGGCCAACATAGTGAAACCCCATCTCTACTAAAAATCTAAAAATTAGCCGGGCATGGTGGTGCATGCCTGTAATCCCAGCTACTCAGGAGGCTGAGGCAGGAGAATCGCTCGAACCTGGGAGGCGGAGGTTGCAGTGAGCCAAGATTGCGCCATTGCACTCCAGCCTGTGTGACAGAGTGAGACTCCATCACACAAAAAAAAAAAGAAAAAGAGAATATTAAGGATAGCATTGTGTTTATATAAAGAGCTGAGTTGTGTTTTTTTTTTTTTTGTCTAATAGAAAACAATAGACTTGAATCAAGGTGTCCTTGATGCACATATTTTGATAGAGCCTTATAAATTAGGATCCAATCATGATTAAACAGTATTTGACCCAAATAAATTCTGTGAGTGTTTGACAACATGGAGATTAACAAACTCTGGCATGTAAAATCCTGGAAGTTATGAAAGTAAGATCCAACATAACTTGTCTACCGTTAGGAGCTTGCCCTAAGTTATGAACAATTCCCCAAATTTTCTAACATGCTTTAGAATCTGAAATCCCTGTGCACAGGTGGAGAGAATCTTCCCTCAGCCCCTCAGGTCATCAGTTTATAGCCGGAGGCATAGGTTTCATTATAGCACATCATTATCATAGCTTGCATAGCTGCAGATGCAAATGACAGTAATTAACCATTTGCATTTTCAAAGAAAGGGTTTAGGAGGAGACTTCAACCTTTCACTATGGCTCAGGACCGAGTGACCACATTGCTATTGATTATGACCTCTGACAGACTTAACATCCTAGGCCTTGTTCCAATGCACATTTGAAGCAGACATAGATCAAGCACACAACTAATGAATTTAACAGCCTCATTAGGTAACTCTGCCTCCCCTTAATCGTTCACAGAAATGCTCTGGGCATTTTAAAACAGGCATTAATGGAGAAAGCTTTGGGGATTTCAGGCAAGTGCTTTTTCTTTCCCAGATACCTTCCTACCAATAGCTTCACGCTCAGTGCCATCTCCTGACCGCCTGCCTGTCAGGTCCTATCTGTGTGCTGGGTGTCCTACGCCACTGCTGAAGGAGGCAATCATTTTAAATGGCTCCAAATGAAGTCGGTTATTGCCCATTATTTATTTACTTGATCTTGGAGTCACAGAAAATGACATAGGCCAAGATCCTAGGCTTCTCTCTTTGCTTTGTCCTGGGCTTTAGTCCTTCGAATTCAGCTGGAGACATTTCATATGCTGTGAGCTGCATTTTAAGTTGCTCTCTTACAGTGGGTCACAATTTACTCTGGGGCTGCATTGCCCTCATCTTTTGTGTAAAGTTGCTTCTCATGCACCTGTTCCATTTTAGACCATTTCCAACCTCCCTTCTGGGACCCCCGTTCCTTAACTCTTGTGGTTAAGGTTGGTTCAAAGTCTAAGTGTCTGTATTTTTTCCCCCGTATTCTTCCCAGGTACATAGTTGAATACTGGATATAAGATAAGCAGATAATCCATCAATTTAGTTTACTGGCAAGATCTGAAAAATCGAAATGAATTAGATGAGAACATGTTACTTAGGAATTGGGAGAAGAAAGAATTGAAGAATCAAGGTTACTCTATAAATCTCAGGATTTCTGTTTCATTTCCAAATAGTTACAAGAGAAGGCTAGCCTTTCCAGGGAATGCACTGATAAAGATATCCATACTCTAGCAAATGTTCCTCATTTGCATATTTTCTGCAAATCTTATGGTCAATGTGTATCAGTATAAATCAGTGTCTCTTAAGCTTTTCCATGTCATGGCACACACACTAAAGTGATTTTTTTTTTTTTTTTTGGAGACCAAGTCTTGGTCTGTTGCCCAGGCTGGAGTGTGGTGGCACAATCTCGGCTTACTGAAACCTCTGCCTCCCGAGTTCAAGTGATTCTCATGCCTCAGCCTCCCAAGTAGCTGGGATTACAGATGTGCACCACCATGCCCAGCTAATTTTTGTATGTTTTTTTTTTTTTTAGTAGAGATGGGGTTTCGCCATGTTGACCGGGCTGGTCTAGAACAACTGACCTCAAATGATCTGCCCACCTTGGCCTCCCAAAGTGCCGGGATTACAGGAGTGAGCCACTTCTCCTGGCCCCAAAATGATATTTGTACCACACACTGGGGTAAACTGAAGAAGATTTAGGGTGTCTATATGAAGCCAGGGGAACAATTCACCATTGTTTATATTAAATGATTATGAAGAGAAGAGAAATTACACAGCACTGGGGGACATATTAAATAGAAAACCAATAAAATATTTTCATAATTTTTATTTTAGTTATTAAAAGACAGAAACAAGTGGATTTTGTTTTTGCTTTGAGATGTTTATGAATTTTGAAAAGGTAGTGTATTAGAGAAATAGGAAAAAATTCACATTTCTGAGCACTTACTTTGTATCAAGGACCAAGGCGGGTGGATCACTTGACATCAGGAGTTCGAGACCAGCCTGGCCAACATGGTGAAACCCCATCTCTACTAAAAATACAAAAATTAGCCGGGTGTGGTGGTGTGCACCTGTAATCCCAGCTACTTGGGAAGCTGAGGAAGGAGAATTGTTTGAACTTGGGAGGCAGAGGTTGCAGTGAGCCGAGATCACACCTCTGCACTCCAGCCTGGGTAACAGAGTGATACTCTGTCTCAATTAAAAAAAAAAAAGGATTAAAAAGTAAATTCTGTGATGGACAGGTATCTTTTATTGCTGAATTTACAGCAGTTGGAATAATACCCAGTACAGAGAAGGTGCCCCTTAAGCGTTTTTTGTTGATTAAATAAAAGGTAAATCACAATTAATAAAATTGACATTTGGAGGTGCTGACCAAGGTTATACAGGTAGCAAATTTTTAAGCTAGAATTGAGCTCAATCTGTTGGTCTTCAAAACCTAGGCGTCTCCACTGCACAGTATTGGTTTCCCCTTTGCAGGGAAGTGCATCCTCAGCCAAATGAATCATTTCTTGATACAGAGCAGGAAGCAGTTCATTGCCATAAATCGATTCAATTTCTAACCAAATCCTTTTGTGCACTATCTTCTTCTTCTATTCTAAGTGGAATCTTTATTAAATTCTGTGGAAAGCATAAATAAGTTATCATTAATTACACTTGGAGCCTCTAAAGATTGATATTAAAATTTTTAAAAGTTTAAAGAGTTAATTAGGCCCCAAATCCTGAGTCACACTTAACAACATAGGGACCTTAATAACTATTGGCATTCAAATATTGATGATCAGCAGTTCGAAATTTAACAATTAAGTATATTATGCCTGAGAGTATTTTGGAGAATTTCAGGTTTGATGAGTGGAAATTGACTTTACTTTTTTTTTTTTTTGAGACAGAGTCTCACTCTGTCACCCAGGCTGGAGTGCTGTGGTGTGATCTTGGCTCACCACAACCTCCGCCTTCCAGGGTTCAGCCACCCGAGTAGCTGGGATTACAAACGTGCACCACTGCACTTGGTTAATTTTTGTATTTTTTTTTTTTTTTAGTAGAGACGGGATTTCGCCATGTTGCCCAGGCTGGTCTTGAACTCCTGGCCTCAAGTGATCTACTCATCTTGGCCTCCCAAAGTGCTGGGATTACAGGCGTGAGCCACCGTGCCCAGCCACCTTTTATGTATTACCACACGTTGTAACAAAGTGGTGCAAAGTGTTCATTTAGTAATTCTTTTTTTTTTTTTTTTGAGATGGAGTTTCACTCTTGTTGCCCAGGCTGGAGTGCAATGGCACGATCTCGGCTCACCACAACCTCCACCTCCCGGGTTCAAGCGATTCTCCTGCCTCACCCTCCCAAGTAGCTGGGATTATAGGCCTGCATCACCAAGCCTGGCTAATTTTGTATTTTTAGTAGAGATGGGTTTCTCCATGTTGGTCAGGCTGGCCTCGAACTCCTGACCTCAGGTGATCCGCCCACCTCAGCCTCCCAAAGTGCTGGGATTACAGGCATGAGCCACCGTGCTCGGCCTCTTATTTATGTTCAGAGTCCTTGCAAACCTCATCAAATGCCCAATAACAAGGCTTCCTCCCAGGCTTACTGCTATGACCACAGAAGATTCCTTCTGTCCTTTGCAAATCTTTTTTTTTTTTTTTTTTTTTTTTTGAGACGGAGTCTCGCTCTGTCGCCCAGGCTGGACTGCGGACTGCAGTGGCGCAATCTCGGCTCACTGCAAGCTCCGCTTCCTGGGTTCACGCCATTCTCCTGCCTCAGCCTCCCGAGTAGCTGGGACTACAGGCGCCCGCCACTGCGCCCGGCTAATTTTTTGTATTTTTAGTAGAGACGGGGTTTCACCTTGTTAGCCAGGATGGTCTCGATCTCCTGACATCATGATCCACCCGCCTCGGCCTCCCAAAGTGCTGGGATTACAGGCGTGAGCCACCGCGCCCGGCCCCCTTGCAAATCTTACAGCTAACATCTTATGTGATGCTGTGTGGCATACTTAGGGAATCATATGTGAAATTACTTAATCATATGCACACTCAGAGGTTGAAGGAACATGTTTGTGTGACAAAGCACCTTTTTCTATATCAGATTTTTTTTTTTTTAAAAACAAGCCAAAATGAAAATATAAAACCCCATGAGATATCCATATGAAGTAACTCTGATTTATGCTGACGTCGTTTATCTGAAGAGTATGTGCCAAGTACATTCAGGGTGGCTTTTTTTCTCAGGGTCTGGAAGCATGAGTGTTACTGGGGCAGACTTTTTCCGGGGCCAATATTTGGGACCTGACAGCAATTCAGGTACATCTGTGGAACGAGGGGTGATGGAGTGATGAAGCACTAGAAGGGGACTGCTGCCAGAAGAAGGCAGTCGGGGAATGCTTGAGCTAGAAATTGCAGGTGGGACAATGCCAATTTTCTTCTTGATGGCTTCCTGAATGGCTCGTTCAAATTATCAGACTTCATCAGTTGTCATGTACTTGTTTGGGCATGACTCACTATGTCATTTGCAGGCGAGGAATGTTGATTGCAAACTTTTTATGTTAGTTTGCTCAGGCATGTTTTTTTCATATTCCTGAACATCATCCATTATCATGTACCATTCATCAACCCATGCAAAAGCCTATGTCGTCTTTGACTGACTTGTGTACAAATTGCCCTACTTTGGTCTGAAGCCTCCAGACCTCCAACCTCACTGGTGGTCTCCAGCTTGTAGAAGCACATGATGGGCTGATGTCTATCTATTCAGCCTGCCCTTAACTGTCCCCATCCTGTCTTCTCTGACTTGAAGTGTTTAGGATCCTCAGATTCTTTGTCGTAGTGCTCTGGAATTTCATTGCAGACAATATCAATAAAGCAAACGTCTCTTTCTAGGTTTTTGGCTTCCTTGTAAAAAACATTTACCGGCCAGGCATTGTGGCTACAGGTGTGAGCCACCACGCCTGGCTTTCTCTCTATTTTAAATTAAAAAAAAAAAAATTGCCAGTTTATTATAAAGGATATTACAAAGGATACAGATGAAGAAATGCATACAGTAAGATATGGGGGAAGCGGAATGGAGCTTCCATACCCTCCCTGGGTGCACCACCCTCCAGGAACCTCCATGTATTCAGCTATCTGGAAGCTCTATTTTCATAATTTTTAATGAGGCCTTAAAGTTGCTTTCGTGACTGTAAGTTTTTCATATTAGGTGTTATAGTTGAATGGCTTTATGTAATTTCTGATTAAGACTTTTAAATAATATTCTCTTCAATATTTTTATATTCAACAATAGATTCTCTTCCCACAAATATATGACAAAATTTAAACCAATCTTCACAATTATTTAAAATAATTATAACACATGAATTATATTGGAAATAATAGCCTTTCCTTATCTTCTCCTTATAATTGTAACACTGAAATTTCTTATGATAATGTGATTTCTATAAAACTTTTCCATACCAGGTATTTCAATATAATAATATAGCAAAATTTTGCAGAAGGCATTTGCATTGTTGGGATGGTCACTTAGAAACCATTAATAGCAAATAGGGAGGTGTGTCTGACTTACGTGATGACAGATATTTAAGTTGCTGGCTGTCCAGTGCCTGTCGGGAGTCCCCATCCAAACTCCTGGAACAAGGGGTTCATGGAGCTGCAGGAAGAGTTATGTAATAGGTTCCTAAGAGCATTCCCTCCAGCAAGATGAGGGTGGAGGATGGCAACAAGGCTGATGGCAAGCACTGGGCAGACAGTAGTTGAATCTTTGTTGTTGCATATATTAAATATGTCTATATGCTCATTGGTATTGGTGTGTTCTAAGTGACCACTCTAAAAAGGCAGGCACATTCTTTAAAATGTAGCTCTATTATTATTTTGAAATAACGTAGAGAGCTGGCTCCTAAAGTCAATATCCAAGTAATAGACGGGGTGCACTGGTGCAGTCACAGCTCACTTCAGCCTCAAACTCCTGGGCTCAAGTGATCCTCCTGCCTCAGACTCCCCAGTAGCTAGGAGCATAGGCATGTGCCACCACACCTGGCTAATTAAAAAAATTTTTTTTTTTTTTTAGAGATGGAGGTCTCGCTATGTTGCCCAGGCTGGTTTGGAATTTCTGGCCTCAAGTTCCTGCCTTGACCTCCCAAAGTACTGGGATTATAGGTTTGAGCCCCTGCTCCCAGCCCAGTTGCTCATGCTCCTTCAACTCTCTGAAGATCCTCAAAGAAGGCTGCTTAAGGCTGGGGGTGACTCTCTTGGCGACAAGCCAGCTTAGTTGCTGTGAGTGCCAAGGAGATTAGTATCTCTCAGCATGCCTGTAATCCATTTGCTGTTTACCAGTATATTTTAGCACCCTGATTAGCAAGCTGTAGTATGAATAGTGTCTCAAAGGAGGTCTCTGTATCCCATTTCCCATGCCATGCATATGCCTAATGAGGATGCCCTAAAAACTGGTTGAGCCTAACTATTATCAGGAGAACCTGAAATTCTGTACCTCCAGGAAAGTTCTGCAAAAGAGATCTTCCCCACTTCCCTCACCCAGGGCGGTAGGTGGGCTGAGGAGTGTCCAATATGGCACTAACTGTGACCAACTGAATTGTGAAAGCTGATTGCAGTTCTTTGGGGTGGAGCCCAGGCAAACTTCTTCAGTGTGTATCAATCCAATAGAAGCTGCTACTATGAGTGGAGGAAGGGAAAGATTAAATAATCTTCTTTGGCCAGGTTGGTCTCGAACTCCTGACCTCAAGTGATGTGTCTGCCTCGGCCTCCCAAAGTGCTGGAATTACAGTCTTGAGCCACCGTGCTCCGCATTGAACTTTATTTTTTAGTGCAGTTTTAGGTTCACAGCAATACTAAGTGGAAACAATAGAGTTCCCACTGCTATGTCTTCAAGGTCCAGCTTCCATATCATTATCTCTATGAAATCTTCTCTGATTTCCCATAGTTGTAAATAAAAGTTTCCTGTTCCAAAATTTCACAGCCCCTTTAAGAAAATTTAACAAGGTTTCATTTTCTAATCTGTTTTATTTGTCATGTACCTATCTTTTCTTCTTCACTAGACTGTAAATTCATTAAGGGCAGGATCCATGTCTAATCTACCTCTGCATCTCCTAACACCATGGTTCCATCATTGTTTTGGCAAATATTGGAGTATGCATGTATTATTACACTGTGCTGCTTACATATTTATAGATTTGTTTTTCTTATTTGACTGAGACCTCTGAGATTATATATTTATTTTTCTGTATCTCCCAATGCTTTGAGCAATGACAAGTATATAGTAAGTGGTTGATAAACGCTTGGTTTTTTAGTATGAAAGGAAGCTGGCTGTTCTACAGTAAAATTTCAGCTGAAACCTCAGTAAGTATTAAGTAGTAATCATAAACAATTAAAAATTATGGAAAAGTATAGAAAAATTTGTTTTCAATAGGATGTATTTATTATGTTCTCAAAAGCATATGTTTTCATCTCCCAATGTTTCCTAAAGCTTGGTGACCTTTGCGTAGGATGAGACATCTTTCATGGATGAAAATAGATCTCTAGCTCTTTGAAATCATAACTTCTTATGACAGTAGAAATATATCAAAGAAAAAAGAGTTTAAGTCAAAATACATCTTTAAAGTTTTCTTTTTCATAGAACATTTGACATTTAAAACTCATTATCTCTTGCCACTTGAATCTCAGTGTTGACCTCAAGGATTCTGTAGAAGGTACAGGATTTAGAGGGCAAAGAGGACCACAGGAAAGAAAGTGAATGAAAATGAAGAGTAGAGAGGCATAACCTGGTCTTGGTGATGTCAAATTCAGACCAAGGGCAGGGGGTAATTTATGGGATGGATCAAAAGGAAAGGGATAAATGATGACAAGAGTAGCAACATGAAGTCAGAAAAGACAAGAAAAATGAAGGAGGCCAAAGGGCAAGACACACAATAGGTGAGGAGGGAACATTTCTAAAATAACAACTGTGATCCTTTAATTTTTTTACATTGCATGAATAACTTCAGAATACTGGTAATAAAATACAGATAAAATTCCCCTTCAACACCATTTCCCTGGAAATCAAATCTTTTTTCTTTTTTTTTTCAGCCCCGGAGAATGGAAAATATTTAGAGAGGTACAAAACTATCAAGTATCTCTATAAATAACTACAAAATTTTAACTTACATTTATTTATAATGTCTAAAGCACAGCCACAAGTTCTCCTCCTCTTGGGAAAGAAGGAGAAAATTTTAAGAGTTGTCTGCTCTTGGCTGGGTGTGGTGGGTCACATCCATAATGCCAGCAATTTGGGAGAATGAGGCTGGAGGATCACTTGAGCCCACGAGTATGAGACCAGCCTGGGCAATATCATAAGATCTGGTCTCCACAAAAATATTTAAAAAATATTGCTCTCCCTCTCCCCTCTCCCCTCTCCCCTCTCCCCACGGTCTCCCTCTCCCTCTCTTTCCACGGTCTCCCTCTCCCTCTCTTTCCACGGTCTCCCTCTCCCTCTCTTTCCACGGTCTCCCTCTGATGCCGAGCCGAAGCTGGACTGTACTGCTGCCATCTCGGCTCACTGCAACCTCCCTGCCTGATTGTCCTGCCTCAACCTGCCAAGTGCCTGCGATTGCAGGCACGCGCTGCCACGCCTGACTGGTTTTCGTATTTTTTTGGTGGAGATGGGGTTTCACTGTGTTGGCCGGGCTGGTCTCCAGCTCCTAACCGCGAGTGATCCGCCAGCCTCGGCTTCCCGAGGTGCCGGGATTGCAGACGGAATCTCGTTCACTCAGTGCTCAATGGTGCCCAGGCTGGAGTGCAGTGGCGTGATCTCGGCTCGCTACAACCTCCACCTCCCAGCTGCCTGCCTTGGCCTCCCAAAGTGCCAAGATTGCAGCCTCTGCCCAGCCGCCACCCCGTCTGGGAAGTGAGGAGCGTCTCTGCCTGGCCGCCCATCGTCTGGGATGTGAGGAGCCCCTCTGCCTGGCTGCCCAGTCTGGAAAGTGAGGAGCGTCTCTGCCCGGCCGCCATCCCATCTAGGAAGTGAGGAGCGCCTCTTCCCGGCCGCCATCCCATCTAGGAAGTGAGGAGCGTCTCTGCCCGGCCGCCCATCGTCTGAGATGTGGGGAGCGCCTCTGCCCCGCTGCCCCGTCTGGGATGTGAGGAGCGTCTCTGCCCGGCCGCCCCGTCTGAGAAGTGAGGAGACCCTCCGCCCAGCAGCCGCCCCGTCTGAGAAGTGAGGAGCCCCTCCGCCCAGCAGCCACCCTGTCTGGGAAGTGAGGAGCGTCTCCGCCCGGCAGCCACCCCGTCCGGGAGGGAGGTGGGGGTCAGCCCCCACCCGGCCAGCCGCCCCGTCCAGGAGGGAGGTGGGGGGTCAGCCCCTGCCCGGCCAGCCGCCCCGTCCGGGAGGTGAGGGGCGCCTCTGCCTGGCCGCCCCTACTGGGAAGTGAGGAGCCCCTCTGCCTGGCCACCACCCCGTCTGGGAGGTGTACCCAACAGCTCATTGAGAACGGGCCATGATGACAATGGCAGTTTTGTGGAATAGAAAAGGGGGAAAGGTGGGGAAAAGATTGAGAAATCGGATGGTTGCTGTGTCTGTAGAAAGAAGTAGACATGGGAGACTTTTCATTTTGTTCTGTACTAAGAAAAATTCTTCTGCCTTGGGATCCTGTTGATCTATGACCTTACCCCCAACCCTGTGCTCTCTGAAACATGTGCTGTGTCCACTCGGGGTTAAATGGATTAAGGGTGGTGCAAGATGTGCTTTGTTAAACAGATGCTTGAAGGCAGCATGCTCCTTAAGAGTCAACACCACTCCCTAATCTCAAGTACCCAGGGACACAAACACTGCGAAAGGCCGCAGGGTCCTCTGCCTAGGAAAACCAGAGACCTTTGTTCACTTGTTTGTCTGCTGACCTTCCCTCTACTGTTGTCCTATGACCCTGCCAAATCCCCCTCTGCGAGAAACACCCAAGAATGATCAAAAAAAAAAAATATATATATGTATACATATTTATATATTAGTATATATGTATATATATATATACACACATATATATATATATATATTAGTCAGGCAATCCCAGCACTTTGGGAGGCTGAGACGGGCGGATCATGAGGTCAGGAGATCGAGACCATCCTGGCTAACACGGTGGAACCCCCGTCTCTACTAAAAAATACAAAAAAATTAGCTGGGCGTGGTGGCGGGTGCCTGTAGTCCCAGCTACTCAGGAGGCTGAGGCAGGAGAATGGCGTGAACCTGGGAGGCGGAGCTTGCAGTGAGCTGAGATCGTGCCACTGCACTCTAGCCTGGGCGACAGAGCGAGACTCCGTCTCAAAAAAAAAAAAAAAAAATAGGCATGGTGGCACTGCCTGTACTCCCAGCTACTGGGGAGGCTGAGGTAGGAGGATTGATTGAGCCCAGGAGGTGGAGGTTTAGTGACCCGAGATTGCACCATTGTACTCCCAGCCTGGGCGACAGAGTGAGACCCTGTCTAAAACAAAACAAAACAAAACAAAACAAAACTCCAAAACACCAGTCACAAAAAACAAAAGTTTTTTGAGTTCAGAGCTCTTATCTTTAACTAAGTTTAGACATCCCTCCCTCAAGGTAATTCTCCTTCTAATCCCAAAATAACAGAAACATGGAATTAGGTTAAGACTACTGGCTAAAGAAATTTATTTCTTCACGCCATTATTTTCATTAATAGGCATTCTAGAATTTTAAGGTACTTATTGTTTTCTGTCTTAACATACATATCAACATTCATAGATGTAACTTACCCTTATGAGCATACTTACGTTTTGAAAAATCTCTTCTTCACCTTCAAATTGTGGAGAAACGAAGCACTTAAATAATTCATAATTTCCATTGAAGCTAGTGCTACTTCCTAACTATGGACCACGTTATAGACAGGGTAGGTGGCAGTTTACATATATTTCCTACAGAATTATCTGTAACTATAACTTTTCATCTCTAATTTGGAAAAAATAACAAATTCCAAGGAATAATAATAATAATATATTGATAGGGACTATCTTGGGTATACAGTAATTTATGTATAAAATATCATACATAAATGTTGGTATTTTATTATTTGTAATAGATTACTTACAAGTCACCTCTCAGTTGGTTAAAATGCAATCATACATGACTTTATGGTTGAGTATGGTTGGTCTAACATGACATTGTAATGAACTATAACCTGTGTAGCCACTGTAAAGACTTTTTATTGTTGTTGTTGTCACCAAGACTGGAGTGCAGTGGCGTGATCTCAGCTTACTGCAACCGCCACCTCCTGAGTTCAAGCAATTCTTTTGCCTCAGCCTCCTGAGTACGTAGGATTACAGGTCCCCACCACCATGTCTGGTTAATTTTTGTATTTTTAGTAGAGACGGGGTTTTGCCATGTTAGCCAGGCTGGTCTCGAACTCCTGACCTCAGGTGATCCACCTGCCTCAGCCTCCCAAAGTGCTGGGATTAGAGGTGTGAGCCACCACGCCCAGCCTTGTAAAGACGTTTTAACCCTCTGACAGTGAAGACAATGAGGGGACCTTGAAATTGTTTTTGAATGTCTGATTTCTTTTCTTTTCTTTTTTTGAGGCAGAGTCTCACTCTATTGCCCAGGATGGAGTGCAGTGGCACAATCACAGCTTACTATAGTGTAGAACTTCTGGGCTCAAGCAATTCTCTCACCTCAGCCTCCCAAGTAGCTGGGACCACTGGCATGTGCCGCCATGCCTGGGTAATTTTTAAATTTTTTGTAGAAACAAGCTTTTGTTGTGATGCCCAGGCTGGTCTCAAACTCCTGGACTCAACAGTTCTCTTGCCTCAGCCTACCAAAGTGCTGGGGTTATAAGTGTGAGCTACTGTGCCCAGCCCATTTTCTTACAAGGACCTGAATATCAGCTCTTTGCCAAGTCAAATGGTTTCATTCCACAGTTGCAGTACATTGGCCCCGTTCAGTTGGAAGTAGCCAGTTGAGAGAAAATGTCCCAGTGTCCCTAATCTCACAAGATTGTGGAATGAGTCTTTGACAGTGGAGAATTGTAACAGTGAAACAGCAAAAAAACCTACCATAACTAACTCCAGTATTGTTTAGGTGGCATTTACCCATTCCTGCACATAGGCAAGGATAATTTTAGAACACTGAGATAATATACAAAAATAGCAATAATGTAGTTTTAAGGGCTAACTCTGGGATTAAAAGAGAAATATGTAAACAATGAACTATGTTTTCTTAAAGATTTATAGGAGCATTGTGACCTGACCAAAGACAATGAAGTTCCCAACCTCACTGGACCCTGGCTGGCACCCAGATGTCTGTGTTTATTGGTTACCTCTTGATCCCAACCCCCTTGCCTTCCCCTGCCCTTAACATAAAAAGAACCTGAAATTTGTACTGATTAAGATGATACTTTAGAATGCTAGTTCACCATCTTCTTGGTTTTGCTGGCTTTCCAAACAAACCTACTTTTCCTCCCACCAACCCTTGTCTCTCAAGTTTGGCTTTTGAGCTGCTAGCAGCTGACCCTGTATTCAGTTACATTTTCAATATAAGTCACTAATATTTATCTTGGGAATCCACTGGCTGAAATTCAAGTTCTTTCTCTACTGCCAAAATCCAAAATTTCCATTTCATCAGCTTCAAATACATTTAAAAATGTCAAAATGCATTATGACAATGTTGTTAGATAAAGCCAAAAATACCTTCCACCTTTTATTGTCTTTGAATACTCAGAAAATTAATGAAGGAATATCAGACGTGCTTCTCTAGAAACTTTAGTATTATAATTAAATCTGCCAAACATTTGCATATGGTGTTTATTGCACAGTGTTTTATATTTTCCAGGGAGAGAGAGAGAGGTTACAGTCAATGAGTTGTATAACTTATACCTGAATTCACTCTTTCCTCTCTATGTAAGTTGATTCCAAGGCATCAGACTACAGACCTGGAGTAGAGGACCAGAGGCATAATTCAAATTACTGAGCATCTTCTGCTAACAATGTGTAGTAATTTTTTTACTTAGTACATGTGAACTTAACCCAGAACCTAAGTTACCTTAGTTCATGTGTACTTAGGTTCTGGGTTTAAAAAATAATGAATTATATAGTTCTAGTCTTTTTTTTCCCTCTATTAGTTTTTTATAATTTTATTTTATTTTATTTTATTTTATTTTATTTATTTATTTCCTGAGACGGTGTTTTGTTCTTGTTGCCCAGGCTGGAGTGTGATGGCATGGTCTCAGCTCACTGTAACCTCCACCTCCGGGGTTCAAGTGATTCTTGTGCCTCAGTCTCCCAAGTAAGTGGGATTATAGGCACCTGCCATCACACCCAGCTAATTTTTTTGTATTTTTAGTAGAGACGGGGTTTCACCACATTGGTCAGGCTGGTCTTGAACTCCTGACCTCAGGTGATCCGTCTGCCTTGGCCTCCCAAACTGCTGGGATTACAGCTGTGAGCCACTGCGCCCAGCCTGTAATTTTTGTTATTTTATTTTACTTTAAGTTCCGGGATACATGTGCAGAACGTGCAGGTTTGTTACATGGATACACATGTGCTATGGTGGTTTGGTACACCACCTATCAACCTGTCATCTAGGTTTTTTTTTTTTTTTTTTTTTTTTTGAGATAGAGTCTTGCTCTGTCACCAGGCTAGAGTGGAATGCAGTGGCGCGATCTTGGCTCACTGCAACCTCCATCTCCCAGGTTCAAGTGATTCTCCTGCCTCAGTCTCCCGAGTAGCTGGGACTACAGGTGCATGCCACCATGTCTGGCTAATTTTTTGCATTTTTAGTAGAGATGAGGTTTCACCATGTTGGCCAGGATGGTCTCAATCTCCTGACCTCATGATCCACCCGCCTCGGCCTCCCAAAGTGTTGGGATTACAGGCGTGAGCCACTGCGCCCGGCCACCATCATTTAGGTTTGAAGTCCTGCATGCATTAGATATTTGTCCTAATGGTCTCCCTCCCCTATAGCTCTAGCCTTGAGTTCAAAGTCTAGTAGGGGAAATTTTTTTATTCTTTTGAAACAGGGCCTCACTCTATTGCCCAGGCTAGAATGCAGTGGCACAATCTTGGCTCACTGCAACCTCTGCCTCCCGGGCTTGAGCCATCCTCCCACTTCAGTCTCCTAAGTAGCTGGGACTAAAGGCACGTATCACTGCTCCTGGCTAATTTTTGTATATATGTGTATATATATATGTGTGTATATATATATGTATATATATGTGCGTGTATATATATGTATATATATTTGTGTGTATATATGTATATATATGTGTGTATATATATGTATATATATGTGTGTGTGTGTATATATATATTTATTTATTTTAGAGAACGGGTTTTGCCATGTTGGCAAGGCTGGTCTTGAACTCCTAAGTTCAAGCAATTCACCTGCATCGGCTTCCCAAAGTACTGGGATTACAGGCTGAGCCCCCATGCCTGGCCAAAACAAATATAAATAGGTGGCAATGGAATGTAAAAAACCCCTATGTTGAAGCACTGTGTCACCAACCCTGCCTAGCGAACTCATCTCAGAAGGGAGGAACTTTGAGCTGTGTCTTGAAGAATGAGTTGGAGTTTTCCAGAGAAAAAAGAAACCTAATGGTCTTTCAGGCAGAGGAAACAGCATATGTTTGGGAGTAAGAGTTTTGGGAGAAAGGCAAAGAGTTCTGTGTAACTAAACTAAAAGGAGTATGTGAGTGTATTGCTTTGAGCCCCATTTATGTTTTATTTCTGAACCTACTCTGTGAACTTTTCTTCTGTCTATTGCCTTCTGAAGTGTTTAAATAAACAATGATCCAAGATAGACCCTACACCTAGTAGCCTTTCATTCTGTTGTGGAGTGGGTTAAGATGAATCTCTAGGATATTTATAGATTATGCCTTTAACATGTTCACAATATATTGACTAAGACAAACTAGAAGCATTTTGCTTCTATTTGCTTGTGTGAGTGGAAGGAACTGCGTAAAGAGCTGTGAATGACTCATTTGGTGGGGGGTGTTAGGCTGTAACTTCAGACCTCTGATTTCAAGAGAGCCTTTGGTTCATATCTGCACACCTTCCAAGATCTACAGGCATTGTTTTCCACAGCACAAGCACCTCACCATCTTAAGGGAAGGCACATAAAAGGAGCAACTATCTCTGCCAACCTGAGATCCTTTTTATTCTGAAAATACCACCTGTACTCACTGTTTACCACCCACCAAGAAAGCAAGTGTTTAATAGCTCGATCTTGGGTATCCACAGGGCCTTAGCCTATGCTCAGCAGAATCTGATGGGAATTGGGGATCTATAAGACATATGTTTTTTTTTTTTTTTTTTTTTTTTTTTTTTACTTTCTTGGAGTTTGTAATTGGAATGAGATTACCACCCAGTTAGAGCTTAATTACAGAGAGTTGGGCTGGGCATGGTAGCTCAAGTCTGTAATCCCAGCACTTTGGGAAGTCAAGGCAGGAGGATCCCTTGAGTCCAAGAGTTCAAGACCAGCCTGGGCAACAAAGTGAGACCCTATCTCTATAATAACATAAAATAAAATAAAATAAATTAGCCAGGTGTGGTGGTGTGTGTCTGTGGTCCAAGGTACTTGGGAGGCTGAGGTGGGAGAATGGCTTAAGCGCAAGAGTTTGAGGCTGCAGTAAGTGGGGTTTGCCACTGTACTCCAGTCTGGGCAACAGAGCCAGACTCTGTCTCAAAAAACAAAAAAATTTACAGAGGGTTGGTTACAGAAGCACAAGAATTCTACCTGTTCCTGATGATGGACTTCCAAAACCTTTTTCTGAATCAGAATTTCCAGCTGCCTCCTGAAACATTTACCAGGATGTGCCAAAGACCCTTAAATTCAACAGATTCAAAATTATATTGGTTAATTTTTTTTCCTATTATTCCTATCTCAAGTGTTCTCCATTTAGATCTTGGTTAATGGTATTATCTCCTGTTCAGCAAGCAAACTAGGTATCTGTGGGCCATAAATGACTCTTCCTTTCTCTCATACTTTAATATCCAAACTATCACTAAGTCATGTTCATTGAATCTTCAAAATGAGTTTCAAATTTCACTGTAATTTGGTGTAAATGTAATAGTCTGTAATTCATATTATGCCAAAAATGTATAGCTTCTGTGCATGGGTAGCAATGGATGCTGTGGTTGGAACATCTGTTTGACAATCTGTGTTGGCTCAGTTTCTTCCAGTTACGCCCATTTCAGGTTAACTCAGACTTCCAAGATTTCTCTCCACTCCTGGCTCCTCCCCCCGAGGCATCAGGGTGCGGAGGAAAGCCGACTTGTCTCATGTGATGGGAGAAGTGCATCTGGGGGTTGGGAGGTGATGGAGGCAAGATACACATGCTGTCCTCTGAGTTCTTGCTTGTCTCCAGCTGAGGTGTCCTTTGCCTTTCCCTGTGTGTGTCAATCTATGTTCTCACTAAACCATCAGCGATAGAACTAGTCCCACCTGGTCTTTGGTGTGTGTTAGCATCTGCTGTTGCTGAGCTTGGACTCCACCATAGTCTCTGGTCCTGTGGCTGCTGCATTCTGCCTCAAAGTCCCTGCCATTTCTTAAGTCCTTCCAGCGTGTCCTTGCTCCCCTGAGCAGGTGGGAACCTCTGGCTCTTCTGTACATTGTGCACAGTGTTGATTATGTCTACCTTGCTAGATCCCTCTTTCTGCCAATGCTATTTCTATATGTCTACTATGAGCCTTAGTGTTCTCAGACCTAGTCATGTTTATTTAGATTTACTTCGTCTCACCCGTTGATTTCTGACCACTTTGCTCCGTCTCTAGAAGATGAAGGGCTTTCTCTATTTTTTCCCCTTTCTGTATGGTCAGGTCATATCATTCCCCATGTGGATGCAGCATTTGAACTCCTTTCCCTGGAGCCATAAGATGATAGGACTGTAGGGGAATATGATTTATAGAGGAAATAAGGACTTGTTTACTGTTTTCAAAATAGCAATATCTAATTCTTAACAAATAATTACACAGTTGTTCATTTTAGCATGTTATTATTATGCTATTGGTTGATGTATGTTTGGATACTCTTCTATATTTTAATAGAGTTCACAATTAAAACGTAAGGAAATAATAAAAACAAAAAAGTATCCCAAAAATGCAAAAAAATAAAAATAAATAGTACTTTTTAATTTTAAAACATACTAAAACAAAACTTAATGGCCTCCAACTGATGAAGGGCTATTTCAAATCATTAGACAAAATATAAATATCCCAAAAGGAAAAAGGACAAAGACTAAGACTATGCACAGGCAAGTCTCACAAAAGGGAGGAAAAGGCTGGGCACAGTGGCTCACACCTGTAATCCCAGCACTTTGGGAGGCTGATGCCAGTAAATCATCTGAAGTCAGGAGTTCAAGACCAGCTTGGCCAACATGATGAAACCCTGTCTCTACTAAAAATACAAAAAAAAATTAGCTGGGTGTGGTGGCACATGCCTGTAATCACAGCTATTAGGGAGGCTGAGGCAGGAGAATTGCTTGAACCCGGGAAGCAGTGGTTGCAGTGAGCCCAGATGGCACCACTACACTCCAGCCTGGGAGACAGAGTGAGACTCCATCTCAAAAAAAACAGGGAGAAAAAAAGTAAACAGCTCATGGCTTAGCCAAGGTTCTCTAAACAACAGAGCCTGAACAAGATATAAGCATGAATGCTTTATAGGGAGAAACAATCCCAGGGCAGGGAGAGTGAAGGATGAGAAACAGATCCAGCGGGCCTACAAAGAGGTTACAAGGAAAACCTAACAGTGCTGTGCCAATGGTTCAGTGGCTAAAATGTGTATTAACAGTTTATGCATCTGGCTGGGCGCGGTGGCTCATGCCTGTAATCCCAGAACTTTGGAAGCCCAAAGTGGCTGGATTACCTGAGGTCAGGAGTTTGAGACCAGTCTGGCCAACATGGTGAAACCCCGCCTCTACTAAAAATACAAAAATTAGCCAGGTGTGGCAGCAGATGCCTGTAATCCCAGCTACTCGGGAGGCAGAGGCAGGAGCATCGCTTGAACCCAGGAGGTGGAGGTTGTGGTGAGCCGAGATTGTGACAGTGCAATCCAGCCTGGGTGATGGTGCGAGACTCCACCTCAAAAAAATAAAAATATAGGCTGGGCACGGTGGCTCACGCCTGTAATCCCAGCACTTTGGGAGGCCGAGGCAAGTGGATCACAAGGTCAGGAGATTGAGACCATCCTGGCTAACACGGTGAAACTCCATCTCTACTAAAAGTACAAAAAATTAGCCAGGCGTGGTGGCGGGCACCTGTAGTCCCAGCTACTTGGGAGACTGAGGCAGGAGAATGGCGTGAACTCGAGGCGGAGCTTGCAGTGAGTGGAGATTGCACCACTGCACTCCAGCCTGGGCGACAGAGCAAGACTCCGTCTCTAAATAAATAAATAAATAAATAAATAAAGAATTAGATATTGCTGGGCTCAGTGGTAATCCCAGGGCTTTGGGAGGCTGAGGTGGGAGGACAGCTTAAGCCAGGATTTGGAGACCAGCCTGGGCAACATAGTAAGACCCCATTTCTACAAAAAATAAACATGCATAGTGGCATATTCCTGTAATCCTAGCTACCCTGGAAGCTGAGGTGGGAGGATCACTTGAGCCAAGAGTTTGAGGCTGCAGTGAACCATGATCATGCCATCATGCCACTACACTCCAGCCTGGGTGACTGAGCAAGACTCTGGCTCTAAAAAAAGGAAAGAAAGATATAGATCATTGCCAGTACCATAGAATCCCCCTCTGTGGCTCTCTCCAATCACATCCTCTTTTTTCCTCTATTCTGTAATATTCTTGTGATTTTTCTTTCTTTATCCTGTGTGTGTGCATGTATGTGTTTGTATATAGTTGTGTATATATGTATGACACACATATATAGCTGATTGCTTCTCAGCCCTGCAACTGGAACTGTGTTTATGCACACATATCTGAATACATATCACATACAAACATGCACACACATATGTACACACACAGAAGAAAGAAACAGTAGTTTTCACAACTCCTTACTTTTCATCTTTTCAGTTGTCTTTTTTTTGAGACAGGGTCTCATTCTGTTGCCCAGCCTGGAGCGCAGTGGTGCAATTATGGCTTACTGCAGCCTCTATCTCCTAGGCTCAAGGGATCCTCCCGCCTCAGCCTCCCAAGTAACTGGGACTACAGGCATGTGCCACCATGCATGGCAAATTAATTTTTTTGGAGAGATAAGGTCTCACTATGTTGCCCAGTCTAAGCTTGAAATCCTGTGCTCAAGCAATTCTCCCACCTCAGCCTCTCAAATGCTGGGATTACAGGCGTGAGCCACCATACCTGGCCTCTTTTCAGTTGTTTCTCCCACTCCTTTCTCATCCACAAAAGAATTACATCAGTGTAAGATGAAGAAACTCAAGGCACATACAGGGAGGCCAGATGATAGATTATTACTCAGAAAACCCAGAATTTAAACCAAAAGGAGAAAGAAGCAAAACTCCAACTGAAGTCATAAAAATTTTAGAAAACCACCATTGATATTCCAAAAATGCTGTAAGATCAGTTGTAGCCATGGATATTGATTTAAGTAGGGAAAAAAAATTGAATGAACCTTCTAGGCATTACATAGACTTTATG
The DNA here is from genome assembly GCF_000001405.40 of Homo sapiens. Lineage (NCBI taxonomy): Eukaryota > Metazoa > Chordata > Mammalia > Primates > Hominidae > Homo > Homo sapiens. The sequence continues at coordinate 199,894,233 of NC_000001.11, read as the reverse complement.
GACTGAAAAATACAAAGGTGAAATAATGAAAGAAAAATTATCTGAATATATCAAATATACATAACAAATCTATTTAATATCTATAGAATATATACTCCTCTGTTGCCTACTATTTTTAAATCGAGTTTCCCCCTTATCTGGTACAGTTGAACACATATATATGAAAACAGAACTTAAACAAAGATAAAGCCATGCAATAGTGTGTGCCCATAGTCCTAGCTACTTGGGAGGCGGAAGCAAGAGGCAGGAGGGTCATTTGAACTTAGGAGTTTGAGGTTAAAGTGCCATAGTTGTGTCTGTGAATAGCCACTGCACTTCAGCCTGGGCAACATAGCAAGACCCCATCTATAAAAAAAAAGTTAAACAAGGGTCATAAAACCATCCTTATGTGTTTGGGAGTGACCTTATGCCACTCATAGGCCTTAAAAGTTTGAGGTATCATCCTACTGTCAAGGACCATCATCAACCTTGAATTTACGATATCTTTTTTGGTCTAATTAACTTCCGTATAAGTTATTTTATAGTCACTTAGAATATAAAACTATCAGAGGTAGAGCGTATGTATAACTGTTTTACACAGCTCATATCAGAGTAAGTACTTAAATGGATTTTGGTTGTCTAACTAAAAGCATGTCAATTTTATTGATCTTTTCAAAGAACCAACTTTTGTTTTCATTGACTTTTCTCCATTGTTTCTGTTTTCTATTTCATTGATTTCCACTCTAATTTTTATTTCCTTTCTTTTCCTTGCTTTGAATTTAATTTGCTCTTCTGTTTATAGTTTCTTCAGATGGAAGCTTAGATTATTTGAAATATTTTGTTTTCCATTCTTTTCTTTTTCCAGAGACAAGGTCTCAATCTGTCACCCAGGATGTAGCACAGTGGTGCCATCACAACTCACTGTAACTTTGAACTCCTGGGCTCAAGTGATCCTCCTGCCTAAGCCTCCTGAGTAGCTGGGACTACAGGCACATGCCACCACACTCAGCTAATTCTTGAATTTCTTTGTAGAGTCATGGTCTTATTATGTTGGCCAGGCTGATCTTGAACTCTGGCCCAAGTAATGCTCCTGCCTCAGCCTCCCAAAGTGCTGGGATTACAGGTGTGAGCTACTGCACCAGGCCTTTTTTTTACTGTTCTAATTTACATTTTCACAGCTAAAACATTTCCCTTTAAGTACTTATTTACCTCCATACAATAAATTTTGATATGTTTAAAAATGGCACTTGATTAAACATTCTCATGGTATGGAACACTGTTGTCATCTAGCTTGTAGTATTGTTGAGAAATTCAAAGCCATTCATGTGGGTCCTCCATACCACCTCCTTTTTTCATCTTGTAGCTCTTTATTTCCAGTGTTCTGAAGTTGTACAATCATGTGCTATAATATGGTCTATTTTTATCCACTCAAGTGTCCTGAGCAGTTGACTGCTTCTTTCAATCCAGGTACCCAGGTCCTTCAATTCTGCAGAATTTTCATGTACTATATCCACGGTAATTTCTTAGGCTATATATATAAACAAACAAACAAACAACATATATATATGTTTTGAGGCAGGGTCTCACCCTGTCACTCAGGCTGGAGTGAAGTGGTGTGATCAGAGCTCAGAGCGGGCGGACTGTAATTTTGGCCTCCTGGGCTCCGGCAATCCTGTTGCCTCAGCCTCCTGAGTAGCTGGGACTATGAGTGCATGCCACCATGCCTGGCTGACTTTTATTTTATTTTATTTTGTAGAGATAGGCTCTCACTGTGTTGTCCAGGCTGATCTTGAACTCCTGGCCTCAAATGATTCTTTCCCATCAACCTCCTGAGTGGCTGGGATTACAGCTGTGCCTAGCCCATGATGATTTCTTTATTTCTATTCTCTTTCTCTATTTCTACAACTCCTATTATTCATATATCTAGTATTGTGGATGGAATATCTTTGAATTTTCTTAGCTTCCCTTTACTTTTTCCACTTTTTGTTTTGTGTTTTTGCTCTACTTACATAGGTATTTCCTTAACTGTATTTTAAAACTCTTCTACTGAGTTGTTTATTTTTATCCTTTAAAAAAGAGATCGAGACCATCCTGGCCAACATGGTGAAACCCTGTCTCTACTAAAAATACAAAAAATTAGCTGGGCATGGTGGCACTCACCTGTAGTCCCAGCTACTTGGGAGGCTGAGGCAGGAGAATTGCTTGAACCTGGGAGGCGGAGCTTGCAGTGAGCCGTGATTGCACCACTGCACTTCAGCCTGGACGACAAAGCGAGACTCCGTCTCAAAAAAAAAAAAAACATTGTTATTAAGAGCTCTTTTTCTCTGACAGTTGCCTTTTAATACCATCCTTTCTTATTTCTTGTAGCAGTATACTCTCATATCTCCGAGGAAATTAATGATAGTTTCTTTGAAGTTTTTATCTTGGCATAGACTATTCTCTTTAAGTTGTTTTATTTTTCATTTATGTATTCTGCTCCTGCTCACTCTGCCTTCATTCTTCTTTCTTTTTCATTCATGCTCTCTTTTTCCCCTCACTCTCTCTTCCCATGTTGGAGATTTTTTCTTAGCTGCCTAGTGATTTCTGGCTCTTGTTCACAATTAAGAATGGGGTAAAAAAACCCAAAACACTGATTGGAAGTTTTGTGTGCAGTTGCTTATTGCTGTTCTATACACTTTAGTCTAGTGTGAGCTGACTGCTTGTTTAATTGGGCAAGCCCCAATTTCATTATCTTTTTTCCCTTTGAGTTGGTTAGAAAATAATATTCTAATCTCTTTCTTGGTTGCCATTGTTTTGGTAGCCAAGTAGGGGAAGCAGTGGTGCTTCCAATCTTCAGTTGATAGTATTTCACTAAAATTTCTTATTTATTTTATTTTTTTTGAGAGAAGGTCTTACTCTGTCACCCAGGGTGGAGTGCAGTGGCACGATCTCGGCTCACTGCAACCTCTGCCTCCCGGGTTCAAGGGATTCTCCTGCCTCAGCCTCCAGAATAGCTGGGATTATAGGCACCTGCCACCATGCCTGGCTAAGTTTTGTATTTTTAGTGGAGGCGAGGTTTCACCATGTTGGCAAGGCTAGTCTTGAACTCCTGACCTCAGGTGATCCACCCGCCTTGGCCTCCCAAAGTGCTGGGATTACAGGCTTGATCCACCACCGCTGGCCAGTATTTCACTAAAGTTTCTTGTTAATATAATACTCATTCCTCAACTGTGCCTGGCATTGTCCAGTCCAGAGCCCAGAGAATCAACTTCACCCCTCTGCAGGAGTGTGGGGAGGACAGTCACGCAACTGTACCTAGTGGGGCAGGGGACCCAGGGTCTAATTGCTTCTAAAACAAATGTGCAAACAATTCTTCTGTTTTTGGCTCATTTTCACACCTTACTGGGATAACTATTGCCACCAATTCCTGAGACTTTTTGATTACATTGGGTTGCTTTCCATGTTTTCCTACTGCCAACTTGGGGATTCTGCTGCCAGTTATCCCTCATGCTTCTAATTTTTCAAAATTTTTTTTCTTTTTGAGAGAATCTTGCTCTGTCACCCAGGCTCAATCTCGGGTCACTGCAACCTCCGCTCATTGCAACCTCCACCTCCCAGATCCAAGAGATTCTCCTGCCTCAGCCTCCCGAGCAGCTGGAATTACATGCACATGCCACCACACCAGGCTAATTTTTGTATTTTTACTAGAGACAAGGTTTCAACATGTTGGCCAGGCTGGTCTCAAACTCCTGACCTCAAGTGATCGGCCCGCCTCAGCCACCCAAAGTGCTGGGATTACGGGTGTGAACCACCACGGCTGGCCTCCAGTTCCATCTGTTAATGTGAGCTATGACTTTTACAAAACTTTGTGCTTTTTAAAACTGTAGTTTTAGTATGAAATGACTAAATCTACTTTTTTTTTTTTTTCCTGGAAGTCTTCAGTTGCCTACTGTTGCTGAAAATGTCTTCAAAATGCCTGGAGGGCTTAAAGAGTAAATGCCTCTGGGAGAGGTATCACATTTGTTTAAAATTGATGTCTTACTGTTTTTTGAGAGTAGGAGTTGATAGGTAGAGGGTGCGTAAGAAAAGAAGAACTGTAGAAAACTGAAGACCCAGGTGTTCCAGGAACTAATTCTAAAGACATATTTGATTTGAAAAAAAAATTCAATCAAATCAGTTCATTGTAAGTTTCTGAACCAGACACTCTCCTTAACGTGCATTTCTGACTTTTTTTTTTTAACTCTACTTCATTTTGGGTGAATTTGTGCTCTTTGTTTGCCTTTTCTATTAATAATTCTTATGACAGAAATAATAGTGATAATTATTTTTAAATAATTTTTAATATAATTACAATTATAATTATAAAAATACAATTTATAATTATATAGGAAGTGATACTACCTTCAATATTCGTAGCTTCTAATAAGTGACAAGTCCTGTACACACACACACATATTTTAATACACACCATGTTCTCCCCCATCCTATGTGTCAAGGAACAATTCCTTCTCAGGTTGAGAGGGCTGACAATGACTACAATAAATGTGCTTTTTACCTTGGCTATAATGTCCTAATTTTCACTTATGGCTCTCAAAGTATAGTAGCAGGGTTCAAATAAATCAAATCCTTGTCATGAACGAGCTATCTTTAACCAATTTATGAAACAGAAAACACACTATTTCCAAGGAAGGTTAAGTGCAATGTATTATGCAGATAAAATAAGGTATTATTAGTGTAAATAGAATACACTGATATCAGATACTCCATAGGAAGTAGGTTCTATTTGCATGGCAGAAATTGCATCATTCTGATTAAAGCTTAAACGTGTTGCTGTGTTGGGTGTATTGCTGAATACTTGACATGGGAACTGTGATTTGGCTTCACACTGCAGGAAACTTTAAGAGATCCACAACTCAGAGAACACTATTTTTTGGGTAATGGGTATTGGGTGTATTATGAGGAATATCAAGTTCTTCCAATACTTAGGAGGGAGAATCAGCAGCAGGAAAGAGCGGTCCAATGGTTGAGGTACGGCTTAAAAGTTCCCAACTCTCATGTCTTAGGAAAAAAGAAGAATTTGGAAATGTTCTTTAGAAATCACCTAATTTATGCCTTGGACATTTGAAATAATTATAACTATATCCCATTTTTTAGAGACTTCAAAAAAATGATTCTGTAACTTTTCTCAGAAGTACGTTGTTGAACAAGGGAGTTCTTCCTTATATCTTACTTGTGTCTTTCCTTTCCTGCTGTCTTCAGTGGGGTAAGAATAAGGAATATCTTGTGAGGCCAGGCATGGTGCTTCACGCCTGTAATCCCAGCACTTCGGGAGGCCAAGGCGGAAGGATCACTTGAGCTCAGGAGTTTGAGACCAGCCTGGGCAACATAGTGAGACCCCCACCCCCTAACCCAACCATCTCTACAAAAAAATAGAAAAAAAAATAGCCAGGTATGGTGGTATGCACCTGTAGTCTCAGCTACATGGGAAGCTGAGGTGGGAGGATTGCTTGGGCCTGGCAGGTGGAGGCTGCAGTGAGCTCTGATTGTACCACTGTACTCCAGCTTGGGTGACACAGCAAGATCCTGTCTCAAAAAAAGAAAAAAAAAAAAGAAAGAAATACCTTGTGGCAAACAGTTGTTCCTCAGTTTTTCTTTTCTCCTGATGCCTAGACTGAAAATTCTTTTCTTTCTCTTTAAGACAGAGTCTCACTCTGTCACCCAGGCTGGAGTGCAGCGGCACAGTCTTGGCTCACTGCAACCTCCACCTCCCGAGTTCAAGCGATTCTCCTGCCTCAGCCTCCTGAATAGCTGGGATTACAGGTGTGTGCCACCACTCTTGGCTAATTTTTGTCTTTTAGTAGAGACAGGATTTCGCCATGTTGGTCAGGCTTGTCTTAAACTCCTGACCTCAAGTGATCCACCCACTGCGACCTCCCAAAGTGCTGGGATTACAGGCATGAGCCACTGAGCCTGGCCTCTTTTAAAATGTATATATTTTTACTTTATTAAAAAAATTTAATGTGGAATGCTTCATGAATTTGCGTGTCATCCTTGCGTAGGAGCCAAGCTAATTTTCTCTGTATCTTTCCAGTTTTAGTATGTATGCTGCCAAAGCAAAGCGATCACTAGACTGAAAATTCTGACAACAAATCTTAGTTGTGTTAATTATTTACATTGCTGAACACCTTTTAATATTATTAAAAAGGTATAACTTGGCCAGGCGCGGTGGCTGACGCCTGTAATCCCAGCACTTTGGGAGGTCCAGGCAGGTGGATCACCTGAGGTCAGGGGTTCGAGACCAGTCTGGCCAACATGGTGAAACCCCATCTCTAGTAAAAATATAAAAATTAGCTAGGCGTGGTGGTGGGTGCCTGTGATCCCAGCTACTTGGGAGGTTTAGGCAGGAGAATAGCTTGAACCCAGGAGACGGAGGTTGCAGTGAGCTGACACGGTGCCACTGCCTTCCTGCCTGGGCGACAAAGGGAGACTCTGTCTCTAAATAAATAAATAAATAAATGTATGTATAACTCTGACTGGGCACAGTGGCTCAGTCCTATAATCTGAGCACTTCAGAAGGCTGAGGTGGGCAGATCACTTGAGGCCAAGAGTTCAAGACCAGCCTGGCCAACATGGCAAAACACCGTCTGTAATAAAAATAAAAAAATTAGTAGGGCGTGGTGGTGGGTGCCTGTAGTCCCAGCTACTTGAGATGCTGAGGCAGGAGAATCGCTTGAACTGGGGAGGCGGAGGTTGTAGTGAGCTGAGATCGTGTCACTGCACTCCAGCCTGGGCAACAGAGTGAGACTCTGTCACACACACACAGAAAAAGGATAACTCTGTGGCTAAATACTGTATTAGGTTGAAATTTTGTATGGCCGTTTTCATTAGTGTAGTTATGATAATATCATATTTAATAATATGCTTATGTCTACCGAAGAATTAATTTTGCTAGTATGTATATACTCAATGCTACAGTTATTTGGTAACATTTTCTTGCCGATATGCATTTTATCTTTTCAGCAAGCATTAATCTTCTATTTTCATTTCCTATGACCCTCAAATAGTGTTAGCCAAGTTGTCAGCTGTTTATTAACATCCTAGTATTCATTCATTTCTTTCTTTGATCATTTAAATACCTTTTTGTGAAAGACATAGGGAGGAGGATATAAAGAAATGTAAGATTAGGTGCTTCCAAGATGGCCAAATAGGAACAGCTCCAGTCTACAGCTCCCAGCATGAGCGACGCAGAAGACAGGTGATTTCTGCATTTCCAACTGAGGTACTGGGTTCATCTCACTGGGGCTTGTTGGACAGTGGGTGCAGGACAGTGGGTGCAGTGCACTGAGTGTGAACTGAAGCAGGGCAAGGCATTGCCTCACCCGGGAAGCGCAAAGAGTCAGGGAATTCCCTTTCCTAGCCAAGCAAAGCTGTGACAGATGGCACCTGGAAAATCAGGTCACTCCCACCCTAATACTGCGCTTTTCCAATGGTCTTAGCAAACGGCACACTAGGAGATTATATCCCGTGCCTTGCTCAGAAGGTCCCACGCCCACAGAGCCTCACTCACTGCTAGCACAGCAGTCTGAGATCGAACTGCAAGGCAGCAGCGAGGCTTGGGGAGGGGCGCCCGCCATTGCTGAGGCTTGAGTAGGTAAACAAAGTGGCTGGGAAGCTCGAACTGGGTGGAGCCCATTGCAGCTCAAGGAGGCCTGCCTGCCTCTGTAGACTCCACCTCTGGGGGCAGGGCATAGCCAAACAAAAGGCAGCAGAAACCTCTGCAGACTTAAATATCCCTGTCTGACAGCTTTGAAGAGAGTAGTAGTTCTCCCAGCACACAGCTGGAGATCTGAGAACAGACAGACTGCCTCCTCAAGTGGGTCCCTGACCGCCGAGTAGCCTAACTGGGAGGCATCCCCAGTAGGGGCAGACTGACACCTCACACAGCCGGTTACCCCACTGAGATGAAACTTCAGAGGAACGATCAGGCAGCAACATTCGCTGTTCAGCAATATTCGCTGTTCTGCAGCCTCTGCTGCTGATACCCAGGCAAACAGGGTCTGGAGCGGACCTCCAGCAAATTCCAACAGACCTGCAGCTGAGGGTCCTGTCTGTTAGAAGGAAAACTAACAAACAGGAAGGACATCCACACCAAAAACCCATCTGTACGTCACCATGATCAAAGACCAAAGGTAGATAAAACCACAAAGATGGGGAAAAAACAGAGCAGAAAAACTGAAAATTCTAAAAATCCGAGCGCCTCTCCTCCTCCAAAGGAACGCAGCTCCTCACCAGCAATGGAACAAAGCTGGACAAAGAATGACTTTGATGAGTGGATAGAAGAAGGCTACAGACGATCAAACTTCTCCGAGCTAAAGGAGGAAGTTTGAACCCATGGCAAAGAAGTTAAAAACCTTGAAAAAAGATTAGACGAATGGCTAACTAGAATAAACAATAGAGAAGTCCTTAAATGACCTGATGGAGTTGAAAACCATGGAACGAGAACTACGTGATGAATGCACAAGCATCAGTAGCCGATTCGATCAACTAGAAGAAAGGGTATCAGTGATGGAAGATCAAATTAATGAAATGAAGTGAGAAGAGAAGTTTAGAGAAAAAAGAATAAAAAGAAATGAAAAAAGCCTCCAAGAAATATGGGACTATGTGAAAAGACCAAATCTATGTCTGATTGGTGTACCTGAAAGTGACGGGGAGAATGGAACCAAGTTGGAAGACACTCTGCAGGATAGTATCCAGGAGAACTTCCCCAACCTAGCAAGGCAGGCCAACATTCAAATTCAGGAAATACCGAGAACGCCACAAAGATACTCCTGGTGAAGAGCAACTCCAAGACACATAAATGTCAGATTCACCAAAGTTGAAATGAAGGAAAAAATGTTAAGGGCAGCCAGAGAGAAAGGTCGGGTTACCCACAAAGGGAAGCCCATCAGACTAACAGCTGATCTCTCGGCAGAAACTCTACAAGCCAGAAGAGAGTGGGGGCCAATATTCAACATTCTTAAAGAAAAGAATTTTCAACCCAGAATTTCATATCCAGCCAACTAAGCTTCATAAGTGAAGGAGAAATAAAATACTTTACAGACAAGCAAATGCTGAGAGATTTTGTCACCACCAGGCCTGCCCTAAAAGAGCTCCTGAAGGAAGCACTAAACATGGAAAGAAACAACCAGTACCAGCCACTGCAAAAACATGCCAAAGTGTAAAGACCACCAAGGCTACGAAGAAACTGCATCAACTAATGAGCAAAATAACCAGCTAACATCTTAATGACAGGATCAAATTCACACATAACAATATTAACCTTAAATGTAAATGGGCTAAATGCTCCAATTAAAAGACACAGACTGGCAAATTGGATAAAGAGTCAAGACCCATCGGTGTGCTATATTCAGGAAACCCATCTCACATGCAGAGACACACATAGGTTCAAAATAAAGGGATGTAGGAGGATCTACCAAGCAAATGGAAAACAAAAAAAGGCAGGGGTTGCAATCCTAGTCTCTGATAAAACAGACTTTAAACCAACAAAGATCAAAAGAGACAAAGAAGGCCATTACATAGTGGTAAAGGGATCAATTCAACAAGAAGAGCTAACTGTCCTAAATATATATGTACCCAATACAGGAGCACCCAGATTCATAAAGCAAGTCCTTAGAGACCTACAAAGAGACTTAAGACTCCCACACAATAATAATGGGAGACTTTAACACCCCATTGTCAACATTAGACAGATCAACGATACAGAAAGTTAACAAGGATATCCGGGAATTGAACTCAGCTCTGCACCAAGTGGACCCAATAGACATCTACAGAACTCTCCACCCCAAATCAACAGAATATACATTCTTTTCAGCACCACACCACAGCTATTCCAAAATTGACCACATAGTTGGAAGTAAAGCACTCCTCAGCAAATGTAAAAGAACAGAAATTATAACAAACTGTCTCCCAGACCACAGTGCAATCAAACTAGAACTCAGGATTAAGAAACTCACTCAAAACCACTCAACTACATGGAAACTGAATAACCTGCTCCTGAGTGACTACTCGGTACATAACGAAATGAAGGCAGAAATAAAGATGTTCTTTGAAACCAGTGAGAATAAAGACACAACATACCAGAATCTCTGGGACACATTTAAAGCAGTGTGTAGAGGGAAATTTATAGCACTAAATGACCACAAGAGAAAGCAGGAACGATCTAAAATTGAAACCCTAACATCACAATTAAAAGAACTAGAGAAGCAAGAGCAAACACATTCAAAAGCTAGCAGAAGACAAGAAATAACTAAGATCAGAGCAGAACTGAAGGAGATAGAGACACAAAAAACCCTTCAAAAAAATCAATGAATCCAGGAGCTGACTTTTTGAAAAGAGCAACAAAATTGATAGACCGCTAGCAAGACTAATAAAGAAGAAAAGAGAGAAGAATCAAAGAGATGCAATAAAAAATGATAAAGGGGATATCACCACTGATCCCACAGAAATACAAGCTACCATCAGGGAATACTATAAACACCTCTATGCAAATAAACTAGAAAATCTAGAAGAAATGGATAAATTCCTCAACACATACACCCTCCCAAGACTAAACCAGGAAGAAGTTGAATCTCTGAATAGACCAATAACAGGCTCTGAAATTGAGGCAATAATTAATAGCTTACCAACCAAAAAAAGTCCAGGACCAGATGGATTCACAGCTGAATTCTACCAGAGGTACAAGGAGGAGCTGGTACCATTCCTTCTGAAATTATTCCAATCAATAGAAAAAGAGGGAATCCTCCTTAACTCATTTTATGAGGCCAGCATCATCCTGATGCCAAAGCCTGGCAGAGACAGAACAAAGAAAGAGAATTTTAGACCAATATCCCTGATGAATATCAATGCAAAAATCCTCAATAAAATACTGGCAAACCAAATCCAGCAGCCATCAAAAGCTTATTTACCATGATCAAGTGGGCTTCATCCCTGGGATGCAAGGCTGGTTCAACATATGCAAATCAATAAATGTAATCCAGCATATAAACAGAACCAAAGACAAAAAACATGATTATCTCAATAGATGCAGAAAAGGCCTTTGACAAAAGTCAATAGCCCTTCATGCTAAAAACTCTCAATAAATTAGGTATTGATGAGACGTATCTCAAAATAATAAGAGCTATTTATGACAAACCCACAGCCAATATCATACTGAATGGGCAAAAACTGGAAGCATTCCCTTTGAAAACTGGAATAAGACAGGGATGCCCTCTCTCACCACTCCTATTCAACATAGTGTTGGAAGTTCTGGCCAGGGCAATCAGGCAGGAGAAAGAAATAAAGGGTATTCAATTAGGAAAAGAGGAAGTCAAATTGTCCCTGTTTGCAGATGACATGATTGTATATTTAGAAAACCCCATTGTCTCAGCCCAAAATCTCCTTAAGCTGATAAGCAACTTCAGTGAAGTCTCAGGATACAAAATCAATGTGCAAAAATCACAAGCATTCTTATACACCAATAACAGACAAACAGAGAGCCAAATCATGAGTGAACTCCCATTCACAATTGCTTCAAAGAGAATAAAATACCTAGGAATCCAACTTACAAGGGACGTGAAGGACCTCTTCAAGGAGAACTACAAACCACTGCTCAATGAAATAAAAGAGGATACAAACAAATGGAAGAACATTCCATGTTCATGGGTAGGAAGAATCAATATCGTGAAAATGGCCATACTGTCCAGGGTAATTTATAGATTCAATGCCGTCCCCATCAAGCTACCAATGACTTTCTTCACAAAATTGGAAAAAACTACTTTAAAGGTCATATGGAACCAAAAAAGAGCCCACATTGCCAAGTCAATCCTAAGCCAAAAGAACAAAGCTGGAGGCATCATGCTACCTGACTTCAAACTATACTACAAGGCTACAGTAACCAAAACAGCATGGTACTGGTACCAAAACAGAGATCTAGACCAATGGAACAAAACAGAGCCCTCAGAAATAATACCACACATCTACAAGCATCTGATCTTTGACAAACCTGACAAAAACAAGCAATGAGGAAAGGATTCCCTCTTTAATAAATGGTGCTGGGAAAACTGGCTAGCCATATGTAGAAAGCTGAAACTGGATCTCTTCCTTACACCTTATACAAAAATTAATTCAAGATAGATTAAAGACTTACATGTTAGACCTAAAACCATAAAAACCCTAGAAGAAAACCTAGGCAATACCATTCAGGACATAGGCATGGGCAGGGACTTCATGTCTAAAACACCAAAAGCAATGGCAACAAAAGCCAAAGTTGACAAATGGGTTCTAATTAAACTAAAGAGCTTCTGCACAGCAAAAGAAACCGCCATCAGAGTGAACAGGCAACCTACAGAATGGGAGAAAATTTTTGCAATCTACTCATCTGACAAAGGGCTAATATCCAGAATCTGCAGTGAACTCAAACTTACAAGAAAAAAAACAAACAACCCCATCAAAAAGTGGGCAAAGGATATGAACAGACACTTCTCAAAAGAAGACATTTATGCAGCCAACAGACACATGAAAAAATGCTCATCATCACTGGCCATCAGAGAAATGCAAATCAAACCACAATGAGATACCATGTCACACCAGTTAGAATGGCGATCATTAAAAAGTCAGGAAACAACAGGCGCTGGAGAGGATGTGGAGAAATAGGAACACTTTTACACTGTTGGTGGGTCTGTAAACTAATTCAACCATTGTGGAAGTCAGTGTGGCGATTCCTCAGGGATCTAAAACTAGAAATACCATTTGACCCAGCCATCCCATTACTGGGTATATACCCAAAGGATTTAAATCACGCTGTTATAAAGACAAATGCACATGTATGTTTATTGCGGCACTATTCACAATAGCAGAGACTTGGAACCAACCCAAATGTCCAACAATGATAGACTGGATTAAGAAAATGTGGCATATATACACCATGGAATACTATGCAGCCATAAAAAATGATGAGTTCATATCCTTTGTAGGGACATGGATGAAGCTGGAAACCATCATTCTCAGCAAACTATCGCAAGGAGAAAAAACCAAACACTGCATTTTCTCACTCATAGGCGGGAATTGAACAATGAGAACACTTGGACACAGGAAGGGGAACATCACACACCGGGGCCTGTTGTGGGGTGGGGGGAGGGGGGAGGGATAGCATTAGGAGATATACCTAATGTTAAATGATGAGTTAATGGGGGCAGCACACCAACATGGCACATGTATACATATGTAACAAACCTGCACGTTTTGCATATGTACCCTAGAACTTAAACTATAATGAAAAAATTAAAAAAAAAGAAAACCACAAAAAAATAAATAAATAAATAATAAATAAAAAAATAATAAAAAAGAAATGTAAGATTAGGATCCTTGGTTCTTGGAGTTCATAGTTAAGTCTTAGACACTTGTAAATTTTAATTTTAATTTAATTTTTAATTTTTTTTTTTTTACAGAGATGGGGTCTCACTACATTGCCCAGGCTGGTCTCAAACTCCTGTGCTCAACAATCCTCCCTGATCAGTCTACCAAAGTGCTGAGATTACAGGCATGAGCCACCATGTCCAGCCGACACTTGTAAATTAAATAGCAGTGTAAGGTAGTCTATAATTAAATATTCTGTTTGTGGCAGATAGTAAGCTTTGAGACTTCACAGGAGAGGGTCATGAAGCTGGGTTTCTGGTGGTTGAGAAAATTTTTATGGAGAAGTGACTTAAACTGGGTCTTGAAGCACAAACAAAATTTAAACAGTTGGAGAGGAGGAGGCCAAGTCAGGCTGGAAAGGGAGCAGGTTGAAATGAGCCGATACATGTGGAAATAATATAGAGTTCATCCTGAAGAGAATGGAGCTTGCATTGGGAAGTAATAAGGTTAGTATAGTGGGTTGTGGTTAGATAAAAAGGGCCTTGAAAATTCCTAAGGATTTGATTCTGTGGAAAATGGGTTTTGGAAGAGCAAGTGACAGAATAGTTTAAGAAACTGAATCCAGGCTGGGCACGTTGGCCCACACCTGTAATCCCAGTGCTTTGGGAGGCCGAGGCAGGTGGATCACCTGAGGTCAGGAACTGGAGACCAGCCTGGCCAACATGGTGAAACCCCATTTCTACTAAAAATACAAAAATTAGCTGGGCATGGTGGTGCATGCCTGTAATCTCAGCTGCTCAGGAGACTGAGGCAGGAGAATTGCTTGAACCTGGGAGGCAGAGGTTGCAGTGAGCCAAGGTCACACCACTGGACTCCAACCTGGGGGACAGAGTGATACTCTGTTTCAAAAAAAAGAAAAAAAAAAAAAAAGAAAATTAGTCTGGTGTTAACGTGCAGTACAATACAGTGGTGAACGGTCTGGGTGCTGAATGAATTAGGCACACTGCCTTGGCTATTTATTTGCTGTGTAAACTTGGCGAGTAATTTATTCATTCTGGTCCTTATTTCTCTCATTTAAAAAATTGATTTTTTTGATTTTTAAAATGATTTATTTTAATTTTTAAATGGACAAATTGTACATTTTCATGGGCTACATAGTGATGTTTCAATAAATATAGTGTATAGTGATCAGATCAGGATAATTGGCATATCCATCATCTCAAACATTTACCATTTCTTTGTACTGGGGACATTTGATATCCTCTTTCTAGGTATTTGAAACTATATAATATATTATTGTTAACTGTAGTCATCCTACAGTGGAATAGAACACTAGAACTTATTCCTCCTATCTAGCTGTAATTTTGCATCCTTTAACAAATCCTTACTTATCCCTCCCTATTCATCCTTTTTCCATCCGTTTGCCAGCCTGTGGTAACCTCAGTCCTACTTATTACTTCTATGAGATCAACTTTTTTAGCTTCTACATGTGAGTGAGAACATGTGATGTGTGACTTTCTGTTTCTGGCTCATTTCACATGGCAGGATTTCCTCCAGTTCCATCTATGTTGCCACGAATGACAGGATTTCATTCTTTTTTATGGCTGAATAGTATTCCATTGTGCATATATCCCACATTTACTTTATTTGTTCATCTGTTGTTGGACACCTAGGTTGATTCAATAATTTGGCTATTGTGAATATGGCTGAAATAAACATGGGAGCGCAGACTTCTCTTTGATATAATGATTTCCTTTCCTTTCGATAAATGCCCAACTGGGGGATTGCTGGATCATACAGTAATTCTGTTTGTAGTTTTTTGAGGAAGCTCCATACCGTTCTCCACAGTGGGTGTGCTCATTTACATTTTCACCAACAGTGTGTGACAGTTCCCTTTTCTCTACTTCCTCACCATCATTTGTCATTTTTTGTCTTTTTGACAATAGCCGTCCTAACTGGGGTGAGAAAAAAAATTTTATTTTTAATTGTGATTAAAAAACACTGCTCCTTTATTTTTGAAATGGAGGTATTAAATAATAACACCACCTATCTCTAGAGCTATTGTGAGGAGTGAATGAGGTGAATTATGTAAAACACTTGTTACTTACAGAAATGCCTGGTGCATAGTAATCCTTCAAGGTACACATAGCAAAAAATTTTATCTGAAAGGGAAGAGATTAAAGAGAACAAGACAGGGAAGATGATTATAAATTGGTTGAGTTGGTCAACTAGTGCTTTCCTTATAAATAGCTCCATGGTTACTTTTGTCATATTGTATTATTTATATGTCTGATTTGAACTCATTGAAGGCAAGAAGTAACTCCAATTATAGACTGGTGTAGGATATATAACTAGTAGACGGGTTCAGGACATGTTATGTACATACACTAAATGCTTGTTTAATCCATATTGAGATATGGACTCAGGTGATCAGAGTCCACAGAAAGGGATGAATAAAATAGACCTGATGGGGGAAGAATTAATTATCCTTAAACAATCGAAGCTGAGAGGGGAGAGGCAAAAAGAACAGCAGAGATGGTTCCAGGGTTTTGACTTGAGTAACATAAAATGATTACATTTTTACAGAAGAAGGGAAGTCAGCAAATAATGAGTTTTGGAGATAAAATAGTGAGTTTGATTTTATTGCAGTTACTTCAAAGTGAGTCAGTCATTAATTTATTTATTCAACAAATATGATTGAGTTTTTACCATGTGTGATCAGGTACTTTGTCCACATTATCTTTATAACATAAGATAGTGTGTGCAGGTCAGGAGTAGTAGCTCACACCTGTAATCCCAGCACTTTGGGAGGTGGAGGCAGGAGGATCACCTGAGGTCACGAGTTCAAGACCAGCCTGGCCAACATGATGAAACCCCGTCTCTATTAAAAATACAAAAAAATTAGCCGGGCATGGTGGCATGCACCGGTAATCCCAGCTACTTGGAAGGCTAAGGCAGGACGCTCACTTGAACCTGAGAGGCGAAGGTTGCAGTGAGCCAAGATTGTGCCATTGCACTCTAGCCTGGGTGATAGAGCAAGACTCCATCTCGAAAAGAAAAAATAGTGTATGCCTTTCCTGTTATGCATTTGTCAGTTTCTTCCTCCTTTTTGCTTTCTTTCAGTTTCCTTTTGTTTTAATTGTCAGAAAAATGGGTTTCTTTTTTCCTTTTTTTTTAAGTTTCAGATATTTATTAATCAGTGTGATCTCCAACACATCAACATGATTTCATGCATTTAGAGGAGAAATATTTCCTACATAAGTGGAAAATTTTGTGAGTGGCTTCTGGAAAACCTTCATTCTAAGCAGCTTTATGGTGAAACATTTTATTTAGAAATCTGGACCTCTGGCCAGGCACAGTGGCTCATGCCTTAATCCTAGCACTTTGGGAGGCTGAGGCAGGAGGATCACTTGAGGTTAGGAGTTTGAGACCAGCCTGGCCAACATGGTGAAACGCCATCTCTACTAAAAAATACAAAAATTAGCCAGGTGTGGTGGTGCATGGCTATAGTCCCAGCTACTCTGTAGGCTGAGGCATGAGAATCACTTGAACTGGGAGGTAGAGGTTGCAGTGAGCCAAGATCGCGTCACTGCACTCCAGCCTGGGCGACAGAGCGAGACCCTATCTCAAAAACAAAAAACAAAAACAAAAACAAACAAAAAAAGAAATCTGGACCTTCTTCAGTTTGTGATAATCCACATTCACTGAATAGAGCTTGTATCAATCATTGGGACCCAGTTTGTTCCAGTGTTCTGGGTTATGGTTTCTGTCTCAATTAACACCTGGATTGAACAATGCCAGATGCAAGACATCCAGTGTTGCTCCAGTACCTCCAGCTTCAATAAATTCAAGGAGAGGGATTAACCTCGGGTGCTTCTTTGCCTGACTGAGGATCTGGCAGAGCATGTTTGCAGTAGAGGCCTCCTATTGGAAAGGACAGAACTAGCCTAGCTATTCGGCCCTGGACTAGGGAGTATCTCATCTTTTTCTTATAATTGTTTTCTTGCATTTCTTCTCTCTCTTTGGTTTCAATACTATAGTAGTTCTGCTGTCTGTTAGTATATGAATTGCCTCTAACACATTTGCTGCTATCTCTTTCCCTACCTTGCTCATTTTCCTTCTCGATATTTTCTGGTAACCCGTGAAATCAAGGGTTCTCAAGCCCATGGTGCACCCCCTTCTTAAGAGCTGAGTTTTGAGCAGTGAATGTGAAGGTGGTAATTGCAATTTAGTAGGGTTCTGTGTGTAGAGAGGTTCTACCCAGTTTCTCCTGGATCTTGAACCAAAGAATGATTCCTTTGGAGCATGTTGATCATTTTCAGACTGGCTTCTAACTACCTAGGATAATTTAGGTTATGGTGAGATGAGAGAGGTATGAGTTTAACTGTAACACAATCAGATCAGTTTTAGATAAAGCCAAGAAGACTTAATGAGTTGTGCTTCACAGAAAAATTTCTATGTAGGAGAGCATTTTGTTTTCAGGTGAATATTAACATTGGCCAGCATAAGCCCGGTGTATGGAAAAGAACACTGGATCAGGAATCAGAACATCCAGGCACATTAATTCTGAGAGCTGAATTTATAATCTTTTGTTATTCCCATTCACTGCTGATATGGTTTGGCTCTGTGTCCCTACCCAAACCTCATCTCAAATTGTAATCCTCACGTATAGCGGGAGGGAAGTGATTGGATAATGGGGGTGGTTTCCCCCATGCTGTTCTCATGATAGTGACTTAATTCTCATGAGATCTGATGGTTCTATAAATGATAGTTTTTCTTGGGCTCTCACACGCTGTCTCCTCTGCTGCCTTGTGAAGAAGTTGCCTGCTTCCCCTTTCCCCTTCCAACATGATTGTAAGTTTCCTGAGGTCTTCCAGCCATGCGGAACTGTGAGTCAATTAAACCTCCTTTCTTTATAAATTACCCAGTCTCGGGTATGTCTTTACAGCAGTGTGAGAACGGACTAATACAACTGCTTTTTTTTTTTTTTTTACAGAGCCTTACTCTGTCACCCAGGCTGGAGTGCAGTGGCATGATCATGGCTCACTGCAGCCTTGACCTCTCAGGCTCAAGTGATTCTCCTGCCTCAGTCTTCCTTGTAGTTGGGACTACAGGCACATGCCACCATGCTGAGATAATTTTTGCATTTTTTGTAAAGATGGGGTTTCTCCATGTTGCCCAGGCTGGTATTGAACTCCTAAGCTCAAGTGATCTTCCAGCCTTGGCCTCCCAAAGTGTTGGGATTACAAGCATGAGCCACCACACCTGGCCTCCCATTCAGTGCTTTACCGTGATTTACTTTGAGTAAAACCAAGTAGAATTGAAACTTGAGTAATTTCCAATTGGCGATGGTTGAGTCAGGAGCAGTACTGAGATTTATTTTGCTAAGCAAACACTTTATTTGCAGAAAACACACATTAAATATGTAAATAAGACTAGGAGGCAGGAAGAGATTTTTAAGTTGTTCAACAGAATAAAATATTTTGAGGCACTTAAAAAATTCCACAAAGCATTTCAGAAGCATGATTTATGCATGGATAATTTACGTGCTAATTGTAATTCAAAATCTTCTCACTAAACTAATTCTCTAAAGATCTCTACCAGGTTATTTTTTTTTCCTCTGGATTAGTTTATGTTGTTTGTACCTGAACAGAATAAAAGTGAACTTCAAGAATGTTTATAATTCAGATACTTCACAAATTCCAATTGTTTCTCATCTTGAATTAATGAAGTTTTATATGGGTTATTTCCATCTTATTTCAAAAAGCTCCCAAAACAAGGATTTCTACAGGAAATATGTTGCCCCCCCCAACACATATTTAAGTTTAGACATTCCCAAATTTCTCTGTTAAGAATCCTGCTTTAAAAATTTTGAAGAAATGTTTAAATTCATAAAAACACATAAAATTATTTTTAGTAGGTTGGATCATTTTTCCTACTTCTCACTTCTTCCAGTTATGGATTATATAGCCAAGCCTTTGCTGTGTGACTTTTCAGTCCCTCCTACATTAAGCGGAGGACATGTATTTTCTTCTCTCATTGATTTACTTTGGCCAATGGAGTCCAATATTTTATTCAGACAAAATTTACATATTATAAAATTCACCACTTACAGTGTCCAGTTCAGTGGATTTTAGCATGTTCACAATGTTGTGCATCCGTCACCACTATCTAATTCCAGAGCATTCTCATATTCCCAAAAAGGAACCACGTGCCCATTAGCAGTCACTCGCCATTCCTCCCTTCTCATACACCAACCACGTCTTTACAGATTTGATTAGTCTGAACATTTCATGTAAGTAGCATCATACACTATGTGGTTTTTTTGTGTCTGGCTTCTTTCACTCAGTACAATGTTTTTAAAGTTCGTCCATATTGTAGCATGTATCAGCACTTCATTTCTGTTTTTTCTTTTTTTGGTTTTTTTTTTTGAGACGGAGTTTTGCTCTTGTTGCCCAGACTGGAGTGCAATGGCATGATCTTGGCTCACTGCAACCTCTGCCTCCCAGGTTCAAGCGATTCTCCTGCCTCAGACTTCCAAGTAGCTGGGACTACAGGCATGTGCCACCATGCCTGGCTAATTTTGTGTTTTTAGTAGAGACGGGGTTTCACCATGTTGGCCAGATTGGTCTTGAACTCCTGAACTCAGGTGATCCACCCACCTTGGCCTCTCAAAGTGCTGGGATTACAGGTGTGAGCCACCATGCTGGCCACTTCATTTCTTTTTATGGAAAAATAATATCCTGTTTTATGGACATGCCACCTTTTGTTTATGCATTCATCAGCTGATAGATGTATGGGTTATTTCTACTGTTTGGCTATTATGATAATGCTGCCATGAACGTTTGTGTACAAATTTGTATATAAGTATATGTTTTCATTTCTCTCTTTGGTATATACCTATGAGTAGAATTGGGTCATATGGTAACTCTTTTACATTTTAAGGAACTATGAATCTGTTTTCCAGAGTAGATGAAGTATTTTACATTCCTATTAGCAGTGTAAGAGGGTTCCAATTTCTCCACATCCTTGTCAACACACATTATTGTCTGTCATTTTGATTGTAGCCATCCTAGTGGGTGTTCAGTTGTATCTTATTGTGGCTTTGATTTTCCTTTCCCTAATGGCAAATGGGGAATGATGTTGAACTTGTAATGATTTTTTTTTTTTTTTTTGAGATGGAGTCTCATTCTGTTGCCCAGGCTGGAGTGCAGTGTCTCACCACAGGCTGGAGTCTCGGCTCACTGCAACCTCCACCTCCCAGGTTCAAGCGATTCTTCTGCCTTAGCCACCCAAGTATCTGGGACTACAGGTGTGCGCCACCACACCCGGCTACTTTTTGTATTTTTATTAGAGACGAGATTTTACCATGTTGGCCAGGCTAGTCTCAACCTCCTGGCCTCAAGTGATCTGCCTGCGTTGGCCTCCGAAAGTACTGGGAATATAGGCGTGAGCCACCGTGCCCAGCCCTGTGGCAGAATCTTAATGGCTGTGATGTGAGCAAAGGTTTTAAATCTTCCTCTGATTTGCCCTGGTTCCTTGTGCTTCTGCCATCTACCCTGAGAACATGCTCTGAGCAGATGCTAGTCCAGGGAGCACGAGGAGGCATGTGGAGCTGACCTGAACACAACCCACAGTCTGCAGTCAAGACCAGCCAACCTTCCACACCCTGGAGCAAGAAAAACACATGGTTGTCCTTATATGCCACTGAGAAATGGGGGCTGTAACACAATATTAGCACAAACAGGTGTAAAACATATATATGGTTTAAAAAATATTAAGGAACATTGGCTGGACGTGGTGGCTCACGTTTGGGTAATTCCAGCACTTTGGGAAGCCGAGTTGGATGGATCACCTGAGGTCAGGAACTTGAGACCAGCCTGGCCAACACGGTGAAACCCCCATCTTTACTAAAAATACACAAATTACCTGGGCATAGTGGCACCCACCTGTAATCCCAGCTACTTGGAAGGCTGAGGCAGGAGAATCACTTGAACTCAGGAGAATCACTTAAACTCGGGAAGTGGAGGTTGCTGTGTACTGAGATCACACCACTGCACTCTAGCATAGGTGACAGAGCAAGACTTTGTCTAAAAAAAAGAAAAAATTAAGGAACACTTCTGTAATTGCTATCCAAATGGAGAAAAAGAACAATGCCAGTATCTTAAAAGTCTCCTGTATGCCCCTCCCCAAACACATTCCTCTTTAGTGATCCCTAAATATTATACAGTATTTTCATTTTGTCTTTATGTAAATTGAATCACACTATGTGTAATTTTTTCATTTTTCATCTATTACAGGCTGTTACTAATAATGCTCTTATGAACATTCTTATAGTATGGTATGGGACAGGGCATATAACTATGACTGAAATTGTAAAGGTAAAGGACATATACATTTTCAACATTACTAGGCAATGCCAAATGTTTTTCAAAGTGGTTGCACTAAATCACACCCCCTCCAGCAGTGCAGGGGAGTTCTGTACCTCCCTTGCTGGCCATACTTGGTGGTGGTAGAAATTTAAATTTATGTTACTCTTGGTGGGTGTGTTATAGAATATTATTGTGGGTTATTTTGCATTTCTGTCATTATTCATGATGTAAGTATCTTTTTTTTTTTTTAAGATGGAGTTTCCCTCTTGTTGCCCAGGCTGGAGTACAATGGTGCGATCTCGGCTCACCACAACCTCTGCCTCCCACTTTCAAGCCATTCTCCTGCTTCAGCCTCTGTAGTAGCTGGGATTATAGGCATGAGCCACAACACCTGGCTAATTTTGTATTTTTAGTAGAGACGAGGTTTCTCCATGTTGGTCAGGCTGGTCTTGAACTCCCGACCTCAGGTGATCCTCCCACCTTGGCCTCCCAAAGTGCTGGGATTACAGGTGTGAGCCACTGCACCCATCCTCTTTTAACCTTTCTTTATGGAGCCTATTTTATGTAGTTTAGCTAAATCATTTTGATTCCTTTTGTTTAAAGCCCTTTTACACTTTTGTCCCCTAAAATGGATAATGAAAAACTGTACACTCATTCATTCATTGATTTATTTTACAAGTATTTATGGAGTAGAGATGAACCTAAACCCTCTTATTAAAGGACTTATTTGGAGTGTGAAACACAGACAATAAAAAGTTAAAAATAAACCCCCAAATCCCTCTTCCTCCACACCCCATCCTTCCACTAAAAAAACCCCTATAATTTCAGATAAGTGTTGGGAGACAAATCAGGGAAGGAGTGTAGAGAGTGACTGAACTGGCAGGCAATATTGAATAGCATGGACAGGAGGTGTTATTTGAGTAGAGGCCTGGATGATGTATAGAAGTCAGCCATGTCAAGAATAGGGGAAAGGACATTCTAGGCAGAGGAAGGGCCTGTGCAAATGCCCTGGAGCGGGACCAAGCTTGGTGTCTCTGCGGACTAGCAGGTCCCTGTGTCCAGAGTGTGTGAGGGAACTGGGGAGGAGATAGGCTGGATAAGTAGGAGGGGCTGAATTGTATGCAGTCTGACAGGCCATATGAAGGGGATTTGACGGTGTGAGAGGTTGTCCTGACCTGATTTCAAAGTGTGCTTGGTCTAAACCAAATAATATTTATTCTTATCCTTGATGTCTCTGTTTTCTCCTTTCCACTTTCTCTTTAACTTAGAGAACTTGTCTCTATATTAAAAATAAAAAAAGATGAACGTTATTAATAACACATGCCTAATGAAAGAATCTGAGTGCATATTCCTAGAATACACATATAAAATTTAAAACACTTAAAAATACTCAGATACATCAAAATAAATAAATAAATAAAATGATTGGTGAGATTCAGCCAGTGGTGTGTTGAAACTGGCTTGTTCTGGCCTTGGAGACGGAACTGTGTACATCTCTTCCCAATTCCGCCTCCAGTGGCTTCATGCTGGTAGCTTGAAATTGATCATAGTGGGAGTTTATACCACAGTAATTGGCAAACATTGCAAATAAGGGGTTTATTTCCTCTCCTCCACCACACTCACCCAGAAAGCCAGTTAAGCAGTATTAAAAAACAAAACAACAACAACAAAAATTCCCTGTATCTTTACTTGCATTAGGCACAGTGGGGGAGCATTAGGCCAGTTTCTCATTTTAGAACAACTAGCATGCATAAACATTTGACAGCAGCTAGAAAAAAATGAGTGTCTTCCACTTTTCTCATGTGTATCGGGGTGTTCAACATTAAACCTTCACTGAGGATTTTCTTAGCTGAACATAACACTGGGCAGTCTAGTTTATAATAATTACATTATTTATACACTGTAACAAAAAGTCAGGGGGACTTGGTCCATTTTATGATACTAGAATGATAGAGCCAGAAGGGGAATCCAGCTTCATACTTTTTCAGATGAAGAAAGTGAGACACCCAGGCGTTACATTACATGCTCAGGTAATTTGGTTAACCAGTGGCTCAACTGAGAGATGAATCCAGGTTGTCTGACTCCCAGGACAGTGTACATGTGTTTCGATTTAACCCACTCCTTTCTGTTTGTTCTCTTTGTGTAATTAGCATTCCTTTTCAGCTCTAACGTTTCATATAATGATATTTAATAAATAGGTGATCATGATGATAAAGCTAATTTGAAAATTAGCTAGGCCTGGCATGGTTGCTTAGCTCTTTAATATCAGCACTTTAGGAGGCTGAGGTGGGAGGATCGCTTGAGGCCAGGAGTTTGAGACCCGCCTGGATGAAATAGCAAGACCCTATCTCTACAAAAAATCATAAAAAATTAGTGGGGTGCAGTGGCTTGCACCTATAATCCAAGCTACTTGGGAGGCTGAAGTGGGAGAATTCCTGAACCCAGGAGCTTGAGGCTGTGGTAATCTATGATTGCATTACTGCACCCCAGCCTGGGTGATAGAGGGAGACCCTGTCTCTTAAAGAAAAAAATAGCTGGAAAGCAAGAAAAGGGGAATAGACTATGCCTTCATTTAATCAACACCTACTTTTGGGGTGTTTATATGTTGCCACATATTGTGCTAGATACTGAGATGCAGCAGAGGATGACATAGACATGAACTCTACCAGTGACTGTGGGAACCTCAGTCTAGGTAATTGAATCAAGGTGGTACTTTGAAGGTAATCTTTGTTCTGTAAATAATACGTAGATTGTTGGATTGTCAATACGTGTTTTTCCCATAAGACTTCCATATATTGTAGAATATTAGATATTTGATACAGGATTCCTATGCACCACAATTATCTACTATTTCATCTCCTACAATATAATTTTATTTCTCGAATACAATTATAGGAAGGTGTTTATCCACTAGTCTCTAAGACCTGCAAATAGAACACGCTTCGGGTCTCTTGTCCAGTGCCAGGTGGATGTTTCAACTGATTGTCATGAATACCTGTGACCTTAGGAAAGTCACATTGCAGGCAGAGGTCCAAGTGGGCAGGGAAGCAATGGCTACCATCAGCAGGTGGAAGATTTAACATGTGACGAAACACCACTCACAGAGACTGCATAGCAAGCAGGAGGCAATGGATCCTATAGTACGTCGGAATCAGACTGAAGTTTGGCAGACAGGTATGAAATGGTAAACCTTGACCTTGGTTTTCAAGGCTAGGCGGCTGTCACCTAGTGTATTTAGGAAATGAGGAGGTCACGATATTAGCTGGGACTATTGCAACAGGCTACAAAGAATAATATGGCAGGGTTACTGCAACTGAGTAATAAAGCAAGGCTTGGTCAAGCGAATACAAAAAGGATGAGGTTGCTCAAAGCAGAACTCAGAGCTCATAGGGAACCCTAGTAAAGCTTGTTTTATTCTCAAATTTGTCATGCCTAAGGACCAGGTGCTAAAAATTGGCCTATAAATGATATTTAAACAGTTCCAGGTGTGGGGAATAGCAACCTGTTGAGGCATAGAGCCTTGTCATTAGGAGTGGCTTTGATTGACAGTTTATAGAAATGGCTTTCACATTTTAGTATGTATCAAAAGCACCTGGAGGGATTACTAAAACACGAGTTGCTGGGCCCTACCCCCAGAGTTTCTGATTTGGTAGGTTTAGGCTGGGGCAAGACAGCATGCCTCTCAAACACGTTTCCAAGTAATGCTGATGATACAGGTCTGGAGACCACACTTTGAATGCCTCTGTCTTGTCAAAAATACTTAAGAGCCAGGCACAGTGGCTCATGCCTGTAATCCCGCACTTTGGAAGGCTGAGGTGGGAGGATCACTTGAGTCCAAGAGCTCGAGACCAGCCTGGGCAACATGGCAAAATCCTGTCTCTACAAAAAATAGAAAAAATCAGCTGGGCGTGATGGTGTGCGCCTGTAGCCCCAGCTACTTGGGAAGCTGAGGTGAGAGGATTGCTCGAACCTGGGAAATCGAGGCTGCAGAAAACTGTGATGGTACGACTGCACTCCAGCCTGGGTGACAGAATGACACCCTGTCTCCAAAAAAAAAAAAAAGAAAAAGAAAAAATGCTTAAGGTAAGATAATGGAGGTTTTTAGGACTTTATTACGGTGGATTTCGTCCACCAAAAAGGAGGAGCCTCTGTTTCCTTTGAATTCCTTTGAGTACATAGTAAAAATTTAAACTTTTTTTTGCCATAACTTTTAAACACTGAAGTTTTCCCATTAATATAGGTAAGATTTGTATTAATTTGATTTTAAAAAATGGATGCTTCTTGAAAATGAAAGCAAGGCTATCTGCAGCCTGTTACCTTCCTAGCACAGACATAGACTCCTCCACAGAGGCAGGGACTGTCTCTGCTTCCTTCATTGCCATATCCCTGGCACACACTGTTTGTATAGAATAAGTACTCAAGGAACGTTTAAGTGAGCATATAAATGAATTTAATTTGTATACAATTTTAATTTATATTAAGTTTTTAAAAAGACATGTAAGAAGCTTTTAAAAAGGCGGCATTAAAAAGACATGCAAAATAATTGACATGAAGAAAAAAGGCGGGGAACCACAGGAAGACATCATTAGTACATCAGGAAACAGATGCAGAGACTGCCCCACTTAGTGAGATGGCTGTCTGGGTAGGTAGACATCGGCTTTTCCTTCTCTCTTCCTCTCACTTGGAGAAGCCTCACAGTGTGTGGTGGGTCTGTTTATGCAACTTCCCACTGCCCTCACTTGTCAAACCTTGGTCTAAGGGCTACAGCCCCAAATGAGTCACAGGAGCTTGCCTCCTGCCTGCTCTGGGTCACCTCTGCCCCTAGCTAGTTAACTCTCTGCTTTTCTTCTCTGCTTCTTGAGAGCACTGCAGGGCAGAAATCAAACAGCTGCTCCATAACACTCCTGCAGGTATATTGCAATTCGCTGTCCCTCAGTTTCCACAGTTCTACTCTAGAAAGAAAAATTCTGTGTTAACTGAAAGAAACTGTAAGAACTAAATTAATATCTGCAAGGTTTAATATGCTCCTCTACAAAGTAAATAATTTAAAAATGCAAGATTTTATTTTTTTTGAGACAGAGTCTAGCTCTGTCGCCCAGGCTCGAGTGCAGTAGCGCAGTCTCAGCTCACTGCAACCTCTGCCTCCTGGGTTCAAGCAATTCTCGTGCCTCAGCCTCCTGAGTAGCTGGGATTATAGGCACCCGCCACCACACCCAGCTAATTTTTGTTTTTTTTTTTAGTAGAGATGGGGGTTTCTCCATGTTGGCCTGGCTGGTCTCGAACTCCGGACCTCAGGCGATCTGCCCACCTGGGCCTCCCAAAGTGCTGGGATTACAGGCATGAGCCACTGTCCCTGCCCAGCAAAATTTTATTCTTGTTATCATCCAGTGTCCTGTTCTTTTTTATGTCTAGGGACTCTTGCTTCCATTTCAAGTTTCTCTTTTGGTTAAACTTATAATCATCTAGAATAATAGATTTCAATCCCACCTTAAAGAAAACTGCAACATCTTTTATTCAAAAAACTTCATGTAAAAACCCAGTACATACACACTGGAGGAGGAGGTGGAGGTGCTCTGGGGGAGTGGGGGTGGGGAGCCCAGCATTCTACACGAACCCAGCAATGTCACTATTTGTAGCAATTCAGCCCAGCACAGTACATGACAATAAATTAGCTAAGACAGATTCAACAAAGTTATTTCCTCAACAATTACATACTGGATGCCTCAGAAAATGACTGCTTAGTCGTATGCTCATTTCAAACAGTATTAGGAAAAGGAAATAAAATAGAATCAAATGCTGAGAACAAGGGAAGCTATTTGTGCTTCATCTTCTGAAATACTCTATTTTTCTTGGGGATTTTAATCTGACCATAGGCAGAAAGGTGATCATTAGGGTAAGATGGTATCTTCTTTTTTAAATGCTCCATTACATTGTGCATAGTAATAACTGGTACTCACATGCACACTATCCACGGAAGTGAAGGAGATTAAATGGGTGCTAGGCAGCATCAGCTTCTGTAAACTCAGACTCCCAGGAGAAGCCCAGCTTGCCCTAGGAGGAGCAAGAATTCAGGGCCAGAAGACCAAGTCACTTGCTGCCTGCAACAGCTGAGGCGAATCCCTTAGCCTTTGGCACCCTAAGTTTAGATGTAAAATGCGGATAGTAATACTTGTTCTGCCATCTTCTTGGGGTGGGATGGGGCGGGGCTGGGGAGGTTGGGACTCAGTCCCAAAAGGAAGGGATGCAAATTGAGGCAGGAGAATAGGGTCTGGAGGCAGGGAACCTAAGGCTGTTTCACGCTGACTTCCTAGAATGAAATTGAAAGGAAAACCCTAACTTTTCCTGTCTAAGTAACAAAAGGACCAGAGGCTACTCAGTTTGCAAGTCCCCCGACCATTTTCTGAGCGGCAGGTGGGAAATTGGCTGTCCGCAGCAAATCAGACTGAGTGCAGGCTGAGCCTTCGTTTGCATAGAAGTATAAATTTGTAACTTCACCCTAGCCTCTGACTGGTTTTGCAACCAATCAGATGTTTGTACAGGAGTGCGACCTTTGTAACTTCACTTCAGCCTCTGGTTGGCTGTTTTCTGTAATCAATCAGACTGATTGCGGGCTACCACTTCATTTACATGAGGTGAGCATGAAGTGGCCAGTGGGAAACTTCTAGTGGGTATTTGGACCCAAGAAGATTCCCTATCCAGCCCTTGAGCTGCTGCTCGGCCCGCTCCCACACCTTGGAGTGTACTTTCGTTTTCAATAAGTCCTTGCTTTCCTTCTTTCATAGCCTCATCCTTTCTTTGCTTTGCTGGGCGTTTTGTCCAATTCTTTGTTCAAAACGCCAAGAACCTGGACAACTTGCAGTCATGACCCTCTACCGGTGACGAAATCATGTAATGTACAAGATTATAAACTTCTAGACAAACACCAACCTGGCGTGGGTGGCTCACGCCTGTAATCCCAGGACTTTGGGAGGCCAAGGTGGGCGGATCACCTGAGGTTGGGAGTTCAAGACCAGCCTGGCCAACATGGTGAAACCCCGTCTCTACTAAAAATACAAAAATTAGCTGGGCGTGGTGGCACACGTCGGTAATCCCAGCTACTTGGGAGGCTGAGGCACGAGAATCGCTTGAACCTGGGAGGCGGAGGTTGCCGTGAGCCGAGATGGCACCACTGTACTCCATCCTGGGCGAAGCAGTGAGACTCTGTCTCCAAAAATAAAATAGAAATGAATAAATAAATAAATAAAATAAACACCGACTTTTATTATGTAAGCATTTAAAAATATTTACGAATGAGGCACAAGCTTCTTTTACAATGGTCCATTGTGCACAGAAGATTGTCTTTGGTTCTTTGGGGAAGAAGAATGAGATGAATAGGCTGTGTATTCAAGAGGGGAATAATCTAAGGGGCACATGAGATAAATATATGAAAATACATGTATGTAAAAGCAGTATAAATGGACACTGGTAGCTGCCGTTTGTTTGTTGAGCATCATCTTTGTGCCAGGCCCTGAGACATCCTTAGTAGAAAAAATTGTTCCCTTGCAAAAGAGGAAACTCAGGGGCATGGAGTTTACAATAACTTGTAACAGGTCCTGCAGCTCGCAAGGGTCAGAGACAGAACATAAACTCATGTTCATCTGGCTGACTCTGAGGTCCAACCTCAGATTTATGTCCATGCTGTCCACAACCTCTTCTTTTTTTTCCTCCTTTTTCTCCCACTCCTCCTCTCGTAGTCTTCCTTTCCCTCCTCCTCCCCATTTCATTCCTCCTCCTTCTCTATACACTCTCTTTCTCTCTCTCTTAGAGATATGTCCATCTTATAATTAAGCACAATTTTCATTATTGGCCAACTGGAATTAGGGTTTTCCTACTAATTTGTAGGACTCATATTTTAAAACTGAGATATTTAGTGTGCTACAGATTATAAACTTTTCTTTTTTCTTCTTCTTTTTTTTTTTGAGACGGAGTCTTGTTCTATTGCCCAGGCTGGCGTGCAGTGGCGCAATCTCGGCTCACTGCAACCTCCTCCTCTTGGGTTCAAGCGATTCTCCTGCGTCAGCGTCCCAAGTAGCTGGGGGATTACAGGCGTGAGCCACTATGTCTGGCCCAAACTTTTCAGAAAAATTATCTTAGAGAACACGTTGCTGGATCTGACATCAAATCTATACTTTAAAACTGTGACTGGCTGAGTGGACTAAGCCTGTTTCTTTTAATGTTATATCAAATCTCTGAAATATGGGGTTATTCATGTAATGAAAATCCTGTTATAGAAAAAGAAACCCCTTTCAGTCGTAACTAAAAGTTCTTTATGTGACAGCAGTTAGGTTTGATATGGTCGTTACTGAGAGTGTTATTCAGAGCAATAGCTTTATTTATTTATTTATTTTTTGAGGTGGAGTTTCACTCTTGTTTCCCAGGCTGGAGTGCAATGGCATGATCTCGGCTCACTGCAACCTCCGCCTCTTGGGTTCAAGCGATTCTCTTGCCTCAGCCTCCTGAGTAGCTGGAATTACAGGCATGTGCCACCACGCCTGGCTAATTGTATTTTTAGTAGAGACGAGTTTCACCATCTTGGCCAGGCTGGTCTCAAACTCCTGAGCTCAGGTGATGTGCCTGCCTTGGCCCCCCAAAGTGCTGGGATTACAGGTGTGAGCCACCAAGCCCGGTCAATAGCTTCCTTTTAACCAGGCAGGATGAACATATTTTAACACAGATATCTTTTCTTAATTAGTAAATCTAATCATGACTTTATTCCTGGCCTGTATGATTGTCAGAGTTCACCTTTTCTTGATTACTACTGTATAACTTGAAGTAGGGGATAAGGAACACAGTAGAGGTGAGGATTTTTAGGAGATCCAAGTATGAATCTCTGAGATTTCCCTGTGGGGGGCAGGTTTATGTTGACATAAATTGATCTGCAAATTATGTAACTAGAACTACCACATGTATGGTAGACAGCTTGATATGAACTAATATCACATATGCATAAAAGACAGTCTAACTTTTAAAATCATCTTATGAGAAAAATATATATTAAAATAAGCATAAAATGAGGCAGTGCATGGAAACTAAGGTCCATCTCTTTTTTACACTTGAGGGACTAAGACACATGGAGTGGTCCCTGTAGAGCCCATTCCCCACACATTATAGAGTCATGTGAGATGTACCAAGGATAATTCCTTACTGTACAGGAGAGAGACAGTTACTGAGACAGTTCGCTCATTTATTGTTACTTCATTTCTGTCATTTGAGGACCAAGAACACATAGTGCTTGCATTTAAGTATCTGATAAAGCAATGTGGACAGGAAATTTGTTTTATGAATTGTAGGATGGAAAGAAATTAACACATGTTGAATGCCTCCTTTGTGCTAGGTACTTTCATATTCCCATTTAATTTTATTTAAAAAATTCTATACTACAAAGTAGTATTCTTTATACCATAAAAAATTAGGAAACCAAGGCTCTGAGAGGTTAAGCAGAGGGCCCAGTGTATCTCAGCTAGAGGTGATGGAGCTGGTGTTTGAACTTGGTCTCTGGACTCCCAGTACCTGGCTTTTTACATTATCTTACTCTGCAGGAGATAAAAGTGCTTGTAACATTAAGCCACACCATGCCTCGGTTTCCTAGTGCACTGTAGGCATAGGGACCTGGCCATTCTGCTGTGGCTACTCCTGGAGTACATGTATCTCAGTTGCCTGTCTCATTTCATGAGAGCTTTATAACAAGTAAATGTAAGCTATGTTAAGTAAAAATAAGAGGCTATACACATGAGTTTGAGAAATTGCTGATATATTTAAGGTTTAAGAAATTTAGGACTAAAACTCAAAAATTATTCCATTGCTTAAAACTTAATATGCTATAAGGAATCTTGATCCAGATTCTTCTGGGTTAGCATGCATATCAAAAGAAATGCCTGATTATAATAAATCAACTTTTGATTAATATAGCAAAAATTGAAGCTCAATTTTCAATGTGTATGCAGAGTTACTAATTAATATACACACTAAAAAATAGCACATTTAAAAAAATAGCACGAGCCATGTAATCTTGATTTTTTAATATTTCAATGTGGAAAATTATTTTTCACATTTCTTTTTCTGCAGAGATTTTCAAATATTATGCATCATTTTAGACTTAGTTATTGTATATGGATTAAGATCTTTTGTTTTCTTCTTGAGACCGGGTTCCACTGTAGCACTCAGGCTGGAATGCAGTGGCAAGATCTTGGCTCACTGCAATCTCTGCCTCCTGGGCTCAAATGATCCTCCCACCTCAGCCTCTGAGTAGCTGGGACTACAGGCGTGAGTCACCACACCCAGCTATTTTTTGTAGAGAGAGGGTCTTACTATGTTACCCAGGCTTGTCTTAAACTCCTGAGCTCAAGTCAGCAACCCACCTTGGCCTCCCAAAATGCTGGGATTACAGGTGTGAACCACCATGCCTGGCCAAGATCTTAACTTATGGATAAATTCTTAACTTTATCTGACAAAATTGGTTTGCCAGAATGCTCATTGGTGATATTTAATGAGGGTTTACTGTGTATGCATATGCTTACTATGCATATGCTTTGTGTGAATTGTCTTTCTGAATCCTTCCCAACCCATGATGTATTTGGTGTAATTATGCCCATTTTACAGACGAGAAAACCAAAAGGCCATCAGGCTGGCAAAGAGGGGTGTGTGACATGGAACCCAGTATTTTGACTGAAGTCCATGTTCTTATATGTGCTGTGTATCTATAACATCACTGTGCAAGAAGTTAATACTCAAAAAATACTGCACATAAAAACATTACCCCAAAAAGGATAACAGTGGGAAATAGGCTAATATTCACTCCTACATCTCATCCTCTCCCAGGGCAGTGTTGGCTCATGTTCTTTTTAATTCTTGGCATTCTCCTTGAGGTTTTCTGCCCCATGGGTATTGTATAAAGACCTCCTCCAACTAGAATATTGCTGGGGTGGCATTCTGCTTTGTGTAATGCCAAAGTGAAGGTTTCTATGAAGCAGATGCATGCTTTTTTGGGAGAGACCACGATTTCTCCTGAAAGAATGCCACTGGTGGGTGACTACATGGATTCTTTGTCCCCTCTGTTGTGCCCCACTTTGGGAGAGAAGCAAGGATGGGTCTGTCAACCAGGGAAGAGGAGGCGACAGCGGCACAGTCTCTGGAAAAGTGTTGCTGATAGCCTATGGTGTGGAGAAGGGCAGGTTTGGGGAGTATCAGGAGTAGAGGGAAGGAAACAGGCTATCATATTTCTATAGAAGCAAAATGAGCAGCAGGGCTGACAGCCTTTGGCAGCAGGAAATCAGACATTATTTCTGGAGAGAACTTCCTGTCCCTAATGGGTAAACTTATCCACTTCTCACATTTCCCCACTTGTACTAGGGGCTTCCTAAGAAATAAATACTCTTTTTTTTCCTTTTCTTTTCTTTTCCTTTTTTTTTTTTTTTTTTTTTTTGAGACTGAGATCACTGTTGCCCAGGCTAGAGTGCAATGGCATGATCTCAGCTCACTGCAATCTTCATCTCCTGGGTTCAAGTGGTTCTCCTGCCTTAGCCTCTCAAGTAGCTGGGACTACAGGCATGTGCCATCACGCCTTGCTAATTTTTGTTATTTTTAGTAGAGTCAGGGTTTTATCATGTTGGCCAGGCTGGTCTCAAACTCCTGACCTCAGGTGATCTGCCTGCCTTGGCCTCCCAAAGTGCTGGGATCACAGGCGTGAGCCATCGTGCCCGGCCGGAAATACTCTTGTGTGTGGCTCCCTGTCTTTCCATTCGGTCAGGGGTCTGTGATAGAAGTGACTCCCCAGGAAGTCTTTTGGGGAACTCACAGGACAGAAGTGGGCGTTATCTTTGGTGGGCTTCTCTCCCCACCTCTCACCCCCACCCCATTGGTTTGTCTTTGAGATAACCAATTTTTATTGGGCATTGACTTTTAGGGCTGAATTGGGTCTTTCAAAGTTCACAAACACTACCCACCTCACCAACCTAACCACCTGCTAACCTTTCTGGAAATTTCCAGGCAAGTGGCTGAACCAAAGCAGGGAGTGTAGTACAAAGGCAAGATGGAAGCACAAGGCATCATGTTTCATGTATTAAAACCAACTCCTTGGCCAGGTGCGGTGGCTCATGCCTGTAATCCCAGCATTTTGGGAGGCCGAGGAGGGCGGGTCACCTGAGATCAGGAGTTCGAGACCAGCCTGGCTAACATGATGAAACCCTATCTCTACTAAAAAAAAAAAAAAAAAAAAAAAAATTAGCCAGGCATGGTGGCAGGTGCCTGTAATCCCAGCTACTCAGGAAGCTGAGGCAGGAGCATCACTTGAACCTGGGAGGCAGAGGTTGCAGTGAGCCGAGATCGCATCAGTGCATTCCAGCCTGGATGACAGAATGAGACTCCATCTTAATAAAAAACAAAAACAAAACAAAACAAAAACAACTCCTTGAAATCACATTTAAATATTAAGGTATTATTATATAACCACAAAATTTGCCTTTTAGATGGAATATGAAACCTCATCTATTCTTTGCAAATGTATTAACCTCACTCTTCTTTGTTTTAAACCATTTCTCCTCAGTCTTTCATACAGACAGATGGTCTCAGTTATGTACAGTAGCTTCTAGCCTCTGTGTTGCTATGCAACAAAATGCATCCTATCTGCGTCCTTTCTCTGTTATATCCCATTTCCGTTCAACTCAAAATAACTAGCCGAGTGCTTCAACATGCTACTTCCTCCTTTCTACAGAGTTGAATACCTATCAAGTATCTTCCTGGGCTTCCTATCTCTTCCTGTTACAGTCTTGAAAAAATGTGTTTGCTCCAATTTGATTTTCCTCATCACTTCCTATTTACATCAACCCACTCAGAGCTAAGGCAGGCAAAACATACATCAGTGAGTCATGCAGCTGTTGGCCCATAGGAAAAAGAAATGTGTCAGCCAATTGAGTGATATTTGAAACTAAAATTTTTTTTATTGTTGTCAGATGTGGGGTTCCTGTTTTTCCTTTTTGTCATGGCTTTGTTTCTCAACAGATACTAGAATGTACAAAAAATTAAACATAAAAGTAACTTTTCTCATTTTGGGGTTTAAGAAAGAGGGTAATAATCTTGCAAAAAGAGGGTAAATTCTTGCAAAATAAGAGGCAAGCAGAGGACATGTAAATGTCCTGAATTTTGTAGATAGAAGCTTGGAATTTAAAGATTAAAAAGTCCTTAAACAGAAACAAAAATACATCTTTTAAAAGACCGTATGTCATGTTGCAGTTTTTTTCTCTCTCGCTTGTTTAATCCTTAGGACATTAGACTCATTTATGGATTCTTCCAAAACTCATTTCATGCCCCTTTAATTCATGTCATTTTTCTTATCCCTAGTGGTCACAAATCTCAAATAATTAGATTAAGGTTGCCCCAACTAAGAAACCAGTGAATGTGGAATGGGGGAGATGGTAACATTGAGGTTAGAGTGGTTGCAGAAAATATGTTCATCACTCCTTGCTCTTCAGTGATCAAATTCCAATTTCTGAAGAAAAATCTAATGTCAAGTGGAAAAGAATGCATGTATTTGAAAATCCAAAGAATCTATGTAATTCACATTGGTGTTTTATTTCTTGATTTAAAAAATGAAGGTGCTGGAACATTGCATGATTTGAGATGAAGTATAAATCACTCAGTAGAATTTTGATGCTGTACAGTTATTATAAACTCAACAAAAAGTTTTAATTGCCTTAAATTTGTGCGAAATGTTCTTTAGAGGTAGGCACATTTGTTTTCTTTCCTCAGACGTTTTGGTTTCTCAGTCAAGTGTTCTCTGTGGAGTTGTAAATTTTCTTTCATGGCTGGGGTGGACGGATTTTACTTCCATGGTTAGTGTTTTCACACCTGATTTTGCTAAACTTGTGTTGGCCTCTTACCTGAGAAAGGTCCCTACAGCATACTCTAATGATGATCAGAACAGGTGGTCCTTGTGGCCAGCTTCCCTACCACACTGTTTCTTTGGAAACTCAGCACTGGGAATTGTTGCAAGAGCAGAAGAGAAGCTAAGTAATGTTGAGGATCCGAGTTTAGTGGCACTACTCGTTTGAGGTTACTGTAGTCTCTTGATACTGACAGGACCTTATCAGTACACAACGCCACAACACCATAGTACCCTTTGAATACTCTGACTATATTCTGTGTCTAAGCCAAAACGAAGTCAGGCAGCAATGTCAGATTGGACCCAATGGCAGCCAGGCTTTGGGGTGGAACTATGTGTGTGCCTTTGGCTTAGATGGTCCTGTCTGTCTGTGTTTACAGGGGGATTCTGAAGTCATTTTTTAGGCAGGTGCTGGTGTTCTTTATTTGGTCACATAAAAAATAAAAGGAGATGAAAGATTGGTAATGTGGATGTGTTAAATTTATAGATATGTGTATGTATATATGTGTTTGTGTGTATATGTGTATGTATACATGTATGTGTGTGTTATATATATGGAGAAATAGATATTAAAAATTATAAAAACCACTCAAAACAATTTTAGGTCATTCCTTCAACATGTGTATTAAATACCCCTTTACATTTCATATTTATTTTATCTGTGATTTTAAGTTAGATAAAATAACTTTTTTCTACTAGATATTGAAAATATTTTGCTGGGTACAGTAGCTCATGCCTGTAATCCTAGCATTTTGGGAGGCCAAGGTGGGTGGATTGCTTGAGACCAGCCTGGGCAACATAGTGAGATCTTGTCTCCAAAAGAAGTACAAAAATTAGCCAGGCGTGGTGGTGCATGCCTGTACTTCACTACTCAGGAGGCTGAGGTGGGAGGATCACCTGAGGCTGAGAGGTTGAGGCTGCAATCAGCCATATTTGTGCTACTGCATTCCAGCTTGGGTGATAAGTGTGAGACCCTATCTCAAATACCTATATTTAAAAATATGTTTAAAGAGTTGTAGTATTGTAAATTTCATCAGATCTCCAGATCTTTTTTATCTTGTGTTTTAGAGAGTCTCCTGTCCTCTGATTTATATCATACCCAGGAAAAATAAATAATAGATTCGAACAAAAAAGAAACTCATTTTTTGAACTTCCTCTGTTTTGTGGGCTCAGAAACATTCTGTCCACCCTTCGTTTCCTGTAGAATATTTCGTCATATCACTTTAAACCATGAGTCTTCAAAATTCCTTTCCATCTTGAACATAGTGTGTATTCTAAGCTAGATAGTGAGGCCACAGAGGACAAGTCACATATCTCCCTTGAGTCAAAGGCAGCATCCAGGGCGTGTGAGGGGAGCAGTCAGGAGCAGGAATGCATTGACTTGGGGTAAAGCAACCTAAACAATGTTGACCTTTCAACACAGCAGTGGTGACTGGGTATAATGGTTTATCTCTAAAATCCATGGAAGCCTGCATAAAATTAATGTCAGGGAGAATTTTGTTTTCCATTTAAATACATTTTGTTATTAATACTAGAGTAAATCATATTCATCATAGAATTTTTTAAAAAAAGCAATAGGGTGGGAAATACACCCCATATATTGTGGGAAACAACCACCATTAACATTGTGGTATATTTTTTTCCCTCTCATTTTCCCTCCTTTGGATTATGATTGGTTTTCTAGCAGTTTTCCGTACTTATCATGAATGGGTTCTCATGTCATTAAATACTTTAAATTCTGATGGCTAATAACTGCATATTTATTCCATACATAAGTAACTTTGGTTATTTGTCCAAAGGGTAACTTCTTTTGATTTTTAAAAATAGTTGCAAATTTTATTATGATATAGTGCAAAATTTTGAGCAAGGCATGCTTTGTATCAGGTGTCTACTTACTTCTTTCTAATATCTCCTCTTATGCTGACATACAACACAACCAGTACCTTCATGGGTAGCCTCTTCATGCTCACCTCTTCCAGAACCATGTGAAACTTGAAAATCAAGCCTTTCCCCTGAACTCATCTGAACCTTTTATCTCAGGAATTTCCTCAGAAAGTCTACTGTTTCCTGGATATTTGCATTTCAAAAAAGATACTGAAAATGTAGAGAAGTGAATTTCTCATCGAATTTCATTTAGTGTGTCCTCAGCATATGTGTTATATCCGTTGGAGGGAATGTACTACTCTGTCAATATTTGTGGGCCGTAATTGTTTCCCAATTATTTCATAATTTTGAGGATTGTCTCCTTAGTAACACTGTCAGTTCCTTTAGTGAAGGTCCTGGGGGGAAAACTTTTTTTATTCCTGCTCAAAGCTTAGCACAATTCTCGGCATATTGCAAATAGTAATGATGATGATACTTTTAAAAGAAGCTTACTTAATTTTAATGGTTAGTAGGAACCTCAAATCTGAGATCACAGACTATGGTTAGTTGTAGCAATGAAGGAATGATTCTTCTAACAATACTCCCAGGGCAGAAATCACTAGAGGCTGGCCAGAGGAGAAATATCAGGCACATTTGCCTATTGAACCAGAGGTTTGGTGACATGAAGCAGAATGATTAGGCTTATGTTTAGGGTTAAAACATTTTGAGTACATTAAGTAAATTTTGAGATAATGGACCTCAGAGTGACAATGTTATCAGAATTTCTAATTATCTTGGTGTTCCTTTCTGTTGAACCATGCCCAGCCAAACAGATAATCCTGGTCGTCAGAATTACATTTCCATAAATGGAAGATGAATAATTCTCTCTTTTAAGTAACAGAGATAGGATTAAGCCCTGAGGTTGCATGCCTTTGCCACGACTGTTCCGCTCTCTAAAATATTCTTTGTCTCTTCTGACAAATTCTTAGTCATTCTACGAAATCCAATTCAAATATTCCTTTAAACACTTACTGATGCCCCTAGGCAACCTCTGTATAACCCAAGACTTCCTCTTTAGTGCTTTCACAGCATTCTTACTGTGAAATATCTATATCATTACTTATCATAAATATGTGAATCATTGGATATTTATGATCTCTAATGATCATATTGTAGCCATTATACTGGCACTGAATATCCTTGTGCCCTTACTCTCCTATGAATTGGGCAAGTATAGGGGCCATATTCTATTTTGCTTTGCATTTCAGACATTTAATCACAATCTTGTTCATAATAAGTACACAACAAATTTTATCAAGTGAATAAATGATGTTTCACAACTCATGTTGCAAGTTATTGACAATGCCAATAAAACCAAGAACAATGGTAGGTTTTATTATGCTGTCTTTCTTTGGCTATCTTGACCAAAATACACAAACAAAGTGGGGTTTTTAGCCTCAGCCTATGACATCTACAAGGCTCTGGTTTTCTTGGTTTCCATTCTTTGCCTTAGGTTCCACCTCTTAAACGATAGGGGTCTATTTTCTGTGTTCCTGAACACACTGAGCACATTCCAAGCACAGAGGCCTTTTCTCTTTCGGTTTTCTCTACCTGGAATAATTTTCCTCCAGCTATTTGTATGACTCAACTCATCACTTCATTATGTCTCATATCCTCAAAGACCACCCTATTTAAAAGGGCAAACTTCTCAACTCTGTTACTCTACCCTGATTTATAACACTTAACACTGTTTCACATTATGATACACATTTTAAAATTTGTGTATATATTGTTGGCATGGGCTTTGTTTTGTTTATTACTCTATCCCCAGCAATGTTGCAAAAGTGATTCAATGGAAGAAGAATGGACTTTTCAACAAATAGTGCTGAAGCAATTGGACATCGAAGGGCAAATAAATGAACCTCAAAATAAGCCTCAAAAATCAACTCAAAATAGATCATGCAAAATAGAAAATACAAATCTGTGAAACTTTCAGAAAAATCATAGATAAAAATATTTGGATCTTAGGGCTAAGCAAAGAGTTCATAGACTTGACACCAAAAGAACAATTAATGCAAGGAAAAATTGAGAAATTGGACCACATCAAAGTTAAAAACTTTTGCTTTGTGGAAGATCCCACAAAGAGGATGAAGAGATAAGATACAAATTGGGAGTAAATATTTGAGACTCATGTGTCTGACAAGTGCCTTGTGTCTATTCTAGACTACGGAAGAAACTCTCAAAACTCAATAGTACAAACACCTTGAACAATACAATTAGAAAATGAACAAAAGATGTGAACAGACATCTCATTGAAGAAGATATACAGATGGCAGGTAAAAAGGTGTTTAACATCATTAAACACCTACATTAGTGAAACGCAAATTAAAATCACAATGAAATATCATTACACAACTATTAAAGATAAAATATAGTGATTATACCGATTACTGATGAGGACAAGGAGAGGATGAGGAGAAACTGATCATACATTGCTGCTGGGAATGTCAAATGGTGTATTCACTCTGGCATTTATAAATAGTTTGGCAGTTTTCTAAAAAAAAAACCAAAAAACCAAAAATCATGTACTTATCATATAACCTAGCAATTTCACTCTTGGGCATTTATCCCAGAGAAATGAAAAATTATGTTTACACAAAAATCTGCATGTAAATGTTTATAACAACTTTATTTGTAATAGCCCCAAACTGAAATAACCCAAGTGTATTTCAACATGTGAATGGTTAAATGAACTGTGATAATACAGCCACACCATGGAATACTACTCAACAATAAAAAGGAATAAACTATTGGTACATGCAATAACTTGGATGGATTGCGAGGGAATTTTTCTGAGTAAAAAAGATTACATACTATAAGATTTCATTTATTTAACAGCCTCAAAACAAAATTGTAGATGGAGAGCACAGATTAGTGGTTACCAGAGATTATTGATATGGGGGAAGGAGTTGTGGCTATAAAGGAATAAGCAAAGGGAGCCTTATGCTGACAAAACAGTTCTGTCTTTTTTTTTTTTTCGAGACAGAGTCTCACTCTGTTGTTCAGGCTAGAGTGCAGTGGCACAATCATAGCTCACTGCAGCCTTGACCTCCCACCCCAGCCTCCACGTAGCTGGGACTAAAGGCGTGTGCTACCATGCCCAGCTAATTAAATTTTTTTTTTTTTTTTTAAGAGACAATGTCTTACTATGTTGCCCAGGCTGATGTTGAACTCCTGGGCTCAACTGTTTCTCCCACTTTGGCCTCCCAAAGTGTTGGGATTACAGGTGTGAGTCACTGTACTCGGCCAGTTCTGTATCTGGATTATGGTAGTGGTTACGTGAATTTACACATATGATAAAATTGTATATAACTATTCACACACACACAAGTGAGTGCATGTAAAAGTAGTAAAATTAGAATAAACTGTGAGTTGTATCCATTTTAATTTCCTGATTTTGGTATTATTATTTTAGATATATGAGATGTAATCATTAGGGGAAACTAGGTGAACGGTACATGGAACCTCCTTCTACATTTTTTTGCAACTTCTCGTGAATCCAAAATCATTTCAAAATGTTATTTAAAAACCCCTTATCCACACACAGTTTATTTCATATGCACATACATTATCCTGGAAATAGGTATGAGGCACTCTTTGAACCCTTCCAAGTATTTGCCCAAAATGAAACTCCATACCTATTAAGCATTAATCTTGGGTCAAATAACATTCCATTCTCTATGAGAAGAGGACTATAACAATATCAAAGAATATTATTTCTAATTTAGAGATGATGGACTGAAGACAGAGGAATTTGCTTATCAATGAGTTAAAAACCTTCTGTTTTAAAGAATAGAGATAGAGTCTCACTAATGTTGCCCAGGCTGGCCTCCAATTCCTTGCCTCAAGCAATCCTCCTGCCACAGCGTCCCAAAGTGTTGGGATTACAGGCATGAGCCACCATGCCTGGTCTTCTAATTAGTTTTTAAAGGTATTACAGGCACCCAGAGGATAAACACATTTTTGCAAAATGGCAGCTATCTTTATAAGAAAGAGAAAATTTCCTAATTGTATTGGTTTTTCAAATCTACTGCAACAAATTACCACAAGTGGGAGGCTTAAGACAACAGAAATTTATTCCCTCACAGTTCTGGAAGCCAGAAGTTTGAAATCAAGGTGTCACCTGGGCTTTGCTCCCTCGGAAGTTTCTGAAGAAAAAAAATCATCCCATGTGCCTGTGCTAGCTTCTGGTGCATGCCAGCAATCCTTGGTGTTCTTCTCTCTGTGTCTTGTCCCTTTTGAGGACCCCGGTCATTGGATCAGGGCCCACCCTAAACCCATCTGACCTCATTTTTTTTTTGAGATGGAGTTCACTCTTGCTGCCCAGGCTGGAGTGCAATGGCACAATCTCGGCTCACTGCAACCTCCGCCTCCTGGGTTCAAGCGATTCTCCTGCCTCAACCTCCTGAGTAGCTGGGATTACAGGCGCATACCACCACACCCAGCTAATTTTTTGTATTTAGTAGAGACGGGGTTTCACTATGTTGGTCAGGCTGGTCTTGAACTCCTGACCTCAGGTGATCCACCCACCTTGGCCTCTCGAAGTGCTGGGATTACAGGCATGAGCCACTGCACCTGGCCCATATGACCTCATTTTAACTTAATGACATCTGCAGTTACCCTATTTCCAAATAAGGCCATGTTCTGAGGTACTGGAGTTTAGGACTTGAATATATCTTTATGGAGGAACAATTCAACACACAATGGCTCAATGGCTGTCATTGTTTTCTTTAGAAAAATAATAAAGGATGAGAGCTTGTAGCAACCTTGAGGCAATAAAGATCTATTTGCTGAGCCTAGTTATCATAGAAAAGATGCATGTCTGTGCACATGGAAAGTATTGGTGGCCACTTGCTGGTTTTGGGGAATAGTAAGGAAGATTAACAGTCAACATCCCATCCCTGGGAAGGAAGGAAAACATCTATATTGTCAGGATTCTTTCCAGTTATCTCTGCTACAGTACCTTTTACCCAGTTCACATAGCCTGTGAGTAACAGTGTCAAAAGACTCAGCACTTCTGATTCAAATTCAGCAGCTTCGACAGGACCAAAGGTCAATTTCTTCCTTTGTAGACCTATAAGTGGATGTGACAGTCCAACCAATATCACTGGTTACTTTGTTTTAGAGCCAATATAGGCATTCATTTTAAGCAAACATCATTTGTAAAGTAAAAAATAGGGATAAAACATGTCTTATACCATGATGCTGTAAACTGGGGCAGGAAATCAAATCAAGAGCCCACAGCACATTCCTTCTGGAAAATCTGCTAAAGGAAGGAAGTTCCCTGAGGGATTTTTAATCCTCCTGCACAGGACTTTGTTTTGAGAGGGTCATTCAAAAAAAAAAAAAAAAACCTGTACAAAATGCCTTACGGGGCACTCATGACACGCTTGGGGAAAATTTATAATGCTGCAGCATTATGCTAAAAGATATAGGATCCTCTGTCCTTGTTGAATAAGAAGAGTCACATTAAGAAATAGCAGGTGTGCTCAGTTTTAGGCTTATTAGAAAGAGTAGTGGTAAGGAATAATGTAATTTTAGAGCTCTGAGCAGAGGATCACCTCTCCTGCCAACCAAAAAACAAAAAACAAAAAAAAAATGGACGGGGATGGAGCAGGGCAAGAGATTTTCTTTCTTTCTTTCTTTCTTTCTTTCTTTCTTTCTTTCTTTCTTTCTTTCTTTCTTTCTTTCTTTCTTTCTTTCTTTCCTTCCTTCCTTCCTTCCTTCCTTCCTTCCTTCCTTCCTTCCTTCCTTCCTTCCTTCCTTTTTCTTTCTTTCTCTCTCTCTCTTTCTTTCTTCTTTTCTTTCCTTTCTTTCTTTTTTTTTTTTTTTGAGACAGTCTTGCTCTGTTGCCCAGGCTGGAGTGCAGTGGCACAATCTTGGCTCATTGCAACCTCTTCCTCCTGGGTTCAAGCAATTCTTATGCCTCTCAACCTCCCAAGTAGCTGGGATTACAGGTGCATGCCACCACGCCTGGCTAATTTTTATATTTTTAGTAGAAACAGGGTTTTGCCATGTTGGCCAGTCTGATCTCGAACGTCTCTGACCTCAAGTGATCAGCCCACCTTGGCCTCCCAAAGTGCTGAGATTACAGGTATGAGCCACCGTGCCAGGCCAAGGTGGTTTTTGTTTGTTTGTTTGTTTGTTTGTTTGTTTGTTTGTTTTTAGAACAATTTCTTTCTTATTATCTTTCAGGAGCCCAGGAATGCAAGAGGTTGGGTCTCTTGGCTTTCCTGTTGGTACTTAGTGTCCTGTGCAATGAATGCATTACTCTCATCAAAGGAAAAAAAAAAAGGAATTAGCAGCTTTGTGAGGTTATGAGATA
Organism: Homo sapiens; assembly: GCF_000001405.40. NCBI lineage: Eukaryota > Metazoa > Chordata > Mammalia > Primates > Hominidae > Homo > Homo sapiens. The sequence continues at coordinate 199,850,348 of NC_000001.11, read as the reverse complement.
GGGAAACTAGAGATGCCACTAAAAGCTGACATTCTTAACCCAAAGAAATAGGTTCTGAAAGTTGGTTTAGGTGGCGAATACATGGTGTTGATGAAGTGAGGCCCTTGGTTTTATTCCCACCAACAGTCTCATCCCCACTCTGGGGCTTGACATTGGCTTTTCTTTCTATTCCATTACATCCAATCATTCTGCAAATGTTATCAAGTGATCACAGGGAGTTTCCCTTGGGAGCACAGCTAGATGGTGTGGTGAGACGTGACAGAACTGTAGCAGCCTCTGTTTTTCTACAAACCTTAGTTGGCCATATGTATAACTTTATGGAAACACAAATAGTGCCTAACAATTTCCAATATTAAAATTCTGCCCAAAATAAATGAAGTATTTTCTGTATGGAATGTCTTTATTTCTATTTTTTTTCTTTCTTTTTTGAGACAGGGTCTCACTTCATCACCCAGTCTGGAGTGTGTAGTGGCACAATCTCAGCTCACTGCAGCCTAAGCCTCCTGGGCTTAAGCTATTCTCCTGCCTCAGCCTTCTCAGTAGCTGGGACTATGGGTGTGTGCTACCACACCTGGCTAATTTTTGTATTTTTTGTAGAAATGGGGTTTCACCATGTTGCTCAGACTGTCTTGAACTCAGCTCAAGTGATCCACCTGCCTTGGCCTCCCCAAGTGCTGGGATTACAGGTGTGAGCCACCAGACCTGGCTTAAGCATCTCATTTTAAAACAACACCATTCAGTGGGTGCCAGGTAGGATCTATTTTTCTGTAAGTAAGAAAATAAAAAATATGAATAATAAATATACTTGCTCTTGAATATAAGCACTGATTCCCTATTAGTTTGGAGAGAAGAGGAGGATGTAAAGAAAGGAATTCTATATAAAAAAGCTCAGCAGGCTGGACATACCTTGCTCACCAAGGAGATTCTGACCTAGCTCCTCCTCTTCCAAGGTGACTACTCTGAGAATCACTCATTGTCATTTAGCACCACCATTATTCATAGAGATTTGTTGAATCCCTTTACTGTTATTGGGGAGGAAAAAAAATATATTGAGGTCATATACCCATTGCAGTCCACAATCCTTCTAAGAGAACAAAATCCTGACCATTTCCATACCTGGGATTGACTTTGAGTCCTAGTAGGGTAAAGCATTGTATTTACCTGAAAATGATATATTTTCCTACAATTGCATAATAATAATACAAATCAATAATAACAAAACACTTTTTTCCACCTAGGGCTTTTCTAACCAGAGCTTCCTTCTATACTGAGCATTCACTTCACCAATAATTGATCAAAGTTGTCTTCGGGTAGAATTGTGCCTGAAGAAGCCACAGGTTCCTGCCTTGCCCTCTTAACTTTCTGTTGTACCCTGGAAAGCATTTCTCATCTCTCTTCTCTGCCAAATATTTCTGATAGGTTATTTATAGCATAAGGTGAACAAACCAATGTATTATCTCTTTCATTCTATCTTTTCTTTCTTTCAAACTGTACAATTCAAAAACACAAAATTGTCAGGTTTTTAAAAATTTTTATTTATATATTTATTTATTTTTTTGGCACAGTACCTCCTTGAGGCAAAAACCTCCCTGACAGTGGCCAGTGTAGGATTCTTTGTAGCGCGCACAGCACCTATCATAATACCTTTAAATACTGGCACTCATGGGCTTGTGTTGAGTGAATGAATACAAGTCCCCGAGAGGCTGGTGGGCCTGAGGATGGGGACTCGCCAAACTTGTGATGAATTTTAAGTGAATGAATTCTAGTAATGTTAGTTATTTGCATTCATTTCTTATTTCATTCACTAAAAAACTGTTGATAGAGTATGTGCCAGATATTTTGATGGGAAATGATAGTGAACAAAAATGGGATACATCTCTGTTCTTGAAAAGTTTACATTCTCATGGGGGAGATCCACAAATAAGCATATAATCACCAGCCAGAGTGAGCGCTCTAAGGAAATGGGCTCATCTGTGGGCAAGACCTGGTGAACAGAAAGGCGCTCCCAAGAAGTTGGTGAAGAAAGACATGTAGAAGTTAACAAGGTGAAGAGGTGAGTGGACAGTATTACAGGCAGAGGGAAGGATGTTCATGTAAAATTTTTTTGGATAGTTACTACAGTGTAAAGGCATTGTTTGGGTACTGGGGATATAAAAGTAAACCAGATAAATAAGGTTCCTGCTCTCACGGAGTGTGTGTGTTTAGAGGGTTTAGAAGATATGTAAAATAGTCACCAATTATGGCCAGTGCTATGACGAGAATAAAACAGCGTGATGTGATAGAGAGCAAGTGGATGGGAGGTTTGGCTGCAATATTGGGTACATTGGATTTCCACTTCAGCACACCGCAGTTCTATTGAGGATGCTTTGGCTCCTTCACTGTAGACATAATACTTTCAAAAGATAACTTGTCTTCTGTGAATGAAGAGTCAGATGGCAAGAGTGAAAAAGAAATAGGCGACCAGGAGGGACCCGTGATGCTGGTGTGGACCAGAAAGCGTAATAGTGGAGATGGAGACAAGTGGATGGATTCAGGGTCTATTTTGGAGATGGAGCTGGCAGGTTTTGTTGTTGGATTAAGTGGATGTAGGGAGTAAGAGAAGGAGTAGACTTAAAGATGCTTCCTGGGTCTTTGGCTGGAGCAACTAGAGGGTGATGTTGCGTTTTACTGGAAGTAGAAGGCTGGGTAAAGATGAAGTCATGATGAACAGAGGCATGGCATATTGAAGAACTACAGGAAGAAATACGACCAGGGAATGGAAATGGGGGCAGTGGTGCCAAGGTGGGATTATGGCTCGACCAATAGGGCCTGTCTTTATTCCCATGGGAAATGAATTTACCTTCTCTGGTTATTAGATATAGTTAAGGTTTTGCTTCTGTGGGGTCTCTCCTTAAGCTAAAAGTCTTTTTTTTTTTTTTTTTTTTTTTTTTTTTTTTGAGACAGAGTCTTACTCTCTTGCCAAGTGGTGTGATCTGGGCTCACTGCAACCTCTGCCTCCTGGGTTCAAGCGATTCTCCTGCTTCAGCCTACCAAGTAGCTGTGATTACAGGCATGAGACACCACGCCTCACTAATTTTTGTATTTTTAGTAGACACGGGGTTTTGTCACATCGCCAAGCTGCTCTCAAACTCCTGACCTGAAGCGATCTGCTCGCCTCGGCCTCCCAATGTGCTGGAATTATAGGCGTGAGCCACTGCACCTGGCCTAAAAGTCTTAAGTATATTAAAAAATAACTTAGAGCCCCTCTAATAAAAAATAAGTTACTTCTGTTATCCTATTAAACTTTTTTATTTTTATTTTGAGATGGAATTTTGCTCTTGTTGCCCAGGCTGGATGGAGTGCAGTGGCGTGACCTCGGCTCCCTGCAACCTCTGCCTCCAGGGTTCAAGCGATTCTCCTGCCTCAGCTTCCTGAGTAGCAGGGATTACAGGCACCCGCCACCACACCCAGCTATTTTTTTTCTATTTTTAGTAGAGACAGGGCCTCACCGTGTTGGCCAGGCTGGTCTCAAACTCCTGACCTCAGGTGATCTGCCTGCCTCAGTCACCCAAAGTGCTGGGATTTTAGGTGTGAGCCACCATGCCCGGCCCCTATTAAACTTTTAACAAAACTGAGAAAAAATGGATTTTTTCAGAAAAGGGATTAATAATAATAACAAAGGGATTATTATTATTGAGATAACAATATTGAGATGACTGAGTCCAAAAGTTAAATGACATGCTCAAGTTCATAAAGAAAATGGAAATATTATTCTAGATTCATGGTTCCTTGTTAGTTGGTAGCTACTGGAAGGAATGAATGAAGAATAGAGCTGCTTTGCCTCAGATGGAGAGACTAAATCAACACCATTTGTAATGATATGGAGGGCCCTTATATATAAAACTTTCTTTGCCATCTATTACTCTGAAGAGCACAACTAGAGTCACACTGTGCAGGTGAACAAAATGAGATTCGTGATTAGAGAGAGGTTTGTGGGTGGATGGAAGCAGACACTGAAGTGATCTCACAGTGGCTTAGGTGAGAGATCATAGGGCCTTATATAGTGGGGAAGGGCAGCCAGAAACGACAAGCAGGCAGAGAGATGGAACGTAGAAGAGGCAGTATTTAGAGGGCTTTGTAAGTGATTGAGTGTGTGTGGCAGTGAAGTGGTGAGACAAGTTTCGAGCTTGGTTCACTGGAAAAATGGTGATGGCGTTGGTCAACATAGTAAATGTACCAAGGCCGGGCATGGTGGCTCACACCTGTAATCCCAGCATTTTGGGAGGCCGAGGTGGGAGGATCACCTGAGGTCAGGAGTTCAAGACCAGCTTGACCAAATGGCCAAACCCCATCTCTACTAAAAATGCAAAATTAGCCAGGCGTGGTGGCGCATGCCTGTAATCCCAGCTATTCGGGAGGCTGAGGCAGGAGAATCGCTTGAATCTGGGAGGTGGAGGTTGCAGTGATCTGAGATCGCGCCATTGCACTCCAGCCTGGGTGACAAAGCGAGACTCTGTCTCAAAAGAAAAAAAAAAGAAAGTGTACCAAATATACATTTATCTGCCTTTGGGAGTCCAGGATGAGGAGAGTAACAAATATCTCCACCCCCGCACCCACACACACAATAAAAAAATAAAAGGTAATTTTTAAATGTTTTATATTATTATTTTTTAAAATAAAATTAATTAAAAATACACTTATCTTACCCCAGTTGTAAAAATAAATATATTGTACTACAACAACCATTTTCTCAGCACTCGTATCCTTCCTTAAAAATATTATTCTTGTTGAATTTACTTATTTTTGAAGGTAATATTCAAATATAATGGTATGTCTCTTGGAAACAAAGTTCTATTGTAGGCAACATAGTGAGATCCTGTCTCTAAAAAAAAAAAAAAAGAAAAAAATTAGTGTAGTGTGGTGGCACTACTCAGAAGCTGATGTGGGAGGATCACTTGAGCCCAGGATTTTGAGACTGCAGTGAGCTGTGATTCTTGATCAAATCACTGCATTCCAGCCTGAGCAGCAAACAAGGCCCTGATGCTAAAAAAAAGGACACAAAGTTTTAACACTATCATTCTAGGATTCTAGAGTGATAGTAAACATATGTTTTAAATAATCTTTCCCTTGATCCAACTTAGCTTTCTACCACTTTAAAATGATAGCTCTAGTAAATTATTAGCAAGATTATTATTTATGATTATATTTCACATTTAATTTTTCTATAGCATATGGCACTTTGGACAGCTACAAATTATTACGGGTGTTATGTAACTTATGAATGAAATCCAAGTTCTTTTCATTTGATTACAGATCTACATACCACTAAATAGATTGCTAATTACAGTAGTTGGGTATCTCCATTATGATGTCAATAACAAAGTTAGTGCCCTTATGGAACACTTCAATATAATTGACATCTGTTTTAAAATCTGGTAGAATACACTTCCTCTACTCCTACTAATGTTTGTGTTGAAAATAATCAGGGAGATATTGAAAACAAGCCATATGTTCAATGACAATAAATGCTTCAAATGGTCTCTTTGGACACATACTTCATTTGAAGTACAGTAAATGATTAATGTAGATTATTTTACAATTTCCACATGGATAAAAAGATTTGAGACACACTTTCTTCTCACCTCAAATGCATTGTTGACTGACAAGCACTTCTGGTGTTTATTAATACATAAAATAAAAGAGCAGAACATATGTTTGCTGGCATGGCATTCACAGTGGGGCTAGGCAGGAGGTCAAGAGCTGATTAAGATTTATTTCCCCTGCATACTTACTGCCCAATGATTCTTGTATTTATTTGGTTAGTGTAGAAGGGAGAGATTATTCCTGGAAAGTGCTCTTTACCTCAAACATTCAGAGCTCAAGAAAGTAGGAAGTGAAAAATGTCTGCAAAAAGAAGTGCTTAAAAGCAAAAGTTGTAGTCAGTAAATAATTACTACTAATAATGATGCTAATAATGCTGAGAATTTAAAGACAGATCCAACAAAGCTGGTTACATATGACATGTCTCCTTGTTCAGTCATTTATTCCCTGGGTATGTTTTAAAGATCCCAAAAAATAACATATTTTCTCTTACTCTTTCCTCTCTTTTGGGTTTTAAAAAATCTGCTTTTTAATATTTAGTATTTAATATACAAATATTTATATAATCTAAAATATCAGTATGGTGCATTTTTTGCACCTCACTTTTATTTCCTATTTGCTTTCTTAAATTTCTTTTTAGAGGCAGCTGACTCATTCTCCGTGGGCATCAGTTTGCTTATCTGTATAGCAGATATCCTAGTATCCCTCACAGGGATGTTATGAGCACAAAATGAGATAACAATGACAGTGCTTGGCACACAGCAGCCCTAAGTAAAGAATTTCTCCTTTCCTCCCTTCTTTCTTCACTTATTTTCTCGTTTCCCTTTGTCATTCTTTCCAAGTCTTAAATCCATGATATAATCTTTTTCAATTTAAGATTGCAACTGTGAATTTGTCTCAGTAAAAATGAAGAATAATGGCTCTTTTTACAGAAGGATTGGTGGAAGGAAGGAAGGAGGGGAAAAAGGAAAGAACAGAGGGAGGAAGGGAGGGAGACAGAAAAACAAAAAGGGAGAGCTCTTTAAACAAACAAACAAACAAACAAACAAAAAAACTGGAGTCACTCTGTCACCCAGGCTGGAGTGCAGTGGCGCTATCTCTCACTGCAACCTCCGCCTCCTGGGTTCAAGCCATTCTCATGCCTCAACCTCCCAAGTAGCTGGGATTACAGGTGCCCACCATGCCTGGCTAATTTTTATTGTTTTTATTTTTATTTTTTAGTAGAGATGGGGTTTCATCATGTTGGTCAGGCTGGTCTCAAACTGACCTCAAATGATCCACCTGCCTTGGCTTCCCAAAGTGCTGAGATTACAAGCGTGAGCTACTGCGCTGGGCTGAGTTTAATTGTTTTGATTTTTACAAATAAATGAGAACATGTGATGTTTGTTTTTCTTTGCTTGGCTTATTTCACTTAATATAATGATCTCCAGTTCCATCTATGTTGTTGCAAATGACAGGATCTCATTCTTTTCATGGCTGAATAGTACTCCATTGTGTATATGTACCACATTTTCTTTATCCATTCATCTGTTGATGGACACTTAGGTTGCTTCCAAATCTTAGCTTTGGTGAATAGTGCTGCAACAAACATGAAGTTGCAGATATTTCTTCAATATACTGATTTATTTTCTTTTTGGTATATACCCAGCAGTGAAATTGCTGGATCATATGGTAGCTGGGAGAGCTTTTCTTTATTAATGCTATTGGCACTTCAGTTTTTGTTTTGTCTCATATTTTTTATACTAACAAAAAGCAGACTTGGTAAAATATGGTAAGCATTCCAGATATTCAATAAAATTCTACAAATAAAATTCTGTGTCATTGAGTTATTATCTAGTTCTGTTTAAAAACTGCTGTGATTTAATGTGAGCTAGGTGTTGACTTATTATGTGTATCTAAAATGAATTTTTTTTTTTTTTTATTTTTGAGACAGGGTTCACTCTGTCACCCAGGCTAAAGTGCAGTGGCATGATCATGGCTCACTGCAGCCTCAACCTCCTGGGCTCAAGTGATCCTCCTGCCTCAGCCTCCTGAGTAGCTGGGACTACAGGTGTGTAACACCAGGCCCAGCTAATTTTTTTTGTATTTTTGTAGAGATGGGGTCTCCCTATGTTGCCCAGGCTGGTAAAATGGATTTTTAACATTAAACTTTTATTTGTATTTTAAGATAATTGTAGCTTCATATGCCCTTGTAAGAGATAATACAGAATGAGTGCAGGCATTCTTTACCCAGCTTCCCTAAAGTGTAACATTTTGCAAAACTTCAGTACATTATCACAACCAAGATACTGACATTGATAGTCAAGATCCACAAAGTTTCCATTACCTCAAGGACCTCTCATGTTGTCCTTTTATGGCCAGACTGACTGCTCTTTCACTTCCATCCCTCCTTAACCCCTGGCAACTACTAATCTGTTTTCTATTTTTATAATTTTAAGAATATTATATAAATGGAATCAGGTGGCTTTATTTTGTGACTGGCTTTATTCATTCAGTATCTTTGGAGATTCATTCAGGTTGTTGAGTTTGTCAATATTTCATTCATTTTTATTGCCAACTAGTGTTCCTTGGCGTGAATACCGCAGTTGTTTAACCATTCACCTGTTGTAGAACATATTTTTTCTTTTATTTTTGCTATTACAAATGAAACTAATATAAACAGCAATCTTTTTGTATTCATTTTTTCTGTGGTAAATGCCCATGAGTACAATTCCTGTGCCATATTGTAGTTTTATGTTCAGCCTTTTAAGAAACTGTCAATATGTTTTTCAAAGTGTCTGTACTATTTTATATTTTCACCAGTGATGGAGGACGGATAAAGATTTTCTGCATCTAGTATTTAGTGATGTCACTATATTAATTTTAGCCATTCTTATAGGAGTGTAATGATATCTCACTGTGGTTTTAATTTGCATTTCCCCAAAGTCTAATTACATAGTGTACGTATATACCATCTGTATATCCTCTTCTGTTTTATTAATTTCTGTATTCATCTTTTCACCGATGCCACATAGCCTTGACTATTGTAGCTATATAATAAGTCTTCAAGTCAGGTAGACTGATTTTTTTCCCCACTTAATTCTTTTTTGTATTCTTTTATTTAAAATTATTATTATTGTATTCTTTTATTTAAAATTATTATTATTATGCTCTGTCACACTGGCTCGAGTGCAGTGGTACAATCATAGCTCACTGTACCCTTCAACTCCTGGGCTCAAACAATCCTCCCACCTCAGCGTCCTGAGCAGCTGGGACTAGAGGCACAACCACGCGTGGCTATAATTCTTCTTTTTCAAAATTGTTTTGGATAGTCAAGTTCTTTTGCTTTTTTAATATAGATTTTGGAATAAATTTTCTATACCTACAAATGTTTTTCAAGGATTTTTATAGGAATTGCATTATATCTGTATGTTGATTTTGAGATAATGGACATATTTTCTATATTGACTCTTCCAAATTGATGAACACAGTATGTGTCTCCATTTATTTAGATCCTCTTTGATTTCTTTCATCAGTGTTGTGTAGCTTTCACAATACAAGATCTGTACATGTTTTGTCACATTTATATCCAAGTATTTCATTTTCGAGTGATGAAAATGTTATTGTATTTTTAATTTTGATGTCCATGTGTTCATTGCTGGCATGTAGAAATACTATTGACTTTTGTATATTTATCTTATATGCTGGAACTTTGCTGAACTCACTTACTAGTTTTAGGAATTCCATTGTATGTTCCTTGAAATTTTCTATGCAGATCATCACATTATCTGCAAATAGGGGTGGTTTCATTTCTTCCTTTGCGGTTTGTTTGCCTTTTATTTCCCTTGCCATCTCACACTGGCTAGAATTCCCAGTGTTATGTTGAGTAAGGGTAGTGAGTGTGGACATCCTTGTCTTGTTCCTAACCCTAGGGGTAAAGTATTTAGTCTTTACCACTAAATGCTAAATACTTTATTATTAAATATAACATTGATTGTATTTTAAAAATAGATTTTTTGCTAAGTTCAGAAAGTTCCACTTTCATCTTACTTTTCTGATAATTTTTATCCATGAAATTATGTCAAATGCTTTTTCATCAATTGATATAATCGTGATTTTTCTTCTTTAGCCTGATAATATAAAGGCCTATGTTAATTTTTGAATATGGGACCAGAATCTTGCATCCCTGAAATAAATTCTACTTGGTTATGATGTATAATTCTTTTTATATATTGCTGGATTCTATTTGCTAATATTTTATTAAGGAATTTTACTTCTTTTTTTTTTCTTTGAGATTGCTCACTCTGTCACCCAGGTTGGAGTGCAGTGGTGCAGCCTCAGCTAGTGAGCCGAGAGGTTGCAGTGGCAACCTCTGTTTCCCAGGCTCAAGTGATCCTCCTACCTTAGCCTCCCAAGCAGCTGGAACCACAGGAGTGCACTAGCACACCTGGCTAATTCTTTTTTTTTTTTTTTTTTTTTTGTATTTTAGGTAGAGGTGGGGTTTTGCCATGTTGCCCAGGTTGGTCTTAAACTCTTGAGCTCCAGTGATCCACCTGCCCTGACCACCCAAAGTGCTGGGATTACAGATGTGAGCCACCACACCTGGCCAAGGAATTTTACTGCTATATTGTACTGTCGTTGTCTAGTTTCAATATCTGTGTAATGCTAGCTTTATAAAGTAATTTTTTAAAGTAATTTTTAAAATTAAAAAAAAAACAACAACTGTAACTGCAGCCTGTAGGGTGGCCATTCTGAAAGACTGGGAAACAGACTCTGGCAAAAAGCTAGAAACAAGTACTGCCTATAAAATGATTTGAGAAGTGCTCTTTTGTATTTCCTGAAGGGATTACGTAGAATTGGTGTTAATTTTTTGGAGGGTAGAACTTTCCAGTGAAATCCTCTGAGCCTAGAGATTTCTATTGTGGAAGTTTTAAAATTACAAATTAAATTTCCTTAATAGTAGAACTTTATTTATTTATTTATTTATTTATTTATTTATTTATTTATTTATTTATTTGAGACAGAGTCTCGCCCTGTCACTCAAGCTGGAGCGCAATGGTGCGATCTCGGCTCATTGCAACCTCCGCCTCCCAGGTTCAAGTGATTCTCGTCCCTCAGCCTCCTGAGTAGCTGGGATTACAGGCGCACACCACCACTCCTGGCTAATTTTTGTATATTTAGTAGAGACGGGGTTTCACTATTTTGGTCAGGCTGGTCTTGAACTCCTGACCTTGTGATCCACCCACCTCTGCCTCCCGAAGTGTTGGGATTACAGGCGTGAGCCACTGCGCCCGGCGAGAAATTGTTTCTTTTCACTTGAGTTATCAAATTTATGTATGTAGAGTTGTTTGTTTTGTCTTGATTTCCCCTTCATTCTTGATGCCTGCACAGTCTGGTCTGCAGTGACATCCCTTGTCTTTTTTTTTTTTTGTTAAATTAGTTTAACTTTTAAGTTCAAGGGTACATGTGCAGGTTTATAAAATAGGTAAACTTGTGTCAGGGGATTTGTTGTACAGATTATTTCATCATCCAGGTATTAAGCTTTGTACCCATTCGTTATTTTTCCTGATCTTCTCTTTCCTCCCACCCTCAGCCCTCTGACAGGCCCCAGTGCATGTTGTTCTGCTGTTTGTATCCATGAGTTCTCATCATTTAGCTCTCACTGATAAGTGAGAACATGTGGTATTTGGGTTTCTGTTCCTGCATTCGTTGGCCGAGGATAATGGTCTCCAGCTACATCCATGTACCTGCAAAAAAACACGATCTTGTTCTTTTTCATGGCTGCATAGTATTCTGTGGTGTTTACTACATTTTCTTTATTCAGTCTATCATTGATATGTGTTTAGGTTGATTTTATGATTATTCTATTGTGAATAGTGCTGCAATGAGCATACACATGCATGTATCTTTATAATAGGAAGATTTATATAATTTTTGGGTATATACCCAGTGATGAGATTGCTGGGTTGAATGGTATTTCTCCCTCTAGTTCTTTGAGGAATTACCACACTGTCTTCCACAATGGTTGAACTAATTTACACACCCACCAACAGTGTATAACTGTTGCTTTTGCTCCACAACCTCCCCAGCATCTGTTATTTTTTGACATTTTGGTAATAGCCATTCAGAAGATGTAAGATAGTATCTCATTGTGGTTTCGATTTACATTTCTCTAATGATCAGTGATGTCAAGCTTTTTTCGTATGGCTATCCCCTGTTTTCATTCCTGATATTATTCTCTCTTTTGTCTTTGTCAGTCTTGCTAGAGATTTGTCAATTTTATTAACCTTTGCAACAAACCAACTCTTTGTTTCATTTGTTTTCTCTATTGCTTTTCTGTTTTTAGTTTCATTGATTTCTGCTATTCCATTTATTATTTTATTTTATCTGTTTGCTTTGAGTTTATTTTGCTCCTTTTCTAGTTTCTTGATATGGAACTTAAGATTATTGATTCGGGAATTTTTCTCTTTTCTAATGTATGCTTTAACGCTTCTCAGCACTGCTTAAGCAGCATAATATAAATTTTGATATGTTGTATTTTCATTTTCTTTCAGTTCCATGTATTTTAAAATTTCTCTTGAGACTACCTTTTTAATTCATGTGTTATTTAGAAGTATATTGTTTAGTTTCAAAGTGTTTGATTTTTTTCTGTTACCTTTCTATTATTGATTTCTAGTTTGATTTTATTGTGTTCAGAGAATACCTGCTGTATAATTTCAGTTCTTTGAAATTTGGAGAGATTTGTTTTATGGCTCAGAATATGGTCTATCTTGGCATATATTCTATAGGCTTTTCAAAATAATGTATATTCTTCTGTTGTTGGGTGAAGTGTTCTATAAATGTTGGATAAATCCTGATGGTGTTGTTGAGTTTTTCCACATCCTTGCTGATTATTTATTTATTTATTTATTAATTATAGAGACAGGGTCTCCCTGTGTTGCCCTGGCTGGTCTCAAACTCCTAGGCTCAAGGGATCCTCTTGCCTTGGCCTCCTAAAGTCTTAGGATTACAGGCACTAGTCACCATGCCTGGCCCCTTGCTGATTTTCTGTCTAGTTGTTCTATTAATTGTTGAGACAGGGATGTTGAGATCTCCAGTTATAATTGTGAAGATGTCTATTGCTCCTTGCAGTTCTCTCAGTTTCTGCTTCATTTTTCAGCTCTGTTGCTTGATACATGCATGTTTAGCATTTAGGATTGCTGTCTTCTTGGTGGATCGACCCTTTTATCATTGTATTATGTCTCTTCCTGTTTCTGGTAGTTTTATTTTCTCTGGAGGCTATGTCATCTGATGTTATCATAGCCACTTCTCTTTGATGTTTGCATGATGTATTTTTTAAGCTACCCTTTTACTTTTAACCTGTCTATAATGTTATATTGAAGTGAGTTTCTTATAGACAGGATATTCTTGGGTTACATTTTTTAATCCACTCTGCCAATGTCTGTGTTTTAACTGGCATATTTAGACTCTACATTTAAAGTGATTGTTAATATATTAGAGCTTATGTCTGTCACTTTCTTTGTTTTCTGTTTGTTCTGTTTCTTGATTTCCTGTTTTATTTTTCTCTGCCCTCCTGGGACAAATTTGAACATTTCTGTAACTCCATTGTAATTTATCCATAGTATTTTGGAGTATAACTCTTCGTGTAGGTTTTTTAGTGGTTGCTATAGGTATTGTGTGTGTGTGGGTGTGTGTGTATAACTTATCACAGTTTACTTGTTTTATTTATTAGTTTGAGTGATGTGTAGAAACTGCCCTTTATATTCCTATATCCTACCCTTTTTATAATAGTCTTAAATATTTCCTTTATGTACATTTAGAACCTCATCAGATCATGTTATAAATTTTGCTTCCACCGAGATCACGCCACTGCACTCCAGCCTGGGCAACAGTGCGAGACTCTGTCTCAAAAAAAAAAAAAAAAGAAAGAAAGAAAACTCAAGAGGAGAGTTAATTGTATTTTCTCATATTTTTGTTCATCATATTTTTTCTTCTTTTCTGGTGTTCAAACATTCCTTCTTTCATCATTTCCTTTCTGTTTAGACGATTTCCTTAGCAATTCTCCTAAGGGTAAGTTTGCTGGCAATCAGTTTTTTTAGTTTTCCTTCATCTGAGAATGTCTTGATTTCTTCTTCATTCTTGAAAGATATTTTTGCTGAGTATGGGATTCTGGGTTGACAGTGTTTTTCTTTCAGCATTTGAAAAATGTTAAGACATTTTATTTTGTGCTTTATAATTTCTAATGAGAAACTTGCTGTTATTTAAGTTGTTTTCCCTGGTTGGGCACGGTGGCTTATGCCTGTAATCCCAGTGCTTTGGGAGGCTGAGGTGGGCAGATCACTTGAGGTCAGGAGTTCAAGACCAGCCTGGCCAACATGGTGAAACCCTGTCTCTACTAAAAATACAAAAATTAGTCTTACGTGATGGTGCACACCTGTAGTCCCAGCTACTGAGCAGGCTGAGACAGGAGAATTGCTTGAACCTAGGAGGCAGAGGTTGCCATGAACCGAGGTTGTGCCACTGCTCTCTCCAGCCTGGGCGACAGAGCGAGAATCCATCTCAAAATAAACAAACAAATCAATCAATCAATAAATAGGTTCCCCTTCTTAGTTAAGGTGTTGGTTTTTCTTGCTGCTTTCAAGACTCTCTCTTTGTCTTTAGTTTTCAGAAGTTTGAGTATAATGTCTTGGTGTAGGTTTCTTTAAGTCTGTCTTTTTAAGCTCAACTTCTTGAATTTAAAATTATTTACTTCTGGCAAATTTGGAAAATTTTCAGCCATTATTTTTTTGAGTATTTTAAAAATCGCTGTCCTTCTTTGCCTCTCATTGTGGGTCTCTGATGACAAGCATGTTATAGCTTTTGTTACAGTTTCTTGAAGCTCTGTTCATTTTTTTTACTCCTCTATTGCTCAGAGTGAATAATTTCCATTCTTCTGTCTTCTAGTTCATTAATTCTTTTCCTAGCTCCTCTATTATGCTATTGAGCCCACCCATTTAGTTTAAAATGTTTGGTTATGATATTTTTCAATTCTAAAATTCTCATTTGGTTCTTCTATACACCTTATATTTCTTTGCTGAAACTTCATACTTTTTCATTTCCTTCAAGTGTGTCAGATAATTCTGACACCTTTGTCATCTTAGCGTTTTCATCTATTGATTGTCTTCTTTTAGTCAGTCTTAGGTTTCTTGGTTCCTGATCTAGTAAGAACTTTTGATTCAAACCTGAACATTTTGGGTATTCTGTTATGAGAGTCTGGGTCTTATTTAAACTTTCTGTTTTAATTGAATTTCTCTGATACCACTCAGGCAGGGGAAGGGGGGCACTACCTCATTACTGTTAGGTAGAGGTAGAAGTCCAGCTTCCCCACTTGGTCTCTGTTGGCAATAGAGGTTGGCGGGGGAGGTGGTCCTCGTTATTGCTGAGTAGGAGATGGGAGTCCTGGCTCTTTACTAGGTCTTCACTGATACCTCCTTAGCTTGGAGGGGTAGGAATGCCTCATTACTGTTTCCCACTTGCCTCCACTGACACCATTGGTGGTGAAGTGGAGAGGGGAGAAGATTCGAACTTGTTTCTGCTGGGGAGTAATAAAGTTCCTGATTCTCTACTAGGCCACCTCTAACACCACCCCAATGGGGAGGGGAGAGATGCTTTGTTACTGCCAGGTGGAAATGGAAGTCCAGGTTTCCCACATGGAAGTCCAGGCTTCCCATGTGAACCCTGGGTTGGGAGTTGGGGGCATCTGGGACTGTGTTTGTCAGGTCAAGTTGAAAGTCCTAGCTCTCTACTTGTTCTTCTCTTACAACACTCTTGAGGGTGTGTTGGGGTGTCTCATCACAGCCTGGTGATGTAGACTCACGGCTTCCCCCTTGGCCTTTGCTTGTGTGGGTGGGGATGGGACCACAATTTTTCCTGTGGTATTTGACTGGAGTAGAGTAGTTAATGTCTAAAAGATTTTCATCTTGCTAGGCTGACCCTCTCCTGTTCCTTTGGCTAAAGGAGTCAAAATCTTGGGGCTTTATCAGGGGCTTTTCTTTCCTTGGGGCTTTTGAGTCTGCATTGGCATTTTCAGGTTCCTGGTTTCTTTGGCAAGTCTGGAACATCCAAGGCAAAAAGACAACCCAGAAAACTCACCATTGTGTTGTTCCTTGGGTCCTGAATTCCATTGCCAGTTTGTCTGGCTCTTGTCTCCACCTTTTATTCTTCTGTTTGTTTTGTGTATGTCTGTTCCATCTTCCTACAGGTGGAAATCTCCTAAAATGGAAATTTTTGTCCAAATGTTCACTTAACTTTGTTTGTGGCCTCTCCTAGATGTCTGGGCTGTAGTTTCAAACATTGCAATTCATTTTTTTGACCTCCCTCTCTGCTTTTTATTCCAAAACAAATACATTTGAAGTTAAATAAAGGCAAAAGTTGAAGTACAGCTTATGGTATTTTTGTTGTAGAAATTTAGATTGGAACTCTTCAATATAATACTTATTAACTATTAGTTAATTCTGTTAAGAAGGATAACATTATAAGTAATAACATAGATTTTTGCTTGCTAGGTTATACTTAAGACCATTTTGCATCTAAACATTATTGAAGTTGCTCACAAGGGACAGATAATTTAATATTGACACAACCTTAAATAAATTGAAAAGGCATAAATCGAGAGTAATGAGATTCATAAAGCTGTTAATATTAATGGAGAAACCTTTTGGGAAGCATGGTATAATATCAAAGAAACTAGAAACCCTAGATGTAAATGATGAGACTAGTTAGTGATTTAAAAATTGGTTATTTTGTTTCAATCTCTTTTCAAGTCAAGACTATGCTGTGTTCTTAGAGTGCATGTCTTTATAACTGTTACCATAAAATGGAATGCAGTATTAGGAATAAAAAGGACAGACAAAATCTGTAGAGAACACAATATATTTATTTTGCTTTTGCATGTAAGAAATCAAAAGAGTACTGAACTTTAAACGATGAGCTCTTTCTCAAATCACAGGTCATAAATATTTATTAATAAAAAGTGTATGTATGTTATGCACAAACACATATGTATATGTGTGGGTGTGTATGTAAACAAACACATATGCACCTATATACAGATATAATTAAGGACTCAGAAATTTATTAGCTCCTAATTTTAGGTACTTGTTGAAAGGACATAAATTAGGTATATTAAGTTTGGGGTTTTCAATGTTCAGAAGAAGTAAATATCAAAGCTGGAGAGACACAAAGTAGGCACAAGAAAAAATGATTTAATGGTAAACATGGGCAAAATATGCTGAGGCAGTTTGTAGAATATCCTTCATTGCAGACCTAAAGCTGTATTGGGATGGTTCGGGTATAGAATTAAGCTTTCTTGGCTGTGTGAAAAATAGAATAGAAAACCCAGTTGTCACTTTTGTTAAGTTGTTATTTTTAAGTTCTTATTCTTGAAATGTTTGTAAAAAGACACATTACATTCAATAAAACTATTGGCTGTTTTGAAAAGTAACTCCTTGGAAGAAAAGAGTTAATTTAGGCCAGGCAAATTACATATATGACACGGCCTGTGGATAATTCATGTAGATTTCCACATTACTTTTAGAGGTTCTTCTTATCCAACACATACAAACATAAAAACTATTACAAAATAAAAATAGACAAATGAAGCTTCTATGGTTCTAGTTATTTTTTGTGCACATGATCTTCTGTAGGCCCAGCCATCTTGGGTGATTGTCTAATATGGAAAAAATCTGTGGAAACAGAGATGAGCAAGCAGAAATTCAGGTCTTGTTGCTGGCACTGAATTTGGGAATAATGTGGACAAATAGCTCAATCACTGGGTCTCTCTTTCCTCAAAGAAAAAGGAGGGTGAAAAAGGAGAGAATCATAAAAGATTCTCTTTAATGGATTTTGCTTAGGTTTTGTTTTATCTTGTTTTGGTGGCAGAATTGAGCTTGTGGGGTAACTTTTTTTTCCAAATGCTCTTGCTTATGACATATTGGCTGTTTTCAGATCGAATTCAAGTATCTACTCAGGAATATGCTAGATCTTTTGTGTGTTGCATTGGTTAGACCTGATGGAGGTTGTCAGCATGATGTGGGAGATGGAGGCCTTAATCAGTTCCTGAAAGCTAAAGGACACATACAACCTAATGCAAACGGAAACTTTTGTAGCTGCTGAAGATCAAACATCCAGTGTGAAGATTTTTATCTTCAATTGAAGGAAATACTGTGCTCTTTCTTATGTATTTGTGTCAGATGTGATATGGTAGGCACTGTAATAAGAAGGCTGAAAATGGTTCAGGTTGGAGTGATTTGAGCAATATTTAATCCACAAAACCATTATTTTAATTGATTATGTAAAGTTCTAGCTATTCACGTTTGTCTCCTTATCAGGTATATGTCTGCCACCAGTCACCAGAACTCTTAGCCAAACTGGGGAATCAGTACAGGTGAACCAAGGACACACACCTGATTTAACTGGGAGAAGATTAAGTCTCTTCTCATCAGAAAAGATAGGTACACTATGACATCAGTAAGTAGCTGGAAAAAGTACCTGTGAAGTAGTGACAACAGATCAAAGAACTGAGGACCCAATCTCAGAATATACATATGAAACAGCATAACATATATTTCTTCTTTTCAGTTATTTTGGTTTTTCCTGGCACTTCCCTTTGCTACCTGACCCTCTCCTCCTTCAGTCAATGGCACTTAGTACCTCAGTGGACAGAGGTTATTGTAGAACATAAGAGTCCAGTTCTTGACATTTGAGATTCGAAATCTGAAGTGTGTAAGAATAAAAAAAATTTGGAAAGGTAAGATAATTCAGAGTCAGTGTGTTTCATCCTTTCAACACCAAATCAAGTTTTCTTGGGCTTCAGGGAGAAAGATATTCAGAGGAAATGGATACCCAGACTGAAGCCCTGAGAAAAGTCCTCTCTCCATGTCCCCAGTTGAAATGAGACTATGTCAAAGTTGTCTAATTTGTTGGCATAAAGTTGTTCATAATATTACCTTCCAATTTAAAAAAAAACATTCTGGAGCTAGGTGCAGTGGCTTACACCTATAATCCCAGCACTTTGGGAGGCCGAGGCGGGTGGATCACTTGAGGCCAGGAGTTTGAGACAGCCTGACCAACATGGAGAAACCCTGTCTCTACTAAAAATACAAAAATTAGCAGGTGTGGTGGTGGATGCCTGTAATCCCAGCTACTCGGGGGGCTGAGGCAGGAGAATCGCTTGAACCTGGGAGGTGGAGGTTACAGTGAGCTGACATTGTGCCACTGCACTGCAGCCTGGGCAACAGATTGAGACTCTATGCCCCACCAAAAAAATAAGTAAATAATAAATAAAAATAAATTCTGTAGAGTCAGTAGTGATGTCCAAGAGGAGACAATTTATTTATTTATTTATTTATTTATTTATTTATTTATTTATTATTTTTTTGAGACAGAGTCTCACTCTCTTGCCCAGGCTGGAGTGCAGTTGTGTGATCTCAGTTCATTGGAACCTGCACCTCCTGGCTTCATGTAATTCTCCTGCCTCAGTCTCTGGAGTAGCTGGGACTAGGCGCACGCCAGTACACCTGGCTAATTTTTGTATTTTTAGTAGAGACAGGGTTTCACCGTGTTGGCCAGGCTGGTCTTGAGCTCCTGACCTCAGATGATCCACCCACCTCGGCCTCCTGAAGTGCTGGTATTACAGGTGTGAGCCACTGTGCCCAGCAGAGATAGTTTTTAACTATAGAAATAACAAAAATAATTAATTCCATGGCTTGTGGTCTACTTGTTTTGGATATATTAATGTGACAATTAAAATCTGTTTATAAGCTTAGAAGTAAATAATTGATACTATAATAGTAATTAAAAATTGGTGTCTATAACCTTGCAAAATACACTGTGACATTTAGTAGATCCCTAGTGAGGTTCTTCCTCACCACTCTGTATGATAGTGGCCCCTTTGTTTCTGTATCTCATACTCCTTGCTACCATCATTCCTTTAAGATTACTTTTCTGACTCCAAATTAATTCCCAAGGCATGTACACAATCACTCTTCTCCATTTCTTCTTGCCATATCATGTATCTTTCTTTAGATCTCACTTAGAATCATTTTGTTCACATACAATATGGTATGGACTCTATAAATAGTGAACTGAATGGAAATCTGCCTTGAAAGAATTGCCACTCATGCAGAGTAAAACATATACACGGATTGCTGTCACACCAATTAGAAGGCAATAAGTCAAAAAAGAGAGGCAAAGCCATTAGACATGTGAAAAGAAGGAGCTATTTCCTCCAGTCAACAACTAGAGAGGCCACTTGGTGGACAGAGTACTATTTGAGCTGGGTTTTGAAGGATGAATCAAACATGAATATGGTTGGGAACTGTTTTTCTGGTGAAGAAAGAAGCAAGAACAAAGACACCAAATGGCCTAGTGAGCTATTCAATGAAACAGACAAAAGTCTATGCTGGTGAGGGTTGTTCATGCACTATGTACAATGTGATAGTAACATTGACAAGGTTTACCAGAGTATTTACTATGAGGAGAGAAAAAAGGAGAGAGGCCAAAAATAATGCCAAGGGTTTGGCTTGAGGGATTAGAAGGAAAGATATAGGGAAGTCTGTAGGGGGAGTATGTTTTAGGGGTGAAGATACAGAGTTCAATTCTGGATATGTTGAGTTTGAGATGTCTGTTAGACATCCAGGTGGGGACATCAAAAAATTGGAGAAAGGTCTAGATTGGAGGTATAAATTTTTAAGTCTTTGGTATTAAGATGGTATTTTATAGCCATTAAACTAGACGAATGTAAAACAAGAGAGTGAGAATAGATAAAAAGAAGAGAGTGAAAGTTAATGGCCAGGCTGCATTTGTTAGATGCAGAGAATGTTGATGCCTCTACGAAAGAGATAACCCAGGAGGGAAGGTGGTAAGTTTGATTTGGGACATTTGAATCTGGACATATGCTTGGAGATACCAACATACAATGATGAGCATACAGACCTGGAGCCTGGGAGAGAAGTAAGAAGAGAAGTGAGAATTGAAGACGTATCAATGATAAACGTATCAAGGGAAAGAAAACAGAAGAAAATCAAGGGAGCGGCATGTTCAAGGGTGCTAGCTGAATAGTTCATTAGAACCTTGCTAGCACCCTTGAACATCACAGGTTTGGGACAAAGCGAGAGGCAACTGAGGGCCTAATAGACTATACAAATAATTAGGGAGCTAGAAACGTTTTGCTGATGAAGAAAATAAGTCCCGTTAACATCAAGTACATTGCCCAGGGTCTCACAGTAGGTAGTGGTGCTAGAAATAAATTCAGTTTTGTTTGCTTCCAAAATCTATCCTCTTTCCAGTATAACATGAAGGCCTCACTAATCTATTTTCCCTTATTTTATAGAGTGATTAACTAATAAGGTCATATAGCTTGTTAGTCATCGAGGAAGTTCTAGTACGAGGTTATCTGATTCTCTTGCGTTACCTTCATCATAACAGTCTTAATAAAATCTCAGCTGAAATATGATCAAATAATACATGTACTTCCAAGATCCCTCAAATATAGCATTTATAATAAAAGGTAAGCAGAACTTTTTAGAGTTTACTAAATTCTACATTAGAGCAAAATATTCTGTAGCTGCTTAGAGTTCCTTAAGAAGACAGTCCACCTGGAAATGTACACGTCAGTAAATTTGTGAAAGTTACCAAGTCATTTTTGTAGTCTATGTTGGCAAATTTATTTAGGATTGAATTATTAGTGACCCATTAGTGTGCTGAATACAGAAGATAGATTTTCATAGTATTGCTATTTTTAGTAATACAATTGGTAGTGTCATTGAGGTTTAATTTTACCTTTCCCAGCTTTGCAAGGCATTTCCTCAAAAGCCACGTGGACAGGACTTCCCACTGATGTTGCTATTGCCAGGGCAACAGAGTTCTGCTGTTTCTGTATCAATCCACACAAAAGCTGCTTTAACAAGTTCACACTGGCTGGACGTGGTAGTTCATGCCTGTAATCCCAGCACTTTGGGAGGCCGAGGCGGGCGGATTGCTTGAATCCAGGAGTTTGAGACCAGCTTGGCCAACATGGTGAAACCCCATCTCTACTAAAAATATAAAAATTAGCCAGATGTGGTGGTGCGAGCATGTAGTCCCAGCTATTCGGGAGGCTGAGGCAGGAGAATCTCCTGAACCTGGGAGGCAGAAGTTGCAGTGAGCCGAAATCAGGCCACTGCACTCCAGCCTGGGCGACAGAGAGAGACAGTCTCAAAAAAACAAAATAAAACAAAACCATGTATTTCTTGAGTCTCCAGTCAATGAATTACGAAGTGAGACGCTTAATGTTAATCATCTAACAGAGCCCTCAAAACTATTAGAGTTGAAATAACATTCACATAATTCAGGAAAAACATACTTTGGCCTGAAATACTCAGCTTCCCTTTAAAATTTGTTGAAAGTGGCCTCAATTTTACTTGACCAATACAATCAATTCTACAACAATATATTTACATAGCCTTTTATTTTTTTTCATGAGCTTAAAATACATCCCAGACTGTATGTTTCTAATCTCCACCACACTGTCTAGATCTCAGGGGTCAAGCACACAGCTTATGGATTTCTTCACAAAAACTCAGAAGAGCCATTTCTTAGCTTGGATAGAAACCATGTTCTTTGCTGCTTACTTGTTGTTTATCTAAACATATTTGCGATTTGGCTTTGTGGAGTTATTAATTTCCTAGAATATACTTGTTTTCCAAGATATATTTGTATCCACAAAACATATGCATGTGTAGGAGTGTACATGCATAAGATACATGTACTTTACCCCATACTTTTGTAATTTATGTACACACTCTACCACCACCCCTTCATGTTTAAAATATTGAGTTAAGTTTAATATACTGACAATTACATACCTGTCTACAAGCTTCTCTTCCCGCTTAAAGCATCTCAGTGAAGAGAGGCATTAAGTATTCAGTAGAGAAAAAGCAGCACTTTTGCTTGAATCTGGGCATAAAAGAGTTATAAAAGAATTTCTCTTATTTTCATCCACAGGCTTTAACAGGAGGGTGGAGTTTTAAATGGTTAATATGGTGATTTTCCTTGGACATTATGTTTTATATTCAGAAAGCTAGGACAGTAAGGAACTGTCTTTGATGAGGAGGAAGAAGGGACATTGTTTTTATCTTATTTTATTATGGGCAGTTTTAAAATTTGAAGCACAAGTGAACCTACTTTGTTTTGCATCATTTATTTTTCAATTAAAAAATCTGAATCACATTTATAAATTTGTGGCATACAATTTACTTGTAAACTACGATACAAGAAAAAAGTACTTTTTTTTTGCTAAAATATTCTTGATTAAGTCTATTCTTTTCTCAAACCAAGCAATAAACTGATAGGATTACTTTTTTCAGCCAGGTGCAGTGGCTTACGACTGTAATCCCACCACTTTGGGAGGCTGAGGCAGGTGGATCACCTGAGGTTGGGAGTTCAAGGCCAGCCTGACCAACATGGAGAAACCCCATCTCTACTAAAAATATACAATTAGCCAGGTGTGGTGGCGCATGCCTGTAATCCCAGCTACTCAGGAGGCTGAGGCAGGAGAATCGCTTGAACCTGGGAGGCAGAGGTTGCGGTGAGCCGAGATCGCGCCATTTTACTGTAGCCTGGACAACAAGAGCGAAACTGCATCTCAAAAAAAAAAAAAAAGGATTACTTTTTTCTCATCAACAAATATATTACTAATAGCAGGAGTAGCAATTACCAAGTGCTGTGAACGGAAGCTTATCTACACAATAACTGAACCCTAAACAATTATTCTTTTTTTAATCACAGTTGTACAACTATTATTATTATTATTGTTATAATTTTTTGAGGAAAGGTCTTGCTCTGTAAACCAGGCTGGAGTGCAGTGGCACGATCACTGCTCACTGCAGCCTCGAACTCCTGGGCTCAAGCGATCCTCCCATCTCATCCCCCCAAGTAGCTGGGACTATAGGTGTGCACTGCCACACCTAGCTTATTTTTGTATTTTTTATGGAGATGGAGTTTTACCATGTTGCCCAGGCTGGTCTCGAAATCTTGGGTTCAAGTGGTTCACCTGCCTTGGCCTCCTGAGGTGCTGGGATTATAGGCATGAACCACCTATGCTTTATTCTTGATTAATATACTGTTCAACCCAATAATTTTACAGAGATGTTAAAAAATTTTCCATAATTATCATTAATGTTGGGGCTTGAACATAGATCTTTGGAATTTCATGCTAAGAGTACTTACATAATATCAGATTGCCTCCCTTATTTCCTTACTTTTCATTCCCTCTTTTAAATGTTAAAATAAAATTTTAATATTGTGTGTATTTGAGAGAGTGCTCTGTAAACTAAAGTTTTCTAACTTACCCATGTCTCAACTCACTATTAGATTTTGTGCCTGTTTTTAAGTCATCTATATTATTATGTCACTGCCTACTTAGAAACGTGATATTGCTTAATTTTGTTATGACATATACTATTCCCAGATGACGCACATCAGGGAAAATGGTAGATGTGATTTTTTTAAAGAAAATTAAAATTATCAGGTTTTCTTATGAAAATAAATAGAATATGTAGTTATGCATGTGTGGTTAATCCCTTTCTTTTTAGATTTTTGATCTATACTGCTGTCATATTCAGTAATTCCTACTGATTATTAAGGTGGTCAACTTTTATTTTAGGTTCAGGGGGTACATGTGCAGGTTTGTTACAGGGGTATGGTATGAGTGTTTGATGTACAGATTGTTTTGTCACCCAGGTAATAAGCATACTACCTGATGGGCAGTTTTTCAAGCCTCACCCTTCTCCCACCCTCCACCCTCAAGTAGTTCCCAGTGTCTGTTGTTCCCATCTTTGTGTCTATGTGTACTCAGTGTTTAGCTCCCACTTATAAGTGAGAACATAAGGTATTTGGTTTTCTGTTCCTGTGTCAATTTGCTTAGGAAAATTGCTTCCAGCTCTATCCATGTTTGTGCAAAGGACATGATTTTTCATTATTTTTAAGGGCTGTGTAGTATTCCGTGGTGTATATGTACCATATTTTCTTTATCCATTCTACTGTTGATGGGCATCTAGTTGATTCCATGTCTTTGCTATTGTAAATAGTGCTGTGATGAACATACATGTGCATGTGTCTTTAAGGTAGAACAATTTATTGTATTTTGGGTATGTACCCAGGAATGAGATTGCTGGGTTGAATGGTAATTCAGCTTTAAGTTTTTTGAGAAATCTCCAAACTGCTTTCCACAGTGACTGAACTAATTTACATTCCCACCAGCAGTATATAAGCATTCCCTTTTCTCTACAACCTAACCAGCATCTGTTATTTGACCTTTTAATGATCACTGTTCTGATTGGTGTGACATGATATGTCATTGTGGGTTTTTTTTTTTTTTTTTTTTTAGACAGAGTCTCGCTCTGTTGCCCAGGCTGGAGTGCAGTGGTGTGATCTCAGCTCGCTGCAAACTCCGCCTCCTGGGTTCATGCCATTCTCCTGCCTCAGCCTCCTGAGTAGCTGGGACTACAGGCGCCCACCACAACGCCCGGCTAATTTTTGTATTTTTAGTAGAGGTGGGGTTTCACTGTGTTAGCCAGGATGGTCTCGATCTCCTGACCTCGTGATCTGCCTGCCTCGGCCTCCCAAAGTGCTGGGATTACAGGCATGAGCCACCGCACCTGGCTGTCATTGTGGTTTTGATTTGTATTTCTCTAATGATTAGTGATGCTGAGCATATTTTTCATCTTTTTTTTGGCATTTTTTCATATGCTTGTTGGCTGCAAGTATATATATATTTTAAGAGGTGTCTGTTCATGTCCTTTGCTCATTTTTTTAAATGGGGTTGTTTGATTTTTGCTTGCTAATTTGTTTGCTCCTTATAGATTCTGGATATTAGACCGTCGTTAGATGCATAATTTACAAATACTTTCTCCTATTCTGTAGGTTGTCTGTTTACTCTCTTGATAGTTTCTTTTGCTGTGCAGAAGCTCTTTAGCTTAATTAGGTCCCACTTGTCAATTTTTGTTTGTGTTGCAATTGCTTTTGGAGTCTTTGTCATGAAATCTTTGCCAGGGCTTATGTTCAGAATGGTATTTCCTAGGTTTTCTTCTAGGGATTTTATAGTTTTAGGTTTTACGTTCAAGTATTTAATCTATTTTGAGTTAATTTTTGTATATGGTATAAGGATGGGGTCCAGTTTGAATCATCTGCACATGGCCAGCCAGTTATCCCAGAATCATTTATTGAACAGTGAGTCCTTTCTCCATTGCTTGTTATCGTGTACTTTGTTGAAAAGCAGATGGTTGTAGGTGTGCAGCTTTATTTCCGGTTCCTCTAACCTGTTCCATTGGTCTGTGTTTTTGTACCAGTACCATACTGTTTTGGTTACTGTAACCTTGTAGTATAGTTTGAAGTTGGATAGTGTGATGTTTTTGGTTTTAAATAAAATTATTCTTATGTTACTCTTGTAGATCGACTGGTTGTAAGTTGAACATTGATAATTTTAAGACAGGAGAACTCAGGAATAAACATATTCACTCAAATTGTTTCTAATAAGAGTCAAACTCCTTATATAGTGGGGAGGGATGCAGTAACCTGGTCCTCAGTGGCACCCAGCAGTGCCTGTTTTATTGTAGTTCCTGTGCATTGCCTGTGTATTGCCTTACCTTGCACACCTTCCCTGGCATTGCCACTGTTATATTACTATCCTATCTATCATGCAAATCTCCTTCACAAAGTTTTCCTGGAACCTTATAACTCGTTGGACCCTCATAACTCATGGTAATATGTACTGTTTTCTTTAAATCCCTAAAACTTTATCTTGCAGTCCTGAATTGAAGAAGATAGGGAAAAAAATTAGAAAGCTATTGTCACAATCCAGACAAACAATATGGTAGTTTGGATTAGAGAGTTGGTAGGAGAGATAGAAAGAGTGGATAGATTTGTGATGCATTTTGGTATATAGTTTGCTTGGTTTGCATGTAAAGGATGAAGAAAGAGAAGAAATCAATAACTCCCAGGTTTGTGATCTTTGAGACCTGGTAGAAGAAAGTGTCATTTTCTAAATAAAGGAAGGCGATTGAGGACAGGTTTTGACAGAAATCATGTTAAGCTTGAGCAGTCTATGAGACAACTATTAGGTTGGTGCAAAAGTAATTGCAGTTTTGCCATTACTTTGTTAGTATGAAGGGCTACCTGCCTTTCTAATTGGCAAACAGATACAGAATGCATATTAGCTTGAAGAATACTTTTTTACTCCTGTAACATAGGGACAAATAGATTAGCAAGGCAGCTTTCTTCTGTCTAGTTGTTCAGAGATTCAGACTGACAGAAACTATGGCCACATGTGATTTTAACTGTCGCCCTGGGATCGTCTCCATTCTACCAGAAGGAAGAGAAACAATAGCATGAAGCAGTGGGCATGGAAGGTTTTCATGGGTTAGGACTGGAAACGGCACACACATCACTAGTGTTTGGATTCTGTTAGATAAAACACAGCCCCATGGTCACCCCTGCCTGGGAAATATGATCGAGTTTTATGCCCACATAGGAAAAGGAGATGGATTTGATGAGTGCTAGAAACCACCACATCCAACTGGAGACTTAAAGTTGGCAGTTGAACTATGAATCTGAAGCACAGAGAAGTCTGCATGGAAATCTAAATGTGGAAAATAAAAAACATAAGATCGTATTTAAAAGTATGCAACAGGGAGAGATTCTAGACAGACAAAGCTGAGGATCAAGTGAGTACCAACATTTCTGAACAAGTACTATAAAAGGGTAAACTCAGACAAAAGTAGAATTGGATGTGGACTGACACAGCATCATCGGATAGAGGAGAGTGTGAGCCTTCCCTCTCTGATTCCTACAATCTCTTTGGCAGGAAGAAGGAAGGCATTCCGAAGGCTGAGAACTTGGAAGAATGCAGGATGTGGGTTCAGCCGTGAGGACTGGAGAGACCAGACTGGAATTGTGGGAGAGAAAGTGGAAAGGCAGCTGAAGCATTGAAATGGGCATCTTGGCCGGGCATGGTGGCTCACACCTGGAATCCCAGCACTTTGGGAGGCTGAGGCGGGCAGATCACCTGAGGTCAGGAGTTTGAGACCAGCCTGCCCAACATGGTGAAGCCCCGTCTCTACTAAAAATACAGAAAAATTAGTCGAGCGTGGTGGCACACGCCTGTAATCCCAGCTACTTTGGAGGCTGAGGCAGAAGAACTGCTTGAACCCAGGAGCTGGAGGTTGCAGTGAGCCGAGATCATGCCATTGCACTCCAGCCTGGGCAACAAGAATGAAACTCTATCTCAAAAAAAAAAAAAGAAAAGAAGAAGAAGAAAAAAAGAAAGAAATGGGCATCTCTACTCTCAGGAACTAGAGAGAGAGGAAAGAGGACAGGTAGGCCAATCTCTAAGTCATCCTTAACTGTGTGTTCTTGGGCAAGTTACTGAAACTCTCCAGTTACTCTTTTATAAAATGGAGATAAGTATAATACCTGTTACCTAGGGAGGGGGAATTAAATGAGATAAGGCACATAAAACATTAGCACAGTGCCTGTCACAAGGGCAGGACTAACTATGCTCTTAGTTGTTTTTTTTTTTTAATTTCAACATCTTTGACTGAGAAGCATCTATATATTTGTACACAGCCTTGTGCATCATCAGTATTTAGAAAATGTTGAATGAATGAATGAATGAGTATATACATAGTAAAGGCAGAGAAAATGGTAATGCTATTAGGAGATTATGATTAATAAACTTCACATAAATAGATGTCATCCGAAGGACATTGTAGTCTTTGTTTTCAGAGACACACAAAAACCCTCAATGTATTAAGACAATCTAAATTTTAAGGCACTTGGCAAAATTATCGTGTCATTTCTTTGATTTAGAAAGCCCAGATTTTTTCAAAAGGGTTTACATCATAAGAATCTTTTAAAATTGAAATTCTTATAACAGTAAAAATTATAGACATTTCATATTTTTCTTAGTATAAAAAATTCTGTAGTTAATTCTTATTCAACTTTAACTGCCTACTCTGCATCAATATTATTTTCAATTCTCAAATCAATAGCCTGGATGTTTTTGGGGAAAAAAAATCTAATTAGTCTCACTGAGGGGTTACCTGGTGAGGCAGGGGAGAAGCCCTGTTGTTCCTGAGGTATTGACTGGGAAGCCAGCCAGCTGGATGAAAACCCTTTTTAATGGCCCCATATGAGGTCAATTTAAGTGCTCTTGGCAATACGTGGGAACTAGAGTAAATATAAAGACAAGTTCTGTTCTTTTGCCCAGCACAGTTAGTATCACTTTTTTTACATTTGGCAAAATGTGCATTTCACGTTGGGTGCTGGTTTCGTATAAGTGGGATGTTGTTGCTCAGACAGGAATCATCAATGAGCAAAACAAAACAAAAAATGTCTCAACATAGATCCTGGGCCATTGTAAGTTCTTTGGAGATTATATCAAAGCACTAGTGGAGTAAAAATGGAAACAATGTCAATTTTCAAGGGTGTGAAATAGAGCGGTGTTGTAGCACTCTCTTCCACTTTCCTCACTCACTACCCTCTCTGCACATAAATTTCTTGGAATGCCTGACTCTATCATTTTCACTTGGTGATGTCATACTTACCTTTCAAGACCCAACTTAAATGTCACTTTCTCTTTGACTCTTTTTTTCCTCTGTCACATTAGCATTCCCTATTTTGCTACCAGAGTATTTTGTGCTTGCTAAAACTGTAGCACTTTGAATAAAACATTGTAACTATTTGTTTATCTGTCTCTATCCCTCATTGGATAATGGACTGCATAAGGACCTGGTCCATATTTTATTCACTTTTGTATTTTTAGTACTTAATACAATTTCTGACACATATTAACCCAATAAAAATCTTTACTGGAAAATCTTAATCTGAATACATAGATTCCTCTTAAATTGAATGACATCATGCCCCATTGCCATTATGCACTAGAACAGTGTGGTTCTCAACTGGAAGTGATGTTTAACCCCCAGGAACATTTGGCTATCTCCCGAGACATTGTTGGTCACAACTGAAAGGGAAGGTTGGTGCTACTGACATCTAGTAGATAGAGGCCAGGGATGTTGCTAAACATCCTACAAATGCACAGGGCAGTCTCCCACTACAAAGAATTATCCCACCCCCAAATCAGTCATGCTGAGGCTGAGAAACCCTGTCATAGAAGAAGAAAATAAGCCTATATAATCATAAACCTTCCACTGTGACCACATCGGTCTACACAGAGTCAATAGTGTTTATATAGTGCTACTGCCAAACAGTATCTTCAGCCTACATCTATGTTGTAAGCCCCTGTTTCATGTCTATCTTTCCATTGTCCTTCTGTCTCTCCCTCCCTTCTTCCTTTCCTCCTTCCCTCCCTCTCGATCTTTCCCTCTCATAATATTTACTTGGCATCTCCACCTGCCTTTCTCAAGGCAGCTCAAACCAAACACATGCCAAATATCAAACGTACCATTTTTCTGGGACATTCCTTCTCAACAACATATATACCCCTAATTAATGTTTCTGCCTTCTACACATCTTCCCAAGCCAGGGGACTTATATTCATCTTCTACATAAAATAAGTCCCCAAGTCTTTGTACCCTTTTAATAACTCCTAAATCCTTTAATTCTGTCCTGGCCCTTATCATACTACTGTCTTGACATCTGCAGTCTCCTAACTGTTCTTCTTGACCCTTCACATCCCCCTCCACATTACTGTGAGAGTAGTTTTCACAAGATATTGATTCTTTCTGATCATAAGATGAATGTACAATCATTTTAACAATTTGTGAACACCAATAACACTAAAAGATGAAAGTAGAATTCATTTGTTATGTTACTACAACCTAGTGCATTTTCTTTTAGTTCCTTTTCTATGCAAATATGTATATTTCTTGTCCAAAATTGAAATAGTACACACATATAATATCTTTTTTTCACTTTTGGGAAAATCTCATAACATTAGGTACTATTGAGTACATGCGGAGACATCTGTGTATCTTATCTTGTCTTAATTATGCAGGAAATGCTTGGACCAGACTCCATTGGCCAAGGAAAACTGAGTGTAAAAAATGAGGTCTGTGGCCACATCTAGTAGTATAACACACCCTAGTGATGTTGTACGTTGAATAACACTGATTGAATGGAACCTTCTTACTCAGATGCGATGGTCTCCAGCATTCATCCAGACTGGCTTACATGCTGATCTGCCCTCACCTTATCTATTAAGTTTAATAATTGTGTAGGGTAAAAAAAAATGCCCCAAATGTATTTATTTCATATACACTAGCCTGATATTATTATAAGGCTGAGATTGGAAATGGATCATCAAACTTCTAGAATGTATGATGGGATCCTCACTCCTGTAGTCTTATCATCTGTCACTATAAACTTCTGATGAGGTCTTTCTGGGGGACTTGGAAACTGACACCTTTGTCTATCATCTGAAAATATTGAGTATCCTAACTGTAGTGACTTCCTTTTAAATCTTCTTGATAAAAAAAAAAACCTTCTTTAATTTGCCCCAGGTGTGTCTGTGTCCGGTGTTTTAGTCTGAGCTATTGGCATTTGTGATCTTACCTTCCTTCTTTTGTTCACCTCTGTCTGTCTATGGTATTTTGCGGTTGTCTCTACCCATTGTTTTAGTATCAA
Organism: Homo sapiens; assembly: GCF_000001405.40. NCBI lineage: Eukaryota > Metazoa > Chordata > Mammalia > Primates > Hominidae > Homo > Homo sapiens. Next base: position 199,819,127 of record NC_000001.11, on the reverse strand, counting down.
TCTCTAACCACATTTTGTTATGATAATTTGGGGTCCTTCCCCTAATGGATGTGATGTAGACATAGCGGGTAGTCACTTAACTAACAACTGTTACAAGATTGTGGTGGGGAGATCCATCCCAGTACTAATCTTTAAGCATTGAACTTGAAGCAGATCCCCTACCTTGCGTGGGTCTCTTTTGCTCTTTTGTTTCTCATTTTTATTAAGCCAAAGGTAGTTAAATTTTGCTTCTATTTTTGTTTTTTTAAATAGCAAACTGTCTGAGAATTACAGTGTTTTAATAAGAGAATTGTACCTTCTGGGATTACAGTACCAATATGTTTGGTCTTTTGTTATTTTATATTGTGTGTTTTTGATGGTTTCCTTGGCTTTTCTTTTAATATGTGGATTTTGTTTTCTTTGTTTGGCTCTTCCACATTCTGAGGCTCTTGAACGCAAGAAACTTTCCAGTTTACCCCATGCATTGCTCACCAGAGTTCTTCTCCTTTGCTTTCTGTGTGGAATTCTTATTCAAGTTTACGTCCTAAGATCAGATGCTGCCACTCCCTCCATCTTGTCCTCTTGCTGTGTAGCTTCTGAAAGTTTTAGTTCTGAACAGATGTAACATGAAAGATAACGAGGCCTGGATGCTAGTTTTCAGATTGATTCAGACTCTGGGTATGATAGGGAACAGAACTTGGGAGGGGGATCCAATACCTCTTTACCACATTCCAAGAAGGTGGGTTTGATTTTACCCTGAAAACTAAAAGAGATGCTAGGGGAGCCTAGGAAGGGGTATGACTTTTCACGTCGGCACTTTAACCCGGTCTCCTCCCACCCAGATCAGAGCTGGCGTCTCCACTGCTCTGCCTGTCACAGATGACATTCCTTTACAAAATATGTGCGGTAGTGATAGAACCTAAGTCATTATAAGGATTTTTGTGCTATCAAGGCTTTATTCATATAGATATCCACTGACAATTGTCTATTCTCTGACCTTTCCACTTTAAAAAATTTATACAATTCTTGATTCTTGTATATTTTCTGCCTTGTTCCAAAGTCAGGAATTTCTGAATTTTGTATCATGTTCTATTATATGTATCAGAAAATGTCATTAAACCTCTAAAAGAATAAAGAAAAATTAGTTACCTTCATCTTACAGCTTGCATATGTTTCCTAGAAATAAGGGATGAAACAGGAATTTATTAACTAGGATATTCAATTAAACAATAATACATCCTATGTCTACAGTTCAATGACATTTGATGGTTATAAAGAGAGTCGCGAGTCAAACTCTGAGGTTATTTCTAAATCATCAGAAAACAAGTCTCATTGTTTTTATTATTATTTCAATATACATTTTATTGTGGCTTAATTATTTGAATATTTGTGATCTTTGCTTGTACACATAATTCTATATTTAGCAGATTTTTAGATGAATTAGAACATCCCTAATGGGAATTAGTCTCTTTTCCTAAGTTCTGCAGTTTTACTCTCATTAAAATGCTCTCCATACCCTGCATTAGATCAGAGCTATTTTTCTTGCTAAGTTGTTTGCTTTTGGGAAACAGAGGCTGGACCTTTTTCTCTTTTTATTCCTCACGTCACTTGGCACAATCCTTGACACATAGTTTGTTTAGTAAATGTTGGTTAACACTAATGTTTATGAGCTGAATTTACTATACCAAGGGAATGACTTATCTTGTCTTTTATGGAAATACAAAATTCTTTCTCCATCCTCTGTGGTCCTAAGTCTAGATGTCTGCCTGCATGGGATGTTTTCAGAAAAAACACAGAAAAGTTCTAAAATTCCATTCAAGTATTCTCACAGCTGCTTGGCTGACTCCTAAAATTCTACTGTTCAACCTTGATTCCTTTAGCATATATTCAAATGCAAACAAATTTGAGAAGAGTGATGCTTTAAGGTACCCTGTTCTTTTGCATCCAGTATAAATGAAGTTTGTAAACACTTATTTTCCAACATGGAGGAGAAAGAGCCCATTTGAGAGCAGTTATAAAAAGAATTTTGGGGCCGGGGTACCCAGGACAAGCTTTGCTGCCATGATGAGATGGACATGCCTTTACCGAATATCTCTAGCCAGTGACATCTTACATTATTAAAATATCATCAGGGAATGAAAAGCCTAGGTAGACATGCAATGGTTCTGAAATTCTCCCATCTGGCTGAAGTCACGCTAGTTCATGAGTTAAATCCTTATTCTTGTTAGTAGACACAGAAGACAGCTGGAGTGACTGTTCCATGATGCCATGGTGTCCCTCCAAATATCTCTTCTTCAGGGGAATTCAGTATCAATTCCTTTAGCCTTTAATCTGCCATCCAGAATTTTAGTTATTGATCTCTTCTCCCCAGGTTCCTTTTCACGATTTCTACAACTTCCAGGACTCAGACTGGCATGATGCTCTCGTGACGATGAGGTGGCCTCTGTTTTCAGTTTTCAGATGAACTCTGTTTTCAATGGGATATGACTTCACAGTCTTTCTTGTTCTCTTGTTTATGTTTCATATTTTATGCCTCATAATCCCTTCCATACACTATTTTTGTGACAGTACTTTCTCCTATTTCATGTTTCAAAGTACAGAATTAAACTTTGTCATTTCATATTTTATATAGCACATTTCCTTTAAAGGCCTTCTTTTTTGAGACCTGAAATGGCAGCACTAGGGCCCTCATAGAGGCAGAGGAAAAGGTATAATTAATGATTTTCTCTGAAATTTGTTGAGTCCAGGGTCTACTGGGCAATGATGATGAGCCTAGGGCAGCAGAAACTTGAAGTGAACTCCTAAATTCACATTCATGGTTGTATTAGTCTGTTCTCACATTGCTATAAAGAACTACCTGAGACTGGGTAATATATGAAGAGAAGATGTTTAATTGACTCACAGTTCTGCAGGCTGTACAGGAAGCATGGATGGGAGGCCTCAGGAAACTTACAATCATGGCAGAAGGCAAAGAGGAAGTGAGCATGTCTTACTATGGTAGAGCAGGAGAGAGAGAATAAAGGGGGAAGTGCCACACACTTTTAAATCATCGGATTTCATGAGAACTCACTCACTATCGTGAGAATGGCAAGGGGGAAATCTGTCCCCGTGATCCAATCACCTCCCATGAGGTTCCCCCCCAGCATTGGGAATTACAATGCAATATGATATTTGGGTGGGAACATGGAGCCAAACCATACAAATGGTGATCTGCTGAAACCTCAACGTCCTCCTCAATGTCCTCCTGTACAAAATAACATTCATAACATTAGATATCACTTGGCCTCACATTGGTATTCACGAAAAGTAAAGACAAAGGCAAGCACAAGTGTGAAATATTTTCAGCAGCAAAATACCATCAATAACTAACAGTTTATCTGGAGTTAGTGTTGGTGTCACTAAATTAAAGTCAAAACAAATTCTGTCACTAGAATTCACTAGACTGTTTCCTGTTTTCACTCATGTATTCATCTCTTATGCCCCAAAAGTTTATTAAATGCAACACATACAAGTTAATGTTCTAGGCATCACACTGGTACACAAGACACATGGAATCTCCACCCTCATGGAGCTTGAATTCTGGTGTATAAGGGCATATGTACGTGTTGGGGGAAAGACAAAAATTGGTAAATAACTACAAATACAAGCAGGTTACCCATTGTGAACATCACTGTGAAGGAAATAGAGTGTTGGAAAACAGTCAAGTGTGCAGAAAGAGGCTGTGTTGGTTCGTTCTTGCACAACTATAAAAAGATAGCTGAGACTGGGTAATTTATAAAGTAAAGAGGTTTAATTGGCTCACAGTTTAGGAGGCTACACAGGAAGCATGGCTGGGGAGACCTCAGGAAACTTACAATCATGGTGGAAGGTGAAGGGGAAGCAGTTTTGTCTTATTTATTTATTTATTTTTTTTTGAGATGCAGTCTTGCTCTGTCGCCCAGGCTGGAGTGCAGTGGCATGATCTTGGCTCACTGCAACCTCTGTCTCTTAGGTTCCAGTGGTTCTCCCACCTCAGCCTCCTGAGTAGCTGGGATTACAGGCACGCACTACCACGCCCAACAAATGTTTTTATTTTTAGTAGAGATGGGTTTCACTGTGTTGGCCAGGCTGACTCAAACTCCTGGCCTCAGGTGATCTGCCCGCCTTGACCTCTCAAAGTGCTGGGATTACAGGTGTGAGCCACCGTGCCTGGCCAGAAGCAGTTACATCTTACATGGTAGGAGCAAGATGAGAGAGGGAAGGGGGAGGTGCTACACACTTTTAAACAACCAGATATCTCCTGAGAACTCATTATCAAGAGAATAGCAAGAGGGAAATCCGCCCCCATGATCCAGTCGCCCTCCCGCCAGGTCCCTCCTCCAACACTGGGGATTACAATTTGACAAGAGATTTGGGAAGGGACACAAGTTGAAACCATATCAGAGGCTAATGGCCAAAGAGTAGTTGGGGAGATAGAGAGCAGAACAAAATGAGAAAAGAAGAGACTTCATCCTACAGGGGAAGGAGTTTGGTCTTATTTTAAGAGCCAGGGGAAGACACTCAATTCTGAATAGTATCATGAATTAGTTTAAATATTTTTCACTCTGGTTGCTCTTTAGAGAATCCATTATGGGAGGCAAAAGTGGAAGCAGGGAGACCAGTTAGAAGGCTGTTTTAAGATGACAGCAATGGCTTGAACTAGGACGGTGTTCAGGGGATGCAGAGGAGTGGATGGATTCCAGATATATACTGAAACTAGAAACAACACATCTTAGTGATTGATTGGGCTAGGGGAATAAGAGAAATGGGAAAATGAAGGATAGAGCCTATATTTTTGGCTTGAGGATGATGGTGTTTTCTTTGTCAAGCTGGGAACACATTGAAGCGGGAGATCAGCAGTCCCTCTTCAGGTTTTTTATGTATAAGAGGCCTAGTAGGTATCCAATAGGAGGAGATGCCAAGTAGATAGTTGTAGGTTTTGGTCTGTTTCACAAGGAAAATGTCAGCTCAGGAGATATCTATCTAGGAGCCATTAATATACAGGTGTGTTTAAAGCATGGGATTGGATAAAATTCTCTAGGGAGAGTGTATGAAGCTAAGGTAGCAGAAGATGAGGCTGAGCTAGGAATGGGGCACTTCTACATTTGTCAGTCAACTACAACAAGGGTCCAGAAACCACAGCCAATGGGCCAAATTCGCTGGGGCCTGTGCCTGTATGCCTAGCAGCTAAGAAAGGTTTTTTTTTTATTTTAAAGGCTTGTATAGAAAACAAAAACTATGCAAGATTGCATGTATCCTACAAAGTCTAAGCTATTTACCATCCAGCCTTTTAGAGAAAAAGCCTGTAGACCCCTGAAGTAGAGGATAGGAAGCCAGAAACTGAAACTGGAAAGGAATGCACAGAAATGGAGGAGGAAAATCAGAAGAGTCTGATGTCATGGAAGCTATGAGAAGAAAATGTTTGAAGAAATTCTCTGAGAGGCCAAGTAAGATAAAGACATAGAATATCATGAATATCATAGGTGATCATATTAGTTAATATACATAACGTTAGTTTCTGTAAAAAACAATCCCAGCATTTCAATAGCTTAACACTAGTTTATTTTTCGTGTAATTTCCAATTGGCTGTGGGTGAGGTGGTGGTTCTGTGTGTATGTGTGTGTGTGCATGTGTGTCTGCATGTGCATGCATATATACTCTGCTCCATATATTCATATAGGGACATGAGTCCTTTCAATCGGTGTCTCTGTAATACTTTCACGCCTTAAAATATGAGTCTGAATCCTCAGCATAAGGTCTGCATATGCAAGAAGAGAGAAACAGTGTGAAAGCCTTTAAAGGGCTGCATCACCTTGACCCACGTTCAATTGGCTAGAGCTTAATCACATGGCTACACCCAACAGCAAGGGAGGTTGGAAACTGTGGTCTGAATGTGTTCCTAGAAGATAAAGTAGATGAGTTTTGTTGAACACCTTGGTGTCTCTGCCATGGAATTCTCAACAAAAACACCTTCTGCAGTAGAAACCATGAAACCACAGCTGAGTAGGAAACAGAGACAGCAAGCATAAACACCTCTTTCAATAAGTTTAACTCTGATGAGGAACATGAAGTGAGATTCTAGCTTAAGAGGAAAAAAATGCAGGGTCAAGGGAAATTTCCCATGGGGGGGAAGCACTGTGTTGTAGTAATAACAACAACAATAATAATGATAATGATGATGTTAAGCACCATCAATTTTTGATGCAATTTTTGAAGCACTTATTATGTGTCAGACATAGTTCCAGACACTTTTCCTATGTTAACTTATGCAATCTTAGCAAGACTCTTAGTTGGTAGGTGTTCTTCTTATTCCTATTCTAACACATGAGGAAACTGAAGAAAAGAGAGGTTAAGTCACTAGCTCAACATCACATAGTTATCTGCAGAGATGTGATTAAAATCCAGCTAAAAAATTTCCTGAATTTATGCTAGGTGTAGTGCTTGGTAGAAAGAAAGAAAACGCTTTTAGAATCAAACAAGCTTGGATTTGAATTTCAGACATATTTCATACTAGCTATATGATTTTGGGGAAGTCATTTAACCTCTCAGTTTTCTCATCTATAGAAAGATTATGTCTACCATAGAATTATTGCCAGTATTAAATAATATACGTTATTTAAAGCACCTTGTATTATGCCCAATACATAGTAGAGACACAATAAATGATAACAATATACTAATCAAGAAAGATATAAGTCTGAATATATCTTTTCCATCGTACATATTCTTTATTAAAAAATGTGTGGCTGGGTGTGGTGGCTCGTGCCTGTAATCCCAGCACTTTGGGAGACTGAGGCAGGAGGATTGCTTCAGTCCAGGAATTCAAGACAAGTCTGGGCAACATGGTGCGATCCCATCTCTACAAAAAAATAAAATACTAGCAGGGCATGGTGGTGCATGCCTGTAGTCCCAGCTACTCAGGAGGCTGAGTTGGGAGGATTGCTTGAGCCTGGGAGGTCATGACTGCAAGCCATGATCGTACCACTGCACTCCAGCCTGGGTGACAGTGAGACCCCATCTCAAAAAAAAAGAAAAAAAAATTCAGCAACAAATTTAGAAAATTTTCTCCTGCTTTATAGTGCTGTAGATGTAAGTGAAAATATCATTATGTATAAATATTTTAAGAGGCTTGGGCATTGAAAAGTTGTGTATGATTTTAAATGTGTACACTACTTTATACAGTCTCTGTAGCATCTTAAGGGAAACTGACACAAAGCCACCTGCCGTCTGATAGCAAATTGATGTTCCGTGCCTTTATTATCATTTATGCCCTTATCTTGAATAAACGTACCTTTGCTTTAAAAATGCTAAATGTGGAAGAATAATCTACTAAAAGACCTTACCACCTTTTATATCCCAAAGGTCATTTGCATTTTATAAAAACAAGTGAGTTGATATATCATCTAGTCAGAAAGAGATTTCCCCTATTAAACCAGGACTTCTGTCCAATAAAACGTGACACCTTCTAAATTCTCTGAGCTCTTTAGAATAAGATGATTCAGAGAAAAAAGCCAAAAGTGGTATAACTGCTGGAGAGTGTAGTGTAATAACACCCGCGGCATATGGGGATTATGGGAGCTACAATTCAAGATGAGATTTGGGTGGGAATACAACCAAACCCTATCAATGGGGAAGTATGACCAGGGTTTGACCACAGACCTGAGAGATGAGGTTGCAAAAGCAGAAACTCATGCTAAAGAGGTCAAGCCCCCGAAGGCAGAAATGCAGTCGAATAGGGACAAGAACAGTGTCCCCAGCCATGGAGAGGAGGGATTGCAAAGGCAGAAAGACCAGTTGTGGAGAATGGAGGCTTCCGGTGAGAGCTGAACCAACAATGAGCCAGACTGCTTGTTTGTTTTTGTTTGTTTTTTTGAGACAGAGTCTTGCTCTGTTGCCCAGGCTAGAGTGCAGTGGCGTGATCTCTGCTCACTGCAGCCGCTGCTTCCTGGATTCAAGTGGTTCTCCTGCCTCAGCCTCCCCAAGTAGCTGGGATTACAGGTGTGCACCACTATGCCCAGCTAATTTTTGTGTTTTTTGTAGAGACGGGGCTTTGCCATGTTGGCCAGGCTGGTCTTGAACTCCTGACCTAAGGGATTCACCCGCCTTGGCCTCCTGAAGTGCTGGGATTACAGGTGTGAGCCACCGTGCCTGGCCTCAGACTGCTTGTTATGCCTGGGAAGGTCACTTTATTATTGTTCTTACCCACAGTTAAGATGTATCCTAGAGAATGGGGCTGGACTGAGCCTGTGTATAGGGTGGGAGTCAGATTCATGAATGGATGTAAACTCTATGGGGCAAGCCCCTAACAATTGCTGGAATTATTTTTCTAAAAAATGCAAATCTGATCACACCTTTCCTCCTTATAAAGCCATTTGATGGCTTTCATTGCTTAGGGAACAGAGCCCAAATTGCTTAGACTGGTATTCAAGATGAACCTCCTTCCTTGAGATGACCTTGCTTTTTCCCTCAGGTACACCCTGCACCCCATCCATACAGAACTACTACTCATCATTTTTAAAACATGGCTCTGCTAGACTCCCATGCCATAGGACCTTCTGTTTTCTACACATCCTTCTCGTATTTAAATGTACAAAGAAGGCAAATTATAAGAAAATCAGAGCAGTGCAAGCTCAGCCAGTGTGTTAAGTTTGTTCTCCTAATATTAAATATGTAAATGCAAGTACTTTAAACACATTTGATGTCTTTTCAAGATCTTAATGTGTCTCTTTTACCTTGAGCCAGATATCCTTCCTTGTTTTTCTATGGTATCTTTGCATATCTCTGCTATGGCAATGGTCATATTGTGGTATACTTTTGTTTCCTTCTTCGTCTTTGTAATCCTGGTGCTAAGTACTGCATCTAACACTGAGGTGCTCATTACATAGGTATTGAGTGACTATTAGAGCATCTGTGGACAGTCCTTCTTCCATACTTCAATTGCACATGGAACATGCCCATATTATAACACTTAACTGATATGCCCAGATTGTTGGTTTTCATGTCTGTGTTATCTCTTAATTATAAGCACAGCAAGGCCAGGGGCTATACTTTTCCTTTCTGTAGATCCTGTACATGGCACATAGAAGAAGCTAAAACAAAAAATGTGCTGAGTGAGTGAATGAATGAATGAGTGACTATTGTTTGGGCACTATGAATAAAATCTCAAGTCAAGTTTCAAGAGATAAATGACCTTTGTACAGAACCTGTAAAGGTTGTGTTTCAAAACCTGTTACTGTCCATTAAAAGCAGGTAGTCCCAGAAGGTTTTTAGCTGCATAAAAGTTTTCCCATTATTCTTTAATCGGTGTCCAGTAGCTAAAACTCCTGTTGTTTTGTCTATTTCCCTGTACAATAGATATGGATTCTCTTCTGGGTCTCCCTGAAGTGAATAGCAGCATGTAAACATCCTATAGCTTCAATATATTGATTGAAAAACTGGATACTTCATATGACTTTTATTTTTTTACTACTCATATTATCTTAAAGGTTATATTTATCTGCAGGACATATTTGTAAAAGTTTTGAACAGCATTATTCTTGGGTGGGGATGGAAGAGAAATTTCTTAACCCTCTAGGAAGTAATTCTAAGGAAATTATATTCTAGTGTCATAGATCGCTGAGTAATACTGTTGTTAGTCAGTGTCTTGACTCTGGGAAAAAATAAGTTACAAGTTAAAGATATGCTAAACAGGAAAATGTTGAGAAAAAACAATCTCAAAACTTCCCATTCAGAAAATCTACATAGAAGATTTTAGTGGTACTTTCTTCTTTCATTAATATATAGTCAAAATTGTTTTAATGAATAAAAAAGCAGACAATTACTAGACACTTATAAGGAGATTATTCATCTTAAATTCAAGGAAAATAATCTAGTTTTGACCTACAAAGTGTACCTTTATGTTGAAATGCTTCGAGTCATTTTAAAAAAATGAAATTCCTTGAAATACCTCTAAAAGTATACTCTTACTAAGAACGCAAATTATAAGATAAAGTGGAAATTCAATTACTGTTTTAAGTTTGTTCCCCCAATATTAAATCTGAAAGTATAAGTACTTTAAGCATTTTTTTGCAGTTTTAGTAGGTTACAGTAAAACAGTGGTTGCCTTTAAGAAATTAAATAAATTAAAAGATAAAACTAAAGAAAAGTAAGTAGCTGTTATATCCTGTCTGAAACAGAAAGCCTTTCTGTATTACTATGTCATGGTTTTATTAGAATATTCCTTTAAAATGTAAATCAAAGATAGCAGTGTTATTAAATTAACATGTTTTTGCTATTCATATATACTTTTTTTTTGTATCAGGAAACTTAAGCAACTCTTTAATAGTGCGGTCACAGGCAGGGGAAAAGGGGAAAGATACCTTTAGCAAAAGGTAGATGACAGATGTTGATGGTGATCAGTGATGGATGAGTTTCAGATCACGATGCCCCTAGGCCAGAAACTTCAGGGTGGCCTCTTTGATGAAATCCCAAGGGTGGAGTTGGGGGTGAATTCTTCATTCAACCTATGTGGTGTAGGATGGCCAGTGAGGAAACCATGTAATCCAATATATCTTTAAGAAAACCTCTGAGTAATTTTTGATATGATTACAAAAGCAATCTTAATCTTTAAAAATTTAATCTTTAATCTTTAAATGAGACAAAATTCTGTTTACTTGAATGATCATTTCTTATTACACATCTATTTAGCTCCTCCACACTTTCCTTTGCAACATCCCATAATCTAACTTGGGTGCCTCCAGGGAAAAGAGGGTGGAAAGTTAAAATTCTTGCTTGGTGACTAGAAAATGCTATACAGTTGGTTTAAAAGTGACTAAACCAGCTACTCAATTGATTGTTTTGTCTGTGTCCAAGGACCTCAAAGTGCTGTCTGATGAGCAGGTGGCCCACAGGCTGGTGGAGCCCAAGGGAAAGAAGTAGCCCCAGGTATGACTGGGCAGTCCTGGAAGTTGAAAAGGCAAGAAATGGATCACATATTCAGAGTGAATTTCCCAGTCAGAGAGGAGAGACTCACAAGCTTTGGAGTTTGCATGTTTGACATTTACTAGGGTGGGTCTGTGTCTCTTGACTTGTCATTTCCTTACTGTGTCCCTTTAAAATTTTTCCCATTGGTATGTCAACGTGAAGAGGGAGATTGTAAGAAACTAAGAAGATGTTATTTATAGGTTATTTTATTTCCCATACATAGTTTGTAGGCTCAGAAAAGAATAGAGAAAAGAAGGAAAAATGTTGACTTACATGACTCTAGATAATTGTCTCACTGATATTGTCTCAATTGGTGACTTCAGAGTCACCTAGCAAAACAAGATTTTTGATCTTCATTTTGGATAACTTATTTTTTAAATTCTTCAGTAGTAATTATTGAGAAGTGCTTCTAGGAAATGGCATTTTATATCTAGAAGAAAATGTACTCTTTGTGGAGACTGCTGTCAAAATTCTTCATCTTTTTTATAGCTAAGGAGACATGTGTCCTTAAGAACATGTCTTTACTCTGATATTTGCTTTCTTCATTTTTGAAATTAGGCAGTGTACTAAATAATTACTAAGGTCTCTTCCATCTCTTGATAGTCTATGTATATAATACATTTTGACTAAATTGAATTTTCTTTCTTTTCCCTATTGGTCCCATCAAATGAACAAATAAAAAGATTTTTGTATCTGCTAGATAGTGAAACAAGACATTCGAAGACAAAACAATTTACAAAACTGAAAACTCCTGAATATCTGAGACTGTCTACACACAATTGCTTTGGTTGTTTTGAATAACTTTATTTGTCAGTGAGTTAATTGTTTTCTAATTCATTAGAGGGGAGGGGGTTGGGAACTAAAACCCCTGATATTTAACTGGGTTGGTGCAGTCATGCTGCTGGTAGACTGTTCTGATGAGACACTATGTAACATGATTTCAATGAATGCCACATTCTTTATTTATAAATATCTGTCTGGAAATGGCTCTCCAGACTAGAAGCTATCAAACACATTCTCTGTTAGGAGCAAGGAGTTTCCCTACGTTTTCCCTCTTGACGGTCCCTCTCTATGGCTTAACCTCAGCCAGCCAAAATACCGATCGATGTCACTGTGATAGATATTTTTTCTACCATTATAGTGTCTGTAAATCAAACACCATCAGGGTATAACAGAAGATATCATGACACTACATCATCCTTTGCAATTCCACCAGTGTCAAAGAACAATAAGCATTACTTTAAAGGAAAATATTTTTTGAAAATAAATTGAGGCAGTATTTCAAAAAGCTGAATTTTGTAGTGGAAATATAGTTGCAAATATAGTCCCTTGTTAGTTGCTGGCATGGACACCCTTTTCTTTATTTGGTTATTATTGAGCATGAGAAAGAAGGCATAGTCCCCAAATAACAAAGGTGCTCTGGGAAAGACAAAGAAGGAGAAAAAAAGATGTTTCTTCCCTGTTTACCAAAGAGTGGGAAAAATAAGATACAAACCTAAATAATCTAATAGAAGGCCAAAAGTGTGTGATAGGAGACTCATAATGCTGTTTGCCAGCCTGCAGAAAAGAAAAAATAATGGCAGCTGGAATGCAGTAGAAGACTTCTTCCTCCCACAGATGAAGAAGGCATTGGGTGGTAATTGTTGCTTGTGAACAGAGTTTTAATAAAAAAGTTTTTTTGTTTTTTTTTTTGAGACGAAGTCTCACTCTGTCGCCCAGGCTGGAGTGCAGTGGCACGATCTCAGCTCATTGCAACCTCCGCCTCCTGAGTTCAAGTGATTCTCCTGCCTCAGCCTCCTGAGTAGCTGGGATTACAGGCAGGCGCCACCATGTCTGGCTAATTTTTGTATTTTTAGTATAGATGAGGTTTCTCCACGTTGGTCAGGCTGGTCTCAAATTCCTGACCTCGTGATCGCCCGCCTCGACCTCCCAAAGTGCTGGGATTACAGGCATGAGCCACTGCGCCCGGTTAATATAAAAGATTCTTTAAAAGAGTATGAATGACCAAGAAGAGCTAAAGAGGGTGAAGAGGGTGAAGACATTGAGTTTGTTCAACTGCCCCAGGATGAATGTGTGATGAGGGGCTCAGTGAGAGTTCGCTTCTGAGATTTAGGGCAGAAGTAGGATCTCCCAGGAGATGCAGCTCAGCCATGAGCTGGTGTGTTGTGGTGCTGCCCTATCAGAAGAGAAAGATAACATGTTGTAGGATTTCAGGTGGCAGTGGGTTATGCTGAGGTGATAGTGAGATGGGAAACTTCCTTTTTCTTCTGGCTTTGATGTCAGGTGCCAGGATGGCATAGCATAGAGCCTTGGGTTGACTGGGCTCAAGTCCCAGCTCTGCCATTTACTGATAAGCAATTTTTTTTTAACATCTCTGTTCCTCAGTTTTACCATCTCTAAAATGGGGATAATGATTTGTACTTACCTTATAAGATTCTTGTGAGGAGTGAGTTACTGCTTACAAAATAAAACATTCAGAATGGCGCTTGGCACAAAGTAAGCATCATTTAACTAACTGCAAGGTCCTAATGTGCAGACTGCATTCAGTCCAATTTTTGGGCATGACTTCCAGGCCCCATCTTGCTTTAACTACCAGCAGGTGGGAGAGGCGCAGATAACAAAGTTTGAACTTCACATTCGTAAGGTGTCTGGATAACTGCTCAGAATACTTTGATGTTCACAGGAAAACATTTTGCCTCAAGTCATTGCTAATGTTGGGGCAAGGAAATCTCTAGGGCACAGCTAGGAAAACGCCTTCTGTAGACTACAGAAGGATCTTGGATTATTTAAATATCTCTGATTGTGAAGAAGCACAGAGCCTTATATTAAAAAAGAAGAAGAATCTATTAGAATTTGAGAGAAAGCTGATTACAGATGAATGCAGAGAAGGGAATGTTAAGAAGATTAAGGATGCCATGTCGAAGCCCCCTTTTCCACAGGGATATTCTAATACTGACACCATCCCAATCAGTAGTACCCAAAGGCTATCCTTACCTCACTGTGCCTCTCTTGCTAAAGAGTAAACTCAGGCATTGGCCAAAGGTAACAATAAATATTAAAACCTTTATTATCAATGTTTGATAGCAGCATGAAACATTTATATTTATGTATTATTTCATTTTCTGGAAAGATGCAGGTGGTTTTAAAGATGCTATTGCTAGGTCATTTTTAAAAAGAAGATCTAATTATCTTCTTACCAATTTCCCTTTGTTAGAGCTGAGCAGAGTGTACTAAACAAAGACTGCCCTGGAAGAAGGGCTGAGTAATTCTTGCTTACAGCTACATAATTTGTTCTGAATCAAGGTCGACAGTATAGAGGCTGTTGTGTTTTGCCTCTTGCTTAATTTTCTATTTAACTTCCTTCACAATCTTTCTGTGATTTAGAAACAAATGTGCTCAGACATTTTGGCAATTACAAAAGCTGTTTTCAAATGATAGAACGCATTAACATGAGAGCTAAGACATTAAGAATTCCTTCGGCGTGGATGTGTGGTGAGACCTTGTTCCTTATGTAAATGTCTTTGTGTAATTTGAAAATAAAGAGAAACTGGAGCCCTCCATCTGCCACACTTGTCTATATCAACATAATTATGCTAGTCATTTAACATATTTTGTTATGATAAATGTTGGTCATACAAAAATATTTTAAAAATGTGTACTACCATGAAATTAAGGAAAAAAATCCCACTTGTATTTGTAATCCTAAATCCCTTTATGAGCATGAAAATGTGGCCAGATCTTAGAAAGAGCCTGGTTTTGGGGTACAACACACCTGGATTTGAATTCCCACTCATCACTTACTACCTGGGTGATTCTGGGCACAATAACTTTGGAGACTTAATTTCCCTGTCCATAGAACAGAGATAATGGCATCTACCTTCCTGCGTGACTGTGAAGATTAAATACGATAAAGTTTATAGAGGCTCTTAGCGTGTTTGGTGGATGGCAATCTGCTTGTTAAATGGTAGGTGTTTTGTAACTACTGACAGTACTTTTGCTTGCGAGTTTTAGAGGTGAAAATAATAAATTACACTTGCTCTGTACATATAATTATTCTGTCAGGTCATTTAAAAGTTGCATTTTTGGCATAAATAGGCTATCTAGCTTCTTGCAAGTGTCCAACTATTAAATATTCTTTAAAAAGTGAAGAATTTAGTCTCTCAAAAATTCCAGTGTTTTTTTGAAGATGTGGCATCAAAGAGCTACATAAAGATACAGTTTTAGAGTATACTCTGTGTGTGTGTGTGTGTGTGTGTGTGTGTGACTTCCAACCAGCTCTTCTTGTATTATGTTTAAGTGTTTTTATTCTTACCTGGCTAGGCTTCAGTTAAACTCACTATGGAAAAATTTTAGACACTGGTTCTAATCTGCTTAATAATCTCTCCCCCTGAGTGCCTGGAGGTCTGACACAATGTAAACCATACATGTAATAAATAATTAAATACATGTCTTTAAAGGAGCTGAAAATAACACTCCTGATAATGACTTCTCGAAGTACAAAGGACCATTCAGCCATCCAATTGAGACACATGTTAATTAAAAATTGAAAGTCATAAGTAATTGAATATTGATTTAGAGTTCTTGCCCTGAAGGGCATGCTGAGAACTCTGGCAGATTCATATAGGAAAGAAAGCCTTCTGCAGGCATCCAAGGGGAAGACCATGTCTCTAGAAAGCCCCTGTTGAACTGAGTCTGATTGGTGGTCTGCAAGGCTCCAAGTACTTGTCCTGAAAAAGGACATTTTCCAGAGTTTCTATCTCTAAGCGTTGGTTTTGTCTTTGTATCAGGCACTCAGTGAGAGAGATCAAATGCTCATTCAAGGATCCTGGGGGCCAGCCTGACCATCTGGGTTGGTAGGGGGCGAGGATGTCAGCAGATGAGACTGTGGAAAGTTGGGTTATCAGTGTTTCCATTGCATGGAAAAGTTTGTTATTGTGCTTCTTGAGGCAGAAAGTATATGATTTAAACAATTTAAAATTTCTTCTGATTATAAAAAATGAATTCATTGTTTTAAATTTGGAAAAATCAAGGAAAGCATAAAGAAAGGTTATTTATAAACTTATTATGCAGTAACGATGTCACTAAATGTCTAGTGAACTTCCTCCTAGTCTTTTTCTTTTTGAAACTTCCCTTATCATTGCTTTACATAATTTTTAGAGAATAGAATATATGCAGAAAAAATGAGAAAAAAATTGACAGATGCAGTTGTTGAGTGATTCTTATATTCAACAAAATTATATTAAGGATATTGAAAAGTGATATACTATCCTCTATTTACAAAATGCCTTTCATCCAAACCAAAAAAATGTATCCATGAGTTGCTTGCTTTTTGACATGTGTGAGCTAGGGACAGATATTATTATGTACTTTTTTTTTTTTTTGCAACAAGTTTTCAGGAATAGAAACTTCATCTCATGATTCTCATCTCAGAATTCTGTATTGCTTTCTAAATCATCCTTTTTTTTTTGGTGGGGGGAGGTTATCAGAGAAGAAGTAATTTCAACTTTCAAACAGCTAAACATTCAGGATGAAATATAAAACAAATTTATATAACATCATGAAAGATCAGTGCTGTTGATGATTGGAAGATTGTGTGTCAGTAGAATTTTGCATAGTTTAAGACTTAGGGGATCTCAAAAGATTATGTTTATTAATTACTTTCTTGTAAAGGCAACTGTATAGAAAAGGAGGGGGAGGATGTTGAGAAGGTTATTGTACATTTTTTCTTGTCTTTCAGTTGATCTGCTAGATTTTGAATTCTGTTTAAAAAAGCAAAAAAGAAAATATTCTTTCTGATCATAGTGCTAACCCACTGTAGGAAAGCAATTCCTTTAAAATAAAACTGTTGTGGATAAAAATGAAAACTCAGTAAAAGGTGCAAAATTAAGACTTCTGAGTCTTGAGTGAATTGCTTATATGTTTCAGGCTAGCGAAGGATTTCCAGCTGCACATAGCCTTACTTATTAAAATTTTTATAACACCCCACATTAGTATGTTTTGTAGGTTTATGTACAATATAGGGGATATACTCCCATATCCTCTTTTGAGGAAAATATGCTTTCTCAGTATAGGTAAGCCATGTTTAAATTTCTGGTTAAAAGAATCTTCAGGACTTGCAATTTAATCTGAAGAGCAAAGATAATCTTTATTTCAAAACATCTTTAGAATTGGAATTTTTCTGAACTCTTAATTTACTAGAAGGCAAAGTTGGTATGATTTCCCTGAAAACAAAATTTCTCACAAATTGAGCAAGTCAAACTCTGAAATTGCTGAATATCCTGGGATAAAAATGTAAACAATGTGAGGAAAAAAAGTCTCTTGGGCTCATATTACTTTGGTTTTTAACCACTTCGGTGCTACAAGATCATAATGAAATAATTGTTTCTTATTGAAAATTTGATGTACAGTAAAAAAAGTGTTGTTTTAAATAAAAATAAAGTTCAAAGTGATACGTGATTTAAGTTGTAGGATTATTTAAGCTTTTATTTAGACATGCTTAAAATTTGTTTAAACTATCTAATTTTCATTTTATTGTAACTCTAGATGCAATTAACTCTAAGAGGATTTTCTTTCATTATATCTATTTTATTTTATATTAACAAATAAGAAATATTTGTTCAATACTTGCTATATGCAAGGTGTTGTGATATGCAATACAGAGTGTGCAAAATAAAAGTTATCTATTTGGAGAACTTAAGGATTTCCCTAAGGGTACAAGACATTAAAATAGGAAACTATTAGAAACAAAGATGTTTATAGTAAAATATTTATCAAATAAACTTCTGATAAGTATAATAATTGAAAATAGCTATGAACATATAAAATATCCTTAATAAAGTTTTTTCACTTATTAAAAAATAATCAAAACTTGATGAATTTGTACCTCATATAGGTGGCAAAACTGTAGATATAGGTATAGATATAGGTGTGTACATGTACCTAGTATTAAGAAGGGATACCTAAATATATACACATATGAGTGTATATATATATATATATATATATATATATATATATATATATATATAAATCTGTATCTCTATGAGTATATATATATCTAAGTGTATGCATAAAATATCAATGACTAAAAGGAAGAGTGAATCAGAAGAAAAAAAATTTAAATCCTGGGGCATCTTCACTAAAATTCAATTAGGCATGAACTCTGTGAAACTATAGCAGAAAGCTTAAGAAAAAAAGAAGCAGAAATGGAACACCAAAAATGTAGTAGAAAGCAGCAAGGTAAGAGAAAGTAGAAAGTAAAAAGCAGCCAGGTAAGAGAAAGAAAGTTTGCATGGATTTAAAGTCTCTATCACACGATTACTATTCAAGGTGTATGTGATAGATATTAGAAGGACGCAGCTGAAAACTTCATTGACGATGAACAGAGTGAACGCCCATAATACGGGGTAAGAGGCAAAGGGTTGAAAATGATGAGAGAGAAAAGAGGTGTGAAGGGCGATGTCTAGAGATGAAAGCCAAGAAGTATTTCCAGTGAAAACAGATTATTTAAATATGTCTAAGACGTACTAAGAAAGACCAGTTATGTGAACATATTTTAGCAAATAACTTTTTCTTTAATTAAAAGATTAGACAAAAAGTACTTTATATGTATATAAGGAGAAAAAGGTGAAGTATAAAAATCAGAGTGATTTCAGTCTTCTTTTCTTTAGTATCAAAGATCAGAAGACAGTGTAATAGCATCCACAGTTCTGAGGGAAAAAGACTCTGATGCTCGAATTTTATACCCAGACAAGTATACATGCTTAAGTGCTCCAAATTTTACCACTCCTGTGCCTATCTTGAAAACAACTGCTTACATCGGTCACCAGATAGATGAAGCAAAATGAAGACTTTAAAGATGGAGACTTTGTGCTATAAAAGGAAGGCAGTGAATCTCAAAGATATTTAGATATAGAATTGAGAATAAATACTTTTAAATTTTGGGATAAAGCTCAATCAAGGCCAATACAAATCTAACTTTTAAGAAAGATATAAAATGTAAAGATTATTCCATGGCAGTAATCTGGTAACTCATGGAGGTGTGAGATGGAAGAAATGAGTCTACTGGTAAAAGCACGTTAAAAACTTATTTGAGGGAGATACAAAAGTTAGGGAAAAATGTCAAGGATGCATAAATATAGATGCAAAAGCAAGTATTATGCTAATAAAATAGATCAATTATAATTTCAAATTAATAGGTAAAATTTTTTTCAGATTGTGTTAAAACACTAGATCTAAGAATATATTACTTATATGCCCTCCAAAGAGGTTTTATTTAAAGGATAAAAAAAGATTACAAAAAGAAAGAGGTGGCAGTGATAACTTTGAATTTATTAAAATACAAGACAAGTAGAATTGAGTAGGACAAAGAAGATCAATATTTATTGCTAAAATAGAAACTTCACAAGCATGACACATTTTGGGGTTCAAAATATAGGAAAAATTAAGTATAAGAAACATTATTTTTGGAGGCTTTACTTCTCTCAGCTTTAGATGACTCAAGTAGCTATAATCACTGCAATTGAACTAAGCTGAACTTTAGAAAAAATACTACCAATAGAGAATATATTTTTAAGTGTCCAGGGAATATTTTAAACAGCAGTACCCAATGTTTTTGGCTACAGGGACCGGTTTCGTGGAAGACAATTTTTCTACAGATAGGGGTTGGCGGGGATGGGGCAGAGATGTTTTTGGGATGAAACTGTTTCACCTCAGATCATCAGACACTAGATTCTCATAAGAAGCATGCACCCTAGATCCCTCGCATGCTCAGTTCACAATATGGTTCACCCTCCTATGAGAATCTAATTTCTGTGGCTGATCTGGCAGGAGGCGGAGCTCATGCGCTAATGCTCCTTGCCTGCCGCTCACCTCCTGCTGTGCAGCCCAGTTGCTAACAGGCCACGGACCAATACTGGTCCACTGCCTGGGGGTTGGGAACGCCTGTTTTAAAAGATTGATCATATACCAAGTTACAAAAAAATCTAAATAGAGTACACAAAGCAGGTGTCATGTGGACCGTAGGCCATAATCTTAGACAATAATGCAGTGAAACCTAACAGTAATAACATAGTTTTAAGCAAACCAAACTTGAAAATTAAACACACACACATATTTAGGATATATATATATATATATATATATATATATATATATATATAATAGTGCTAAAAGACTATTTATAATTGAATACTGCAGATAACTTTATGATAATCCATCTGAAAGTAAAATAGAAAAAATTCTCATATGTTATGAAAATGTAATCAAGAGATAAAAGACTTTATTAGACTAATAACAGGAGAAATTAAAAACATTATTAATATTTTGCATAAAAATGTTACGGGTTCTTTTTTTTAAGTAACTTGTTAATTTTTTTCAAAGAATTCTGCATAAACACCTTTGGAAAGCTTATATTTAAAAATATAACCCTGATATGAAGCTTTTCAAAGAGGACACCAAAAAAGGAAAATGACAACCTATTTAGTCAATTTTAGTTTTGAAAATAGATAGGAATAGAACTTCAAAGTCATGCTAGCACACAGCAGCAACAACAAAAACAACTGATCTACACCAGTTAGGGAGAATTTATATTTATTATTAGAGAGTGTATAACATGTCATCAATATGTAAAAAAACCACAAAGATGCCAAAGTAGTATCAATCACATTTTATATAGATTCTTTGTAGCAATTAATGGTAAACTATTATCAGAAGTATTCTTCTTTTCCCTGATTGAAATAAAATATCTGGAACCAAGAGTCAATATAATACCTGACAAAGAAAAATTAGAGTGATTTCTTCTAAAATTAGGAACAAGACAAGGTTGACAGTTATTACTGTCATTCTTTAACATTATTCTAGAAATTCTATTAATCTCAAAAGACATGAAGCAAGAATTATTAGCTATTAAACAAGAAGAAAAAATTACACTTACTTGGGTGCAGTTTATTTTTGTAGCCCTTCCAAAAATATCTAAGAAAATAAACTGAAAAAGCTATTAGGAAAAACTAGTAGTAACGTGGCTAATTGGCTAATTACCTGAACTGGTAGCTTTCTTAGCGACTTGTATAATCAGCTAGAAAGGTCAGGCATGGTGGCTCATGCCTTTATCCCCAGCATTTTAGGAGGCCGAGGTGGGCAGATCACCTGAGGTCAGGAGTTCAAGATCAGCCTGGGCAACATGGTGAAACCCCATCTCTACAAAAATTAGCTGGGTGTGGTGGTGCACATCTGTAGTCCCAGTTACTTGGCAGGCTGAGGCATGAGAATTGCATGAACCCAGGAGACTGAGGTTGTAGTGAGCTGAGATTGAGCCACTGTACTGTACTCAAGCCTGGGCAACAGAGTGAGACTCTGTCTTAAGGAAAAAAAATCAGCTAGAAAATGATGAATAAAAGATCTTCCCATTAGATACAACAATTAAATACCTAAGAATAACTTTAACAAGAAATGTAGGATGCATCTGAAGACTACAACTTTCCAGAGGAATATAAATAAAAACAAATAAGTAGGAACACTATCGTTTTGTTGGCTAGGAAGACCAAATATTATAAAACTATGTATTTAAAAATTAATTTTAGGTTAATTTTAATTACAATTCAAATTTCATTTTTTTTCTAACCTGTCTAAATGATTCTTGATTTCACTGGAAAAAGGTAAACAAGTGAAGACAGGCATGAAAATTTGAAAAAGAGGAATATGAGGTAGAACATTTCGTACTAGATAATAACAATTATGTGGTTCTGGTGTCAGAATCACCAGCCTGATCAATGGGTCCAAATAACATAAGGGTAAATAATGAGTAAAAATGGCTAGATTTTACTTAGTGGAAATAAAAATGCATCATTCTTGAAAACAAATTAAAAAGCCAAAAAGTAAGAAATTTATCATCTGTGTTGGACAGAACAAGGGCTAATATATAAAACATAAAAAGACCTCATGAAAGTGAATTAGCAGAAACATCAAAATGCTAAAAGGAAAAAAGAAAGTGGGCAAAGGTAGGGTTAGACAAGACCAGTAGAAGATATTGACAGGAAAGTAAATTAGGGAAAAACATTCAGCACAAAGAATTGTAAACTCAAACAGCCACAATATAACTCTTTCTACTTACCAACTTACCAAATACTAGGAAAAAGAGAATACTTTGTGGTAGCAAACATTTGGAAAGATGTCATTTTGTACTGCTTGTGGGGAAGTAAATTGGCGCAGTCTCTCTGGTGGTAACATGGCATGAAAATAGTTCATGGAATATTATACAGCCATTAATGTTTTCTTTTCTTTTCTCTTTTTTGTTTTGTTTTGTTTGAGATGGAGTCTTGCTCTGTTGCCCAGGCTGGAGTGTAATGGCGCAATCTCAGTTCACTGGAACCTCCACCTCCCGGGTTCAAGCAATTCTCCTGCCTCAGCCTCCTGAATAGCTGGTATTACAGGTGTGCACCACCATGCCCAACTAATTTTTGTATTTTCTGTAGAGATGGGGTTTCACCATATTGGCCAGGCTGGTCTTGATCTCCTGACCTTGTGATCCTCCCACCTCGGCCTTCCAAAGTGCTGGGATTACAGGCCTGAGCCACCGTGCCCGGCTAGCCATTAATGTTTTTGAACTGTATTTAAACAGATGAAAAATAGTTACCTATAAAGTTAAAAGAAATGAAACCTAAAACAAACATAGACACAAAATGATACTAATTGTGGATGTTTGTATGCTTGTCTAGATAAAATATGTGGCTACATAGAGAAGACTGGTAGAAAATAAAATGAAGTGTCAACAGGGTATGTCTCATGGTGGCATTTTCTTTACACTTTGTGCTTCATTTAAACAATGTCTTTAATTTCAGAATGGTTCTGTACATCATGATTTCATCTAAGTAAAATGTGGGTGCTTATTGTGAATAATGTCTGAAAATAAGGATTGTATTAAGGCAGTAGAGTTATGAGATTTACTGCTGTTTTAAAGAATTTCAATGTGCTATTTTTAAATTTAAAAGAATGGGAATTTACAGAGAGTTGAAGACAAAGACACTTTCATATTTCTGAACTCTCTGATGAACTGTTTTTTTTTTTTTTTTTGGTTGGAAAACTATCATTGAGATAAAAGCCAGGCAAGAGTAAAATCAACACAGCTCTATTTCCTATAGTTTGCTTGCCTGGGTTTGGAGCAATGGGCTTCAAAAATTTAGTTTATATCTTCCATAAAAAAAAAAACAACTTTGAAAAACTAGGTAGTCCATTATACATATTATTTAGGTTGAAATCTATAATTTTGTTTTGTATTAATGTAAAAAGTAGAATAGTAGTAATTTCTGATTCATTACAAATGTTAAACATTTTAAAGTAAATGGGTTAGATTATCTTAAATGTATCCAGTGGAATCAAAATAGTTAGCTCCATCCAGCAATTCCACTTCTGGGCGTATATCCTAAGGACTTGAAATCAGTATGTTGAAAAGACACCTGTACTCTCCCGTTGATTGCATTATTTAAAATAGCCCAAATATGGAATCAATCTAAGTGTCCATCAAAGGATGGATGGATAAAAATGGATTGGTATAAATACAAAATGGAATACTATTCAGCCTTAAAAAAGAAGAACTCTTATCATTTACAATGCAGATGAACCTGGAGGACATCACACTACGTGAAATAAGCGAGGCATAGAAAAACAAAAGACACATGTTTTTACTTATATGTGGAATCTAAAACAATTGAATTCATGGAAGCAGAGGGTAGAATGGTGGTTACCAGAGGCTGGGGGATGGGAGAAATAGGGAGATGTTTGTCAAAGGGTACAAAATTTCAGTCAGACAGGAGGAATAAATGATAAATACTTAAGGTGATGAATATTTTAGTTAGCTTTATTCAATCATTCCACACTGTATACATATATCATAACTTCACTGTGTACCTAACAATTATATAGGATTATAATTTGTCATAGAAAAATACCTTCAAATATCTTAGTCCAAATGGTTCTTGAAATGTGGTCCATGGACCTCTGGGATTCTTGAGACCCCCTCAGGTGATCTTCCAGGTCAATGTTATTTTTATAGTAGTAATAAGCTAGGTAGCTATTTGCCTTTTTTTCATGGGATTGGTATTTGTAATGATGATGCAAAAGCAATGGCGAATAAAACTGCTGGTGTCTTCACATGAATCAAGACAGTGGCACTCAACTGTGCCAGTTATTAATCAATATATACTTCACTACTGAGCAATGGTTATTTTTTTTTTAAAGCCAGCTGCACTGGCTTTAAAAAATCTTCAGTTGAACAGAATGTTAAAGTAAAGAACAGAATGTTAATTAAACAGTTAAAGAACAGTTAAAGAACAGAACGTTAATTAAAGAGTTGAACAGAACGTTAATTAAAGAACAGAACGTTCTTTAATTTTATTAAATCTTGGCCCTTAAGTGTATATCTTTCTGATATTCTTTGTGGCAACTTGGGAAATACACAGTTATTTTAAGGAAAAGTGTTTGCGCAATTGTTTCAGTTAAAGCTGAACTACCTAGTTTTTTTTTTTTTTCCTTCTTCATGGAGCCCCATCTTTACCTGAAGAAACTATTGACAGACAAACTACTATTATTTAGACTTGGATTTTTGGTAAACAGTTTTTCAAAAATGAACCAAGTGAATCTGTTAAGAAAAACAAATGACAGTATTTGTTATTGGCGGTACAATTCAAGCTTTCACTTAAAACTTAAATTTTGGAAAATTTGTATTTGTCACTGGAAACATGGCAGTTTCCCAATACTTCAAGACTTTTCTGATGAAAGTAGTGGTGATAACAAATGTGAATTTTTGATATTGTGTAATCAAATGTGTCAACATTTGAAAGATCTACTTAACTGAGTGAACTCATATTTTCCAAAGGTCAATACATGATGTTACAAAATTATGCATAGGCTTTTCAAAGCATTCATTTAAAGCACAAGACAGGCTGGGCACAGCGACTCATGCCTGTAATCCTAGCACTTTGGGAGGCCAAGGCGGGCAGATCCCTGAGCTCAGGAGTTCGAAATTAGCCTGGGCAGTATGGTGAGACCTCGTCTCTACAAAAAATACAAAAATTGGCTGGGTGTGGTAGTGTGTGCCTGTAATCCCAGCTACCTGGGGGGCCGAGGCAGGAGGATCACTTGAGCCTGGGGGGTCGAGGCTGCAGTGAGCTGAGAGTGCACCACAGCACTCCAACCTGGGTGACAAAGTGAGACCCTGTCTCAAAACAAAAAAACAAACAACACAAAGCACAAGATAGATTAATGGATTTTAATGTTACAGAGTGTAAAAACTTCATTGATATAGCTTCAGATTCCACATTGCAAATAACCTTTAAGATATTATTTTTTATTTTATTTTTTATATATTTAGAGGGTACAAGTGCACATTTCTTACATGCATACATTGTGTAGTGGTGAAGTCCGGACCTTTAGTGTATCCACCGCCCAGATAGTGAACATTGTACTCAACAAGTAATTTTTCAACCCTCAGCCACCCTCAACCCACCCACCTTTTGTAGTGTCCAATGTCTAATATTCTACTTTTTTACCACTTGTTGAGTTTTTTGTTGTGTCAGAGAAGAATATCTGCAATGATATGAAAAGGCTATTAAAATGCTCCTCCCTTTTCCAGCTATTTATTAACATTTTTGAGGAGCTAGATTTTCTTTATATACTTCAACCAAATGGCTTATCACAATGGGTTAAATGCAGAAGCAGATATAAGAATGCAGCAGTCTTCTAAGCCAGATGCATTAAAGACATTCACAAAAAATTTAAAATATTGTCACTCTTCTTTCTAACTTGTTTTGGTTTTAAAAATGTCATTATTTTTCATAGAAAAAATTTATATTAATATGAATGAGTTTATTGTTATTTTTAAATGAATTAATAAATATTTAAAAAGTTTTCCTTGAATTTTAAAAATGGTAAATATTTTAGAAGGCTGATGTTAGAGACATTCTTTGGTTTGAATGATCACTACATTATTATTGATGCATCATTGATCAAATTGATCAACAGGAGTTAAATAGAATAAGATCTAGTGTTTGGCAGCACAACAAGGCAACTATAGTTAACAATAGCTTATTGTGTATTTCACAATAGCTAGAAGCAAAATCTTGAAATGTTCCCAACAAAAAGAAATGGTAAATGTTTGAGGTGATGGATATCCCAATTACCCAGATTTAATAATTACATGTTGTATGTATGTATCAGAATATCACAGGTACCCGACACATATGTACAACTATTATGTATTCATAAAAATTTAACAAAATGAGAGTATTGTGAAAAAAACAGAATAAATACATCTCACATTTTGATAATTATTAATCACAAAGAGCAAATTTTTATTGAAATTATCTCTTCAGAAGATGGATGTGCCTGTTTTTTCCTTCAATTAGTTCATGTGTCTATGGATAAATGTCACATTTGCTGAATGAGACAAAATTCAAGAAAAATTAACATTAAAGAAAGAGAAGTTTTTGGTGTAGTGCTTAAAAAAGCTGTATTAATCAGTGCTTTTAGTATTTGGATCCACAACATCTTCCTGTTGAGTTAATTTAAATTAAATAAGTGCATTGGGGGAATAAATATATGATTAGAGAAATGGTTGAGAACAAGCTAGAGCCTTGTCTAAGAAAAAATTGAGTATACCTCTATTCTGTTCAACATTCATTTGGAAAAGTAATGACAGTGTTTCATGAATTTGAATACACTGCAAGAAAATGGAATCCTGACATGTGTTTCTTCTATGCAAGATGTAGTGTTAAGCTGTCAGAGGTCATTGTGAAACTTTTCACCACTTTGAAAATATGTAAAACATCAACTGTAAAGCAGGCCAATATCTTGATTAACAGAAACAGAAATTTACTGGACACCAATATCTCAAATTGTCCCTCTGCCACCGCAAAGATTACACTTTTTAAAGGCAATGCACCATAATAAGATTCAGAATGAGTAAGAGGTAGGCCTTTCTTTTGTAAAGAGGGCAAAAGACAATTGTATTAGGTTGACGCAAACGTAATTGCAGTTTTTGCCATTAAAAGTAATGGCATTTTAATGACAAAAACAGCAATTACATTTGCACCAACCTAATACAAGGAAGTGGGAAATGAGAATAGGTGTGATACACTGGCCATGGCTTGCTCTTAAGCAGAGCAGTTTTGGAGAGTGTGTGTGAAATGTGTGGGTCTGGAAACTGCTTACCTTAAAACTCAAAGAAACTGCAACATTATTCTTTTAAACATGTCCTGTGGAAATCTAAATATCAAAGCAATTTGTTACTCATTATCATCCATTTAAAAAAATTCATGAAAAAGCTCTTCTTTTATAGTTGAAACAACATTATTTCTCTTTTCACTTAAATTCATCTTTGATCCTTTATGCTTGAAAGCTTTTTATTAATCACTGCAATAAAAGTGCCTTCCATTGGGGAGTGCTTGTACTCCTGTTTGAAGACTTCCGTCTTAGAAGTTCATGGTAGGAATGTGAGCTATACCTAGGGAGACATCTGGTTCTCCTGATGCCTTCTTGAAGGCTGCCAAACATTGCAATGGGATTCGTTAGTTTTGCTTTTACTTTTGGTGAGTTTCTTACTTTAGAATGAAGGCCAACTAAGGACTACTTATACTTTCTGCAAATTCCCTTGACTTCGATTTGTAGTTGAAATATTGAAGGCAAGTTTTTTTTCCTCTTCTACTTTAAGGGAGGTCAATAGATATGGATTCAACTTATTCACCAGTAGATTGATCTCAGCAGGAATGATATTAAGAGGTTGGTAGAGACTATCTTGATTTGAGGCTCCTTTAACCCCAAATACCTCCATGTTCAGAGCCTTGGTGCCTAAAATTCTCCCCAAATTGATGCATTGTCTTAGACTAGCAATCACGTTATGAGTTCGTTTACTATGTTGCCTTTCTCTACCAATGAAGGGATGGGGCTAAAATAATCCAGGACAGCCGGGTGTGAAAAAAGTGCTGAAGGAAGAGAGAAGCTTAGAGCAAATGTAGCTGGAAAGCTTAAGAAGGGAGGGGAGGCCAAACACAAAGCAACCTGACTTCATGATTTTCCTCCAACTAACTTTGAAACCATTTATCATCAATGAAAAGGCCTAGTTTTAGAATCAAATTTCTATCGGGGAGGATAATGCAGAGGGGAAGGAAGAGACAATTGATTAAACAACCCAGGAAATTTTGGATGTGACTCCAAATACCTGAAAACCAAATTCAGGTAAGCTCTTATGAAAACACATTTGAACAGTTTTATATTTTAATACATTAACAGTGTCTTGAATTCCTTATGTTTTATAATGAAACCTTTGCAAGGGAACTGTGTGGATTGTGTTCAGAGACAAAACCAATTTGACCGTTTGACCTTAAGAGCTTCCCATCTCCATTGATTTGCCACCTTTTTAAAAGGTAGAAAGCCAGTGCAAAATGACAATCTTTAATAATAATTTTCCTCTGAGGGGCACATTTTCACGTGTCCCAATCTTCTTCTTCTTCTTTTTTTTTTTATAAATCCTAATTTAAAAAATTGACATATAATAATTGTACAGATTTATGGGATGTATTGTGATGCTTTGATACATACAATATATAGTGATCTGATCAAAGTAATTAGCATATCCATCATCTCAAACATTTATCATTTCTTTGTGCTGGGAACATTCAATATCCTCCTCCTAGTTATTTGACCAGCCATTTTTATTGTTTATATGAAAAATGTATGCCATATAGCATATGCATACACAGATACTGCTTTGAAGGCAAGCACAGGTTCTCAATGGCTAAGCCTATGGTGAAATTTATTTTAGTTCATGGTACAGTGAGTAGTGACCAAAAAAGACCATCAGATCCACATATCTCTAGAGATTCTCTTAAGTGAAC
Organism: Homo sapiens; assembly: GCF_000001405.40. NCBI lineage: Eukaryota > Metazoa > Chordata > Mammalia > Primates > Hominidae > Homo > Homo sapiens. Next base: position 199,790,283 of record NC_000001.11, on the reverse strand, counting down.
TGGGTCACACATAAATTTATTTTTAGCTACAATATTAAACTCAGAGAGTTTTAGAGGTATAAGGAAAGTTAGCTATTTTTTAGCATTATCAATATTTCTTATTTTTATAAAATAGAAATTTGCAGTTGTAAAATTGTGTCATATATTGGATGTCATTTTAATATATTAATATTGAATATAATAAAATTAGATTATAATTGAATTTGTGGATAAAAAATTAAAAAATGGTCAAGTGCATAGAAGGTTTTGGAGTTCTGGGTCTGAATTCTGGCTGTACCACTTGCTTTGGAATATCTACAAGTTACTTAACTTTTTTATGACTCAATTTTCTTATCTGTAGAATGGAAACAATATAAACACTTCCTAGAGATGTTATAAAGATTAAATGACAATACGAGTGAAGCACTTAGCACAGTATCTGACACTATAAGCATTTAATACATAGTATCTAAATTATTATTTTTATTTATATACTAAAAATAAGAAATCTTTTTTTTTGAGATAATGGAGAGTACTCAAGTAATGAAGTATACAAGAAAGTAATTTGGAGATAGACTCAAATGCTTTATCTTTTTAATTGGTGCCTATTTCAAAGGTAAAGAAATACATATATATTATGTTATGCCTAAATAAATGTGTCAGCATGAATTAGAGGCCTGATTATGTTCAACAGACTGATATGTATTAACCTGATTATGACAATGTAGTTACTGTGCTGGAACAGGTCCAGGACTCACTGAGAGAAAATTAAATCTTAAGGTGCCAGGCTTTCAACTCATATAATATACAGTGATAAAACCTCTCTGGTATATTCATACCTAAAGGTTTTAAAAAATTTAATATGAATCCATCTCCTTTTCATTTTTAAAATATAAGCCAGGGACAATATTATAATAGCTCTTCATAGAATAGTACATTGTAAGGACTTTTTGTAAATGTCCACAGGCGTCCTTAGATGAGAATGAATCTATTTGAATAAAACCAGTAATCTGAAGGTAATTAAAGTAGTTTTGTAAGGTGCAATAAACATCCATTGTTGGGTCTACAGAGCATTAGTTTATGCTATTGTGAAGAAGATGTCTTTTTAGTCCCTGAGCTGTTTTGAAAAATTTCAGAGGCCACAGGTCTGAAAAAAAAACAAGGACAAGATAATGACTGAAGACACAATTAATCCTGGTGCCATGGCGTAGTACAAAATGTTACAACAATTTTTTTTTTAAAAAAAAGCTGTGCAGGGGTTATAAAAAGAAAAGTTAATGCATAGTCTTTAAAAAAAATAAAAAGCTTAAATGTACCATGCTGAATGGGTGGAATAAACAATAGTTGAGAAACTAAAATAGCATAAGAAAAGACATTATGGTATAAAGAAAGAGCAAATGAATTTAAAATGTGTGTAGAAAATATGAAATCAAATGTGTGATGTGTATATGAAGGTGAGATTGCATTTAGGTAAACACTTTTGTTTCTTTAGGGGTGACCTCAGTTAGTGTTTAGTTAAGATTTCAAAAGCTTGTGCAAAACGTAACACATTCCTAACTCAAAATTTTCACCCACCATGTAAAGGAGCTGCATGTTACAAGAAACCTGGAAGAAACTGCTTGTGTAGACTCTGAAGGTCAGCTTTTATCTGGCAGCAACTTCTTATTACTTTCAGCTCTTTCACATTTCCTTCAAAATGATCTATGTTTATGAGAATAAACAATAATAAACAAGGCTCTTCTGGGACTGACTCTTACCCTAGTGGCTTCTAAAATATGATACCTGATGTTGGAAGTTTAATTTCAACTTTTAAATATGAAATATTCAGCTTCTCCACTCTGAAGCTGAATGCCCAAGCAGAGACATTTCAACTGTGTCTGCTGCCTATTCCTTTTCCTGCAAAACAGATTCAGTCAGCATTTTAAGGAAAAACTCATTTTTTATCGGTGGCCATTTCACACAGAATTTTAAAATAAAACAATGGAGTATTCAGTTAGCCCCAGTGACCTCTTCCAGATTCCAGGGTGGGGATTTAATGTCTGTTATTTGAACCTACTCTGACTTCAGATGAGTAAGAAACATCCCATGCTTGCATTAAGTTGAGGTGGAGGCATTCGGTTGGAGCTGAACACGGTTAAAACAATTCTTCAATTTGTATGAAGTAGATGTATTCATCCAAGCCAAGAATCCTTCCCCATTCTCACCCCAACCATGTGCAACATTTTACACATGGAGACAGTTGCATTGATTCACATATCTTGTGGCATTTCTTTCCTTATTTATCTTCATAAAGGTCATAGAAGCATCCACCATTCCTTTTCAGCTGGGCACAGTGGTGAATTACAGAGCCTCTGCAGAATCAGACATTGGTCTTACTGCAAACAAGGATGCCTCATCTGAATGGCTTACAGTTTGAAAACTCCATTTGTGGCCGGGCGCGGTGGCTCACGCCTGTATTCCCAGCACTTTGGGAGTCCAAGGCGGGTGGATCACAAGGTCAGGAGTTCGAGATCAGCCTGGCCAATATGGTGAAAACCCATCTCTACTAAAAAAAAAAAAAAAAAAAAAAAAAATTAGCTGGGCATTGTGGCAGGCACCTGTAGTCCCAGCTACTTGACAGGCTGAGGCAGGAGAATCGCTTGAACCCAGGAGGCAGAAGTTGCAGTGAGCCAAGATTGCACCACTGCACTCCAGCCTGGGCAACAAAGCAAGACACCATCTCAAAAAAAAAAAAAAAGTTCCGTTTGCATCATGCACTTAAAACCTTTTTACACATAATACTTACACTTTTCAAAATGAGTCACTTTGGTTTCTCAGTCATAAGGAATTTTTCGTCAAAATAGCATTGAATCTGAGCTGAAGTTCTAATATTCACGTCCCCTTGGAATAGAGTTGCCAGATTTAGCAACAGACAGAAAAACAAATATAAAACAATAATGAAACAAAATACGCAGTTAAACCTGAATGTTGGGTAAATTATATATATATATATATATATTTTAGTGTGAGTATGTACCATACAATAATGGAAACATAGATATACTAAATATATGCAGTTTATCCAAAATTCAAATTTAACTAGGCATCCTGTATTTCATCCGTCAATCCTATCTTGTAACCATTATGGATAACAGGAAAGATTGTGTTTTACAGCTAAAGTAATTGAGGCCCAAAAGGGCAAAAAAGCTTTTCTTCAGTATCTCAATCAATTGCTGTGTTTTGGTTATTTTACTGTATGGTACTTCTCAGGCACAGCTGAGAGGAGGCAAGATTGTCAAGGGCACTTTCAGATGTTCTTATTCTCTCTGAGAAGACATTTTCCCCTCAGTTTTCTGTTCTTGGCCTGCCTTAGCTTTCATGAAAATGCATATTCAGGTAACGCCCAGTTGGAAAGGCTCCATTACCTTATTTTCTCACTGTGGGTTAATTATTGATTTACTGGCTTATTTACTTCTCCCTCGTGAAGTGAATCTAGATTGGTGGAATTTCAGGCATTAATTTGTGATAGGTGAGAGAAAAAATTGTGTGTTGGGATGTGGGTTCTCACAACATTATTAAATTGGGACAAATTCCAGTACGTCCTAAATATTAATTGCATCAACCTGTAGCTGATTGCTGAATACAAAGTCACTTGGAAAGCTTAACACAATGTAGATAAATAACATGATTGTACCTCGGTTCCCTGCCCCCGAGTAATTTGGGATGAAGGATTAGAATATATACTCTACCCTTACTATTTTGTCATAAAAAATTTTCAAATACAACAAAGTTGAAAGAATCATTACAAGGAACACTCATATACTGGCCACCTAGAGGCTACAACTAACATTTTGCTACGTTTAGTTTATCACATATCTTTTCATCTTTCCATTCTTTTATCCATCCATCAGTCCCGTCTTTGATACATTTAAAAATAAGTTAAACACCTCAATACACTTCACTCCTAAACATTTCAGCAGGTATATCATTAGTTAGAACTCAAGAATTATTTGTGATTTTTTTAAGGCAAAAATTACACACAGTGGAAAGTACAAATCTTAAGTGTGCCATTTGGTACATTTTGACAAATATATATGTGTGTTTATGTATAGATACACATATACCTGTGTAACTTACAGATTACACAGATTATATCCATGTAGATATAGGACATTATCATCACCCCAGAAAGTGTCCTTGTGGCCCATTCCAGAATAGGCAATTACCATTCTAATTTTCTTTTTTTACCATAGTTTTGCCTATTCTGATCTGCATAGAAATAAAATCACACAATATGTACTCTTGAGTAAGGCTTCTTTCACCCAGCATCATGTTTTTGAGATTTGCCCATGTAGTGTGCATCAGTAGTTTCTTTCTTTTGATTGCTGAATAGTATTTAATTTTATAAATATACCACAAAATGTTTAGCTATTTACCTGTTGAGGAGCACTTGAGATGTTTCCAATGTTTGGCTATTATAAATAAAGCAGCTATGGACATTCTATTATCTGTCTTACCATGGACATGTGTCTTCCCCCACCCTCCTCTACTCCCTTTTTTCTGTCCTCTCCCTCCAATCCCCATCTCTACAGTAACCACTCAGGAGTGGAATCAGCCAGGTTTGGGAAGCATTTTACTAGTTTATGTTATTTGGAAAATATTGGTTATCATATTGACTACCTATTTAGGTTTGTTCTAGGGTACAAATCTAGACGGATTTTAGTTTTCCTCTTGGCTTCTTCTCATTTTGTTCTGAGAACTCACAGGATCCAAATCCTCTCTAAAGTGTTGGAACCAGTCTAGGATACTCTGCATCCCTAGAACATGCTTAGAATAATTCCTCATTGTATTCTGGATGTAAGACATCTCTGATAGGATCTTTCTCAGAGTCAAATTATACGATGTGGGTGAATGTGGCATTGACTTATTTTTCCATTCACTGAGCATGTATTTAGTAGATGCTGTATACTTTTCCTGAAAATACAAAGATGTATAAAATGTGGCCCCTGCTTTCAAAGACCTCATAGACTTGTGGGGAAACAGACGAGACAAATGGCCATTTTGATACAATGTGATAAATATTTTGGAAGATGTAAGTATAAGGTTCTGTGGGAGCACACCTTAAAAATGCACTTGACCCAAAGTGGAGGGCATCACACAAGACTTTCCAGGGGATATGAAGACTAAATCATGTTGGGAATGGACCCAGGGGCAGTTAAATAGGCAGGCAGGAGAGGGAAGTATGTTGTGGTTATAAGGGCTATGGTGAAGTGCAGCAGGAAGGAGATTGGAAGTAGCTGGGAAAGATAGTCAGTGGTGATAGGTGAGGCTAGAGAGAAGGTGGGAGGCTGATGGTGATGAGCTTTTAGATTACGTTGAAGGGTTTACTCTATATTATACAAAGCTTCTGTGCACCTATATGTATATACGTGAGAAATAGATCACAGACTGTCAGTTATTTCTGTGTCTATTTTGATAAACTGAAAAGAGCCCCAGTTTAGTGCCTTGAGCAATTTATTCTTCAAATAAGGTTCTCAAAGAGGGTAAGGCATCCACTTGGTGATGCTGGGTGAGATTTTCTTTAAAAAAAGAAAAAAAGAAAATGACTCACTATCAGGCCATATTTGAAGGGAAATTTCAGAATCTTTGCTAGAACTGGATAACTGCTGACCCTAGCATCCTTAAATTAACCTCCCAGGAAATGCAAGATTTATAAGTTGTGGGCTTTTTTTTTTCTTTTGAAATAGGTCTTAATAATTCAAAGAACTTTTTAATGATTTTAAAAGTGCATGTTAAGTACTTGATGGATTGGATCAATTCAGTCTTTGTAGTGCTGTGTGTTGACATCCTCCTCTCTACATATGGAAATTCGACAGATGTACAGAAATGCTACACAGGACGGGATGTTTCTTTATGGCATTTCCTTGTGCATCTCATTGGAGAAAAGAAATGTGTATATGTACTTTATAGTGAGTCATTAACTATAAAAACAAGCTTATTCACAAACCTGCTTTGATCTGTATTTCCTGTGATTTATCTTTGCTGTCTTAGCATGTACTGAATTCCTGATTGTTATTAACTCCCCAAATATTTTACATCATTCCAGATAATCAATGCTTATCACAGTCAATACAGATGTTACAAGATCCTAGAAGAAAGATGGTGTCAGCATAATAACATTTTAATTATTATAGCATGTGTTTTCAACTGTATCTTTTGTTTATGGCATCAGCTAACAAAGCTACTGTAACATCTGGTTCATAGAAAGTATTAAAATGATTGAACATGTAAATCATAGCTTTCCCCACCAAAGACTTAAAGTAATAGTGTGTAACTGCTTGAAGGTACTAATGCTTGTTTAATTAATTTAAATCATGCTGGTAAGACTATATTTTCACTTTCTGTTCCCCTGAACTTGCACTCTCTGCAGGGTTACTCAACTGTTAATGTAAAACAAATTTGCTTGTGGATGGTTTAATGATATGAGATATTTGATTTGAACTAACATATCAGTTTTGTTAATGAAATCACAAGTTGGGCTGTTGTAAGGGAAACAACTTTCTTGTTTGGCAAAATTCTGTTTGGTTTGTAAATTTTATTTACAAGCATTATACACTTACTTTTGTCTATACTGAAATGTAAAATCCTGGAAAGTGCTGTGAAATGTGGGATACATACTTTTCAAACTCTTTCCCATGTATTTCACAGCCACTACTCCTGCAGAGTTGGAAACTACATTTTGGAGAAAGAATGAGCGGGATCAGATTGCTGGTGCAGCATTGTCTAGCTTTTCCTCAGTAATATCTCACCACTTCCTTTGTAAATGGCACAGTTCTGCCAACATGTGTTCACATTCACTCTGCTTATTGGAAGAACTGTGGTTTCATGTCAAGGGGTTGCACCAAAGGCAACGGCACAAAAGTTATACTGGATGGAGGGTGCAACAGCTGGATCAGCCACATGCACTTCGGTCAACTCATCTTCACCTGAAAACTAGATGCACAGGGAGGGTGAGAACTTGTTCATGGTTAAAAGTGAAAGGTCTTTTTTCTCCTGCTTTTTACATGAATGTTTGCTCTGATACAATAAAATGCCCTTGCTTCTTCCCAGGTGTGAGACTAGGCAAATTGCAAACTACGTTGTCATGAAATAAGAGATATCACAGAGACTCAGTATTTTTTAATAAAATACTAGAGGAAGTATCTGGTAATATCAAAGCTGATGATGGTTATAATGGAAGGAGGCCTGTGATTCCAAAAATCTTTTTTTTTTTTTGGATCTGCTGAAATGAGGGCTTATGGTGGAAAAAGAAAGGAGGGAACTCTAGCACTGAGAAAGATTATCAGATATGTTCTACTTTCTTGGGCTCTACTCTCCAAGGGCCTACACTCTCTTAACCAAGCAAGTTTGTAGAGATTTTTCTTTTTTCAGCTCAAGATACTGAATATGCTGGGCATTCTCACAAGGACTAGTGCAAGAAGATCTGGGGTCAGTGAAGAGTATCATATGGGGTCTCAATTTTAAAGAAAGGGTAGAGAATATAAATCAGCACTAGCTGCTTCCTCATGAGAACATTTTGTTACGGTAATGCAAGGAAGTCTGTGAAATGCTAAATGCCATGGAGGCAGGTGGTAGCCTCTTAAAGTCTTAATGAAAGCTTGAGAATTTTATCTAATTCATGTCATTGACTTAAAGTAAAACTAAACAAAAACCATTCTGGAAAAAATGGGTATAGCATTTACTTAGAATTCTATCTAATTCATATCATTGACTTAAAGTAAAACTAAAAAAAAAAATTCTGGAAAAAATGGGTATAGAATTTACTTAATTAAAAAAAAAAAGGCAAAATCCTTCAGAGAAGCAATAACACTCTCCACGTTCTTCCCAGCAGGACATCGTGTTTATTAAAACATCATCGTCACTTAATTCCTTTGATTATCTTATAAGTATTACATGATAATTTCACTTTTAGGAGTTTGCCATCTTTAAAATTTTGTTTTTAGTTTCAATACCTTTAGAGGTACAAGTGGTTTTTGGTTACATGGATGAATTGTATAGTGATGAAGTCTGAGATTTTAGTTCACCCATCACACGAGAAGTGTACATTGTGCCCAATATGTAGTTTTTTATCCCTCACATCCCCCCCTCTTCTCAGTCTCCAACATCCATCATACCACTCTGTATGCCTTTGTGAACCCATATTTCAGCTCCCACTTATAAGTGAGAACATATGGTATTTGGTTTTCCATACCTGAATTACTTCACTTAGAATAATGTCCTCCAGCTCCATCCAGGTTGCTGCAAAAGACAACATTGCATTCTTTTTTATGGCTGAGTAGTATTCCAGGGTGTCTATATACCACATTTTCTTTATGTTGTCATCGGTTGATGGACACTTAGTTTGGCTCCATATCTTTGCAATTATGAATTGTGCTATGATAAAATACGTGTACAGGTGTCTTTTTGATATAATGGTTTCTTTTCCTTTGGGTAGATAACCAGTAGTGGGATCGCTGGATCAAATGGTAGATCTACTTTGAGTTCTTTGAGAAATCCCCATACTGTTTCCATAGAGGTTATACTAATTTACATTCCCACCAGTAGTGTATAAGTTTTCCTTTTTCACCACATCCATGCCAACATCTATTGTTTTTTGACTTTTTAATAATTGGCCAACTTTTAAATCACTTGTTTGTTCAACTTTTGAGTTTCCACAGATGAACAGATAAACAGATAATTATGATAAAATGTGGAAGTAAAAGAGGTAGGCATGAGATATCACTGAGAGTTAGAGGTCAGGTGTCTAAACCAGTTTGGAGCAGAAGTCTCAAGGAAATCTTCCTGGGAGATTGTTGGTTTTGCTGGAGGACAAATGGATTAAGGGGTGAAAAGAAATAAGGCTGCTTTTGTGGGCATGGGCATATCACAGCGTATGAGCTTTTCTAATGACATCCATTTATAGAGATTTTTCTAGACATAAAACTAAAATGCAAGTACATTTTAAGGATTATATACATATTACAATGAAAGGAAAAAGTTTTGATTATTTGACAGAATTGAAATTCAAATATATAAGGTAACTGAAAGGTTATTTTGGTATTAATCTTCATTTTGTAGAACAACATTGCTGTATACCATTTAGAGTGTTACTCACTGCTTCTGTTTATATTAGAAAAGTGGTTCAACAATCAAAGGAATCCAGGGTGTGTGAGTCATTTTTTTTTTCTTTTTTAAAAATGTAGCTATGCTTGGAGAATCAATTAAAAAAAATCAATGTATGTAAAAATGCTGTTTTTCTTCAACACGTATTTTGAACCAGTTATGAGAATTTACTAAATTTTTATTATTTTTAATTATGTTTATTTTGGAATTAATACTACATTAGTACTTGGGGCAATTTTTAAAAAATGAATAATAGTATTAATGATAAATTCATTGAAAATGATTTATTTTAATTAATTTAAAATAATTACGATTTCATTTATTAAAGTTAGATCCTCCAGGGCATGAATCCCAAATACACAAACTAGTTTCTTCCAAATACTAAATGTGCATTATTGAACTATTTCTTAATTTAAACTTTTCTCTAACTCAAATGTACCATTCAATTTATTAATACTTTGTTCATTTCTCTTGAGCTCCAGGCCTCAAGCAGTCCTCCTGCCTCAGCTTCTCAAAGTGCTGGGATTACAGGCATGAGCCACTGTGGCCTGGCTAGAAAGAGGTATTTTCTAAAATATAAACACCCTCACTCAATCATCACTCAAATACCCTCACTCAATTGGTTATTTAATTAAATTTATTTAATTGTTAAACCATTTCTGAAATTCCTTTTGAAAAAACCGTAGTGTTAATGGGTATCCAAAGGTGTTACTGAAGTAAACGTTTCTGTAGTCATATACATGTGGGAAACCCTGGGATAAACAAGTTTTCTTTTTGTAGAATTTTCCATAGTTTTAAAAATGCAAATGTGCATTGTGAAACTATAAGCGGAGACTATACTAGGCATTAGTTTCTAAGCTTATTCAACCATGGAAATTATTGGTCTAGTTCCTTTGTCATCACAGACGATTGAAATTATGGTCTATTTTCATGGATCTGGAAGAATAAGCAGGGGATATAGAATAGGAGACAATTCTGAATAAGAAGCGAGGGAAAAGTACTCAAATTCTCTAGAGTATATAAAACCAGAATAAGCATTCAACTGTTTTATTCCCAAATCTTTTAAATCCTGCTTTTCTTAATGATTTTATATTGTAATATAATGATATGCTTGTTTATACATATTTGAAGCAGAATAAAAAAATGCTTAATAAATGATCAATCCAGTGTGCTGTTATCCAAAATAGAAGCTTTACATTAGGATATATGCACATACATGTATACACATATATGCATACATTATGAATTATGAATAATTTGGATTAATATAACATTTTTGCCTGTAGTTTTCATATCAAAGATATGTGTTTTTTTTTGTTTTTTATTTTTTGTTTTTTTTGAGACAGAGTCTCATTCTGTCGCCCAGGCTGGATTGTGTGATCTCGGCTCACTGCACCCTCTGCCTCCTGGGTTCAAGTGATTCTCCTGTCTCAGCCTCCCAAGTAGCTAGGACTATAGGCATGCACCACCATGCCCAGCTAATTTTTGTATTTTTAGTGGAGACAAGGTTTCACTATGTTGGCCAGGCTGGTCTCGAACTCCTGACCTCAAGTGATCTGCCCACCTTGGCCTCCCAAAGTGCTGGGATTATAGGCATGAGCCACTTGGGCCAGCTCAAAGATATCTTTATTCCCCGTTTCTGGGCCTGGTTTCTCCTCTCTTTCCCTGTCTGGTGACAGTAAGTATCTTCAACTGTTTAGAATACCAAAGGATTGAAAAATAATTTAGAAAATATGGGATTTCAATTCTTAAGCTTTGGTTTGTTAAATGGAAAGAAAGTTCCAAACAGCCAGTCATTTTCATCAAGTGCATACTGCTGACCCAGAAGCTAGTGGTTATACATGTTGAAAAAATCCCAAGACGTTCAGCTAACCATGGCAGCGTTGACTTTGTATTTTTGCATTAGATCACAACTTTTTTTCAGAGTAGCTTAGAGTTGAACTTTTGTTTTGAACAATCAATAGATATGTCAGTTCCCAAATTCCGTTATTTGCTTCCTAGTGCAAAGAAATAATTATTTTATGGTGGCATACTTTCATGATTTTTGTTCGCTCCATCTTTATGGTTAGTTAGGGATAAAACCATTTCTTATCACTTAAAATGCCACATGTATCTAACAATCTCAACTGTTTTTCTTTGACATTGTGAAATAAAACCCATATTTTTTGGAATTACACACCAAACTATTATAAGAGTGAAGTGTTAGAAATCAATTCAAATGTTAAATACAAAGGACATCCTTGGCTCATTAAGTAAAAATATCTCATTTAATGAGCAGGAAGGCACTGGAGCACACTGAACCCTGACACAAAGCAAATTATTTAAGTGATAAATTATATTTTATGGGGAGTGTAAAAGTTAATAATACTCAGGGGCATGGTAATAAATGCAGAGGTGTAACCAACTTCATTGACTGCTTTACTTACAAACATGCCATATGTACTTAGTTACTTGAGCTGATCATAAAAACACAGAACAGAAACCATAGAGAGATTCATACAGCTACCTTAGTACAATTATTTTTCAGTGCATCTTTTACATAGTATTTTAAGAGATTGTCTTTTTGTTTTCTCTCCTTTCTGTCATTTGCAACATTCTGCTTCCTTCATTTTTGTTTTCATTTTTGGTCAAGTGTTTGACCTTGTAGCAGTTAAAGCTGCAGTCTGCGCCTTATCTCTCAGCAAGCCTCATAAAATCAGCCATGCGTTCATCCTCTCTGATGCCCCACAAATGACCTCAGACCTCACTTCAAGAGGACCAACATGTCCTGTGAAGAAATGGGCGGGTTAGCTTTTGTGTTGGCACCTCCCTAGCTCTGTTTCTTTTCTTTTTTTTTTTTTGAGACGGAGTCTCACTGTCACCAGGCTGGAGTGCAGTGGCATGATCTCGGCTCACTGCAACCTCTGCCTCCTGGGTTCAAGCGATTCTCCTGCCTCAGTCTCCCAAGTAGCTGGGATTACAGGCGTGCACCACCACGCCCGGCTAATTTTTGTATTTTTAATAGAGACGGGGTTTTGCCATGTTGTCCAGGCTGGTCTTGAACTCCTGACCTCAGGTGATCTGCCTGCTTTGGCCTCCCAAAATGCTGGGATTACAGGTGTGAGCCACTGTGCCCAGCCCTTAGCTCTTTCTTAAGCAAACATTTCTCTGTAACGTGGAGTAGATCCATGAACAAATGTGGGCAATAACCTCTATCCATGCTTTACTAAGAGGCACAGAGATTTGTTCACCAAGTGGTCTCCACACAGCAGGAGGGCAGGAAGAGTTGCAGCAAATGTCTAGATAATGACAGGTACAGGCTGAGAGTGAAAAAGGAAAGGAACTGCCTTTTTTTATTTTTTATTTTTTTCAATTTGAATGATACATTTTTTTTCTGCTCTTGACTCTGCTTTGAAATAAAAATGTTTCATCTTTTTACTTGACTCCTGCCTGGTCTGGGATTATGAAGAAATTCTAATGACATGTAATTTTGCTTCTGTTGAGGTCAATTCTAGATGAAAATATAGCTTATTGATGCTGCCTGAATGACTTTTTCCCCTGGTTTTGGAAAATAATATAGTTTTAGATCTTTTCTTTTGAGTTGGGGGTCTCACTATGTTGCCCAGGCCAGTCTCAAACTTCTTGGCTCAAGAGATCTGCTAATCTCAGCCTCCCAAGTGGCTGGGACTATAGGGATATGCCATTGTGCCTGCCTAGACCCTTTATTCAAAGCTGATTATAGTTTGTGGGACTACTTTGAGATTTTTTTCAGAGTGGCAAGTAGAAAATTCCTTTAATACTGAAGCAGAAACACCATTGTGCTTACAATGGTGTTTCACACCTCTCAGCTTTGATATTCTATTTACTCTGGCTGGCTGCTCTTCCTTTTTTGTCCATTCAGCAAATTCCAACAGACACTTCAAACCCAGCTCAGAGGTGGATTCTTCTGACCATTTTCTTCTTCTCCCTCTTTAGATTGAGTTAGTTATTCTTTCATGCTACTTGTTTTTCATGTTTGTAATAATGCATTCTCCTTTTATTATAATTTATCTATTTATATTTCCAGCTATGCTGTAAGATTCATGAGTACAGAAACCCTGTCTTGGTTACTGTTGGATATTCAACATCTATTATAGCACAGACAGTGGCCAATAGTGATGGATGGAAGGATAGAAGGAAGAAAGGAAGTAAGAATGGAAGAGAGGAAGAAAGGAAGGAAGGGAGGAAGGGGGAAGGAAGGGAGGAAGGAAAGAAGGCAGGCAGGCAGGGAGGAAGGCAGGCAGGCAGGAAGGAAGGAAGAAAGGAAAGAAAGAAGGCAGACAGGCAGAACTTTCTAATCACATATGGCATCTTTGTGCAAAGCTACCACCTTGGAGAAAGATGCCCCTTCCTCTAGACCGATGGAGCCTTGGGCCAGGGTGCAGGTTTGGCTATTGGAAAAGTGGTTGGATTTCAGTCCCTGCTTTTTTTCTCTTAATGCCGAGAAAGAAAGGAATAAAGAGGGAGGAAGGAAGAGACAGATGGTGAGAGAGAGGGAGACAATAGTACTATCTTCACTCCTAGACTATGGACAAAGACTGTGTCTCTTTGAGTCCCTACAGCCTAGCAGAGTGCCTAGCACATAGTAGCACTTTACACATATTAACTAATTGAATTACTGATATTAAGAGATTGTGTCAGGTTGCTTTATATGTAGCAGGGAGCTGAAAGTGGAGAGAATCCCAAAGGAGGATAGTTGGAAAATGGAGAAAGATTTGCGTGGAAAATCCAGCCAGGACTGGAAGGCTGAGCTGAGTGGCCTCACAACACTGCAGTGAGTGCCAAGAATTGCTGTAGTTTTGTAGAAAACTGTTATTATTTTTTACAGGTTGTTTTCTAGAGACATAAATTACATTTTTAAAAATCAAAGACCATCCATAAAAAAATGGAGAATAAATTCTGAAAAGCAACTGGATGTGATGAAATATATGTAGGATATGAATTGGTTATCCTAAGAGGATGACATTCATTAGACTGGGTTCACATTTCAGATAGTTACTAACAGGAACTGGATTTATTGTTTAAGAATTTTAAGAGTATCTTTTTTTTTGGCCTGGATTATAATAATCTTTAAAAGCAAATAGAACTCATTTTGATAGAATAATCTGATCCTTTCAAAGTAATAATTAATCTATCACCTGGTTGCTAATCCCATTTCTGCTACATAATTGGACAATTTAACTCCTTTGGGAGTTGAGTTACTGAGCTCTAAAATAGGCATAAGAGTATCTACCTCAGATGTTGTTATATGGTCTAGATTAGATGATGTTGGTAGTATGCTTAGCAGAGCTTGGTATCAGAATCATTACCACAGCTTAATGACAAAATATTTTGTAAGTAACTTTTTTCATATGCTGTATATACTTTTGTTTTTGCTTACAGTGTTCATTTTCCTTTGAAGAAGCACATGTCCTCCATTCTCGGCTCACTGGAGCTGATATGTCCCTTGGCCACCATGGTGAACACATCACAAAGCCAACCTATTGGGAGTGAACACATCACAAAGCTAACCTATTGCGAGTGAACACAGTATCTGTCTGGGACTTGTGTGTGTGAAGTGTTCCCTTTAGCTGGAGCCACTGATGACCAATTTTTTTCACTTCATACAGTGGATCTGCCTTAGAAATTTGCCATTGCAAAGATAGCAGAACCAACTGTTGTAGAGAGAGATTGTAGGTGACATTGAGCACCTGGATCCAGTCCTGACTGAAGCTAGAGCTAGAGGCTAGAACCATCTTTGTACTTTTCAATCTGTGAACTCTAAGTTAGTTTTTTTTTATGATTTACAAATGAAAGATTTGTAAATTCTTTGTAAATTACCCTAATGAAATCACATTACTTGTGATTTCATTAGGGTAATTTATAATAGAGTATTAGCAGCAATTGACCCCACCCCACACAAATGCTTATTGATTACGGGACTGTTTGACTTCTCCCCGTTTAATGTCAATTAATAAATCTATCTTTAGCAAGTATCCTCTTTCTAGTTAAATTAGAGTTAGTATCCTTCACGAAAATAAAATTAAGCTATTATCAGTGATGATTTATCTAGAATAAGGTATTAACAATTAGATTGTGTAGCTTAAAAAAAAACACATTAAAACACATACTCGTGCTTACCAGACTTCTCCTGGGAAGCTGCTTTAGGGAAGGGACTGTGTCTTACTCACTTCAGTACATCTAGCTCTGGGCACAGTGCCTGCAATATCACAGGTGGTTACTGAACACTTGTTGATTTTAACTGACTTGCTTACCTCATAGGTGGAGGACAGGCCTGCCTGCCTGCCTGCCTTCCTTCCTTCCTTCCTTCCTTCCTTCCTTTTTTGAGGAAAATTTTAAAAATCTGAAAAAGTACAAAGCTTTATATAATAAGCATCTATATATCCACCTCACATTAACAATAATTAATGTTTTGCCCTGTTTGTTTCCAGCTTTAAGATATCTTCCTCCTTTGACCTCCTCCATCATTTTTGTCACACCCCCTCTTCTAGGCAACCACTGTCATCACTTTAGTATGTACCCTTCCTGCTTGTTTCCTATAACTTTACATACTCATACACATCTGCTAACAATATATGTCACTGCTTTATGTGTGTGTTTAATAAGCTACATTAATGGTATCTTGCTGTACACATTGTCCAACATGTATTTTTCAGTTAACACTGTGCTTTAGTGATCTATCCATTTTGATTCCTTTTAACTTAAGTATAATATTTAATTGAATTCACTACATTTCTTTATCTTTGGAATGGACACAATCACTTCTTTGTATGTAAAGACTTTTATAAAAATCTGGTTTTTCAAGCAAAGTCACTATACTGTGTTTAAAATTAATAATAAATGCAATTTAAATTTTCAAATAGAATCACTGGGAATTAATTAGAAAAAATTTAACGGAACTTCCGTATGGTCTTTTTTTTAAATCAAATGCAAGTTTTTAATTCTGCTTCTCTGATACATCTGTACTGAAACAGATATGTCTTTTCCTATTCTTTCTTTTAAAATGCTTGTCTTTGACTCATGAAAAAATGACATGACCATTTGCTGTAGCCTCATTGACCTCTTTGTTGTTTTATGAATGCTCAGGCACATCCCACCTCAGAGCCTTTGCTCCTGCTGTCCCCTCTGTCTGCCGTGCGTCCCCACATCTCCACATGGCACCCTGTTAAACTCCTAATGGAATCTATTCAAATGTCACTATCTGAGTGTGGCCTTTCTGACTCCTCCATTTAAAGTTGCACTCTTCTCTCATTGGCACTCCTGAATCCTCTTGTTTTGCTGTCTTTTTCTCTACAACATCTAATTACTTTCTCTCATACTATATATTCTAATTTTTAAATTTGTTTATTGTTTATCTTCTCAGTGAGGCTGAGGCTCCATGTAAGTAGAAATTTCATCTGTTTTATTTTTCCCATTGCTGTGTCCCCAGTGTCTAGAACAAGGAATGGCAAAAAAATGCTCGATAGTGTGTTGAATGGATAAATAAAAGGCAGGAAATATGAAAAATACAGAAAGTATGATGTAGAAGAAAGAAAAGCACTCTTAATTTTACATCTCATAAATAACAGTTTGTTAGATTGACTTTTAATGGTTTGAGCGATATATTTTTTACTTAGTTGAGATCATGTAACATATAAAAATTTTGGGCTGAGATGGGTGGATCACGAGGTCAGGAGATCAAGACCATCCTGGCGAACACGGTGAAACCCCGTCTCTACTAAAAATACAAAAAAAAAAAAAAGTTAGCTGGGTGTGGTGGCGGG
The DNA here is from genome assembly GCF_000001405.40 of Homo sapiens. Taxonomy (NCBI): domain Eukaryota; kingdom Metazoa; phylum Chordata; class Mammalia; order Primates; family Hominidae; genus Homo; species Homo sapiens. Next base: position 199,773,382 of record NC_000001.11, on the reverse strand, counting down.
CACCTGTAGTCCCAGCTACTCGGGAGGCTGAGGCAGGAGAACCCGGGGCAGGAGAACCCTGAGGCGTGAACCCGGGGGGCGGAGTTTGCAGTGAGCCGAGATCGCGCCACTGCATTCCAGCCTGGGTGACAGAGAGAGACTCCGTCTCAAAAAAAAAAAAATTTTTTTTTTGAACAAAGTATGGTTCTATTGTTTCAGCTGAATATTTTAAGCAATTCTTAAATTATCGAACTTTGTTGAAAGCATAATATTCTCTCATATGGATATACTATAGGCTAGATACTACCAATCTCTGTTGATTGGGATTTAAGCCATTTAAAATTTTGGATTTTGTCAATGACATGGTTATGAGTCTTGTTCATTAACTTTCACTTGTATATTTTAGTTTTAAAAACAATATATTTGTAGAACTACTGAATTTGAGTGAATGATATATATATTGCTAGGTATTTTCTCCCAAAGAGATTGTATCAGATTACTCTCCTATCCATGCTACATGAAAATATTCATTTAATTTCATTTTCATTATTTTCAAATAAAACTAATTTGCTATTTTGATAGGGAAAATGTAGTTTTCTTGTTTTATTTTGCCTTTCTTTGGCACATAAGTCAAATAAGAAGAGAAAAAATGTTTAGAAGATTGGAATAAAGAACTGATTTGTGGGCATACGGAGTATGAAGTGCCCATGAAATATCCAAGTAGAGGTGTTGAATAAGCAATAGGATACATGAACCTGAGCTTCAGAAGATAAATCTGCACTGTATATACACATTTAGAGCTATTGACATATGTATAATAAATAATGGCAAGAAAGTAGATTAGAAGGTCTAGAAAGAGAATGGAGAATGAGAAGAAGCCTTAGAACTGAATCTGGAGAAACTCCAACCGTTAAATTAATGAGAGAAAGCAAAGCAGTTTGAGGGGAAAAGGCCAAAGGGTTAGGAGAAAAGCTAAGAGGATGTGATGTCAAGAAATCCAAAAGAAGACTATTTAGAAGAGGAGGAAGTGGTCAACTATCAATTGCTGTTAAAAACGTTGGGAATCGTGAGCCCGTAGGATTTAACAACATAGAGGTCATTAGCCATCCAGAGGATGCTGTTGTGCCCCACCCAGATTCCCTTTACCAGGCAGTTGCATCTACGCTTCTGATACTTTGAATGTTGTTTGCTAAAGGCTCACAATGGCTATCTTTTCTAAAGAATCGTCCTCGTCCAAATGGGGGAAGTTGCATTCCCACCCCTACCTGCACAGTGTGCTGGTAAATGTTTAAAAACCAGCTTTCTGGGAAAAAATTATTTTGTATCTATCTATTTATTTCCTTCTTCCCTTCCCTTCCTTTCCCCTTCCTTTTCCCCTTCCCCTTCCCTTCTTCCTTTCTTTCCTTCTTCCCTTCTTCCCTTCCTTCTTCCTTTTATTATAAATGTTACTGGTATAAACGTTGTGTAGTATACAATTTACCAGTAATAACAAATTATCAAATACTTTATCGAAATTCTGTATAGCCAATTGATTTGCATAGAATGCTCTCCCCTTCTCCCAAACTCTTGTATTCATAGCTACTGATATATTCAATTGGTGAACAAACGCAGCTCTTACGCAAATCCTGGTTGATATTTTTGTTTATGTTAATGAGTAGTATAAAATGAAACAAGAAGATATATGTCAGAATTTTATTCATTCATTAATGATCTGAATAACTTTGCTGAACCAGATAATATTTTTAAATACCTACCAGAGTATTTCCTTAATTCTTTTTGTGCTATTCACAATGTAATTAGTTTAGTAACATTTTCTCCATCACCTTTTAAAGGCCAGATAGATGATCAATAAAACAATAAACCAAGCCCCAATTTGTAGTGTTTATCAATATTTATAGCATAAATATCCTCGTTATGTTTAATTTCAAGCTACCAACGTGATGTCACTAAATCTGGAGTTAGAGAAACTCACTGGTGCAGGACGCACCATTATATAGAATTTTTATCTATAGAATACAATAGATGTAATTAACCTCAAGAACATGAGTAAAATATAATAAAATAGGAAGTGATGAGTTTTGAGTATCTATTACCTATGTTTTTATATACTTTATTTAATTGTACATTTATGTACCTGTAATTTAATTACTAATAATGACTGTGTTTAACAGCCAGCTTGCACAATATTGAGAAATTTAAAAATTGGCTCTTGCTAGCTCTTGAAACAAGTCAGTTTTAGTATACTTCTCTTGTCCATTACATTCTCTCTGTTTTCTGCAGCCAATGCACGACATGTATAGATAGAAAAGTTTGCCTCTCTTGCTTCTGTAGGGCGATTCATAGAACTCCCTGTGGAGTTGGCTGAAGCTCGTCTCCAGTTGATAAGACATTCTTGCTTAGATTATTTTCTTCTCTGCCCTATTGTGTTTCTCTCACTCCTTTCTCTTGAGAGCATTCCATGAATAAATTATTTGCAGAAAAATACTCAACTCAGGCTCTACTTCTGGAGGGAATCCATCCAAGACATCATCTTATTAGGAATACTTTTGGCAGGGTAGAAATCTAACTGAGAGAGTGAGGAGTGAATCCTAAAGTGAAGACATGGAGACAGCTAGAGGACACAAATTATTTGAGAAGAGCAAAAACAGGTGAACGAGAAGCTCTGGAGAATGTGGTGGAACTACAAAGCTGATTGATGTTGCTGGACCATGAACACATAGAAGCTCTGTGAATGCAGGGACCCTTGTCTTTTTATTCTCTATTGAACAGCCAGTGCCAAAAATAGTGGACCTCCCAGAATAGTACTTATTAAATGAATAAATAAATAAATGAATAAATAACACATGGTCAGATGGAGTAACACAAGTTTATGTATTTTTGATCTAACATATTCAAAGTGAGTTTTTCAATGTAAAGCCAATTAAAACTGGGAGGAACCATCGTTCATATTTATCTATATATTTAGTTTTTTTGACATTCTTTATTTCTTTGTGTAAAGCTAAGTTTCCATCATGTGGCATTTTCTTTCTACCTGAACAACTTCCTTTAACATTTCTGACAATGCAGGTCTGCTGATATAAAATTTTCTCAGCTATTGCTTATCTGAATACATATTTATTTATTTATTTATTTTTGAGATGGACTTTTGTTCTTGTCGCCCAGGCTGGAGTGCAATGGCACGATCTTGGCTCACTGCAACCTCCACTTCCTGGGTTCTAGCGATTCTCCTGCTTCAGCTTTCTGAGTAGCTGGGATTACAGGCACCCGCCATCATGCCCAGCTAATTTTTGTATTTTTTAGTAGAGATGGGATTTCACCATGTTGGCCAGGCTGGTCTCAAACTCCTGACCTCAGGTAATCCACCCATCTCAGCCTCCCAAAGTGCTGGGATTATAAGCATGAGCTACAGTGCCCAGTCTACATCATTATTTAGCCTTTTTTTAATAATAGGAAAATATGTTTATGGTTTAATAAAAAAATTATACACTATTAAAATATGTTTCCATTATTGTTATTAAACCTATGAATGTGCAGAAAAAGATTTTACATAAAAATATAATTGTAGTAATCTTTAGATGAGAGGATTATAGCTAATTTTTTACTTGGTATTACTCATCCAAATTGTTTCATTTTTTCGTGTTCTTTATTGTTGTTTGGTTTTTGTTGTTGAGTTTTAGAAGTTATTTATATATTAATATTAATCTCTTGTGAAACATGTAATTTGCAAATATTTTTTTCTGTTCATTAGGTTGTTTTTTTCTCTTTCTTGATAGTACTCATTTATGCACAAAAGTTCTTAATTTTGATGAAGTCCAATGTATATATTGTTTTCTTTTGTTGCCTGTATTTTCGGTGTCAGATCCATGAAATTATTGCCAAATCCAGTGTCATAAAGATTTTCCCCATAGCCTTCATTTTTGAAAGTTATTTTTTTTTCTGGATATTGAATTCTAGGTTGTCTTCCACTACTGTAAATACATTGTTCCATTGTCCTATAGCTTGCATTATTTATAATGAGAAGAGTGAGATTATTTTTATCTTTGTTCTCCTATGTGTAATGTCTTTGTCTCTGCTTTTAAGATATTCTCTTATCACTGGCTTTCAGCAATTTGATTATGATATACCTTGGTGTGTTTGTTTGTTTGTTTACCCTGCTTGAGGTTCATTGAGATTTTTGAGCCTGTGGATTTATAGTATTCATCAAATTTGGAAACATTTCTTCCATTATTCCATCATACATTTTCTTTGTCTTTCCTTCCTTTTCTAATTATATACGGGCATACCCCAGGAGATATTGTGGGTTTGATTTATGACCACTGCAATAAAGCTGATATTCCAATAAAGCAAATCACACGAACTTTTTGGTTTCCCAGTGCATATAAAAGTTATGTTTACACTATAATATAGTCTATTAAGTGTATAATAGTATTATGTCTAAAAAATGATGTATATATCTTAATGAAAAAATACTTTATTGCTAAAATATGCTAAGAATTATCCAAGCCTTCAGAAAGTCATAATCTTTTTGCTGGTGGGGAGTCTTGCTTCAATGTTGATGGCAACTGACTGATCAGGGTAGTGGCTGCTGAAGGTTTGGGTGGCTGTGGCAGTTTTTAAAAATAAGACAAAAATGAAGTTTTCCACATTGTTGACTCTTTCTTTCACCGTAGATTTCTCTGTAGCATGCAATGCTGCTCGATAGTATTTTACTCATAGTAGAACTTCTTTCATTATTGGAGTCAATTCTCAAACCCTGCTGCTGCTTTATCAACTAAGTGTATGGAATCTTCTAAATCCTTTGTTGTTATTTCAACAGTGTTCACAGCCTTTTCGCCAGAAGTAGATTGCTTCACAAGAAACCCTAAGACACTTTGCTCCATAAGATACCATAAGAAGCCATTCCTCATCCATTCAAATTTTATCATTAGATTGCAGCAATTCAGTCTCATCTTCAGGCTCTACTTCTAGTTCTCTTGCTGTTTCCACCACATTTGCAGAGGCTTTCTCCACTGAGGTCTTGAACCCCTCAAAGTCATCCACGAGGATTGGAATCAACTTCTTTCAAACTCCCATTAATGTTGATCTTTTGATCGCCTATGAATCACAGATGTTCTTAATGACATCTAGAATGATGAATTCTTTCCAGAAGGTTTTCAATTAACTTTGCCTAGATCCATCAGAGAAATCACTATGGCAACTAATAGTCTTACAGCATGTATTTCCTAAATAATAAGATTTGATAGTTGAAATTACTCCTTGATTCATGGGTTACAGAATGGATTTTGTGTTAGCAGGCACGAAAACAACACTAATCTACATCAAAGCTCTTGGATGTCCAGGTGCATGGTTAATGAGCAGTACTATTTTGAAAGAATTCTTTTTTCTGAGAAGTAGGTCTCAACAGTTGGCTTAACATATTCAGTAAACCAAGCTGTAAACAGATGTGCTGTCATCCAGACTTTGTTGTTCCATTTATAGAGCACAGGCGGAGTAGATTTAGCATAGTTCTCAAGAGCCCTGGGATTTTCGGAATGGTAAATGAGCATTGGCTTCACTTTACATTCACCAGCTGCATTAGCCCTGAACAAGAGAGTCAGGTTGTCCTTTGAAGCTTTGAAGCCAAACATTGACTTCTCCTCTATAGTTGTGAAAGTCCTAGATGATGTCTTTCTTCAAGAGAAGGCTGTTTTGTTTATGTTAAAAATCTGTTGTTTAGTGTGGGCACCTTCATCAATTATCTTAGCTAGATCTTATGGATAACTTGCTGTAGCTTCTACATCAGCACTTGCTGCTTGTTTTATGTTATAGAGACACCTTCTTTCCTTAAACTTTATGAACCAACCTCTGCTAGCTTCAAACATTTCTTCTGCAGCTTCCTCACCTCTCTCAGCCTTCGCAGAATTGAAGAGAGTTACGGCCTTGCTCTGGATTAGGTTTTGGCTTAATGGGATTTTTTTTTTGGCTGGACTGATCATCTATCCAGACCACTCAAACTTTGTCCATCTCAGCAGTGAGGCTGTCTTGCTTTCTTACCATTCATGTGTTCACTGGAGTAGCACTTTTAATTTCCTTCAAGGACTTTTCCTTTGCATTCACAACTTGGCTAACTGGCACAATAGGCTTAGCTTTTGGCCTATCCTGGTTTTCAACATGCCTACCTCACTAAGCCTAATCATTTCTAGCTTTTGATTTAAAGTGGGAGATGTGGGGCTCTTCTTTTCAACTGAACATTTAGACATCGTTGTAGGGATATCAATTGGCCTAGTTTCAATACTGTTTTGTTTCAGGGAATAGGGAGGCCTAAAAAGAGAGAGAGAGGTGGAGAATAGCTTGTCTGCGAAACAGTCAGAACACACACATTTATCAGTTAAATTTGCTGTCTCATATGGGTACAGTTTGTGGTGCACAAACCACTTAGAAAAGTAACATAAAATAATCACTGATCACAAATCATAACATATATAATAATAATGAAAACATCTGAAATATTGTGAGATGTGTCAAAATGTGACATGGAGACAAGATGTGAGCACATGCCTTTGGAAAAATGACCCCAATAGACATACTTGACAAGGGGTTGCCACAGATCTTCAATTTGTAAAAAACATAATATTTGCAAAGCACAAAAAATGCAACAAAGTGAGTTATGCCTAAATACATTAGACCACTTAATATAATACTATTCCACAGGTTAATGAGGCTTAGTTAAGTATTTCTCTAGTGTTTTTTTTTTCTGTGACATAGTTTGAATAGAATTTACTGCTATATCTTTAAATTCATTAATCTTTTCTTCTGCAGTGTTTAACCTTCTGTTTAGTTTATGTAATTTTTCAATTTAGGTATTTTAATTTTCAGCACTTTAAGGTTTATTTAGTTCTCATATCTTCCATTTCTCTCTTAATTATATTCTTTTAAACATGTTGTTTTAAACATGTTTTCTTTTAAATCCTAGGACATATTTATAGTAGTTGCTTTAATGTCCCTGTCTGCTGATTTCATCATCTCTGTCATCTGAGGGTCTGCTTTTATTGACTGATATCTCTCCTGGTTATGGATTATAACTTTCTGTATCACTATATCTCTAGTTATTTTTTTAAATGCTGGACACAATAAATGTTGTTTATTTAGTACTTAATTTTGTGTCTTCTTTTAAAGAATGTTAAATTTTGCTTTGGCAGATTATCACAGTTCAGCTTGATTCTTTTGCTGTCTGGTTCTGTGCCCTTAAAACTCCAGCCACGTCAGCCTTTCTAAACTCTATTTTCTATCACCTCGACTCTGCAATACCACTTTGATCTGCTTGAGTTCCCCCTTTCTGTATTACAATTTGAAAAGAATACCTAGATAGAAATCTGGGGCAATCCTAGGGCTTATCATTTTTGTTTCTGTTCTCTCAGGGACACAGCCTTATGTTTTTTTGCTGTCCGGTGTCTGAAAACAGTTGTTTTGTGTATTTTGTCCAATTTTCTAATTTTTTTTTTTTTTACAGTGGAAAGGCAACTCCTGTTCCAGTTACTCCATCATGGCTTGAAGCAGAAAAGGAATTTTCAGTTTGGAAAATATAAATTACTTGAGAAGATCCTCAAACTGCCATGGTTAATCTGCATATTTCAGAGATATTTTAGGCATATAAATTATTGTTTTTGTTTTATACATTTCTGTGTCCACTTACTAGGGATTACATTGTCTTCCCATATGCATGTGGAATCAGGTATTCATTCCAGCTTCTTATCTTCCACCTTTCTTCCTTATTAGATTTTCTTGGGCTCTATGTTAATCCTCATATTTAGCTGCAATAAAAGTTCCCTTCTGTATTTGAATAGCATGTGAATATTATTCTACAAGCCTTACAACCTTTGTTTTGTAAACTCCTTTGCTACTGAAGTGTACTGCCATTTAGCACTCTACATATTTGTGAGCTCTTTCTGCATACTAGGTTTGATTGTCTTTAAGTTTTCACTTTATGCTACATTTTGTTCTTGGCCAATTGCCCTCTGAGGAGTCTTAAGTTTTGATTCCATCCATGATCAGAAGGCAGGAGCCTCAGCCTTTACTACTAATATTATTCTCTTTGAAGGTCTTTAAAGTATAATGGAAAAAACAAGAGCACTGGAGCTGGATAGATGTAAATTTAAATTATATATACATCACTTAATAGCTGTGTGACTTTTGGAGAATTATGCTCTAAACATCAGTTTTCTATTCTGTTAAATGGTATTTATTCTACCCACTTCATAAGGTTACTATGAATACATACTAGGTGTTTAGTAAATGCTAGTTCTTTTCTGCTTCCTCTGAAATTGTACATCTGGTTATGCCAACAGGTATACTTTCTCCAGCCTTATGGGCTAGTAGGTGCTTAGGTCTTCTCAGCTACTTTGATCATATATTGATTCTTATTCTTCTGCAAGTTTTAAAATTTCTCTGTGATTCCACTGAGTCAGTTAATATGGTGGACATAACAATTTACCCATTAAGTGAAGTGTATTTACCTTTCCAAAAGAAAAGTCACCTAAGTTTTAGGATCCCATTTGGAAGGTGGACCCCAGAAAACCTAGGCAGACCCTTTGTTCACTCAGTGAACATTTCTACATTTTTTTGCATTGCATAAATTCTACTACCCTCATAAGCATGGTCCTCCAACTAGGTGCTGAGACTGGTGGTAAAAAACAAAGCAAAACAATTTAACTGTTTCACACCCTGCAAGAAACTCAGGCTTCAAGGAGCTGGAAGAGCAGAACTTCACAGTGTTCCTTGGTTAAGAGTGAGGATAGCTTATGCCAAAAAAAAAAAAAAAGGTTTGATACCTAGTGATGTGAGCTGGGTCTCTGATTTCAAAGACCCTCTGTAGTAGTGCAGTCTACTGGAACTTTCTGTGAGGATAGACATATTCTATATTTGCGCTGTCCAATGCAGAAGGCACTAGTCAGCTATTGTGTGACTAGTGTGGCTGTTGAGCACTTGAAATATGGCTAGGCTAACTGAGGAACTGAATTTTCAGTTTTATAATTTTAATTAATTTACATTTAAATATCCACATGTGGCTAGTGGGTATCATATTAAACACTGAAGCTTATAGCAATTCTATTTTTATTATAGGAATAACTTGTGAGGGATCAGTATAACTACATATTGATGGTCCATCCCATCAATCAACTTTCTACTACAGATTTGAAAATGCTACATGTGAAAAAGGTATTTGGATGGTATATAAAACAAGAAAAAATATTTCAGATATTACATGTGAGGAAGTCCTATTAATACACAGAGTGCCTTGAATTAGAGAAAGAATTCAGGTCATGTTGCTTTGTCCCATGAAATTATGGGTGTTCACATTTTTAAGAGTAGTTAATGCCTTCTAAAGAGTATTTTGCACTGTCACTGATTTTTGCACCTCCATCTTGTCCTACCTTTTTTTAAACCTCAAATAAGTACTTTCAGGCTAAATTAAGTTATTGTAAACCACTTAGGAAAAATGGAGATTTGTGATATGTTAAAAAAAAATGTTTAGAATGTGTCACCCAAGGGGAAAAGGTCCTCCTTATCATTGCATTCTTTTTAAAAATCATTTTTTTCAAATATTAGGTTGATGCAAAAGTAATTGTGGTTTTTGCCACTGAAAGTAACGGCAAAAAAATATGTTATTGAAGTAAAATAATTTCAATAACATATTTGAATAGAACTGAATAATATTTGCAATCACTTTCATGCATTATCGCATTTATTTTATTAGCCCTATGAGTAAGTAGAGTGAGTGTTACTGTTTCTGCTTTACAGATGTGACTGTTGTGCCTTCAGAGAAGTTAAGTGACTTGCTCTTGGTTACTGGGGATTTGAACCCAAACATTTTTGTTCATTGTCTTTTCTTTCTCGCCATATGCAAGTTATATTAGTTAATGAGGCCACTTGATTTTTAAAATCGATAACCAGTTCTTTCAGTATCTATAAAACATCATGACTTCAATCTTGTGTGGCCTCATCCTTATAATTTTTGTGCTTCAAATAGGAGAAAGCTTCGATTTATGTCAGTTGTTTAAAATTAATGGTACACTCATATTTTATTTAATAAATATTAATGGTTGGATTTGGCAGAGGGCAGTGGGCTATTTTAGACCTTTACTGTAAAGAGGATCATTAGCACATCCCAAAATCTGATTTCTAGAGTGCTTATCTATCAATATTAGACACTTCAGTTGGTTCTAATTATGCCTCCTAGTTCACCCTGCAGAACCCCTTTCAGGCAGTGCCGCTTCAGCTAAGTGTGTTCCAGAGTGCACTTATTTAGCAATTTCGTCCTTCAGCACAGGTTTGTTCCATCTATGAGATGTAACTTGATTGTTGTTGTTTTTTCTGTCAGCACATGATACAATAGAAATCCTAAATCAATAGCACAGGTTTGTTCCATCTATGAGATGTAACTTGATTGTTGTTGTTTTTTCTGTCAGCACATGATACAATAGAAATCCTAAATCAATAACACTTTTTATTCCGACACAATTGATGCACAACAGCCTTCTTCACATCGAGGTTTAATGTGTAGTAAATTAATTATCTGGAAAGAATACAGGGTCAATGGACCTTGGTATGGCCGGGATGTGATGTTAGAGTGTTCCATTTCCTCCTCCACTTCACAGCATGCTTACTGTTTTTTTGTGCACGTCGGTTGTGTCATCTTCTGCAATAAACTTCCTAAGAGCAGTTAATGCCCTCTAGGGATTGATTGATAGAAAAAAAATTGCTTTATCATAAATTTGTTAAACATTTTCTGCCTCCAGGCAAAAAGTGGGGACACTTTTACTTGTAATACATTCAGTGGCACTATTTTTAAAAGGGAAATTTAATTGAAATTTGGAATTGCTAAAGTGAATAATGCATTTTCTCTTAATTCAGAGTATCTAAAAAAAATTGTGCAAATACATGTAGGTTTTATTATCTACTACTTCCTTTTGGAAATGAGAACAATGATTTATTTTCTAGAATTCAGTTCAAAAAAGATAACTCTATCTGTCCCATAATCTAAATGTAGATACGATGCCAGTCCCATTTCCAGTGATATAAAATCAGGTAGGGTAAAGTGGATTTTCCATCAGAAGCAGAGCAATTAAAAAGCAGAAATTCACTAAGTTTTAAAGTACTCAATTTTCTATTTTCTTTAAAATAAGAATAGGAGAGGCAAACTCCATTATAGTTTTGAGGGTAGCTCTGCTATTAGTAGCTATAGAAACAAGGTAACTAGGTAGTGACTAAGAGAGAAAGAGGGACAGAGGGAGGGAGAGAGAAATAGAATATGAATAGAGAAAAGAGAACCCACAAACCTAACTATAACAGTTAAATGCTCATATGATTTAGGGACTGGTGAGTAGGCCAACATCTTTGTCAGTCTGTCAGTACCAACACTTTGTTAATGCCTTCTCTGGGATTTAGGCATGGAATATAGCACCCAAACAAAATGAATACAATCATCTTCAAAGTAGAGGTAGTGAAGAAAAGAGATACAAATACACAAGCACCAAATTGTAGCAAGCATACTGGGGTCAGCTTCATTTTTTTTTTTTTTTTCAGGGGCCCTTTCCCTGCCGTCACATTTAGGGATGGAGAGTGGAACCAAATCTCCTTTACTTCCCTTGGCAACGAGGTCAATACCACTTGCAAATCCAACCTTCTCTCATTGCAACTATGTCAAAGGTGGGGAGCTCAGTGGGACACTGAAGTCATACAAGACAGAGCACATTTTCCAAACTACAACTTGCCACGTGCCTGGTGGAAATGCCTCTGATCCTAGTTTAAGTTCCCCAGGAATATTTTCAGCTTAGGCTTTATCCCCACATCTGTTCTGGATCATCAGAGTGTATTATATTGTTGCTTGATCTTTAGAAACAAATACCCTAACAACCAAGCTGGATGCTCTATGTGGGGCAGGATTTTGAGTCAACAGAGTGTGTTTTCTTGCTAGTCAACAGCCTTAGATGACTGAGCAGGTATAAAATATAGCCTCTGTGCTTCTATTTCTGAGAGATAAATGATGAGATGCCCCAACAGGTGATTGGTAAAACCTAAGCTTTCACAAAAGGAAGCCATACATTTTCAATACATCATCATCTTGGGCTACTTAACAGAATAACAAAGAGGTCAGTGTGTACTAAATAACAACCAACGTACAGAAGCAACCAAATAATTTCAGCTTGAAATTATATATAGTAAGAGGCAGTATCATATAATAATGGTCAATAGCTGGGGTTGACACACTAGGGCCAGGAGCCAAATCCAGGTAGCCAACTACCTGTTTTTGTAAGTAAAGTTTTATTGACATAGCCACACTCATTCATTGCCATATTGTCTGTCTACTTTCTCACTGCCATGGCAGAATTGAATGGCTGTGATCTGCAGGCTGTATGATCTGCAAAGCTAAAAATATTTATGATCTAGCCCTTTAATGAAAAAGTGACAGTATCTGTATTTGAATTCTGGCTTCAGCATTTACAGGCTATGGTATCTGGGCCAGATATTCATTATGCCTTGGTTTCCTAATCTATTAAATAGGTACGCTAATAGCATTTCTTTTAGATTACAGTGAAGATTACATGAGATAATGTATACGATCTTAGCAGTCTACCTGGCATGAAGTATCAGTCGTCTTCTGCTGATCCCATTCTCTGTGACTTCCCAGAAAGGGTTCTAGATCCCTAATAAAATTATGTTTGCTTTCTATTATGCAGAAGACAGCTTTATTTTTTTTTCTAAGAATATTGTTTGTAGAGGCTGGGCATGGTGGCTCACGCCTGTAATCCCAGCACTTTGGGAGGCTGAGGCGGGTGGATCACCTGAGGTCAGGAGTTTGATACCAGCCTGGCCAACATGGTGAAACCCCGTCTCTACTAAAACTACAAAAATTAGCCGGGCATAGTGGCACGTGCCTGTAATCACAGCTACTAACGGGGCTGAGGCAGGAGGATCGCTTGTACCTTGGAGGCGGAGGTTGTGGTGAGCCGAGATCATGCCACTGCACTCCAGCCTGGGCAACAGAGCGAGACTCCGTCTCAAAAAAAAAAAAGAATATTGTTTGTAGGTACTGATAAGAGAAAAACTTCAGCTGAATTAAATGTCGAGGAGTTTAATTGAGCAATGAACAATTTGCACATTGGGCAGCCCCCCCAGAATCACAGCAGATTCACAGAGACTCCAGCGAGCCACTAGGTGGAAGAAGATTTATAGACAAAAAGGGGAAATGATATACGGAAATTGGAAGTGAGGTACAGAACAGCTGGATTGGTTACAGCTCAGGTTTTGCCTTATTTGAACACAGTTTGAACACCCAGCAGTGTATAAGTGGTTGAAGTATGGCCGCTGGGATTGGCCAACACTCAGCTATTGTTACAGGTGCATACTACTATGTTAAATTTTCAATTTTGTCTGCCTATTAAGCTAGGTTATGGTTCATCCACAAGGACTCAAATGTAGAAGTATAGAGTCATTCTCAGGCCATATTTAGTTTGCTTTAACAGTACCAAGACTCTAATTTCTTAAACATATGCATGTAACCAGCCTACTCTTATTAGCCCAAAGAGGCTACAAGAACATCAGTCTCTTGAAGTTTTCACTTATTATTTTAAATCTTAGCATTCCTCAGATTTGGGCATCAAATTTGCTTAACAAAGAAATTTACTCATTTATTCTCAAAGTGCCTTGGTAAGAGTGGCAGGAGCAGGTCTCAATCATTCTACCTGGCAGAGGTACAGGATGAGTCAGGCAAAAGAAATGTGGCAAATGGACTACTCACACTGAGAAAGCCAAGCCCATGTCTTTGAACTCTTAACTTTGTGTTCTTTCAAACAGAATAAGAGTCAGTATCCTGCCACAATGGAGACCAAGGAATCACGGGGAATAATGTTCAATGCCCCCAGCCAGTTGTACTAGAAAATATTGCCTGGTTGATAAAGTACATCTCCCACGGTTTGACTCCCCTTCCTCTTCCTGGTGCCCCCTCTCATTGCTGCCCTGGGCTGTACACAGTCCCTTAAGCATTACATCCATCAGATCTGGCTGCCTTTAAAGTGACTCATGTTCCAAATGATCTTTCCTCCCATCACTCCACCAGTCCTATAGCAAAACTCCTCTCAGTTTCCGACTCATCCATATCAAGCCAGAAATTGAGCTGATCAAAGTAACTCCTCCTCGAGGAATATTTGTATTTTACAAGGAGAATGTTTAATGCAAATGAAACTCAAATCAGCGAGGTGTTTCTTAGCAAAGAGACCTTCTTTGTGCCTCTTGCTTTCTCTAGTTAAACTCCTTGTTTCCCCCAAGGCCAGTACTCAGCAATTTATCACTCCTCTCTTCTGAAAGATTGCCAAATCTTGCACTAGACCAGATTGCATTATACTGTACTATCTCATTTAAGAATATATCTGAAGCCATCATGTGTATGGTCCACTCTCCCCATGAATTGATCAAATGTGGTCATACATTCGCTTTAAAGAGTCCTCCCTTAAACCCCCAAAAGGCACAGAAGTGTGCCTAATACATCTTAAACACATCAGTGTGGCAACTAAAGAATATCACTTAAAGAGCACAAAGCAATCAAGTCTGTACTGGATTTCCTTTCTATTCCCCTGTAGGTTTGGAAATTCCCTATTTGATGAAGAAGTCAGAGTATGGTTTCTACTGGGAATCTAGAATTTCTGCCCTTAGGGATCCTTTCAAACATATTGCAATCTAGCCTATCCTAAAAATTTAAACCTCTATCAGGACACTTTTAAGTAATTTCAACTTGTTTTGAGATATAGGGACTCCATATACTACTTTTCATAAATTATCCTGGATGATGCTAGATACATTATTGATCTAATCTGTTTTTAATAACATCAATGAATACTTAATGATATTTGAATCCTGAGTTTACAGAGCTCTTTTCTTTCCTAGAGTCTTATTTTCTCAAAAGGTCATTGTGTTTTACATAAAACACCACTGTAAGCTAGAAGTCGGCATCCATTATTGTCAGCATTTTAAAGGAGAGGCTTGGTCCTGAGTAACTGACTTATCTAAGGTCCATCATTTTTCAGATATAGACTTGGGATGACAACCCGGGCTCCTTCCAGCTCCAACCAGTTCTTCACTGTAGGACATGCTACTTCAATGTTGTGTGATCTGGGAGTGCTTCTGCGGCACTGTGCTGTCAATTCATGCATGAATCACTTTTAAAGAAATCATTTAGTTTGATAACTAAGCCTTTTGGATTTGGTCACAGATGAACCAATTTTACACCGAATGCATCCTCATAGTGAGAGGAAAGGGTCATGGCTCCAAAGGAAGGCCTCCTTATCCTCAATTACCAGCTCTGAGCAAGTTTCTGACAAACTTGCTTCCATGTGGAGGGCCTTTTTTCTTCCCCAGCTACATACAACACAGGACAATAGCACCAATGCGAGAGAAGAACACAAAATGCCTGAATTGAGACTCTCTTTGGCATTACGATTAGGCATGAATTACTTGGGCAAGAAGGTGAACATCTTTGATTTTTTAAAGACTGGATTAGAAAGGCAGTTTTCTTCAAAAGAGCAACCAATGCTTGGGAAGGACCCTAGCAGGAATGGTGAGAAGAAGGCAACAGTCTAAGATGGTAGGAGCTCTTCTCTGCCTGTTACCTATACCACCTACTCAGAACTTTTATTTCAAAATGCATTGGTTTTACCTTTGAGAAAAGAGCACAGTTCCTTCAACATTGCTCTCTATCTTACACCCCACCTTGTGCCATCTTGAAATGATGCTGAGAAGCATGGTCCATTTGGTCACCATGTGGCTGCTTGTTGATTTGTGTGAGTCTGGCATCCCTACCTGGAGTGAGCAGAGCTGAAAAGCTGAAATAGATATTTCCCAGTTTGAACCCACTGAAACCTAACTTTTCCTGAGTATGCTTGGCTTAAGTTGGCAACTATATAAATTGCAAAATGCAAATAAAAATGTGTTAAAATGGCTTGGAGAGGAAAAAAGAGCTTTTATGGATGGTTCAAATAAGTTTTTTTCTATATATTTAGTTTTTCATTATGTGTTAATGTTGTCCTTACATTTGAGATGCTTTCTTGATGACAAAATTTATTGTGACATATTATGTCACAAGCAAGATGCTTCAAATAAAGAAAAGATGCAATAAAAGAATAAAAGAAGGATTTACTTTGAGACAGAAACCAATGGGCAGACTTGTTGCATGGTGTGGTTATCAGGAATGACATGAGATGAGAAGGTGGGTTCTGAGAAAATGTAAAAGGAAGAAGAAAATTACTGAAGTTTTGTGAAGAATAGCAACTGGTTTTAAGGAGAAGTGTGTTTGTGAAACATAAATGATAGTTTGGCTACTGTTCTTATGATTTTGAATGCAGTTGTTTATTTTCCTTACTCTTAACTCTGAACGTGATGGTAATTCAGGCCAATGCATCAGTAGCAAACAAAGCAGGAGGAAGAAGGCAGAAACTCAGAGTGCATACATGGGATGCCCAATGCTTAATAATTGAAAGATTGTGAACTGAACAAAAACCCTTGGGGAGCTTTGGAAATATACATTAGAAGTAACTTTTTTAAAAAGAGAAAGAGAAGAATGCTATAATGTTTGAGAAATGTTTTCTCAAAATTTAAAAACTAAATCTTCCCCTTATTCTGCTGTTCTCTCTCTTTCTCTTTTTATTATTCCTATTTTGCAGGTGAGAAAACTGAAATTCTGCAGGCAAAGTAGCTTAATTAAGATCACAGAGCTACCTGGTGGTGGAGCAGGAATTCAGGAAGGAGTCTGTTTCTGAAACCTTTGATTTTTAAAAACTGAAATAGAAAGGCAGTTTTCTTCAAAAGAGCAATCAATGCTTGGGAAGGACCCCAGCAGGAATGGTGAGAAGGCAATAGTCTAAGATGGTGGGAGCTCTTCTCTACCCATTACCTACAGCATCTATGAAGAACTTTTATTTCAAAATGTATTGGTTTTACCTTTAGGAAAGGAGCACGAAGTACTCTTTTTATAGTACCCTGTTGAGGGCAGGGAGGTAGGATTTGAGGGGAGAGGAGAGGCACATAACACATACAAGATATGTTATGGGGCAAGATGGAGGGGAAATTAGCCAATTCCAGAGACCATGAGGCTGTGGGCTTCCCGAGGGCAGAGGCTTAAAATGTCTTGGAACTTTTCCAACTTCCCCTAACTCCTGCAAATAAAGCAAGTTATTTACAAATGCAGTAGAAATTCATATAGTAGAACATATTAACTATTTAGGAGAAAATTAATTTCAAGAGAATCTGTTATAATAGCAATTATTTGTCTAATATAAAAATTAGAGTTTCCCATTATTCTGCTGTTTTCTAAGGAGTCTTAACATTAGGCTAAAGACAGATTTGAAAAATACAAACAAACGCACTGCTTATCTAGTACTTTTCTCACTGAAATATGCAATATGTTTTTTTCTCTATTTATCCTGCGTGCTCCCCCTTTTTTCTGTTTTATATGATTACTTAAGTGGAATTAAGACATTATACAGATACTTCATACTCCCTTTCCTCTCTCTTCCCCTCCTTTAACTACTTAGTATTGCAAGATGCAGTATTATTAAATATATCAATGTAATTCCTTTAGGAACTTTATATCATTAATTTACATCACAGAAAATATAGAGTGTAGTATACTCACCCCTTAAAATAACTCATCTATACTTTATGTTACGTGAAGAGAAAAAAAATAAATAATTTCCTTTTTTTTATCTATGCATTCCCAGATGAAGACAGCCTAGTAAAATATATATATATGAACTGGGAAATTCATTAACCTGACCATAAGTCTGCATTAAATGGTACACGTAACTGCAGGCTGTTTTTAAACAAAGGCTCTGCTTTCCTAAGTTCTGTTCTAACAGTAATAGCAAATGATATCACCACTATAGTTGGGTCTCCATATCTTCAATTTTATGAAATGTCTCAATGAGGTGGTTTAATTGTTAATAAATCTAAAGTATTCTACCAGGATGCTTCATTAATTAAGACAGGGAAATTTCATTTTACAATGTTTCTTACACTGCATCTCATGAAACATATGCTGTCCAAATTGTTTTAGAAGTGAACCATAAATAAAATACATAGGTAACTTGAGCTTATATTTAGGGAAACACTAGCGACATTTGCAGTGATGGAAGCTTGTTTGTTTTGCACTCAGTACAAAAAAGAGACAATCAGACAACCTGTCTGTGCTAGCTCTGGAGGGGAAATTGTTAAAGGACTAAAGTTCTAAGAAAGATTCCTGGCCTATAAATTTTAGTTCAAAATAGGAAAAAAGAGAAAATAGTTGAAATATTAAAATAAATTCACCTATATCTACCTATTAAATTTTTTAAGTTGAATTTTTTGCTTTTCTTTGGCTTGCAGACTAAGCCCAGAGAGAAGAAAACATTCTTTTGCAGTAGTTTTAAATGGCAGGCTGTGGCAGGTGCTGCAGACCTGTTTGTAACCCAATCCCAGGAGCTGCTTGCTGATGGGCAACATTGTTGGAGGCAGCTGGAGGAGCCTGGTGAGAAATGGTCCGTGCAGCTCAGTAAGAAAATGGCCCATTTTGGCTGTTTTCATGTTTAAAAGTGCCTATCAATTTTAAAAGCATTTAGAGAGACTGAATTTAAACTGGCACCTCTGAGAAATGAGAAATTAAACTTTTTGACTTATTACTGTACTACTCTAGGTTCCTCCTTTAAGCTCTCACTCCTTCATTTTCTTTGTCTTTCCTCCTTTTCACATCTCTTTTTGCTCCACTTCCTTTCCTGTACAGGTTCATGCTTACCTGTTGTGATACAGTTAGTAAAGCTGTCTACATGCTCTGATGTGTATGAAGTAACTGCGAACACTGATTCATTTACCAACACTGCTTAGAGTGAAGCATATCTCTGCTACTTATCAAACTCTTGACAAGTGGTTTCCATATTTCATATTCCATGTTGTGTATCTCCTATATTCCAAGTTCTCCATAGAGAACAGGATGAGAACTGGAAAAGTCTGATCAAGGTGACCAGTGGAAAGGGGGAGAATGTTGTTAATCACTAAAGGGGAGCCAGGGAGTTCTGTGGCGATACTGGGGCTTCTTGAATCCTTGTTGTGGTGGCTCAGGGGTTACTGCAAGGGTGCAAGTGACAATAGTACACAGCAGTATTTCCTAGACCTGTGAGCAGATCTAGGTATCACTTAGATAGTGATATCTAAGAGATTACTTCTTGGGTGTTTTTAAGTTTTTAAATAATGAGTTATGTGGCAAGAATTACACATTCTTACATATATTTTTATACAGGTGATCAAACATAATCATTAGGATATAGAGTTTAGAAGTAACATAAAATACAAGCAGTTAAAACAGTCTAATAAGTTGTTTGCACAGAGGCCTACAGATACAGTTGATCACTGCTTAGTTTTAAGTGAATAAATAGGAATGCTTTATTCTCTTCTAGTCATTTAACAAACATTTATTGAGTATCCACTGTGAACAGAAAATGTTTTACATACTGCAGATAAAGCAGTGAAAAAGATAGGCAAGGACTCTGTTTTAGCTGAGCTTATATTCCAAATGTGTGTGTTGAGGTAGGGAGAAGGTTGCCAAGAACTGTGAAGAGCCTGAGATTTTGCCATACTTGCAAGCTAACAAATTGGCCAGCTACAGTTTCATGACCTCTGGATTAGCGACAAAGTATAGTTTATTATTAACAGCCATGCAGTAGCCAAGTAGCCATTATTTTCCTTGTGCTGGTTCCATGAACCCCAATACTCACAGGGCAATGTGAAGCAGGCCAGTAAACACCTACATCTGCAGTGAGTTATGTTACAGGACCGTGATTTTAAGCTTAAGGAACCCTAATGTTTTATAATGGGCAGTAACTATGCATGTCCTTTACTTTTAGGGAGACACTCATTCTCTCTTCCTGTTTATAAGTAAACCTGCCCTTTGCCCTGGAGGGGGACACTGTGTCTAATTTCAAATTTTATTCACTGTTTTTTTTTAATCTGCATGTCTATTTTATTTCCATTAGAAAAATATTATCTGTCTACAATTTTGGTCCACTTTCTTCTTGACCTCTACCATTCCAATTTAAATACTTTAATTTTACCCAAATAAAAGCAGAGTCACACATCTGACATGAGAACAAAATGTTTCATGTCATTAAATTAGTTTGAATTAGGTGTGCTCGTTTATTTCTTAGAAAAAATAACTCATCTTTCCTACTTATTATTTTCCTTTTATTTATTTGAGTCGCTCTTTGGTAATGAGTATCTCTTTCCTACATTCAGTAATATGGGTGTAAATAATAATAATTTATTACATCAGTAACTGGATTAATCATCTAATCTTCAACTCGTGCTTAGCTCTCCATATTCTATGGTATTTCCATAATAACTTCAGATATTTTAGTCAAACTCACATTTTCATCAGTTCTAAAAATTAAGATGTTATATCAATTGTAAAAGTCAAGATGTGAAAAATTTCAGACTAAATAACACCGGGCCACTTATAGTCATGCCGTTGTGAGAGGTGCTTGGTCAGTTACTTCCTCAATTTCAGCTTGGCCTCCTTTGGGCAAAGCAGCAACCAGGTAAGCAGCACTTGCAGGAAAACTACTCTTGAAGTACTGTTTGTAGATTTCATTGACAGTAGGGAAGTCATTTATGTCAGCCAACAAAACAGTTGTTTTTACTGCATTAGTGAAGTCACAGCCTGCAGCTTTCAGAATTTTACTCATGTTCTTGCTTAGCTTCTTTTGCTAAACAAGCCCTCTTGGCACAAGCTGTCCACTTAAAGGGTTCATGCTTATCTGTCCTGAAATGTAAGTTTGTCCTGACTAACACAGCTTGACTGTAGGGCCCAATGGCCGCTGGGGCTTTCGTGGTGCTGATCGCCTTTCTGATTAAGGATGACCTGGCTAACCCTTCTCTCTTGTGGCCCCTCCAGGAGAACTCCCTGTACAATTCCTGCTTGCTTCTTGCCTGACTGACCTATTCACTGTTCTGAAAAGATTGTAGTGGCTCTGCTTGCAAGATGTGCAGAAACATGAGAGACCCTCCAACAGTGGACAGAGAGGAGATAGTCATATTTATACTGAAATATTTATGTGAACTACAAAGTATATTGAACTCAGGCAAATCTCAGTTTTGACTAGTGATTTACATCAGTGATACTGGTTCCCAGTATCAGTTTCTGCAGTCTTGTGAAAGAGCATGAACTCCGTATTACCTGGTGGACTGACCCAGTGCCATGTGAGCAATGTGGATCATGAGCAATGTGTGGATCAGGATTCACTTTTCCACTCTATGTCTCACTGTCTGTGTCACTTGGACTGATTGCATAGATTCTCTAAATCTGTTTCTTATAAACTGGGAGTAATAAAACCTGTCTGATGGAGTTATTGGAAGATTAAATAAATAACATTTATAAAATACTTAGCATAAAGTCTAGATACAATAAGCATTCAATAAAGGGTAGATAGTTTTGTTTACTATCATAGGTGTCATAGACTCTGCTTTTAAATTTAATCCTTATAACAACACTGTAATATGATCTTCATTTTATAAATTAGGAAATGGAGACTCAGAGATTTGTCTGAGGTTACCGGCTAATAGGAAGTAGAGCCACAATTCTAACACAGTTCAGTCAGTGTCAAAGTTCACATCATGTACTACCCAGTAGACTTTAGGGGTGAATCTCTCTACTTCCCAGTCGAATTTCCTCATTTAGAATCCACCTCTGCGAGTGCGATGGCTCATGCTTGTAATCCCAGCACTCTGGGAGGCCAAGGAGGGCAGATTGCTTGAACTCAGGAGTTTGAGACCAGCTTGGGCAACATGGAGTAACCCCATCTCTACAAAAAATACAAAAATTAGCCAGGCTTGGTGGTGTGCGTCTGTAGTCCCAGCTACTTGGGAGGCTGAAGTGGGAGGATCTCCTGAGCCCAGGGAGATGGAGGCTGAAGTGAGCCGATAGTGCCACTGCACTCCAGCCTGGGTGACGAGAGTGAGACCCCCATCCCAAAACAACAACAACAAACAGACAAAACCCCCAAATCTGCCTTTGCCATTTATTATCTGTTTGATTTTGAATAAAATCCTTTATATAAAAAATGGGGATAATAACAGCACCTACCAGGTAAGGTGGTTATCAGGATGAAATGAAATAATATCTGCATAATGCCTGACAAATAGTAATAAAAACACATTTATTGATATTATTATTAGTTTTTATTACTATTATTGTGACAGTAACACGGAGGCAAGCAACATTACTTATTCCAGATGACCATTCACCTTCCCAGAAACCTGGGCTGCAGTGTTTATAGCCTTCTGTGATGTAAATTTCCTATAAGCTATATATTACAATAGTTTTGAGGATCAATAAAGACATTGATTATAAAGTATGGTGAATGCTTCATACATAACCTTAGATTTGATTACAGGAAAGAGGAAAACATAATGTTACATTAGTATAAAGATAAATTTGCTTTTCTATTTTCTTTTCCATTCCCCTAATAATTTTGGTAAAATATACAGCAGTGCATATTGACCCCAAAAATGAATAAAACATCACTTAATTTACTTTAGCTCATACATTGGTTGTATGGGTTAACTCACCTTACATACATTTTATACAGTACTTAACATATATTTTAGAGAAAACATTAGCAATATGACTTTTCATTAATGCTTAGTAAATATTTGCCAATGCACTATATAATTTTAATTTTGATAAAAATAGCATTGTGGACAAGTCAATGGGACCAAAAATACCATCTTCATGATTCTTTAGCTTCTAAAGACAAATTGCTACATTTAAAGGTTATGCCAAATTTGAAAAGCAACATAGGATAGTGGGAAAGACCACGGATTCTACAGCCAGCATTCCTGGGTTTGAATCCCAGCTTTGGTACTTAACTACTTGTGTGAACATGGGCAAGCCCCTTAAGCTATTGGAGGCTCATCTCCTTATCCAGAAAATGGGGACGATAAAAGTATATACCTAATAGAGTTGTTGGCAGGGTCTGGGAGTGCATGAAGTAATATACATGAAATGCTTGAACAACCTCCTGGTCCACAGTAATATCATACAAGTGTTAGCTATTGCTATTGCTATCCTTTTAACCACTTCATGAATAATCTCCTATACCATGATTCTCCGAGCATCAGGATATGCAGGGACTGGGGACCAGTGCTGTGAATTATGGCTGCAGAAGACCCTAGAATACTGCCTTCAATAGCAGGACTTACAAGAAATCACTACTCTGATGGGAATATTTTGATTGAGCTTGTCAGAAGACCTGGTATTGTTGAATGCTTTTTGAAAATATGCTAACGAAATAGCTTCAGATTATATTTTCCTTTTCCAATATTCTTTGTCAATATATGAGTATTTCTGACTTTCACAGCATTTACCAATTACCAGTTTCGCTGTTTATGTTGATCAGCTATATTGGTAAAACAAGAGTTCATTTTTTAAACAAAGCATTATATTCAATGATGGTTATTTACCTTTTAATCAGCTTTCTGAATCTTAAAACATACACATTACATTTGAAAGCCAAAGATATCTAAAGTCAAAGAAGCTTTTTGTCTCTTATACTGTAGTGTTAGTCTTACATATTTACTTAATAACGAAGGCTGGCCTCCCAGTTCTGGAACCTCTCCCATCTTTCCTAACACATCACCCCAGCCCACCCTTGGTGTCCCTGCCCTTGCCAATTTCCTCTTCCCTATGCCATTTCCCATACTTTCAATATTTTCTTAAGCCTTCTTTAAAGAGGCTTAAGATTCACCCCCAATGCACCTCACCTATTTCTGACCTTCTCTGTAGCTACTGGAATGTTTCTATCTTGTCCTCTAAATTAATAATGGGAAAGCATAAATAATCCCATTTTTTTAAGGCATTTTTCTTGGAAGAGGAATAGGTGATAGCACTTCTATAACACCAAAAGGACACTGTAGGGTGAGAAAAAGGAGAAGGCCAAAAACTTGTTGAAAACCACATTCTTGGCCGGGCGCAGTGGCTCATGCCTGTAATCCCAGCACTTTGGGAGGCGGAGGTGGGCGGATCACGAGGTCAGGAGATTGAGACCATCCTGGCTAACACGGTGAAACCCCTTCTCTACTAAAAATACAAACAAATTATCCGGGCGTGGTGGCGGGCACCTGTAGTCCCAGCTACTCGGGAGGCTAAGGCAGGAGAATGGCGTGAACCTGGGAGGCAGAGCTTGCAGTGAGCCGAGATGGTGCCACTGCACTCCAACCTGGGAGACAGAGCGAGACTCTGTCTCAAAAAAAAAAAAAAAAAAGAAAACCACATTCTTCAGGAAATAATCATGGTAATAGTAACATATCATAGGAGCACTGATGAAGAAAATATTAAGGCAAAAGGTACTTTGTTTTTTTCAACCATTTTAATGATGAATGGTTAAGATAAGCGGATGTATTTCTAAGTGCTAATAGTTTAAAGCACTCCCTTCTTCACCAAAAGACATTGATCCTTTCTCTAGGGTACTCATGCCAAATGGAAATTTTGGTGGACAGAGTCTCTTTAATGTAACTCTCCTGAGAAAGGCGTGCTAAAACATCAAGAAAAGCGACCCGACCATTCAGAAAAAATAAAAATAAAAAACCAGAAATGAAAGTGAGGCTTACATTGTATCTATAAGATACAAACTGATTTTTTTCCTCCTACAGCCAGCTACAGTGATTTAAATAATAATTTACGTATTTACTAAATTCCCATAGAGATGTACCTGCTGTTTTGATCCTTTCTTAATAGCAATACATTGTGATATATGGAAGCCCTTTGAAGAATCTCAGCCTGTGCTAAAAATCATGTGTTGGCCGACTGGATCCATTCGAGGAATTTATGGTCCAAATTAGCGTGAAATAATCAGCAAACGCTGTGTTGTCACGCTGTGTCTCTTTACCAGATTCCCCAGTTCCCAGGTCAGCTAGAGCAATTATTGAAACACCCAATGGTCAGACAAATTTCTGCTAGCAGATGATTTTAAAGGAATGCTAGAGAATCAGTTTGGAAAGGCCTGCAACCAAACACCGCGTTCTCTAGGGAGTTCCCAGTACGGGGCAAGGTGCAGCATTGCCTCCCACTGCTTTCCGTTGTGCTAGCATATCAAAGAAGGAACCTAAAAGGCACGAGGACCTGCTACTGGGGGGAAGAAGGCCTCAGAAGGCGAGAGAAGTGCTGAGTGGTGGCACGCAGCGGCCAGTGCGCCCGTCTGTCTTCTGGGAGCTCATTGCAGCGCAGTAACTGGAGATCCTCACCCGCCCGCCGCGACAAACTCAAGCACATTTTAAAGCAAGGCGCCTGGGAAGAAAACATGCCAGAATAGAGTGGTGTTATTTTTAATGGAGCATGTGTTTGTCTTGCAAGTGTGTCGGAAGGAGGGGAGCAGGTGTCGGGTTCCTGACCAGCGCTTCTGATGCAGGATAAGAGGCCGAGGTTGGATTTCCCATGGCCTCACAAGATCTTTGATTTTGCAAATGGGATGTAGTCGTCCAAATTGAGTGTATAACGCTATCCCTTCTCGGTGCGTTTGTACTTGTTTTTAAAGCAAACTGGCCTCAGGGTGCGGATTTCATGAGCAATCCTAGGGATTGGGCCAGGTCTTGTTAGGTGAAGATTAACAGCCCAATAAATAGAATTGGTGCACCACCGTAAGATTAACACAAGGCAGTGGCAGAGTCGATCTAAGATCTTGGAAGGCAAAGATGTGCAACCCCCCTCTTTTTTTTTTTTTAAGAGTAAGAACATGAGTTTGTCAGTAATAAATTAATAACCCTCATGTAAGAGAGTTGTCAATATGAGAGACTCTATCTCCCATGTTCAGTAATAAAGCTACCTACTATTTTGGTAAGAAATGCCTAAATTGAAATTCCAAAGGGTATTATGAACTTGAATTAAAAAGGTAATGGATTTTTTAATAAGTTCTGGGTCAAGATGTATTATCAAACTATTTTCCATAGGGCATAGAATATACCGTCTATCCTTTTAATAATGCCAGATCTAGTCTTACATCCAGTGGCCAGCTGAGGCTGCTTGTCTATTATAGCTCTCCCACCATCCCTAACAATGAACAAATAACTAGATGGCCTATGAAACATTTAAAATAGAACTGTCTCCTAGAGAAACTGTTACTAGCAGAGACAGGTTTGATCCAGACCAGGATAACCTGCTTTGGGAAAGAGCAGATCAATATTGTTTGGGAGTAAGTAGTGGAAGTAAATATTATGGTGAATTAAGTTAATCATAAAACAAATGATCTGTGCACTGACATGCAGCCTGATTCTACCTAATTGTTCTGATGCAGTACTATGTGAAGGATAATTCTGTGTGCTCTGAAATTCAGAGGGCTTTCAAAAAACAGTTTTAATTATACAAACCATTTGTTAGTCATGAAAGCGCTATGTCTGCAAATGCTTAAAGACTGGCAAAGAACTTGACCATGCATTTGAAAAGTGGTCTGCATATTCTAAGTTATAGGAGATGAGTTTTCTTCTTTCCTGATTTATGGCTTGGGTCCAAAGCCAAAGTTATGTCTTTAAACCATTCTTTCTGTCATGCCTAACTGTCTGACTCTGCGGTACTCTACAAACTTACCTCTTTTTGTGTGCTCTCATAGAGTATTTTCTTGCTGCATCCCTCATCCTTCTTTCCATCTTTGCTGGGTCTGGAGGCAGGTAGTATTTCTATATGTAGCCATGGTGAAAAAGGAGGGTAAACTTGTTGGCTAAAAGGTAGCTGAACTCAACAGACATAAGTGTACTCTAAATGAAAAAGTAAATTATTGAGTTATAAATGGACAGAAAAAACTGCTTCATTACATGTTTGGATAACTTCTGGTCAGGCATGAGTTAGTATAGGACGTTGTCATAGCTATCTTCATAGTTGCATTAATTTTTAGATGGTTTTAGATTAATGCAGGAATTTATACTGTAGCTTAATATTGGAAGCATTAAATTCATTGTTACAAATTGTCTTCTGTTTTTTATGTCTTCTATAAAACAAAAATCTCCGTAAGATAAAAGAATGCCTGCCTCTCTCATCATGGACACATGTAGAGAGAGAGAGTGGATCTGGAAAACAAATTTATACTTTTTCTGGAAATGGGAACCATTCATAAACCATTTAATGAGTTCAAGGTCTCCTTGTTCTCATTCTGCCTCCTATTCATATAGACTGTTGGCAACCAGAGGTAGCTGGGCTAGTGACGCATTATTGGATGAATCTGCTTCAAACTTGAAGATTTATGAAAACTCTGAATGACAGACAAAAATATACATTTTCCTTTTAAAAAGGGTGAGATTAATATTCAGCAGTCACAATATATAATTAAAGAGAAAAATGAAATGAACTGTTTATGCAGGCACAAATAGTTGGTTTAATATTACAAGAGACCAGAAAGTCTGAGGCAAAATTTTTAAATTTTGCTCAAGGGTTTAAAGCCCCTCTGAGGTGTTCCCGCAGGTATAACCCTATTGCCATTTTTATGCATGTCATGAACTTGTTTAGCAGCTGCATTCATGTGAGATGCTCAGTTGTCTCCCGATGCTGCCTGCCTCCCTGTGTGCATCTTTATGTACTATATGCCCTCATTAATTTTGGAAAGAATTTTAAAGAGTGCTCAAATAAGACTTCCAAATAGTAGCCGGTATTTTTTTTCTTTAGGTGTTGGAGTGCAAAGCTCATTGAAGCAACCCCCAGATGGCTGAATTGTATCCTAAACACAGTCCTAGATAAGATAAAAGACTAACTGATGCCTAGAGGTCTCAATAAACCTTCTAACTCGGTTAAAATTTTGTTCCTGCTTCCTTCCTGCAGCTCTAGGTCCCAGTTTTAAGTTCTGTTCTTCATCTCCAAACTTTAGACATTGGGCAAACTGCTGGTTTCCTTTATGTGAAAACTTCATCAACTTGTGTTTGATTGTCACAGAGTAGTAGCTTGGCTAAATTTGTCTCCACGGTTTTTTCCCCCTAAAGGAAGTCTACAGTAATCTTGTAGGGTGGGGTTAGGGAGGTTCTGTATTGTTTGGATACTGTGTATAGGATAATGCTGTGTCTAGGATAATGTGTATAGGATAATGCTGTGTAAAGGAGGATGTAAAAAAATGATAGTCACTGATCATTTCTATATTCTCAGGAGGTTTCCTGGAATGGAGTAGAGAAATACAAAATCTAGGGTTTCCTCGTCCATGCTATGTAACACAGGCCATCAGAAAGGGAGTTATTGAGGCATCTAGGGTATGCAAAGATGACTGAGAGTTAAGAAATGAATAGTTGAGAGTAGGGAATGAATTAGAAGTTGTCTTGATTGCTGCTGTTTCTTGTTCTCTCCCATGAAGATGGGCATCTTTTCATATCCAAGT
The DNA here is from genome assembly GCF_000001405.40 of Homo sapiens. Lineage (NCBI taxonomy): Eukaryota > Metazoa > Chordata > Mammalia > Primates > Hominidae > Homo > Homo sapiens. Next base: position 199,745,009 of record NC_000001.11, on the reverse strand, counting down.
CTTTCCACCACCAGGATGCTCTGACCTCTAGGTGTCTACCTTGGGATCCCTATTCCCCAACAGCCTACCGTCACTCCACTCACAGGTGGCTCAGCACATGGCCCTGCAGAGTGAGATATAAGATTCTTCTTCCCATTTTGGTCTTTTCATTGCTTCTGCTCCCTGGACCCCATGCCTGCTCATTGTGCCCTGCCTCTTCATCAACCACAGCCCAAGAACCTCCCCTCCCCTGCCCTTCGATATTTATGGGGGTGACACTTTTGCTTTCCTTTAAAAAAGGAAGTCTGTCTCTTCATTTGCTCTTTGAAAAAGTAATTCACATTATCAGGAAAATTGGGGGTAACTATAAAGGCCATTTTTTGTTTCTGGTAAAGAATATTTAATAATTAATGGACACATAATTGAACAATACAGATATTATATGGAGAGAAGTATTCCCTTTTTAAGTCTCTTCTACTCTTTTGGGTAAATCAAAGAGAAAATTCCAGTTTGGTGTTCATATGACTTTAAGTTCTCCCTCACTCTGACTAATATCCCTTTTTAATGCAAAAAGTAGACCTCAGGCTCAAAGCCCTGTTGTTGGTAGTACCTGCCCCACTCTGACCCAGACAAGACTCTCAATGATAAGAATTTTAAGTCAGAAGTGAAAGGAGAAAAAAAAAATCTCAAGTGTCTTGGTGAGAAAGGATGTCACTCCCTTATGTTAGGCCCAGGCCCAGTTGGAAAGAAGACCCAGAGAGAAGTGGCTCTCTCATTCATTTGTGTCTATTATTTCATTGATTTCTGAGCAAATTAGAGGCTCTGTGGAAAAGGACTGGCAAGGAAATATGGAACAGCGTGAATGTAGCATTCTACTTAGCACGAGGAAATGTGTTATGCATATATTAAACACGGGCTCTTTCAGAGAAAATTGTGAAAATAGCTCTATGTGAAGTTCTTTGTATTGATTTGTAAGTTATTAAGGTAAAACCATTTTTCCCTCCTGAAATTCTACAAAAATCAGTTGGTTAAAATACAGATCATGTTCTAGAAGGAAGTTTATAGGGATGTAAAATGCTGAGACAACCAGAAATCCCACATTTTAGATGTCAGGGCATTTGATTCATTCCTGTTAAGCCTTGGACATCAATAAATAAAATCCTGGCTGACTGAATGTGTAACCTTATAAATTTAAGTGCTCTTTACTCTGAAGACCTGAAGTTCTTCTTTTTAAAAATCTTTTAAAGAAACTGAGAATCCCCTGAGTTTCTTGACTCTAGATGAAGTCCACAGGGCAAGCCAGGTTCTAACTTTCACTCTATACATGTTAAATTTATACCAACTTTATGTTACGGGTGAGTCTATGAATAATACAATTTAGGGATTCTGAATTTATGAATGAACAGGCAGCTTTTAACTCCTTCTGGGAGCAGGCACCATATGCCATTCAAAGGTAACTTCCCTTAGATTTACATTTCATTTATTCATCTTGCGCCTCTAATGTCAAGTGCTGTGTCAGGCCTTGAAAGGAAACGTAACAGTGAATAGCAGTCCAGAGAAAGAACGATAAAGCTGACAAACGGTAGCCTCCTCCATAAATCAGAGATTCCACTGAGAGAAGTTGACGGTTGAGCCTATACATTAGAAAAAGAAATGTAGAAGGAGGAAAAGAAAACAATAGTATGAAACTTGCTATGACTCAGTGAATGAGAAAAATGAATCACAAGGAAACCTGGCAGAATAAAAATTATCTGATTATTGTATGAAGCAAAATCTTCAAGAAATAAACTTGTTAACTAGTTCTGAAGAAAAATGAAAATGAGAATTATTATGTGTAATCATAAGAAAAGAGATGAAAACCAATCTAAATTTAGAAAATGTCAAGGTCAGACCTTTCTAAACAAGGTAGAATTGAAGTAGAAGGATGAACACAGATATGGCCAAGCAGGTAAGAGGTCAGAAGGTGACAAGTACAGGCACCTTCCAAAGCAGGATGGGTGACATTTGCTTTTTTCAGTTTGTATTAGGAAAATTCCCACTTCAACCAGGTTTTTAGAGTTTTAAGATGAGTAGATTTAGTAATTGTGGATAAATGGTTAAGCATGGAGCTTTAGAAGATGTCTGAAATTGAGGAGCCCTCTTACTTAAACTTCGTTAGCCTCACAGTAAATCTACCTCTGGTCCCCTTGCAGAATCATGCCTCATGTGATGGAGGAGAAGAAGTGGGCTTTGGGCTGCTGTGTTGGGCAAGAGACTATGATTCATCTTCCTGCATGGATTGCCTTGAGTCATGCTGTCCTCATCATTAGAATGGTAAGCTAGAGAGAGAGAGAGTTGTGATTAGGGAGTGGGTTTAAAAGATAAAGAAGTTATTTCTGGCTAAAGTAATGAAGACCGTATTGCTACTGTGTTTCAGAAGTGTATATGCCTCAGTGAAACCACTTTTGTCTCTTTTTGAATGGCAAGATATACCAGAGACTGTGCCGGATGCTTGAGATATACAGATGAAGAATGAATGATGAATGAAACTTGGTTTTTGCTGTTAGAAAGCTTATAAGTTGGAGATGCAAGCGTAGGAGGTAGGAGGATAGAGGCAGAAGGAACCCAGAGTATCCATTTGGGATGGAACCTCACATTCATTTTTTTTTTTTTTTTTTTTTAGACAGGGTCTTGCTCTGTCACCCAGGCTGAAGTGCTGTGGCACAATCTCAGCTCATTGCAATTTCCACCTCCTTGGGCTCAAGCGATCCTCTCACTTCAACATCCTGAGTAGCTGGGACTACAGGTGTGCACCACCATGCCCTACTAATTTTTCTCTTTTATGTAGAGACAGGGTTTCGCCATGTTGGCCAGCCGGGTCTTGAACTCCTGAGCTCAAGTGTTCTGCCCACTGCAGCCTCATAAAGTGCTGGGATTATGGGCACAAGCCACCGCACCCAGCGGCATTCATTCATTTAACAAGTATTTGTTGAGTATTGTATTATTTTAAGAGCTGTGGATCTGGTAGCAAACAAAATAGCTCAAAATGCCAGTATACATGGCACTTTTATTCTAGTGGTGAGAAACAGACAGTAGATAAACTACTAGTGTAGATATAGATGTATACATACACATACATATACAGGCAGATGATGGTGAAAACTGTGGTAAAATAAAGCAGGTTACAGGAGATAGTCAGCTGTTTCTTTTCTTTCTCTGTACGTGTGCATCCATGTGCATCTGTGTGTGTGTGCCCGTGCGCATGCGTACACGTGCAGGGAGCTATTGCTGTTTTATACAGAGTGGACCAGAAGTCAACAATAAGATGACATTTCAAAAGGGATCTGAAAGAAATGAGAAAGAGGCACGATGGGAAGCACTCTCTGGGCAGAGAGAATAGCAAGTGAATGCGTCTGGAAGCAGTGGTGTGAGAGGTGTGTCTGAGGAACAGCAAGGGAGGGCTGGTGAGGCTGGAGTGGAGTCAGCAATGCGTAGAGGGGAAGGCGATAAGGTCAGAGAGGTAGCAGGGGCCAAGGCAAGAGTCGTCTCAGGCCATGGTAAGGACTCTGGGCTTTAAGCGTGGTGGGGAGCCCCTGGGAGGAGCCATGTGGGCAGAATCAGCTCTAGAAGGGCAAGCCTACAAGCAGGGGGCTCAGTTGGGAGACTGCTGGAATAATCTAGGTGAGAGATGATAGTTGCTCTAACTGGGTTGGTAGCAATGGAGGTGAGAAACTTTTGGTTTCTTGTTATATTTCAGAAAGGAGCCAGCAAGATATCCTGATAGGTCAGGTAAGGAGATGAGAGGCAATGTTTTTTCTTGAGCAACTAGAAGGTTGGAGTTTTAATTTAATGAGATGAGAAGAACAGTAGGAGGAACAGTTTGGGAGGTGGTGATGGGATTTCTGTATTGGACTTAAGTTTGAGGTCTTCATTCGACATCTGATTGGGAATATCAAGTAGGCATTTGGATGTGTTTGGAGTTCAGGGAACAGGGTGAGGCTGGAGATGAATATGTGGGAGTTAAGACCATACGTATGGTATTTAAGGTCATAAGATTAAACACAATCACCTAGGGAATAAATATAAATAGAGGAAAAATAAATATGGCATGTTTCTTTTCATGAACTTTTGGACATACTTTTGTTGAACCTCTGGAGGTGGGATTGGGCATTTGTGAGTGTAGGTTCCTGCTATTTCTCTCTTTCTCTAAAAATACATGACATGATTTATACATCCCAACATTTCATACAATGCTTTTCATAATCTGATGCATACCTACTCACTTCTCCAGTTTCAGTTCCACCAAACAGCAAAAGCATCACACTGTTTCATGTCTGTGTGTGCCTTTTGCTCATGCATTTCTACTTTGCGGAAAAGCCCACCCTGCTCCCAACCCCAGCTTATATCCACACAAACACACACATACACTTCACACTTCTGGGTAATATCTATTCATTTCTAAGACCCTAAGTGTCATGTCCTTCAAAATACCTTCCCCTCAGCTTGTCTCCAGGTGGGTTGAGCCCATCTTCTATGCTTTATCAGCCCGTGCTTGGGAATAATTCCTTATCTCATTGCTTTATAATTATTGTCTCTTACTGTCTGCCTAATCCTTGGTACAGGGAATACTCAAAGCATTTATGAAAGTTTACCAACATGTTAACAGACAAGATAGAGAAAAGTGATGAGTGAAATAAACCTCTTAATCCCACAACAGCAGAACAACGGCAAAATAAACCCCACTTCAACCAGTAGCTACTGAGCTAAAATTCCTCAATGTCCTCTGCAGGGTACGCTCTGCACTCACCTAGGTCTTAATGAATGTGAAATAACAGGCCCTAAATGATCAATCATGGGAAAAAGAGGAAACAAATTAGAAAATAAATCTTTGCAGGAAGAAGGATGAAAAAGGAAAAAATGGGCTAGAGGATTTCATTCTGAAACAAATGAGAATATTCCTAACTGCAATCTGTCTCTCATTTGGCGAATGAGAGTGACAGTCTCAACTGGAGCTTTAAAATGAAACTCTTTGAGTCAAAGAGATAATTAACCATTTATAAACAGATATGATAAACCCTTTAAACTGCACTACTTGATCCAATCAAATAATTAATTCCATAATTTTAAAATTATTTTAAAAAGCTGCTCTCTAAAGAAATTTAAATTAGATTTTATTAATATTTTCTCTGTGTTACAAAAGCCATCATTTGTAAAATGCTGGTAGGCCAGATTTCAATTAGACAATACCATGTACACTAGTTGTTTTCTTAATGCAAATGAACCTTGACATCTTTTTTTGATTACATCACTCAATTGTAAATTCCTTAAAAGCAGGAACTATAGATCCTCAACTAATGTGTGTTACATTTAAATTTGAGAATGTAATTGCGTGATTTCAGTACTTTTTTGTCTTCTTGTATAGAGCATATACACCATTCCATAATAATATACTCTAATAATGGTACAGTCACGATTTATTAACACTTACATGTTGTACTTGCTTTATCTCCATTTTATTCTTACCACATCCCTATGGGAGAATATGTTTTTTCAGTTGAAAAGAAGTAGAACTTATATGGAATTTTAAGCAGTTCACCCAGGCTCAGAAACACAATTTTGTCTAATAAAAATAACTAAGTTTTTTTTTTTTTAACTATGCCTTAACATACTTAAGGAAACCCTAAAAGCTTGTGTATTTGTGCTACACATATTTAAGAATGCCATTAATTGGGAACATCTAAATATATAAGTGGATTTGAAAATCTTTATTAAAATGTCATTCTGATTTTTTCATTACTAAATAAAAGCGATACACTAGAGTTATTACCTCAAATGTGTATCAAATTTATAATGATCACAAAGTAGCAGTTATCATTGAATTAAGGAAATATCTGCTTCAGATCATTTACTGAGTAATAGAATTTTAGAGTTGTTTAAATTAACTAGGATAACTAACATATGTAAATGTGCAATACAAATATGAAATATGTAAGTTTGGTGACATACTTTATCTCTGAGAAATAAATTAATAATACATAAAATTGCCAGGCGCAGTGGCTCACGCCTGTAAACCCAGCACTTTGGGAGGCCGAGGTGGGTGGATCACCTGAGATCAGGAGTTTGAGAACCGCCTGGCCAACATGGCGAAACCTCATCTCTACTAAAAATACAAAAAATTAGCCGGACATGGTGGCGCATGACTGTAATCCCAGCTACGTAGGAGGCTGAGGGACGAGAATCGCTTGAACCAGGGCGGCAGAGGTTGGCAGTGAGCTGAGATCGCGCCACTGCACTCCAGCCTGGGCAACAGAGTGAGACTCCGTCTCCTTAAAAAATAAATAAATAAATAAAATCATAATTTAATGTTTCATTCTAGCCAATCAGGTTTCTAATGCTTTATTATTTCCTCTCTTCACCTAGGAAATACATCTAATGCTTCTATCATGATGAAATCTAAAATAAGTCAATAAGGATGTTCTTTTAGTCAAATTGATGTCTTTGCCTGGGATGCCCTTCCATCTTAGTCGACCTAGACAATATTCCGCATCTTTCAAGAATCATTTGGTGACTCATAAATCTATATCTCAAGCCCAGACCTCTGTCCTCAGGTCCTAGGTCAGGTATCCCACTGCTCACTAATCACAGCTACTGGAATTCTTCTGGGGCATCTTGACTCATCATGAGATATTTCTTCCATGGCTCAACAAAGAGAATGGGTTCCTCTTTTTTTGGTGCCTCCACTGTTCTTTGTGTAAGCTTCTCTAACACTGTCTGTAATAGTTTATTCAAGGTCTTTATGTAATCGTTTATTCAAGGTCTTCAAATACTGGGCACACAGAACACCCTCCCCCCTCTTCACTTTTGGAAACTTATTACTATGATAATAACAATAACAGCTATTGTTAATAGTATTATTTGCTGAACTGGTATGAGTATGGTAGGCAGCTAATGCCAACAGATTGGAAGCTATTGACCAGATAAAACCTATAAACCATTCCTGCAAATAGAAATTTTTATATTCGTTTTAATAAATCATGTTAATTTCTCATGGCACTTGTAGATAAATTAATGAATCCATAAATAAATAAATGTATAAATGTATGCATTAATAAACAAGTCATATCATTTTCTTAGATAGGATTTTTGGTAGCAAAAGTGAGTCATTTTAGAAAACTCAAAGTCTGTCTCATCAGCTTCTAGGTAACAAATTTCATATTTGATGACAGCCAATCTAACAATCCAGTTTATGTTCTTAAGCAGTGAATCAAATTAACCTACCAAAGTTTAATGCCAAAAAGTTTCTCTCCTGTGAGTCCAGGGAAAAGATGCACAATAACTACCTGTGACAAGTATGTAATATTAATTAGGTAGCTAATTAATTTTTAATATCATGCCTGTTTAATTAGTAACCAAAGAGCCAAAGAATGATGGCTGCCTCATACAGTTAGAGCTTAGATTGTATATTTTGCAGGTGTGAAAGCTTAAACTGCAGTATGCTTGATAACTTCACATGCAGTTCAAGATTTATGAGGCCTATATGATACTTTAAAAGTTTTCTCCAGCCAGATTATGATTATTAAGTCGTTAGAATTTTAATTACATAATATATTTCCTCTTTATAAAGGGAGATGTTATCTAAGATAATTTTGACTTTGGGAGGCTAATAGGATCAGGGCCTTTATGGAATTTTGTTTTTCCATGTACTACAAACATATTTTAAAAATGCCTCTAAAAGAGAAAAAATAATTAATCACTAATCAGTGAATTGCTTTGGTCTTCATATCCACAGAACAATCTTGGTTCTGTCCTGGAAAGTCCTGAGTTCATTTTATTTATTTGTCTAAATGTTTCGAGATGATAGAGTTGGTAACTCCTCTGTCTCTATTATTTCCTGTTTCCTATGTTATGGAGCCTCTATATCATTCTGTAAAGTCAGGTGGAAGAAAAAAAGGGAAGCATTGTTAAACTGATTTTCAAAAAGCAAGAGAAAATAACTCTTCCATTTTATATCTTCTAAAGAGAAATTGGCTAATAGACTTCAAACATAACTTTTTGCAGTGTTTTTGTAATTATGCTCTTAGAATATATGATGTGTTTTTATTTTCATAATTAACAGGAAATACATGTTATACATTAAATGTGACACAAGAGATATGAATTATGCAGTCAACTCGGTATGTGCTGATGAGCACAAAGCCCAAGGCACGTTCAGTCGAGTTTCTATGAAGATCTATAATGAGTTTCAAGTACATCATTTCCTGATGGAGGATAAGAAAACATCCATCAATGCAAATTTCTGCACATTTTTTCAGCTTTTATGAATACTTTACAAATTCTAAAAAGAATGAATTTCCAAAGTGCAACTGAGCTAAGTCTGCTAGTAATCTTATTTAGATGGTTTAGGTTCAGTGGTAAAATCTAGTCTTTTACAACTAGATTTTACAAGTCAAGCAATAGGGCACATTCTACTAATGCTTACTAATATCGTCCTATTCAAATCCCAAAGGGATTCTCAAAGATGTGTACATATATATATACACATACATTTATTTAAACTGGTTATAGAATGCTATCAATGAAGATAACTAGTGTAAGATAATTTGATACTGTACAACTTAATAAAGGTCCTAGTCAATATCTAAACCTATGATATTAGTTTTATGTTGGAAAATAAATTATACAATGGAACAGGAAGGAAACAAGTGTTTATATAGTTTTTAAATTCAAAATCAAGACTTCCCTAACATATGCAAAGTAAACATGCATATTTTATTCATTTAATTACTTTAGAATAGTTGAGAGCACCATAAATATCTTAAAGTTTATGTTGAATTTTTTTATTAGGATAGCATTTAAACATATACTAATGAGGAGTGAAGGAAAATACTTAGGAGTAAAATTGTGTTGAATATTAAATAAACATTAAAAGTTACAACACTTTGTGGTCCTTAGAGACACTTTACAGAATAACATATAGTTATTGTAAAAGAAAGCCCAATAATGCAACAGCCTCCTAATTGGTTCTCTTAACACGTCTCTCCCTCCACAGTCCATTTTCCACAATAAAGAGTTATCATCCTGAAAAGCTGATCTGATCACATGCCTTCCCTTCTTAAAGACCTCTGCTGGCTCTCTGATGCCAGAGGATGAAGGCTAATCTCCCCAGTCTGGCCGGAGCCTGCTCCTCCGGCCTCATTTCCTGACAAACTCCTCCGCACACCTTAACCTCTGGTCCCTGAACTGCAGAAGCAGGGCAGAGTGGGGCAGGCAGGGCTGAGGAGGCAGGGAAGACGTTTCATGAACACCACCTGATCAGTGCTTCTCTCTTTGGGGTGCCTTGTCCCCTTTTTAGTAACCAAAATGATCTGCAGTTTCGTTATCCACTCTACCCTTTTACTTCTTCATTTGGCCCATTCACTATACTCCAGCAGAGAAATGACAGAGCAACAAGAAATCAAAACATTCTCACAATATAGTGCAAAATGTAAGGAGAAAATATACTCTCGCTCCCTTCTCTTGCTGTAAATTACCTCATGGGTATGGAAAATGACAGATACCAATTCCCTATGGAAGTGGAAAAAGGACGCATCGCCACGAAGAAAGTGTCCAGAAAGCCCCTTCGATCTGCTGAGTAAGGGATGTTCAAGGGTCTCCAAGCACAGCTCCAGCTTCTTGAGCTGAGTTAGGCACCTAAGTGCTCAATAGATGTTTGTTAGTAAAATGAGTTTAATTGACTAATAGATGTTAGTAGGTTGAAGGAAGGGGAATCATTTTAAGGATACCATATATAAATTTATTTCAGATACTGTATTTCTTTTTCTACCAATACACCGACACTTTCCTTGATAAGAAATTTTGTTTTTAGTTTAAGCGAAAAAAAGAATGCAGATTGAGCACCTGTTTATTAGTAGGAGCTACAAATTCTTAAGGGCCCGAATGTGTTGGGTCGTTATGGGCATTTTCTTCTTTTTGCCTCCACACAACCCTGGAAGTTGGTATTATGAACCATATTTGTACACACACAGGGATGTAGTAAAATCTCTCAAAACATGCAGATATATAAGTGATGGAGTGGGGATTCGAGCTCATGTTTATCTGATCCAAAGGAAATGATCTTTCTATTATGCTTCCTATTTATATAGACCAGAGGCTTTAAAAAAATTTCTTTCAAGCTCAGGAAGTCATTGATCTGAGGCCCCTTACTAAGAAGACATTTTTCTCAATTCCCTGAAGTTTAACATTAAGGACCACTATTTCAGTTGTTGTGAGTGGGCAAGGGGGAAATAGATGATTTCCTATGTAATCTGAGCCCGTCCCCTTCAAGATCTTTATATATTGTGTTGCAGACTCAAAAATGAAAGTAACCTTCTTAATATCTTATTTTATCATTCTTATAATCTTATTTTATCATTCTTATAATTGAAAGAAATATTACAAAAGTATATTGAAAATTAATTGACACAGGGACAAGGCACTAGTACAAATGAAATTTCCATGTAACTGTCGTTTGTTTATGCAAGGAATATCACTTCACAAACTATTAAACCCAAACTATGGCAGAGCATAAAAGAGCTTGTACATCAAGCACTTAGTTGAAAGTTACGTTATGCTAACTAGCTGAAGAGCTTGTCAACATCTCCTGGGTTAAGTATGCCACCTCTTTGATCATCCAAAAAGGTTTCCAACACTGTAGGTGGTCCTAATTAACAGGAAACTGTGATCTTCTTTTACGACTAGATTTTACAAGTCAGGCAATAGAGCACGTTCTATTAATGCTTACTAATATCGTCCTATTCAAATCCAAATATCTCCCCAGATACACAACTGATTATGAATGTGTGTCCTGTTTTAATAGTATCTTTTAAGAGAAAGTTTGATGCTGCTTATCTAAATATCCTCAGGGTTCCTGTAGTCAATTATATTTTCTCATCATGGACTAAGAATGCCCACCCTTAGAGTAAGCTTCATATCTGAATAATCCACATCTGAATTCTACCTTTGATTTAATTTACATGATCTTCCTGGGAAGGAGGAGGATGTGAGGGTGTGTGTATGTGTGTATGTGTGTGTGGTGTGTATGTATAGATGGTGTGGTTTTATCTGTATTTAAGACCTTCTATTTTAACAGCCACAGGAAAGAAACTGTTTGCTTTACATACATAAATCACTTTTAATAGTTATGCCAACCACACAAGATAGTTATTTTGATGTTCATTTTATTTATTATTTATTTTTTTAAATATTTGTATACTTTATTCATGCTATAGTAGTAAAAAAAAGAAGCTTTCAAATTATATACATAAGGAATGAAATTTTAGTAACTTCCTTAGAGAAATATGACTCTGAGGAAGTCACATTAAGTCTCTATTTTCTCATCTCCAAAATCGTTATCATGATAAATATCTCATAGTGGTGCCTTTGTAAAGGACTTGGTCCACATTAGTCACTCAAAATTGGCAATGTTATATTAATTTTTGTTTATGAATTCCCAGTTTATCCTAAATTGGTTTGCACCAACAGAGAGCAATTAAATCCGATTACATGATCTTTTACATTCAGAATCCCTTGTTTTCACTAGCCCTAACCATGTAAGCAGATTTTCCAGGGAGCATTAGGTGAGGTATATGTATCTCAAATATTTTCTATTAATAATAGTAGGTGATTTGGTAATTAGAAATACCAGCCTCACATTACAGAAACAAAGCACTATTTTTAAAAAGTAATTTGGCCTTTGGCTCACACAACCTGCTGAATGTTTTACTGATTACTCATGGACATGCATTTTTTTCGTTTGTTTTGTTTAAGAGTTCCAGGTGTTCTTTTTTTTTTCCTTTTTTTTTTATTATACTTTAAGTTCTAGGGTACATGTGCACAATGTGCAGGTTTGTTACATATGTATACATGTGCCATGTTGGTGTGCTGCACCCATTAACTCGTCATTTACATTAGGTATATCTCCTAATGCTTTCCCTCTCCCATCCCCCCGCCCCACAACAGGCCCTGGTATGTGATGTTCCCCTTCCTATGTCCAAGTGTTCTCATTGTTCAATTCCCACCTATAAGTGTGAACATGTGGTGTTTGGTTTTTTTTTGTCCTTCCGATAGTTTGCTGAGAATGATGGTTTCCAGCTTCATCCATGTCCCTACAAAGGACATGAACTCATCATTTTTTATGGCTGCATAGTATTCCATGGTGTATATGTGCCACAATTTCTTAATCCAGTCTATCATTGATGGACATTTGGGTTGGTTTCAAGTCTTTGCTATTGTGAATAGTACTGCAATAAATATACATGTGCATGTGCCTTTATAGTAGCATGATTTATAATCCTTTGGGTATATACCAAGTAATGGGTTGGCTGGGTCAAATGGTATTTCTAGTTCTAGATCCTTGAGGAATCACCACACTATCTTCCACAGTGGTTGAACTAGTTTACAGTCCCACCAACAGTGTAAACGTGTTCCTATTTCTCCACATCCTCTCCAGCACCTGTTGTTTCCTGACTTTTTAATGATCGCCATTCTAACTGGTGTGAGATGGTATCTCATTGTGGTTTTGATTTGCATTTCTCTGATGGCCAGTGATGATGAGCATTTTTTCATGTGTCTGTTGGCTACATAAATGTCTTCTTTTGAGAAGTGTCTGTTCATATCCTTTGCCTACTTGTTGATGGGGTTGTTTGTTTTTTTCTTGTAAATTTGTTTGAGTTCTTTGTAGATTCTGGATATTAGCCCTTTGTCAGATGAGTAAATTGCAAAAATTTTCTCCCATTCTGTAGGTTGCCTGTTCACTCTGATGGTAGTTTCTTTTGCTGTGCAGAAGCTCTTTAGTTTAATTAGATCCTATTTGTCAATTTTGGCTTTTGTTGCCATTGCTTTTGGTGTTTTAGACATGAAGCCCTTGCCCTTGCCTATGTCCTGAATGGTATTGCCTAGGTTTTCTTCTAGGGTTTTTATGATTTTAGGTCTAACATTTAAGTCTTTAATCCATCTCGAATTAATATTTGTATAAGGTGTAAGGAAGGGATCCAGCTTCAGCTTTCTACATATGGCTAGCCAGTTTTCCCAGCACCATTTATTAGATAGGGAATCCTTTCCCCATTTCTTGTTTTTGTCAGGTTTGTCAAAGATCAGATACTTGTAGATGTGTGGTATTATTTCTGAGGGCTCTGTTTTGTTCCATTGGTCTAGATCTCTGTTTTGGTACCAGTACCATGCTGTTTTGGTTACTGTAGCCTTGTAGTATAGTTTGAAGTCAGGTAGCATGATGCCTCCAGCTTTGTTCTTTTGGCTTAGGATTGTCTTAGCAATGCGGGCTCTTTTTCGGTTCCATATGAACTTTAAAGTAGTTTTTTCCAATTCTGTGAAGAAAGTCATTGGTAGCTTGATGGGGATGGCATTGAATCTATAAATTACCTTGGGCAGTATGGCCATTTTCACGGTATTGATTCTTCCTATCCATGAGCATGGAATGTTCTTCCATTTGTTTGTGTCCTCTTTTATTTCATTGAGCAGTGGTTTGTAGTTCTCCTTGAAGAGGTCCTTCACATCCCTTGTAAGTTGGATTCCTAGGTATTTTATTCTCTTTGAAGCAATTGTGAATGGGAGTTCACTCATGATTTGGCTCTCTGTTTGTCTGTTATTGGTGTATAGGAATGCTTGTGATTTTTGCACATTGATTTTGTATCCTGAGACTTCGCTGAAGTTGCTTATCAGCTTAAGGAGATTTTGGGCTGAGACAATGGGGTTTTCTAAATATACAATCATGTCGTCTGCAAACAGGGACAATTTGACTTCCTCTTTTCCTAATTGAATACCCTTTATTTCTTTCTCCTGCCTGATTGCCCTTGATGTTCATTTTAGAGATTAAGAAATCAAACTCCATCTGTGGAAAGATGGTAGATTGAATACATGCATCTAATTTTATTTCTTTTGAAACCTCAGTGAAAAATACAATAAAGAGATTTGTAAAAAATATAACCAACAAGATGGAGGGATGAGAGTAGGCAGAGTCTGTGTGAATGTTACAAAGCAAACAGATGAGGGACAACTGACTTACACCAGAGGAAGCCAAATCTTACTCAAAATATGGAAGCTCAGACCCAGTTACAGGTAGAATTCCCAAAAGGCTCAGAAATGCTCAGTGCTGGGTATAAGGTGGAAATAACAGGGCGTAGAGAGCTAAAGTAAGAATTTACTGAACACTGTTTAAGAAGTAGATTCGAAGATGCCTTTTTCTGCCCTTTGCTGCTGGGTAACTGTTCATTTTCAACTCCCAGAATTCTAGTAGTCCAGGTGTCACCCCTCAGGCAGGAGGTTGGAAGAGTCTTTGCTGGAGAACCAGAGCAGCCCCAGAGGAAAGACCTAAAGATCCTACGTAACAGGGTGTCTCCAAAATGGACCAGCAAATCACTCCAGAGTAAAGCTCATAAATGACAAGTGGCACCCACCGAACAGTGCTTATTAAGTCTCCACACTTTTTTTTTAACCTTATTTTCCTCTGAAAATTGCATAACAGTATAGAATACATATTATAAGTAAACAGCTGAAACAATTATAAAACAAACAATTATCAGAAAGTTGCCAGCATTCTAAAGCTCCCTGCGTGTTCCTTCCTAATCCCAATACATTCCTTTCCACTAAAGGAAACCAGTGATTCCAACTTTTATAGTACTTGCTTATTTGCTTTTCTTTGCCAACTAAATGAGGATGCCTAAATACTGATATATATGTTAATTAGTTTGATTTAACCATCCCACAATGAATACTTATTTTAAAATGTCATGTATACCATAAATATATGCCATTTTTGTCAATGTAAAAATAATTTTTCAAAGCCTTATAAAGTAATCATAGGAAGGCAGTGTGGTATTAGAGCAAGGATAGACAAAACAAAACAACAACTGATTCAGTGTTACCTGCCTTTGGACTTTTTATAAATGGACTCATAAAGTATGAATTATTTTGTGTTTAAATTTTGTTATGTGATTTACTCATATATATTGTTAGTAATAACTGAAGTTTGTACATTATTATTGCTGTATAGTATTCTAATATTTACATGAGTATCCCACGATTTATTTATCCATTCTACTCTTGGATAGTGGATGCTGGAGTTGCTTCTAGTTTGGGGCTATTAAGAAAAATGTTGAGTGACATGTTTGCTCAATCTTCTGTTGCATATATATGCACATGCATTTCTTTAGGGCATGGGTTGGCAAGCTTTTTCTGTAGAGGGCCCCAGAGAGTAAATATTTTAGACTTTGCAGGTCCTATGGCTTTTTTTGTTACAACTACCCAAATTTGTGAAGAAGCACCCATACCTAAGGGAATAGGCAAGGCTGTTCCAATAAAACTTTATTTACTAAAACAGGTTGTAGACTGGATTTGACTTGAGGGCTTTAGTTTGCTAACTCTTATTTTAGGGAATCTGCTAGGAATGGAATTGTTGATTATAAAGTAAGTATATTTTCAATAAAACCAAGCTGGTTTTCAAAGTACCACAAACAAAGTATGAGATTAATTATTGCTCTGTATCTTCTACTTCAACTCTTGGTATTGTCAGCCATTTTAATTTTAGCCATTCTGGTGGACCTGTAGTATTATCTTATTGTTGTTTTAAGTCTCAAATCAGTGATCAGTTTTGAAGTTTTCATGTCAATTGACCAGTAGGATATTTTTTCTTTTGAGCAGTACCTGACAAGGGGTTTTTTTTTTTTTTTTTGGTGGAGGTTTGAGGGGAGAATTTTTCTATTAGGTTGTCTGTTATTTTCTTATTAATTTATAAAATTTGTTTAAATATTCTGGATAGGAACTTTTAAAAGTTATTCATGTTATAAATACCTTCTCCAACTTTGTGGCATGTTTTTACACTCTTTTACTGTTTTTTTTTAAATGAATAAATGTTCTTTATTTAATTGGTGTCATTTATTAAATTTTCTTTAATACTGGTATTTTTGTGTTCTATTTAAAATAAATATTTCTCTGCTCTAACATCTTGAAAATATTCTACATTTCGTTTTATATATGTTTTGCCCTTCATATTCATGTCTGGAATCCATTTGAAATCACTTTTTAAAAATATATGATTAGCTGTTAAGTTAGCTGTCAAGTTTTAATTGTTTTCCATAAGAATACCTAATTGACCCAGCACCATGAATTGAAGACATCGTTCTTTCCATGCTGCTCTGCAATGCTAATTTTATAATAAATTAAGCAGCTATAGCATATGTGTTAGTCTGTCTCTGGTTTCTCTTGTCTGTTTCATTTTTTTTTTTTTTTTGGCTATCCTTGCTCTAATATCACACTGCCTTCATATTATTACTTTATAAGTCTTTGAAAAATTATTTTTTAAGTTGACAAATAAAAATAGTGTGTATTTATGATATACAACACGACATTTTAAAATATGTATTCATTGTGGGATGGTTAAATTAAGCTAATTAACATATGTAACCTCACATGCTTATTATTTATTTTATGGTGAGAATGCTTAAAAAAATCTACTGTCTCAGCAATTTTTAAGAATACAGTACATTATTATTAACGATGGTCACCATGTTTGTATCCTTCTCAAAATTCATATGTTGGAACCTAATACCTAGTGTGATAGTAGTAAGAGGTAGGGCCTTTGGGAGGTGATTAATTTGGCTCCATTAAGCACTATTAATATATAATACAATATTTTATTAATAATTAATGTGAATTCCCTGGCACTTTAGGCCTGTCTTGTGCATGAGCAGAGCAGCCTTCCAGTGTCGGAGGGATGCCATCAGGCATGAAGATGTGACAGGCACTGGCAGTTGGAAGTCAGAAAACACTGAGAGGCCCAAGGAACATGAGAGGGGACACGACAGTATCTGCTACACTGTACATGCATTAAGGAGGGCAGTTCACTTGTGGTCAGGAGTTCGAGACCAGCTGGGCCAACATGGTGAAACCCCATCTCTACTGAAACTGCAAAAATTAGCTGGGCATGGTGATGTACACCTGTAACCCCACTCAAGAGGCTGAGGTAGGAGAATTGCTTGAATCCGGGAGGTGGAGGTTGCAGTGAGCTGATGTTGTGCCAATACACTCCAGCCTGGGCGATGGAGAGAGACTCTTTCTCAAAAAAAAAAGTCACTTAATATCTTTCATTTGTTTTAATAAATAAAATAATTATTAATAAACAATAATTAATATTAATAATTCTGACTAATAATTTTCCTGAGCATAGAAATTTTTCCTCAAATTCTATTTTTTGTATCTTTTTCTGTTTGTTTTATTCTCTATTGGTAACACTAATTATGTATAATTTATCTCTTCTGTCTCTCATAGTGATTGTTTCTCTCCATTTTTTAAAAATGATGTCTTTATTTCCATCTGATTTTGCACACTTAAGGAATATTTGGTGGCCAGGTATGGTGGCTCACCCAGCACTTTGGGAGGCTGAGGCAGGCGGATCACCTGAGGTCGGGAGTTCGAGATCAGCCTGGCCAACGTGGCGAAACCCCATCTCTACTAAAAATGAAAAATTAGCTGGGCATGGTGGTGCATGCCTGTGGTCCCAGCTACTTGGGAGGCTGAGCCAGGAGAATTGCTTGAACCCAGGAGGAGGAGGTTGCAGTGAGCCAAGATCGTGCCACTGCACTCCAGCCTGGGCGACAGCAAGACTCCATCTCAAAAAAAACATTTGGTACCCCACTACCCCTACCGTGTTCTATGCGGTGCATATTCTTCTACCTTTTGTTTCCATCATGACTTTCATTTACGTGATGAATGTTTTCCTTCCAATTTTTCCTGAGTGCTCTAAGTGCTCATCTTTCGTCTTCTCTATGTGTCTTTTCTGAACCCTGCTTTAGTTCTTGTTTTCCAGAAGTATTTTTTTTCTTTTGTTCTTAGTGAATAGAAATACATTGGGTCTCAATTTTCATCTGTGACATGGCAACATTTTTCTGATGTATTTTCTTTCTTCACTATTTATTTTTTCTGCTCCTTTTTTACCTTTTTTTTTCTTGTATTATCTGTGTGGAGATATTACTATGGTCTGAATGTTGGTGTCCCTCCCAAAATTCATATGTTGGAACCTAATACCTAGTGTGATAGTATTAACAGGGAGGGCCTTTGGGAAGTGATTAAGTCAAGGGGGCTCCACCCTGATAAATGGGATTAATACCCTTATAAAAAAAGGCTGAAGAGAGCCATCATTCGAGCAGTGAGTGAGCCCTCACCAGACACTGAATCCACCAATGCCTTCATCTTGGACTTTTCACACTCCAGAACTGTGAGCAATAAATTCTGTTGTTTGTACATTACCAGTCTAAGATATTTTTGTTATAGCAGGCTGAAAGGACAAAGACAGATCTTTGCCTGTCCCATTCTTATCATTAATCTTTAAATGAAAATAATTCTTCCTGATCCAACTCTTTTTAGATTTGTGGGGAACGTTCTGGGGCAGTGTCCTAAGCTAGTAGTACTCTCCGTGGTTCTTAAGAAAGTTTCTTATGGCACAAGTGTATGTGGTTGAGTGAGTTCTTAAACTGATTTCCCCACCATTGAAGGAGATCTACACTTACATGGAGGCTCTCTATAAAGAGTACCTCACCTCATACCCTATCTAGTGGCAGGTGCCCTTCAGCAAAGAAAAGCATCTATGTGTTCCTTGTTCAGCTCCACACTCTCAGCTTCTTCGCATTGCCAAATTGATCCTAAGAGGTTCTCTATACCAGTCCCCCCAAATTCTCATTCAAAGACAGGGCTTATTGGATTAACCCTTCAGCTTAGATCACCTACTTTGAGCACTAGGTTCTATAGGCTTTCTTTGACATCTGCAGCCACAGATATCTTCTCTTGGTGTCTTCCCACATACATGATAGATCCTTGCTGACTTTCCTCATGTATTGTGGTTTGGGGATATGGCAGCTCATAGTTTTACCAATGATGGAATTTACATTTCAGTTTCTCATTTTTGGTATTGTTTTAAGATGATTGCTGAGAGAAGGGAGCATAAATGTCTTTTTCCTGCTATCTTAAAGATACAAGTTGATAGTTTATTGGAAGAGAAGTCTTCCTCTTGCCTCTCTGCTTCTCACAAATATTTTGTCTCTGCTGTAGGCCAGCACTGTCCAGTATAGCATGTATGATGATGAAGGTGTTCTATATCTGTGCTGATCGATACAAGTAGCCAATAGCCACAAGTGACTATTGAACACTTGGAATGTGGCTGGTGTGGCTGAGGACCACATTTTAAAATTTATCCAAGTTAATTTACTTAAAATTAAATTTAACTAGCCTAAATCTAGTTCTTTAGGTCTCCCTAAAGATATATATATTTAGAAGGCATATTCCTTCCTAGGTTTTATTTTTTTCTCCTGCTTGTCATATCCCTTCCCTGAGGCAAAGAGCACAGAGCCCAAACTGCTTGGAGGTAAAAGAAAAACTGCTGGGGAAAAAACATAAGCCAATAGCTCAGAAATCTTATTCCCTATTAGTTGGTGTCTGATTTGCCTTCTTAGATGGCACTAAAGTCCAGTGATTAGTTGGAGGCATCCAGCAGCTTTTCTGGATACAGATGCCCAGCACCTTTTAGCCTCAGCTGTCACATTTGGTACCTAAGGCAAATACTACTGCAGTGATCTTTGGAATTTCTAATCATTTACGATGAAAACAGCTCATGGCTGGGCTGCTAAGTCCAAAGGAACACAATGATAAGGGAGAGACAAGATATAAGTCAAGTGTGTCCTCATTCCCAGGGAGCAGATGGCCAGCAAAGCCATGCATTGGCCACTATCTGTATCTGTAGTATCTTCTTGAAACTTTCACTTTTCTTCTTTGTGGTCCGGCTTCCTCTCAGACTCTAAGAATGTGCCATGTTCCTGCTCACTACAGGACTTTTGCAGATCTTGTTCTCTGTATCTGGAAATCCCCACCACTCCTTTGTCATCTTTTACTTTTAACTCCTACTCATTGTTGACATCGTGACTATCACTTCTTCAGGGAAGCCTATTTTGGTTCCTTAGTCCAGGTCAGTTACACCTTAATAAATAAAGTGGCTTAGATGTCTGCCCCAGGTATTTGAAAGTTGGCTGCAGATGGGAACACATCTGAATCTCTCCAGGAGCTGAGGATACTCCCAGGATATGGAGCTCCCACTGTCCATCTCTAAGATGCATTGATATATTGGGTTTATCATTTTACGGTGCTTGAATGAATGGATTCTGGCTTCAAAGTGCTTGTCTAAAAGCATAGGATAAAATTTCCTATTTCCATCCTATGCTGTACACTATTACCCAGCTGTAAACATATTAAATAAATTCTCCTCTCATGCAGTATAAAACACTGAACATTCTAGGTGATTTGAAACTGAACTCATAGACTCTTTAGTCATAGTATAAAAAAAGAATAAATATTTTTATTCATAGAACTCACAGAGAAGGAACATTGCTTTAGATTTAGATATTTTCTAGAAATGCAGGCTGGAATAATAGAGTCATGGCACAGTTTTCTCCAAGGAGGAAAGGTAGCGCTTTTACTTAATGAGTAAGGTTATTTCCTAGTTTGCTTGGCCTACAAAGTATGTTCATTGTTCTCTGCCAATTTAGTGCTTTGCTATTCATGGAGATAGGCCTGGATAGTGGCTGAACAGAAAGCAGGGCAGTAAAGAAAAGGGAAAATAAGAGAGTAAGATTGGCTTAGGATAGAGTGAAGAAAGCCCCTAAGACTAATTTTCTCAATGTAATAGAGCTTGTAAAAGCAATTTCTCCCTTTCAAAAGCTACACTGATTATGCTGAGTCAGGTGAATTCTAGGTTAATATCTAAGCCATTTTGTATTGTTGTCTGCAGTGCTTATAGAATTATTCATTGACAAAGGCAACTTACTGACTACATAACGTGACTTCTTTGAGTTTCCCAATATATCTGGAGTGAGTTGTTCATTAGCAACTATAGTGTGAAAGGCCAAATGTTACTCCCCAATTGGAGTTAACTCAGGCTACATCAGGGGAAAGCAGGATAGTCAGAAGGAGGTTGCTAGGGTATTAGGCCATTTCCAAATGAGACGTGAGTCAAAATCAGCTTCATTTTTCTCTATAGACTAAATTTAATTTCAAATTTATAAATGCACTCAAATTTCTGAGACTTTGGTTGTGCACTAATTTATATTAACTTACCAGTAGCAGATCCACAGAAAAATCCCAAAGGTCAAGCATCAACCTATAGTGGCAGAATTCTCAACTCCTTCACATAGGCTATGATCCAGAGGAAAGCAGGATTAGCAGGGCTGCCTCTTTACACATGAAAACTTGGTCTGAGATTTCTCTGAGATGACTAATATGAATTAGTTATGTAACCGTTTCAAAGTAGCCTGAAAAAATTAAATTCAGATGAAGTTATTATGCAGGCTTAACAGCCTTCTGAGAGCCCAGGCCGGAGGCTAAGAAAATAAAAGTGGACCTTATTTGTATTTAATCAACAAATGAATTAATTAGCTCCTTAAAAAGCTTTAAAATTGTCATGTTTAACTAGACTTGCTCAGTTAGAATTGGAGAGGCTATTTTGTGAGTGAATTACAGTCAGTATCCTGTGAAAATAGAAGTCCGATATCATACACATGTAGATTTTTTATTCTCTCTTCCTGTTTATCTGTCTGAGCAACTTGCTGCTTTTCATTGTTCAACAAAGGATACATATTCAATAAAGGAGACATTCTGTAGCTAAGTGTGGCTTTTTTCTTTTTTTTCTTTTTGGTTGATCTGTGGCCCCTTTGATAAAGGGCAGAGGGGAGACAGAATAGGAGAGACTCCTCATCGGTGGTATCACAATGCTGGGTGAAAATTCACAAACTCACAGAGGGGGTCTCCAAGAGTCTCTCGGAAATGTGAACGTAATCATTTATTGTCATGGACACAACGTCATTAATGTGTCAATAAGACAGCATTACAATATAGATTATTTTTGTTTTGATTGTGGATTTTGCAGTATAAGTATACAATGATACTCAAAGTAATGAACTTTAAACCATGAAGGTGTTTTTATATAGAACTAAAATGTACATTGTTTAACATATACTTAATGAAATTTATAAATGCCATTGTAATAACTTATAAATTAGTGTAAATTAAACACTATGTGGTGGGAATCACCACAGAATCTTAGAGGCTAACTGGGTTCAAATAGCTCTCATTTTCTTGGAGTCCCAGAGAAGATAAATTTTTGCCTGAGAATGCACAGCTGCTAAAAGGCTTACACCTCCTCTCCTCCAACAAACCACCTCTTGTTGTTCTTTATATGATGTAACATTACCCAAGTTCTGAAGTAAATGTTTTTAATTAGAATATAAGATTCCCCACCCCACTTTGTGTGGGAAGCTGAATTAGATAATTTCTACAATTTTTTCAAAATAAAAAAACGAAATTGTGAAAATTTTACACAGTCACATTGTCACTATGTAGATTTTTCTTCATAATCCAACAACATTTTCCAAATAACCTGTTCTATTTCATCCTCACTTCCACCATGACTGCCACTCAGGTATATTTTGTGTGTACTTTTTTGGGTAAAATTTTTATATTACTCTTCCACAACAGGGGCTACTTTGACCTCAAATACCTTTTTATGATCTGAGGTGTGAACTTGTCTGTCTCCATCTTACAAATCTTCTCCTAGGAGCCTCTGCCCACAAATGAGAAGTTTTTGAGCAGATCCCAGGTTTTCTCTTTCTTTTTTCCCTACCTTGATCTACGGATTCATTGAGCTCTAGGGCATTCGAAAGAGAAGGAAAGCTGCGTGATAAAATATGAAGGTGAAGCTGAGAGTTACAATGCAGACTCTGCTGTAGGAGAAGCAAGACCCTTGTCCGGATGGCCCCTGGAGCGGCGAGTTAGCATGAAGAAGCAAACTGGGGAATAACGGGGAAAGGGAGGGGTTAAGATTTGCTTCATAAAAGGATTTAGGGAGCCTCTCTTTATGATTTTGCTCCTCTAGTTCCCTAAAAGAAGCAATGCTTGTCTACTTTGCTTTCTGAAGTCAGAAAGGAATGCTTGATTTCTCAGCAGAACTATGGTTTGTTTTTCCTCTCTAAATACTGGCACCGTTTTAAAAGAAAGCAAAGCTTTTTATTTCACAGAATTAAAAGTCTTAACACATCTAGAAGAGTTTAACATCTTAGTATAAAGGGATACGTGTGGGAAAGTAAATACAGGTATCAGATTTGTCCTAGTTTTGATAGGGGCAAGGCTCTGGGAACAGAGAGGCACAGCTCTTCTGCAGTGAGAGGAGAAGGTACCATTCTGGGAAGCGTGGAGCAGGAATAAGACAAGGCCATCAAAGACCGATTCCCTTATTTTATGATTTGCTTGGAGCTGTTGTAACTATCTTCATCTGAGTACAGACAAAGCTGTGTGCAAAGGTTTTACAGCTCTTGACCTTACTCAATATCCACACCTAGGTGAGAATCATGAAGCATTTTGTAACACCCTTAGCATTTTGCCATCTTTCAAAATGCACCTTTGAGTCTTTTACTTTATTTTCTCAAAACGTAATCTTCCCCAGCTCTACCCAGCACATTTAAATCATGATAGGACAGATGACTGTAAAGATAATTAACCTTTGCTAAGGTTTCACTTAGAAGACTCTCCTTGATGCTTTATTTTTCTAAGATTGACCATTAGCTAGTGCACTCTGTCACAGAATAGAAATTTGTAGCATTGGTTGTGTCAAAATAGCACAAGTATGAACCCACAGTTTAAGAGGTTGTATTTCTTGATCTAGTTAACAAATCATGTCATGTTGTTCTTTAAAACATATAGTACTACCCAAGTGTTTCTGGCTAATGTTAGGATCAGACAGAGGGTTGATGAGCTGTAATGTCGATAGTGCAGATGCCATAAAACAACATCTACTGCCTTCTAAAACAGAGGAGGGGGAGCAGGGGATGGGGAGAGGCTTGAGAAGTTCTCTAGTGCCACCATTGATTTAATTCCCTCAACAACATGCAAAAAAAAACTTGTGAAAACTTTGTATGCTACAAAATGATGGACAAAAATTCCAACTGTTTGATTGTTGGTTTATAGAACATAATGGACAGCATGACATGATATTTTGGGAGTCTGATTGTGTTACCTGAAACCAAGAGAAGATGAACATCCTGGTTTTGGCTATAAATTTTCTAGCCAGAAATAGCATGGCTAAAAGGTGTTGATACCAAAGAAGGGCAATAGGAAAAGAAATTACTTATGTGTTTCTGATATGACTCTATTTGGTTTCCTATCAATAATGACGTTTTGAAATTCCTCAGGAATTTTCACACTGCCGTGGCTTTTAATTTGCAAGTGCTTAGGATGTGCAAACAGAAAGGGGTGGGGCTTTCTGTTTCCTGGAGGTAGCACACCCCCAGCAGCCAGTTAGAGTACAATTGCTTCCCACTTTAAACATGTTTCCTCTTCCCTTTTTATGGGATTGGAAGTGAACTCAACTCAAATACTTCAGACTCAGGAAGTAGGATGTGGCAGATTAAGGGAAAAAACATTAATGAATTTATTCAGCTGTGGTTAACCTCCCTGAGGTGAGCAGTTCTGGATTGAGTGGTCTAAATTATGCAATGTCTAATGTGATCACTTAAAATATCTATGGCTTTGTCTGTGATTTAATTTTTTTTAAATTTTAGCTTTTCATTTTGAAGTTTGAAATAATTTTAGACTTATACAACTGTTGCAAAAATGGTACAAAGAATTCTCATATACCCTTTACCTAGCTTTTCCAGATGTTAACATCTTACTTAAGCCTAGTACAATTATCAAAATCAGGGAATTCACATTGATTTAATTCTATGACTCATCTTCAGATCTCAATTAAATTTGCTGCTTGTCTCACTAATGTCCATTTTCAGGTCCAGCATCAAGTCTAAGACACCTTACATTTAGCTGTTGGATAATGACTTTTTAACATTGCTGTACCAGGCCAGGCATGGTGGCTCACACCTGTAATCTCAGCACTTTGGGAGGCTGAGGCTTGCAGATCACCTGAGGTCAGGAGTTCAAGACCAGCCTGGCCAACATGGTGAAACCTCTACTCTACTAAAAATAAAAAAAAATAGCTGGGTATGATGGTGGGTGCCTGTAATCCCAGCTACTCAGGAGGCTGAGACAGGAGACTCTCGAACCCAGGTGGCAGAGGTTGCAGTGAGCCGAGATTGCATGACTGCACTCCAGCCTGGGCAGCAGAGTAAGACATAGTATACCATCTGTTTTTGTTGTTGTTGTAGTTGTTTTGTGTTTGTTCGTTGTTTTTTTGTTTTGTTTCCTTCCTTCTTTCCTTTGTTTCCTTCCTTCCTTCTTCCTTTCCTTAAACCCTTTCCCTTCCCCTCCCCTCCCCTCCTCTCTCCTCTCCTTTCTTTTCTTTTCCTTCCTTTCTTTTTTTTTTTTAAATTAGCAACTTTGAATATAATGATGTCATAATTATAAGATTAGCCCAGTAAAAATTCACACTTAAAGAGAATACAGTATGTGTAAACATCATTTTATATGCACTGGGAAACCAAAAAAAATTGTGTGACTCACTTTATTACCCAGTGTTCACTTTATTATGGTGATGTAGAACTGAACCTGCAATATCTTTGAGATATGTCTGTAACTGCTTGATGTACTTATTCTAGGTATAATAGAAAGTAAAAGGGTCAAAATTTTCCCAGGCACATTTCCTTCTTACCCATTTCAAACAGGAAATGTTATTATAGTCTTAGAAGCATTTTACTAGGATAGCACTTCTTATGGTCGACTGGGTCGGAAGCCAAATTAGAATATTTTTAACCCCTCTTTATAGGATTCTAATATCAACTGCCAACTTTATCTAAAATTAGCCTTTGCTTTTTCCCATCTAAAAGCTTTTTAATCCCTTTTATTTTGACATATCAGCTGTTGAAATTCTCATTGTAAATCAATGTATTTGGTTTTTTTTTTTTTGGTGCCAAATGTATGAATAACACTGAGCTAATTAATATCCTAAGAAGTATAAGAATGGTTCCAGCCTCAAAGGGCTTATAACCTTATTGGAGAAGTAGTAC
Source organism: Homo sapiens (assembly GCF_000001405.40). Lineage (NCBI taxonomy): Eukaryota > Metazoa > Chordata > Mammalia > Primates > Hominidae > Homo > Homo sapiens. The sequence goes on along the minus strand of NC_000001.11, from coordinate 199,719,012 downwards.
ATATATTTTGCTAAACGTTAATTAAGGTATGTATATTAGGGTTTTCCAAGGGAAGCAGAACCAACAGAATGTGTGTGTGTGCACGCATGAGTGTGTATACATATATAAGTATATATACATACACATTTATAATAAGGAATTGGCTCACATGATTATGGAGGCTATGAAGTCTTTAAGAGCTATAGTTTAGGGCTAGGGGCAGTGATACACACCTACTCAGGAGGCTGAGGCAAGAGGATCGCTTGAGCTCAGGCATTCAAGACCAGTCTGTTGTCTATAACAACAACCAAAAAGATCTGCAGTTGGCAAGCTGGGCATGCAGGAGGAGAGCCAATGGTAAAAGTTTCAGTCAGAGTCTGAATTACCAGGAGAGCTGAAAGCTGGCAGACTCGAGATCCAAGAAGAGCCAATGTTTCTAACTCTGCAAGCCAGAAAAGGCGAATTTGTAACTCAAGCAAGTCAGGCAGGAGGAATTCTTTCTTATTCACCTTTTTCTTCTATTAGGGCCTTCAATTGAATGGATAAGGCTCATCAGTAATTAGGAAGGCAATCTGCTGTACTCAGTCTACCAATCCAAATGTTAATCTCATCCCCCTCAGAGACACACCCAGAATAATGTTAGATCAAATGTGTGGGCACCATGTGGTCCAGTCAAGTTAACACATAAGAGGCAGACCAATGTGGATTGGAATAGTGAACCTGACCTTAGCCTTAAAGAGTAGGCAATATTAGAATAGGAGTGGAGGTACTTAGAGAGAAGAGGAGGAATTGAGTCAAGGTAGAAGAGATCAACAACAGCAGCAAAACTCTAGAGGCTAAAGCAGAGGGTTTGAGATGAGCAGTGTTGGCACACAGCATGAGATAGGGTAGTATCACCCATTAGAGAGTGAAATTTTAGAGTAGTGAGCTGAAATGCGATGTAATGATGTGAAAAGCAATGGGATTTAATGTTAGGAGTTTTAAAAATGACTCAAAATGAGTGATGATTTTGAAGATCAATCTGGTGGTAGTATGAATTTGAGCGGATTGAGAAATGGAAACTGGTTAAAGACAATATTAACAGTGATTCAGACAAGACATGATATCTTAGAAGGAAAGAAAGTGGTTAAGAAAGAGGAAAAATCCAAGAAAAATGACTGTTGCTAGGTAGCTGATGGAATAAAGGAGATGAAGAAAAGAAAGGGGCCAAAAATCCCAATCAAAATCATTTATGTATTTCTTACTGTGTACTCGGGTAGTGCTAAAACTTTAACCTGAATTAGTTATCACAATAATCCTTGTCAAGTATCCCACATCTATATAGAGCAAAATCTATAGAGCATGGCACACAGCCCATCACTCTAAAATTTCACTTTCAAATGGATGATATCACCCTACCAATTGCTGTGTGTCAACACTGCTCATCTTAAACCTTCTGCTTAAGCCTCTAGAGTTTTGCTGCTGTTGTTGATCTCTTCTACCTTGACTCAATCCCTTCTGTTCTCTCTAAGCACCTCCACTCCTATCCTAATACTGCCCACTATTTAAGGTGTGGGTTAAGTTCACTATTCCAATCCACATTGGTCTGTCTCTTATGTGTTAACTTAACGGGACCACAGGGTGATCACACATTTAATCTAACGTTGTTCTGGGTGTGTCTCTGAGGGTGTTTCTGAATGAGATTAACATTTAGGTTGGTAGACTGAGTACAGCAGACTACCTCCTTAATATAGATGAGCCATATCCATACGCTCATCTGTTTATGTGTAGACCTTGTATAACTGGTTAAACTCATCTCTGTCCAGTAGCTCCTCCAATGTTAGCTTTCAGCTTTTGGACTTATTTGTAGTTGTATGCACAGGCTGACTTCTCTTATAATGTATTTCTTTGCCAGTTTGCAAACTCCTAGTTTGTTCCCTTGAAAAGTTATTTATCTTTCAAAATTTAGTGTGTACATTGCTTTCTCTGGGGTATCTTTCCTGCATTTTTCCAGCTGGCTGAGGTGTTGTTGGCTCCTTGTCTCTCTTATTGGATTACTGGATAATTCAATAAGAGAGCCGTGCTTTTCATATTGCATTTTCAGGTTCTAACAGTGTCATGTAAAGTAGGGTTGGTCTAGATTAATTAGCATTGTAGATGAATGAATGACTGAATGAATGGTGAGTGTGTTGGTCAATATTGCACCACTACCCTTCTGTTAAATGATTTTGTGAGTTGATTACTTAAGCCCCTTTGTTCCAATTGCTTTTTCCAGTGTCTAGAAATCATCCTTTATTTTGCTATAAATTTCTTGTTTGTTAGGACCTTTCCAAATGCTATCTGGAATAACCATATTACTAGCAAAATAGTTTCAATTTCACCACCTCACTGTCAACTCAGACACAGTCTTATGTCCTGCTTCCACTTTTTGGTAAATGTTGAGAATAGGATATTTTTTTCCCCATTTTAAGACTGTCTGTTAGAAAAGAATTAATTTTAAAACTTTTAAGTTGGCCAGGCACAGTGGCTCATGCCTGTAATCCCAGCACTTTGGGAGGCTGAGGTGGGTGGATCATGAGGTCAGGAGATCAAGACCATCCAGACTAACACTCCATCTCTACTAAAAATAAAAAAAATAAAAAAATAAAACATTAGCCGGGAGTGGTGGCGGGTGCCTGTGGTCCCAGCTACTCAGGAGGCTGAGGCAGGAGAATGGCATGAACCTGGGAGATGGAGCTTGCAGTGAGCCGAGATCATGCCACTGCACTGCAGCCTGGGTGGCAGAGCAAGACTCCATCTCAAAAAAAAAAAAAAAAAAAAACCTTTAAGTTATTTATTGTCAGGAGAAGATATTTCTGCAAACAGGAGGACATCAAAGCAAATTTTCTCCACCCTTTATATAACAATAGTTGTCATTTATTGAGCTCTTACTGTATGCTAGATGATTTTATTTTCATTTGTTTCACAAAGATTTATTGAGCACATACTAAATGCTAAATACTGTTTTCAGTGCTAGAGTTTTTAAGTGTAATTAACAAAATGGCCCAAAATTTACCTGCCAGATATTTTGCTATATTAGTTGCCTTAAGTCACATAATTAAAGTAATATAATCCTTAGAACAACTCTTTAAGATAGGTTGTATTTTCCCTGTTTTATAAAGAGGACACAGGAAAATAGAGAGGTTAAGTTGCTAACCCATGGTCTTGTGGTTAGTGAGTTTCAAACCCAGATTTGGATCCAGAACTACCTTACTTCATAGTTAATATACTCTTGTTTATTCCATATTCCTCTTCAGTATAACATTGTAGAGAAGCTCTGGACTCACGGTAGAAGATCTGGGGGAGAAAATTCCAGTTCACTGACTTGTTCTGTGCATGACTTTTGATGTATTACTGGACTTCACCAGACTTCTTCTGGGTAATAATAAGACTGACACAGTGTTATTCTGCAGATGGCATAAAATACTCTAAATGAAAACTCTTAGCACCATTCCTGGCATAAAGTAGGCACCCAGTACATGTTGGTTTCATTTGAATTGCAAATTACAAAAATTACAATCTTTTTACTCCATGTTGAAGATTCTCCTTTTAATTTTTTTAACTTTTATTTTAAGCTCAGGGGTACATGTGCAGGTTTGTGGTGTATGGAAAATTCACATAACAGGGGTTTGTTGTACAGATTATTTTGCCACTCAGGTATTAAGTCTAGTATGCATTAATTATTTTTCATGATCCTCTCCCTCCTTCCACCCTCCACCCCCCAGTAGTGGGCCTCAGTGTGTGTTGTTCCCCTCTATGAGTCCATGTGTTCTCATCATTTAGCTCCCACTTGTAAGTGAGAACATGCAGTATTTGGTTTCTGTTCCTGTGTAAGTCTGATAAGGATAATGACCTCCAGCTCCATTAATGTTCCTGAAAAGGACATGATCTCATTCTTTTTTTAAGGCTGCATAGTATTCCATGGTGTATACGTATCACATTTTTTTTAAATCCAATCTACCATTGATGGGTGTTTAGGTTGATTCCATGTCTTTACTATTGTGAATAGTGCTGCATTGAACATACTTGTGTATGGGTCTTTATGACAGGAAAATTTATATCCCTTTGGGTATATACTTAGCAATGGAATTGCTAGGTCAAATGACATTTCTGTTTTTAGGTCTTTGAGGAATTGCCATACTCTTTTCCATAATGGTTGTCCTAATTTACACTTGCACCAACAGAGTATAAGCATTCTTTTTTCTCCCACAACCTTGCAGGCATCTGTTATTTTTTGACTTTTTAATAATAGCCATTTTGACTGGTGTGAGTTGGTATCTTATTGTGATTTTGATTTGCATTTATTTAATGATCAGTGATCTTGCACTTTCTTTCATATGCTGGTTGGCCACATGTATGTCTTCTTTTGAAAAGTGTCTGTTCATGTCCTTGACCACATTTTTATGTTTTGTTTTGTTTTGTTTTGTTTTGTTTTTCTTGTAGAGTTGTTTAAGTTTCTTATAGATGCTGGATATTAGACCTTTGTTAGATGTATAGTTTGAAAAAATTTTCTTTCATTCTGTAGGTTGTCTGTTTACTCTGTTGATAGTTTCTTTTGCTGTGCAGAAGCTCTTTAGTTTAATTAGATACAATTTGTCAATTTTTCCTTTGTTGCAATTGCTTTTGGCATCTTTGTTATGAAATCTTTGCCCATTCCTGTGTCCAGAATGGTATTGCCTAGGTTGTCTTCCAGGGCTTTTATTGTTTTTGGGTTTTATATTTAAGTCTTTGATCCATGTTGAGTAGATTTTTGTATATGGTGTAAGGAAGGGGTCCAATTTCAATCTTCTGCATACAGTTGCCAGTTACCCCAGCACCATTTATTGAATAGAGAGTCATTTCTCCATTGCTTGTTTTTGTCAACTTTGTCAAAAAACAGATTTGTAGGTGTGTGGACTTATTTCTGGACTCTCTATCCTGTTCCATTGGTCTATGTGTCTGTTTTTTCTTTTTATAAAACCAGTATCATGCTGTTTTGGTTACTGTAGCCCTGTAGTATAGTTTGAAGTTGGGTAGCATGATGCCTCCAGCTTTATTCTTTTTGCTTAGGATTGCCTTGGCTATTTGAGCTCTTTTTTGGTTCCATATTAATTTTAAAATAGTTTTTTTTCTAGTTCGGTGAAGGATGTTATTGGTAGTTTGATAGGAATAGCATTGAATCTATAAATTGTTTTGGCCAGTATGGCCATTTTAATGATATTGATTCTTTTTATTCATGAGCATGGAATGTTTTTCCATTGGCTTGTGTCATCTCTGATTTCTTTGAGCAGTGTTTTGTAGTTCTCATTGTAGAGATCCTTCACCTCTCTGGTTAGCTGTATTCCTAGGCATTTTATTCTTTCTGTGGCAGTTGTGAATGGGATTGCATTCTTGAGTTGGCTCTTGGCTTGATGGTTGTTGGTGCATAGGAATGCTGGTGACTTTTGTACATTGATTTTGTATCCTGAGCCTTTACTAAAGTTGTTTATCAGCTTAAGGAGCTTTTGGGTTGAGATTCGGGTTTTCTAGATACAGAATCATGTAGTCTGAAAACAGATAGTTTGACTCCCTCTCTTCCTATTTGGATGCCCTTTATTTCTTTGTCTTGCTTGATTGCTCTGGCTAGGACTTCCAATATCATGTTGAATATGAGAGGGGGCATCCTTGTTTTGTGCTGGCTCTCCAGGGGAATGCTTCCAGCTTTTACCCACTCAGTATGATGTTGGCTGTGAGTTTGTCATAGATGGCTCTTATTATTTTGAGGTATGTTCCTTCAGTATCTAGTTTATTGAGAGTTTTTAACATAAAACGAAGTTGAATTTTATCAAAAGCCTTTTCTGTATCTATTGAGATGATCATGTCATTTTTGCCTTTAGTTCTGTTTATTTGAGGAATCATGTTTATTGATTTGCATATGTGGAACCAACCTTGCATCCCAGCGATGAAGTCTTCTTCATCATGGTGGACATGTTTTTTGATGTGCTGCTGGATTTGGTTTGCCAGTATTTTGTTGAGGATTTTTGCATTGATATTCATCAAGGATATTGGAATGAAGTTTTCTTTTTTAGTTATGTCTTTGCCAAGTTTTGGTGTCAGGATGATGCTGGCTTTGTAGAATGAACTGGGGAGGAATCCCTTCTCTTTAATTTTTTGAAACAGTTTCAGTAGGAATGGTACCAGTTCTTTGTACATCTGGTAGAATTTGGCAGTGAATCCATCTGGTCCTGGGCTTGTATTGGTTGATAGGCTATATATTACTGATTCAATTTTGGAGCTCATTATTGGTCTGTTCAGGGATTCAATTTCTTTCTGGCTCAGTTTTGGGATGGTATGTGTATCCAGGAATTTAACCATTTCTTCCAGATTTTCTATTTTGTGAGCATAAAGTGTTCGTAGTATTCTCTGATTATTATTTGTATTTCTTTTTTCCTTTTTTTTTTTTCTTTTTTGAAACCAAGTCTCACTCAGTCACCCAGGCTGGAATGCAGTGGCATGATCTGGCTCACTGCAGCCTCCACCTCCTGGGTTCAAGTGATTCTCCTGGTTCAGCCTCCTGAGTAGCTGGGATTACAAGCGCCCACCACCACAACCTGCTAATTTTTGTATTTTTAGTAAAGACATGTTTTCACCATGTTAGCCAGGCTAGTCTCGAACTCCTGACCTCAGGCGATGCACCCACCTCAGCCTCCCAAAGTGTCGGGATTACAGGCATGAGCCACCGCACCCGGCCAATTATTTGTATTTCTGTGGAGTTGGTGGTAATATCCCATTGTCATTTCTAATTGTTTTCACTTGGATCTTCTGTCTTTTCTTATTTATTAGTCTAGCTAGTGGCTTATTTTATTAATTTTTTTCAAAAAAAACCCCACAACTCTTGTATTTGTTGATCTTTTGAATGGTTTTTTTGGTGTCTCAATCTCCTTTAGTTCAGCTCTAATTTTGGTTATTTCTTGTCTTCTGCTAGATTTAAGGTTCATTTACTCTTGTTTTTCTAGTCCTTTTAGTTGTGATGTTAGGTTGTTAACTTGAGATCTTTCTAACTTTTTGATGTGGACATTTAGTGCTATAAATTTTCCTCTTAACACTGCCTTGGCTGCATCCCAGGGATTCTGGTATTTGTATCTTTGTTCTCATTAGTTTCAAAGAACTTCTTGATTTCTGCCTAAATTGCATTATTTGCTCAGAAGTCAATCAGGAGCAAGCTATTCAATTTCTATGTAATCATATGATTTTGAGTAAATTTCTTAGTCTTGTTTTCTAATTTTATTGCACTGTGGTCCAACAGAGTGGCTGTTATGATTTCAGTTCTTTTGCATTTGCTGAGGAGTGTTTTATGTCTGATTATGTTGTTGATTTTTGAGTATGTGCCATGCATCAATGAGAAGAATGTATATTCTGTTGTTTTTGGGTGAAGAATTCTCTAGGTGTCTACCAGGTCCATTTGATACAGTGCTGAATTTAGGTCTTGAATATCTTTGTTAATTTTCTGTTTTGATAGTCTGTCTAATACTCTCTGTAGGGCATTGAAGTCTCCCTCTATTATTGTGTGGTAGTCTAAGTCTTTTTGAAGGTCTCTAAGAACTTGCTTTATGAATCTACGTGCTCCTGTGTTGGGTGCATATATACTTAGGATAGTCAGGTCTTCTTGTTGAATTGAATCCTTTACCATTATGTAATGCATTGTATTTTTTAACCTTTTTTGGTGTAAAGTCTGTTTTGTCTGACGTTAAGATTGCAACCCTTGCTTTTTTCTGTTTTCCATTTGCTTGGTAGATTTTTCTCCACCGCTTTATTTTGAGCTGATGTGTGTCATTGCATGCAAGATGGGTTTCTTGCAGGCAGCATACCATTGGGTCTTGCTTCTTTATCCAGCTTGCAACTCTGTGCCTTTTAAATGGGGCATTTAGCCCATTTACATTCAAGGTTAGTATTGATATGGGTGGATTTCATCCCATTGTTTTGCATTAGCTGGTTATTATGCAGCTAACATATTTTGTTAGCTGCATATTATTGTAACCATATTTTGGTTATTGTTGGTTATTGTTTGTGTGGTTGCTTTATAGTGTCATTGGTCTGTGTACTTAAGTGTGTTTTTGTAGTGGTTGGTAATGATCTTTCTATATAAAGTTCCTTTTTAAGAGTATAATAAAGTCAATCATTTCCAGCATCTGTGTGATGAATTAAATTTCGCAAGTGATCTCTCCTAATGCTGTATTTTATCATCTGAATAAAATCAATCAGGGAACTCAGTAGGAGGGCAGAAAGATGGCAAGAATACAGTTAAATTTCCTGGGCAATGAAGTAGCTGTCTTCTAAGTAATGTATGTCTTTAAAGTAGCTCACGGATACTCCAGAAGCTATAGGCAGCAAAGCGACCCTCCATCCTCCTCCCTCACTGAGGAACCCTTCTCCACAGAGCTGTTGCATGTTCTGGTGCTCTGACACTGCTTGTCTTCTCTTCCAGGGTCTGTGGTTTGGAACACCCACTACTGATGTACATATACTGTTTTACTGCAACTAGTGGTGTCCTTGTTGTTGCAGCCAATCCCAGAAGCATTGCTGATACATGAAATGATATTGTTTTGGCAGCTGAAGTAAGAATGTGACTATGGGAAAGCCACTAACTGGATCTAATTTCCTATTGTCTGAAAAATGAGGGAACTAGAGGAGATGATCTCTCAGATGAAGTCTCAGACGTCTTCTAGTTCTATAATTCTGTGATTTTTCTTTTCTCATCTCTTTGGCCTCTTCTGTGTTTTGTCCATTATCCTACTAGCTTTGATAGTTTTGGGTCCCACTGAAAAAACTGTTTTTGTGAGAATAGATACTGATTGTAGTGACAACTCATTCTTCTTCCCCCAGAGCAAACTGACCAAACTGTGTTTCAGAGAAATACCTCCTGTCATGTCCTCCCTGTTTATGCCAGCTTTTAAAAAATTTTTATATATTTAGGGGGTACAACTGCAGTTTTGTTACATAGGTATATTAAATAGTGGTGAAGTCTGGGCTTTTAGTGTAACCATCATCTGAACAGTGTACATTGTACCCTTTAGGTAATTTCTCACCCCTCCTCTCCACTCTTCTGTGTTTCCAATGTCTATTATTTATTCCACACTCTATATTCATGTGTACACATTATTTAGTTCCCACTTATAAATAAGAACATGAAGTATTTGACTTTCTGTTTCTGACCTATTTCACTTAATGGCCTCCAGTTCTGTCCATGTTGCTGCCAAAGACATGATCACATTCTTTTTTTATGGCTGAGTACAATTCCTTTGTGTATGTATACCACATTTTAAAAACCCAATAATCTGCTAATGTTAGGTTGGTTCCATGTCTTTGCTATTGCAAATAGTACTGCAATAAACATACGAGTACAAATATATTTTTGATATAATCATTTCTTTTCCTTTGGGTAAATACCCAGTAGTTGGATTTTTTTTTTAAGTTCATTAATTGTTGGATGTTTGGGGGTTAATTTGCCACAAAGAGATTCTTTTTCTGGGGGAAATTTTTTTAAAGTTCTTCTGGAGCTTTGGGGTTCAATAATATTAAGCTCTAGAAAGATAAAGATATGGTTTTACAACAATGACAATAACAAACAATATTTTTCAAGGCATTTTTCATGTATTTCTTTCCACTTTATGAAATTAAAAGTTATTTGTAGGAAAAAGAAAGGAAGAACGAACATGGTACATTTTATTCAGAATTACAGGATAGCATTTTTCTGAAGCTTCCCCAGAGGAATTTTAAAGCTGTTAGTGTCATCCTCTCACTTCTTAAAGTGGTTAACTCAGCTCATAAACTGGACTCAAGTAAATTTTTTAAATGCCTATACAATTTTAAAAAATTTAAAAATCTATTTGTCAGCATCTATTAACAAAATGTTAATTTTTCTTTAAGACTAATTTGTTAAATTTCATAAAAAGAGAAATAGCTTGACTAATAAAAGCCACAGTGTCTGTCTTCTGCAGTAAGCACAGAGGCACTGACAAAAGGATCTTAACTGTCAAGGATCATTTAAAACCAATGAATTAAAAATCAGGAGGTCAGGGAGAGCTGTACAGAGATGATAAGGCTCTCTGTATTTGTCTTAACAAAGGGAGTATTAAACCAGAGTGATTTTCTCCTTCATTCTTTCCCCCCACCAGGAAGAAATGTGAAACTCAATTTTACCCTTGGTTGAAAAGGTGCTAATTTGTCTGACAAGTTGTAGGAATCTGAGGATGCCCAAGGTATCCTTGATGTCTCAAACCTTCATGCTGAGTGAAGCATGCCTCTAAAGTGTCAATATTTAGGAGATATTTTATATCTCATTAGGTAAGAACAATATGAACCACCAGAATGCAGATGGGGCAGGAACTTGTCCCCTGTCAAAGAGAAAACCTTCAGCTCAATATAACCAAGGCAATTTTTGAATCACCCTCATTCAACTAAATACTTGATTAGAAATTAACTTTATGCTTTTACATTGTAGAGAACTTAGGTGAACTTTCTCCCCATTTTCTGCCTTTTTTTGGCAGGTGTGATCTCCAAATCCTTCCCTTTATTGATTGCAGTATCAATGAGTATTTATCAAGAAGGCTCCTAAGAGAGATGGAAATGGAAATATGAAAACTCTAATTCCTTTTCTTTTTAATTGTGTATTTATTGATTTTTTTCATATACTTTCTAAAGCCAAGAATTAGCTGTATGAATGACCTTTGCATGTTAACTAAAGCCTAATTGGTAAGCTGATGTATCACTGAGAGGAAATTTCTATTGGAGAAAAAGACATTTTCCTAGCACATAAGTCACCCCAGGTTGCATGGCTGTTAATAATGGCTAACACATATAACTCTTCCTATGGGCTAGATACTGTGCTGTGTGCTTTTACCCATATCAACTCTGGTAATTCTCTTAATAACCCTGTGAGGTGAGCATTATTATTTTAGCTTTACAGAAGCAGAAAAGTGACTTGGCAAAAATTGCATGGCTAGAAAGCGATGGAGTCAGATTCAAACTCAGAGTCCAGCTTCTAACTTCTATGCTGGACTGCTGCTAGATGGAACCTTATCTAGCAGTGATGAAGTGTGCTAGATGGGACTGCATTGTCAATGCAGGAAAAATGCTCCTATAGTCAATAAAACATTTTGTGAGATCTGCTTGTAGCTGAGCTGAGTTTTTCAAAAGAAAAAACTACAAAATAAATGTTAATATTTGCAATAACATTTACTGGTTCCTCTTCAGATTAGCATTATATAAATATATAACTTGTTTCCTTAGCAACTTTGAGATAAAATGTAGGCTATCCATGTACAATATAATTGCTTGATTCAGATGATGTTGACATGGAGAGTAAATAAAGGCAAACTGGCAAGGTTCATGTAGTAATTTTAATTTATTAAATGGTTCAGTTAACTAACCATACGGTTAATTGCCTTATGATTAATTTTGAAGAGGACAAATATCTTACTGAGTAAACAGGAACAATAAGATCATATTGTAAAAGGCTGATAAGAAGACCACCTGTTAGTTATCATTATGGACTAAATCAGTGGCTCTCAGTCTTGATTGCACATTAGACTCTACTGGGGAACATCTAGAACTTCTGTTGCCCAGGCTAGAATTCAGACCAGTTAGAACAGACTTTCCAGGCCTGGGTCCCAGGCATCAGTAATTTCGAAAGCTTCCCAGGTGATTTCATTGTGTAACCAAGTTTATAATTCACTGACCTAAACGGAAGTTTTCATGTAAAACTCTGTTTCAACCTATTTCAAAAACCCTTCAAACCATTAAAATAAATACCAAATGACTTTTCTTTTTTTTTTTATTATACTTTAAGTTTTAGGGTACATGTGCACAATGTGCAGGTTAGTTATATATGTATACATGTGCCATGCTGGTGCGCTGCACCCACTAACTCGTCATCTAGCATTAGGTATATCTCCCAATGCTATCCCTCCCCCCTCCCCCAACCCCACCACAGTCCCCAGAGAGTTTCTTTTGTCTGAATCAAGAGTTACAACATAATTACTTGAATATCTGAGTACCTGGGGCGTATATTTACTCTGAAAGTATAAAAAGTCATTTGTTAAGGTGTATTTACTAAGTTCAAGTGATCTTCTATAACAATCTAAAAGATTCCATATGAGTCAGGGGCATATTTTAATGATGATTTAAATCATTTATTCCTGAAAAGCTGACAATGTGCAGAACAAAATTGTATGTAGATGTACTAATATCTTCCTTCTGCCCTTCTGACCTGCTGACTTACAGAGACAACAACCATGGTGCTTATGCCATATGGTTTCTGGTTTGCTTAGGCCAATAGGAAGTCCAGCCCCAAACACCTAGGTTTAAAGGTGGGGGAAAAATCAGGTGTTCCCTTATTCCCTTGGCTCCTTTCAAGTGTCTGTTTCCTTCCACTGAAGGTCACTGTTGTCCTCAGGGTCGCCTCCTCTACTGGCTCTTCTTCATTCTGGGTTCTTCACCTCTCCCTTTCCTCATGCCTTTATGCAAAGGGGGATGGAATACTCCATTGCTGTTAGTCCAGGTTTCTGCACTGTCCCTAGTGGTTCCTCCACACTCTACCCACAACTTTATAATAGTTTTTATGAAAACAAACTCTTCTCAAGCCATCCCATTTTGACTGCGCCATTTATTTTTTGTTGGGACCTTGACTGATATGGTGCATAATAAAAACTGAGGCAAGAAAATCTGTCCCAAGAGTATACCAGTGACAATGACGATGACTGGAAGACACTGGACAGCCGTGTCACTAAAATGCATGTTAGAATCAAGCTCTAATGTGAAAAATGTGTTTAATAGTTTTTCAAAAGCATGTTTCCCTCTGTTTTTGTAGGTGAGTTACAACTTAAATTCTGTAGCCCACTTACCATTATGTTATATAGTAGCAATGATTCAAGGATACTCTGAGGATGGAAATATACATAGTATGGTCTTTATTAATCATACACTCAGTCATGGTTTCCTCTGAACTATTTACTATTCTCAGTATATATATATGCCCTGGGTTTTTCTACATGAATGTCTTAGCTCATTTTATTGCCTTTTCTTATGATTCAAGGTCTTGATCAAATGCCATCACTGCTATGAAGACTTCTCTGATTTTTTTTTTTAACTGAAGAGACACATTTTCCTTTACAAAATCTAGCCCACTATCTGCATATCTTGTGGCTCTTTCCACCTGACTTTGTATCTCAGATCTACCCCATCATAGCTGGCTGTCTTTTCCAAGCATCCACGCTTTCCTGTGTTTGGCTTTTCTTATCTATGAAATGGGGATCACAATAGTACCTACCTTGGAGTTATCAGGTTTATATTAGACAAGGTAGGTCAAGCATTTCAAACAGTATCTGGCACATAATAAGCAACAAATGTTAGCTATTTTATTCTAGTTATATTCTTATAATGAAGCTATTTTGGCACATGTTGTTATTCTGTGATGTACTTAAGAATTGGGACAATGAGAGGGTCACCTTTGTATTCTCAGTATCAAGCAAAGAGACAGGCACAGAGTTGGTGGGTGGGTAGTTGGCTAGTTCATTCACTTGTTCCTTTAATGAAAAGGAGCCAATCTGGTGCAGTGGTTAAGCTTATAGGTTCAGAGACGTATTTCCTGGGTTCAAGTCTGATTTCTACCACTTAATTTTTATGTGATCGTCATCAAAATCACTTAAGCTTGCTTTATCTCAGCCTTCTCATCCATGAAGTAAAGACAATAACAGAACTACCTCAGTATTGTTGAGGTTTAAATGAGATAACTAACTAAATCACTTAGCACAGTGCCAGAATATTGTGAGCATTCAATAAATGGTAATATTATTAAAGGAATCACAAGATTAGAAAGAAAGTAGTCAAGGGGAGAAAATAATATATGAAGCAAAAGTACTGTGGTATAATGATTATTATATTGAAGGCCTAATGTATTGAAAAAAATTACAGTGAAAAAATATATTCCTGATAGATAAAAGCATTTGAGGTTGAGAATTATGTCAGGACAGGGTATCCTTGTATAAAACTGCTCTAGTGATATGAAAAAGATTCATAAAGTCTATCTCTTGCCAAAGGGTATGTCAAATATGAGATTTACACTTCCTAAAAGTTGTGGATTGTGATACATGCCATTTATTTGTGTGTCAGTAACTCTATAATCATTCCTAGAGAGGGCCCATTCGCTTCTCGCTGACCTCCCCTTTCCACTCTGTACATTCCTCATTACATAACAGATGTGTTCTCTGATGTATGGCCAAAAATCTAGGTGAATCAAGAGTGGCAGTCTAGAATAGACAGGAGCTGCGTCTGGCAGTGATTCATTCTAATTACACCAAAATCTAACTAATGGAGAAGTCAGTGCAGTCAGAAGAGGGAGAGGAATGTGGCTTCTCTTTCTGCCTTTTCTTTTTCCAGAGACTGACCCCAGTAAACTGTTGAAATTTGATAGCCATAATCAATAGCTTGTAAAACAATAAGGTCAGCATTGTAAAGATTCAGATTTTCTGCCTCCAAATGTAATGGAAACAAGACTGGTGTGCTGAGCCATTGAGGTGAGTCTGACCTTAGCTGACTGACTGATAAAAGACCCAGAGCTGAGGAAGAGATAAAAGAAGAACACAGAGAAGATGCAGTTGTAAATATTACATCAGCACAATCCTTGTTTGTACTCTGGGAACATGCTGAATTGTTATTTTGCTATTGCATTAAAAGTAGAAAATCCCAGCTCTGGAGAAAATAGTAGATTAATTAAGAAGGCTCAGAAATGGAGTGCCTGCATATGTATGTGCCCTCTACTTTAGGGGTCTCCATCAGCATGTTTCAAGTTTCTTTATACATTTGGGTTAATTCCATTAGTTCACCCACATTTCCTAAATACTAGGTTTTAAAGTCCAGGGATTACTACTGTTTATCTCAAAATTCGAACTGGAACTGTTGGTTCAGAAGTCAGATTTTTCTAAGTTTAAAATGCATATGAGAGGGGTATTGTAGGTCTGCATGTTATTGAACGAGACTGCTCGCAAAGCAGTAGATATTTTCACTGTATCTTTCCACAACATTTTAGAATTTGATTAGAAAATAGGGAGAAAAGAAATAGACTTGTGGGTTAAATAGATTCTTGCTTACAAGTTTAGAGATTATTTTAATCATAGGGTAGTTTCATGTGAACCGGGTTTTGAAGTTTCAGAAAAAAAGCATTTTCCTGTATTAAACATCATTAAAAGTTTTCTGAAAATGTATTGGTGACTCAAAAGCTTTCCTGATGAGTAAATAACCTTTACCATTTTTTCTCTTTGATAATTTGAAGGTAAATAATTAGGCACATATAAAGTTCTCTTTTAAATAAATTGAATATTTGGATTTAAATATTAGAAGAAAAAGGTCTTCTTAGCAGGTGTTATGCATTTGCTGAAGATCGATCATTCAAGAAAGAGTTCAAGAGATTTGCTGAAGCTGAGATGGTCAGAGGTAGCCATTTTGAGGTATGAGATTACTGAAGATATAACACCCCTGGGAACAGAGGCTCTAATTTAAGTGAAAAACAAACAACATAGAATATGAAACAAAATTGAATCTTGCATTGAATATAATTAGAATTGAATTTATAGTAAAATCCTGCTAAATATTATATGATTAGGGTTTATTGTTTGCAAATGGAAGTTACCTTTACAAAGCTGAATATGTTCTCCCTTTTGCTGGGCAACTTCTGGGTTTCAGTTGTAAGTGAGTATTCAAGGAGACCTGACAGCATGGGATGTAACCTGCCATGACAAACAGCTAATGAGGATTGCCTTCTACGGCACTCGATTTTCTCTAGAATTATTGTTATGCTGTCTATGCTGGAATCAGTGATGCTATTAGTGTCCTATTTCTCTGAGTTGCTGCAGTTGCAGATTAAGTTTTTAAGTTGTAATTAATCTTGATATGTATTTTATGTAAAAAAGTATAGTGATTCAATGTTTGCTTTTCAATCTACTTTTTTTCTATCCCAGTAGGTATTCTAGTATCAAGCATAAGATCTTGATTAAAAAGAACGCTCCAGAAAATGAAAGTATAAATTCTTTAGTGCATTTTAAATCAACAGTTGCATAAAATCTCCACTCAGAAACTTTTGAGACTCTGTGAGTAAAAGAATTTGGTTTGCGTGTAGCTGAAGTGATTGAGGCCTATCCTGTTTTCTAAATTCATGTGTAGATATCCTTTCTAGGCAAAGGAGATAAAATAGGAGTCACCAAAAAGACTCACGTTGTGGTGCTTGCTGATTGGGGGGTCCTTAAAGCTAAGGCATTAAAACAGTTCTGATATAATTGAAATGATATGTATCACCAGCCTTACCTCTCCTTGCTCATGTCTCATTGTTGATCTTAAGAGCCTTTTGAGAATGTGGCTGCTTGTAATGTAAGAGATAGGCATTTCTAATTTTGGAGATTTAAAAAAATACTACTTGGCCAGATCATTATAATGTGAACTTGAAATTGATACTCTTCAACAATCTTTCTACACAGAACCAAATATAACACTTTGAAGGCCAGAGAAAGATTTCACTAGTGACCTTCATCAATACTTGGGAGAATAATTAAAGGAGTAGCTGTTAATAGAAATACTGGTCATTTCTGCATAACACAATATAACAGGCCAACCCAATAAAGAGAAAGAAGCTCAAGAATATCTGCAGATCAGGTCAGAGATGCCAATTTCTTAGTAGGGTCTGTAGAGTTATAAAAGTGACTTGTTTAAATATTTAGGAAAATGAATTAAAGATTCAACAAGAATAAAGACCACCTAGAGAGATTTTATACTACAAATTCATTAGCATAATTTTTATTACCTGTCTGTCAGAGCAGTTCACATCATTGCTATTAGATGATCTTGAACATTTACAGAAAATCGAAGCCTGGGAATTGTTTAATATTCTGGGGATTGAACTAAAGATACCCAGGATACCAAAATATTTGCCACAGTACACGTACATGCCCATAAGTAAGAGATAGACTCTGATTGGACTGTGTTAAGAATTCCATTATATTGTCTCCCAAAGACCTTTATAAAGTGCATTGAGACTTCCATGCATTTTTCAAGATTACAAATTCCTACCAATGATGTTGAAAGCTGTGTTGTAAATGTACTGTGACTTCTCCAAAAAAAATGCTTGCCCTCACTTCCCTAAGTTAATAAGCAAAAAGTCCTTTGAGAAAGGATACAAAGAATCCTTATCGAAAGCATTTGTGCCATTATAAAAGTCTGATTTTAGGAAACTCTCAAAAGACTTCCCAAACTTTTGTCTACTCTTCTGAGGCTCTGTTGGTTTCTGGGGGAAAATTATTATCATTCTCACTGAATTTGGCTCTTGTACCAATTTACTTGAAATGGAAATACTTCCATTTCTTAGTAAAAATACAGAAAATCACCAAATCAAACAAGCTTTCCTCAGAACAATTATATATATATCAATATGCCAATTGTGTTGGTACTGAAGTCTAGTGAACATTAAAGTAAAACTAAGTACAGCTTCAGAATATATTTAAATTTTTTAATAAAAACATAATAATTTAAAATAATTGTAGTCTTACAGGTTTGTAAAAAATAGTACAGAAAGTTTCTGCATAACTTTTGCCCAGATTCGTCTGATTTTAACCTTTCATATAAACTTAGAAAAATTATCAAAATAAAGAAATTATAATTAGTAACAATGCTATTAACTAAACTGTGGACTTTATTCAGATTTCATCAGTTTTTCCACTATCATCCATGTTTCTAGTTTTCTGAGATCCAACCCAGGACCTCACATTGTAGTTAATTGTTTTTTCTCCTTAGTCTCCAATAATCTGTGAGAGCTTGTTAGTCTTTGTGTTTTGTGATCTTGACACTTTTGAAACGCACTGGTCAGATATTACGTAAAACATAACGTTGTTTTGGGTTTACCTGATATTTTCCCATGATTTGATTGAGGTTATGCATTTTTGGTAAGAATAGCACAGACACAGTGTGCCCTTCCCAGTGAATCTATCAGGAAAAACAGGCTGTTGATATGTCTTATTACTGGTGATGTTCAATTGTTATGGTTATTCCATTTTGGATTCAACCCATTTCCTGTTGATTTTCTCTAACAGACATATGGTAAAAAATATTACTGTTTGTGATGGACAGTTCTGTGGTTTTTGGTAAATCTGTAGAGTCGTGTTTCCATCATCAAAGTCATAATTTGCAACATTTTCATCATCACCATCTCTCATTCTGCCTCTTTGCAGTCGGCCCCTCTCCACATCCAACCTTTTTGCCAGCCACGAATTTGCTTTCAGTTTCTGTTGTTTTGCCTTAGAAGATGCATTTAAGATTCATCCATGTTTTTGTGCGAATCAAGTTTGTCCCATTTTATTGCCAAACAGTTTCCATTATATAGATGTCACATGGTTTGTTTATTCATTCACAAGTTGAAGAATGGCTGTTTTTGTTCATTTTTAATAAAGCTGCTATAAACATTTGCATACAGGTTTATGTCCAGGCTTATATCCTTCTCATTAGGATGTGCGGCTTTTCTAACATCATGGAATTGCCTTTGTCCTTTTCTAAAAAGCCAGTTGATTATATATATGTGGATTTATTTCTAGACTTCTTTACTGCTTACCATTGTGTATATCTTTTCACTAATAACACATTCTCTTTATTACTCTTGACTTACAGTAAGTCTTGAAACTAGGTATTGTGAGTCCTTACCTTTGTTTTTCTTTTTCAAAATTATTTTGGCTATTCTAGTTCCTTTGTCTTTCCATTACATTAAACAGCTTTCCAATATTTACCCTTCCTCCAAAAATGAACAAATAAACAAACCATGTAGCCAGCTTGGATTTTCATTGGAATTGCAATGAATCTGTAGATCAATTTTGAGTCTGTATAGTCTTTTCTTTATAATATTATCCAACATTAAAACACAATATTGTACAATATGAAAGTATTGTATAATTACTATAAGATTATACTATACTTGCAATATAATGCAATGCACTTGTAATACAATTATGACATTATAATATTGTATAATATTCCAATATAATATTACAATACTGAGTCTTCCAGCCCATGAACAGCTATATCTCTTCACTTATTTAGGTCTTCTTTGATTTATTTTATTAATATCTTATGGTATTCAGAATACAGATCCTGCTCATATTTTGTTAGATCTGTACTTTAGTATTTCTTTTCATTTTTGGGAGGTGCTATTATAAATGATATTTTAAAAACTAATTTGAGCTCTAATTATTTATTGCTATTATATGGAAATACAATTTTGTGTTTTGATCTTATATTTTGTGACTTAGATAAAGTTTTATTAGTTCTAGTAGGCTTTACAGATTACTTGGGATTTTCTATAGATAGTCATGTTGTCTGTGAAAGCAAAGAGTTTTATTCCTTCTTTTACTATCTGATAGCCTTATCTTTCTTTTTTTTTTTTAATTGTACTGGCTAGCACTTCTAGTACAAGTTTTTATAGAAGTGGTGAGAAAGAACATTCTTGCCTTGTTCTTTACCATGGGTAGGGGGAAGAACTTAGTCTTTTTCCATTAAGTATAATGTTAGCAACAGATTTTTGTAGATTCCTTTGATCAAATTTAGGAAATTCCCTTCTTTTCTAGTTTTCTGAGAGTTTTTATAATAGGTGGATATTGAGCTTTATCAAATGCTTTTCCTGTATATGCTGAGATAATTATGTTTTTTCTTCCTCTCGCTCTCTCTCTTTTTTTTTTTTTTTCCTGGGACAGTGTCTCCTTTTGTTGCCTAGGCTGGAGTGCAGTGGCACCATCACGGCTTACTGCAACCTCTGCCTCCCAGGCTCAAGTGATCCTCCCACCTCAGCCTCCCGACTAGCTGGGCCCACAGGCACCCACCACCATGCCCAGCTAATTTTTTTTGTATTTTTGGTAAAGACATCGTTTCACCATATTGCCTAGGCTTGTCTTGAACTCCTGAGCTCAAGCCATCAGCCTGCCTCTGCCTCCCAAAGTGCTGGGATTACAGATATGAGGCATCGTGCCTGGCTGTTTTTTCTTCTTTGTTCTGCTAATATGGTGAATTATGTGGATTAATTTTTGAATGTTGAAGAAGTCTTGTATTCCTGGGATAACTTGTTTGGTTGACATTTATTATCCTTTTTATATGTTTCTGTTTTCGATTTGCTAATATTTTGTTGACTATTTTGCATGTATGTTCATGAAGAACATTCATCTGTAGTTTTCTTTTTATTATAATGATTTGGTCTGGTTTTGGTATTAGACTAATGATGGCCTCATAAAATAATTGGGGAAGTCTCTTCCTTTTTCTGGAAAATGTTATACAGAATTAATATTATTCTTTTCCTAAATGTTTGGTACAATTCATCGGTGAAACTGTCTGGTCCTGGAAATTTCTTTTTAGGAAAGTTTTAAATTACAAATTTAATTTATTAAATGGATATAGGAATAGTCAGATTAATGATTTCTTCTTGATTGATTTTAGTAGTTCATGACTTTCAAAGAATTGGTCCTTTTTCATTAAAGTTGTTGAATTTATAGGCATAGAGTTTTTTTTGTAGTGTTCCCTTATTAACCTTTGAATGTCTCCAAAGTCTGTTGTGATGACTTCCTCTTTCATTCTTGATATTGGTAATTTGAGTCTTCTCTGTTTTTTGTTGCCAGTTTGTCTAGAAGTTTATCAATTTTATTAATCATTTCAAAGAATCAACTTTTGGTTCAATTGGTTTTCTGTACTGTTTTCCTGCTTTTGATTTTATTGATTTGTATTTCTTTCTATATTGTTTCTTTCCTTCTTTCCTTGGAATTAATTTTCTCTCCTTTCTCTGCCTTCTTAAGAGAGATTAGCAACTGATTTGAGGCTCTTATTTTTTCTAACACAAGTATTTAACATTATAAAATTCTCTCTAATCACTGCTTTAGTTTCATCCTACACATTTTGATAAGTTATATTTTCATTTTCATTTAGTTCAACATATTTTTATTTCTTTTAAGATTTTCTCTTTGACCCACGGGTTATTAATTTCCAAACTTTTGGGGATCTTTTCCAGATGTTTTTGTTATTAATTTTTAGTTTAATTCCATAATTGTCAGAGAACACATATTATAGGGTTTCTATTTTTTAAATTTGCCGAGATTTGTTTTATAATCCAGAATATGGTCTATATTGGTGAATATTCCATGAGCACTTGAAAAGAATGTATGTTATACTGTTGTCACACAGAGGTTCTACAAATGTTGATTAGGGCAAATTGAATAATATTGTGTTAAGGTATATATTGGTACTCATTTTATGCCTCCTTATTCTATCAATTACTAAGAGATGTATTGCAGTCTCCAACTCTAATTGTAGATTTGTATATTTCTCTCTTCAGTTTTGTGACTTTTTGTTTATGCATTTTGACATTTTTGTTAGGCACATACACATTTAGAATTGTTATGTCATTTTGAAGAGTTTACCCTTTTGTCATGTAATTTACCTCTTTATTTCTGATAGTATTCTTTGTTCTGAAATATATTTTGTGTGATATTAATATAGATACTGCAGTTTTCTTTTGTTAACATTTACATGGTATATCTTTTCCTATCAGTTTCTATCTGCTATCCTATTCTTTCTGCCTGAAGAATGTTCTGTAACTTTTCTTGTACTGTCGGTTTCTAGGCAATGCATTCTGTTAAGCTTCATTTGTTTGAAAAGTCTTTTTATACTTCGTACTTCATTTCTGAAAAAATATTTTGTCTGGGTATAGAATTTAGGTTTTAAGTTTTTTCTTCCAGCATTTAAAAAGTAACTTTTTTTTTTTTTTTTTTTTTTTTTAGCTTGCACTGTTTCTGACAAGAAGTTTGGTGTAATTCTTATCTTTGTTCCTCTGTATGTAATGTGTATTTTTTTCTCGGGCAGCCTTCACGATATTCTCCTTCTCTTTTGTTTTTAGCAATCTGAATATGCCGTATGGCATGGAGAGGTGTTCTTTGTTGTTATTTTGCTTGGTATACTATGAGCTTCTTGGATCTGTGTTTTAATGCCTGTTAGTACCTGTAGAAAATTACTAGCCATTGTTTTGTAAAATATTTTTTCTGCTCCATTCTCTCTACTTTCTAAGGAATTCCAATTATATCAATACATATGCTAGACTGTTTTATAAATATACCTTTAAAAAAGCCTCACATTCAATGCTAGCAGTCAATTTCCTATATATTTATTGATTGATTTTTTTCTGACATTAAAAAACATAGTTTGAAATTTCAAAGGATTAAAAAAACTAAAAAGTAGTTTTCTATAATGTTGCGACTCAAAATAAAACCCTTTTAAGAGTATCATATATGTATTTTCAGCCTTTTTCTTATTCAAACACAAATAGATTTCCTATTCATACATACATACATACATACATACATATATTTTTAACACAATGGTATGAATAATAATATATTTCTCTTATTGCTTATTTCACTTTTTATAGGCCATCTTATCATGTTGATGCACATAGATCTACATCAGTCTTTTAAATAACTACATTGCATTCCATTGTATGAACTAAACTTTGTTTAATTAACAAACTCACTTTTGATAAACATTTAAAGTGTTTCAATTTATAACTACTGAAAACAATGTCGCAATCATCCTGAATTGTAATATGTATTTGTAATCTTAAATAAGTTTTTCACAATATAAATCCTTAAAGTAAACTTGCTAAGGCATAGGGCATGCATATTTTGCATGTCAGTAGATATTTCCAAATTTATCCTCAGAAAAGTTATACCAATAGCCATCACCGCCATCACCACCAGAAATTTATGAGAGTGTCTTTTCCTTTTCCATGCTGCTCCCAAACATATTCTTGTGTAGCTTATTCTTGGGGCAGTGAATGCTGTTGAAATCTATTATATTGTTATGGGTATGAAGAACACAATGTTTGAGGCATATTAACTTGTCATTATCATCAAGAGGATGGATGGAGATTAGTCAATTTAGATACGTGGAGACAAATGTAGTTATTGAGGCTTAAATAACTGAGGGTCAGCACCAAGATAGTTAGGTAGCAGTAGGAGTGAAAAGAAGGATCAATGTTTCAAATAAAATGAAATAGGCTTTATAAGTGCTTGAAGGTGAGACCTAAATTTGGAGTCAGAAGACTGAGATCTGAGTCTTGGATGTATCATTATTATTAACTTACTGACCTGGCCAATTTTTCCAATGTTCATTTAAAAAAAAAATCTTGAGCAGGTTTACTGCAAAGATTAAATGAGACAATTTATATATGATGGTGTTTTTAAAACTCTAAAGCCTGATGCATATGTAAGATAATCATAATGTGTGAGATGTGAAAAAGAGGAGAGAATTAACAGTATCCCAATAGTTGAGCCATGCAGCCCAGGGAGTGAGGGGTTATTGACAGGAAGAGATTATTAAGTGAGATAATGATGGATTCAGATTTGCTACTGTTGTATTTGAAGTAACTACGGAACTTCTGCATTGAACCATCTAATAGTTAGTGGGTACAACTAAATTAGAATTAAGGAGATCAAGATTTGAAATGAATTTCCTCTGAGAAGGGCTAAGGATTAATTTTCTGACCACACACAGTTCTTCCTCCGGTCTTTTGAGTGTAAATAACTGACAATTGAACATTCTTCACTTTATTCCCTTTCTTCCAAAAAGAGCTGAAGCAGCCCACATGACCCTATGTCCGCTGGAATCTAGTTTTTAGCATCTTCCAAACACATTGTACTTGGAATCATGGTCAGAGGTTAAAGTTCAGTTTGTGGACTTGGAAAGAAGACATCATCTACTTTAGCCTGAATTTCCCAATTGATCAGATAATTATCTAAAATATATTAGTTGATGTCATGAGAGTTAAAGTTGTATATAACTGGACTGCTTGACTTTTAATTGCTAGATCCTGGTAAGTAACAATGAAAAAGACACCATTCTTGCCCTCAAGGAGCTTTAAGTCTGATAGGAAGGGATCTGACATCTAAGTTTAATAAAATATAATTGTTCTGTTAAGACTATGTGATTGGGAGAAGGGGGAAAGGAGAGACAAAGAAGGGCATGGTCAATTCTCCATTTCTGGAATGGGAGGCAAATATTTCAGACAATTCTAGATGGTGGAGATGGAACTGTATCTTGAAAGATAGTGCTTGTGGTTGTACAACAGGGCAGGATGCTTGAGAAATAAAGCTGGAAGACCAACTGCATGGATGTGGGAAATATTTCAAAATAGCAGGTGTGATGGCATCTGCAAGTAGATCATTCTCTCTAGAGCTCAGGGGAGAGGTGAGTTGGAGCAGGCTGCATTGGAAGGGGCCATGCTGGAGTCATGCCCTTGGTGTGATGATGGTCCCTGCCCTCTACCTTCCTCCCACTTCTGCCATCCCCACCTTGGTTTTCTCCTTCATTCTATAATGTATTCTCCTTTCATTTGGTATTGCAACCTTCCCCTCCACTCCCCCACTGAATCCTAAACCTAAAATGATTTGGAACCAAATTATGATTTGAAGGATTATATTATTGGTTCATATTGACCCTGCTATGATACAATGATAGCTGTGGCCAAGGTTTATTTTGATACATTGGACAAAGTGCAGTCTTCTGAGCCTTGCTATTTACAGATTTAAAAGAAGCTGAAAAAAATAAAACATATTTTAACCTCTAGGAAAGGAACAAATATGTACCAGCTCATCCAAGTACAGTGTGACATGACTTATGTGGTACCGTAACCTAATGAAGCCTGAAGTCATTCAAAATATTGCATGCTCATAATAATTCAGATATATCGCTTATTTGTGGTAGTGCCTGAAGATTAGCAGGCTCCCAGAGAAAAGAGAACCTTTCCGATCTTCAGCCTCTCCTCATAATACACTGGATGCTGGGCTGCCAGCAGCTGCTCTAGTGCCTCAATTTCAGATCCCTTCCCTCCATCCCCCCTTCCATCTAAATGATTTGTTCTTTCTTGTTATTTTCTTTAACTTCTTTATGCCTCCCTTCTCTTTGGTCTCAGTTATCCCACTGTGAGGGTAATTTACCTATTAACTTGTGAAAACTTGAGTTTGCCATGCCTTATTCTTTCACCCAAAGGGAATGTCACTTGCTGTTTATGATGACATCATAGCATAATAAAAATATAGATTTGAAGTTGGAATATAGTCTAATTTCCCATAAATACAGAAGCCCTTCTTTTAATACATTTTATTTAAAACAAGAGAACAATATTTTATCTTTAGACCCTCAATAAGCATGAAACATTCTCAGCTTCCGATTCACACAAGGTCTTTAAACACGGTAGCTTTTTCTGACCTAGATTCTAGACTACCGCTTCCATGTTTTAACTGAATATTGACATTTCCTTAGGTTACCTCCTTTCTGGGAAGTGGGGGACAGGCTTGAGTGGTGGTAGCTCCTCTTATTTTGTCCTGCATAGTTGTGGAGTGGAGCATGGAGATGGCTGTAAACATTATAATCCAAGTAGGTCTGTGACCCAGTACTCTATACCCGAAGGCCTTCATCCTGCCATGTGATACCCTGCATTGCACTCTGCCTGTTTCTCTCGCTGATGTCAGCACTCCCAGGCCACTACTCACTCCATATCCACTCCATCCACTTGTCTGTCCTGACTCCACACAGTAGATATACAATGGGTGCTTGAGTAATACTTGTCAAAGGCAAAGGAGAGAGATGATATCTTAGAGGATGTTATGCAAATGTACTTTAAATTTTAGGTTGTGAAGTTAGTTGTTCAAATTCAAGGTACCTCCAAAGTGCCAATGTATCTCCCTTTAAGATGTTCACTGCTTCATCTCCCTCAGGTCTTTTCTCAAATGTCTTATTCTCAGTGAGGTCTTCCTGACTACTCCATTTGAAATTGCCCTACACCTTTGTAGAACTTTTTATTTCTAGATAATAAAGGTTACATTTTTAATTTTTCTTTTTAGCACTGATCTGATATATCATATTATTAATTATTTATCTTCTCATTTATTGTCATTCTTAGGCAGGGATTTTACCTCTTCACGCCTCTGTTTCTAGAGTTCAGAACTGTGTTTGACACATACATGCACAGAAGGCCATTAACAAATGTATTTTGAATGAATGGGAGAAAAAGCCACTCTCTCTTCATTTTGTCTGCTTTCTCCTTTTCTCCCTTCACTGGCTTTTTCCACATCTTGAATCCATACACAGAACCCGTTCTTCCACAGCTCTCCAGTTACCAAGTCCTAGTTCCAACCATGCTCAGAGGCTGAGTAGCTGTTTCTCAATCTGAATCTCAAATTCCCAGGTGAGAAATAAAATGGACACTGCTTTTATCAGGCCTATGTTCTGGTACAATCTGCCGTGGCCAAGGGATCAGAGACACAAATTATCCACTGAGATTGTTGCCAGCATCTACTTGTCAGGGAGGAGGAAGTAATTCCAGGAAAAGGATACTTGTGCATTGAGTGGGCACCAGGTATTCACAGTAGTTCAAGAGGCCTGAAGAATCCTTTCCAAATCATTTAAATTTCCCAAATACTTTATTTATTTATTTATTTATTTATTTGAAACCGACTCTCACTCTGTTGTCCAGGCTGGAGTGCAATAGCAAGATCTTGGCTCACTGCAGCCTCCACCTCCCAGGTGGAGCAATTCTCTAGCCCCAGCCTCCCAAGTAGCTGAGATTAGAAGCCCACACCACCATATCTAGCTAATTTTTGTATTTTTAGTAGAAATGGGGTTTTGCCATGTTGGCCAGGCTGGTCTCAAGCTCCTGGCTTCTAGTGATCTGCCTGCTTTGGCCTCCTGAAGTATTGGGATTACAGGCGTGAGACACCGCACCGGGCCAAATTTCCCAAATATTTTAAATGGATTCACAAAAAAGTGTCTTGTTCATCTTTGTATCCATAGCACCTAGAGAAGTTCCCAGGGGGCAGACCTCATGGTTTGAATTGTCTTTTTGCATTATCTGATGGTTTCTGGTGTTTACTAATACCTTTGTTCTATTGATGATCATGGTAAGAATAGGGAAATTTGGTTATTTGATAATGATGTAGTAAAAGAGAAAGATAAGTCAGGGTATTTACATGTATGCAGTTGTAAAGAGGTGGAAATAGTGTGTGTGTTGGCGGGGGAGATTTAAAACTTGACTTAGGAAAGAGCAATCCTTACTAAAATGTACAAATATACTTGGTGAGCTAATGTTTTTGATGCAAGGGCTTGACTACAGGATAATAGCTTACAAGTTGTCCCCTGCTGTTTGGTAATGTTAATGGACAGGAAGTGAGTAATGATTTATAAAGTGGTGTTGGAGCTGTAGTTAACAAGGCTCCCTGACCACAGTGCAATGTGCAGAAGGAAGCAGCAGTTACAGCTCGTGGAGGAGGGAAAAGGCTTTTCTTCATTGTTCCTACCTCATGCATTGTTCAGTTTCTAAGCTCCCTCCCCACTCCTTGTTTTTCCTGACAATACAGAGCCCAGGGATGACCTCTGAGGGAGGCTTTGTAGCAGGCCGTCAGATAAAATCCAGGATGCTCAGTTAAATTTGAATTTCTGCTGGGCACGGTGGCTCATGCTTGTAATCCCAGAGCTTTGGGAAAGCAAGGCAGGCAGATGGCTTGAGCCCAGGAATTTGAGACCAACCAAGGAAAGATGGGGAGATCTCATCTCTATAAAAAATTAAAAAAAATTTAGCCGGGCGTGGTGGTGTGAGTCTGTAGTGCCAAATACTCGGGAGGCTGAGGCAGGAGGATTGCTTTAGCCTAGGAGGTTGAGGCCACAGTGAACTGTGATTGCACCACCTAACTCTAGCCAGGGTGACAAAGCAAGACCTCATCTCAAAAAAAAAAAAATAATAATAAAATTCCAGATAAATAGTGAATAACTTTTTAGTGTAATTATGTTCCAAATATTGCATGGGGTAAACATATAAGAAATTATTTGTTATTTATCTGAAATTCAAACTTTAACTAGTTGTCTTTTTATTGACTCACTCTGGCAACTCTACTTACAGCCCACATTGCTTCATAAGAGGCTATTAGTTCATGCAGATGCAAAAGTTCCTTTAGTTCATTCCTAGAAACCTGGGGACAAGACAGACCTGCCAAAGAATAGAGGCTTAAAACCAAGCTGAGGGAGAAAAAATGCTGTTGTTATTAAATGCTCTGTGTTGATGTGATAGTTTAAAAGAGTGACACTATTTATGTGCCTGTGTTGGGAATGTGTGGACTATTTTAAAAAAGAAAAATCACTCTACATTTAGAAGAGAAAACCTGGAAAATCACAGAATGAATGAGCCAGCAAGAACTGAAGATTCCTAGTTCAGGCTTCCTCATTTCACAGAAAAGGGAACTGAAATAACAGAGTTGAAATAGTCTTGCAGGCAGACCTGAAAAATCCAGGTGATATCATTTAATAATTGGGGGAAATGGCTGAATGCCTCCCTGAGCTTTAGTTTTCTACTTCTAGTAGAGGGGAGATTGAAATACTTACCTCAAAGAATTCTAGTGAAGATTCAATGAGTCAGTGCTAACGCCCCCAGAACTGCTTTCCAGGGTGTCAGTGCAAGTTGCTGTGGGGCTCTCTCCCCAACAGGCTGGTCAGCTGCATGGCCTGATGAGGCCTCCTCACGCCACTCATTGTGGCCGCACTACAATGTTAGTAGATAATTTAAGTCATCGCTGGCCTCCGTTTATCACCAAAGCAGACTATAGAGCACTTTACTTCTGCTGGATAAATGATAAGCTTTCATATTGACCCTGCTAGCCAAAAAATGTAGGGAAAGGGAAATAAACAATGGACATCTAAAAAAATCCAGAAACAAAACAAACAACAGAAAATTCTCCGAGTGGCTCTTTCTCTGAGACTGAGAGCGTGTTTTACTCTGGGAACTCTGCCTAAGTAATCTAGGCACCTTTTGTGAAGCAGGGATCTCCTTTGTTGATGTTTCCCCCAAACTCCAAAACTTTGATTCTATTCAACTTGAGATATTTGTTTATCCTATCACGCCAGTTATTTTCCCCAAACTGCTCATTTTCACATCCTCTAAAGCTATGGTTCTCAAAATATGGTCCCTGAGCCAGTAGCAATAGCACCTGGGAACTTCTTACAAATCCAAATTCTGGAAGGCCAACGCAGACCTCCTGAATCAGAAACTGGATGTTGGGTCCAGTAATCCGGGTTTTCACAACTCTCCTGGTGACTCTGATGCCAGCTAAAGCCTGAGAACCACTGCCGCAGAGCTTTACCTAACAAGCCTTCAGGTCTGTCTACATCTTGTTGGTTTGATAGCAATGGAGTGAAATTCTCTGTGTTTGTGTCCACTATATCTAATTACAACTTATGGACACTCAGGAATCGTTAAATGACAATATGGGAAGGGGAGATGTTCACATTCATTAAATACTGTTCTAAAATTATACCCGCAGTGTAACTGAGAGAGGTATGACTGTGTGACGACACAGAGAGGTAATGCCATTAAAAGAAAGGCTCACTGCTGCTCACAGCTCCCCAGGAAATGAGAGGCAAGGCATGCAACTCAGGACCATGGAGGAGGTTCCAGTGCCAGGAAGCAGAAGTGGGAGCGAGGGGAAAGCTGAGGCTAGAGCCTTTATTGGGGTTTCTGCAGGAAAGGCAAGGCAGGGCAGGGCGAAGAGCTTAAGGTTGGCAGTTTCAATAATTCTAGGGGGCTTTGGGGCATAGAGGTGGTCTTTAGTTGCATAGATCTGTTCCCTAGAGTTATTCAGGGGTGTGGAAATATTGGCTTTATGTGTGAGAGCTAGACAAGGAAATGGTTGAGGCTGTAGACTCGGGATTGGTTGGTGCTCCCTGGAGACCCCTGTTTTGTATAAGAATTGGCTACTCCTGGGAGGTGAAGTCTCTCCCTGGCCAGCAAGCTTTCTGAGATATTAGAACATCATAAAATATAGAAAATAAAAAAAATGCTTAAAACAAGTATGTGCCAGGGATTATACTAGAATATATATATGTATAAAATCCCATTTCATGCTCACAGCAGCCCTATGCAGTTGGTTTTGTCCTACCACAAATAATAAAACTGAAGTTCAGAGAGGTCAAGTAATTTGTCTAAGCTCACACAGCTGCAAGTGGTGGAGCAGAGATTTAAGTAAGACTAGTTTGACTTTAAAAGCTCTTCCAACTTATAAAGCTATATAACAGAGTCTAGCTTTTCTCCTAGGAACTATATGAAACTCAAAGTCTGGCAATGACTGGAGAGAACTGGACTGGAAAGTTTCTCAAGCTTGATAGAGTTGAAGGGACTACAGCTGGGAGAGGGCAGCTATTAGGGGAGCCACAGCTGCCAGTCTGCATTCATATTCTACGTGGGGGAGGGATGGGACATACATACACACATTTCTCACAGCCAAGTTTAAAACAATTTAAATGAAGCAAAGTATTCAATTAGAGATGCTTGAGGAAACCAGGCACGTATCATCTATGTCAGCAGCAAAGGAGAAGAAAATATTTAGCCTTTGCAAGCTGTGACCACTTCAGCACTGTATGATGATGTTGCCTCACGGAAGAGCAAAAGAATACATCCAGTACCTTAGAGAGATTAATTTCCCCAGGAAAAAAAAAGAAAACAAAGGAAGATCCTCTGATTACATTTAAATATTTCCTTGCCAATGCTTGGGGGAATTCTGACATTCCTTCTTGCAAAGGAAAGCTTTTGTGCCTGGGAAAAAGGTGATTAGGGCACTGTGCCTGGGAGGATAGAGGCGAGGGAGGGGTGAAAGGGAGGAAGGGGTGTTTCAATAGCAGCACAGGTGCAACAGTTTGGACTGAGTGATGGCCTTACAAATGACCCTGGCACAGAGCAGAGGAAACCCAAGGAGAAGATTAATTGAATTACAGCTACAGTATGTATGTATGCATTTTATTTCTGTTCTAAAGTCTAAATGGATTGTGGGGCTGGCTAACCAGCTGGGGTAAGGTCAAAATATTGAGGAAATGAGAGGGGATATAGATGAACAATTTTCTTGATAGGGAACAAATCCTTAGCTTGTTTGCTTTTGTCTAGAACATTTTGGAGTCTGAAAAGGCTCAGTTCATAACCTCCTTTATGTAAGTGCAATCTAATTATTTTTCATGCCAGGATATGACCAGTACCTGAGGTTTTGGCTTTAAGACTATGGAAGGTAAATTGGGATAAGGAGTAGAACATTTGCTTTATAACCCAATTTCTCGCTTTCCAGGAGAGCTGATGGTAGAATTTTTTCTTTAGGACACTGAAAATATAATTTAAATTTTAAGAAAAGTTAATATCCACACACCTTTACTACAGAGGTAATGTACGCCCAGTACCTCAAATTCATCTTGCATATAGTAAGCCTTCAACCCAGGAAGACCAACCACCCTGTCCCTTGCTTTAACAACTGTTTAAGAGAAAATATGGCATATTAGAAGGACTGTTACTAAACTGGGTGACTAATGAGTGGTGTGTCATCAGACTATACAGTCTTAAATACCTCATTTTAGCCTCTCTGAGACTTGGCTTAATTGTGTCTAATAGCCCCTCCATCTGTCTTCTGGGAGTCATGCTCGCCCAGCAGTTCCTCTCTCCTTATTCTTGTCAGCCTGTGCATGGTTGCTAACGCTGTGCTGTAGTGAGATCTTGCTGGCCAGCCCCAACAGCATTCCGCCCCTCACCACTCAGCGAGGTTTATATAAACTTGCAAGGTATGTGTTTCATTGTTACTTTGATGACCCATATTCAGGGACCACAGAAAGCTCTGTATCTGCCCTGCTTATTTAACAGCTATTGTGAGGAGCCAATAAAGTAAGTGAAAACCACTTATAAAGTGTAAAGCACCGGACAAATATTCATTAAATCTTTGTACCTTTATTCCTATAGCCCTGAACACTTTGTCTTCCCTTTCAAAAAAACTTAAGTTACCTCTTATATTTTACTTCATTTAGTCTCATCAAATCCCTTTAAAGTAAAGAGCTAATTGCTTGGTTTAATAAACTTCTCCTTTCTAGTAGTCTATTAGCTAGTTTGTCCTTTATAAGTTGTGCAAAGTGACAGCAGGATTGGCTTTGAGGCCTTCCAAGGGTTTTCTACTTAAAGTCTTTCCGAGGGAGCCTAACATCAAAAGTATAAAGGAAGGAGGGAATAGCTTTTCATTTCAAAGGCATCACACTTTGATAAGGTTTTTGAGGAAATAAAAATAAAATTAATGAAAACAGTGGGCTAGAATCTGATCTCTGAGCAATGTATTTCTTAGGTTCATACAGGCTTCCAGAATTCTAAAGTAGTAACTGAATGAAGGGATTCTTTAGAACTGTCTCAGTTCATGCATCTAAGACTCCCTGGAACTATAGCTCTGCAATTTACATGGAAATCATCCTGCAATTTAGGACACATTGCTTGGGAGAATCTACATGTCTGCTCTGTACAGCATTATGTTTTATTTATACTGGTAACCATACTAGTGCTGTATTATGTAAGAATAACCCAGTGATTTTTATTTCCCATTAGAACCTTATGTGCTTTAATTCATCACTATTCTCTACTAGACTTTAAATCCTTTGACAACAGATAGCCTTTGCCTGTTTCACAGCTTCATTTCCAAGGCTCAGCACAGTGCTTGGCATAGAGTTGGCCAATAAATATTTGTTGAGAAGCTGAATTAATGCAAGGTTTTATAAAAAGGATGCATAGAAACTGGATGATACTCTGAGGACAGGTGTTGTATCTGCACATCTTAGAATTCCAAGTTCCACTTTTTTGATCTTCTCAACAAGCATGATATAGATTGTATGCTTATCTGATTCTCAGTTATGAAATCTCATCATCACAATGGTGTCAAAAGTACTGAGAGTATTATATGCTGCTCCTCATGCCTTGGAAACATCCTGTAACTATAGTTCCTTGCCTGACTGTGACTTTATCTGCAGCAGACTTTAAGTAGGGTAGGATCTCACTAAATCTCCAAATTAATATTTCTTCAAAGACGATCTCGTTTTAAGTGGGAGTGCAGGGCTAGGGAGTGGATGATGAGTTGGGATTGGAAATGAGAAATGGGAATAGAAGCAACATAAAGATAACTCTGGAAGAGAAATCCTTGACTTGCACTGGGTGTGAGAAGGGAGAAAAATGATAAACTTTTAGACCACAAAAGCAGGGATCAGGGTTGAGGAGTAATGTAATTGATAACACATATTTACATTTTTCTATCTTTAAGAACAACTAACATGTTACAACTACTCATCATAAAAAGTTTCCATTGTTTTAAGGAAAACAACATGTTGCATCATAGAATCACAAAACAGCAGAGCTGGAAAGAAAATCTGAGACCACTTAATTTGGTTCGTTAATTTTACTGTTGAAGGAACCAAGCCTTTCCTAAAGATCTTTATGAACCTTATTTCTATTTTGCCTCCCATATTTATTTGGAAATTGTGTGGAATGCTTGGGATTATGGTGACTAATGCTTGGGATTAGTCATACAGCAAGGAGTTCAAACATAGTCCACGGTGACAATTAACACTTTGAACTGGATTGAGACAATCTGATAACTGAGTAGACAGTCATTATACTGCCTTCCCAGAAACAGTAAGCACCTTATATGACACTTTTCTAAAAGAATCCTTAAGAACCTCTCCTATAAAACTCACACATTGTTTTACTGAGAAGAATACATCAGGTGTCTGAAAGAATAGAACTAATTTTTGATTTTGGTAGCAACAACCCAAGATGTCTTGTGTTCTTAAGTCAATTTCCCCAAGACTATTTTATTCTCAATATAATCAGCATTTGGGGAGGGGGTATTCTTTGAAATATTCTAAATGTTAAATATATAAGAAATATTCTGCATTGTGCTTCCCTGTTTCCATAAGCTAAATCTTTCAAGAGAACTCTCTGAAATGATACCCTATCATTCTCTCATTTAGATACCATATCAATCTAAACTGATTAGAGTCATCACAACTGCCCCCAACACAGTTGTCCTCAACTAACAATGGCACTTCGGAAAAGCCTGCATTTCATTGATGACTGAAGTCCTCACTAGTGCAAAACAGTAGCTCTTCTAGTCACAAGACTTTATTCCACATTGCATAAAATTCTAGGAGTCTCTGTGGTATGTTCATACTGAATCAGGGGTAGCTTTAATAGAATTTGTGTTTATGACCATCAGGATTAAGAATGTAAATTGATGCTAACTGCATGACTGACACCTAGTGGATATATGCCAGTGGTGCTGTTTATAACCATGCTTCCTTCCTCCCCTCAACCTGCCCTGGCAGGCATGCTATATTATGGCCCTTCAGAATATTATCCATATGGGGAAAAAAAATCACATTGGAAGAAATCATTGTCTTAAATACAGAATTATGTCATTATATATTGCTAAAATAATAGGACCAAAAACCTAGAAATACAGAATATTTACAGAGATTTGAAAGAATATACAGTAGCTTGGAGTTAAAAAAAAATAAAATAAAAATAAAAAAAGACCAGATATCAAAATTTAGTTTGTTTAGTTTGTTGGAAAGGATTGAAATACACTGACATGTAAAAGCTTGTGTAATATACAAATATCCACACAGAATTGAAATGCTTAGTATTATATCTTATCTTTGTTTTTTTGACATTAACTTACGTGCTTGAGAGATACACAGATAAAGGTTTAGTCTACTTATTCTGACATGAACTAGCACTTGTGATTGTAGTAAAAGTGTTAAAACTGCTACTATTCTGAGAATCAAATATTGATAATCAACAATTAGAATAAATTTTACATAATTTGTATGTTTCTTTTACCTACTGGGAAATTTTATTATTACTATTAAAAATAGACAAAAGGGTTGATTGTGTCAATAAGAAATTTTAAGCACAAAATGTTTTTTAAAAAGTGCATGTTTTATTGTAATTAAGGTACTGGAATTCAGATGATTATATAAATATAATGTAGATTATAGTGTCAAAATCTGAATTTTAGGAAAAAGTCTGGGCACTTTTATTCAAGAAGTTATTAGTTGTAGAGAAACAACAGATTGGACACTGTGAAAATACAGCAGTTTGTTTTGCAGATTGCCATTATTGGAGAAAGTAATTTTTAGTTGCCAATAATAAAAGATACTTTGAAATGCAGTCTCATAGATTTTTAAAAACCGTATG
Organism: Homo sapiens; assembly: GCF_000001405.40. NCBI lineage: Eukaryota > Metazoa > Chordata > Mammalia > Primates > Hominidae > Homo > Homo sapiens. The sequence continues at coordinate 199,683,914 of NC_000001.11, read as the reverse complement.
TTTTCTTATAGAAGTTTTCTTTAGTAGAAATTACTTTCCAGTCCATTCTTTATCTTAAAGTATGTAAAATTTCGAGCAAAAATACAGCATTGTTTTAAAGGGCATCTTCTCAGTGAGAGCAGTACAGCTGTGTAAATTGCATTGTATGGGACACTCTTGCACAGTATAACAGTGCTGCATAATAAGAAAAAGTCATGCCGCTTATCACTCAGGGCAGATGGCTTGTGCTTCTCTTTTTGAATATCAGGTAGACCTTATTCCAGATCCTTTAGATCAGTCTTTACTTTAGGAATGGTCAGAGTCAAGTTGGCCATGGTGGACATTCTGCCAGTAGGTGTAAATAAATGGCAAAAGTCAACAGAAATTTTATAAGCAATTTCACACTGGCTGGGAAGGAAAAGACTGGAAGTTTGCTAACTGTGTTTTTATATATATTTATGCATTGATACTGAGAAAAGCTTCCTTGTGATGAAGTGATTATTATAAATAAAGCTGATTGTGATTATACTTAAATTACAAGGTCCTACTCCCCATCACCACCTCTGCCCCAGCTCCCCCAAGTAAACCACTGTTCTGGTTTCTTTCGTCATGTATTAATGTTGCCTGTTTCAGAATTCCATATAAATGGAATCTGATGCTCATCTGTGTTACGTGACATGCATTAACCTTTTTATTGCCAAATAATATTCCTTTCTTCCTCAGTAAAAGAGCCACCCACCCACCGCCCCCACAATATCAACATTGTAAAACAAAGCACATGAAGTAGTTTTAGAATTGTCACAACCAGGACAACACACACACACACACACACACACACACACACACACACTCTCACATATTAAACTTACAAAAAAGATTTCAGGTCTGTTTGCAATTGTACACCCCAGAGTTGGGGTTGGGTACAATTGCAAACAGACCTGAAGTCTTTTTTGTATGTATAATGTCAAAGTACTATGAATATTTTGAATGTAAAAGTCAAAATATTGTGTTCAAAACTTCCTTAAATTAGTTTTCTCAAATGTGATTGTTATTCAATTGAAATAGAGTTCAGTTGAATTTAATTGTTTGTTTGAATTTAGTTTTAGCTTTGTCTTTTCAACAGTTGCTTTAAATATATAGAACCTTAACAGTATCATGTATTCAGCACAGGGTTGGATTTTGCTTTATGAGCCAACTTGAAAATATTTTTCTTATTAAATGAATTAAATAATTTCACATTTATTACTTCAACTGATGTATTTTCAACTTTTGTTATAATATAACTTCTGTGTATATTGTGTATTATTTGTTGTGTCTTCTTTGCCATTTAAAATTTTCTTTTCAATTCTTAGGATTTGGAACTTTTGTTCCAGTGGTTAACTTTTTACTTATATTTTTTACCATTTGCTGTAAGATCTGTCAGTTTTAAATGATGTATTTTGACTCACATCTAATAAATATACAAGTGAGAAAGCCAATATTTTTTTAGTTGCATTCTTTCTGTTTTGTGAGAACAAACCATACTCACATATGACATTATTCAGAGCCTCATCCTTGTTTTGGTCTTAGATCTACAAATAAATACAATGCTTATTGTTAGGCCTTTTCCTAGGTATCTGCTATAACTTTTCAATGTGTAGATTCACTTTTTCTTTTATTTCTGGAAAGTTTTTTTTGTTTATGGTTTTTAATATTTCCTTCCTTCCTTCCTTCCTTCCTTCCTTCCTTCCTTCCTTCCTTCCTTCCTTCCTTCTTCAGTAACATTTAAGTTGGCTCTTCTTTACCTGAATTACACTGCAACCACTTTCTGAATTTTTTTTTCTCTGTTTAGAAAAAAATATCAGTTTTGTTTTCTTGGATGTCTTCCCTTTTTTTATTCAATACTCATTACTATTTAAATTTGAATCTGTTATCCCTTTATAATTTCATCTTTATTTCTAATATTATTTTGTTTTATTCTATTTTTATCTTAAATGTGGTCTATTCAATTTTATGTTCTACTCTCCTTTGTCCCTTTTTGTTTTTAATTTTAGAATTTATGATTCCAAATTATTTTTTATATCCCAAAATACTTAAGGATATATAATTTAGTACAAATTGTTATATTACCATTTCTTCTATGTAACTATTGTATTTAGGGAAGAATTGTCATCAGCTGATTCTTTTGGGTCATATTTTCTGTTTCCTATGTTTAGTAGTTATGCATGAAATTTTTTTTTTCCTATTTCTGTGCACTGTGGACAGAGTCCTAGGACAGGAGCCCTTTTTCTGTCAGTTTAGTGAAATGCAGTGCATTTAATGTATGATACTGGTGCTGGGAAGGGAAGATTTTCTACTTCCTTGCACTGCCCTATCTCCAAGAGGTACCACCTTTTCACTATTAATCTGATTTTCCCAAGAAGCAATGATTCTTTGAGACTGTCACTTCTAATCGTGATCACTTTATAACCCCTTTTCCAAAGACAGTGTTGTGAATGACCAAGTCCCAAACCTTTGTTCAGTTTTTACCATTTAGTGTTAGACTTTCTCTTTTTCTCTTTATGGGACAGTATTTTTTGGTTTCATTTCAGTTCTTTTTCCCACTCTGTCCACTCAAAAGTTTGCAGTTAGTAATGAGAGCTCTGTTGGATTTTTTTTTTTAGTGTACTTATAGGTTATTGAAATTCATGGTATTTTTTTAATCTCTTAGTCTTGTGTGGTTTTATTTGCACTATTTGGTGATTTGATGTTTCCGGGGATAGTGTGTATGGAGACTTGGAATCAAGTGAATGGCATTATCCTAAAGGCTTAGAAACTCCTAGATATCTTTTTGCTATTGATTGCTCATTTGATCTTTTTAGTCATAAAACATACACTGTATGATTACAATATTTCCAAATTCCTGAAACTTCTTGTGGCCCAGCATATAATTTCTGTAGGTGAATACTCCATGTACTACTGAACAGAATATGCATTGTGCCATTGTTGGGTGTAGTGTACTACTGACATTTGTTAACTAGGTTCAATTGTTCAACTGATATCTTTAATATAATTATTGATTTTTTGGACAGTTTTTCTATCAATTCTAGAAAGATAAGAGGTAGCATCTCCAAATGTAATTGTGGATTTGTCTATTTCTTCCTTTATTTCTTTAGTTTTTGCTTTGTGCATTTTGAAGTTTTATTAGATCCATGATATTATTAGGTTTATTTACATTTAGGATTGTTAGTGTTTCTTGATTAATTGACTCCTGATTATTATGAAATGTTCTTTTCAATTCATGGCAATACTTGACTTTTTTTTTTTTTTTTTTTTTTTTTGAGATGGAGTCTTGCTCTGTCACCCAGGCAGGAGTGCAGTGGTACAATCTCGGCTCACTGAAACCTCTGTCTCCGGGTTCAAGCAATTCTCTGGCCTCAGCCTCCCGAGGAGCTGGGACTACAGGCACACACCACTATTCTTGGCTAATTTTTGTATTTTTAGTAAAGACAGGGTTTCACCATGTTGGCCAGGATAGTCTTGAACTCCTGACCTCAAGTGATCCACCTGCCTCAGCTTCCCAAAGTGCTGGGATTACAGGCATGAGCCACCGCGCCTGGCCAGAAATACTTATCTTGAAGTATACTCTGATATTAATATAGGTACTCCAGCTTTCTTATGATTAATAGGTATGTGGTATGATTTCATCCTTTTCTCTTTTAATCATTTTGTACTTTGTACTTTAACCTTTTGTATATTTTGTACTTTTAATAATTTTGCATTTAAAATTTAGTCCTTGGATACAAAATCAGTAGAAAATACATTTTTATTAGTACTCCAGAGAATAAGAATTAACCAGAATTTCTTTTGTTTTGAATTGGTTTTAAGTATGGAATAATTGTCTTTAAAGTTATAAAAAGTGATTAGTGATGTTTATAAAATGTTAGCATTTTTTGCCTTGACAAATAGGTAAGTCCAAAAGCTTTCGGAGAGGCAGGCAGCAGCAAGAACTATTTGAAAAAAAAAATTATTTTTCTGAATTCAATATAGAAATACAAAAAAACCTTAAAACAACAGTTAAATCAAAGATCCATGACAAATGAAATTTAGTGATTAAATATACATATTTTCTGATTTTAACGCTAGTTGAGAGAAGAGAAAATAGCAAGTAGAAGCACAGAATGTGATCATTGGAAGGTACCTGGGAAATTCCTGCTTCATCCATTTAGCAAACTTAGGAGCACAACACATTCCAGTACTAGGATCTTGTGTGAGATTGTGTGAGTTTAGCTCTGCCATTTGATATATTACTACCTGTGGGATCTTGGGTAGATTGTATAATTGCTTTGAGATTGAATTTCTTCTATAAACTGGGGATAATGCTGCCTTTCTTCAGTCTAAGGATTATTATGAAGATAAGTAATAAAAGGAGTACAAAGGACCAAACAAATACAATTTTTTTTTTTTTTTTTTTTTTTGCAGTTGAGAAAAGAGGCACTTGGGGAGGATACACGCTCTAAGATTCTGCAGTTTATAACCAGCAGGCCCAGAGTTTAGGTTTTCAGAATCCTAGTGGTGTGTTTCTTCTGTTATGCCAAAAAGAAGCACATATCAAAAAGGCAAAAAGTATGAGTTGTGGGGATATTGGCATTATCAGTTTGCTTCTGAGGGAAGATAAGCATCACTACTTTCCAGACATTCCTCTGGAAGTGATATAGAAGATGCTGAGGAGTTCAGCATGGTGATGGAAGGAGGCATTTGTAGTAATGCTGAGAACAGAAAAAAGACCTGAGATGGGAAATTTGTAAGCTTGTTTTCAATTGCAGCTTCATTATGTGAATAAACTATACCTAGTTTATTTTTGGTTTAATACAGTAGTGCTTTTATGAAACCATGAAATAATTCTAATCAGTATAAACTTGTGTTTTAAAACTCCTGTAAATCAGTCAAAACGTCATCATGTAAACATCAGTTCTTGAGTCAGTAGTATTGCTGTTTCTGAGCCAGCTTCCCTATTCAAATTCAAATCTACATTGTGTGGTTAGGCAGCTGTAAATAAGACTGCTGTTATATGATGTCACATGATAAAATAAAGTACTTCCAATATCATTAAAAAAATTAAAAAATGAAGTTCATTCTTAAAAACAATAGAGTTGGATTTTGTTATTTTATCCAGTTTCTTAATGCCTGCCTTTTAATTGGAATGTTCAAGACCACTTATGTGTAATTTAAATATCAATATGGTTAAATAAAATCTATTGTCTGCTTTTTTTAAATTTTTCTCACTTTGATGTTGTTGCTGATGTTACTCTTTTTACTTTCTTCCTTTCTCTTTTGCGTGCATATGTCTATATTCCATTTTATATCCTTTATTGGCTTTATATTTAACTGTTTTTAGTGGTGTCCCTAGGGATTAAAATATTCATCTTTAACTTATTACACTCAATTTTCAAATGAGCTATGTCATTTTAAGTAAAATTTAAGAAAATTTGAATTGTATATTTTATTAGTCCATTGTCACACTGCTATAAAGAAATACCTGAGACTGGGTAATTTTTAAAGAAAAGAGGTTTAATTGGCTCACAGTTCTGCAGGCTGTACAGGAAGCATGGCTGTGGGGGCCTCAGGAAACTTATAATCATGGCAGAAGGGGAAGCAGGCACATCTTACATGGCTGAAGCAGGAGGAAGAGAGCAAAGCGGAGGTGCTACACCCTTTTAAATAACCAGATCTCTTGAGAACTCACTTACTATCACGAGAACAGCAAGGGGGAAATCTGCCCCCATGATCCAATCACCTCCCACCAGGCCCCTCTTCCAACACTGGGGATTAAAATTTGATGTGAGATTTGGGCAAAGACACAAATCCAAGCTATATCATATTTTTTTCAACCTCCCATTTATGTTTTTGTTGTCATTTATTTCTACATATAAGTTACTCTTATTTTTTTCTTTAAACAGTCATATTTTTTAAAAAACAAAATCTTTTGCGTGTATGCACATTTTTTTATTTCTAGAATTCTTCATTCCATCATACATGTCCACATTTTTACCTGCTTTCATTTCTTTTTAGACTAACAAACTTTCTTTAACATTTCTTGTAGTACAGACCTGCTAGTTACAATTTCTCTCAGATATTGTCTATTTGAAAATTTCCCTATTTTGTCATCATGTTTGAATGATATTTTCACTGGATATAGAATTTCACATTTTAAAAAGTTAAGCTGATTAGATAAGTTCTTCCATGGCCTCCTGGCACGCATTGTTGATGTGAAATCAGTGATATTTTTATAATTTTTTAAAATTCTGTGTTTTACTATTTTTCCTTTTGATTTTTAGCATTTTGATTATTCTTGGGCCTTTTTTTTAAAGATTCTTGCATCTGTGGATTAATATTTTTGTGACATCTGAGAACATTTTAGCTATTATATCTTCAAATATTTTTCCACCACAGTATTTCTTTTGTCTACTTCTGGAAATCTAATTATATGTATGTTAGGCTGTTTGATATCTTCCTACTAGTCACTGAGGCTTTGCTTATCATTTTAGCTTTTTATTCAGTGTCGTTAGTGTTAATAGTTTGTATTGCTCTGTATTCTAGCTCTACTAGGTATCTTCTACTAAAGTTTCCAATCTGCTGTGGAGTACAACTAATGAATTTTTTATACCAATTTTTTTTTGTCAGATCTAGAATTATAATTTATATCTCTAAAAATGTTTTCATTTCTCTACTGAGAAATAACTTTACCCAGTGTGTCTACATTTCCTTTAAATCCTTAAACATATTCATAATAGCTTCTAAAAATTTCTTATCTGTGAATTCAACATTTTTGTTATCTGTGAGTCTGTTTCTATTGAAGGTGATTTTACCCTCCTTTCCTAGTGTGAGCCATCTGTTTATGCCTTTTTACATGTCCAGTCATTGTTAGTGGTGCTAGGAAGCAAGGATACTGCATTGTCGAGAGTCTGAATTTTATAGTATACGCCTAAATAGTGTTGATTTCTGTTCTGGCAGGTAGATAATTTACTGGTATATCAGCATGATCCTTTTGAGACTTGTTTTTAACCTTTGTTAGAGTGAGTCCAGAGTCATCTTTAGGGCTAGAGTAGTTCTAACCCTAATGTCTGGGACTTTGGGAGTTTCATTTGAATGCCTGGGCTATTCATTGAGATCTCAACAATCTGACTTCTCAGAAATCCTTTGTCTCCTAGTATGATACAACCTTCACAAGTACCATTCTGCTCACAGCTTCTATTGTTTTTTCTTCTTGATCTTACAGAGTTCTGGAATTCCTTCTTTGTCCAGATCTCTCCTTTGTGGTACTGTGCTCTATAAATTCCACCCTAAACAGTATCCCTGACCCTGGTTTCTGCCTCCTCAGTTTAGCAAAACTTCCATGTTCTTGTGGTCTCTACCCCTTTGAGCCACAGTCTGAAATGTTTCTTCAGGCAGAAATTCTGGGAAAATGTGGGTTTACCTCATGTGTGAGCTTTCCTTCTTTCAGAGATCACATATATATATATTTGAAACAGAGTCTCGCTCTGTTGCCAAAGCTGGAGTGCAGTGGCATGATCTCGGCTTATTGCAACCTCCACCTCCCAGGTTCAAGCAATTCTCCCACCTCAGCCTCCCGAGAACCTGGGATTACAGATGTGCACCACCACGCCCAGCTAATTTTTTTTTGTATTTTAGTAGAGTTGGGGTTTGACTGTGTTGCCCAGGCTGGTCTTCAACTCCTGAGCTCAGGCAATCTGCCCACCTCAGCCTCCCAAAGTGCTAGGATTACCGGCATGAGCTACCACGTCTGGCCACTAGTCACTATTTTCAATTAAGCAATTTCCATGTCATTAGAATTTCTTTTTTTTTTTTACTAATAGTATACCTCTATTTGGATATTGCCTGCTATGACCTTTTTGTATGTAGCTTTATTTGATAACAGAACTAAACACTGGGAGTACAAAGGTTTCAAAATTTCCAACCAACTAAATACTTGCCATACATACATACCTATATACACATACACATGTATGCATATATATACACACATATGCACATTTATACAAATAAATATGTATATATATACACATTTATACAAATAAATATATATATGTATTATATATGTATATATGTATACACACATATACGTATATATGTGTATACACATATACATATAGATGTACATACCTAGAAACTGACAAAAGTGGAACTTAAGTTTTTTATTAAAAAAAGATATTTCATGGTGAGATATTGCTAACCTAGTATTTCCTTTTCACACATCTCCTGACATTTTATAATTATAGGATTCTTAGATATAATATTGTGAAAATCTTTAAAATATCTGTAGTTTAAAGATAAGAAAATAATAGTAAGATGGTTGAATATGATGCAAACCTTGTAAACAGGATTACAATATGATTGCAAATTTCTGGAATTCTTTCTTTGTCCAGATCTTGCCCCTCTGGTACCATGCTTTGCAAATTCTACTCTGAACAGTAGCCCTGACTCTCGTTTCTGCCTCCTCCATTTAGCAAAGCTACCATGCTCTGGTGGTCTCCACTTCTTTGTGCCACAGTCTGAAATGTTTCCTAGTCATGTGCCTGTTTTAGTAGGAATTCAGTATCATGAATGCGTTTTATTTTTGAAAATATGTGGCTAATAACAACTCATCAGATTTTCTTTTTTAAGAGCAAACAATGTTTGGCTGGAAATAAGATTTAAACAATCAAAGAATTTTTTTGTCACTTATGGGCATTACATATATAGGTAATTTTTTCTGCTTTGGTTGGTTTTGTCTAAGTCTGTATGGTTATATCTAGGGCTATGTAGTATATTAAATTTGATTTGGAGCATAGTATGTAGACAGAGGTGAAGTAGAGAGGTGGAGAGTAAGTAGAAATAAGAGTCCAGGTGAATGTACCAGCATGAGCAGAAAGACTGATAAGAGTGTAAAATGTATAAAAATCAGTAAGGAGACCAGTGTGACAAAGCATGGAGCCTGAACATACTACAAGGTAGGGCCAAGGAATATTTCCTTTCTTGAACGTTCACTGAGTATTGACTGCGCCAGGCAATCTGTAGGTTTCTGGTCTCGGTCTGGTCTCCAAGGAACTTATAGTCTATTGGAAAGACAGACATATAACAAATCTTTATAATTATCGAAATAAGTTATGTTAGAGACTAGCTTTTGTGTGCAGCGAAACTACTTATAATTATCTGAATTAATTTAAATTTCTATTAAAATAATTTTCCTTGAGAGTTTACATTTAACTTGCAAAGCTTGGTCATTATTTTACAATCTTCTTTAAACTTTTTCTTTGTGTTTATCTTAAGTTAAACAGATTAAATCTCCTTAAAAATTGATCTCTTTTAGAAATTTAATGACATTTTCTTATTTAAAATAATTTAGAAAGTTAATGTAATTTTTTTTTTTTTTTTTTTTTTTTTCAGACAGAGTCTCGCTCTGTCGCCCAGGCTGGAGTGCAGTGGTGCGATCTCGGCTCACTGCAAGCTCCACCTCCTGGGTTCCCGCCATTCTCCTGCCTCAGCCTCCCGAGTAGCTGGGACTACAGGTGCCCACCACCATGGCTGGCTAATTTTTTGTATTTTTAGTAGAGACGGGGTTTCACTGTGTTAGCCAGGATGGTCTCGATCTCCTGACCTTGTGATCTGCCCGTCTTGGCCTCCCAAAGTGCTGGGATTACAGGCGTGAGCCACCGTGCCCGGCAGTTAATGTATTTTTAATACTTCAAATGTTTAATTGGGAATATATAAATTCTAATAATAAAAACCTTCTCAAGTACTTTAAACAGTTCCTAAATTCTAATAAATTAAAGTTAGAAAATCAAGTTTAAGTTTAAAAAGGATTTGACACTATTAGCAAATGTAACCAAATTCTTTCATACTTTCAGCTTAAAAATGATTATTTTAAACACAATTATATATTTAAATTGAAACCAAAGGATTAATCTTTCAAATTCTTGGATAGGTCTTTTAAAAAATATTACAAATACTTTAACAAACATATATAGATTATCCTCAATTTAACATGAAATAATTAGCAATATGAGAGTCATCTGTGGTATAATTGATGTGTTTATTTCCAAATCTTTCCAAACATTTACTCATTAAGAGTAATAGATTTATTTGTTGCCTTAGGTAAGCTAGCATTGCTAGGTCAAACATTTCATGACTATCACATGGTTGCCACCTTGGGTGAGCTGATGTTTCTGGATTTGGGATTTGAGTTTGAGCAGGAAGATATGGCTGTTGATTTATCCTGAGTGTCAGTGAAAATACTGAGAAATTTTGGAGTCACTAAGACAACAGGAAACTCCAAGTCTATAACCTTCAGGATGAGGTTCCTTTTGTAATCAATATGCCCTGGGTTTTATTCCCTTCTCTAACATTTTCTAATCTATTATAACTTTAGTCACTTTCATGGACGTGATTCTGCTGACCATGCTTAGTTATCACTTGATTGGATTCTTCTAGTCTGTTTATTGTTTGATTCTTTTTACTTCTGGTTATTGGTCACAGCTCTTATGCTCTTCTAACAATGACTTTGTTGAAATAACAAAAATAGAGATATGTGCAAAGTGTTGGGAACATAAAAAAGAAAGCCAACTTCCTATTTAGGTTAAATGCCTTCTCTTTCTGAATCTTTTGAAACCTGTGCTTACTCCTATTTTAATATTTCTTAAAAGATATTCTATTTTGCCTTTTTTTTTCCTTTAGAATCTGTGAACTTTCTGAGAGACTTTCCTGTGTCTTCTTTTGCATTACATCCTTAGGATCCAGCACACTGCTGGCATGTAATAGGTGCTTAACAAGTATTTGTTGAACAGTATTTAAAAAATGTTAATATAATAACGGTGAAGAAGTTTGCAGTGAGATTAGAAGCAGGAACACTACTTAAAAATATTTAGATAGTCTTAATGAGAAATGTAGTCAATGGGAATAAACAGGAGGAAATACATTCAGGAGATGTTTGTTTAGTAAGTAGAATTGGTAGAACTTGATAACTGGATGATGGGGAGCATGTGAAGTCAAGAATGACTCAGATTTGTATCTTAGAAGGCTAGACAGATCATTACAATGCCAATAAATATAACTGGGACTCCAGAAGCAGGGATGTATTTAGAAGAAGATAATACGTTCAGTTTTGAATATGTTGAATTTGGGGTCATTATGGTTTATGCAGGTGGGAACTTCTAGTAAGTTGTTAGAATGAAAGTTCTAGAACTGATAAATATAGGCTAGAGATACGATTTGTAATAATCAACCCATGGATAATAATTGAAATAGGGGAATGGCTGAGGTTCTTAAGAGGAAATATATATCATGAGAAGGGAAGAATGTGGCAAATTTAACCTTAGGGAAAATAAAAAATAGCCTTCTGGAAAGGCTAGGGAGGTTATCAGATTAAAGAAAAGATGGAAAAAAAAAACAGAAGGAAAATACCAAGTCTGGTTATGGTAGCCAAGAAGGAGGGATTAATAAATAGTATCAGATACTTCAGATAAGGACCAAGAAAGAGTATTTGGATATCGTAGTTGGGAATTCCAGAGACTGAAAGACCATTTCATTCACACATTAGTGTACGTAAGTATGTTAAACATCGCCTCGTGTTTTCGAAGTACATTTCATTGACACTGAGTAATAGTTTCAGGATTTGTCCCCGCTAAATCTCATGTTGAAATTTTAACTTCAGTGTTAGAGGTGGGGCCTGGTGGGGGTATTTGGATCATAAGGGCAATCTCTTGGGAATGGCATGGTGGTGACCTTGTATGTTTCTTTTATTTGGTTGAGAATCAGACCAAATACTGGTGGTGACCAGTATGTTTCTTTTATTTGGTTGAAAGTGAGACAAATGTGAATTTGAATCCCTACTCTACCACGTCTGATAGTTTTATCTTAGGCAAGCTTCTCGAGCTTTCTGATGCATAGTTTTCTTGGGTATAAAACTGAAAGAAAACCTTATTATAGTGTTGAGAGGATGAAGGGAAGTAACCTATGCTTTTTAAATAAGGTAGACTACACTGACAGATGTGGGTTTTGACTGAGAGAGAGAATAGGTGGGTGATTTTGAAAGCACGGAAAGAGGAAGCAAATCCCTTCTTCCTTTCTCTTGTATAGCCTTGCCCTAGACACCACTGTATACCAACTGAGTGTACACTAGTATGCTAATATATAGTAAGTAAAGTACAGGTATCTGTCATGTTTTTTGTTGACTGGCCTTTGTTGTATAATTACAATTACAGCCACTAATTGTAATTCTTTATGGAGGAAAATATTTTTCAAGTTATAAGCATATCACACATGGATCTTGGAGCAAAACTAGTTTGGTAGTTGAGGATTGACCTCATTGGCTTGTGTCAGTGGATTTCTACCAGAGTGTAGACATCATTCCCATTTCATTAAACAGTGAGTGTGTATGTATGCATGTGTGGAGAAATACAGAAGTAAATGAAACAGAAAATGAAAATTACCAGTGAAGAAGATCGTGTTTGAGAATCGCAATTCATATGTAATATAAGGAAGAAGCATATAGAATTCAGAAGTCAGAAATATTTCTCTAAGTTTTTTTAAAGAAGAAAAATGAATTACATTCAAATGAAGTATGGTGTCATAGCTTTTGTAATTACAGCACTACAGCCATAAAATTTGAAGTTTTAGAAAAACTGCTCAAAAAGGTACTTTTCAAGACTTTCAAACATTGCTTGGTATTTTTGAAGTATAATTATTTGAAACTGAGTGATATAGTTTGAATATTTGTCCCCTCTGAATCTCATGTTGAAATTTCATCCTGGTGGGAGGTGTTTGGTTAATGAGGGTGGAACTCTCAGAAAGGTGGGTGCTGTCCTTGCTGTAATGAGTGAGTTCTTGCTCTATTAGTTCCTGTGAGAACTGATTGTTAAAAAGAGGCTGGCACATCTCCTCTCTCTTTCCTCCTCTCTTGCCACGTGAGTGATCCTGGCTTCCTTCCACCTTCCATCATGAGTGGAAGATTTCCAAGGCCCTCACGAGAAGCAGGTGCTGATACCATGCTTCTTGTACAGCCCGCAGAACCATGGGGCAAATAAACCTCTTTTCTTTATACCCAGCCTCAGGTATTCCTTTATAACAACACAAAATGGACTAAGACACTTAGCTTAAGTAAAAGAGAGATTTTCTTTTCTATAAGTCTTCTTCCTCTACATCTCTAATCTCTACTTTGACTTCAATTGTCTGAATAATAAAATGAGAAGTTTTAAACTAAACTCCACTATTATTTCAAAGTCAGATTCTCTAGAAGCCAGGCATTTTAGTTTTTGTAGTTAATTTTTTAAGTTTGAAATTTCTTTTGCAATAAAGTATGTATTTTCTTTCTCTAAACTCAAATATAGCATCAGGGCCATGCGTCACAAGGATCTGCTGATTGGGAAAACTAGCCATACATGTGCATTATCTAAATTGAGGACACAATGGGAGTTCAGTGTAAATGATCAGTTGTAAACCCAGTTTTTAATAAATTGCAACAGAGTTCCAAAGTTTCCTTCTTAAGTTAGCTTTATGATATTTATTAAAACAACACTTTCAGGAATTAGAAAATGTAAAAAAGAACTCACTCAAAATCATTTATTTTGGGTTTGTCATTGGTATTTCTCTGAAGTGGTGGAGACCATGAAAGTGGATTTAGTTTCCCCTTCTCCATCCACTCAAGCTTTGGGTTCTTAAAGGCAGAAAATACTGCTAGAGCTTTGGCTGTCACAGGGGTCCTTATTGGCAGTTATTCTTTGATCATTTACTGGTTAACTTACTACTAGTAAATGATCAAGTCAGCACCAGTCATGGGAAACATCTTTAGAGGCAAGAAAGTCAATCAAGCCTTGATTTTTTTTTTCAGTGTGTTGTATAATAAAAAATTTTTAAATAACTTCCTCATCTGAACTCACTGAGTCACCCCATTTATATTTGAATATCCCTACCACCCTTAACTCAAGTAGTCCTTCCTCTGGTTCTTGTCCCTGACTATATATTTGAGCCCTTTGGGGAGCTTTTAACAATCCCCATGGCCAGACTACAACCTGAACCAATTAAATCAAATCTCTGGATATGAAATCCAGTACCAGTGGCTTTTTTTTCCTTTGAAATTTCTGGAGACTCTCCAAAAGTGCAGCTAATTTAAGTAACTCATTATTCTAAACTCTATAGAGCTGGGATTGTAGATTCACGCTCAGTCAGAGATGGAAGTGGCACCGTGGCTGCAGTTTTTAAAATCACTTGATGCTAGGAAGAGATGGGACAGTGATAGTTACAGGCTGAATCCTGACTCCTCCAAATTCACATGTTGAAATCCTAACCTCCAGTCCCTCAGAGTGTGACTGTATTTGAAGATGGGGTTTTAATTAAGTTAACATGGGGTCATTAGCATGGGCCCTAATCCAATATGGCTGGTGTCCTTATAAGAAGAGATTAGGACAAAAAGCACATGTATGGTAGATATACCTGACAGCAATAACTGAACTTAAGCATACCCTGAAAATGACTCCGTATGGCAGATGCACCTGAGTATGTATGTGTTCACAGTTCCAAGCTAAGGAATCCGAGAGTGGCCAGCCCAGAGATTCATTCCTTATCTGTGAAGAACATCTGAGCCTACATCCAGTCCCATGGAACGTGGGATGTACAGGCAACTGAGGCCCTTTGTGTTGGGTTAAACAAAGGTTGCCAGGTGGAGGTTGTTAGGGGGAGTGAAAAATGCCTTATAAATGGCATACTTTCTGCAGGCCACGGCAGTTCTGCCTGGGCCACTCTGCATGTATGCTTCCCTCAATAAACGCCGTGTCTTGTTTCCTGGCTCTGGGTCTCTTCTTCAGCTTCTTGAACATGGTGTCATCCCTATTGGAGTACCAGGTCCAGCATGCCGCATGCACACAAAGGGAAGACCATGTCAAGACACAGGAAGAAGACAGCCATCTACCGCCTAGGAGAGAGCCCTGAGGAAAAACCCACCCTGTGATAAATTGATTTCAGATTCCAGACTCCTGAACTATGAGAAAAATAAATACCCAGTCTGTGGCACTTTCAAACTAATACATATCTGGCAAACCAATACAGGGAAAAAGGGATTGTAGAGGTAAAGAAGAGAAAGGAAGAGTGAAGAAAAGGCTTTGTGAGACGTCGTGTGAAGAGGAAGTTCTGTGCATGGAATTTGTTGATGCCAGAGCTGCACTGCTGTGTGAACAGGTCTCCTGGGAATTTCCACTATGCTGAGGCAATTTAACTGAGATCAAAGAGCCAGGGACCTAGACCTTTGTCTGATAATTATGGTGGAGACAGAGGGAAGAGTGAATGTGCTCTACTGATTTAGTTGGCTTGTGTAACCTCCAGCTACCTATCTAGCTTTGTGGTTTATAAACACTTAGCCTCCAGACTACTATCCCAATTTTATGCTGTGGGGTTCTCCACAAATGCTTCTTATGAAATTACAGTATTATAAACTCTTCAAGGAAGGGGGAACCATAGCCTACTCATTTTTGTGACTTAGTAAATGGCACATGGCAGGCACTCAAAAATGTTTGTTGAATGAGTGAATACATTGATTGATTAGTAAGTAAATAACCTACTGTATTAAGTCTAAATTATTTTAATTGATTTTCAAAATACTTCATATTCGAAATACATCTTTTCTTCTACTTTGCTTGTTACTGAATAGTTTCCCACAAATTGCTTATCTGTTCCTCCTATTATGTATTAGTTTAATGTATTGCCCACCTGAGTTGCCTTTTATTTATAGAATTACTTTATTTTCAAAGTTCATTTCTCATGTCTGTTAGGCTATAAACCATGGATCCCAGTCTACAGTCAGCAATCCTTTATTGAGCCTCTACTCTATGCCAGACACTGTGTTAGATACTAGGCATAGAGAAATATATTCAGCTACGTTCTCTGCCTTCTAAAGTCTTGCACTCAAGCTGGGAGAAAGTCAGGTATGTAGTTAAAATACAATGTTCTGAGTGCAATAGAAGCAGAAAACAGATGCTATTGGATGATAGGAGAAATAGAATTTAGATCTATATGGGGATTCAGAGAAGACTTAAGAGAGAGTGACTTAAATTGACTCTAGAGGGGTATGTAAGCATACACAGGTGAAGAAGGTGCATTAATGGTGATCCAAGGAGAGAAATAGCACACGTGAAAGCCCTCGAGACATTGGACTTGAGACACTGGAAACTCATTAGCACGTGAATGTTTTTATTTTGTTACTGAATCTATTCCTATTGAAATCTTAAGGAAGGGCCACCATTAATATTTACTCACATTGCTTAGGAAAAGAGGAGGGTATTCGTTATATAAAGCCTCCCTGCTATGAAAGAAAAGGGTGATAAGAAAGAAATCTGAGGTTATATTGTCTCTTGATCTGGTCTCTAAGTGATACCAATTAGCTCAAGTAAGTTATTTATTTGGGGCTAACCCCTGTATATCCCTATCTACAAAGTACTTTTATTTACACTGTCTCATCTGAGTCTCACAATGACCCTCTAAGAACATACTTGCCAGTAACTTTTTTTTTTTTTTTTTTTTTTTTTTTTTTACCATCTGTAAGGAAAGTGGATGTGCTGCAGTCAAGAACCAGCTGAGGCAGACATCCGGTCCGGCATGACTCAGTGAATTTGAAGTGCAGGTGCACAACTCTACTCATTATGTAACCACTCCACCTGAGGCACATTAGGTAACCACTCATGTGAGCTCGTGGCTGGCTCAGAGCTGGTGTTGTCTGTAAAAGGTATAACTATCTTACCGATGCTGTACATACGGCTTGCGCCTATGGCTCACTCGCAACAAGGCTAGCTCACGCCCAGAGAGAAAGTCAAGCCATGTTGAAACTGTCTACGATTCCTCGAGTGTTTTTCCAGCTACCTGCCACTCACCCACTGACTTCCCTCAGACCTCAGTTAGAACCTGAAACCATCATAGGGATAAAGAAACCAAGGTTCAGTAAGGCTGAGTCATTTGAGCAAGTTCGCCTAGATGGTAAGTTGCAGATCTGGGATTCATATCCAAGTTCTCTGAATTCACAGTCTAAGCTCTTTTCCTTATGCAATGTTTTCTTCTATCAGACATGTGAATAGCTTCAGCAGAAGAAATAATATAGGACTGGCCACTTCAAAGTGTAGAAATTCCATATGTCTAAAATTTAGGGAATGATAGCACCTGAAATGGTTCTTAAGAAGACCGAGTTCTAAGGAGATGCAGTAAGAACAGTCCATTGTTTTGCCAACAGGAAACACATCATGGTCAGTCTATCTCACTTGTCCTTTAGTTGAAAATAATTTAATGTAGTCCACATGTTCATGTCCTTCAGTGTCACAGTAGCAGTGAGGTGACAAAATTGATATGTCCCAGGGGGTGATAAAGAATGGTTAAGAGAGAGGGTTTTTGAAATCAGATGTGAGTTCAAATCCTGAGCCCACTATTGATTGGTTTAGTAAGCTACATAAACTTGTTGCGGCTCAGGTTTCTTGATCTGTAAAATGTGGATAATAAGCAGATCTTTCTCAGAACGTGGTTGTGAAAACTCGAAGAGTCAGTACATGTAAAGTGCTTAGGACAGTACTCAGCAAATAATCACTAAAAATACCAGTGATTATTTTTACTACTTCTCCTCCTAAATCTGTGGAAGAAAAGTGACAAATCTCGTGTCCCAAAGCAATCTTCTTCTAATAGTCAACCGCTATTGCTAGATACTAAATGTCACTTCATTTTCTAAACCTGTAGAAGTGTTCTAACTTGTAGAGCTTTGAAATACTCTTCTTGGTTTGGTAGAGACACCGTTATAATGCTACAGAACATTTGAATTTTACTTTTGTAGGCAAGTTCCAGGTTAATATAATTTTCTATCAATTGTAAAGTTTAGAAGTTGTGCCTAAGGCATATTTATTGAATAGCAATACTTCTAAAGTTAAAGTGAATTTTTGCTATATGAAATCTTAAGGGACTGGATAGAAAATATTTTAAGCAGAAAACATTCTGTGAAAGTATACATTAGCGCATAACTTTTGAAGATGAATGTTATGTGATGGTAGCATTGAGTTTAATTTTAGGCCTTTTGTGCTTGGACTATGTGATAAACTATGCCTTGAAATGGTAATTGTCTTTTAAAAATATTATGTCTTTATAAATTGATGCCAAAAACAAATCTTTCATTAAGGGTACAATCAGTGCTTTTTAGTTATGCCAATCTTGTCATCTGGAAAACATGCAGTATTTATACAGTTTTCAAAGATACATTTGATTTAGTTAGGTGCCCAGAGACCTGCACATGAATTGTTAATTTCATATTGCTCACAACAGCCATCCCTTGAATGTTTGCAGAGTTTATAGGAGATCAGTTACAAATGTGATTATACCAGCCATTCCTCAGGCCTGACACCAGTTTCAAATTAAAAACTGACAGGCCTCACCTGCTCCTGGGTTCACCCACAGGTCACCTTCTTGTCACTTCAGCTCTCCCCCCCATTAAAACGACATCTGTGTTCATAAAGGGACTGAGAAGGGCTGTGAGTTGTTAGAACTGTTGAGGAATAAGAATAAGGTGTTTTCTGCCCAGATAATGTAGTGTTCAACTTTGGCCTTTAAGGGGACATGAGGCCAGCCATAACTGCCTATGTTTCCAGATACAAGAATAAGGCCCAGAGAGGTCACCTGCAGATTCGAATAGAACATTCTAACCCATGGAATGGAACAAATGTACCATGTAAGGAATATGTGTTCATGCTAGTTAGAGGGAAGAGGCAAATAGGGATAGAATCTTTAAAATATTCTTCCCAGACTGCTAAGTATTCTCTGGGTGTTTTACTCATTTTACCTGAGAGAAAAAAAATTAGTTTTTTCCTTAAGAAGTGTAAGAATTGCAATTAGATCAATACAAATTTAAACTAAGTGAAAAACGTTTGAAAGATCTATAAACAGCATTTGCCTAGAATAATTTGCCATATGTTAACCATAATGCTTGCATAAAACTTTATAAGGTGTCACCTGCTTTCCAAGAAATAGAAAATGCTCTGTAGATGTTATCTCAATTAAGACCACCAGTTAAAGAAGGAAAAAAGATACTTCTTAAAAGAGAAAACTAAATGATAAAACATTTGAAATAATGTCTTAATATTTTAGTATCTCTGAAACTTAGGATAGTGCAATGCACAGAGCAGATATTTAATAAACATGCATTGAAGATAAGAAAAGCAAATCCACATAAGAAATGCCTGGTCATTGAACAAGTTAATACTGATCTAAAAAGTTAATACTGATTATGAAAGTAGATTATCCTACTATAATTTAAGTTCTTTGATTTTTGAAAACAAGAATTTGTTAATCTTTTTTTGCAAAAACATATTAATGCTTTTTAGCTACATCTACTTCTAGGACATGAAAACCCACAGTGATTCCTTGTTGTGCCTGCAACAAGCCCTATGGATGAGCTAAGCTCTCTAGTACACTGTGCTTAGCTGAAAAGGAAGCAGGTGATGAAGAGATTGAGGCATAAGAGGAACATCAATCTCCCCCACCCCCATAGTTAGAAAATCCATTTTTTACACACTGATTTAATTATAGACCAAAGCTTTAATTGTAAGTCTATCTTCAATCAATTTCTTCACCTACTTATTGGTGGCCCGTCATGATGCAGGCTGCAGTACATGGTGGCATGGTAGTTAGGTGGCCTGCCTGAGGATGAGCCTCACTTATTTGTTTTACTATCTGGGTGACTTTGGGCTACTTGTTCAACTATTTTGTCTTATTCTCCTTATCTGTAAAATGAGGACAATGATAATGCCTATATCACCCAGTAGGATTAAGTGAGTTATACTATGCAAAGCATGCCAGTCCTGCTGGGGCGTAGTAAGTGGTATATCTGTGTTTGTCAAATTAAACAATTGCAAACTGAGAATAATTATATTATGCAGCTCTCATGTTTTGAAGGTTGATAAAAGAATTAAAGTATAAATTTCTACATACTTGTCTGATAGCATGATTTTTAGTATATTATTGTTATTATATGTAAAATATAATGCTGGGCTGGCTGTAAGTGATCTAGACAACAGTTCCTGTGCTCAGGGAGACTGTCCTATAGAAAGTGCAGTGTGGTCACTCATGTATTTCTCTTGTCCAAGAGAGACAATGGAAGGGCTTCAGGAAAGTAACAGAACCTGGCCCTTCAGAGATTACCTGGAATCAGATTAAGTAAAGATGTACTATGGGAGGCAGTATTTGGAATGGGTCTTAACAGATAGATTTTGAGGAGAAACCAGGTGGAAAGTATTTCATTTTAGGAGAGTTATACACACAAATATGCATATATTGTGAATTTGATTTTAGAAATAATGAAGAGTTACTAACAGTTGTTTTAGATTTAGGATTATCTTGATTGTATTTAAAATTAGAGAGGGAATTGGGTTATGTATAGGTAGAGATTTATGTAGTTTATACAAGCTGAGTTACCCAGAGCCCAGGATAGGGACTCAAATATTTATTGACTGCCTATAATCATGCCACACTAGTAAATACTGAAATTATAATGATAAATATTATGTATTGTTTTCTTACTAGATAACGAGCAGAGTGTTAGCAAGTTTACGTATATTTTATCATTTTTCCCCATGATAATCTCACAAAGATAGATACCAGTATTGTCTAAATTTTATGACTGAGGAAACCACTGAGCCTTAGAGGGGTTAAGTAACTTGTTCATAGTGACAAAACTAGTAAGTAATGTAACCAGAATTTTCTTACTGGAGGACAAGTTACTATTAATAATTTTAATATGCTGTGTCACAAAAGGCATAAAGCTATAAAGACATTTTAGTTGAGATGATAGCACTGGGCAGAAGGATATGGTGTTGATGCATAGCTTTAAATAATGTCAAAACAGAACAGAAGTTGATATGAAAGATATTTGTTTGGTGGAGAGGATAGATGGGGTAGAGATTGTGGGGGACTAGAGAGGGATTTTCTGGGATGCTGTTGATGTTCTGTTTCTTGATCTGCACATGTCACATGAACATGTTAAATGCTTTTCATTAAGCTGTTCACTTAGGATTAATAACTTTTCTGGATGGATTTTTATACTTCACTTAAAGGGTTTATAAAGAAATACATGTTTGATGTCCAGGTTTGCTAAAGAGGCTCACTAAAATCAGTTAAGAAACATTAAGAAAACTCACAGAAACATACACACACACACAATTTTTGTCTACAACTCCATCTCTGCTTTACCCAGGAGAAGCTTAACTTCGGATCAGGAGATGTGAACAGCAAATCTCTTCAAACTTTTAAAAATGGAAATGATATAACATATCTTCCACAGGGTGAAAGTGTAGATCAAATGAGATTTAATGAGACAACATAGAAATAAGATTCCCGGTGTGCATCCTGCAAATGTCCTTTCGTGAAGATCACAAGAATAGGCTCTTGAATACTAGTAGGTGGAGCATTCATGTTAGAAAATTATTTCAAAATTCCCCTTTAGGATAAAATACATAATTTATGCTTCATCTCCTCCTGTGCCTCTATATTAAATATTCATTGTCTTTGACCCATACGTTGTTATTGCTTTAAAAAATTCAGTAAAATATTATCACCTGGAAGGGCATTGGAGTATAAAATCCAAACAAAACT
Organism: Homo sapiens; assembly: GCF_000001405.40. NCBI lineage: Eukaryota > Metazoa > Chordata > Mammalia > Primates > Hominidae > Homo > Homo sapiens. The sequence goes on along the minus strand of NC_000001.11, from coordinate 199,662,320 downwards.
GGTACCTCTGCACTTGTAGAAAACTATGAAATATAATATAGCACATATGATATACATATTTGTTGATTCATTCCAAGAAAATGAGAAAAGAGCTGAAATGTCTTAAAGTGTAGCTACAAACGTGTATAGGAAGGGAAGAGTTTTTTTTTCCCCTATGGATGTTCTATAAAGATTATTTTGGAAAGATGCAGTCTGAGGAAGGTGTGGTAGATAGAAAATTACAAAGAAAAGTTTAGCTGGGTTGCGAAGCTAACATTCTAAAGCATAACAGGGACTGTCTACCTACAGCCTGCAGGCTAAATCCAGCCTATAACCTGTTTTATTTTTTTTTGGAAGCCTGTGAGCTAAGCAATGTTTTTACATTTTTAAGTGGTTGAAAAAATATACTTTTTTTCATGTAAAAATTATATGAAATTCAGATTTCAGTGTCCATAAGTAAAGTTTTACCATTGGGACATGGTCGCGCTCATTTGTTTATATATTGTCTTTGGCATAGTGCAGTAATTGCAACAGAGAACATATGGCCTGCAATGCCCAAAATATTTACTATCTGGCCCTTTTCAGAAAAAGTTTGTGGGTCCCTAATTTAAGGCTCAGTGTTTAGGTCATAGAAAGGCAGTGTGAGTACACTCATAATGTAGTACACTTATGGAAATCATTTTCCCTCCTCTACCTAGTTTATGAAAATGTTCAGAGCTTAAAAATTGTTCTAGCTACATATTGCATTTGAGCCAGTGTTTGAGCACCTCCATGAAGCTTTCTTGGCTCTGACAAGGGAATGATACTTCTTACTCTAAAACCCGAAGCACTTTATATCTGTTATAGTACTTACCATATTTTGCCTAAGACTAACGTTGTCGCTGATGCTTACTTTATTTTCTCAGCTAGATTATTATCTCCTTGGGGAACAGGAATAGATGTCTTTCATCTAACTTTTTTTTCTCTTGTTATCTAGCATGATGTTTTGTCCAGTATTTGTTGAATACTGGACAAATATTGCCCAGTATTTGTTGAATGAACATTAATGACCAGATTAACTCTGCATTTTTAAAGAAATTTGATTCTTAGGAGGTTATGACACAAAGTTTACCTTGTACATTGTTGTTTTCTGGAATACAGGACTGATAATATTCATTCCAAAGAAGTTCTGTATCCAGTGAGATCTAGAATGAAAACATTATTATTCAGATATCAGCTTTCCTAGAAGCAGCAACTCATTAAAGTGATTCCTTCATTGGTTTACTGGATGTTTCTTTTTAACTTTTTCCTTTTCTTTCTTCATGGATCTCCCCTTGAGGTCTGTGTGTTGCTTCCTCTAATGGTAGTTTGGGAGTCGAGTGTTGGGATTTAACTTTACATTATTGTTGTTTACTTCCTATAATATCAATTAATTTAGCATTTTATGCCTAGCCATTATTTTTTCTTCTTCTCAACTTTTATGTAAGTTGGAAAAATATATAATTTCAACATTTTCAACAACTTTTAAAATTCAAATTTGTCCACTTTTCTGGCATTTTATCTGGGAATCATTTTCTTTATTATTTTCTCTTTTGTTTGCCTGTAGTATTTCCTATCATACTTCCTTCCTCTTTGTTAGTCTTTTCTTCACTGCAAATAGAAACTTCAGTGTAAACTCAAAGAATGGGGAATTAGCTATTTAAATCCAGAGAAATTTTGTGTGGCCCAAGTAGTCAATATACTGAACAGATGAGGATAAATTAAATGGAAATAAACTGAAGATAGAGCTGTGTATGCAATTCTGCATTGGAAAAAAAAAGGATCTTTTCAAGATTTGTAAAACCATGCTTGGCAGGGGGAAAAATATAACAAAAATAGATTTACTGAGGGCAACACTTTAAAAAAATGATTTGGGTATTGATCATGTTTAATCTTTTGCCCTGAACAACTGGGAGATGTATTATAGCCAGAGCCTGCAATGAAAAGCAGGTCTGTTCTTTAACCTGCCCCAATTCACTTCAACATATTTTATATCTCAGGGGATTTGGCCACCAAGTCCATTAGAACTTTGGAGGCAGTCAGGTCAAATCAATTGTCCACACTGCAGACAGAGTACCCATCATTTACGGTAATTCACCCCCGTCATGGTAGAGGAGAGGAAAGGTTAAAAGCTGTATTGCCATGAGCACATCTCATCTATCTTTCAGTATATTGGTAATACCCAAACATTGCTTAAGGAATAGAGTGTACAACTTTAAATTAAGTTGTATTTAAAGGCATTAAAGGCAGTTCACAAAATTCTATTAATGATATTTTAGTTGAAATTAGGGGAATATCATGCTCCTGAACAAATCTGAATAATTTTTCATGCTTGATAAGATTTATGCAAAGTGTACAGAATGCTTAGTAATGAAGTCTTGAGAGATTCAGAATGACTTGAATTACTGACTGTTTTGCCAGTCTCCTTCTCCCTAGATGAGATTTTACTTCACATTTGGTTATGGGAACAGAAGAAGAGATTTATACAACATTCATCTATATTGAAGGCACAAACGTAGGTCATAAACAAGGGAGGAAGAGATTGAATAAAAGGGTCATTTTAAAAATTGGTGATTTCTATGTTTTCAGAAAGAAAAAATAATCCACCCCTAATTTGAAGATGACATGCTTAAAATGTGTCAAATAACATTTTATGATGGATATCAACACAGTAAAAATGTATCCCTTATGCTTTGTTAGTAGAGAGAATCGGCTTCAACTTACAAACCCAGTCACGCTTTCCTGTGGCATTACTTGCTTCTGAGTCTGTACTTGGGGCAAATAAGCTCAGATACAGCTGCCCTGGAATTTTAAGTGCAGTGCAAAGCTATTCGCTGCTTTGTAGAATGGGGATGAATTAAAATGTCTATGTAAAAATTAGCCTTGTAGTCTTCCTTTTTACCTTAGTGCTTTCTTTGCTCAGTTTCTCTGTTGAATTATGTTTTCCATCATAGACTTCCTCATGGAAGGCAAATCATGTTAAAGACGTTAATATCTTTGGTACAGAAAGGAATATGCTGTGAATGACATATATTTTTGTTTGGGGAAACCCATGTATGACTAATAAAAAAATGTTGAAAATCACTACAATCCATGTAACAAATTTTCCCCAAACCTTTCTATGTATTTGTTTCTGTTTAAAGAAGAATACAGAGAAACTGGGTGTATAGAGAGACTGTGAGTTAATTTCTCTGGAGTAGAATTGCTTTGATGACAATTTAGATTTTAAAAAGTTCCATCTTACTAGAAATAACAATAAAGGAAACACACCTATAACTGTTTATGTAATTTCTTTCAACATCACTTATTTACGATATTGCTGCAAATCAGAAGTCTTTTTGTTCTTCTCTGTAAGTTCAGGCTTTATCTTGAGGGTTTCCAGTGATTTCTAAAGGCACAGAATGAATGGAAGAGATACAGCATGCAGCAAGGAGTAGAGTCACGTAAAAGAGAAAATAGCATAGCATCACATCACCTAAATATAAGACCATGTCTTAAAACAATTGATAACTAGAGCCAAAACTCTATGTAGATAGTAATGATAATTATGTGTAAGGGATAAGTTTTTCATTGGTTCCAGAATACAATAATGAACATTTCAAGATATCTACTCTGATCACTCCACTTAGAAATATGCCAACCAGCATCGAATCAGGAGAATTTCAAAACTACTGTTTGAGGCAATTATTCAGGTTTTAAGTTTGGAGGGTAGGAAATATCCAAATTTATTTGGACTCTCAAATCACAGAATAGCTAACACATCTTCAGAAAAAAAATTCTTTGAAACTTGCATCTGGTCTAAAATCTTGAGAGCCAAAACTGCCTTATGCAATTTGCAATAAATGAAACAGTTCTGGCAATAATAGAGTCATCAGTAGAAATGCTGACTTGTTAGACTTAGAACAAAGCAGAATTCCAGAATAGATATTTTCTCAAAGAATTTGTTGTTTGAAGAGTATTTCTAAAATCTGTGTTTGGAGAACTCAAAATAATGGTTTTAAACAGCCAAAGTGTCTGTTACTAGTTATGTCCTTCTTTATGGCAAAGCCGAAGGGTAAGCACAAGAGTGGAGTCTCTTCTGGGGAATTTAAACAAGTGATAAGACAAAGGGAGAGACAGATCTCTTTCTCAGATAGATGGAGAAAAATAAGGAAATGAATTAGATATTCTCTAGAAGTTCTAAATTAGCTCTACATTTTCTTTTTAGGGGGGAATTTTTATCATGATACTTTTGGAAAACTACAGGAAGGAAAACAGCTGATAATAAAATTCAGATCCTACTTGTGATGATCTGCTTATCTGTGCTTGATGAAATAAAACACATCCAGGTGGTTGTAGCTTGGAATCTACAACTGGTAGGAGTGTCTAGAAATCAACGTGGCTTCCAGAGTGAATGTGAAAGTATTTCTAAGGAATCAGGGCTTAGTTATTAAGAAAGGGATCAGAAAAGTGAAAAGACAACCACAGAATAGGAGAAAAGTTTTAAATCATATGTCTGATAAGGGCTTTGTATCTGGAATATATAAAGAATTTCAACTCAATAATAAAAAGACAAGCAAATTAAAAACATCAGCAAAGAATGCAAAAGACATTTCTCCGGGGAAATACCCGAATGGCCAATAAGCACATGAAAAGATGTTTAACATCATTAGTCATCAGGGAAATGCAAATGAAAATCATCAAGAGATACCATCTTATACACACTAGGATGGCTAGTTAAAAAAGTCAGACAATGATAAATGTTGGTGATGATGTGGACAGATTGATACCCTCTTACGTTGCTGGTGGGAATGTAAAATGGGACCACTTTGGAGAACAGTCTGACAGTTCCTTAAACAAACATAGAGTTACCATATGACCCAGAAATACCACTCTTGATATATACCCCAAAGAAATAAAAACATATGTCTACACAGAAACCTGTATGAAATGTTTATAGCAACACTATTCATAATAGCCAAAAGTTGAAAACCACTCAAGTGTCTATCAATGGATGACTGGCTAAGTGAAATATGGTATATTCATGTAATGGAATATTAGTTAGCCATAAAAAGGAATCAAGTACTGATATATGTTACTTTGATGAACCTTGGAAACATTATGCTAAGTGGAAGAAGTCAGTCGCAGAGTCCATTATTATATGACTCCAGTCATTTGAAAGTCAAGAATAGGAAAATCTATAGAGTTAGAAAGCAGATAATGGTGTTCTTAAAGATAAAAGGAATGGGTGGCGGGGAGGAGGACTAGGGGATGATAGCTAAAGAGTACAGGTTTTATATTGAGGTGATGAAAATATTCTAAAATTGACTGCAGTAAAGGTTGCATATATCTAAACATACTAACGTCCATTGAATTGTACCCTTACATGTGTGAATTGTAAAGTATGTCAATTATATTTCCATATAGCTATTAAAAACTGAGCAAGTAGTAGAGGCCTATTCTTCCATGGACAATCGCTGATGACTTATATTGGATTAAATTATTAAATGGGGTTACTTTAAGGAATATTTTATTTGCTGTAGGCATTTTTCTATGTGTTTTAAACATGAATCAGAAGCCTCTGGCTTCCTAGTTTCTAAATGCAACTTAACTTCTCTTGGCGGCAACCTTCTTAACATAATGAATTCTCATGCTTCTCCTTTTTTCTAAGGTAATTTGACATAAGAAATCTTCTTCAGAAAACCTTAATAGGATTTGCCACCAAGATAGCTATTTGAATTTTGGTAAATGATAAAGTATTTTCCTGATAAAGTTTATCAATAATAAAAAAGATCATTAATTATATGCTATAGGGGAGTGGAGCCTGGCATTACAAGGTATATATGTATTCTAAAGAAATTTCTGCTAAAGTATAGACTCTCAGTACAAATGAAATTATCTACTCTTGGTCGTTTTGATGGTAGCAAACAGTATCTTCCTGTAGAGTGATGATGTTAACATTCAAAGTGTTCCTTCCTTGTCATAGCTCTGTGTTCAATAGTATGAAAAATAAAAGTAGGGGAGGTTTTTATAGTTGGAGAGAGAACACATATTTAGCCATTGGTGACTTAATAGCAATAGGAGAAACACATCAAAATAATGCAAATTAATAGTGTACATAAAAGTATAAATCCATAGGGATTGCAGAATAAGGAATAAGCAGAGACTATGTAAGTCAGGAAAAGTTTCTTAAAGGTCAGAGTATTGAAAGAAAGAATGTCAAATTTCAACCTGGAATTTTTATGTATCTATATTGAGCTAATGGAAATTCCTTTTCACTAATGCTAAAACTCAGTTGCCTAGAAAATTTACTAGAGACATATAGAAGTTTCTCTTGCTTTGGCAAAATGGCTTCTTCATTTCCTGTTTGACTCAAAAACCAGAACTCAGGAATAGGTACATGGATGAGTAGAGATAAATAAGTAGCTATTACCTGTAATAGTGAAGAAAGCAAGTAGATTCATTTATTAGGGTTTCAATTGAATTTATTTGTTAAATTCTTTATTTTAATGAAGACGTTCTTCTTCAATAAAGACCAATAACATCTATGTGTAAAAATTATATTTTTAATAAATTTATTGTAGCTTTCTTCCTATATTTCATAGCTGGGATATAGATAATAGCACTATTGTGTATATTGCTATTACAGTCAAGAAATAAGATCTTCAACAAAGGGTGCTTTTTTTTTTAACCATGGGGGGAGTATTTATGAATTTGCTGATTATTCTTTCATTCCCTTATAATCTGAGCTTGAAATCCATCGGTTTATCTAGGAATCCTGAGCAAATAATTTTAAAAGTAATTTGCTGTGCACAAATAAAATAACTTGCTTTTTCTTAAATGACTGGTAAGCCAACTTTTAGGTATTTTTCTCTGACTGTTTAAGGAAAAGCTTATTCAATCGATCTCAATCCTATTTCAGTGTCTCTGCTAAACTGTAAAAGCTAGAATTCGGCATTAAACTGTGATTGGCCTTGTTAAGGAAGATGGTAGAAGTGTACAGTAGATGTTCCTGAGAACATCTTTATAAGGTGTTCTGTTTCTTGTACAGTAAAGTTTCCTGAGAACACCTTTATTAGGTCTTCTGTTTCTTGTAAAAAAGATTAAGTATTTTATAACCTGCTTCTATGCAGAATGCCTATGGCTCAAATTTAGTGGGCTAGGATTGTGTAGTTGGAATATTTACAAAGCACGTGATGATGGTTGATATTTTATACATTTGGAGGTAACACTTCAAATCTATGTTGATAATATTAATTTTAGTGTTACATTATGAACCACTGGGTCTTTGTAGAAACAATGCAGTATAAATATTAGGTTGGTGCAAAAGTAATGGCAAAAACCACAATTATTTTTGCACCAACCTAATATCTTCTAGATGTAGACAATAAAAAATAGGTATTCTCGCTCAGATTCTTACTTGTATTTTATATATGGTAATATAATGAGGTATATGATTTAATATGGATCTTAGACAATATCTTAAATATTTTCATAGAATCGTGGTATGATAAAAGCATGTTATTTGGCATCTGAAAGACTGTGCTTATTCATAGCTCTACCACTCACTATGTTAGTAAGTTATTTAAATTTTCTGAATCTCTGTAAAAATGAAGATAATACAATCAAGCTCATGTGAGTGTAATTAAAACTATGCATGTTAAAATACTAGTATAGTCCCTGGTAAATAATAGGTGCCCACTATCAGTTTTTGATATTGCAGTTTTAAAAGAAATATCTTAGGGTTTCTGGGGACCTGTGAGCTCTTTATGATGGATTTTAAATTTAGTGTTTTATTTAAGAGGTAATATGCAGGAATTAGAAAGTCATAGTGTATAACCTGGTATTAGCATGCTGTTTAGTGTATATGTTAGCATTTGTGTTTACAATTATATTAGTGCTAAGTGAGGGCCAAATCACATCATTGCAGAATGCAAGAATGAAGGATTCACAGTAATTTGAATATTCCATATTGGAGGCAAAGGAGAAACAATCATAAGAAAACTTAATTTACATTTTTATCATTTTAAAGTGCTGTTTCCTGATTTTCTTTTCTTTTCTTTTCTTTTTTTTTTTTTTTTTTTGAGACAGATTCTCACTCTGTCACCCCAGGCTGGAGTGCAGTGGCACGATCTCGGCTCACTGCAACCTCCACTTCCAGGTTTAAGTGATTCTCCCATCTCAGCCTCCCGAATATCTGGGATTACAGGCACATGCCACCATGCCTTGCTGATTTTTGTATTTGTAGTAGAGATGGGGTTTCACCATGTTGGCCAGGCTGGTCTTGAACTCCTGACCTCAAGTGATCTGCCTCCCAAAATGCTGGGATTACAGGCGTGAGCCACCTCGTCTAGCCCTGATTTTCTTTAACAGTCTGATGACAAAACTAAAGCTATTTCCATCAACATTTAAAATAATTGAAAACTAACATCAGCTATTATTTTCTCATCCTCAAACTCCGTTAATTATTAGATAACCACTTATTATATTTTAATAAAATCAAAACACTTTATAATCAAATAAGATATTTGCAATGTTATGAAGTGATACTTCATAAAACTTCATTTGTACTATTTTGTACAATATACTTATATAATTTTTTGAAAATGTAGTTTTGGCTTTTTTAATAGACATAAATATTTATTAATATTCTTTGACACAGTAATTATTACAGAAGCATATTTGTTTCATTTGATTTAAATTGTCTATGATGTTTCTTTATAGATTTATGTCAAAGTAATAGAAATCATAACTAATGACCAAGATGGCCTTAACATTCCCCTTAGCTTGAACAAACTTTGGACTGGTTTCTTCCTCTTTAGATGGGGACCATATGTGTTTTACTTCTCTTTTCTTAGAGCGTTTTTTTTTCTTTTTTTTTTTTATTATACTTTAAGTTCTAGGGTACATGTGCACAACGTGCAGGTTTGTTACATATGTATACATGTGCCATGTTGGTGTGCTGCACCCGTTAACTCGTCATTTACATTAGGTATATCTCCTAATGCTATCCTTCCCCCCTTCCCCCACCCTACAACAGGACCCAGTGTGTGATGTTCCCCTTCCTGTGTCCATGTGTTCTCATTGTTCAATTCCCACCTATGAGTGAGAAAATGTGGTATTTGGTTTTCTGTCCTTGTGATAGTTTTCTCAGAATGATGATTTCCCGCTTCATCCACGTCCCTGCAAAGGACATGAACTCACCCTTTTTAATGGCTGCATGGTATGCCATGGTGTATATGTGCCACACTTTCTTAATCCAGTCTATCATTGATGGACATTTGGGTTGGTTCGAAGTCTTTGCTATTGTGAATAGTGCCACAATAAACATACGTGTGCATGTGTCTTTATAGCAGCATGATTTATAATCCTTTGCATATATACCCAGTAATGGGATGGCTGGGTCAAATGGTATTTCTAGTTCTAGATCCTTGAGGAATCACCACACTGTCTTCCACAATGGTTGAACTAGTTTACAGTCCCACCAATAGTGTAAAAGTGTTCCTATTTCTCCACATCCTCTCCAGCATCTGTTGTTTCCTGACTTTTTAATGATCACCATTCTAACTGGTGTGAGATGTTATCTCATTGTTGTTTTGATTTGCATTTCTCTGATGGCCAGTGATGATGAGCGTTTTTTCATGTGTCTGTTGGCTGCATGAATGTCTTCCTTTGAGAAGTGTCTGTTCATATCCTTTGCCCACTTTTTGATGGGGTTGTTTCATTTTTTTCTTGTAAATTTGTTGAAGTTCTTTGTAGATTCTGGATATTAGCCCTTTGTCAGATGGGTAGATTGTAAAAATTTTCTCCCATTCTGTAGATTGCCTGTTCACTCTGATGGTAGTTTCTTTTGCTGTGCAGAAGCTCTTTAGTTTAATTACATCCCATTTGTCAATTTTGGCTTTTGTTGCCATTGCTTTTGGTGTTTCAGTCATGAAGTCCTTGCCCATGCCTATGTCCTGAATGGTATTGTCTAGATTTTCTTCTAGGGTTTTTATGGTTTTAAGTCTAACATTTAATTCTTTAATCCATCTTGAATTAATTTTTGTATAAGGTGTAAGGAAGGCATCCAGTTTCAGCTTTCTACATATGGCTAGCCAGTTTTCCCAGCAGCATTTATTAAATAGGGAATCCTTTCCCCAATTCTTGTTTTTGTCAGGTTTGTCAAAGATCAGATGGTTGTAGATGTGTTGTATTATTTCTGAGGGCTCTGTTTTGTTCCATTGGTCTAGATCTCTGTTTTGGTACCAGTACCATGCTGTTTTGGTTACTGTAGCCTTGTAGTATAGTTTGAAGTCAGGTAGCATGATGCCTCCAGCTTCGTTCTTTTGGCTTAGGATTGTCTTGGCAATGCAGGCTCTTTTTTGGTTCCATATGAACTTTAAAGTAGTTTTTCCAATTCTGTGAAGAAAATCATTAGTAGCTTGATGGGAATGGCGTTGAATCTATAAATGGCAGCATGGCCATTTTCATGATATTGATTCTTCCTATCCATGAGCATGGAATGTTCTTCCATTTGTTTGTGTCCTCTTTTATTTCATTGAGCAGTGGTTTGTAGTTCTCTTTGAAGAGGTCCTTCACATCCTTTGTAAGTTGGATTCCTAGGTATTTTATTCTCTTTGAAGCAACTGTGAATGGGAGTTCACTCATGATTTGGCTCTCCGTTTGTCTGTTATTGATGTATAAGAATGCTTGTGATTTTTGCACATTGATTTTGTATCCTGAGACTTTGCTGAAGTTGCTTATCAGCTTAAGGAGATTTTGGGCTGAGACAATGGGGTTTTCTAAATATACAATCATGTCATCTGCAAACAGGGACAATTTGACTTCCTCTTTTCCTAATTGAATACCCTTTATTTCCTTCTCCTGCCTCATTGCCTTGGCCAGAATTTCCAACCCTATGTTGAATAGGAGTGATGAGAGAGGGCATCCTTGTCTTGTGCCAGTTTTCAAAGGGAATGCTTCCAGTTTTTGCCCATTCAGTATGATATTGGCTGTGGGTTTGTCATAAATAGCTCTTATTATTTTGGGATACGTCCCATCAATACCTAATTTATTGAGAGTTTTCAGCATTAAGGGCTGTTCAATTTTCTCAAAGGTCTTTTCTGCATCTATTGAGATAATCATGTGGTTTTTGTCTTTGGTTCTGTTTATATAATGGATTATGTTAATTGATTTGTGTATGCTGAACCAGCCTTGCATCCCAGGGCTGAAGCCAACTTGATCATTGTGGATAAGCTTTTTGATGTGCTGTTGGATTCAGTTTGTCAGTATTTTATTGAGGATTTTTGCATTGATATTCATCAGGGATATTGGTCTAAAATTCCCTTTTTTTGTTGTGTCTCTGCCAGGCTTTGGTATCAGGATGATGCTGGCCTCATAAATGAGTTAGGGAGGATTCCCTCTTTTTCTATTGATTGGAATAGTTTCAGAAGGAATGGTACCAGCTCCTCCTTGTACCTCTGGTAGAATTCGGCTGTGAATCCATCTGGTCCTGGACTTTTTTTTGGTTGGTAGGATATTAATTATTGCCTCAATTTCACAGCCTGTTATTGGTCTATTCAGAGATTCAACTTCTTCCTGGTTTAGTCTTGGGAGGGTGTATGTGTCCAGGAATTTATCCATTTCTTCTAGATTTTCTAGTTTATTTGTGTAGAGGTGTTTATAGTACTCTCTGATGGTAGTTTGTATTTCTGTGGGATCGTTGGTGACATCCCCTTTATCATTTTTTATTGCATCTATTTGATTCTTCTCTCTTTTCTTATTTATTAGTCTTGCTAGTGGTCTATCAATTTTATTGATCTTTTCAAAAAACCAGCTCCTGGATTCACTGATTTTTTAAGGGGTTTCTATGTCTCTATCTCCTTCAGTTCTGCTCTGATCTTAGTTATTTCTTGCCTTCTGCTAGCTTTTGAATGTGTTTGCTCTTGCTTCTCTAGTTCTTTTAATTGTGATGTTAGGGTGTCAATTTTAGATCTTTCCTGCTTTCTCTTGTGGACATTTAGTACTATAAATTTCCCTCTACACACTGCTTTAAATGTGTCCCAGAGATTCTGGTATGTTGTGTCTTTGTTCTCATTGGTTTCAAAGAAAATCTTTATTTCTGCCTTCATTTCGTTATGTACCCAGTAGTCATTCATGAGCAGGTTGTTCAGTTTCCATGTAGTTGAGCGGTTTTGAGTGAGTTTCTTAATCCTGAGTTCTAGTGTGATTGCACTGTGGTCTGAGAGACAGTTTGTTATAATTTCTGTTCTTTTACATTTGCTGAGGAGTGCTTTACTTCCATCTATGTGGTCAATTTTGGAATAAGTGTGATGTGGTGCTGAGAAGAATGTATATTCTGTTGATTTGGGGTGGTGAGTTCTGTAGATGACTGTTAGGTCCACTTGTTCCAGAGCTCAGTTCAATTCCTGGATATCCTTGTTAACTTTCTATCTCGTTGATCTGTCTAATGTTGACAGTGGGGTGTTAAAGTCTCCCATTATTATTGTGTGGGAGTCTAAGTCTCTTTCTAGGTCTCTAAGGACTTGCTTTATGAATCTGGGTGCTCCTGTATTGGGTGCATATATATTTAGGAGAGTTAGCTCTTCTTGTTGAATTGATCCCTTTACCATTATGTAATGGCCTTCTTTGTCTCTTTTGATCTTTGTTGGTTTAAAGTCTGTTTTATCAGAGACTAGGATTGCAATCCCCTCCTTTTTTTTTGTTTTCCATTTGCTTGGTAGATCTTTCTCCATCCCTTTATTTTGAGCCTATGTGTGTCTCTGCATGTGAGATGGGTCTCCTGAATACAGCATACTGGTGGGTCTTGACTCTTTATCCAATTTGTCAGTCTGTGTCTTTTAATTGGAGCATTTAGCCCATTTACATTTAAGGTTAATATTGTTATGTGTGAATTTGATCCTGTCATTATGATGTTAGCTGGTTATTTTGCTCGTTAGTTGATGCAGTTTCTTCCTAGCCTCGATGGTCCTCACAATTTGGCATGTTTTTGCAGTGGCTGGTACTGGTTGTTCCTTTCCATGTTTAGTGCTTCCTTCAAGACCTTTTGTAAGGCAGGCCTGGTGGTGACAAAATCTCTCAGCATTTGTTTGTCTGTAAAGGATTTTATTTCTCCTTCACTTATGAAGCTAGTTTGGCTGGATATGAAATTCTGGGTTGAAAATTCTTTTATTTAAGATTGTTGAATATTGGCCCCACTCTCTTCTGGCTTGTAGAGTTTCTGCCAAGAGATCAGCTGTTAGTCTGATGGGCTTCCCTTTGTGGGTAACCCGACATTTCTCTCTGGCTGCCCTTAACATTTTTTCCTTCATTTCAACTTTGGTGAATCTGACATTTATGTGTCTTGGAGTTTCTCTTCTTGAGGAGTATCTTTGTGGCATTCTCTGTATTTCCTGAATTTGAATGTTGGCCTGCTTTGGTAGGTTGGCAAAGTTCTCCTGGATAATGTCTTGAAGAGTGTTTTCCAACTTGGTTCCATTCTCCCCATCACTTTCAGGTACACCAATCAGATATAGATTTGGTCTTTTCACATAGTCCCAGATTTCTTGGAGGCTTTGTTTCTTTTTACTGTTTTTTCTCTAAACTTCTCTTCTCACTTCATTTCATTAATTTGATCTTCAATCACTGATACCCTTTCTTCCACTTGATCAAATTGGCTACTGAAGCTTATGCATGCATCACATAGTTCTCGTGCCATGGTTTTCAGCTCCATCAGGTCATTTAAGGTCTTCTCTACACTGTTTATTCTAGTTAGCCATTCATCTAATCTTTTTACAAGGTTTTTAGCTTGTTTGCGATGGGTTCGAACATCCTTCTTTAGCTCAGAGAAGTTTGTTATTACCGATCATCTGAAGGCTTCTTCTCTCTACTCGTCAAAGTCATTCTCCGTCCAGCTTTTTTCCATTCCTGGCAAGGAGCTGCCTTCCTTTGGAGGAGAAGAGGTGCTCTGATTTTTAGAATTTTCAGCTTTTCTGCTGTTTTTTCCCCATCTTTGTGGTTTTATCTACCTTTGGTCTTTGATGATGGTGATGTACAGATGGGGTTTTGGTGTGGATGTCCTTTCTGTTTGTTAGTTATCCTTCTAACAGTCAGGACCCTCAGCTGCAGGTCTGTTGGAGTTTGCTGGAGGTCTACTCCAGACCCTGTTTGCCTTGGTATCACCAGCAGAGGCTGCAGAACAGCAAATACTGAAGAACAGCAAATGTTGCTGCCTGATCCTTCCTCTGGAAGCTTCATCTCAGAGGGGCACCTGGCTGTATGAGGTGCCAGTCGGCCCCTAATGGGAGGTGTCTCCCAGTTAGGCTACTCAGGGTTCAGGGTCCCACTTGAGGAGGCAGTCTGTTCGTTCTCAGATCTCAAACTCTGTGCTGGGAGAACCACTACTCTCTTCAAAGCTGTCAGACAGGGACGTTTAAGTCTGCAGAAGTTTCTGCTGCCTTTTGGTCAGCTACGCCCTGCCCCAAGAGATGGAGTCTACAGAGGCAGGCAGGCCTCCTTGAGCTGCAGTGGGCTCCACCCAGTTTGAGCTTCCTGGCCATTTTGTTTACCTACTCAAGCCTCAGCAATGGTGGACGCCCCTCCCCTAGCCTCACTGCCACCTTGCAGTTCGATCTCAGACTGCTGTGCCAGCAGTGAGTGAGGCTCTGTGGGTGTGGGACCCTCCGAGCCATGCACGGGATATAATCTCCTGGTGTGCCATTTGCTAAGACCATTGGAAAAGCGCAGTATTAGGGTGGGAGTGTCCCGATTTTCCAGGTACCATCTCTCATGGCTTCCCTTGGCTAGGAAAGGGCATTCCCTGACCCCTTGCTCTTCCTGGGTGAGATGATGCCCCACCCTGCTCCATGGGCTGCACCCACTGTCCAACAAGCCCCAGTGAGATGAACCTGGTACCTCAGTTGGAAATGCAGAAATCACCTGTCTTCTGTGTCGCTCACACTGGGAGCTGTAGACTGGAGCTGTTCCTATTCGGCCATCTTGGAACCTCCCCCCAGTTTTGGCTTTTTGGAAGTATCTTCCTGCCTAGAGGTAGATTAAAATTTATTACAAAAGAATTGTAAATAGAAAGAATTAGATAGTAATCAGCTGCTATTATTTAAAAAATACAATTTTGTGCCTGGACAGTAACATGGTCAGCTGGTGGGGGGCGAACTTTATCTTTCCTACACTACCCTCAAATTTTCTGTGTGGAAAGAATCAGTGTTTCTGGATGGGAAACTTGGCAGAGGTATAGGTGGCCATAGTGGGGCAAGGTGACTTTGTAATGAGGACTGTGGAACTGACCGCCTAGGATATGACCAGGAACAAATGGAAGTTACAGTCAGATGTCAGCAGGGTGCACAGCAGTAGCCAAGGGAGAGCCAAGTCAGCCAGTGCATGCCCTGGAATTTGTCCAAGCTGAGAGAGAGCAAAATGCCAACTGCAAACTTTAGAATTGAGGTCAGCAGGATGTCTGGTCACAGGAAGAGATCAAAGATCGTATTTGGTCATTGCATAAGTAAGAGGACTATGCCCCTATTATCAATGCCAAAATATCATATACACTTTTCCTCCCATAAATCCAGACATGATAGCAGGGAGAAAATTGAGAGTGTGAGAGGCAGGAGAAAGGCTATCTGAGAGATGAGCATTTCTAACCAAGAAAGACTAAACAGAATTAGACTGCTGGTTAACTCTTTCCTGAGAAATGGAAGTTACTGGTAATAATGCTGATGGATCTTATGTGGATCAGATTGGACAAAATGAGGGAATTAGTCATTGCTGAGACCATAAGCATTGTAGTATGAATTCAATTTGCAGCCATGATACAACTGCAATTGTAAACAGACATGAAAAGTGATGAAAAGCAATGATGTTTCAGACAGATCTGGATTCAAATGTAGGCTTTGGCATATAATGATCAAGTGTCCTGGCCAGGTTACTCATCCATTCTGTGCCTAACTGCCCACATCTGTAGAATGAAATTGCTCTGCAAATTACATGAGATAATCTTTAGAAAGTGTGAAAAGCTTTTCTTAATGTCTGGCACAGAGCAAACACCTAATAATTGATAGGTAACAATCTACACATCTGCCTGTGTATTGGACACTTGATTTGGGGGGTTCAGAAGCCTAGATTTAATTTTTGACTTCCACTGTCCTTTGATCTTTGCCTTAGGTAGCTTATATAGCCTTTCTCCTACTTAATAAATAATTGACCTTGAACAACATACATAAGCTTTCTTTGTGCCTCAGTTTTCTCATCTACAAATCTGAGTTAAAATTTTCATTATTACATATTTCTTAGTTTTGCTGCAAAAATTAACTGAGTCAATAGATTTAACATACTTGGAACATTGCCTGACCAAAATAAAAAGTTGCTCAAAACCTGTTGGCTAACATCATCGTCATAATTGCCATAATTTGAAGCTTTCTTGATATCTTCCTTGTGCAGTATTACCTGTTCCCCTGCTCATGTGCAAAGGGAAAGCTGATTACAAAGAAAGGGATTTAGAAACAGAAACATTCTGTAAGGGCCCCGTAAACTATACCATATAACCTATTTTATAAATCCATTATTCATGCAACCAGAAATTATAAAAATAGAATTTTTGTTAATCCCATTTTTTAACAGCTTTATTGAAGTATAACTAAAATAAACTGCATACGTTTGAATGTACAATTAATAAGTTTTGACATGTATAC
Organism: Homo sapiens; assembly: GCF_000001405.40. NCBI lineage: Eukaryota > Metazoa > Chordata > Mammalia > Primates > Hominidae > Homo > Homo sapiens. The sequence goes on along the minus strand of NC_000001.11, from coordinate 199,645,659 downwards.
ACCTGTGAAACCATCATGACAATTAAGATGATTAACATATCCATCACCCCTAAAACTTTCTTTGTGCTCCTTTATAATCTATCTCTGTATTTTGTCCCCAGGCCACCACTGCTAGACTTTTTGTTGCTATTATTTTACATTTGCTAGATTTTTATATTAAAGAGTATGTAATACATTATATCTGTCTTCTTTCACCCAGCATAATTATTTTGAGATTTATTCACATGATAGTATGTATCAGTAGTTTATTTTTACTGCTGAAGAGTATTCCATTAAATGGATATACTACAGATTGATTATCCATTCACCTATTGATAGACATTTGAGTTCTTTGCACTTTTTGGGCATTACAAATAAAGCTGCTAAGAACATTTGTATACAGTTTTTTTTGTATAGAAATGCACTTTGTTTTCCCTTGCATGAATGCTAGAATTGGAATACCTGGATCATAGGGTTTGTGCATGTTTAACTTTTTAAGAAGTTGCTTGTTTTTCATTGTGGTGGTACCATTTTAGATCTCCACAGCAGTGTATGAGAATTCCAGTTTCTCTACATTCTTGCCATACTTGGGATAGTCAGTCTTTTTTTATTTTAGCCATTTAAACTGGTATTTTATTTTAGCTATTTAAATTCGTATTTATTGATATTTATTACCAAACCAACTTCCAAAATTACTAGTCATAATTCATTGTGGTTTTAATTTGCATTTCCTTGATGACTAATTACATTAAAGTTAAGCAGCTTTTATGAATTATTTACTATTCATATATTGTTGATGAAAGGCATGTTAAAATATTTTGCCCATTTAGAAAAATTGCTTTTTTGTTATTACTGACTTTTAAGAATTCATTTATATATTCTGGATAGAAATTCTTTTTTTTGGATATAAGACTTGTAAATCTCTTTTTCTCAGTATGTGACTTGTCTTTTAATTCTCTTAACAGTATCCTTTAAAGAGCAGGAGTTTAAAATTTTATGAAGACCAATTCATCAGTATGTTTTTAAAATTAATTATGCCTTTGGTATTATATCTAAGAAATCTTGGTCTCACTCAAAGTTGTGAAGATTTTCTTCTATGATTTATTTTACAAGTTTATAGTTTTAAGTTTCACATTTAGGTGTATGATCCATTTTGACAGAATTTTAGAATATGGTGTGATATAGATATTGAAGTTCAATTGTTTTTTGCATTTGATATACAATTGCTCCAGTACTATTTGTTGAACAAATCATACTTTTTTCTATTGAATTGTCTTTATGTCTTTATAAAAAAATCAGCTGTCCACATATATGGGTCTGTTTCTGTATTATTATCCTGTTCCATGGATCTGTCTGTGTCTCTTGTGAATGCTACAGTGTCTTAATGTCTTAATTAAATAGCTTTATAAGTTGTGAAATCAGGTAGTGTTAGTCTTCCAACATTGTTTTGTTTTGTTTCAAAATTGCTTTTGCTATTGTAGGTGCTTTGCATTTTCATAAAAATTGTGAAATCAGTTTTTCAATTTCTGCTAAAAAGTCTGCTGGGATTTAGATCTGGTTTGTGTGTAATCTATAAATCCATTTGGCAAGAACTGACATCTTAGAAATATTAAGTCCTCCAACCCCATGAATGAACTATATTTTCTTTTTCTTTTTTTTTGAGATGGAGTTTTGTTCTTGTTGCCCAGGCTGGAGTGCAATGGCATGATCTCAGCTCACCACAACCTCTGCCTCCCAGGATCAAGTGATTCTCCTGCCTCAGCCTCCTGAGTAGCTGGGATTACAGGCGCACGCCACCACACCCAGATAATTTTGTGTTTTTAGTAGAGATGGGGTTTCTCCATGTTGGTCAGGGTGGTCTCGAACTCCTGACCTCAGGTGATCCGCCCACCTCGGTTTCCCAAAGTGCTGGGATTACAGGTGTGAGCCACCATGCCCAGCTGAATTGTATTTTCTATATTTGATCTTCTTTAATTTCTTTTAGTAATGTGCAGCTCTTTCACACCATGTTTAAGTAGTTCATATTTTTTATGCCATTTTAAATAGTGTTTTCAAATTTTTAATTTCTGACTCTTCATTGCAAGGATACATAGGTCAATTGATTTTTTTATTTGTATACTGCAACCACTTACTAATTCTAGTAGCCTTTTTTGGTAGATTCCATTAGCTTTTCTACACAGACCCTTATGTCATCTGTGAGTAAAGACAGTTTTACTTCTCCCTGAAACTGTACAATTTTTTTTTTTTTTTTTGAGACGGAGTCTCGCTGTGTCACCAGGCTGGAGTGCAGAAGTGCGATCTGGCTCACAGCAACCTCCACCTCCTGGATTCAAGCCATTCTCCTCAGCCTCCTAAGTAGCTGGGACTACAGGCACATGCCACCACACCCAGCTAATTTTTGTATTTTTAGTAGAGACAGGGTTTCACCATGTTGGCCAGGATGGTCTCGATCTCTAGACCTTGTGATCTGCCTGCCTTGGCCTCCCAAAGTGCTGGAATTACAGGCGTGAGCTACTGCACCTGGCCAGAACTGTACAATTTTAATTTCTTTTTCTTGCCATATTGAACTGACAAGAACCTCTAGTACTATATTAAACAGGAGGGGTGAAAGCAGGTATCTTTGTCTTGTTTTTAATCTTAGGGTGAAAGTATTCAGTCTTTCATCATTAAATACAAGGCTAGCTAGCTGTAGGCTTCTTGTAGATGTTTCTTATCAGTTTGAGGAAGTACTTTTCTATTCCTAGTTTGCTGAGACTTTTGAGCAGAAATTGATGGTGGATTTTGTCAAATGATTTTTCTGCATCTAGAAAAACACAGAGTTTTCTATTTTAGTTTGTTCATATAGTCAGTTATCAATTATTGGTTGGTACAAAAGTAATTATTGTTTTGCCATGACTTTTAGTGGCAAAACCGCAATTGCGGCTGGGCACGGTGGCTCACACCTGTAATTCCAGCACTCTGGGAGGCTGAGGTGGGTGGATCACCTGAAGTCAGGAGTTCAAGACCAGCCTGGCTAACATGGTGAAACGCTGTCTCTACTAAAAATACAAAAAATTAGCCAGGTGTGGTGGTTCCTGCCTGTAATCCCAGCTGAGGTACAAGAATTGCTTGAACCCAGGAGGTGGAGGTTGCAGTGAGCCAAGATCGCGCCACTGCACTCCAGCATGGGTGACAGAGCGAGACTCTGAATAAAAACAAAAACAAAAACAAAACACCGCAATTACTTTTGCACCAACCTAATATCATTAGTCAATAATGGATTATATAGATTTTTATAATTTATGTTGATTTTAGAATTTTATTTTATTTTATTTTGAATGTCTAAATTTTATGAAAACATAAAGTTACTTAAAAGTCATCTTTGATATGTGTTCTAATTAATCTTGCATCATGACAAATTGCTTATCAGTAATTTCTTGATTAGTTAATAACCCTCACCCAACCGCTTCATCATATTTCATGTGTCCACAAGGCATTTTCTGAGGTTATTTATAACATGCTCTTGTTGTTCATTTAATATCTGTACAATCTGTAGTGATGTCAACTCTCTTACCCCTGATACTGGTAATTTGTATCTTTTCTCTTTATTTCCTGATTAGTCTTGTGGAAGTTTTATCTATTTTATTTATTTTCTCAAAGAATAGCTTTTGGTTTTATTAATTTTCTCTATTGTAGCTCTACTTTATTGATTTCTACTTTGATATTTATTTCTATTCATTTGAATCTACATAAATATTACTTTTTTATGATTTGAGTTCGAGATTTCAACAAAATCTAATGGACCTACAGAATCCCAAGTGTTATTTTCAGCTATTTTTCATCCGTGTCTAATGGCAGTTACTGGAGATGTTCGTATCACTTTTAAAAATAATGTAGGTGACTGTAATAGTGGCCTGACACCTTCATTCATGCAATGTTTACTTGGTATCAGGAATGGGGGCAAAGTTATGTAAGCTCTGCTCCACACAGTTATTTGGGAACCTGGGATTTTTCTGTCTTGTGGTTTCATTTTTTCTCTGGGGCCTCTAGATCCTCTCCAGTCAGCCAGCAGGAGAGGAAGAAGAGAGAGCCTGTAAGATAGCACAAGGGGATTTTATGGGCCTGAGCTAAAAGGCAGTATACATTACTTTTACTCACAACTCACTTTGTTGATCAGAACTCAGTTCCATAGTGGCAGGGATTTGTAGCACGTATGGTCCAGTTGTGTGGTAAAGTAGAAAGGAAAGCAGATTGGTGAACAATTGTCTAGTCTCTGACCTTCATTGTTAGCCCCACTGGAAGCTTGAGGTGAGCATTCACTAATCCAGGTTATGCAGTTAAGGGCCCTAGCACTCCAGTAACTTGTTTCTGGAACGATCCTTCATCGGGTTTGAACTTGTTCATTCACTGAACTACATGGCTTCTCACCAGTAACCCTACCAAGGGTTATACACATTTCTTGAGTCTGAATCTCTGCCTCAGTTTCCTCATTGTAGTCAGTTTTCCTGTTGGTCTTTTTTCCCAAACTTTAGTCAATTTGGCTGAGACTCTTATAACATAGCAATCTTTATCGGTTCCCATATTCCCCAGACATTGCCTGGGAGCCTGCCTCAAACCAGATGGACCCCCTCCTCCATCCAGAACCATGGCAGCAACTTCCAGTGACCCACTGCCTGGATAATCCTGTCACTGTAGCCTGCCTTCCATTTATTCCTTTAATATATGAGGGGCTATTTAGATTATTTGTTTCTTCTTGAGTGTGCTTTGGTTGTTTGCATCTTTTAAGAAAGTGATCTTTTTAAGTTGTTGAATTTATTGGCATAAGATTATTCATAACATTCTCTTATTGTTCATTTAATATCTGTACAATCTGTAGTGATGTCAGTTCTCTTACCCCTGATACTGGTAATTTGTATCTTTTCTCTTTATTTCCTGATTAGTCTTGTGGAAGTTTTATCTATTTTATTTATTTTCTCAAAGAATAGCTTTTGGTTTTATTAATTTTCTCTATTGTAGCTCTACTTTATTGATTTCTACTTTGATATTTATTTCTATTCATTTGAATCTACATAAATATTACTTTTTTATGACTTGAGTTCGAGATTTAAAAAGAATCTAATGGACCTACAGAATCCTGAGTGTTATCAGAATCCTGAGCAGACACTAGCCTCAATACAGCCATATTTCTATATCTTTCTTAGACATTGTAGTCCAAACTTCAGGCCTCTTACAAGGACTAATCTCTAAGGTGATAAGTTATTTTCCCTGGCTCTTCCCTCCCCTTATTGGCTGGATATGGGCTTTGGCCATTCCCAAGTTTCCTTGGTTCCTCTGTTAACTGGTCTAACCATTGCCATGTCCTTTAAGAGAAAAGTCAGTCCTCTTTCCTGTGAGATTGCAGGCAAGAATGTTTCCCTCCCATCTAGTCCACAGAGGGTTTTTAGCATTAATTAATAATTATTAATAGTCTAAGTGTTATACTTTCAGTTTTTTTAAATAAAATATTGTATCAAAATATCCCCAAATAGCAGTTTCATTCAAAATGATTTCATTACTGGCATTTTTAAATTTTGTGATTTAAAATTTCCTGCTGTATAGTTTTTCAAACTAAAAACGATTTTTTTTCAAAAGAAGTAATTATATATAATTTATATTATTTTATAGTGCTATAAATGGATTATTTGCTCACTAGACACTTACATATCTTCCTTAGAGACCTGGTAGTTTTTAACTAACTTCCTTTTTTTTTCTCTGTCACCTTTAGTCTCTTAATTTAAAATAAAACAGAAGTTTGCGTTTGCTTTGTATCACTCTGATGATCAGTTGATATATAAAAGATACTATGTCAATTTTCTCTTTTTACTAAAACATAGTTGACTTGGTTTTAAGATACGTTTTAGTCAGGTTGTCTAAAATGGTTATTGGTCTAAAGGGCCTTGAACTGAATTTAGTTTACCCATATGAAAAGAGTATTTTCCCTTCTCTTCATGTACAGCTAATTAGCCTCTTTGTTATTGCAGGGCTCATTGTATTATATTTGGATTGTCATTCATGAATGCATAGGTCAGCAGTATTTCTATTCTGCTATATCCAGGAGAGTGTCTGTGTTTACTTGCTAATCTCTGGCTTATCCATACAAATTTTAGCTCAGTTCAAATTGGCATCTATTAATATGATAAAAAGAAAGAAAGTATTTCTCTGATACATGCTTCCTGCCAAATGAGGCACATCTTGGCATTGGGAATAAAATGGCCAGATACATGCATATTCTGAAGCCTGGAAATAATATGTTAGTGATGGTGGTGTTCATCATTTAAGTGAGTAGTAGAGGTTAACTCATCTGACTTTCATATTACATTGATCTTTTCTCTCCTGGGAAGAGCAGTGCTGTTGATTTTTGGTGGTTGTTATTCTTGGGATGTGGAGCTTATGAAGGGAAAGAGAGGGTGAGTGAAAATGAGACCACAAGGACTGGATTACTAATTACTGCATACATGGGATGGACAAGCTGTATGATACACAAATCGTTCTCAGCCAAAGTGCTTCATTTATAATAGAGATTACAGTAAGAACAAAATGAAGTTGTCTAAAGGAAAATGATGCCTCAGGAGTCTTTATTCTGGTTTGGCCACAAGTTAATAATATGACCAGCAGCTAATTGTGAACTGCAAGGCTACATTATCTTTTTTTTTTCTTCTTCTTTTTTTAATTATACTTGAGTTCTGGTATACATGTGCAGAATATGCAAGTTTGTTACATAGGCATACGTGTGCCATGGTGGTTTGCTGCACCCATCAACCCGTCATCTACATTAGGTATTTCTCCTAATGCTATACCTCCCCTTGCCCCCAACCCCATGACAGACCCCAGTGTGTGATATTCCCCTCCCTGTGCTCATATGTTCTTATTGTTCAACTCCCACTTATGAGAGAACGATGTTTGGTTTTCTGTTCCTGCGTTAGTTTGCTGAGAATGATGGTTTCCAGCTTCATCCATGTCCCTGCAAAGGACATGAACTCATCATTTTTTATGGCTGCATAGTATTCCATGGTGTATGTGTGCCACATTTTCTTTATCCAGTCTATCTTTGATGGGCATTTGGGTTGGTTCCAAGTCTTTGCTATTGTGAATAGTGCTGCAATAAACATATATGTGCATGTGTCATTATAGTAGAATGATTTGTAATCCTTTGGGTATATAACCAGTAACGGGATTGCTGGGTCAAATGGTATTTCTAGTTGTAGATCCTTTAGGAATCACCACACTGTCTTCCACAATGGTTGAACTAATTTATACTCCCACCAACAGTGTAAAAGCACTCCTATTTTTCCACATCCTCTCCAGCATCTGTTGTTTCCTGACTTTTTAATAATCGCCATTCTAAGGGGCATGAGATGGTATCTTATTGTGGATTTGATTTGCATTTCTCTAATGACCAGTCATGATGAGCATTTTTTCATGTTTGTTGGCAGCATAAATGTCTTCTTTTGAAAAGTGTCTGTTCATATCCTTTGCCCACTTTTTGATGGGTTTTTTTTTTAATTGTAAATTTGCTTAAGATTCTTGTGGATTCTGGATATTAGCCCTTTGTCAGATGGATAGATTGCAAAAATTTTCTCCCATTGTGTTGGTTGCCTATTCACTCTGATGATAGTTTCTTTTGCTGTGCAGAAGCTCTTTAGTTTAATTAGACCCCATTTGTCAATTCTGGCTTTTGTTGCCATTGCTTTTGGTGTTTTAGTCATGAAGTCCTTGCCCATGCCTATGTTCTGAATGGTATTGCCTAGATTTTCTTCTAGGGTTTTCATGGTTTTAGTTCTTATGTTTAAATCTTTAAACCATCTTGAGTTAATTTTTGTATAAGGTGTAAGGAAGGGGTCCAGATTCAGTTTTCTGCATATGGCTAGCCAGTTTTCCCAACACCATTTATTAAATAGGGAATCCTTTCCCCATTGCTTGTTTGTGTCACGTTTGTCAAAGATCAGATGGTTGCAGATGTGTGGTGTTATATCTGCAACTGTTCCACAGGCTTCTGTTCTGTTCCATTAGTCTATATATCTGTTTTTGTACCAGTACCATGCTGTTTTGGTTACTGTAGCCTTGTAGTATAGTTTGAAGTCAGGTAGCATGATGCCTCCAGGTTTGTTCTTTTGGTTTGGATTCCCTTGGCTATCTGGCTCTTCTATGGTTCCATATGAAATTTAATATAGCTTTTTAAAATTCTGTAAAGAAAGTCAGTGGTAGCTTGATGGGGATAGCATTGAATCTAAAAATTACTTTGGGCAGTATGGCCATTTTCACGATATTGATTCTTCCTATCCATGAGCATGGAATGTTTTCCCATTTGTTTGTGTCCTCTCTTATTTCCTTGAGCAGTGGTTTGTAGTGCTCCTTGAAGAGGTTCTTCGCATCCCTTCTGAGTTATATTACTAGGTATTTTATTCTCTTCATAGTAATTGTGAATGGGAGTTCACTCATGATTTGGTTCTCTGTCTGTCTATTGTTGGTGTATAGGAATGCTTGTGATGTTTGCACTTTGATTTTGTATCCTGAGACTTTGCTGAAGTTGTTTATCAGCTATAAGGAGTTTTTGGGCTGAGACGATGGGGTTTTCTAAAGATACAATCATGTCATCTGCAAACAGAGACAATTTGACTTCATCTTTTTCTATTTGAATACACTTTATTTCTTCCTCTTGCCTGATTGCCCTGGCCAGAACTTCCAATACTATGTTGAATAGGAGTGGTGAGAGAGGGTATCCATGTCTTGTGCTGGTTTTCAAAGGGAATGCTTCCAGCTTTTGCCCATCCAGTAATATATAGGCTGTGGGCTTGTCATAAATAGCTCTTATTAATTTGAGATACATCGCATCAAAACCTAGTTTATTGAGAGTTTTTAGTATGAAGGGCTGTTGAATTTTGTTGAACTCCTTTTCTGTATCATTGAGATAATCATGTGGTTTTTGTCATTGGTTCTATTTATGTGATGGACTACATTTATTGATTTGCATATGTTGAACCAGGCTTGCATCGCAGGGATGAAGCCAACTTGATCATGGTGGATAAGCTTTTTAATGTACTGCTGGATTTGGTTTGCCAGGATTTTATTGAGGATTTTCGCATTGATGTTCATCAGGGATATTGGCCTGAAATTTTCTTTTTTTGTTTTTGTTGTGTCTCTGCCAGGTTTTGGTATAGGGATGATGCTGGCCTCATAAAGAGAGTTAGGGAGGAGTCTCTCCTTTTCTATTGCTTGGAATAGTTTTAGAAGGAATAGTACCAGTTTCTCTTTGTATCTCTGGTAGAATTCAGCTGTGAATCCATCTGCTCTTGGGCTTTTTTTGGTTGGTAGGCTATTAATTACTGCCTCAATTTCAGAAATTGTTATTGGTCTATTCAAGGATTCAACTTCTTCCTGGTTTAGTCTTGGGAGGGTGTATATGTCCAGGAATTTATCCATTTTTCTAGATTTTCTAGTTTATTTGTGTAGAGGTGTTTATAGTATTCTCTGATGGTAGTTTGTATTTCTGTGGCATCAGTGGTGATAGCTGCTTTATTATTTTTTACTGGGTCTATTTGATTCTTCTCTCTTTTCTTCTTTATTAGTCTGGCTAGCAGTCTATCTATTTTGTTGATCTTTTCAAAAACCAGCTCCTGGATTCATTGATTTTTTTGAAGGTTTTTTTGTGTCTCTATCTCCTTCAGTTCTGCTCTGATCTTAGTTGTTTCTAGTCTTCTGCTAGCTTTTGAATTTGTTTGCTCTTGCTTCTCTACTTCTTTTAATTTTGATGTTAGGGTTTCGATTTTAGATCTTTCCTGCTTTCCCCTGTGGGCATTTAGTGCTATAAATTTCCCTCTAAAAACTGCTTTAGCTGTGTCCCTGAGATTCTGGTATGTTGTTTCTTTGTTCTCAGTGGTTTCAAAGAACATCTTTATTTCTGCCTTAATTTCATTATTTACCCAGTAGTCATTCAGGAGCAGATTGTTCAGTTTCCGTGCAGTTGTGCGGTTTTGAGTGAGTTTCTTAATCCTGAGTTCTAATTTGATTGCACTGTGGTCTGAGAGACTGTTTATTATGATTTCCATTCTTTTGCATTTGCTGAGGAGAATTTTACTTCTAATTATGTGGTCAATCTTAGACTATAGTGATGTGGTGCTGAGAAGAATGTATATTCTGTTGATTTGGGATGGTGAGTTCTGTAGATGTCTATTAGGTCTGCTTGTTCCAGAGCTGAGTTCAAGTTCTGAATATAATTGTTAATTTTCTGTCTCATTGTTTTAATATTGACAGTGGTGTGTTAAAGTCTCCCACTATTATTATGTGGGAGTCTAAGTCTCTTTGTAGATCTCTAAGAACTATAAATCTGAGTGCTCCTGTATTGGGTGCATATATATTTAGGATAGTTAGCTCTTCTTGTTGCACTGATCCCTTTACTGTTATGTGATGCCCTTCTTTGTCTTTTTTTGATCTTTGTTGGTTTAAAGTCTGTTTCCTCAGGGACTAGGATTGCAACCCCTGCTTTTATTTGCTTTCCATTTGCTTGGCAAATCTCTCTCCATCCCTTTATTTTGAGCCGATGTGTGTCTTTGCATGTGAGATGGGTCTCCTGAATCCAGCACACCGATGGGTCTTGATTCTTTATACAATTTGCCGGTCTGTGGCTTTTAATTGGGGCATTTAGCCCATTTACATTTAAGGTTAATATTGGTATGTATGAATTTGATCTGTCATTATGAGGCTAGCTGGTTATTTTGCCCATTAGTTGATGCAGTTTCTTCATAGTGTTGATGGTCTTTACATTTTGGTATGTTTTTGCAGTGGCTGGTATTGGTTTTTCCTTTCCATATTTAGTGCTTCCTTCAGGAGCTCTTGTAAGACAGACCTGGTGGTGACAAAATCTGTCAGCATTTGCTTGTCTATAAAGGATTTTATTTCTCCCTCACTTATGAAACTTCGTTGGGCTGTATATGGAATTCTGGGTTGAAATTTCTCTTCTTTAAGAATGTTGAATGTTGGCCCCAACTGTCATCTGGCTTGTAGGGTTTTTGCAGAGAAATCCACTGTTAGTCTGATGGGCTTCCCTTGTGCGTAACTTGACCTTTCTCTCTGGCTGCCCTTAACATTTTTTCCTTTATTTCAACCTTGGTGAATCTGATGATTATGTGTCTTAGGTTTGCTCTTCTCGAGAAGTGTCTTTGTGGTGTTCTCTGTATTTCCTGAATTTGAATGTTGGCCTGTCTTGCTAGGTTGGGGAAGTTCTCCGGGATAATATTTTGAAGTGTGTTTTCCAACTTGGTTCCATTCTCCCTGTCACTTTCAGGTACACTAATCAAACATAGGTTTAGTCTCTTCACATAGTCCCATATTTCTTGGAGGCTTTGTTCGTTCCTTTTCATTCTTTTTTTCTCTAATCTTGTCTTCACCCTTTATTTCATTAAGTTGATCTTCAGTCTCTGATATTCTTTCTTTTGCTTAATCAATTCATCTGTTGATACTTGTGTATGCTTAATGAAGTTCTCATGCTGTATTTTTCAGCTCCATCAGGTCATTTATGTTCTTCGCCAAATTGGTTATTCTAGTTAACAGTTCCTGTAACCTTTTATCAAGTTTCTTAGCTTCCCTGCATTGGGTTAGAACATGCTCCTTTAACTTGGAGGAGTTTGCTATTACCTACCTTCTGAAGCCTATTTCTGTCCATTCATCAAACTCTTTCTCCATCCAGTTTTCTTCCCTTGCTGGCAAGGAGTTGTGATCCTTTGGAGGAGAAGAGGCATTCCGGTTTTTGGAATTTTCAGCCTTTTTGTGCTGTTCTTTTCTCATCTTTGTGGTTTTGTCTACCTTTGATCTTTGATGTTGGTGATCTTTGGATGGGGTTTTCGAGTGGTCATCCTTTTTGTTGATGTTGATGCTATTACTTCCTGTTTGTTAGTTTTCCTTCTAACAGTCAGGACCCTCTTCTGCAGGTCTGCTGGAGTTTGCTGGAGGTCCACTCCAGACCCTGTTTGCCTGGGTATCACCAGCAGAGGCTGCAGAACAGCAAAGATTGCAGCCTGCTCCTTCCTCTCGAAGCTTCATCCCAGAGGGGCACCTGCCAGATGCCATTCGAAGGTCTCCTGTATGAGGTGCCTGTCAACCCCTGCTGGGAGGTGTCTCCCTGTCAGGAGGTACGGGGGTCAGGGCCCCACTTGAGGAGGCAGTCTGTCCCTTAGCAGAGCTTGAGTGCTATGCTGAGAGATCCACTGATCCCTTCAGATCCAGCAGACAGGAACGTTTAAGTCTGGTGATGCTGCGCCCATAGCCGCCCCTTCCCCCAGTTGCTCTGTCCCAGGGAGTTGGGAGTTTGATCTATAAACCCCTGCCTGGAGCTGCTGCCTTTCTTTCAGAAATACCCTGCCCAGAGAGGAGGAATCTAGAGAGGCAGTCTGGCTACAGTGGCTTTGTGGCCCTCTGGTGGGATCTGCTCAGTTCGAACTTGCTGGAGGCTTTGTTTACACTGTGAGGGGAAAATCGCCTACTCAAGCCTCAGTAATGGTGGACACCCCTACCCCCTCCAAGCTTGAGTGTCCCAGGTTGACTTCAGACTGCTGTGCTGGCAGTGAGAATTTCAAGCCAGTGGATCTCAGCTTGTTGGGCTCCATGGGGTTGGGATCTGCTGAGCAAGACTCGGCTTCCTGGCTTCAGCCCCCTTTCCAGGGGAGTGAACCGTTCTGTCTCGCTGATGTTCTAGTCGCCACTGGGGTACGAAAAAAAACTCCTGCAGCTAAGCTTGGTGTCTGCCCAAACAGCCGCCCAGCTTTGTGCTTGAAACCCAGGGCCCTGGTGGTGTGGGTACCCAAAAAATCTCCTGGTCTGCAGGTTTTGAAGACAGTGGGAAAAGTGAAGTATCTGGGCCAGATAGCTCTGTCCCTCATGGCACAGTACCTCACAGCTTCCCTTGGCTAGGGGAGGGAGTTCCTTGACCTCTTAGGCTTCCCAGGTGAGGCCATGCCCCACCCTGGTTTGGCTCCCCCTCCGTGGGCTGCACCCACTGTCTAACAAGTCCCAATGAGATGAGCCAGGTACCTCAGTTAGAAATGCAGAAATCACCCGCCTTCTGTGTTGGTCTTGCTGGGAGCTGCAGACTGGAGCTGTTCCTATTCGGCCATTTTGCCCAGGAATCCCTACATTATCTTTTAACAGATGCCACTCATGTGCAAACTGGTCAATTACTAGCAAATCTCTGATGATCTCAATACACCATGAAAGAATAAAAGACAATTCCCAGAGGTGAAGACAGATAGAACTGAAATAGGGTACAAACCAATTTACAGAAATGGAACTTAACCCTTAGAAGAATGAAACGAGTCTACTATATATTCATTTCTATCTTATTAAATATTTATGTAGGAAGTGAGCTTGTCACTTGAAGCAAAATTTTACAAGCCAATAAATGCATATATTTTTAATTCCCTTTTCTTGTAAGAAATGGTATATCTTTGAGAGGGAGAGAGAAAATAAAAGCTGTAAATATTGAAGTTTTCTTCTTTTAATATTCATTGTTGTTGGCAACTCTGGTTGAGTTCAACACTACAGGTTTCTGGGCAAGCAAAACAATCTTGCAGTAAACACAATAAGGGTCTATTCATCTCGCATAAATGCTTATGTCTAACTCTCATTAATATTAATGGAGTTGCATACAAGCATTGAGGTGATAATAGACCCCCATTTAAACCCATTTGTATTCATGAGCTTTACATTTAAGATTACTTTCCAATCACTTCCTCTTAAAATGTGAGTCAATGATCTTATCTTCAAAGATATTTCAAATATGGCTAACTAAATAAAGAACCCAATTAAAGTTTGTTTGCAACAAATTTCCATGGAAAACTTGACAGTAGATTGACCCATTTCCCCACCTAAAATCATCTTCATTTGCCCTGTTATTTTGTGTACAGTACATTAACTAGAAAGTATCAGATGATATCTATTTTCTTCTTCTGTTAGTCTTTGTAATCTGAATTTGACAGATTGTCAGCTGGCAGTCTGTCTGTGACTAAGTTCATAAACTCACTTCTCAAGCTGGTAAACCCAACCCAAGCCAGTCTACTCAACATTGCCAACTATAGTATACATCTCCTTATTCTTAAAAATCATACTGGAGCATTAGAATATTGAAGGCTAGGAACTTTTAATCTTATGTTCAGAAAATAAACATTCTATATGTTAAAGAATTTATCTTTGTACCATTAATTACTGATTCCATGGAAACACTAGTAATGAAGAAGAGAGTAATGAAACAGTGAGTTACTAGTAAAAAAGTAATGAAGTAACTAATAATAAAGGAGAGATGGAAAGGGAAAGTCAATGTTACAGATAATTTACATTTTAATGAAACCATTGTGCTTATAAAAAGGAACAAGGCAATGGGACGAAGAAATGGGGAGGGATGATGGCTAAATTCACTTTTGTAGTTCCAGTGATGAATCTCTTTTGGATTTTCTCATTAAAGTATTACTTTATGCTTTTAAGAGAAAACCCTACCATAATTTCAGAACCTAAATTAAATAACAGTTCAAAAATTCCTAAAAACCAAACACATTAAATAAAAGAGGCAGCCCATAGTTCCTTCTCATCAAAAGGACTAAGCTGAACCATTCAATTTAATAAAACATTAATGTGTATTTTTCTTGGACAGGCACATGGCTGAGCCTTGATGAGGGAAACAAGTATGAGTTGAGATAGTGTGAGGTCTCCAGAGATTTACAATCTAGATAGGAGAGAAAATGTATACCCAAACTTGCAACTATAGTTTACAGTTTAAGATAGGTGGCTTTGATAGGACTAAACCCAGCTGGAGGAAGAACATAGCGGAATAAAATGTATGTCATCCATCCATTAGAGATCTACATTTATTTATGCAGCAGGGAGCAAGGATACAGTAAACACAGTTCTAGGAAATACATATTGTATAATAACACAAATTGGATGAAAAATATTTGTCACTGTATTTTGGTATACACATACACAATATGTTGTTCATTGCATTCAGTCTTAAATATTTAAATACATATAAAAATTCACTGCAATATACAGAGTACTTAGGGACACTGATTTACCAGTAATATTAGAGGTTGAATTTATTAGAATAAATGGAACTGACGGGAAGAAGCAAACCCTTGAATATTGGCTCAATCTGTTATTTTGGGTTTTACATGAATTAGGTCATGTGTTAAGACACAGCATAGTTAAATTATATAATGGTTTAAAAACTTGCTGTTTTAAAACTTATATAATAATACAGAAAATATGCTTATATGTAATATGCTATATAGCATTATAATACTATAGTATATTATAGTATATATACTATAGCATAATATAATACTATATTATATAGTATTAAAATTTTTAAAATATACTTTTACATATATTATTTCATCTTATCCTCACAACACCTTTTAATACGGAGTATATACCTGCACATTTATTCATACACTTTGATTAAGTGACCTACTATTTGTCAGGTGCTGGGCTAGATATCAGATAAAGGAATAAAAGATATGTACCTAACCTAAATTATTTTGTAGATGAGAGGGGAAGACAGTTAACTTCATATGACTACAATAGGTAAATGTACTGATGGAAACATGAGAAGCTATGTGAATGGAATGGAATGGATGGTTTCCAGGACAGATTTCTAGAGACATGTCTCAGCTACATCTCAGAAGATGAAGTGGGAGGTAGAGGGAATAGCTCATTTTAGGATGTGCACCTTGTTTAGTTCTGCAGCTGGGTAGGGTATGCGTGAAGAAGTGTCACACACACACACACACACACACACACACAAAGACAGTAGGGAGGGTGCAGACCACATCCTGTAGAGGTTTTCATGTTCCATTTAGAAGTTGCATATCTTACTTGGAAGTTGATGGTGAATGACTGATGAATTTTAAGGACTTACAAGTCCGAGCATATCATAGAAACATCACTATGATGAATGTGGAGGATGGATCGGAAAGGATGAAGTTGGCAGCACAAAGACCAGTCAGGCAGCCTTTGTACAAATGCGTATGAGAAATTAGGAGAGCCTGAGCTAAAGCAGTCAGTGAAATGCTGATGAAAGAACACATTTGGAAGCTATTTAGGGGGTTGAGTCTCTAGCATTAAGTGGCCAATTGAATAAAGGGATGAAAGAGAGGGGAGAGTGGTCTAGGATGATTCCTGTTTTTCTGCACTGAGATGTATGGAAATAATAACATGAGAGGGGAGGTATAGAACAAGAAACATGTTTGGAGGAGAAGACATCTAGTTTAAACTTGGACACAGTTTAAGATCTATGTAAGACATTTGATTAAAGATGTCTCTTGACCATTGTTTTATGACACAAGTTCAGAGCAAGTGTCTGAGCTTTAAATATAAATTTATGAACTGTTCGTTGATGACTATGGATGACTACTGATTAGAAAACAATAAAGATCTTTCTATTTCTGTTCACCCTGTCATGGACATGTGTTGCTTTTGGTCTACACAGGATCTGTTCACCCTTTTTCTGGTAACAGCTTTTATATTTGGGGGTAGGAATTCATTATAACTCTTAATCCAAGTGATTGGGATGGGCTGACTCCATTGTAGTTCTAAGGGAGGCATGTCACCCAAGCCTGATCAGTCAGTTCATACCTCCCTCCCCACTGGCCACAGTAATATAGCATGTGAAACAAACCAGGTTAATGAGACTAAATTCCTGGAGTGTGGTTTCAGCTGTTGAGAAAAGTCTTTTCTGCTGGGATTGCAGAGAATAGGTTTTCAGCCTGTAGCAGGTAGAAGACAGCTATTTTGCTGCCAGGTGGGAAGACCCTGAGAATGAACATAACAAAGGAAAAGAGAGCTGAGAGAGAAGGGGAGAGTCAGACCAACAGAGTCCTAATGATGACACTGAGTTCTTCAATCTAGTGGGCCCGAATCTAAAATGATCCCTAGACCTTTCTAGGGATATGGGAACACTCCCTTTATCGCTTAAGCTAGTTGGAGTTGATTTATTCTTTATTCGTAACTAAAATAGCCCTAGTACGGGCAGAGAATACATTATTTTTATGTATGCTAATTATAAAATATGTGTTAATGAATAAATGATTGAATGACAATAAACAAGCATGATTTGACCCTCAGTATAATTTTGATACCTGATTTGAACAGAATTGACACCTTTACAGTTTTGAATAGTCATTATAAATATGGTATATATTTCAATTTACCTAGTTCTTTAATGTTGTTCAACAACATTTTGTCATTTTCTATTTATAAATCTCATACTTTTTTTGTTAGATTTATTTCTTGGTAATTTAAAAATTTTAGAATATCTTTTTAAATGTACATTTTAAACTAATTTTTGGTGATGTCTATAAGTTAAATTGACCTTTGTATATTGACTCTATGACCAGAAATTTTGCTGAACTCTTATTAATTTGAATTGGTAGATTATTTAGGTTTTCTGTGTAGAAATCTTCCCCTCTACAAACCATCTTTTATGCTTTTCCAATCATTGAGTATCATGTTTGTGGAATGCCTTTTTGGAGAAGGTCATGAAGATGTCCTTTTTCAGTCTGAGGATTTTCTTTCAATTTTTGGCTTTATATGCGATTTCTATTTTTTTCCTTTTTAAAAATCATGACTGGATACTGAATTTCATAAAATGCCTTTTATATTCTTAATGAACATATTTTTCCCTATTTTTTTTAATGTAGTGAATTGCCTTAATCAGTATTCTAGTTTTTAATCTTATTTAGCTCTTACATTATCGTATACGTAGGAGTTTTCAGATTTTCTATTTCTTCTTGATTAAAATTGTTATTTTTTTAAACTATGTGATATGCAAAAAAACTCATGAAGAAACTAGGCAACACATTTTAAAGCTTTGATTTAGTGAAAAGGACCTAATTAAAAGATAAATGATTAAAAGAATTAATAAGCTTTTATAGTGAGAATTAGAGGTAGTCATAATAAAGTATCTAATTTGGAAAAAAGGGTAGTATAGATACTGTAGGCTGAGCTAGGTTATAGTAGCAGGGAAACTTAAGAACTAGAAAAAAACCAATAAAAACAAATAAAATTTTGGTGAGAGAATATTTGAGTAGTCTTTCAATAGTTAGGATGGCTAAAATACCAAACCATAACTTTATCTTGTGCTGAGGCTCAGAAGATGATACCCCAAAGTATGGCGCTTTGGCTTGCTGAGTGCTTTGAGCTAGGAGAGAAACAAGGTCTCTTCTGACCTTCTCCTACCTTCCTGTCTCTAATTTATTTATCCCCCTAGACATAGGAAGGACTCTCTGAACTTCTGTTATCTGCCTAAAGATAAGTCTTTCAAAATGGAACTCAATTGTCTCCTCAATGAGTCTCCTCCCTGGGAAATCTCATCAACCAGGGAAAATTAACCATATGGCAGAAGAAGAGACTGCAGATCAGTGCCATGTCCAGACAGACTGTGTCACAGGCTATAACTATTCATTCCTCCCAAATTATTTATGGTCCCCTAAGTTGCCTACATATCCTTTTCTACTCTCCCCTATGAAGAGACTATATAAGCTTCTAGATCTCACTGGGTTTTTGGGGTATTCCATTTTCTTTCTGTGATCTTCCATGTATGTAATAAATTTGGATGCTTTTTCTCCTCTTAATCTGTCTACTGTCAATTTCACAGACTCAATTATCAAACTTTTGGAGGTCAAAGAGACATTTTTCTCTCCATTATACTTGTTTATACTTTAGGACTTGGAAATAGAGGACAAGGGATTTACTTATGTGATTCTTTAGATAAGTACAATTCTCATCGAAATTAGCTTCTTGGATTGGATTGACTCATCTAATCAGCCATTTTACCGTAAAAATGTGTTCTCTTCAACAAGAATCTTCTGATTTGATTTCATGAGGATTATATGATAATACTACTTCTAATAATAATGTAACTAGCATTTTTTAAAAAATTATACTTTAAGTTCTGGGATACATGTGCAGAACATGCAGGTTTGTTACATAGGTATACATGTGCCATGGTGGTTTGTCACACCCATCAACCCGTCATCTACAGCAGGTATATCTCCTAATGCTATCCCTCCTCTAGCCCCCTACCCTCCGACAGGCCCCGTTGTGTGATGTTTCCCTCCCTGTGTCCCTGTGTTCTCATTGTTCAACTCCCACTTATGAGTGAGAACACGCAGTGTTTGGTTTTCTGTTCCTGTGTTAGTTTTCTGAGAATGATGGTTTCCAGCCTCATCCATGTCCCTGCAAAGGACATGAACTCATCCTTTTTTATGGCTGCATAGTATTCCATGATGTATATGTGCCACATTTTCTTAATCCAGTCTATCATTGGTGGGCATTTGGGTTGGTTCCAAGTCTTTGCTATTGTGAATAGTGCTGCAACAAACATGTGTAACTAACATTTTTATTGGGAACATTCAATGTACTTGGTGCTGCACAATGCAGTTTTTACTGACAACTTTGTATACTTATAAGATTAAGTGTTATATATAACCTATTTGAAAATTCCAATGACTTTTATTAAGGCTATAGGCTACCAATACAATGAAAAGAAACACAAACTATTCTTAAATTTTACCATTTTTCATTTTTTTGGACATCACATGCTTTTTTCTTGGCCAACTAATTGCTAGTAAATAATTTGTTAGTTTGATAGCACTGAGGACACAACCAATGTATCTTGACAAGGTTTATTTTTCCCACATCATTTTCTTTTCAAGTCTTTGGTTCCCAGTATGCACTTGTTACTGCTTTAGATAGCAGACAGTAAGATGTCATTCCTATTCTAATCCTTTTATTTGAAAAAAGTTATCCCAAAGATTAACGGGAAATTTTAATATAAATAGCTAAAGGCAAGAAGTCTCAAGTCCAAGTTTTTAAACTATTGTGTAATTATACAGAAAATATGGTATATATATATAAAATATACTATATTATAGTATACATACTATATATAATACATCATAATATAATGTTATAGCATTAAAATTTTTGAAATACACTTTTACGTATATTATTTCATCTTATCCTCACAACACCTTTAAATATGAGGCAAATGTTATAGATGAGAAAACTGAGCGTCAAGGAGCTGGTTACATTTTCTCAAGATAAAAATGAAAAAAATTTAATTATCAAGAGAAAAATTAAGTAGAGAAAAAATTGCTTAAGATTACAAAGTGGCAGAGCTAAAGCTAAAATTTAAGCTTTCTTTTCTCAGAAAGTATGTTATTTTAATTAGGAATCAACTTTTTCTTTTTTTTTGTTTGAGATGGAGTCTCTTTCTGTTGCTCAGGCTGGAGTGCAGTGGCATGATCTTGGCTCACTGCAACCTCTGCCCCCCAGGTTCTAGCGATTCTCCTGCCTCAGCCTCCCAAGTAGCTGGGATTACAGGCGTGCTGTAATTTTTGTATTTTTAGTAGAGACGGGGTTTCACCATCTTGGCCAGGCTGGTCTTGAACTCCTGACCTCGTGATCAACCTGCCTCAGCCTCCCAAAGTGCTGGGATTACAGGCGTGAGCCACCACGCCTGGCCTGGAAACAACTTTTTCATTTCTTCTCCTTCTCTTTCTACTCTTCTCTTCCTCATTTTTCACCTTTACTTCATCTTTCTCTTCATTTTCTTATCTTCTTTGTTCTTCTCCTTCTCTTCTCCTTTTCTTCATGATCATGATCATGATCATCATCATTTATTAATTGCTTTCAATGGGCAATTGGTTTACTGGTATTTATCAAGATTAATCCTCCAAATAACTACATAAGGTAAGTATTATTATTAACCCCATTTCATAGATAAAGAAATTGAGGCATAAAGAGTTCCAATTTGCCCAAGGACACAGAGCTCCTTGGTAGTGCCAGGATTCAAACCCTAGCCATTTGGTTTTAGAATGTGTGCTCTTAACCATTATTGTAGTCCACCATTGTAACTGACAGCCAGAGATGTTTTCAGGCAATGGTTTAGCAACTTCTTTTGAGGTACTCCTCAAACAGATCTTCACCAAAAACAAGTAAAAAATAAAAATTAATATCAAAAGAACAACAAAATCAATTAATAGGAACATGCCATGAAACTTTTCAAGAGAGGTAAGGGGAGGCCAGGCGTGGTGGCTCATGCGTGTAATCCCAGCACTTTGGGAGGCCGAAGCAGGCGGATCACTTGAGGTCAGGAGTTTGAGATGAGCCTGGCCAACATGGTAAAACCCTTTCTCTACTAAAATACAAAAATTAGCTGGGTTTGATGGTGAGCACCTGTAATCCCAGCTACTTGTGAGGCTAAGGCAGGAGAATTGCCTGAACCCGGGAGTCAGAGGTTGCAGTGAGTCGAGATCGCGCCACTGCGCTCTAGCCTGGGTGACAGAATGAGACTCCATCTCCAAAAAAAAAAAAAAAAGAGAGGTAAGGGGAGTGGGGTCAGGTTTGGAGAACTGATATACTAAAATATTGGCCAACTGGCAATTTAAGTGTATTCAAGATACTTGTTATCATACTGCTAAAAGACAAATATAATTAACATTTCCAAAAAGAAACAAAAAACAAGTAAAATCAATGTATTCTCTTTCTATTTAGTCTTTGATGATATAGCTAATTATATTTTTTCATAAAAAAGGTTTTGCCTTGATTATATCCCACAATTGCTTGAACTGTGCATCATTTCAAATAATTTTAGTCTAAAAAATCATACCTTAATGTGGTGACTACCCTAATTAAGGTGATGCCTTTACTTACACACTTGAATATAAATAGTGGAAAAATCTCCACAACTTTTCTTTCTTTTCAAATTTTTAAATTCCTCATGAACATCAGCTGGTGTATTCAGTTCTGACATGTACATGTATAATTAAAAAAAATTACCCCTGGGGGCCAAGAGAAACATGGAGATGTTATTCTCTAATATGTAACATTCATGAAAGCTGGGAAACAATTACATTTACATATTTGTTTATGCATATTTATATTGGTTTACTGCATTTTCTAACATTACGCACGCTGTATTTGAGACTTGGAGAATTATTTTTTAAAAATCACATAAGGTTTTATTGTTGAGAGAAAGATTTAGGCCATTGCAAAAAGCCCTTTACATGTGAAATAGCGTCTTAAGTAAAAACAAAACAAAATAAAAATTGAAGCATTTCCATAAAATAAGTGTAATTTGTTTGCAAGCTCTGTAGTAAATTATATGCTTAATAGCAATTTTACTTTCCATATTCAATACATGATAAATATGTTCTCCAGAAGATGTGTATCTATGGTTTTTAAAATTACACTTAACATTTTTTATTCTTAAAAGGATAAAGCAGCAAGTTTTATCGTTAATACACATTGTTTCTAGTTTTTAAATTTATTGTCAAGTGCAAAAACAGAGCAACTGAATATATTTGATGTGTTTTGTAATCCTAAGTAATATTTTATGTAATGTAAAGAACATAATGAAAGGAACACTGGACTTTTTGGTCTTGTTTGGCTCTGTCACTAATTAATTTGCTATCAGAGTCTCCTCATCTTATGTGAGCCTTGGTTTTCTTCTCTTTAAAATCTAGGGGAGTGGACTAAGGTGTTGCTACTCAAAGTGTGTTCCATAAACCAGCAGTGTTAGTATCACCTGGGAGCTTGTTAGAAATGCAGATTCTTTGCTCTCACTCTGGGCTTACTGAATTAGAATCTGCATTTAAATAAAATCCTCAGGTGATTCATATAGTGATTATAGTTTGAGAGACACTCAGCTGCAGGAGCTTGCATGTCATTGTGTCATCACATCTGAAAATGTATAGATAAGGAATGTAGCATTTCACATATAAATACTCATATATTTTAAAATGCTACAAAGTATCCTAAAAGCTATACATTTGGTACCATACAGACTTAGGTTAGTCCTAAGACTATCAGTTACTCCCTGTGTGATCCTGGGTAAATTATTTAATTTTTATGTTTTCTTATATGAATTGTTGATAGTAGTAACCATCTCATAGGAGTGATATATTAAATGAAATAAATATTTTGTAATATAACTGGAGTGAAGTACATGTTAGTTTTTCCTTTCATTTTCTCCCCTCCACACCTCCTCATCCCTATCCCCAATTTGTGTTAAGCCACAAACAGGCTGAGATGAATAAATAACATTCTATTGAAAATTACATTAATAACGTGTATATTTGCAGCCCCAACTGAGCTATTAATTAACCTGAGCTGAGCCAGTTAATTTCCTATTCTAAAGTAATTAATTTCATTCTTGAAAGTAGTTGCTCCAAACCTTTCTCGCTTTCCTCAAATACAAAATGTCACCTCTTCCTGCCTTCAGGCGTCTGCTAGGCCAACTCAGTGATCTTCAGGAGAGGGGAGGCAGAAGACATCAAGACCTGAAACTACAATTACCTATATGGGTAGGAAAACATGAAAGGGCAGCCCCAAACACACGTTTACACCATCCCTTCAGGCTCAGGCAAATAACCACGGAGTGTCACAGGGTGAAGAGCAGGGTTGAAGACAGAGGTAGATTCTAGCAGAGAGTGAAGAATTCGGAATGCATGATCTTACTACAGATCATGGCCCATGTCTCTTTGTTTCACTGATAGATACTCAATGCCTGGCACAATACCTGGAATTAATATGTGCTCAATAGATATTTCTTGATGCGTCAATCAAGGTGAAGCTGAAGAGCAAACCAGCTAACATGAACAACGGGACGTAAGGGAGGTTTTATTCTCGAGTAATAAGACCCCATTAGATGGATGAGGGAGCTGAAAAATAAGACCGTACCTAAAGCTGGGAAAGGTGCAAGGTTCCAGGCAAGATACCAAAAACCAAAGATGAAAGCAGAAAAGATGGAAGTAGAATCACTGGATTCAGGCTCAGGAATGACGAAGAAGCGAGTTATCAAAATCTGGCTTCGCAGCAGTACAAGACCCCTGGCAAAAACCATTTGGATGCATTAAAAGGGACCAGGAAGCTAGAGGAAAGACATCTAGACTAAAAGGAAATTCCCAGGTGTTTTTACATGGTATCTGGGATTTATTTTAGTTAGGTGTGGTAAGACACACAGACACAAAAGTGATTGTCATGAAGGAAGAAGTTATTTATACTCACAGCTCCCTAGAGAGGTGGGGAGTCATGGCATCCACACAGGGCCACATGAGCAACACCAAGGCCAAGTGAATGGGAAGAAGAAGGAACTAGGAGCTAAAGTCTTTATTGCAGTTACAGTGAGAAGTAGGGAAAAATGTTTTGCCTTGTTGTAGGCATAAGATACAGATGTGTTTAAATGTACTTGGTCATTGTACACTATAAACTGCACACCCCTATAAAAGGGAAGTGACACAGCTAGGCCCAGAGTGGTAAGCAAGGGCAGCAGTTAAGAGTGTGGCCTATGGAAGGATACCAAATGGTCAAGTACAGAAAATAAACACCTGGGCTAGGTCAGGGAAAAGGGTCCTACAGACTTGTAGGTCCTGGTGAGGTGTAGGTACCCTCTGTACTGGCAGCATCCTGGGAAGGTGACTGAAAATCAGAGAGGAATGGTTGGTGGTTCCCAGCCTCAACAAAGGTCCCTGGGCAATTGGTACAGTCTAAAGGCACTGACCTTGAAGGGACCTTGTGGGTTGAGACAGTGGTTGTCACCATGGTACCCGGTGTGAAAAGATGATACTCTGGCACTAATGCTGCTGGATATTGCCATAATCATGGGAAAAAAATGGGAAGCCCCAATTGGGATTAAGATTAAATTTCTTATATGCTCTTTGGGGCTAGAAATTCATCTGAAATTGAGGAGATTCTTCTCAGAAAGTTGTTTTGGCTCTGCTTAGATGCAGAGGCACATTTCTCCCAGACAACTGGGTTCTTGTTTCAACAATATTAAATACTTCATCCTTTTCCCACTAGTTTGAAGTGTTGCCTTTTACCAAATATTAAGCTTTGATATATTATTTAGTCCAGTAGTTCTTCAACTTTTTGGCTGCAAATGCTTTTGAACTCTTAATATTTTCTGAGCATCTCACAGAGCTTTAGTTTGTGTGAGTTATAGCTATTGATATTTATCACTTTAGAAATTAAAACTAAGAAATACTTAAAATTTTATCAATTCATTAAAAACAGCAATAACAAACCTATTACATGTTAACATAATAGCATATTTTTATGAAAAGTAACCTTATTTTTCTACAAAGAAAACTCCTGAGAAAAGTGGCATTATTTCAGTGTTTTTGCGAATCTTTTAATGTCTGGTCTCATAGGAGAAGATAGCTGGATTCTCATATCTGCTACTTCAATCTGCTGTGATATTTTGTTTTCCTTTAAAAAAATCAGGTATCACGCAGGTGATATATAATTGACTAAGGGAGGACCCTGCAGACATCTGAGAGGGTCTCAGGAGCCTCTGGGGGTGCTTGGACCACATGTTGAGAACTGCTTTAGTTTACTTATAGGTTTTTCTACTCACTTCTTCTATTCATCTATCTACTTCCTGTACTAGTATTTCACTGTTTTAATTAGTGCATGTTTACACTATGTTTAACACTCGATACTAAAATGTCCTTATTCTTTTCTTTTTCCCAGAGTTTTGTAGCTATTTTCACATGTTATTTTTCAGTTCAAATTTAGAATAATTTTAAGAGTAAAAGACATCCTGTTAGAATTTTAATTGGAATGGTATGTTTATAAAGAAATATGGAGAGAATTGATTTACAATGGTAGATTTCTCTCTTTGATATTACCCCAATGTCTTAGAAAGTGGAACAAGGATTTTGGCCCATTGGACACCTTAATGGAGTAGTGTTAATGTGGTGTTAGACACTTTCAATATGAAATAGCTAAAGCGCAAACATCAGAATTAAAACCCTATGAGGATTATAGTCAATAATCCTAGCAATTATTTTTTAGCATAACATTGAATGGTGAAAGGTTCAATGACCACATTCAGCCTATTGAATTTGGTAATTTATTTGTTGTTTCTTTCTTACCCTCAGTAAAGTTTTGTCTTTGTTCTTATGGTCAAAATTTGAGCGGCTTATTTGAAACATGCAAAAATCAAAAGCAATAAAACCTATGACTGTGCTATATAGGAAAGGGTATTAAGTAGGAAACAGAGTACAGAGAGGTTTTGGCTTGCAACTTTAGTTTCAGCCCTTATTCACTGCCTATCTAGAGATTACCTTAATCTCTCGGAGGTCCCGCTTTCTCAACATCTGAAATAGAAATAAGGATAGCCATCCTCCTTACTTCAGAAGATTGAGAGGAATGCAAAGTGAAGCGGTGTACTCTGTAAAGTGTGTATAAAACACATGGTATTTTGCAATGCTACAGTTAGGGAGTTGTAGAACTGGGCCAGCAACTCAAGAGATTAAGCTGGTTCACAGTCCTTGGAATCTTAGGTATTTTCTAGGCCAGGGGTGGTGTTGGGGGCCCAAGCAGGAGGAGAAGTAAAAGTGCGGGGGAACTTGCCCATTTTTCTGTGTAGATTAGGTTTATGGTTTGCTGTTTTTAGCTTGAAGAAAGAGAGATATTGCTTTTAAATGTTTGGACAACTCTAGTTCTAGTCCAGGTCCTCATTCTTACAGATGAAGAAACCAATAAAGCAACAGAGAAATGATTTTCCCATTTGCCCAGCTTGACAACAGTAGTCTCGAGACTAGAAGCATGATTTCATGTTTCATATGTGATATGCATTCAATTTGCTTGAACTTTAATTTAAAAATCTATGCAACATTTAATTATCTTGCCTTTCAGTCTGGAAACCTTTTTTTCTGTTGATCTGTAATCAGACATACACCATACTTTTTATAAATAAAGCCAAATGTAGACACAAAATATAGATGCTGTTTAGTCTGCCAAATCTGCAAGTCTTTATCTTAGAACTAAGGAACATTTATACACAGTAGTTCATGAGTCTTAGTTATATGAAGACATTAGGAAACTTATATCTTTAGGAAAAAATAAAAATGTATTTGACTGAGGTAGCGCTAACTTCAGGGCATAAAGGAAAATTCAGTTGAAAGTAGAGAAATAGATACTTCATGTTGAAGTCTGACCACCTGGAGAAGTTTTATTCAATCTTCTTTATGCCAAACAACCTGGTATTCCCACATATCATGATGAATACTTTTGGTCTGCTTTGATTTTTCTTCAGATAACTGTTATATGGGGACAGAAAAATTAATGGATCAGAATGTTTTTGAAATAAAAGAACTACATAATGGATTCCTTTGCTAAAATTTCTTGATTTTGGCACAGTAAAACTCAAACCAGAATATTAACGTACTCTGGTTTGCGGAAAGGCAATGCTGGCCTCTTTTTGGGAACAGAGGAGGCATATGACAACAGTCTGGTGTTGTGCCAAACCCCTATTACCCTCAATATGGAAGGCATCAGGTTCAATAGGGGGAAGAAGAGACCCAGAGCTAGCAAATGAAACATGGGGTTTTATTAGGTGGCTACATACAGGGGAGAGAGTTCCAATGGCAGTGAGCTGGACAAGATATCTGCCTTACCTATAGTCCAGTGGTGATGGGCTGGGCAGGAAAACTGCAACTGCTTGCAGATAACATGCCGTTTATACAACGTTTTCACTAAACACTCTTCCCTTAATGACTTCCACCTGGCAACCTTCATTTAACCCAAGACTGAAGGCCTCAATACCCTGTACAGCCTGTGTTCCATGGAATGGGCTAGGGACTCGGATGGTCCTCATAGACAAGAAACGAGTCTCTGTGTTGGCCACTGCTGGATTCCATAGCTCAGAATACACATTCAGGTCCATCTTCCAAAGCATACACATTCAGGGTATGCTTTAACTTATTACTATAAGGGACATTTTGCCCTACGCTGGTTTGTGTCTTCTGAAATGGTGTTGAGCGCACAGGAGCAGGTGGCCAAGCAGCACATATGCCTGCCCTGCAGGAACAACTTTCACAGGGAGAACTTTCAGAGACATAATCAGGCATATGAGTCTCTTATATCCCATCACACTATAGGGCAGTGCTCAGCTATCTGGCAGTGCTGGATATTAAATTATGGGAGAGGAACCTAACTCTTTGGCTAAGGATCTGTATAGTTTTTTGATTATGGAAGCACTGGCCCCTGCTCTCTTATAATCAAGGACTAGGATACCACAGTACACAAAGAAAAGTTTTTTAAGCAAATGATTTAAGTAAAAATGTTCACAGAGTTTCTTAATATTCTATACCTTAGTAGATAAGAATGTTTAAATTTCCTCTTAAATTTTTGGCATGGGCTTAAGTTCATACTCCTGAATTACAGAAGAGCGGAAAAGTCAGTACCTTATGAAGCAATGCTTACACATCAGATTTTCAAAATAAACTTTACAGAGACCAATGAAACTGCAGATCAGAAGGTGTTGCATATTTATGCAGACAATATGCTTCCTTACTAATGGGTCTTTGTTATAGAAAATGATTTGTGCTGGATGTTGAGCCCTTTTAAAAACAGGAAAATGTAAGTCTCATTTTACATAGACTCTGTTTTTAATTATAATTTGACAAAAGAAATAACCACATTACTTATTTGATTTGCCAGAACCTTATCTAGCACCACCTGTTGAGCCCAAGGCACTCAAATGCTGACATATTGCAGAGAACAAAATTATGTAGCTGGCATATTAACTAGAATTGATGCCAACAAAAGCATTATGTAGCCTTTGTACTCGAAATAAAACAAAAATACATTAAGCTACCAACTGTAAAAGTTTAAGAAAGCCACATTTAATTATACACAAACAGATCCTCCTAACAAAGAAATAGAATGAAAAATGGTCTTGGAGTTAAAAGGCCAAAGTTTGCATGGTCTACACTGGTAACTATCATGAGCTTAAACAAAACAAAATTTCATGGTACAGTTGATTTATATTAAATATGACAAGGGGATGCTGAACTTGTTTTTATGAACTGATGGGTTCAATAGAGTAACATTTGCAGTGTGAGGAAATAGCAAAATACGTTGCCAGAATGGGCAAAACAAAAAGCTATAATTAGTTATTAGCTTGTGAGTTTATAGTTCATTGGTTTTCAGTTTATGAAGAGTATATTGCCTTTGAAAGTTCACCTGCCTTTGCCTTTGTATGTGTTGACTTGAAGAAAGTGAATACTGAAATGTGCTCCAGACATAAAGGGTGTATAGGTGCCCCCCTCCCCCCAGTTTTGAGGTAAAAGAATATAAAGGCCAACTTGGAAGATGGATGTTGGCCAAAACACAGTGTATAATGTTTGAAAGTATTGATGGCTATATATATTCATTGTTGAGCCCTTACTTTGGGCCAAACATTGAACTTTTATATATATAATCTCATTTATCCTCTTGACAAACCCAAAAAGTAGGTGTTATTATTTCTATTTTACAGATGAGGATTTTTTTTTTTTTTTGAGATAGAGTTTCGCCCTTGTTGCCCAGGCTGGAGTGCAGTGGCATTGTCTCAGCTCACCACAATCTCCGCCTCCCAGGTTCAAGCGATTCTCCTGCCTCAGCATCCTGAGTAGCTGGGATTACAGGCGCCTGCCACCACGCCTGTCTAGTTTTTGTATTTTTTAGTAGAGACGGGGTTTCTCCATGTTGATCAGGCTGGTTTTGAACTCCTGACCTCAGTTGATCCACCCGCCTTGGCCTCTCAAAATGCTGGGATTATAGTTGTGAGCCACCGTGCCCGGCCTCAGATGAGGATTTTGAGCTTTGGAGAGGTTACTTAACTTGCCTCAATTTGCTTAGGTATTAAGCCAATTCTGTTTGATCCCAACATAAGTGTTCTGAATTTCTGTACATCTCTATGACACTATCTTTCTCCAAAAGACGATCTGTAAATTTGGGGATTAAAATGCCCAGGTCAACCCCTGTGACTGGAGTATAGTTCACTGCCTGAGATGTAACAAAAAGATGACTTAATCAATTACATTACAACGTAACTGAATGATAAAAGGGTTATTAATAGAAGGACGACATTCTATGCAGAGGTTAAAAGAAAAAGCTATGTATAGGATAGTAAATAGTGTTCAGGGAAGTACAGAAGAGATGTCCTTCTAGTTCCAAAAAGCTAATATTGATTATTGGGGAAAAATATTCCCGGTGTGAAGAGAAGCAATCCAATTCACGTAGCTAAGCTTTGTTAATGACAATTGAACTCTTATATTCTGATTCTGGGCTCTTCAAGCAAACTTCTCACCTATAATTTAGGCTCTGGGTAAACTGATCTACCAGGAAGAAACACTCTGAGCAAATGATCAAAGACTGTTAATCTGGCATTACTTATTTTATTGTAATTTAATAATTGGTGTTCTAGTTTATAAAACTAGATTCCTCGATTTTAGTTTGCCTGAATAAATCTCTTTGAGGTTAATTGGTAGGATATACTCATAAAAGAGTTTCTGATTATAAAAACATGAGGACCGGAACCTGGAACCCAGTAACTCCACTGAAGTATTACGATAGTGCAAAAGTAATTGTGGTTTTGCCATTTTTTTTAAAGGCAAAAACCACAATTACTTTTGCACCAACCTAATAGTACCCATTTGGGATACCCTTTCTGAGTTCTCTCCCTCTTCAGTATGGCTCCTTGAGGGAAAGCAAAAGCTTTAAGCTTTTTAGTCCAATTTTCTCACTTGCATAGATGAAGAAAATAAGGCAGAGGGGTACAATAAGTTGTTTACTTAGATAAATGATGTGGAGTTCTGATTGTGCTGCTCCGTTTATAGCCTTACTAATTTTTAGTTACTTTAGTTACATATGTTTATTACATACATTTTGTCCTTGTCTTTTGCTCTTTAATTAACAGCTAGAGTTTCACAGATGGAAGCATTTTCACCTTTCCAAATATGCTAAAGGAGTCAAAGTGTTATTTCTTGTTGTTTTAGTATTATTTGCAAACAATGGGACCCCAAGCTAGAATATTGAAAGTTACCTTAAGTTGTAACAATGTGACTATATACCTATTGTGATAGGTAATTTTGAAAAAATATGTGCCAGGCACTTTTAAAAACTTTATGTCCTAAGCTTTCATAACTTTTACAAATGACAAAACAGATTGTCAAGTAGTTTATAAATTTTTTGTGTGTTGTAATATGTTCCATGCTTGTGTTAATGCTCTGCTGTCATTGTCTTAAAGTTCTTTATAATTTTTGAACAAATTATATGTAATTTAAATATAATTTATAATTATTGCCATCCAGCTAATAGTTGGCAAAGCCTCAGTTTGTCTTTCTCCACAGCTTATATTTTTTCTTGAAATATATGCTGCATTTGAAGTACTATTCAACCCAGAAATTCCATTATTGGCTATATACTCAAAGGAATATAAATCATTCTACCATAAAGACACATTCACATGTATGTACATCGCAGCATTGTTCACAGCAGAAGAGTCAGGGAATCAACCTAAATACCCATCAACAGTAGACTGGATAAAGAAAATGTGGTACATATACCCCATGGACTACTACACAACCATAAAAATGAATGAGATCATGGCCTTTACGGCAGTATGGATGGAGCTGGAGGGCATAATCCTAAGCAAACTCACATAGGAACAGAAAACCAAATACTGCATGTCCTCACTTATGAGTGGGAGCTAAACATTGAGTACACATGGAGACAAAGAAGGGACGACAGACCCTGGGGTCTACTTGAGGGTGGAGAGTGAGAGGAGGGAGAGGATCAAAAAACCACCCATCAAGTACTATGTTTATCACCTGGATGATGAAATAATCTGTAGACTAAACTCTTGAGACATGCAATTTACCTATATAGCAAACCTGCCCATGTGCCCTTGAATCTAAAAGTGAAAAAAAGTGAAAAAAGAAATAGATGCTGCTTTTGAGTTAAAGTCATGATATGTAATGATGAATTTTAAAAGCACCATTCAAAAATTGTATATGGGCTATGTCAAATGTTTTCAAAATTACCTTCATAGGCCAAAATATTGTTAAGTAGATGGTAAGAACTTTTACAATTGGAAGACGGTTTTTAAGTGAACATAAAAAAAGGAACACAAAGGAAGAGAGGACCACAAACCAGAAGCGAATGTCCTTTTCCCCTGGCATTGACAGCCATATCAAGCTATCTGTGCTGCAAAAAGATTGCAAAATCTTTATCATGCATCAGAAAACAAAAAATGAGGAAGTATGACTGTGGGTGTGTGTGCAAAGTGATGGAAGAGGCGAGGGCAGTGAAAGAAGGATGAGAAACCAAGTAACCAGGGCTAGCTTTAGGAGCATGCAAGCTGTGCAGTCCCACAGTGCCCTGCATTCTGAATGCTGCACTGCAACTCTCTCAACATTCTTAATAATTTTTGAACAATAGGGCCTACACTTTCATTTTGCCCTGGACAAATTCGGTAGCCAGCCCTGGAGGTAACATTTGTGGTTCAGATGAATCACTTGGCCCTTGGTGTGAATGACTGTTTCCTTAGTATTCTGAAACATTTCACCAATTATGTTTAACAATTTACTTTTTCTTTGGTCTCCCACATTTTTTGCATTTTATTGGTTTAGAGACAGACAGAGAAGGAAATGAATGGTGTTGGCCATCAGCATGTATCAACACCCCAGCAATCTTTCTCACCTTTTGACAGAGGCTGAGGTATTTAGTTGAACGTCAGGTACCTGCCAGCCTCTGAACTCAGAATTTCATGAAGCTATTTCGTTTAATGTTCACAAGTAATTCTCTGTTGGGTATATTAATATCTTCATGTTACAAATGAGGAGAATAGGACTAAGAGAAAGCAAATAATTTACTCAAGGCTTGAATTCAAATCCTGACCATCTAACTTTGAAATCCAAGTTGAATCCCTGAAGTAAAAATACCCCTACTTGTAATGGTGATCTTCAGGACTAAAGAGAATTCTTCAAAATTACAATTTGGGAGAGCAAAGCTTCAGCAAACCTAATGGTATCATATCAAATATAATTAGTGGTATACTATCAAATGTTTAATAGTCAGTTCTTTGGGAGGAGAAAAAGCCTTGATTTATAGAATTTGCCAATTTTCATGGTATAAATCCTCCTGTGATGGCTGACCGCAAGCTACAAATTTACCATCCATGAACACAGCTTGGGAAGAAATATGCTCAATTGGTTCTTGCTAGTTGCATAAGCCATTTCCAGTATATCATTGCTTTTATTCCAACAATATATTAGGTTAATACTTTTATTAAATTTGGAGTATTCTTTTCCCATATGTACACAATTCGTGGGTCATATGTAAGTGTCTTAGTCTTGGTGGGGAGAAGGGAAAAGGGTAGTTGGTAGAGATAGAGGGGAGTTTGTTTTTTTTGGCAGCTGTTTTATTGCTTTTTTTTTGGTTCACTGTTGAATTAGATTGGGGCCATGCTCACTTTTAAGTGTCTTTGAAAACCACTAGCAGGCATGTTGGAAAAGTTTTACAGTCTAGGATCAATTTGTAGAAAATGAGCTGTTAAACAGCATCCTCATATTCACTACATACCAGCTGTAGGGCATCTTATTTGTTAGCATTATTTTCTTATTTTATCTTTAGATCTTAAAATTTAAGTTTTTTTGTATTCAGATTTTAAAACATTATCATGGTTTTTCTGCTAACTGGCTGTGTGAATATATCAAATTTCTGTGGAACTCAGGTAATCTTGTTAAACTGAGCAGTTTACCCTCCAAATCGCAGGATTGAACAATACTGTGTGTGATCCTATTATAACTTAGAATATAAGGAAGGAGTCACTAAAATAAAACTTTAGGCACAATAAAATATCTAATCAGAGTAGTTCTACAATATTTAGTTCCTGAATATTCTGTTCCTGCTTTTTGGATCTCTCAAAATTTCAATGTAAACCAGGGTTTCTCAACTTCAGTACTATTGACATTTTGAACCAAGTGATTCTTGGTTGTGTGGGGGCTGTTCTGTGCATTGTGGATGTTTAGCAGTATCCCTGACCTACGTTCACTAGGCAGCAGCCTCTGAGGAGTGACAATCAAAAAAGCCTCAGACACTTTCAAATGTTCCATACAAGGGGCAGAGGGAGGAGTGGAGTGGCAAAATCGTTCTTGGTTGAGAACCACTTTGCTTACTGTGGTTTAATGATCATTTCCATTGTTCTTTCAATTCATCAAGCATTATGTTGTTAAGCCTATTGCAAGTAGAGCCTATTTTGTTACTGAATATTTATTGAGCACCTATTTTGAGTCAGGAACTATTTTTGAGATAGAGTCTCGCTCTGTTAGCCTGGCTGGAGTGCAGTGGAATGATCATGGCTCACTGCAACCTTGAACTCCTGGGCTCAAGCAATTCTCCTGCCCAGTCTCCAGAGTAGCCAGCACTATGAGTACATTCTAGCAAGCCTGGCTAATTTTTTTTTTTTAATTTTTGACACAGGGTCTCCCTCTGTTGCCCAGACTGGAGTGTAGTGGTGTATCTTGGCTCACTGCAACCTCCGCCTCCCAGGCTCAAGCAATTCCCCTGCCTTAGCCTCCTGAGTAGCTAAGATTACAGCTATGTGCCACTACTGCCCAGGTAATTTTTGTATTTTTTAGTAGAAACAGGGTTTCACCATGTTGGCTGGGGTGGTCTCGAACTCCTGACCTCAAATGATCCTCCTGCCTCAGCCTCCCAAGGTGCTGGGAATTATAGGTGTGAGCCACCACACCCGGCCTTTTGAAATGTGGTCTCCTTATGATGCCTAGGCTGGTCTCAACCTCCTGGCCTCAAGTGATCCTTCCATGTTGGCCTCTCAGTGCACTGGGATTATAGGTGTGAGCCATCACACCCAGCCTATCAGACAGTGTCTTAGGTGCTTACCATGCAGTATTGAACAAACAAGATGAAAATGATCCCTGTGGAGCCTACACAGTAATGAGAATAAAGAGACAATACATAAGCACAACAATTGAGTCTCAGTATTTATAGTTTATGTTAGAAGATGGTAAGTACTGAAGAAAAAAGTATTTATATAAATTAGATAAGAAGGATGGCAGGGAGGGGTTACTGATTGCAATTTTTAATAGAGTAGGTAAGAGAAGGTTTAAGTAAGGTAGTGACATTTGGACAAAGACGAAATTGGTGATAGCCTAGGAAGAGCATTTCAGGAGGAGGAAACAGCCAATGCAAAGGCTATAAGAGAGGAGCATGTCTGGCCTTCAGAGGAACAGCAAGAACTACCTCAAAAATAGTTCCTGACTCAAAATAGGTGCTCAATAAATATTCAGTAACAAAATAGGCTCTACTTGCAATAGGCTTAACAACATAATTCTTGATGAAAGAACAATGGAAATGATCATTAAACCACAGTGGCTGAAACTGAGTGAATAAAAGGAGGTAGGAGGGGAAGTCAAAGGGGTCATGGGGCCACAACACATAGGGCCTGGTAGCATAGGAATGACATAACCTAATATATCTTTAAATATAATCATTCTGGCTCTTCTACCGAGACTAGTCTGTTGCAGGTCAGGAGAGGA
Source organism: Homo sapiens (assembly GCF_000001405.40). Lineage (NCBI taxonomy): Eukaryota > Metazoa > Chordata > Mammalia > Primates > Hominidae > Homo > Homo sapiens. The sequence continues at coordinate 199,610,281 of NC_000001.11, read as the reverse complement.
AGTGGCATTGGATACAGTCAAAGAGACCTGTCAGGAGTCTATTGCAGTAATTCAGGAGACAGATGATGGTAATTTGGGTCAGGTAAAAAGTACCAGAAGTGGTAAGAATGGGTTGAATTTTGGATATATTTTGAAGGAAACACAATATGATTTCCTGAGAATTGGATATAGAATATGAGAGAAACAGAGAAGTCAAAGATGATGCTAAGATTTTTAGTGCAAGCAAATGAAAACAGTGGAGTTGCCATCATGGCAAATGAAGAAAATAGTAGGTGGGGTAGGTTTCTTGAGTGATGTGTTGAAATGTTTATTGAACAAGCAAATGGAAATTTCAGATAGATAGTAGGATAACTAAGTCTTGTGTTTGGGAGGTCAGGGCTGGAGAGATGAATTTGGGAGTTATTGGTGTTTAGTTTTTTTATTTTTAATCTTTTTATTATTTGCATTATTATTTATATTCTCAACTTTTATTTTAGATCCAGGGGGTACGTGTGCAGGTTTGTTAAATGGGCATATTGTGTGATGCTGAGGTTTGGGGTATAGATCAGATCCCCTTACTCAGGTAGTGAGCATAGCACCCAGTAGGTAGTTTTTCAATCCGTATTCCCATCCTTCTCTCCCTCCTGTAGTAGTCCCCAGTGTCTGTTGTTCCCATCTTTATGTCCATGTGTATTTAATGTTTAGTTCTCATTTGTAAGAGAGAACATGCAGTATTTGGTTTTCTGTTCCCGTGTGGATTTGCTCAGGATAATGGCCTCCAGCTGCATCCATGTTGCTACAAAGGAATGATTGCATTCTTTTTTATGGCTGCATAGTATTCCATGGTGTACCACATTTTCTTTATCCAATCCATTGATGAGTACCTAGGTTGATTCCATGTATATGCTATTGTGAATAGTATTGTATTGAACATGCAAGTGCATGTATCTTTTTAGTTGAAATTTATTTTCCTTTCGATGAATAACCAGTAGTGGGATTACTGGATTGAATGGTAGCCCTGTTTTAAGTTCTTTGAGAAATCTCCAAGCTGCTTTTCACAGGGGCTGAACTAATTTACATTCCCGATAAGGGTGCATAAACATTCTCATTTCCCTGCAACTTTGCCAGCATCTGTTTTTTTTTTTGACTTTTTATTAATAGCCATTCTGACTGTTATGAGAGCCATGACTGAACGAGATCTCCAATAGAGTGATTATAGAGAAAAGAAGACAAAGTCGAGATTTCTGTGGCACTCTGACAGTACATAGTAAGGAAGGAGAGGAAGGAAGAACTAGCAAAGCACACTGAAGAGTAACAAGCATTGAGACAGGAGAAATCCAGGTAACTGTAGTGTCCTGGAAACCAAGTGTAGAAAGAAGGGATGATCAGCTCTATCAAATGATGTTGCTAAATCCAGGAAATGACTGAGAATGGACCACTGGGATTTTGAGATGTGGAGGTATATGGCGACTTAGATAAGAGTGATGGCTGTTCACAGCAGGTACAAACAGCCCCTTCAAGACAGCATATACAGACAGCCCTTTCAAGGAGTTTTGCTATAAAGGGGAAAAAGAAATGTGAAGTGACAGCTAGACAGTGAGTGGATGAAGTGAAGATTAGAGAAAAGTCTTTAAAAAATATAGCACAAATATAAAAGGATGTTTATGTCCTGATGAGAAAGATCCAGTACAGAGGAGGAATTACTGTCATAGTATAGGATATGAAGAATTGTACGAGTGATGTCTGATGTCCTTGAGAGAAGTGGCGGGATGAAATTTGGGTACAATTGAAGAGATTGACTGTAGAGGAACTATCATATATGTTTGACAGGTAAAGAAAATGAGACTTGTCTGCCGTGATTGAGCTTTGAGAAATAAGTCGATTTTGTGTTATTCATTATACAGAAAATACAGTATACCATATTTTATTTAGGAAGAAGATATTTCTAAATAATTTTCTGGACATTGGTAGGATTGACTGCCTTGTTCTCGAATGCATCACCAAAGGTGATTACAGCAGCTTCTTTATATCTGACTATGAAAAATAATAGCAGTGGACAATGAAAGATGCAAAGCTATATTGGCTAAGGTGATCCAATTTTATAAATTCATCCTCATTTTAATTAAATTCTTACCTCTTTCTCTTCAGGATGCTATAGATAAAATGGCCTTTGAGAATATACTACTTCTGTTAAGACTTTGCTTTGGAGAATAATGGAACCAAATAAAATGCATTTTTACCTCAGTTTTTTTACATCTGAAAATTACAAGGTAGTCTGTTTATTCAATAAGTGTTGATTTTTTTTCATGGTAGGGTACTGTTCTATTTGCCAAATGGCACCTTTGTATAATAGACTGATCTTTAAATCTTCAAAGCAGCAGAAGCCGTTTTTAAAAGAAAACTCTCACTGAAACTTTATTATATACAGAACAGATAACAATGCTATTTCTTTTTTTTCTGTTATCCTAGTTATTTCTTTATTTTTATTATTATTATTATTATACTTAAAGTTTTAGGGTACATGTGCACAATGTGCAGGTTAGTTACATATGTATACATGTGCCATGCTGGTGTGCTGCACCCATTAACTCATCATTTAGCATTAGGTATATCTCCTAATGCTATCCCTCCCCCCTCCCCGCACCCCAGAGTGTGATGTTCCCTTTCCTGTGTCCATGTGTTCTCATTGTACAATTCCCATCTGTGAGTGAGAACATGCGGTGTTTGGTTTTTTGTCCTTGCGATAGTTTACTGAGAATGATGATTTCCAATTTCATCCATGTCCCTACAAAGGACATGAACTCATCATTTTTTATGGCTGCATAGTATTCCATGGTGTATATGTGCCACATTTTCTTAATCCAGTCTATCATTGTTGGACATTTGGATTGGTTCCAAGTCTTTGCTATTGTGAATAATGCCGCAATAAACATACGTGTGCATGTGTCTTTATAGTAGCATGATTTATAGTCCTTTGGGTATATACCCAGTAATGGGATGGCTGGGTCAAATGATATTTCTAGTTCTAGATCCCTGAGGAATCGCCACACTGACTTCCACCATGGTTGAACTAGTTTACAGTCCCACCAACAGTGTAAAAGTGTTCCTATTTCTCCACATCCTCTCCAGCACCTGTTGTTTCCTGACTTTTTAATGATTGCCATTCTAACTGGTGTGAGATGGTATCTCATTGTGGTTTTGATTTGCATTTCTCTGATGGCCAGTGATGATGAGCATTTTTTTCATGTGTCTTTTGGCTGCATAAATGTCTTCTTTTGAGAAGTGTCTGTTCATATCCTTTGCCACTTTTTATGGGGTTCTTTGTTTTTTTCTTGTAAATTTGTTTGAGTTCATTGTAGATTCTGGATATTAGCCCTTTGTCAGATGAGCAGCTTGCAAAAATTTTCTCCCATTCTGTAGGTTGCCTGTTCACTCTGATGGTAGTTTCTTTTGCTGTGCAGAAGCTCTTTAGTTTAATTAGATCCCATTTGTCAGTTTTGGCTTTTGTTGCCATTGCTTTTGGTGTTTTAGACATGAAGCCCTTGCCCTTGCCTATGTCCTGAATGGTATTGCCTAGGTTTTCTTCTAGGGTTTTTATGGTTTTAAGTCTAACATTTAATTCTTTAATCCATCTTGAATTAATTTTTGTATAAGGTGTAAGGAAGAGATCCAGTTTCAGCTTTCCACATATGGCTAGCCAGTTTTCCCAGCACCATTTATTAAATAGGGAATCCTTTCCCCATTTCTTATTTTTGTCAGGTTTGTCAAAGATCAGATGCTTGTAGATGTGTGGTATTATTTCTGAGGGCTCTGTTCTGTTCCATTGGTCTATATCTCTGTTTTGGTACCAGTACCATGCTGTTTTGGTTACTGTAGCCTTGTAGTATAGTTTGAATCAGGTAGCGTGATGCCTCCAGCTTTGTTCTTTTGGCTTAGGATTATCTTGGCAATGCCAGCTCTTTTTTGTTTCCATATGAACTTTAAAGTAGTTTTTTCCAATTCTGTGAAGAAAGTCAGTAGTAGCTTGATGGGGATGGCATTGAATCTATAAATTATCTTGGGCAGTATGGCCATTTTCATGATATTGATTTCCTATCCATGAACATGGAATGTTCTTCCGTTAGTTTGTGTCCTCTTTTATTTCATTGAGCAGTGGTTTGTAGTTATCCTTGAAGGGTCCTTCACATCCTCTGTAAGTTGGATTCCTAGGTATTTTATTCTCTTTGAAGCAACTGTGAATGGGAGTTCACTTATGATTTGGCTCTCTGTTTGTCTGTTATTGGTGTATAAGAATGCTTGTGATTTTTGCACATTGATTTTGTATCCTGAGACTTTGCTGAATTTGCTTATCAGCTTAAGGAGATTTTGGGCTGAGATGATGGGGTTTTCTAGATATAAAATCATGTCATCTGCAAACAGGAACGATTTGACTTCCTCTTTTCCTAATTGGATACCTTTTATTTCTTTCTCCTGCCTGATTGCCCTGGCCAGAACTTCCAACACTATGTTGAATAGGAGTGGTGAGAGAGGGCATCCCTGTCTTGTGCCAGTTTTCAAAGGGAATGCTTCAGTTTTTGCCCATTCAGTATGATATTGGCTGTGGGTTTGTTATAAATAGCTCTTATTATTTTGAGATATGTCCCATCAATACCTAATTTATTGAGAATTTTTAGCACGAACGGCTGTTGAATTTTGTCAAAGACCTTTTCTCCGTCTTTTGAGATAATCATGTGTTTCTTGTCTTTGGTTCTGTTTATATGATGGATTACATTTATTGATTTATGTATGTTGAACCAGCCTTGCATCCCAGGGATGAAGCCCACTTGATCATGATGGATAAGATTTTTGAATTGCTGCTGGATTCGGTTTGCCAGTATTTTATTGAGGATTTTTGCAGTGATGTTCATCAGGGATATTGGTCTAAAATTCTCTTTTTTTGGTGTGTCTCTGCCAGGCTTTGGTATCAGGATGATGCTGGCCTCCTAAATGAGTTAGGGAGGATTCCCTCTTTTTCTACTGATTGAAATAGTTTCAGAAAGAATGGTACCAGCTCCTCCTTGTACCTCTGGTAGAATTCGGCTGTGAATCCATCTGGTGCTGGACTTTTTTTGGTTGGTAGGCTATTAATTATTGCCTCAATTTCAGAGCCTGTTATTGGTCTATTCAGAGATTCAACTTCTTCCTGGTTTAGTCTTGGGAGGGTGTATGTGTCCAGGAATTTATCCATTTCTTCTTGATTTTCTAGTTTATTTGCATAGAGGACTTTATAGTATTCTCTAATGGTAGTTTGTATCCTTGTGATCGATGGTGATATCCCCTTTATCATTTTTTATTGCGTCTATTTGGTTCTTCTCTCTTTTCTTCTTTATTAGTATTGCTAGCGGTCTATCAATTTTGTTGATGTTTTCCAAAAAGCAGCTCCTGGATTCATTGATTTTTTGAAGGGTTTTTTGTGTCTCTATCTCCTTCAGTTCTGCTCTGATCTTAGTCGTTTCTTGCCTTCTGTAGATTCTGGATATTAACCCTTTGTCAGAGGAATAGATTGCAAAAATTTTCGCTCATTGAGTAGGTTGTCTGTTCACTCTAATAATTGTTTCTTTTGCTGTGCAGAAGCTCTTTAGTTTAATTAGATGCCATTTGTCAATTTTGGCTCTTGTTGCCATTGCTTTTGGTGTTTTAGTCATGAAGTCTTTGCCCATGCCTATGTCCAGAATGGCATTGCCTAAGTTTTCTTCTAGGGTTTTTATGGTTTTAGGTCTTATGTTTAAGTCTTTAACCTATCTTGAGTTAATTTTTGAATAACATGTAAGGAAGGAGTCCAGTTTCAGTTTTCTGCATATGGCTAGCCAGTTTTCCCAACAACATTTATTAAATAGTGAATCCTTTCCCCATTGCTTGTTTTTGTCAGATTTGTCAAAGATCAGATGGTTGTAGATGTGTGGCATCATTTCTGAGGCCTGCGTTCTTTTCCATTGGTCTATATATGTGTTTTGGTACCAGTACCATTTTTTTTTTTTGGTTATTGTAGCCTTGTAGTACAGTTTGAATTCAGGTAGCATGGTGTTTCCAGGGTTGTTCTTTTTGCTTAGGATTCTCTTGGCTATACAGGTTCTTTTTTGGTTCCATATGAAATTTAATGTAAGGTTTTCTAATTCTGTGAAGAAAGTCAATGGTAATTTGATGGGGATAGCCTTGTATCTATAAATTACTTTGGGCAGTATGGCCATTTTCATGATATTGATTCTTCCTATCCATCAGCATGGAATGTTTTTCCACTTGTTTGTGTCCTCTCTTATTTCTTTGAGTAGTGGTTTGTAGAGGTCCTTGAAGAGGTCCTTCACATCCCTTGTAAGTTGGATTTCTAGGTATTTTACTCTCTTGTAGCAATTGTGAATAGGAGTTCACTCATGATTTGCCTCTCTGTTTGCCTGTTATTGCTGTTTAGGAATGCTTGGGATTTTTGCAGATTGATTTTGTATCCTGAGACTTTGCTGAAATTGCTTATCAATTTAAGGAGATTTTGGGCTGAGATGATGGGTTTTCTAAATATAGAGTCAGGTCGTCTGCAAACAGAGACAGTTTGACTTCGTCTGTTGCTATTTGAATGCCCTTTATTTCTTTCTCTTGCCTGATTGCCCTGGCCAGAACTTCCAATACTATGTTGAATAGGAGTGGAGAGAGAGGGCTTCCTTGTCTTGTGTCGGTTTTCAAAGGGAATGCTTCCAGCTTTTGCCCATACAGTATGATATTGGTTGTGGATTTGGCATAAATAGCTCTTATTATTTTGATATATGTTCCATCAATAACTAGTTTATTTAGAGTTTTTAACATGAAGGGCTGTTGAATTTTATCAAAGGCCTTTTCTGCATCTATTGAGATAATCATGTGGTTTTTGTCATTGGTTCTGTTTATGTGATGGGTTATGTTTATTGATTTGTGTTTGTTGAACCAGCCTTGAATCCCAAGGATGAAGCTGACTTGATGGTGGTGATACATTTTTTGATGTGCTGCTGGATTTGGTTTGCCAGTATTTTATTGAGGATTTTTGCATCGATGTTCATCAGGGAAGTTGGCCTGAAATTTTCTTTTTTTGTTGTGTCTCAGCCAGGTTTTGATATTAGGATGATGCTGGCCTCATAAAAAGAGTTAGAGGGTAGTCCCTCTTTTTCTGTTTTTTGGAATAGTTTCAGAAAGAATGGTACCATCTCCTCTTTGTACCTCTGGTAGAATTCGGCTGTGAATCCGTCTGGTCCCGGGCTTTGTTTTGGTTGGTAGGCTATTAATTACTGCCCCAATTTCAGAACTTGTTATTGGTCTATTCAAGGATTCAGCTTCTTCCTGGTTTAGCCTTGGGAGGATGTAGGTGTCCAGGAATTTATCCATTTTTCTAGATATTCTAGTTTATTTGTGTAGACGTGTTTATAGTATTCTCTGATGGTAGTTTGTATTTCCATGGGATTGGTGGTGATATTCCCTTTATCATGTTTTATTGTGTCTATTTGATTCTTCTTTCTTTTCTTCTTTATTTGTCTTGGCTAGCAGCCTATTTTGTTAATCTTTTCAAAAAACCAACTTCAGGATTCACTGATTTTTTGAAGGCTTTTTCATGTCTCTATCTCCTTCAGTTCTGTTCTGATCTTAGTTATTTCTTGTCTTCTGCTAGCTTTTGAATTTGTTTGTTCTTGCTTCTCTAGTTCTTTTGATTGTGATGTTAAGGTGTCGATTTAGATCTTTCCTGCTTTCTCCTGTGGGCATTTAGTGCTATAAATTTCCCTCTAAATGCTGCTTTAGCTGTCTTCCAGAGATTCTGGTACTTTGTGTCTTTGTTCTCATTGGTTTCAAAGAACTTACTTATTTCTTCCTTAATTTCGTTATTTACCCAGTAGTCATTCAGGATCAGGTTGTTCAGTTTCCATGTAGTTGTGCGTTTTTGAGTGAGTTTCTTAATCCTGAGTTCTAATTGGATTGCACTGTGGTCTGAGAGACTGTTATGATTTCCATTCTTTTGCATTTGCTGAAGATTGTTTTACTTCCAATTGTGTGGTCAATTTTAGAGTAAGTTTGATGTAGTGCTGAGAAGAATAAATATGTTCTGTTGATTTGGGGTGAAGAGTTCTGTAGATGGCTATTAGGTCCACTTGGTCCAGCAATGAGTTCAAGTTCTGAATGTCCATGTTAATTTTCTGTCTCATTGATCTTTCTAATATTGACAGTGGAATTTTAAAGTCTCCAGTTATTACCACAGCTATATAGTTTTAAAGTCTACAGTTATTACTGTGTGGGAGTCTAAGTCTCTTTGTAGGTCTCTATGAACTTGCTTTATGAATCTGGGTGCTCATATTGGGTGCATATATATTTAGGATAGTTAGCTCTTCTTGTTGCCTTGACCCGTTTACCATTATGTAATGCCCTTCTTTGTCTTTTTTGATGGTTGAAAGTCTGTTTCATCAGAGACTAGTATTGCAACCCCTCCTTTTTTTTGCTTTCCATTTGCTTGGTAATCTTCCTCCATTCCTTTATTTTGAGCCTATGTGTGTCTTTGCACATGAGCTGGGTCTCCTGAATACAGCACACCGATGGATCTTCACTCTTTATCCAATATGCTAGTCTGTGTCTTATCCAATATGCTAGTCCAATATGCTAGTCTGTGTCTAAACAGGCATTTAGTCTGTTTCATTTAAGGTTAATATTGTTATGTGTGAATTTGATCCTGTCATTATGATGCTAGCTGGTTATTTTGCCTGTTAGTTGATGCAGTTTCTTCATCATGTCAATGTTCTTTACAATTTGGTATGTTTTTGCAGTGGTTGGTACTGGTTTTTCCTTTCCATATTTAGTGCTTCCTTCAGGAACTCTTGTAAGGCAGGCCTGGTGGTGACAAAATCTCTCAGCATTTGCTTGTCTTTAAAGGGTTTTATTTCTTCTTTGCTTATGAAGCTTAGTTTGCCTGGATATGAAATTCTGGGTTGAAAATTCTTTTCTTTAAGAATGTTGAATATTGGCCCCACTCTCTTCTAGCTTGTAGGGTTTCTGCAGAGAGATCTGCTGTTAGTCTGATGAGCTTCCCTTTATGTGTAACCCAACCTTTCTCTCTGGCTGTCCTTCACATTTTTTCCTTCATTTCAATCTTGGTGAATCTGATGATTATGTGTCTTGGGGTTGCTCTTCTCAGGGAGTATCTTTGTGGTGTCCTATATATTTCCTGAATTTGAATGTTGGCTTGTCTTGCTAGGTTGGGGAAGTTCTGCTGGATAATAACCTGGAGTGTGTTTTCCAGTTTGGTTCCCTTCTCCTCGTCATTTTCAGGCACACCAATCAAATGTAGGTTTGGTCTTTTTACATAGTGCCATATTTCTTGGAGGCTTTGTTCTTTTCTTTTCATTCTTTTTTTCTAATCTTGTCTTCATGCTTTATTTCATTAAGTTGATCTTCAATCTTTATATCCTTCTGCTTGATTGATTTGGCTATTGATACTTGTGTATGGCTTCACAAAGTTCTTGTGCTGTGTGTTTCAGCTGCATCATGTCATTTATGTTCTCTAAACTGGTTATTCTAGTTAGCAATTCCTCTAACCTTTTTTCAAGGTTCTTAGCTTCCTTGCATTGGGTTAGAACAGGCTCCTTTAGCTCAGAGGAGTTTGTTATTAGCCACCTTCTGAAGCCTACTTCTGTCAGTTTGTGAAACTCATTCTCCATCTAGTTTTGTGTCCTTGCTGGTGAGGAGTTGTGATCCTTTGGAGGAGAAGAAGCGTTCTGGTTTTTGGTATTTTTAGCCTTTTTGCTCTGGGTTTTCCTCATCTTCGTGGATTTATCTAACTTTGGTCTTTGATGTTGGTGACCTTTGGATGGGGTTTCTGTGTGGAGTCCTTTTCATTGATGTTGATGCTATTTCTTTCTGTTTGTTAGTTTTCCTTCTAATAGTCAGGCCCCCTCTTTTGCAGGTCTGCTAGAGTTTGCTGGAGGTCCACTCCAGACCCTGTTTGCCTGGGTATCACTAGCAGAGGCTGCGAAACAGCAAAGATTGCTGCCTATTTCTTATTCTGGAAGCTTTGTCCCAGAGGGGCACCCATCAGATGCCAATTGGAGCTCTCCTGTATGAAGTGCCTGTTGACCCCTGCTGGGAGGTATCTCCCAGTCAGGAGGCATGGGGGTCAGGGACCCACTTGAGGAGGCAGTCTGTTCCTTAGCAGAACTTGAGCACTGTGCTGGGAGATTTACTGCTCTCTTCAGAGCCAGCAGGCGGGAACGTTTAGGTCTGCTCAAGCTGGGCCCACAGCTGCCCCTTCCTACAGGTGCTCTGTCCCAGGGAGATGGGAGTTTTATCTATAAGCCCCTGACTGGAGCTGCTGCCTTTCTTTCAGAGATACCCTGCCCAGAGAGGAGGAATCTAGAGAGGCAGTCTGGCTACAGCAGCTTTGCTGAGCCATGGTGGGCTTCACCCATTCATACTTCTGGGAGGCTTTGTTTTCATTGTGAGGGGGAAAACTTCCTACTCAAGCCTCAGTAATGGTGGACGCCCTTCCCCCCACCAAGCTTGAGCATCTCAGGTTGACTTCAGACTGCTGTGCTGGCAGCAGGAATTTCAAGCCAGTGGATCTTAGCTTGCTGGGCTCCCTGGGGTTGGGATCCACTGAGCTGGACCACTTGGCTCCCTGGCTTCAGCCCCCTTTCTGGGGGAGTGAACAGTTTTATCTTGCTGGCATTCCAAGCAAGGGGTATGAAAACAAACAAACAACAACAACAACAACAAAAAACACACAAAAAACTCCTGCAGCCAGCTTGGTGTCTGTCCAAACGACCACCCAGTTCTGTACTTGAAACCCAGGGCCCTGATGGTGTAGGCACCCTGGGGAATCTCCTGGTCTGTGGGTTGCAAAGTCTGTGGGAAAAGCATAGTATCTGGCCCAGAATGCACTGTTCCTCAGGGCATAGTCCCTGAGGGCTTCTCTTGGCTAGAGGAGGGAGTTCTCCAACCCCTTGCACTTCTTGGGTTAGGCGATGCCCCACCCTGCTTCAGCTCGCTCTCGGTAGGCTGCACCCACTATCTAACCAGTCCCAGTAAGATGAGCTGGGTACCTTAGTTGGAAATGCAGAAATCACCCACCTTCTGCGTTGATCTCACTGGGAGCTGCAGATCAGAGCTATTTCTATTCAGCCATCTTGCCAGCCTTTTCTAGCTATTGAATTAGCAATGAATTATTGTTAACTATAATTTTTCTACTCTACTATCAAATATCAGAACTTATTCCTTCTATCTAACTGTATTTTTCTATTTATTAACCAATTTCTCTTCGTCTCCCCTGTTCCCTTCCCAGCCTCTGGTAAGCACCATACTGCTCTCTATCTTCATGAGATCCACTTTTTAACTCCCACATAAGAGTGAGAGCACGTGATATTTGTCTTTGTGTCTGGATTATTTTACTTAACATAATGACCTCCATTGCCATCCATGTTGCTGCAAATGACAAGATTCCATTCTTTTGTATAGCTAAATAATATTCTATTGTGTATATATACCACATTTTCTTTATCTACTTATCCACTGATGGACACAGGTTGATTCCATATATTGGCTTTTGTGAATAGTGCTGCAATAAACATGGGAGTGCATATATATCTCTGCAGTATACTAATTTCCTTTCTTGTGTATATATATACATGGCAGTGGGATTGCTGGATTATATGATAGTTCTATTTTTAGTTTTTTGAGGAACCTCCATACTGTTTTCCATAATGGCTGTCCTGCTTAACATTCTCATCAATAGCATTCCCTTTCCTCTACATCCTCACCAGTATTTGTTATTTTTTGTCTTTTTGATAGCAGCTATTTTAACTTGGGTGAGATGATATCTCAATGTAATTTTTATTTTCCTTTCCACTATTATTAATGATATTGAGGATTTTTTCATACACTTGTTGGGCATTTGTATGTCTTCTTTTGAAAAATGTCTACTCAGATCTTTTGCCCATTTTAAAATCAGATTATTTGCTTTTTTGCTACTGAATTGTAGGAGTTTCTAATACGTTCTGGTTACTAGTTCCTTCTTGGATGCATAGTTTACAAATATTTTCTCCCATTCTGTGGGTTGTCTTTTCCCTTTGTTGCTGATTGTTTCCTTTGCTCTGCAGAAGCTTTTTAGCTTGAAATAAATCCCATTTGTCTACTTTTGCTTTTGTTGCCTATGCTTTTGAGGTCTTACCCTGAAAATCTTTGCTCAGACCAACGTCTTATAGCATTTTCTCAGTGTTTTATTCTAGTAGTTTCATAGTTACACATCTTACATTTGAGTCTTTAGTCCGTTTTGAGTTAGTCATTTCTTTGCTAATTTTGTTTCTTTATACTCTAGTAATTAATTTTCCTTCTAATGTACAGCTTTTAATAGTTTTTAATAGTCTGCGTGTGAGAAATGCTATCTTAGTCTGCAAATATCTTAACTTTGTTCTTGCTCTTGAATTCTTATTTAACTAGGTATAAGAAATCTAGATAGAAAGTTACTTTTGTCTCAGAACTTTGGAGATAGACTTTTTTTTTTTTAAAGTGGCTTCCATTATTGCTTTTGGGAAATCTAGTAGGTAAAAGGTGAATTTTTCTTTCTTTGCAGGTAATCTGTCTTTTTCTGCTGGTTATTTTAAGATTGTTTTTCTTCATGATTGCTTTGTTTCATTTCACTTCAATATTTCTGTTGTGAGTTGTTCATTTTTTTTTCATTTTTCTTTCTCTGTTCCTATTGAACTTCATCACTCTTAGTATTTCTGTTGTTCATCGATTTTTGAAAAATTCCGAGCCAGTATGTCTTCAACTGTTATTTCTTTGTATTATCTTAATTCACTCTACCTGAAACTTAACTGATACATATAGTAGAATTTCTTCTTCAGTCATTGATGTCTCAATCTCATTTTTTATCTGTTCTTCCTCTAAATATCTCTAGCTGCATTCCAGGTAATTTTTCCAAGTTTGTCTTCTAATTCATCAATTTTCTTTTCCTTTGTATCTAAATGGCTATTCCATTTCAGTTTTTAAAATTTCATTGACTGTATTTTCATTTCCGTGAGTGTATTTAGTTCTTTTTTACATTGCTATTTCTTCTTCTATGGTGTCTTGTTCTTTTGTCCTTTAGCTGTGTAATCATTGTTATAGGCTGAATTGTGTTTCTGCCTCTCCCTGCATTCATGTGTTGAAGTCTTAACATCCAGTACTTCAGAATGTGACTGTATAGTTGCCCTTTGACTTTCACTGCAGTTACACCCTAATAAACCCACTGTAAGTTGAAAATATTGTATGTCTTTTTTATTTCCAACTTTTAGGTTCAGGTGTACATGTGCAACATGTGCAGGTTTGTTACATAGGTAAATGTGTACCATGGTGATTTGCTGCACAGATCATCCTATCACCTAGGTATTAAGCCCATCATCCATTAGTTATTGTGGAAGACAATGTGATTATCCCTCAAAGACCTAGAGGCAGACATACCATTTGACCCAGCAATCCCATTGCTGAGTATATACTCAAAGGAATATAAATCGCTCGTTATAAAGATACATGCATGTGTATGTTCACTGCAGCACTATTCACAATAGCAAAGATATGCAATCAACCTAAAAGCCCTTCAATAATAGACTGGATAAAGAAAATGTGGTACATATATGCCATGGAATACTATACAGCCATAAAAAGGAATGAGATTAATGTCCTTTGCAGGAAATGGATGGAGCTGGAAGCAATTTTCCTCAGCAAACTAATGCAGGAACAGAAAACTGAATACCATATGTTCTCATTTGTAAGTGGGAGCTGAATGATGAGAACACATGGACACTTGGAGGAAACAACACATACTGGGGCCTGGTGGGGGGTGGGAGGAGGGAGAAAATGTTGTATGTTAAAAATGTATTTAACACATAATACACCAACCTATCAGACATCATAACTTAGCCTAATATACCTTAAACATGCTCTGAACACTTACATTAACCATAGTTGGGCAAAATAGTAATCTAGCACAAAGCCTATTTTATAATAAAATGTGCTTTCAATTTTTAAATTGATATATCATAGTTGTACATATTTTTGAGGTTCATCTGATATTTTTATACATGTATACAGCATGTAGTGGTCAAATTATAGTATTTTTACATCCATCATCTCAAACATTTATCTTTTCTTTTGTGTGTTGGGGACATTACAGTTCTTTTGGGTATTCTGAAATCTATAAGTTATTGTAAACTGTAATTTTCCTACTGTATTATTGAATACTAGAAATTATTTCTTCTGTCTAACCATATCTTTGTACCCTTAACCAACTTCTCTTTCTTGATAACTCCAGTGCTAGGGGAATTTCACCATAAAGGGTTTTTTGTTGTTGTTTAAGATTTGGGAATTTCACCATAAAGGGTTTTTTGTTGTTGTTTAAGATTTACTTTCATTACTTTTATTCCCATAAGTTACTGGGGTACAGGTGGTATTTGGTTACATGAGTAAGTTCTTTAGTGGTGATTTGTGAGGTTTTGGTGCACGCATCACCTGATCAGTATAAACTGCACCATATTTGTAGTCTTTTATCCCTCACCCCCCTCCCACCTTTCCCCGCAAGTCCCCAAAGTCCATTGTATCATTCTTTTCATGTTCATAGCTGAGCTCCCACATAGCCGTGAGAACATACAATGTTTGGTTTTCCATTCCTGAGTTACTTCACTTAGAATAATAGTCTCCAATCTCACCCAAGTCACTGCAAATGCCGTTATTCATTCCTTTGTATGGCTGGGTAGTATTCCATCATATATATATGAGATATATCTATATCTATATCTATATGTGTATATATATCATATATATCCTATATCATATATATACATATATACATATATAGATATATACGTATATACATATATACGTATATATCTATATACATATATACAAATATCTTAATCTGAAAATATCTTAACTTTGCTCTTGTTCTTGAATTCTTATTTAACTAGGTATAAGAAATCTAGATAGAAAGTTACTTTTGTCTCAGAACTTTGGAGAATAGCTATGTCTGCTCACTTTTGGTGTCCATTTGCATGAAATACCTTTTTCTACCACTTTACTTTCAGTTTACGTGAGTCCTTATGTGTTAGGTGAGTCTCCTGAAGGCAGTGGATAGTTGGTTGGTGAGTTCTTATCCATTCTGTGGTTCTGTATCTTTTAAGTGGAGCATTTAGGCTATTTACATTCAATGTTAGTATTGAGATGTGAGGTAGTGTTGCATTCCATCATGCTCTTTGTTGCCTGTGTGCTTTGTTTTTTTTGTTTTTTGTTTTTGCTTTTTAACTTGTATTTTTGTTTTATAGGTAGGTCCTGTGTGATTTATGCTTCAAAGAGGTTCTGTTATGATGTGTTTCCAGGATTTGTTTCAAGATTTAGAGCTCCTTTTAGCAGTTCTTGTAGCAGTGGTTTGGTATTGGTGAATTCCCTCAGCATTTGTTTGTCTGAAAACAACTGTATCTTTCCTTCGTATACAATTCTTAGCTTCACTGGATACAAAATTCTTGGCTAATAATTGTTTTGTTTGAGGAAGCTGAAGATAGGGTCTCAATTCCTTCTAGCTTGTAGGGTTTCTGCTGAGAAGTCTACTGTTAATCTGACAGGTTTTCCTTTACAGGTTACCTGGCGCTTCTGTCTCACAGCTCTTAAGTTTCTTCCCTTCATCTTAATGTTGGATAACCTGATGACAATGTGCCAATCTTTTTGCGATGAACTTCCCAGGTGTTCTTTGTGCTTCTCGTATTTGGATGTCTAGGTCTCTAGCAAGGCTGGGGAAGTCTTCCTCAATTACTCCCCCAAATATGTTTTCCATACCTTTAGATTTCTCTTCTTCCTCAGGAACACTGATTATTGGGTTTGGTCATTTAACATAATCTCAGACTTCTTGGAGGCTTTGTTCGTATTTTCCTATTCTTTTTTCTTTGTCTTTGTTGGATTAATTCAAAGACCTTGACTTTGGGCTCTGAATTTCTGTCTTCTACTTGTTCAATTCTATTGCTGAGACTTTCCAGAGCATATTGCATTTCTTTTTTTTTTTTTTTTTTTATTATACTTTAAGTTCTGGGACACACGTGCAGAATGTGCAGGTTTGTTACATAGATATACACGTGCCATGGTGGTTTGCTGCATATTGCTTTTCTATAAGTGTGTCCAGTGTTTCCTGAAGTTTTGATTGTTTTTTCTTTATGCTATCTATTTCCTTGAATATTTCTCCCTTCACTTCTTGTATCGTTTTTTGGATTTCCTTGCACTGGGCTTTGCCCTTCTCTGGTCCCTCCCTGATTAGCTTAATAACTAACCTCCTGAATTCTTTTTCAGGCAAATCAGGGATTTTTTCTTGATTTGGATCCATTGCTGGTGAACTAGTATGACTTTCTGGAGGTGTTGAAGAGCCTTGTTTTATCTTATTACCAGGGTTGGTTTTCTGGTTCCTTCTCGTTTGGGTAGGCCTTGTCAGAGGGAAGGTTTAGGGCTGAAGGCTGTTGTTCAGGTTCTTTTGTCTCACGGGGTGTTTCCTTGATGTAGTACTCTCCCCCTTTTTCTATGGATGTGGCTTCCTGTGAGCAGAGCTGCAGTGATTGTTATCTCTCTTCTGTGTCTAGCCATCCAGGGAGTCTGCCTGGCTCCAGGCTGATACTGGGGGTTGTCTGAACAGAGTCCTGTGATGTGAACCATCTATGGGTCTCTCAGCCGAGGATACCAGCACTGTGTTTGGTGTATGTTCTGGGTCCTGTAGGAGCAGTCCGCTTCCTTCAGAGGGTCTGTGGGTCCTCTCGGAATTCCTGGTTTGTTCTTGTAGTCATTTTCGAGCTAACATTCACGATGTGAACCTCCACATGCTACTCTGTCCATCTGTGTTGGAGCTGCAATCGAGTCCTGCCTCCCATCCACCATGATGATCATGATAATTTCATTACTTCTCTGTTTGTTTTACCTGACATGGTACTTACAATCCATGCCAAGTTCTATTATTACATTAGTAAGTACATATCAGTTTAAGGTTGCAAGTGTTGCAAATTTTTAACCTTTTTTTCTGAATTCTATTTTATCCAAAGAGGAATTATAACCATTTTGTCTTCAAATGTGTCAAACAAGAGCTGCTGAGCTCTGTATTCATCACATTTATTATACTGAGAAAACTATGTTAGCTTCTATAGATGTTAAAAATGCCTAGGATTATTGCTTTCAAAGTTTTATTCTTCAAACGTTTCTAAAATTTATTTTTGATTCACTTCTACTTTTTTCTTTTGCTTTCTAATATTTCCAAATTTTCCAAGCCCTGTTGCATTTTATTTTCCTCCTTAATCATTTTTGTAGCATCATCAAAGTCAGTGCCATCTCCAAATATAATCTGTAAATGTTCACTCCTCCTTTCAAATAATTAATTAAGATGCTACATAAAACAAGACTTGCTCCTGGCCTTTTTGCCATCCCATTGAATATCTTCTCTCAATTCAGGGTGTTGCCATTTTTTTATTATTTGCTATTTCAGTCTCAGTGACAGGTTGTGTAACCAAATCAATTTGAAAACATTTTCTTGGAGGGCTTTATAATGCAGTGTTTCAAATGTCCTACCAAAACTCAGTACATTGCCTCTACTGAGTTATTTACTGATACAGTATTACTTTTTTTCTAACTTAAAAATCTATGAGTATCTGTTAAGTTTAATATTTTAGAATTTCACTGTTCTTTCTAGTTTTTCATTCATCCCCTTTGTTCAAGGCCTTACTATATTTTTCACATAATGAACTCATTCCTTTTGGAGAAACTGAAAAGGAATAAGGACAGGGAAATTATATCTGTGAAGGTTAAGGAGACCTCTACAAAAGCAATAAGGGAGATATTTAGTAAGGTTTTATGGCCAACCTAAAAGTAAAGTACAGCCAGATGTGATGGCTCATGCCTGTAATCCCAGCACTTTGGGAGGATTACTTGAGACCAGACTGGGAAACATGGCAAAACTCTGTCTCTACAAAAAATACAAAAAATTAGCCAGGTGTGGAGGCATGCGCCAGTAGTTGCAGCTACCTGGGAGGCTGAGCCCGATTGTTGAAGGCTGCAGTGAGCAGTGATTGTGCCACTGTACTCTAGCCTGGGTGACAGAGTGAGACCCTGTGTCAAAAAAAAAAAAAAAAAAGTAAAGTACATAAATAAATTGCCCTTATACTAATTATGACCATTTAGATGTGGCACAGGCATATGCATAAGTATTAATTAAATAGCTGAAAAATAGAAGGCTAGGAAGCTTATCATGTTATAGAAGTCATCTATTCCTCCTTTGTTCGTTCATTCAGGCGGGTATACCAAAGTACCACAAACTGGGTAACTTAAAAACAACAGACACTTATTTCTCACATTTCTGGAAACTGGGAAGTTCAAGATCAGGGTGCCAGAGATTTGGTGTCAGGCAAGGGCCTATTTATCATTGATGGTACCTTCTCACCATGTCCTCACAAGGTGTAAGGACCGAGGCAGCTCTTTGGGGCCTCTTTTATAAGAATGCTAATCCCATTCATGGGAGTTCCACCCTCATGACCTAGTCATGTCCCAAAGGACTCTTTTTTTTTTAGACAGGGTCTCCCTCCTGTCACCCAGGCTGGAGTGCAGTGACGCAATCACAGCTCTCTGCAGCTGTTACTGCCTGGGCTCAGGTGATTCTTCCACCTCAGCCTCCCTAGCAGCTGAGACCAAAGGCATGCACCACCACACTCTGCTAATGTTTGTATTTTTTAGAGACAAGGTTTCATCATGTTGCCTAGGCTGGTCTCAAACCCCTGGACTCAAGCAATCCGCTCACCTTGGCCTTCCAAAGCATTGGGATTACAGGTGTGAGCCACCCCATCTGGCTGGACTCATCTCTTAATACTATCACATTGGGGGTCAGGTTTTAACAAATGAATTCTGAAGGGACATAAACATTCAGACTAAAGCATTCCCCCTTCCCAACTCCACTTCAAATCTCTTGCTATGTCATATTAATGTTCTTATGATACACACAACAGGAAGAACTTCTGCAGTATACTTTTAAGGCTTTTGCAGGCCAGACATGCTTGCTTTTCCTTTTGTCTTCCTGGCATTCTTTCTTGATGTCTTTCCTCAGTTCCTACTCTTTTCCCCTGCTATTTTGTGTTGAAGGGCTGCAGGGCTCAGACCTTGACCTACCTCTTTATTTACACGGACTCTCTTGGTGAGCTCATCTCAGTTGATGCCAATTTCATTTTATTTTCTTCAGTTACTTGATCCAAAAATCTTGCAATTATACTTGACTCCTATCTTTTCCTCCCTTTGCCCATCAATCTGTTAGGAAATGCTGTCTGTTCTGTCTTTAAAGTCTTAAAGTATAACCTGCCCACTTCTCACCACTCTTGGTCTGAGTCACCGTCATCTCTTTTCTTACTAAAATAGTCTTCTAACAGGGCTTCCTGTCTCCATCCTGTTACTTTAACCTCAAATCAGGTGCCAGAACACATTTTTTAAAAAGTAAATTACTATGTCATTGTTTCTGCTGAAAATCCTGAGATGGCTGCCTGTTTCATTCAGGGTAAAAGCACAAATCTTATAATAACCTATAAGACCTCACATTATTTCAAACCCATTACACTTCCATGATTTCCTTTCCCTACCACTCTCCCCTTACTCCCTTTACTTCAAGTACCCTGGCCAACTTGTTGTTCCTTGAAAACATCAGGCAGCTCCTACTTAACAGCTTTGCATTAACTACTCTCTTCACTTGGAATGCTCTTGCTCTGGGGCTACTCTCGCATATCCTCATGTCCTTGCTCTCCCATCACCCTGTCAATGTCTGGCATTGACCACACTATCCAATACTGCTCCCTGTCTTCACCCCTACCTCCTGCACATGTGCCTGATTCCCTTCCCTGCTCTATTTGCTCTCACTTTCTCTTTTGATAATGTGTGTTAAGTCTGTTTTGTGCTGCTATGAAGGAATACCCGAGGATGGGTAATTTACAAAGAAAAGAGGTTTATTTAACTCATGGTTCTACAGGCTGTACAAGAAAGGCATCCAGCGTCTGTTAGGCTTATAGTGAGGCCTCAAAAAGCTTCTACTCATGGCAGAAGAAAAGGAGATCTGCTGTATCACATAGCAAGAGAGATGCCAGGCTCTTTTAAACAATCAACTCTCCTGTGAACCAAGGGTAAAAACTCACTCATTACTGTACAGAGGGCACCAAGCCATCCCTGTGACCCAAACACCTCCCACTAGGCCCCACCTCCAACATTGAGGATCACATTTCAATATGAGATTTGAGGTGACAAACATCCAAACTATATCATAATGTATATTTTAATTATTTTTAAAGTGGATTGACATTTATCTCTTCTTGCTAGAGTGTAAGTTCCTCTAGGTCAGGGAGCTGTGATATTTTGTTCACCAAGACATTCCAAGAACCCAGAACAATTCTGGAACATAATAGATGCTTGGTGGGTACATGTGAAATGAATGAAGAAACAGTCTAGTAAAGGACGTAGACAAAAATAAAGATGATTGCACTATATTGCAATGAATTCTGAAAGAGCTATGTATCAGGTGCTAAGGGAGCACAAAGGGGGCATCTGATCTATTCTGGGGGCTCAGGTGAAGGTTCCTAGATAAGAGGACAACTGAATGGAATCTTCAAATATTAGTAGGCTTTAGTCAGTGGAAGAGTTCTTAGTAGAGAAAATAGAACAGAGACTCTTCAAACATCAAGTTGTGCATTAAATTAGTAGGTTTAGAATGTTGCCTTACCAGTGCCCGGTGAATAATCAGGTGAATGAGATCAACAAAGAGAGGCTGAGCTGATCAGAAACACTGAGTGCAGTAGGGTGGCTGGGCAGAACTTGGCATCAGAGAGATGAAGAACTTCCTCTGATTATTTAAAGATCAATATCTCTTCCCCTACCACCCAAATGAAATCCTGAGAATCTGTTCTATACACAGATAACTCTTGGTAAGCCATTCCAGAGTGTTAAGGAAATGAGAAAGGATGTGATTTACGATTTCAAAAGACCCTCATTCCTCCAGGGAGAATAGTCTGAAGATGAGCAAAAGTGATGGCAAGGAGACCTTGGCTTACTACTACAGTGATTCAGGAAAGGGGAGACTGTGGCCTGCTTTGGGATGATGGCAGTGTCGATAAAGAAATTGAACAGTCCTGCCAGTCTTTGAGGCAGTAGACATTTTAAACTATAATGCTATGGGGTTGCTGGATTACATACTATGCTTTGAAGTGAGTGGAAGTAAAGATAAAATTGCAGGAGAGACTTAGAGTTACAGGTAAAAGGAGAGAGCAGAACTTGGATCCCTGGCTTATGTGGTTATTCTTTTCTCCAACAAATATGTCTTGAATGCTTATTTTTAAATGGTGAACACTAGTCCAGGTGCTGAGGCTGCAATTGTACATAAATAAGCCTGGCCATTTCTTTCTTTAAATTTGTAGTCTAATGGAGAATAGGCAAGTAAACAGGAAATTTTAACATAGCATGATGATAGTAAAGGAATTTTAGGTATCACAAAAGCAACAAATGAATGCAGGGGCAAGAAAAAGTTGCTAGGAATAAAATTTAAACTGATATATCAAGGATATTGAAAAGTAAAGAGATTTGAAAAGGAGGAATGATGAAAGGGCTTCAGTGAAAAAAATGAAGAGACAAGAGAGGTGGGGATCTTCTCAGGCTTCCTAAACTCCACAATGATGCAACAGCTGACTTCTCATATCAAAGATGTCTGGTGAGGTCAAGGCCAGAAGATCACTTGAGGCCAGGAGTTCAAGATCAGCTTGGACAACATAGTGAGACTTTGTCTCTACAAATTTAAAACACACACACACACCAAGTTAGTGAGCCACGATGACATGCGCTTCTAGTCCTAGCTACTTAGGAGGCTGAGGCGGGAAGATTGCTTGAGCCCAGGAGCCCAAGACTGCAGTGAGCTATGATTGTACCACTGCACTACAGCCTGGGCAACAGAGCAAGACTCTGCCTTAAAATAAAGAAGTCTGATATGGCAAGCCAGGTGAATCTTTGGAATCAGCTGAGTCTTTCCTGAGTTAGAAAACTGACTTATCCATTTGTGAGAGCTGTTCACTAACAGTATTCAAAGACTTTCCTTCTATAATCAGAAACAAAAATTTAAATGGAATATATCTGAAACATTTACACATAAAGTATGAGTATGAATGATAACAGATTTGTTTCTGTTTTGATAAGGAGATGGGAGAGTCGATTACATTAGAAAGAAAAAAAGAAGCATAAAGGTGAAACTACAGATCCTTTACTGGACCAATGATTCTTTCTATTCAACATTAATTGATGATGTTTCAGTGCTCTGAATTTATATCTTGATTCTAATGGCAGGGCCTTCCTTGCCTTGCTCAGTGATGAAGACCCCTCTGTCCTGTCCAGTGAATGAATTATTATTTTAGCTGTGGTAAGAATGTTTAACATGTAATCTATCATCTGAACAAAATTTTAGGCATAACAATACAGTATTGTTTACTACAGGCATGATATCATACAGCAGATCTCTAGAGCTTATTCAACGTGTATAATTGAAACTCTGTTTCCATTGAATAGCACTTAGAGAGTGAGTTTTTTTACGCCTCTCCTTGTTTCCCCACTTTGATAACCTGCCTAGTCCCCCAGGACATTCCAGACCAGGCCCAATTCTGTGCTTGCTAATCCTTTCAGTCTGTTGCCTTCCACTGAAATCCAGCCTTCCATGTCTCTGTAAGGCCAACCCCATGTTTATCTTTTTGTCTACACATTACCTGTACATTCTTTTCTTTTACCCTGCCCTTAGTCACTTAATAGCCATCTTGGCTATCACATCCACTCTGTTGGTATTGAAACACTTGTATTCGTATAACCCTTATTTTACTTAATAATGGCCCCAACATGCAAGAGTGGTGATGCTGGCAGTTTGGATATGCCAAAGAGAAGCTGTGAAATACTGCTTTTGAGTGAAAAGCTGAAAGTTCTTGGCTTCATAAGGAAAGGAAAAAATGGCATGCTGAGGTTGCTAACATCTGTGGGTAAGAACAGAGCTTCCATCTGTGATATTTTGAAGAAGGAAAAAGAGTTTCGTGCTAATTTTGCTGTTGCACCTCAAACTGTGCGTTTCAGCCACAGTACATGGTAAGTGATTAGTTAACATGGAAAAGGCATCAAATTTGTGGGTGAAAGGCATGGACAGAAACATGTTCTTATTGATGGCAATTGGGTTTGATACTATCTGAGCTTTCAGACATCCACTAGGGGTCTTGGAACGTATCCCCTGCTGATAAGGAGGGGCTGCTGTACTTGATTTTAGGAAAAACTTCTCAGTCATTCTCACAGGTAGAACTAAAACTAAAGAATGAGTGGAAGAAACTGTTACCCGGAGGCAGAGTTTTGGAATCATATTATCTAACAAGAAGACTCAGGTTTTCCAAGGGGCAAAGTATTCCTAAATTCATTCTTCTATCCTATCCCTATTACCACTATTTCACTGTTGTTCCCCCAAATCACTCTATTAGATCTCAATACATTTTTTTTTCTTGCCTTTAGATAGAAGAAGAATTTGTTTGGGTAAAGATTTAAAAGGCAAATTCATTAAACAAAACCTGATTTTTCCTTGCTGTATTGATTTTTATACAGTTATTTACTTTATGTTTACTTGCCAAGTTCATTCTTTAAGAAAGTGGCTCAAGCTATAGGTAGCTCAATCTATCTACAAGTTTCACTATAATGAAAAATTCACATGATTCTTATGAAAAAGGATCTTATGGCCATAACACTAAGCTAGAATTTAAGGCACAAGATCACTTTTCCATTCTGCTTTTTATTAACTCTGGATAAAATGGAGAAAATACTGGCTGGCCTGGGTACTGTGAGGATAATTTGGTAATGTCTAAAAAAATTATATAGTTTGCCATATAAAGTTAATATTAATGCTTTAAACATTTTTAATACAAAGAAATAAACATTTTTGAATAAATCTATTTTCACTTGGTTGATCAAAAATTGCCATATAGTATCCACAAATATGTGTATTTAAAAATATTTAAATTGCCGTGAGTTCACTGAGGAGAATTTGTGTGACAAAACTGTGTGCAAAGTATGAACATGTTTTCAATTTGAAACTGGCCTGGAAAATGACATTACTGACATTTCCAGTGGCCTAAAATATTTTGTCAACATTAGTTAGAGCTAAATTTTACAAAGTATTCTGGGCCTGCCAAGAAACACAAAGAAAGGACAATTAATTGAATTGCAAATCCAGGGTAATTTGTTAATTTTAGTGTCTGAGTAAATTTCTCAACTTCCTTAGTATGAAAAATATATTTTAAAGAAATCATATGAAACTTACATAAAAATAATAAGTTATATGGATAAATTGTTTATGGGACAATATTTTCTTAACGAGCTACCTGCTTTGGGGTATTATTGTGGAACTTTACTAATGTAAAGTTTATATCATATTAGATCTCACAAAGAGATTTTATTTTCTTAATGTATTCCTATTCTAATCCAAATCTCAAAAAGGCAGCCATATCCAACCTTATTGATGATGTTTCTATATATTTTGTAAGTATGTATATTGTATTAGAGAGCATTGTGACATTAAGAGGAGTACAGTGGCTGTTTCAGCATCAGTTTCATAGGTCTGCTATTCCAGTTTGGGATATGTTGGGGTGAGTCAGAATGGGAGTCACAATGGGGAAGTTGGTTTGTCAATATCCTGGGGCAAAGTATCAGAAGCTTTACTTTATTCATTCATCTAGAAGCCATCAATCTCTGAGGGATTGATAACTCTATAGCAAAACAGAAAAGATTGCTAGAGATCCTAATGTACTAATATCCTCTCTGTTTTTCTTTCATAGAATTACATAGTGATTTGGAAACTAAAGTAAGGAAAAACTTCAGCAATGAGATTTGCTAAATGTTGCAATGTATAACTGAGGGAGTCCGTGTGAGTGTCCTTTCTGTATATCTTTTAAAAATAGGAACAGAATTAATTATCTACGGTGATTATAGATTAGCCCAGTGCAAACAGGAGGACGGATCGTAATGGTGGTTCCTGGGGAATCTCTATGAGGACGCTGTTTCCTGTGGCATCTGTCAATACCTATTACTGTATTTTTGTTGCATCTCTAATCATCACTCTGTTAGATCTTACCACATTTATTTCTTGCCTTTAGACTGAATAGGAATTCATTTTAAGGAATATTTAAATGGCAAATTTAGAAAGTAAAATTGGATTTTCCTTTTCCACATTAATTTTTTATATAGCTATTTATTTTTACTTACCAAGTTTGTTCTTTCAGTGGCTCAAGCCACAGACATATATTCAGGAAAAGCTCTTGCAGATTTTGTGAATCAACAAATATTCAGTATCATGTTTTTATGTTTATTCAGTACCTCTCACCCATACCCCAATATATCAGAGCAGTGGGTCACTGACCATTAATAAAATTTTATTAAATTGAAATTAATTAATAATTTGCTCTTTTTAGCAAGTAATAGTGAAAAGTTTTCATTGCTTTTTATTTTCAATTTACAGCAGGTTTATTGGGAGATAACCTCATTGTAATTTGAAGATCATCTGTATTTCAGCGTATTTTATTATACAACAGTGAATAATTAGAAATGTGCCTTTTAGTATGCATGTACAGAAATGCATAGACAAAATATCAGTGAATCTCATTCATCAAAATATTTAAGCTGTGATCACACCACTGCATTTACTTTGGCAACAGAGTAATGATACTACCAGTCTCAAAAAAAATAATAATAATTCAATTTGTTTATCCTATGCTAACCATTTCCAACATTTTAAATCCTAATTCCTACAGACTGACTTACTATATAACTTAGCTTTTCCATTGCTTTTATAGAAGTTGCTTTCCTATAAAAATGTGAAATTCACAATGCTCATTAATTGAATTTATTATTCTTTCAAGAGCCATATGAATTTATATCTTCACATTTTTATATTTTTTGAATATTTTTTCATCTATAACTTGATTTATAATGAGTTTACAGCAGTTCCAGATGCATTTATACATCTGTTCTTCTAAAACAAGTTAGAATTATTAGTTTAGCAATTAAGAGATTTAATGTATTTTATGTGCATTTCAAAGGCAGCATGGGTGAAACAAGTTTTGTACAGAGTGGTAAATTTGCTATCCTCTTCTTCTTGACAAACATAGTGTAGAGTTAAAAACAAAACCCCTGTTATTATGAAGTAATTTTATATATACAAAGTTTACAGAGATTTTACAGAGGGTTTCTGTATAGCCCAGTTGTCCTTGTTAACCTCACATATCACCCTGGTATATTTAGAAAAACTAAGAAATCAACATTTGCACATTACTATTGACTAAACTTCAGATTTTACTCAAATTTCTCTAGTTTTTCCACAAATGTCTTTTTTTTTTTCTATTCCATGATTTCGTCTAGGACACCACATTGCATTTTGACAAAGTTTTTATTAGAACAAAATTTTAGAATTGGGACTAAATGTCTACTTCCCATGAAGAATGCACTGTGTGTATGTAATGCCAAAACAAGAATCCCAAATCCATGTCAAAGGAGAGAAAAGAATGCTTGCTCTACTGTCAAAGGGTGCCTTGGAAGAAACCAGTTCTGCTACTATTTGTTAGTTAATTTTAAAGCCTTTCTCTGGCTTTCCTCATTTTATTCAGTTGAGTAAAAGTGAGGAAGAAGCTGCACACTTGACTGACTCTCTGCCCTAAATCCTATCCCACTTCTCCCATCTCTGGTAACCCAGTAAACATTCTAACATCTTAAATTCTTTTCCAATCACCCACCCTCTGTAATCTAAAGTCTTCAAGAATGTTCTTGCTGAAGTATCAGTGGATTGCTCTAACAGGGCAATCATTCCTCTATGAAACAAAGCCTGAGATACCCATGCTAGTTCTTTTATATCAGAATGCTTTTATTGGGGAAGGAAGTTTGGTAATGGCTTCTGGAAGTTTATTTTAAAAAACCCAGTCTGGAAAAATTTTTAAATCATTTTTTGTCATTGCTACTACATTATCCACTGATACTGAGGTAATTTTTTGTCCTAAAATATTTTCGGGGAAGGATATAACTCCTTGGCATCCCGGAAAAGCTGTCATTTGACATCTGCCCGATAAGCTTCCCCGTATGGGGCTTTGATGAAAGGGCCGATCCTCCAACAAAGTTTCAAACTGAGGTGACTGTGGAGAAAGCCAACTTTGCAAAAATAACAACTTTTCAGGCTATTAGATAGCATCTTTGGAAGCTATAATTTTACTTTTGAGATTGATTTTCTGATAAATAAACCTGCAGCTTTAAATCTAAAGATTTAAAGTCATATGTTAACACATAACAATAACTATACATTTTAAAATTTTAGGTTGACATTTTAGTCAAATAAGCAGTTTTCTCATATGAGAATTAAAATTCTATTTCCTAGAAATCTATCAGAAGGCTTATATAAGACAATACTACTTCTGAAGTATTAAACATTTTTCCTCTGTAGATCTCATTTATATACTTATTTAACTGACAAAAGTCGTGTAAACTTATTGTGCACAACATGTTGTTTTAAAATATGTACATTGTAGAGTGGCTAAATCAAACTACTTAACATATGAGTTACTTTACATTTTTGCCATTGTTGTTGGTAGTGGGAGCACTTAAAGCCCTCTCTAAATCTTTGTTTGTTTTTGTTTTTTGAGACAGAGTTTCACTCTTGTTGCCCAGGCTGGAGTGCAGTGGCACGATCTCGGCTCACTGCAATCTCCACTTTCTGAGTTCAAGCGATTCCCCTGCCTCAGCCTTCTGAATAGCTGGGACTACGGGTGCCAGCCTCCATGCCTGGCTAATTTTTGTATTTTTAGTAGAGATGAGGTTTTTACCATGTTTGCCAGGCTGGTCTTGAACTTCTGACCTCAGGTGATCCACCCGCCTTGGTCTCCCAAAGTGCTGGGATTACAGGCATGAGCCACTGTGCCTGGCCCCTCTCTAGATTGTGAATACAGTTGTTTTGGAATGATAGCATTACTTTCATACATAAGAATATTCATTGAAACCAAACTGGGAGATTTTATAAGAATATACTCTGCTTATGTTGTATTACTATAAGAGCTCCAATCTTGGGCATTTTAGATAGAGGTATTAGGATGTAGCCTTGTCCTACGAATTCATGTTGATTGACATGGAAGCTATTTAAAAGCTGGTTTGTTCTTGATCTCTTTGCTGTTCTTACTAGCGACCTCTTTTGATTTATTGCCAACTTGGATCTTGGGTTGGCCTATATTCTGAGACCAGACTGTACTTGACCTGAAGTTTATAGAGAGCCCTGGCTAGAGTTATTGGCTTTGTAGCCAGTTCTAATTTCCTGGTATTCTGATCCTTTATTATCTGGTATCCTGCCTGAGTCTTTGACACTTTGTTGCCTAGGTTCAGAACCTGAGTAACTCCTTCCTCTTGCTTGAAACTTACACTCGTGAACCGTGAACCATGAACCGTGAACCGTGAACCGTTTGCCAGATTCTGACCTGAGAGAACAGCTTACCTTCTACCCTACACTGACCTAACTGAGCTGTTTTTGCCTGTCTGAACCTATGGTACTACCCTATCCCTTAGACTGTAACCGTTTTTTTAAGACTAATTAAGTAAAGCTGTAGGAATGGTTGTATTAATTCATCCTTGCACTGCTATTAAGAAATACCTGAGACTGGGTAATTTATAAAGAAAAGAGGTTTAATTGGCTCATAGTTCTACAGGCTGTACGGGAAGCATGGCAGCTTCTGCTTCTGGGGAGGCCTCGGGAAGCTTTTACTCATGGCAGAAAGCAAAGCAGGAGCAGGCGTCCTACATGGTACGAGCAGGAGGAAGAGAGAGAGGGGGAGGTGGTATACACTTTTAAACAACCAGATATGGTAATTCACTCACTCACTCACTGTCACGAGAACAGCACTGAGGGGATGGTGCTAACCTCTTCATGAAAACGCCACCCCCATGATGCAATCATCTCCCACCAGGCCCGTCTCCAACACTAGGGATCATAATTCGACATGAGATTTGGTGGGGGCACAGATCCAAACCATATCAGTGGAGAGGGAAAAACATAAATCCGTAACTGGCTGTGATTAATTAGCTGTAAACTCCATTCCACTTGGACCAGGCTGGACTGTAACCTCTGGATTGATATATCTGAAAAATCTAATTGGGTCCCTGATCTTGACTTTCTTAGTTCTCTTATATCTGTTCTGTTCAATTATTGAGCCCCTATTATAAGTTAGGAATTGGGTAGATGAATATAGGGAATATAGAAAAAAACAGTTCCTGCATTCTTGTAGCTTTGACTGGGCTGAGCATAAGAGACAAACACACAGATTACTTTTTGTTGTTGTTTTTGTTGAGACTGAGTCTCCCTCTGTCGCCCAGGCTGGAGTACAGTGGCGCGATCTCAGCTCCCTGCAACATCAGCCTCCCAGGTCCAGGCAATTCTTATGCTTCAGCCTCCTGAGTAGCCGGGACTACAGGCATGGGCCACCATGCCGGGCTAATTTTTTTGTATTTTAGTAGAGATGGGGTTTCACCATGTTCGCCAGGCTGACCTTGAACTCCTGAGCTCAGGCAATTCACCTGCCTCTGCCTCCCAATGTACTAGGATTACAGGCCTGAGCCACCACGCTTGGCCTCAGATTACTTCTTGAATATTTAATGCAGGCTCAAGGATATTTCCTGGGTGAATGATACTTGAGTTGAGTCTTAAAAGATAAGTAAAAATTAACCAGGCCTTGGGAACCTCCTGGCTGCTGGGTAACATGGCAAAGGCACAGAGGTGTGGACCAACATGGTGTGCAGGAATATGACAAATGCTGTTATAACTAGAGTGTATGTAAAAGTTTTATTTGCTACCTCCTGCATGTCATATTGTGACACGTTAGTTGCAGAGAAATCAATGTGACAAGGTTCCAATGAGGTTAATTCCATATTAGATTAAAGGATTTAGCAAGTAGAAAGTACTGAACTCTATCTTGAGTTGTGGTTTAATTAATTTGCTGTGTTTGGGGTGAGAATTGAGGTGAAACAAGAATCCTCTTAGATAATTTGTTTCTTCATTATGATACCAACTCACTGATTTAATCAAGACTCACCTAATTTTCATAAGTTCTGCTGTGAATCCAGATCTCACAATGACCAGTAGATACATTTCCAGAAGGAAGTAGTTAGTTCTTGCAGTTATTGACCCTATACCTTTACCGATAGCAGGGTAGCTTAATCAATATTGTACAATGAATTAGTTTCTATTCATTGATAAACATTTTTGTTGAGTTGGACACAGTGAGAGAGGTAAAAAAAAATTGCTACTGCACTGAAAAACATAGGACGAAATAGTGGCAAACTATACAAGACAGTAGTAATTCAAATATGTAATGTGTTGTACAAGTATATAGTGGAGAATCTCCTAACTGGGTTAAGTGCTATGCATTCTCTCTGTGTCACTTGTTATCTTGTTCTAGCCACTTCATTTATAAGATGTGAGGGTTTTGATTGATACCTACAGTCTTTTCTTTTATTTATTTATTTTTATTTTTTATTCTTTTGAGACAGAGTTTTGCTCTTGTCACCCAGGCTGGAGTACAATGGCACAATCGCGGCTCACTGCAACCTCCACCTCCCGGGTTCAAGTGATTCTCCTGCCTCGGCCTCCTGAGTAGCTGGGATTACAGGCACCTGCCACCATGCCTGGCTGTTTTTCATATTTTTAGTAGAGACGGGGTTTCACCATGTTGGCCAGGCTGGTCTTGAGCTCGCGACCTCAGGTGATTCGCCCACCTCAGCCTCCCAAAGTATTGGGATTACAGATGTGAGCCACTGTGCCCGGCACTTTTCTGCTTTTAAATACAATGATTTTAGAAAGTCTGTATATGAACTTTGGGCTTGTACCTAGATATCCCAGTGTGTGTAGGGAGCCCTGTATCTCTGCAAGGGGATCCATTAGACCAAGGATATTAGATCCAGCACTTCTCCTTTTTAATGCATGTCATAAGCACATGATTTTATATCATGTCAGAAAAAGGCTGTTGATATAAAGGAAGAGAACAAAGAATGAGAAGAACTATATGAGTCAAACTCCATAGATGAAATGTTGTTTGGACTCAGATACAGATGATTACATTAAACATATTTCCAAGTTCAAGGAAAATTATCATGATTCTAGAATTATCATTTCTTCCTTTTTCTCTTTTATCCCTATTTCTTACTTTTATTCTCTTCCCTTCCCCCACAGGCAGCAGTCCTTTTTGGCACCAGGGACTGGCTTTGTGGAAGACAGCTTTTCCACAGACCAGGCAGGGCATCAGCAGATGGTTTCAGGATGATTCAAGCACATTACATTTATTGTGTACTTTATTTCTATTATTATTACACTGTTATATATAATGAAAGAATTATACAACTCACTGTAATGTAGAATCAGTGGGAGCCCTGAGCTTGTTTTCTTGCAACTTGACAGTTCAATCTGGGGGGTGATGGAAGACAGTGACAGATCATCAGGCATTAGATTCTCATAAAGAGCATGCAACCTAGATCCCTCGCATGTTCACAATAGGGTTTGTGCTCCTGTGAGAATCTAATGCCTCTGCTGATCTAACAGGAGGTGGAGCTCGGGGGTAATGCAAATGATGGGGGGTGGCTGTAAATACAAATGAAGCTTCACTTGCTCACCTGCCACTACCTCCTTCTGTGTGGCTTGGTTCCTAACAGTACTGGTCCATGGCCTGGGGGTTGGGGTCCCTTGTTCTAGAGTGTTTTAATGTGAATCTTTCTATTTGCAATTTTTGTTTCTAAATATGTATTGTGGTTTTGTGTCACTTTATCTTAGAGTTATGCATAAGGTATTGCAATATTTATTTTATTCTGTTTCTTATTTTTTCCCAACTAGATGTATAAGATCCATTTATGTTACTACGTGTACATCTAATCTGTTGCTTAAATCAATGTGGGCATCCACTATCTTTTTCCTATTAACTCTACCAATAATGGATACTCAAGTTGCCTTGGAGATAAACATCCTCATACAGGCCTTTTTCGGGACCTATGTGAGAGTTTATGTACATACACACACACACACACACACACACACACACACACAGAGCCAATGGATCTTGAGGAATGTGAACGTGTATTTTGATTAAGTGCTCCAAATCCTCTCTAAAAATGTCAAACCATTTTACCTCTTCCCAAGCAGTGCACAAGGATCCTTACACCTCCCTATCACTGTCTTTACTTGGCATTGTCAGCTGTCTAATTTTTGCCAGTTTAACAGGTATAAAGTGCTATTGCATTGGTTTTACCAGGCATGATCAGCAAGAGCCTTGACAGAGGAATGACAATAGCTAAACGAGCTGCCTCTGTTTCTAAATTCCATGAGGCTCTCATTTCTTATTCTTCTGTGGCCATTAAAGAGGGATACGGTTGGGGGAAGATTCTTCTTCTCTGATCCCTATCCCTTCAAAAGCTTAGTTTATGTTATTATGGCACAAAAGGTGTGATAAGAGATTACCTAGATCCTATGTGGTTGCGTAAATTGGAACAATGTTTGCTTGGCTATGTCACTCCAGTAATTCAACCTTCATAAAACGTCCATGGCTGGTCAGAAATTTTCTGGGGACTTAGGTAGTAATCAGCCAGAAATATGCAGAAAGCCTGATCTTTGAGCTTGCATCTCTCTGTAACATACCTCAGTGTTCTGTCTTCCCCTAGCCGTAACTTAACTGCTCCCAGGAGTACTTCTGTCTCCAGGCTATTTTCTCTGCTAAAGACACCCTCAGGTAGAAAGTGTTGACTCTATGGAGATGCATGAGTGCAATATTCTGGCTATTATTTTTTTCTTTGAAATCAGGACAAACACCTGGTTCTTTCTACATATCAACGGGAAAAAAATGTTAAAAGAAGGAACAAAGAGAATCAATTTGAAAAACAGGGAAGTTGAGTCTAGAATAATATGATTTGATGCTTGAAACTATGTTGGGGAGTCAAGTTTCATGAGCATAAGTTCAGATTACCAGAAAATCATGGAAGAGAACTATTCAGATTTTCATATAGAAATTAGAATATGTCTCTTTCCTATTTGAGGTTGGAGCTACTTTATGTTTATTATGCTTTTATGATCCAAAGGGGCTTCAGAGGCTGACCATCACACATAGTTGAGAATAGAGAATTGGTCCTCAGCTACGCCAAAATTAATCCTGTGATCAATTTTGGAAAATAGTAATGTTTTATAATCATTCTCTAATTATTGCTGACACCGTGGCTGGATAAACAAATGGAAATTTACATACAACTTATTGTCCGTAAATGGGAAGCTCAAAGGTGAGTTCAGAATGACTGTCCTTCACAGATCATTGGTTAAATGGATTCTGGGTAAATGGGTTAATTCTAGCTGATATTTGAAACTTAATCTGTATCACTTTTTTTTCTACTTGAAATAGAATGGAAATTCTCCCCTATGAAACCCCAGTGTCTTCTGGGCATG
Organism: Homo sapiens; assembly: GCF_000001405.40. NCBI lineage: Eukaryota > Metazoa > Chordata > Mammalia > Primates > Hominidae > Homo > Homo sapiens. The sequence continues at coordinate 199,576,758 of NC_000001.11, read as the reverse complement.
CTGGGGGTTAACGGCTTCTAGAACCTCTTTTCCTGATAAAAGTCTTGTCTTCTGTGTTACTTCTCTACCGTGTTCAGGCAGGGAAAGGTTTTCTCTAAAAGTTCCAATGTTTCGGTTCAGAAGAGAGGGATTGATGTTATGATTAAGAAAGGGCAAAATTACTTTTTGGGCTAAATTAGCCTATGATGGCAGACATAATTTTACATATTTATATAGCTACTTCCCTTAACCTTTATCCTCTAAAGCCCCTTACCCTTGCTTTCCTTATCAAATAAAAACAATAACATCTGTTTCATACTTCAGTTGATACAAATCATTTCATGTGCATTATCTCATTTAATTTCAACCACTCTTGACATGTTCATGAACATATCTAAACAATTAAAATGTCTCAGGATTAACTATGAAGAGTTCAGTCACCCCTAGTTTTATTGACTAGATGACAAACATCTGCCACCAAGGCTAACCCCTGGAAAAATAATAAAGAGGACAAAATTTGTCTTTTGCTTTCTCCCACCCTGCTCAGCATTTCTTTTCCCAACACAGCCAAACCCTCCCTTCTGACACACCCGATGCTTTCATATGGCCTCCAATTGCCCAGGATTTTCTTTGTAGAAAGTGTCTCCAAGGCAGCCCACTTCACATCTTCTTTTTTTTTTTCTCCTGGTAATGAAAACTTACATGCTTTATATTTTCTCCCATTAATGTCTTTCTCTGCTTATGGCCTATTGCAGTGAACTCTCTAAGGGGCATTTGCATCTTGGATGAGAAATCTCAAAGTCTTAACAGGAAGAAATAAAGCAGCAATGGTAGAATTTCAGATATAGTGATGCATATAATTTAGAAATAGAGAGTCCTCAAATCACAGCAAGTAGGTGACTGCCATTGTCACCTCATGTGAGTAAAGCCCTTTCTGGAAGGCATGGTATTTATAAAATACCTGAATAGTCAATTGAATCTTTTACTTTCACATTCATCTTTCAATATAATACAGACTGAGATTACCTGATTAATATTTACACTCTATTCACACATAGCTCATTTGCCATTTGCAAACAAGCATTAAAAGGTGTTTTGGAAATGATAATGACACTTATGGATTACTAAATCTTCCTATTAAGGACAGTAAAGTTGCTGACATTAGAAGTAAAAATGTATTTACATATGTAATTCCTCCTTAGAATAAAATAGAACATAAAGTTTTACTTGCTTAAATTAATTGAAGGGAACTTATAGATCACCTAGTCCAAGTTCTCTCACTTTCCGTCTGAGGAGACCGAACACAAAGGGGAGAAAGTACTCATGCTGGATGTCACAGTACATTAGCAGAGGCAGTGGGACTAAAGCCCAGGTTTCCTTACCAAACGTTTACATTTTTTCTACAATATGGTTTTGCTGCTCATCATCAACCACAATTGTAGGTTGGGATTGTTAAAATCTTCAGACAAAGTAAATTTCACAGAATTTATTTGAGCAAAGAATAATTCATGAATCAGGCAACACTCAGAACCAGCAGAGGTTCACAGAGCTCCACCCAGCAATACAAGCAGGGAGTATCTATAGACAGAAACAGCAAGTGACATGCAGAAACAGCTACATTGGTTACAGCTTGGCAGTTGCCTAATATGGACACGTTCTGATAGTTGGCAGCGTGTGATTGGCTGAAGCTCATCTGAGACTCAACTACTTGTTACAAGACTATACTCTTAAACTAGGTTGTAGTTATCTACATAGAAACTCAAAGTAAGGAGGCAGTGTCAGACCAAATTTAGTTTAACAGAATGAAGAGTAGAGAGTCTCAAACAGGCTTGCTTGCCCACAACCCATCTCTGAACTGTCTATACCTCACTTTAATCTGTACTCCATACCAGCTCCATCTTCTCTTCCTGATTCACTGCAGCTGGATTTCCTTCTTTATGCCTTTAGCAGACATAATTTCAAGTAGACATTGTGAATATGTCCTCTTCCTGGTCTAAGGATAAAACAAAATACTTTGCACATAGAAGGAACTTAATGCACACTTTTTTTTTTTTTTTTTTTTTGAGACAGGGTTTCACTCCATTGCCCAGGCTGGAGTACGGTGGCACAATCACAGCTCACTTCAGCCTCCACCTCCCAGGCTCAGGTAATCCTCCCACCTCAGCCTCCTGAGTAGCTGGGACTACAGGGACGCACCACTATGCCTAGCTAAATTTTGTATTTCTTGTAGAGATTGGGTTTCTTCATGTTGCCCAGGCTAGTCTGGAACTCCTGTGCTCAAGCAGTTCTTCTGCCTTAGCCTCCCAAAGTGTTGGGATTACAGATGTGAGCCACGGCACCCAGCTCACACTTTTTATATACATTTTTAAGTAAGAAAAATGGATATCACCGGGTCATTTAGCTCCTTAAAGGCACAGATCTTGTTTCATGCTTATTTGCCCACGATTTTATCCTGAGATGCTAGCATAATGATACTGTTCAATAACTCTTTGTAGAATGAAAGAGTAAATAATAAACGACTAAAGCAAGATATTGAAACTATCATTTGCTTTCCAAATAATTTGGAACTTCTCTCAACTGACATTTAAAAAATATCATTCAACTGGCGGTGTTTGGTAGAAACTGATTTTGTGTTGATTAAAATTATGTAATTCTATATTGAAAACAAAGATTGTATGTGCTGATGGTCATGTCACATTTTACTTTATTTCAAATTGTCATATATATATATATATATTATATATATACACACACACACACACATATTTTTCTATTCTCATCACTGGGCAGCAAAAGTCACATTCAGTAAGGATAGATATAATTTACTTGGATAGGATTAAAGGTTATTTTTCAAAGTTCATTTAAATATTCTTTTTGGATTTCGTGTCAACACAGTTCACACTTTTCTCTTATCCTTTCTCTAGTTTTTGTTGAGACCTAGGCAACTTCTTTGGAGGCATGCTAACTGGTTTAAAAGATAGATGACAGTAGAAATCACTCATTCTCCATTGAAAGCACTATTCTATCATGCTTTATTTTGTTCAGGACTCAGCTGACTGCCGCTGCTGACTTTAGGAGCCTGTCAGCTAGCTGATTGCTGAATGAGTTAGAATTTTAGCTCTGCTAGTTACGTGCTGGGCTGGGGACAGGCCTCATGCCATCAAAGTTTGGGCAAACGTCTTCACCCCTATCAGACTTTGTAATTCTACCTGCAAATTTGGGAGAATAAAGCCATCCTGTAGTGTTGTTACAAGGAAGGGGTTAAATGTATTCAATATGTAACTCAGTGCTTTTATCAATATGTTCACATTAGGTGCTCAATATATTGTCATCCTCATCATCCTCGTCATTTCTACTATTCCTAAAGGAAAAAAAGGCTCAACATTCATTTCCTAGTAATTCCTTAAATTTCTAGAATCTGATGAAGTAGTTTGTTTTCCTAACTCAAACTGCCACTGTGGCGTGGACTTTAGTAGAGTGGCCTGCCTTGAAGACAATTTCTTGTGGCAGCATTTCATTTTTACAATGTTTACAGGAGGGCAGCCAGCCAGGAAGCCAGATCAGGGTGGATTCCAGGCACAGGCAATATAGGAAACGTGCGTAAAATTATTACCACAAACTGCCTTCAAAGAATTGTTCTGATTGTCTAAAAATATACAAGTAGAACTTGCTGTAATGATTTCATTCTTTTCAGGATTTCCTCTCTATTTCTGTCGATATTTTAAAAACCATTGACAATGAAGTGAAAACTGTTGCCAAAACTCTTTATATATATGTATTTAGCTAGTCAAACGTGCTGGAAAATTACATCTAGGATTTTGAGACTTAGCCCATCAATCTCAGGTATACTGTTAGCATTGCCACAGTTTACATATAATAAATGTCATTGCTTTTTCTGTCTTTGATCAACATACACACATTTTAAAGTATAGTAGTTTTATAAGTATGCTGGAGTACAAGAATGTATCCTTTTTAGGTTTAGGCTCCCATGAAAGCTCATTTTCAATCCTAGGGACTAGAAGTTGGTACTCAAGTGATTTCTGTTCTGCTTTTGTTGGATGTTATTACTTTGGAGTTATCTATTACCTGCAAGATCCATTGTTTCTCACATGCGATTGAAATAGATCATCTCATGATGGAGGCAGAGCTGACACAATGTTGTACTGGAGGTATTTGGTCTATGGCACACATCCTGTGGCTTGTCCTCTCTGACTACCAACTTCACTAAATATCTTTGTGGTAGGTAGTTCAGTGAAATCAATAGGATATTCGACTGGGCTTCTTACTGAGTGGGAGAGATAAATTATGTCCAATGGCCACTTTTTCATTCACCCAAAAGAGTTTTGTAGTAACAGTAGATGAAACAAGTGGCCTCGAGATCTATCCTTTCTTAAAATCATCTCACTGCCTTAAAAAATACTTTCAAAAACATTCCCAAATTGCTGCTTCGTACAGCATCTGCTTCAAAGAAAAGAACTAACAGGCAAAGTAGATGAATGAGGACTTATGAGTTTCCTTTCATAATGAATGTTGCCTAATATTCCATAATCAGGTAAAGAGGGCTGAAAAAATACAATGTATCAGCTTGAAAACGGAAATCTAGAGGAAAAGCTAAGATTTTCTAGTCCTATTCTACAAGCTGAAGAAGTGAAGAACTTCATTATTTTTTTCTAGTCCATTTGCAGAAGCCTGTCCGTCTCGTGTGGCATAGTGAAAAAAATAATCTCTTGGAAGCAGGAGAATAAACCTGACTGTTAGTAGAGAATTCAAGTAGGACCTTAAACAAGTCACTCTCCTCCTTTGACTATAAGTTTTCTTTATAAAACTAATATGACACTGGTCTATATGTTAACTTTGGGAACAATAATTGACTTTGGCTTAACAATGCAGGCTGACATATCAGTAGGTTAAAAAGCACAGGATTATTAGATAGTAGACTGTTGTTTTGTTTTGCAAACTGATTTTCCAATTTGGGGCATAGTTTAGAATTTCAATTAAAAATATTATTACTACCACTGGAAACAGGTAAAGAAGAGCAGTCATTTTACTATCATCATGTTTTTGGAATTTGCAGTAGTAAATTTATTGCTTTCTAAACTTGAAGAATAATTTTGGGGTCCTAAAATGAAAATACAAACTGGACAGTGTAGAAAATATAGGTGATTTTAAATATATTGTCTATGTAACATAGCCTTCAGCTTAGTGTCTTAAAAATAATTTAGGATAACATTATTTGATTTATTTGCTAAATTTGAGTGGGTTTACACCATTATTTATGTTTCTCATTTATTCAATAGATGTTGGGAATTTACTGTTTGCTAGTTTCTAAAGGAACTTCTATACTTCTCTTTATTTTCATATAAAAACAATCATAAGATAACTTCCATGTACATTTGACTATTTTTTGACCTACAAAATGGTGATTTCACGATTCAAATCTATTTATCTTCTATTTGTTTATCTAATCATCATTGAAAAGAGTCATATTCTATAAAATATTTGAAGAGATTTATTCTGAGCCAAATATGAATGACCATGGCCCATGACACAACCCTCAGGAGATTCTAAGAACATGTGCTCAAGGTGGTCGGGGCACAGCTTGGTTTTATACATTTTAGGGAGATGTGAGACATCAGTCAAATACATTTAAGATATACATTGGTTCTGTCCAGAAAGGTAGGACAACTTGAAGGTGGGGGGCCTTCCAGGCTATGGGTAGATTTGAAAATTTTCTGATTGGCAATTAGTTGAGTTATTATCAATAGAAAGGAATGTCTGGGTTATAAGAAGAAGTTGTGGAGACCAAAGTTTTATCATGTGGATGAAGCCTCCAGGTAGCAGACTTCAGACAGAATAGATTGTAAATGTTTCTTATCAGACTTAAGGTCTGCATTGATGTTAAATGCTGGTGAGCTTATCCTGAATCCCAAAAGGGAGGAGGGCATAGTGAGGCATGGCTGAACCCACTTCCTGTCATGGCCTGAACCAGTCTTTCAGGTTAATTTTGGAGTGCCCTGGCTAAGAGGAAGGAAGGAGTCCATTCAGGGGGTTGGAGGGCCTTAGAATTTTGTTTTTGGTTTACACTATTTATTTATTTATCTATCTATGTATCTATCATCTATCTATCTGTATATAATTCACAACTACTACATAATGGATGTTCAGGAAAAACAGACAAAAAGAGTACCAATAAAGAACTTATTCAGTCATCGTGTATCCTTGAGTATAATCAAGTATGTAAAAATAATATTTCAGTTCACATCAACATAAATATGGAATACATCTGAGGTGATAGGGAACATTAAATCTGTTACAAATCCATCAACCGTATTTTCTCCAGTATGTTCAATTTTCCTGTCTCCAAAGGATTTTTGTGCATGTGTGTGTGTGTGTGTGTGTGTGTGTAAGAACAACTATCAAGTAACAAAATAGCTTGTTTTTCTTCTACCCCTTTTTAGAATAACATCTTCTGACATACCAAAATAGCCAGGAAAGAGGAAGAGGAAAGAGAGAGTGGAAATCAACCACTATCTGAAACTTAGCCTAGGAACAATTCAGAATAGACATAGCAGTTTCCTCCTGAAAGGGAAATATGTTTCTATTTATCTTTTCTTATGATTTACCATAATAACAAAGTACCCCAGAGAGAATTCATACATTTGTTTCTTTTCAATGTGAAAAGTAATGCTATTAAGTAAATCCGTGAAGTCTTCCATCTGATGAGTTACCTTAACAAAGGACTACATATTTTCTATATACCTTGTTAGTCAAATAAGTTGCTTAGGTTCATCTTTATTACATTAGCAGCATGGGGAATTAAATATTGAGCTCTTTGGCTATTAACCATGTGTTTAACAAAAAAAAATTCTTCAAACAGAAAAAAGAGAGGTTATTTTGAGTTCTGAAAGGCTTCTACTAAAGAATGAAAGCTATCTGTTAGAATAGCACGTGAATATGAAATGACTTCACACATTTTGAATTGGCTTATTCTTTTTTGATATATGTACAAAATACGAGCTAACTTATAGCATGTAGTAAACAGCGACATTCAGAAAAACATCAATGTTGTAAGGAGATCTTTAATTTTTTTAAATTAGAAAAACAGATTTGGAGTGCTGACTTCTTGATGAAACTATGCTAATCTGCATAAGACTTTGCTGAACTCTTAACAGAATTCCTACTCCTTTGTAGAAAAGCCCTCTCCTACTATCCACAGGCATTGGTCTTACTCTGAAACTGATCTCATCCTACCATGAGGCAATCTGTGGATGCAGTAAACTCCTGAAGTATATTTCTCAAAGTCTGAATTTAAGCAGATTAGAACAATGTCATTAGATAGGTGGCATCTCTTTTGTTCTCTACTGTATCTCCAGGTCCTAGGACTGTGCCTGGCACATATAGCTATTCAATGAATGAATAATTTGGGGGTGAGGAGTATTTCAGCTGAGTAGTTTTGGTAGACTGTGCTATAATTTACCTAGTCTCTATCAAGGTCTTTGCCAGAGTGAGATAGAGATATAAGCTACTCTACTCATTTTTCCAGTGATCATACATACACACACACACACACACACACACACACACCCTTCCAAAGACCAAATACAACCCTCGAAGTAAGATAGTATAGCTCTAAAATCTTCAACGTTATAATGTGTCCTTTGACATTTAGCACACTTGTCTATATTCTTTCTCGTATCAATGTAATAATGCCTGCTTTTTTTTTTTTCTTTTTGAGACAGGGTCTTAACTCTGTCACCCAGGCTGAGAGTGCAGTGGCGTGATTTCTCCTCACTGCAAACCCTGCCTCCTGTGCTCAAGCAATTCTATTGCCTCAGCCTCCCAAGTAGCTGGGATTACAGGCATGGGCCACCGCGCCTGGCTAATTTTTATATTTTTTTGTAGAGACGGGGTTTCATCATTTTGTCCAGGCTGGTCTCAAATTACTGACCTCAAGTAATGCACCCGGCTCAGCCTCCTAAAGTGCCGAGATTACAGGTGTGAGCCACCACACCTGGCCTGCTTTTTCTAAGTGCATATTTGTTTGTTATGTCTTTGTCCTACGGCAATGGCAGACTCATTAGACTGTAAGGGAACTCAGCCAGCCTTGAAATGAGAGATTCTCTGGTTCAAGAGCAGAATGTGATAAGTGAGGTGGGATGGATTCATGTCTCATTCCTTCTGGGATATGCATGCTGAAGGGCCTTACCTGAGGTGACATTATTTCCAGTTTGGCCAGTAGAACTGCAGGTTGTATTTTTTTTTTTTTTTTCCTAACTTAGTCGGTTTGGATTCATGCTCCAACCAGACTACATAATTTCAGGACAGAAAGTCTCATTCTCTCTCAGAAGAGCAAAACATTGGAAAAGTGAAGGGAAGAAAAAAATATTGGAACTGAAACTAGTAATTATGATTTTCTGGTTAACATTTATGGTCTTTTGAGGATTTTTATTATTTCCTGTAGATTTGGAAGGGGTAAGATGAACATGTACAGTTTGCTCATGGGCCAGTAAGAGTGTCTTTGCTTTTGGAGTTTGAATTAACAGTAATGTGTCTAGGGGTCATTTTTAATACTTTTTTTCTTAACCATTTTTATATATTTGTTTGAGACTAGATAGACCAAGAACAAATAGAATATCATGGTGGTTGGCATGCTAATATTAAAAAAAGATTTTTTCTTTGTTAAGTAGAAATGAAATCAAGTACCAAAAAAAAAAAAAATCGTAAATTGGCAGTACTGATGAAGCATGTGAAAGGACCTTGCTCCTTTTACACTATCAGATATTTTTTTGAGAACCAGATTGGGTTCTCAAAAATTTAGATTGGGTCAAAAGAGCAAAAAAGAATATTCTCTATTGACTTACTTATCTTTAGAAGGTATATTTGTCTCTTTTCTTTAGAAAATATGGTACAATAATTAAAAAAAACTACAAGCTCTCTGTTAGTGCAAAGCTTAAGTACTCCCAAGAGCCACACATTAATTTATTGGAGAGGAGGAAAGTTATTAAAAACCTCTAAGGCTCCATGAATAGCTCATTTACCTACTTTGCTTAAATGCTAGTTTAGAATTAGTTCTTGACTAGAGAGCTGCTTATTTTGCAATTAACAAAGAAGTGGAATTTCTTTGATAATTTTGCTTGTATATTCAAAAATTAACTCGATGTCACCAGACTGCTTAAATGTGGTACATTTTTTTCCCCAAAGACATGAGTGACAAGAAGTTAAAGGCCCCAGTAGTTATATGGTAACTAGTGTGTACCCTCTTGAGAAAACCCTATCTGCACTACAATATAGACATGATTCTGTGATAATTAGGTTCAAGAGACAACTCTCCAGGGAATGAGCCACATGCAGGTAATAATAGCTTCCATTTATTAAGTGATTTCTGCATTTGGCTTTATGCTATGTGCTTTAAATATGGTAACAATAGTGCATTAAATCTTACCATAACTCTGTAAGTTAGGTATTATTGTAACTATTTTACATTGGACCACTGAGGCTTAGACAGGTTAATAAGTTGGTTGAAAGTAACTAAGTAATGATGGAGCTGGGATTGACACATTGATTCTATATTCTATGCTCTTTATTTTTATAAAAAGCTTATATTTAAAAAATGACATAACTAATATAGTATATACTCATAAACTCACATACTAGCTTAAGAGATAAAAACACTACAAATATCACTGAAGCCCTGTGTGTTCTTATCTCATACCCAATCACATTATCCTCTTTTCCCACCAGAAAGTCACTCTCAGTATTTTGTGTTTTTCTGATATATTTATTCACTATATGTCAGCTTATTCCTTAACAATATATTATTAGATTGCTTAGAATTAAATATTTAAAATGTATATACATTACAAATTTATGTAAAGATTATATATGTCTTTCTGGAATTTGCTCCATTATTTTTGTGAGATTTATTCATGTTAATCCTAGAGTTACTTTACAATTATATATTGTAGTCCATTGCAAGAGTATGGCATAGGTCATTTATCCATGACCCATGGATAAATAGATCATGGATTGGTAGATGTTTTTTGTCGACTCCATTTATTGGATGCTGCTGGGAACTACTTTTTCTTTGTATGTATCTTAACATTTCCTAGGAGTGGAATGGCCACTGGTAAGGGATGTGCATCTTCAAATTTAGGAGATCCAAATGCATTTATTGAGTACTTACATCAATATACATTCATACCAGCATTGTTCCTGTTGTTCTCCAATGTCCCTTGGTATCGTTGAACTTTTAAACTTTATTTTTGTAAACCTTACTATGTGAAGTGAATCCTCAGGGTGGTTTTTGTTCACATTTCCCTTGTCACTGGTTGAGGGCATCTTTTTAAACTTGTATACCATTTGCTTTCTTCTCCTGTGGATTGCCTACTGCTACACTTTGTTCATTTTCCTACTACGAGATCATTTTAAGTTGTCTTTCTCTTGTTGTCCTGAATATAAGTTATTTTCTTATTATATGTATTTAAAATATGTTCTTCATGATTATGGCTTATTTCTTCAATTTGTTTGGTGTCATTTGATGAACAGACATTTTAAAATTTGAATACAGTCAAATTAATCTTCTTTATGGATCACAATCTTTGTGTTTTTAAAAGAATTCCTTTCTTACTCTAGGATCAAAAAGACTTCATTTTATGTTAAAATTTTACTTTTCACATCTAGTTCTTTAATACCTTTGGAATTTATCTTTGTGTAAGGTAGGGCATTGAGATCTAACTTTTTAAGCAGAACCAATTATACTGATTCCATTTATTGACTGGTTTACCCTTTCTTCACAAATTTGCATTGGGAGAGCAATTTTATACACAGGCATAAATGTTTCTGGGTTTTTCATCTGTTCTATTGATTTGATCATCCATATGTCATTATGGCTGTATCTTAATTGTTCTAGTTTTATAATAAAGTTTGGTATCCGAAAGGGCTAATACTCTAACAATTTCTTCTCCAGAAATATTATGACTATTGATCCCAGTTCTTACAGGTATATTTTAAAATTAACTTGCAGAATTTCAAATAACCTCTGTTGGGATTTTTGCGTTATAGTTATAGGTTAATTTTGAGAAAAGTGGTATTTAAATATATTGTATATTTATATCTATGAACATGATAAATCATTTACTTTGTCTTTTTTAAATTCTTTTAATAAAATTTTATATTTATTTCTTAAGATATGGCACATCTTGTGTTAGATTTTTTCTATATTTCACACATTTTTAGATTGTATTAATATTGCATTTTTTTGAATTATAGATACCTTGTGGACACTTTAACAATATTGAATATATTAATCCACGAACATAGTATGTCTCTCTATTTAGGTCCATTGGAAAGACAGTTGATCCTGGTATAGGAATAAAGTTAATTTTTATATAGTAATTTTTAAAATTAAATTTATTTAGATATAATTTACATATGAGTACAACATTTATGTACATCTCCATGCAAATTTTTATGTCAACCAAAGCTTTCAAATCAGTTGGGTAAAAACCTTAGAGTAGTCGGGGCACAGTGGTTCACACCTGTAATCCCAGCACTTTGGGAGGCTGATGCGGGTGGATCACGAGGTCAGGAGTTTGAGACCAGCCTGGCCAACATGGTGAAACCCTGTCTCTGCTAAAAAATGCAAAAATTAGCCAGGCATGGTGGCGTGCACCTGTAATCCCAGCTACTCAGGAGGCTAAGGCAGGAGAATTGCTTGAACCCGGGAGGTGGAGGTTGCAATGAGCCAAGATCCCACCACTGCACTCCAGCCTGGGCGACAGAGCAAGACTGCATATTGAAAACAAACATAAACAAAAAAATCCACCTTAGAGTGTGATTGCTGGATTGAATAATAACACTACCATTCACTTTGTAACTAATGGAGCAAATTTCCCACAAAGCATGGCTTTCACTGTATTCAACAAATTATTCTAATTTACGTTCTCAGTATAAAATGTTTCTTAGTTTTCCTTGAGACTTCTTCATTGACACATTATTTAAAAGTATTTTGTTTAATCTTCAAATATTTGGATATTTCCCTCTATTTTTCTGTTACTGATTATTTAATTTCATTGTGGCCTGATAATGCATTTGGAGTGATTTTTCTTCTTCTAAATTTGTTGTGTTTTATGGCCAAGAATGTGGTCTGTCTTGGAAATATTTTCTGTGAACTTGAAAATGATGTGTATTCTGTTGTTCTTGGATGGAATATTCTATAAGTGATATTTAGATCAAATTATCTAATAGTGCTATTCAGGTCTTCTATATCCTTACTGATATTTCAATTGCTTGAGCTGTCAAAACTGACAAGGGTGTGCGAAGTCTCCAACTATATTAGTGGATTTGTCTAATTTCTCTTTTTAGTTCTACCAGTTTTTGCCTAAGGTATTTTATTGTGGTCTTGTTAGGTGCATACATATTAAGATTCTTATTTCTTCTTAGAGAATTGATTGCTTTATCATCATGTGGTACCCTTCTTTATCTACAACAATCTTCCCTGGTCCAAAGTTTGCTTTGTCTTAAATTAGTATAGCTATTCCAGCGTTCTTTGATTACTGTTAGCATGATATATTGCTATTAGCTTGGGTTTATATCAAACATGTTTGTAACTATTTTTTATTCACTCACTCCTTGTTTTTTTATCTTCCTCCTTTTAATCTTCTCTTTTTATTATGTACTTTATTAATTTTATCTATTTATACAATATTATACTTCTTTGAAAAAAAGTGATGCTTGTCCTAAAGTTTATAATATAATTTTAGCTAATCTAAGTCTATCTTCAAATAACAGTACACTACTTCATGTATAGGGCACCTATCTTATAACTAAACAGTGTCAGTTCCTCCCTGCTACTTCTTATAATATTGCTCTTTTACATTTCACTTATCCATTTGCTAATAATGACCTAATACATTGTTACTGTAATTACTTTAAACAAATATTTATCTTTTAGATCAATTTAGAATAAGAAAATTGATGGATTCTGTAAGTTGAATAGTTTATTTTTCCTCTTTCTTTATGTAGATTCAAGTTTCCGACCTATATCATTTTTCTTCTGCCTAAAGAACTTCTTGTAACATTTCTCACAGGGAAGATTTGATGGCAATAAATTCACCCAATTTTTGTTTGTCTGAGAAAGTCTTGGTTTCTCCTCCACATTTGAAAGACGATTTTTAGATTTAAGATATCTAGAAATAACTTTTTTTGGGTGTGTGTGATGGAGTTTCGCTCTTGTTGTCCAGGCTGAAGTGCAATGGCATGATCTCAGCTCACTGTAACCTCTGCCTCCTGGGTTCGAGCGATTCTCCTGCCTCAGCCTCCTGAGTAGCTGGTATTACAGGTGTGCACCACCACACCCAGCTGACTTTTGTTATTTTTAGTAGAGACAGGGTTTTGCCATTGGCCAGGCTGGTCTCAAACTCCTGATCTCAGGTGATCCACCCGACTTGGCCTCCCAAAGTGCTGGGATTACAGGTGTGAGCCACAGTGCCCGGCCCAAAATAATTCTTAAATATGAAACTCTAGGCTTATGTTTTATCTCTTTCAACTTTGAAAAAATTTACTCCACTTTCTTTTTGATGGCATTATTGCTAACAAAAAGGCTGCTATAATTCTTACGTGTATTCTTCTATAGATAGTTGGTGTCCCCCTGCACCCTTAATCTCTCTGACTTCTTCTTTTCTTATTTATTATTATTATTATTATTATTATTATTATTATTATTTTTAGACAGAGTCTGGCTCTATCCCCCAGGCTGGAATGCAGTGGCACAATCTTGGCTTGCTGCAACCTCCGCCTCCCAGGTTCAAGCGATTCTCCTGCCTCAACCTCCTGAGCTGGGATTACAGGTACCCGCTACCACGCCTGGCTATTTTTTTTGTATTTTTAGTAGAGACCATGTTGGACAGGCTGGTCTCAAACTGCTGACTTCAAGTGATCCGCCTGCCTCGGCCTCCCAAAGTGCTGGGATACAGGTGTGAGGCACCGTTCCTGGCCCCGCTCTGGCTTTTATGATTCCTTTCCTTCCTTCCCTTCCTTCCCTTCCTTCCCTTCCTTCCCTTCCTTCCTTCCTTCTCTCTTTCTCTCTCTCTTTCTCCCTTCCTTCCTTCCTTCCTTTCCTTCCTTCCTTCCTTCCTTCCTTCCTTCCTTCCTTCCTTCCTTCCTTCCTTCCTTCCTTCCTTCCTTCCTTCCCTCTTTCTTTCTTTCTTTCTTTCTTTCTTTCTTTCTTTCTTTCTTTCTTTCTTTCTTTCTTTCTTTCTCTCTCTCTCTCTCTTTCTTTCCCTTCCTTCCTTCCTTCCTTTTCTTTTCTTTCTCTCTTTTTTAAATTTTCTGAAGTTTGAATATGATATGACTAGCTGTGATATTTTTGGTATTCATCCTGCTTGGTGTTCTCTGAGCTTCCCAGATCTGTGGTTTTCTGTCATTAATTTTGAAAAGTTCTCAGTCACTGTGACTTCAAATATTTCTTTGACCCCTTTCAATGTTTTTCTTTTAGATTACATGTACATTACAACTTCTGATATTGTCTCACAGAAATTGATTTTTTAGGAGCAATTTTTTTTCTCTATTAGTTTGGAAAGTGTTTTCTCTTTTGTGGTTGTATCACTTAGCTTTTGCTGTATAACAAACTATACCAAATTTTAGTGGATGAAAGTAACACACTTTTATTATTATTTATTATTTTTAATTTCTGTGGGTATATAGTAAGTATATATATTTATGAAGTACATGAGATATTTTGATACAGGCATGCAATGTGAAATAAGCACATCATGGAGAATAGTATATCCATCCCCTCAAGCATTTATCCTTTGAGTTACAATCCAGTTACCTTCTTTAAGTTATTTTAAAATATACAATTAAGTTACTATTGACACATTATTTTTTTTTATGATTCTAGCAAGCAGAGTGATTTGCTGATTTGAGCCAGTCTCAGCTAGTTTTGCTAATCCTTCTATGGTCAACAGGCAGATTGTTTGGAAGAGAGAGGAAAGGAGCTGACAGGTGTAGGATTTCCCCTGAAATACATTTGTTCTTCTCGATGTATCTTATATCCAGCAAGCTAGTCTAGGCATATTTTCAGGCTCACTCATGCACGTTCTCATAGCAATTGCAGAGAAGTGAAAGGAAGAGAGTGAGATAAGAGAAGAAGAAGAAGAGGAGGAGGAGAAGGAAGAGGAGGAGAAGGAGAGGAGGAAGGACAAGGAGAACAAGGAGAAGGAGGAGGAGGAAGGAGAAGAAGAAGAAGGAGAAGGAGGAGGGAAGGAGGAGGAGGAAGAAGAGGAGGAGGAGGAAGAAAGGAGGAGGAAGAGGAAGAAGAACAGGCGGGGGGAGGAGAAGGGACAAGAAGAAGTATAAGAAACACTCAAGTAACTTTTAAAAGGCTCTATTTTCATCAAATTTGCCATTGTCCTACTGGCCAAAAAAAGTAATATGGCAAGCACAAAGTAAGTGTGGGAGAAGATTATCAAAGTAATGAATTCAAGGAGTCATGTGAAATTAAGAACTGTCAATGAACCTACCATGTAATTGGTCTATCAAAGTGCTTATTCTTGTATTTTTTAATAGTATGTATGTAAATGTTGACAATATCTGAAGTTAATACTTTTTCCTGCTTTCTTCATGGACAGTATAAGATATTTAAACTCTTAAACTTCATTGAGCCCCAATTGTTTGGCATACATTTTTGTTTTGAGTATTAATTCTACTTTCTTTTAGACTCCACAATTAGCTGATGTATTATTGTTTTAAATAGTCAACAATTTCCCATCTTATCTACTATTATTAATTTCTTTGCTTTATTTCTTCTTGCTTCCCAAGTATTCTGTCTCAAAACATTTTCAATTTTTCTGAAGTACTTCTTTGCAACTTAATTTAGGGAGATCTGTTGAAAGTAAATCTTCAGAGATGTTGATTAAATAAAAAATGTTTATTTTATCCTTGTTTTTAAATCATAATTTGGCTGGTTATGCAATTTTATGCTATTGTATTTCAATAGTATAAAGATGTTTTTATGGTCCTTAGGCTTCTATTGTTGTCAATTTGTTATACCTTTGGGCTTTAATAATCTCTCTTTTGTGTCCTTGCAATTCTGAAGTTTCACCCTGATTTGTCTAGGTGTGGTTTTTTTCTTTATTCTTCTTGTTATTTACTGTGATTTTTCAATCTGAATTATCAGTTATATTTTTTCATAAAGCCCCTTTATTCTATTCTGTTTCTCTTATCTCAGTTAGATATAATGTTCTATCCTCCAAGTCTATTAACTTCTTATTTATATTTAACTCTTTTTGTCTCTAGTTCTCTGGGTTAGTATTTAGATTGATTTTCAAGACCTTGCTTCCTTTCTTAGTTGTATGCAATTGGCTGTGTAATCGATTCACCGAATTTTAAATTTCAGTGATAATAATTTTTTTTTTTACATTTTGTTTTACTGCCTGCCCCCTTTCCCCCACCCCACGTAACCTATATGGTGTTCTAAGTAATGTCATAAACCTATGTATTTTTGAAAGTTTTATTTTGTTTTTAATTAACATATAATAATTGTACAAGTTTATGGATTACAGTGTATTGTTTTGATACATGGATACATTGTGTAATATATCAAAGTAATTAGGATATCCATCACCTCATACATTTATCATTTCTTTGCAGTGAGACCATTCAAAACCCTCTCTTCTAGCTATTTTAAATTATACATGATTATTAACTATACTCTGCAATAGAACACCAGAACTTATTCCTTCTAACCATAACTTTGTACCCATTGACCAACCTCTCTCCATCCCCCCACAACCACACTATTCTACTGGTAACCACTGTTCTACTCTCTACTTCTATGAGATCAACATGTTTAGATTCTACATGTGAGTAAGACCATGTGGAATTTGTCTTTCTGTGCTTTTGAAGAGATCTTTGTTTTAAAAATATTTTAACTATATTTATTTTATGTTTTATAGTGATTATCCATGATAAAATCTTTGGGAGTTTAATTCTGTTGTTTATTTCTTGTATTGACTTAAATTTTTCTTTTTATAGGACTTAAATTTATTGCTTCTGTAATTTATAAATATTAAATATATAATAATGTTATATATAATTAGTGTATTTCAAATATTATATATTTAATATATAAAATATATAATTTATAAATATTAAATATATACTATATTAATGATATATCTAATTAGTATATTTAATATATATTTAATATATAAAATACATAATTTTAAAATTATTTTGGCAAATTTTTCCTTAAATACTTGTTTTTATTTTGTTAAAGACTAATTTTATTGACTCTATTTTGCAAATGGTTGAATTGGAGATGTGAACATTTGCTTTCTCTGGTTAGGAGAATTTCTCTTTCAAATCCAGTTGAATGTTTTTTGACCCTCTCACCATTTTGTTACCAACAATATTGAAAGGTTTAGAATCATTTGGGCCAAACAGTGTACAGTTGAAAAGACTTGTCTGATATCGATATGATTCAAATTAAACCCTGATCAGTGTATAGATAATACTGGACATTACTGATTGTGTTTTGAATTTTAAGTTTTGGAGAGAGAGAATGGCAACCAAGTACCAAGCTAAATCAATTGAAATCCTGATAGATATGCATGTGGGACACCCACATATAGACAAAAATAACATTTACAACTTGATACGTACATATCACCTATACACATACACCTATACCCACATCTAATTTAACAGTTATGGGGAAATTCATGTCATTTTAATTTTTAAAAAATTAGTGAAGATTTTAATTTTTTAAAATTAAAATTTTACAATTTATAGGCTATAATGCCAGGAAAGTAATTTTACATCTGTGTTCTGCACCCCAAAACCACTTACTTTCTTCTATTCCTTTCACCCTGGTCAAACACTATTACCTGTGATCTTTTAATCTAGTTTTAATTGCTATAAAATATTTGGAAATTCATAGTACTTCATTAATGATAAACTCTATGAATATGAAATATCTCATACATAGGATTGCTAATGAGGCATAGAATTCAGGAGAAAAGCTGTTGGATGGTTTCAACTAGAAAAAACATTAAATTTTGAGATAAATGCATAATGAGACACAGACTTTGGAATTGAGGGCAATGATATGTATTAAAGGAAAAGTTCCGCTCTAAGAAAATGATAGGTAGGGAAGATTAAAAGGAATATAACAAATCACATGCTTTTTGTTAGGATCAGTGTTTTCAGTATGTGATAAAAATTCTTTACATTTTTCCTTAGGCTATTGCTAAGGCTGTATTATATTTAGATCATTTGTCTAGAGTAGATTTTCAGGAAAATTCATGTTTTTTTTTTCCATTAGATTCTTTTTTTAATTTTTAATTTTTGTGGGCACGTAGTAGGTGCATATATTTATGGAGTACATGAGACACTTTGATACAGGCATGCAATGCATAATAATCATATCGGGGTAAATGGGGTATTCCTCCCCAAATGTTTATCCTTTGTGTTACAGACAATCCAATTATACTTTTAAATTTATTTCTAAATGTACAATTAAATTACTATTGACTATAGTCACCCTGTTGTGCTATCAAATACTAGGTCTTATTCATTCTTTCTAACTACTTTTTGTACCCACTAACTATCTCTACTTCCCTATCAACTACTCTTCCCAGCCTCTGGAAACCATCCTTCTACTGTCTATCTCCATCAGTTCAATTGTTTTAATTTTCAGCTCCCACAATTAAGTGAGAACATTCAAAGTTTGTCTTTCCATGCCTGGCTTATTTCACTTAATATAATGACCTCCATTTCCATCCACAAATAAGCTCCCACAAATAAGTGAGAACATTCAAAGTTTGTCTTTCCGTGCCTGGCTTATTTCACTTAACATAATGACCTCCATTTCCATCCATGTTGTTGCAAATGACAGAATCTCATTCTTCTTTTTATGGCTGAATAGTACTCCATATTGTATATATACCACATTTTCTTTATCCGTTCATTGGTTGATGGATACTTAGGTTGCTTCCAATTCTTGGCTATTGTGAACAGTGCTGCGAGAAACATGGGAGTGCAGATACTGTTTTGATTTACTGATTTCCTTTCTTTTGGGCGTGTACCCAGCAGGGAATTTTTGGATCATATGGTAGCTCTAATTTTAGTTTTTTTTGAGGAACCTCCAACCTGTTTTCCATAGTGGTTGTACTAATTTACATTCCCACCAACAGTGTACAAGGGTTCCCTTTTCTCCACATCCTTGCCAGCATTTGTTACTGCCTGTCTTGATTAAAAGCCATTTTAACTGGGTGAGATAATATTTCACTGTCATTTTGATTTGCATTTTTCTGATGATCAGTGATTTTCTGTCCCCAGGCTGGAGTACAGTGGCACCATCTCAGCTCACCAAATTGCGGTTCAACAATTGCTCCTGGGGGCTGAGCGCGGTGGCTCACGCCCGTAATCCCAGCGCCTTGGGAGGCTGAGGCGGGCAGATCACGAGGTCAGGAGATCGAGACCATCCTGACCAACATGGCGAAACCCCGTCTCTATGTAAAATACAAAAAATTAGCCAGGCGTGGTGGCGGGTGCCGGCAGTCCCAGCTACTCAGGAGGCTGAGGCAGGAGAATGGCGTGAACCTGGGAGGCGGAGCTTGCAGTGAGCCGAGATCGTGCCACTGTACTCCAGCCTGGGCAACAGAGTGAGACTCCGTCTCAAAAAAAAAAAAAAAAATCGCTCCTGGGTTCAAGCGATTCTCGTGCCTCAGCCTCCCGAGTAGCTGGAACTACAGGTGTTTGCCACCACGCCAGGCTAATTTTTGCACCTTCAGTAGAGACGGGGTTTCGCCATATTGGCCAGGCTGGTCTCAAACTCCTGACATCAAGTGATCCTCCCGCCAAGCTTGGCCTCCCAAAATGCTGGGATTACAGGCGTGAGCCACCGTGCCTGGCCTTGAGCACCTTTTCATAAGCCTGTTCGTCATTTGTATATCTTCTTTTGAGAAATGGCTATTCAGATCTTTTGCCCATTTTTAATCGAATTATAAGATTATAAGAGTTATTTGAGCTACTTGAATATTCTGGTTATTAATCCCTTTTCAGATGAGTAGTTTGCAAATATTTTCTCCCACTCTTTGAGTTGTCTCTTTATGTTGTTGATTGTTTTCTTTGCTGTGCAGGAGCTTTTTAACTTTATATGATCCCATTTGTCCATTTTGCTTTGGGTGTCTGTGCTCATGGGGTATTATTACTCAAGAAATTTTTGCCCACTCCAATGTTTTGGAGAGTTTTTCCAATGTTTTATTGTATTAGTTTCATAGTTTGAGGTCTTAGATTTGAGTTTTTAATCCATTTTGATTGATTTTTGTATATGGCAAGAGATAGGGGTCTAGTTTTGTTCTTCTGTGTATGGATGTCTAGTTTTCCTAGCACTATTTATTGAAGAGATTGTCTTTTCCCCAATGTGTGTTCTTGGCACCTTTGCCGATAATGAGTTCACTGTAGATATGTGGATTTGTTTCTGGGTTCTCTGTTCTGTTCCATAGGTCTATGTGTCTGTTTTTATGCCATGCTGTTTGGGTTACTATAATAGTAGTATAATTTGAAGTCAAATAATGTGATTCCTCCAGTTTTGTTCTTTTTGCTCAGAATAGCTTTGACTGTTCTGGGTCTTCTGTGGTTCCATATAAATGTTAGGATTACTTTTCTATTTCTGTAAAGAATGTCATTGGTATTTTGATAGAGATTGTATCAAATCTGTAGATTGCCTTAGGTAGTATGGACATTTTAACAATATTGATTCTTGCAATCCATGAACATGTTGTATCTTCCCATTTTTTTGTGTCCTCTTCAATTTCTTTCATTAATGTTTTATGGTTGTCATTGTAGAGCTCTTTCATTTCTTTGGTTAACTTAATTCCTAGGTAGTTAATTTTATTTGTTGCTATTATAAATGGGATTTTAAAATTTCTTTTTCAGATTGTTCACTGTTTGCATATAGAGATGCTAGTGATTTTTCTTTACTGGGAGATTTTTTTATTATGGCTTCAGTCTTGTTACTTGTTATTGGTGTGTTCAGGTTTTGGATTCCTTCATTTTTCAATCTTGGTAGGTTGTATGTGTCTAGGAATTTATCCATTTTCTCTAGATTTTCTGATTTATTGGTATACAGTTGCTCATAGCAGTCACTAATGATCCTTTGATTTTCTGTGGTATCAGTTGTAATGTCTCCTTTTTCATCTCTGAGTTTGTTTATTTGGATCTTCTCTCTTTTTTTCTTAGTCTGGCTACAGGTGTGTCAGTTTTATATATCTTTTCAAAAAAACCAACTTTTCATTTCTTTAATCTTTTGTATGGTTTTTTCATTCAATTTCATTTATTTCTGCTCTGATCTTTATTGTTTCTTCTACTA
Organism: Homo sapiens; assembly: GCF_000001405.40. Classification (NCBI taxonomy): domain Eukaryota; kingdom Metazoa; phylum Chordata; class Mammalia; order Primates; family Hominidae; genus Homo; species Homo sapiens. The sequence continues at coordinate 199,555,403 of NC_000001.11, read as the reverse complement.
ATTTTGGGTTGGGTTTGCTCTTGTTTTTCTAGTGCTTTAATATATGTCATTACATTATTTATTTGACATTTTTCTTGTTTTTTGATGTAGGCACTTATAGCTATAAATTTCCCTCTTAGTACTGCTTTCACTGTGACCCCATAGGTTTTAGTATGTTGTATTTTTATTATTATTAGTTTCAAGAACATTTTCAGTTTCCTTTTTAGTTTCTTCATTGACCCACTGGTCACTCAAGAGCATATTGTTTAATTTGTATGTGTTCGTATAGTTTGCAAAATTCCTCTTGTTATTGATTTGTAGTTTTATTCCATTGTGGTCAGAGAAGATACTTGATACTGTTTCAATTTTTTGAATATTTTAAGACTTGTTTTGTGACCTAACATATGATCTATCCTTGAGAATGATCCATATGCTGAAGAGAAAAATGTGTATTCTACAGGTGTTGGATGAAATGTTCTGTAAATATCTACTAGGTCCATTTGTTCTATAGTACAGATTAAATTTGATGATTTTTTTTGTTGATTTTGTGTCTGGGTGATCTGTCCAATGCCGAAAGTAGGGTATTGAAATCTCTAGCCGTCACTGTGCTTGGGTCTATCTCTCTCTTTAGCTCTAATAATATTTACTTTATTATATCTGGGTGCTCCAGTGTTGGGTGCATATGTATTTATAATCATTATATCCTCTTGCTGAATTGACCCCTTTATCATTACATAATGACCTTCTTTGTCTCTTCTTAATTTTTGTCTTGAAATCTATTTTTTCTGATGGAAGTATAGCTACTCCTGCTCCTTTTTTGCTTTCTTTTTTTTTTTTTTCTTGGTCCTCTTGTTTTATTTTTTTATTTATTTATTTTTTATTTATTTATTTTTTTTATTATACTTTAAGTTTTAGGGTACATGTGCACATTGTGCAGGTTAGTTACATATGTATACATGTGCCATGCTGGTGTGCTGCACCCACTAACTCGTCATCTAGCATTAGGTATATCTCCCAATGCTATCCCTCCCCCCTCCCCCCACCCCACCACAGTCCCCAGAGTGTAATATTCCCCTTCCTGTGTCCATGTGATCTCATTGTTCAATTCCCACCTATGAGTGAGAATATGCCGTGTTTGGTTTTTTGTTCTTGTGATAGTTTACTGAGAATGATGATTTCCAATTTCATCCATGTCCCTACAAAGGACACGAACTCATCATTTTTTATGGCTGCATAGTATTCCATGGTGTATATGTGCCACATTTTCTTAATCCAGTCTATCATTGTTGGACATTTGGGTTGGTTCCAAGTCTTTGCTATGAAAATTCATGTTGATTACTGGATTTCTTCTTCTTTGCTATACAAACAATAATAAATCAGGAATAATAGAAGTCTAAAAATAAAAAGTAAACACACATTTTTTCTCATTCTTTGTCTATATGCATGTACAATTTCGCATAATTATAATTATAGTGCTTTCTGATTTTTCTCTTTGCATTTCTGTATCTCTGCATTTTTCTTGTTGTTCAATGTTATCATTTTCAGTGGCTTCATCCTATTTTATCTTTATGATATGGAATCATTTACTTAACTTTCCCTCTGTTACTGGTGGATATTTATGATGTTAACAAGTTTTCATTTTCTAAGAAACACTACTGTTTGCACATATACCATTCATTTTCCTCTTTTTTCTTTATAACAGAAGCCCAGTTTTGTACACATATCCATCCATCTCTTGTATAACTTGGGAAGATGTGTCCATTCCTAGTGTCAGGTGGACACTGGTGAGACAAAGCTAATCAGCATCTGGCAGTCATCTGGTGACTGTCACTGGTCTGGGGTAACTTGGGCTGAGGCAACCAGACAGAAGAGGTTTGTATCCCAATGTGTCACCTACTAACTATATGACTTTGGGAATGATATTTAATTTATGTCTCATTTTCTTAATCTGTAAATTACTCATAGCACCTACATCAATGGTTATTTGAAGCATAAATGAGTAAATATATCTTAAGCTCTAAATAAATTTATAAATGCTTAACACAGTGCTGGCACTTAGCAAATGCTCAATAATGTCACCTATATTTATCAGAGTTCTGTCATTTGTATAGTGCAATGTCATCAGAAAACAGCTTAAGATAGGATTTCATCTATAATAAGCACACAGCTGGCACGTGTGTGAGTGTGTGTTTATGTCTGTGTCTATGGGTAACAACTTGAGACCTTGGCCCATTAAAACTTTAGACCTAGGATCATTATTTAGTCCATGTGACAAATAAGATCCAGAAAGGTAAAGTGAATTCACTCAAGTTGAACTGCTATTTAGCAACGAGTTTTCACTATTGTTCCAATTTCATTACTTTTTCTTTTAAAGACTGTTAAGATAATACCTTAGTACAGTCTTGTTTATCTATTTGGTATTCATTAAAATACTCATTACAAAAGCACCTATTGAGGGCCAGGCATTATTATCTGGGGGGAATTTGGGGAACAAAGGAGACTGGGTTTTATTCTAAATATGATGGGGAGCCATTGGCTGGCTTTGACAGGGGGAAAGCCATGCTGTGAATCATATTTAAGAAGAATTACCCTGACTGTTCTATGAAGATTTCTCTGGAGGGAAAGCGGTAGGAGATCAAGAAGGATGCAGGGAAAGCAGGTAGGAGGTTAGTGAGGGGTAATAATGGCCTGAAAGGAAATGGTAGCAAGAGATGAGATGAGAAGTGGTAAGATTATAATACAGTCTCTGTTAAAATTTTAAACAATGCATATGTATACAGTAACGAGGGAAAATGCCCACCCTCACCCCATACCCTTGCTTCCAATGCCGATCTTCTTTTCATAGGTAACCACTGTTAACAATTCAGTGTGCTTGTATCACCAAACCTTGTCCTATGCCACTCATAAATGGTTTATGCCTATATAAAATAAGTCAGTTTTATTTGCAATGTATTTTCAGTATTTTTTCTTTGTTTTATGTTGCTACCTCCTATCGTGGAGCTGAAGTGTAAGACTTAATAATGATTTGAAAGTCCTCAGAAACAACCCACCTCACACCTGATCATTGGAATAAATAAACAATTTAAAGACAGTGATTTATTAAGACAACAAGAAGTCTAATAAATAGCATCAGCATAGATAAGTCTTTCTTTTTTTCCTTTCTATTTAGTCAGGAGAGTGCCATTGCCCAGGATTTGAATGACTGCTTTATTCCCTTTTTTTTTCTTTTTTTTAAACCTGAGGCAGAAAACCAGTAGAGGGCGCTGAGAACCCTGTACATGCAAGAAGTCTAACGGAAAGATACTGACAAACAAAAAGTGGAAAAGGATTTTAAGACAGGGATCATAGCACTACAGAAATGTAGGCTTTCTTGCTTTGGTGCTTTTTTTCCTTAAAGTTAAAATTATTTATACTATTAATGGGTGAAGTTTTACCCATATCCCCTTTAGCAGCTTCGAGCACAGGTTTCCAAAAAATATTCTAACATGCACAATAAATACTTTTGGCAGCGTGAAAATAGTTAATAATATTTTCTCATCCCATTATGAGTTATTTTATTTTACTCAAAAGGTTTCCACCCTTAAATCCTTTGGGTAGGCAGAAGCTGGTTAGAATATTGAAGCAGGACTGATCAACAGACAGACTATATTTTTACTGAATTTATCATTCACATTGTCTGTGTGTATGTGATTATGTGTGTGTAAGTGTCTGTGTACATGTATTCAAAATTTAAAAAGTATTCAAAACAGTTACCCTTGTATCTGTCAAGGGTATGTAAAATGCCTGTTTGGAGTCATTACTTTTTCCTGTTGTTGAAAACTCAAATTGATGGAGGGTTTGAATTTGGATTACCACAAAAATGTAAATAAGCAGAAAGACTCTAGAATTAATGTATTTGTGTATTTATTTATTTCCAGGGGAAATTTGGCCTTTGGAATTGCTGTAGACACAGACTGTTAAACAGTCAAAACGCAATGTCAAGTGATAGAGTGTTAGAAGAACAACATATCATTTTCTCTAAGTTTGAGCCTGTATAGTAAGCAGGTCCCTCAGTATAATTCCAGCACACTTTTCAGCTATGCAAACTCTTTTACAAACTCTTTTTACTTTCACAAACTCTTTCAGGATAATGCTGCTAAAATTAATTACTGTGTATATTTTGTTGAAAACTACACGTAGTTGCTGAGCACTATTTATATGATGGATATCCTTGTGTCCTAACAGAAAATTCATAGCCAGGAAATATGATATTTTACCTGTGCTGAAGGATAATAGGCTGCCTTCATCAGCCACTAGAAATATTAATTTCAGTGTCTCCATTGAGGTACCACGTGGCTTCAAAACAATATTTTCAAAGAAATATACAAGAGTTTATTTTCAAGATGTTTTACACTGTTGTGCTTGGAGAGTCTATGGAAATGGTTAGCCTTAGATCACAGAAAGCTGCATTCTCCTTCACGATGAAAGCTTTGAAGAATGCTAAATATATTCCGTCATTCATGATGACAGTAGGAGCACAAACCCAGTGACACTTGAATCTAGGTATTAGTTTTCCATTCTTTGATGATTTAATGAGCAAAACTGCAACAACCTACACATTTTTCTTGGCTTACTTCCTTTATAGTAAAACTGTAATAGGATATGGCAGTTCATGGCTTTCTGCCTCTGGATGGCAGTAACTCCTGCTTAAATGTTCATGACCCTTAACTGCAATATTCTAAAGTAAGGATTTCCCATTCTTTGTCAGTTTTCTGTCCAAAGAAAACACTAATTTTACTTAGTCTGAAATATATATACATACACACACACACACACACACACACACACACATACACATACACACACATACATACACGCATTTGAAAACTAAGAGCAAGGAGTCTGTTTAATGTTAAAAGTTGATAATGTAAACCCCAGGCTAAAAGGAAAATGAGGACGCAAAGAACTAACCTAAAAAAAAATTGGCATTTGGATATTTCCATATGTTTATATGTGATTCATTTTCCTTCTTACATAAATTAACAAATGCTGCTGAGCCAACCATATTTCTTACCTCAAGACAACAAGGCACTGCAAAAGCTCTAGGAATATATCCAGGCTTTGGGAATAAGCATGTCTACCACTAGAATTATGTGCTCTGATTAATATAGTCTATCTGGATTTTCTGACTGTGACTTTTCATAGACACAAAGAATTAAAGAGCTTAATCATTAAATAAAATGAAATGCACACATGTTAAATGTAGTTCACTAACCTCTTTATGCAGTGGCTACTGCAATACCATAAATTGACATCTGGATTGGGCTGTGGGCTGTAATTTACTGTCTCTAATATTTTCCTGGTCTTCCTTTTACTTGTCCTTTTATAAACCTGCTATTCCTTTCCTTCGGATCCCTGGTTTTCCATCTCCGCCTCAGATACTGTTGCCTTGCCCACCTCCTTAAGATTGCATGTGCCTGAAAGCTCTACTTAGATATCCTTTTCCAGACTTCACCCTCCACGTTGAGGTGCTACAGCTGCACCTAAGAAGTGCTTCTGCTTCCTACTCGGCTCCATAGGCTGTGTAGTATCCTGGAAAATCTACATAGATTCAGGTAATCTTTCTCTTTTTAACACATGTTCCCCTGAGAATTTAAGGTTTTTTGAAAGTGATACATTAAGACCCAAATCTACCGTATGGGCTACATTACCAGGCATGTCAAATTTTGGTGTCCAATTGAAGTGACATCAGTTTCTGATGGCTTTATAATAACTATCTTCAAACCATTGTTGACTTAGCAGAACTTACTGTGTACTCATGCATGTAATTCTTTATAACTCAGAAAAAGGAATGCAATTCCTGTGGCTTCTAGATGATAAACTTTTAAAATAAATATTATTACAATGATTTTTTTACCGCCCCCCACCCCCATGAAATGGTCTCTATAATTATGAGGATTTTTTTTGTGTTTCCTTTGGGCAAGAGTAGAGAGTCTTTATTCAAAATAAAGATGGACACAGAAATAGCTGGAACACAAAAAGCCCCAGACCATAGAAGAATACATAACCTGTGCAGAAAAGAAGCGAAGTCAGAGAGTCGTTAATTCCAATAGTATTAGAAGCAAGTATTGAATGTGGGATATAAAGCTTAGAATCTGGGGTCAGGTTGACAGGAACGAATACAAGAGCAAATTGGATGGATAAATGAGAAGAAGTCTAGAGGAACAACTTCCGAGAGAAACCTTCTATGCTGTTCTCAGGTGGCTGGTGTAAATCTTTGTGCATTTGAGTTAGTGCCATAAACTGCTCATAGGTAGAGTGGTTCTTATCACTGACCAAAATAAAGCTGGTGACTCTAGGGAGTTATATCTGGTGGCATCATGTGGCTTGGGTTACTTTCAGTGTGCGGTGACAGTCTCATCCTCAGCAAGAACGGACTATGTTGCCAATGAAAGGAATGTCATGGCTAAACACCAATATTCTGAAGATCTGTGTCTGAGTAGGTCAATGCCCTTAATAACTCTCACTTTGCTCATTTCTGAAGCTCTAGGGTGCCTTTTAAAAGTGTCTAAAGAGTGTGTGTGTGTGTCTGTGTGTGTGTGTGTGTGTTTAAGTCAGTGGAATTCTAAGTTTCACTTTTGTTCTTTATCTCTGGGTCCACTCTTGGTTGGTTTCCATGGTTTTTATTCTCTTGCTTTGTGTTGTTATTCATTCAACAAGCATTTATTGAGTCCTTAAAAAATCAAGTATTGTAAAGCATTGTGGTAGATACTAGGTATGATGAAAGAATACAGGTATTTTCATCATGACATTTATAGTTTGGGGAGGGATATAGACAGATAAAAAGAAATTAAAAATCAGAGGGATGAGGGCTAGACAGGCATGTAAATGGTACTAAGGAATCTCTAGCAGGAACATCCAACATAGATTTGGGGATGGTGGGGAGGTCAGGAAAGATTTATTGGAAGAAGTGATGCCTGAAGCGGTATCTGTTGTCTGTGGTCAAAGTCAAAGCCAGCCAGGTAAAGGGAGAATAGCTGTTTAGACAAAACAGTGTATCCAAGACCCAGAATTGAGAAATAGAAAAAGTTGATTGTACTTGTCGAAGCCGATGTCAAGATAGAAGTGCAAGAGATTTACTGGGGGAAATGTTTATGAAGGATAAAGGGGAGAGGAAGTCGAGTAGCAGGGGAGAGCCTCAGAGCTTCATGCAAACCTAGTTCTTGTGAAGAGTGGGAGGAAAGAAAGGAGGATGGAATAGGAGGATCCTTAAACTGTAGTATACCTCTAGAAGGAATGTCTTGGCCAGGCCTATGAAGAGCTCCAGAGCAAAATTTGTTAGAAGAATCCCATGAAGGGGTAGAAGTGGTCAGGCTCCAGTACTCCCCTCACCTTCTACTGTGCTCGGGCATTTTCTGCAAGCAGCCTAGTGAGAGTGGGGCCCTGGAGTGGATCCTGCGATGGATCCCTAAGGCACAGCAGCTACAGTTGGGGAACTAACTAGCTATCCTCCTTCCGGCAGCTTCTCTCTTGAAGGGAGATCTGAGTGGCTTACCTATGGCTGCCTCAGTATACCATTTCCACTGTACAGTATCCTATCTATAGCTGAGTTCAGAAAGGAGCTCCTCCATGGTTCTTGTAGGCCTCTCCTCCTGAGGGGAGATCTAGGAGAGAGGCGAGTATAAGAAAATGCAACCCTCATCACTGTAGTTAGTCTCAGGGCTGAGATTTGTACTTACCACCTCCTTTGTCCACTATCTGTCCTAACTTCTCTCCAACTTCAGCCATCAGGCTGATGTCCATGGGTCTTGGTGGCTTAGTTGATGGTATAATCCAAGCCTTATTCCTGAGGGGTTTGAATGCCATGTAATAATAATGTTTCTTAGGCCAGGGATGTTGCACTTTCCATAGTTCTAAATAGGCAGGGAGTGGATCATCCTAAGCGAATCCAATGAATCACTTTGGTTCCACCTGTATCCCTCACTCTACCTGTGGAGTGAAAGAAGCACTATATTCTGATTATCAAAATCAAACACCCTACCATGATGGTAATTCCTCTTTCTGCCTGCTTGTCCCTGGACAAAATGAGTCCAAAGTGCTCAGGGGCAGTCATGCTTTATAGTTAAATGAGACCCATGGTGTGTACCTTAGCAAGAGTGGGCTCCTTTGAAGACCAGAAATTCTAACATAGAGTTATATGTATGTGAAGCACAAAGTGCATCAGTGGGTCTTTAGTAGGGATGTTAATTGAGGCCACTTGAGCTTCTACTCTTTGGTGCTCTGAGTCACATATTCTTCTTATTGAAAACAGCACCATATTGAGATTCTTTAATTAGGTGTATATAGTGCATCCTGGAATGTAATCCCTACAAAGTATTGCTTCTAAGCTAGCACTTCAGTCACATTTTCAACAGACAGTTCCAGTGCTACATGAGTCTGACTGCTTCTAGATGGTGCAGTAAATAATTTGACCAGTGGAAACCAGGATCATGAGTCTACTCTGATACCTCCTTCACTGTGCAGTGAGTTCCCTGTCAGACACTATGTTGTGTGGGATTCCATGGCTGGGAATCATGGACTCTGTAAAACCCCAGATCCCCAAGATAGTGCCGGCTCTGGCTTTGTGAGCAAAAAGGGCAATACCATAGCCAGTAGAGGCATCTGTTTCTACGAGTAATAACCCCTGGCCCTCCCAAAATGGAAGAGGACCAATGCAGTCACTAACCACCAACAGGCCAGTTGATTTTCTCAAGTAATATCATCATACTGGGAATGCAGTGTTGGTCTGTATGGTTGGCAGGTTGGACGTTCAGAGATGGCAGCAGTTAGATTAGTCTTAGGAAGTGGAAGTCCATACTACTGAGCCCATGCATCACCTCCAAGTCTTTCACCATGACTACACCATGACTACACCATGACTATTACTTTCATTTACCCCTTGTTCTGTGGTTGCCAGTGATGATCGCTGGCTAATATTAACTGGATGAGTTATCTTCTCAGTTATTTAGTACCTCTTCCCTGGTGTATGCTTTCTGGTGGGCATTAAGATGTGACACAAAGATTTTCACACTTTGTTTTCACTTCTGTATGCAACTACCAGATCTTCCAGTTCTTCCTTCTGTGTCTCTGTTAGGCTACTGGACAGTGCCCAGAACCTCCATATATACTAGCATTGGCCCACTTTCCCTTCCACGCCACTTGAATGAACAGATACACCACTTTCTGGTCTACCTACTGGTAAAATTTTCTCTCTTCACTCTCATTCAAGGCCACCTGTAAGTGTGGCTGGAATGAAATCATCATATATTTTTGGCTTTGCCTCATGTGTCTGGCCAATTGATATGTCAACAGAGCCTGACTCCTTCTTCCTTCTTTTTCAGCTGGTCTTATGAAACTCCCATATGGCCTTAGGTGTGAGCTGAGGGAGGGGTGCTGGTGCACCTTTGGTATGTGACATGGCTGACTGGTGACTGGACTAAGAGCTTGTGCAGTTTACTAGTGCCCTCTGGCTGTGGTTGGGCTGGGTTGCAGATGCAACACTTCCATCTTACAACGTTCAGTTCACCCAATTTGATGACTATTTGGGTCCAACAAAATCCACCTTCCAATGAGAAGTTCAACATGCTTGGTTATTTAGTGCCTCCTGGTCACATATTCTGTTTCTGCCAGTGATTAGAAATATGCAGAAACTGTTTCTCAAAAAACATTTAATTCTCCACTGTAGATGGCTGCACCTTGCTCCAGAGACACATTGTGTTTCTGTCACTGGTGCTTGCCATAATCCTCACATTGCATCTTTTCCCAATGTTGGATCTTCCAGGTTGTGTGTTTCAATATCTCCCAGATTGTATGCACTGCAGCCTGGTTCCACCTAAAATGATCACCCTTCTATGTTAACTTGTTTAGGAGCTGGAGTATTACTTTATTCCTCCAGTGAAATATGTTACCTCCAAAGTCTGAAGAGATCCATGAGCCATTAGGCTTCCTTCTTTGTATAGGGAATGTAGAATGTAGCTGTTTGTCTTTCACTTTGGAGGTGATGTCCTGGTATAGCTCTGACTACTAGATCCCTAAAAACTTTACTGAAGTGATAATTTCCTCAATCGTCATAGGGTTTCTTTTCTACCTTCTGGACGACATATAATTTATTGAGGCCTAGCGCCTCTTGCTCATTCTGTCCAGTCAACTGGATGTCATTGATATAAGGGATCAAGGTGATATTGTGCAGGATGTCCAGATGGCCCAGATTTCTTAAGATTTTATTATGAAAAAGGACAGTAGATTTAGCATAGCCTTGGAGCAAAGCTGTAAGTGAATATTATCATCTGTTCCATGTGAATGCGCACCATTTTACAGTCTCTCTTCCATTTGGAATAGAAAAGAACACATTTACCAAATTAATGGGCTCATATCAAATACCTGGAGCTTTGTAAATCTGTTTTAATAATGATAACTATGTTTGGCATGGCAGCTATGATTGGAGCTTCTACTACTTGGTTGAGCTGGAAATAGTTCGTTCTCCGAGGGCCATCTGATTTCTGTAGGAAATAGACTGGTGAAATAAGTAAAAGTAAGACAGACTGCTGTCCTCACCTAATTTGCATCTCCAATGGTAGCTCTGATCTCTGTCATCCCACCTGAGATGTGATATCTTTTATTTACTTTATTGGCTGGAGTGGGAGAGAGTTTGACAGTTTTTCACTTAGTCTTCCCCAGTGTGATCATTATTAACCCTTTTTGATTTGATGACTAAGGCTTGTTTTGATTTTAATTGAATTTTGAATGTTGTTCTCATTCTTACATGCTTCAGACATCAGAAAAGAAAGGTTTAGTCAGGTATCCTACCCAAATTCTTAATAAAAACATAACGTGTTCCAGGATCTCAGGCTCAACTGTATTAGAATATGCATAATTCCTGAGTTGGGTTCTCAAGTTTTTTTCATAGTCCTATCCATAGGGTTACAGCTGTAACAATATTCTCTGCCTGCTGTAGAAATTAGAGGTTAATCTCCAATGATGCTTCCTTCTCCTAATGATTCTAAACATCTGAACCAGGTGTGTGTCTGTGTGTGTGTGTGTGTGTGTGTGTGTGTGTGTGTGTGTGTGTGTGCATTTAACTGGATAATTGAAATCCCTAGCTTATGTGTATCCAGGGGACTGAAGATGTTTCATATACATCTAGGCCAGCTCATATAAGTATAGGGAGATAGAATGAGACATGTAAAATGCCCAATCTCTTTTCTAATTCTGTTTATTTACCTTAATCATTTCAATAATTTTTTTATAATTTCAACTTTTATTTTAGATTCAGCAGGTACATGTGTAGGTTTGTTGCATGGGTATATTGCATGTTGCTGAGGTTTGGAGTATAAATGATTCTGTCAGCCAGGTAGTGAGCATACTACCCAGTAGTTTGTCAACCCTTACCCCCTCCCATCCTTCCCCTTTTAGCAGTTCCCAATGTCTATTGTTGCCATTTTATGCCCATGAGTACCTAATAGTTAGCTCCCACTTGTAAGTGAGAACATGTGATATTTGTTTTTTTGTTCTCGCATTAATTCACTTAGAATAATGATGTCCAGCTGCACTCATGTTGCTGCAAAGGATGTGATTTTGTTCTTTTTTATGCTTACATAGTATTACATGATGTATATGTACCACATTTTCTTTATAAAATCCACTGTTGATGGACACCTAGGTTGATTCTATGTCTTTGCTACTGTGAATAGTGCTTCAATGAACATATGAGTGTGTGTGTCTTTTTGGTAGAACTTATTTTTTTTAAATATATATACCCAGTAATACTGGGTCGAATGGCAGTTCTAAGTTATTTGAGAAATCTCTCAACTGTTTTCCACAGTGGCTGACCTCATTTACATTCTACCAACAATGTCTAAATGTTCTCTTTTCTCCATAGCCTCACCAGCATCTGTTGTTTTTTGACTTTCTATTAATAGCCATTCTGACTGGTGTGAAATGGTATCTCATTGTGATTTTGATTTAAATTTCTCTGACGATTAATGATGATGTGGAGCATTTATTCATATGTTTGTTGGCTTCTTGTAGTCTTCTTTTGGGAAGTGTCTGTTTATGTCCTTTGCCCATTTTGGAGGGATTGTTTGTTTTTTGCTTGTTAATGTAAGTTCCTAATGGCTTCTGGATGTTAGATCTTTGTTTGATTCATAGTTTGTTAATTTTTTTTCCATTTAGTAGGTTGTCTGTTTACTCTGTTGATAGTTTCTTTTGCTGTGTAGAAGCTCTTGAGTTTAATTAGGTCTCACTTGTCAGTTTTTGTTTTAGTTGCAATTGCTTTCGAGGACATAGTTAAAAATTCTTTCTTTCCCAAGGCCAATGTCCAGAATGGTTTTTCCTAGGTTTTCTTCTAGGATTCTTTTACACTTAAGTCTTTAATCTATCTCAAGTTAATTTTTGCTTATGGTGAAATGTAGGGGCCCACTTTCATTCTTCTGCATATGGCTAGCCAGCTATCACAGCACCATTTATTGAATAGGGAGTCTTTTTCCCATTGCTTATTTTTGTCAACTTTGTGAAAGATCAGATGGCGGTAGGTGTGTGGCTTTATTTCTGGGTTCTCTATTCTCTTCCATTGGTCTAGGTATCTGTTTTTGTACCAGTAGCATGCTCTTTTGGTTACTGTAGTCTTGTAATATAGTTTGTAGTCAAGGTAATGAGATTCCTCTGGCTTTGGTTTTTTTTGCTTAGGATTGCTTTGGCTATTTGGTCTCTTTATTGATTCCATATGAATTTTAGAATAGGTTTTCCTAGCTCTATGAAAAATTATATTGATAGATTGATAATAATAGTGTTTAATCTATAGGTTGTTTTGAGCAGTATGGCCATTTTAATGATATTGATTCTTCCAATCCATGAGCATGGAATGTTTTTCCATTTGTTTGTGTCACCTCTAATTTCTTTCAGCACTGTTTCGTAGTTCTCCTCAGAGAGAACTTTCCCCTCCTTGGTTAGATATATTCCTAGGTATTTTTCATGACTATTGTAAATGGAATTGTGTTCTTGATTTGGCTCTCAGATTGAACGTTTTTGGTGTACAGAAATGCTACTGATTTTTGTACATTGATTTTGTATCCCGAAACTTTGCTGAAGTCATTTATCAGTTCCAGAAGCCTTTTCATGGAGTCCTTAGGGTTATGCAGGTATAGAATCATATTGGCAGTGAAGAGAGATAGTTTGACTTCTTCTTTTCCTGTTTGGATGCCTTTTATTTCTTTCTTTTGACTGATTGCTCTTGCTAGAACTTCCAGTACTGTGTTGAATAGAAGTGGTGAGAGTAAGCATTCTTCCCTTTTTTCAGTTCTCAAGGGAAATGCTTCCACATTTTTCCTGTTCAATATGATGTTGGCTATGGATTTGTCATAGATGGCTCTTATTATTTTGAGGTATGTTCCTTTGATGCCTAGGTTGTTAAAGGATTTTAACATGAAGGGATGCTGGATTTTATCAAAGGCTTTCTCTGCATCAATTGAGATGATCATATGATTTTTGTCTTTAATTTTGTTTATGTGGTAAATCACATTTATTGATTCATGTATGTTGAACCAACTTTAAATCCTGGGAATAAAGCCGATTTTATTGTGGTAAATTAACTTTTTAATGTGCTGCTGGATCCAGTTTGCTAGTATTTTGTTGAGGATTTTTGCATTTATGTTCATCAGGGATACTGGCCTGTAGTTTTCGTTTTTCATTCTATCTTTAGCCTGGTTTCGGTATCAGGGTGATATTGGCTTCATAGAATAAGTTAGGGAAGAGTCTCTCTTCCTTACTGGAATAGTTTCAGTAGAATCTATACCAGCTTTTCCTTGCATGTTTGGTAGTATTTGTCTGTGAATTTGTCTAGTCCTGGGCTTTTTTTGGTTGGTAAGTTATTACTGCTTCAATTTTGGAACTCAATATTCATCTGTTCAGGGTTTTGATTTCTTCCTGATTCAATCTTGGGACGTTATGTGCTTCCAGTAATTTATCCATTTCCTCTAGATTTTCCAATTTGTGTGTACAGAGGTGTTCATAATAGTCTCTGAATATCTTTTGTATTTCTGTGGGATCTATTGGAATGTCTTCTTTGTCATTTCTAATTGTGCTTATTTGGATCTTCCTCTTTTTTTTGTTAATTTAGCTATCAGTCTATTAATCTTGTTTATCCTTTCAATGAAGCAATTTTTTGTTTCATTATTCTTTGTATGGATTTTTGGGTCTCAATTTCATTCAATTCTGATTTTAGTTAGTTCTTTCTGTCTGCTAGCTTTGGGGTTAGTTCTTGTTTTTCTAGTTCCTCTAGGCATGTGATATCAGATTGCTGATTTGAGATCTTTCTAACCTTTTGAGATAGGTGTTTAAGAGCTATAAACTTTCCTCTTAATACTGCTTTCGCTGCATCCCAGAGATTTTGGCATGTTGTGTCTCTGTTTTCATTTATGTTTGGAAATTGTTTAATTTCTTTTTAAATTTTGTTGTTTACCCAAAAGTCATTAAAGAGTAAGTTGTTTAATTTCCATGCAATTATGTGGTTTGGGGAGATCTTCTTGGTATCGATTTTTATTTTTATTCCACTGTGGTCTGAGAGTATGGTTAGTATGATTTCTATTTTTACAAATTTATTGAGTCTTGCTTTATGGCCAAGTTTGTGGTTGCTCTTGAAATATGTTCTGTGTGCAGATGAGAAGAATGTATATTCTATGGTTAATGGGTGTAGTATCCTGTAGATATCTGTTAGGTCCAATTGGTCAAGTGTTGAATTCAAGCCTAGAATTTCTTTGTTAGTTTTCTGCCTCAATGATCTGTCTAATGCTGCCAATGGGGTGTTGAAGTACTCCAATATTCGTTGTGTGTGTATCTAAGTCTTTTCTTAGTTCTAGACATAGTTGTTTTATGAATCTGGGTGCTCCAATGTTGGGTCCATATATTAATATATTTGGGATGGTTAAGTCTTCTTGTTTCATTGAAGTCTTTATCATTGTGTAATATCTTCTTTGTCCTTTTTTAGTGTTGTTGGCTTAAAGTTTGTTTTATTTGATATAAAAATAGTGACCTCTGTTCTTTTCTGTTTTTTTATTTGCATGAAGGATCTTTCTCTAACCTTTTACTTTGAACCTATGGGTGTTGTTATGTGTGAGATGGGTTTCTTGAAGGTGGCAGATGGATGGGTGTTATTTATTTATTTATTTTTTATCTAACTTGCAACCCTGTGCCTTTTAAGTGGGGTGTTTAGACCATTTACCTTCAAGATTAATATTGATATTTGAGATTTTAATTCTATCATGAAGTTGTTAACTGATTTCTTTGTAGTTTCAATAGTGTGATTGCTTTATTGGGTCTGTGTGCTATGTACTTAAGTATGTTGTTGTATGTGGTAGCAGGTATTGATCTTTCATTTTCATCTTTAGAACTCCTTTTAGGATCTCTTGTAAGGCTGGTCTAGTGGTAACTAATTTTCTTAGTTCTTGCTTGTCTAGAAAAAATTTATTTGTCCTTCTCTTATAAAGCTTAGTTTGATAGGATATAAAATTATTGGTTGGAAGATGTTTTCTTTAAGAATGCTAAAAATAGGCCCCTGATGTCTCTTGGTTTCTGATGAGAAGTCTACTGTTAGCCTGTTGGATTTCCATTGCACATTATATGGCCTTTTCCCTCTAGCTGTTTTAAGATTTTTTTCTTCACTATGGATCTTGGGCAGTCTGGTGACTATATGCCTTGATCATTTTGTAAAGCATCTTGCAGGTGTTCTCTGGATTTCTTCTATCTGGATGTTTACCGCTTTAGGAAGATTAGGGAAATTTTCTTGAATTATCTCCTCACATATGTTTTCTAGGTTGTTTACTTTTTCTCTTTCTTTCTCAGGAATGCCAGTTATTTGTGGGTTTGATTGGTTTACATAATCCCATACTTTTCAAAGACTTTGTTCATTTTCCTTAATTCATTTTTCTTTTCTGTCTGACTAGGTTAGTTCAAAAGACTGGTTTTCAAGTTCCAAAATTCTTTCTTCTGCTGTATGCAGTCTAGTGATGAAGCTTTCAACTGTATTTTGAAATTTCTTTGAGTCTTTCAATTCCAGAAGCTCTGATTTATTTCTTTTTAAGATTTTTACCCTTTCTATATTTCCTGGATTGATTTAGAAGTTTATTTGTGTTGATTTTTAACCTTATTTTGGATCTCAATGAGATTCCTTGAAATCCATGGTTTGAATTCCTTATCTGTCATTTCCAAGTTTTCATTTCGGTTAGGGACCATTTCTGGAGAGCTAGTGTGATCCTTTGGTGTCACTACATTCAGGTTTTCCTTTGAGACAGAATTCTTGCACTGGTTTCTTCTCATCTGGAGATGGTGGCACTTCTAAATTTTCACGATATTTGTATGTGGGTAGGATTTTTTCTTTTTCTTTCTTTCTCTATACTATAATTATCTTTTTCTTTTCCTTTTTCTTTACCCTACTCTCTAGTGGGTATGAGTGTAGAGAATGTTGGGTAAGGTCTTTTGGCTTTGCTTCCATAGCTCTATGCACTTCTTTCAGCAGGTTTTATGTTAGGCTGTGCAGTCCAACCTACAAGCCAGTAGATGGTTGTTGGAAACAAGCCCCCCCAAATCTGGCCATAAACTGGCCCCAAAACTGGCCATAAACAAAATCTCTGCAACACTGTGACATGTTCATGATGGCTGTAAAGCCCACACTGGAAGGTTGTGGGTTTACCAAAATGAGGGCAAGGAACACCTAGCCTGTCCAGGGCGGAAAACCGCTTAAAGTCATTCTTAAGCCACAAACAATAGCATGAGCAATCTGTGCCTTAAGGACATGTTCCTGCTGCAGTTAACTAGCCCAACCTATTCCTTTAATTCAGCCCATCTCTTCGTTTCCCATAAGGGATAGTTTTAGTTAATTTAATATCTATAGAAACAATGCTAATGACTGGCTTGCTGTTAATAAATATGTGGGTAAATCTCTGTTCAGGGCTCTCAGCTCTGAAGGCTGTGAGACCCCTGATTTCCCACTTCACACCTCTATATTTCTGTGTGTGTGTCTTTAATTCCTCTAGCACTGCTGGGTTAGGGTCTCCCTGACTGAGCTGGTCTCAGCAGATGGTACTTACGGATAAAAGCCTGCTGCAGCCAATGTTGTTGGGTATATCCTTGATTCTTGTTTACCAAGAGGAGCTCTCTGTTGCTGCAGGCAATGGACTAATCCATGGAGGGCACAGTGGTCTGAGCTCTCTGCTCAGCCCTGTGGGGCAGGGAGCAAGATGGGCAGAGCCAAATTAGGCAGGCCCACCTACAGGTCCTCACATGGCAGACACAAGCACCAGCACTGAGGGAGAATCCAGTGGGACATGACCAAGTGCCCAGAGGTGTGCCTGAGGGAGACTTGCTGAGCCCCAAGTTCTCTGCATGGGTTGGGGGCAGCATAAACTCCTAATTCAGGTGAGTACTTCAGATGCCTGGAGATCTACCTGAGTATGGAGTGTAGAGGGCCCACTGCACCACAATCTCTGCACAGGAAGGGTGGAGTGGCTAAGGCTGCTGAATGGTAGTCAGGTGCTCTAAATGCCTGGGGATCTGCCTGGGTATGAGCTGGCCCCACCCCCTGCACCTTGATCTCTGCACAGTAAGGGTTGGGGGACTCAGGCTGCCAATTTGGGTGAGCAGGTGCTTTGAATGCCTAGAGATCTGCCTGGGTGCAAAATAGTGAGGGCCCCACTGCACCACAATCTCTGCACAGGAAAAGAGGGCAGCTCAGGCTGCTGATCCAGGTGAGGAGGTGTTCCAAATGTTTGGAGATATGCCTGGGTGTGGGGTGGAGACGACCCCACTGCACCCCGATTTCAGGGGAGCAGGCTGTGGCATCCAGCAATGACATATGCAGACCAGTTCCAGGTCGCCAAGCTGGTTTTGGCTGTAAGTCTTGTCATCCATGAGGAACCATAGCTGTAGCAGCTCTACATCCACTGAGACCTGTGACCAGGTAGAGCACAATTCCAGTGCCTACTGCTGAGGCACATTCCACATGCTAAATTTATTTGCATATAATTGTTCATAATTTTCTTTATTAACATTTCAGCATTTGTAGAATCTGTATGTCTCTTCTCATTATGATATTATAAATTTATGTCTTTTCTCTTCCTGGGTATTTGACTGGGGGATTTATCAATATTATTGATCATCTGAAAGGACAGCTTTTTTTTCTTGATTTTCTCTACTCTTTTTTTCTTAAATTTCATTGATTTCCACTTTGTTCTTTATTCAAAATTCTGGCTCTAGGGGTCCCTACCCTGCTCTAATGCAAGCACTCTAGTCTTTGGCCTGATACTAAAATGCCTGTGCTGCCATGCTGCCAGGTCACAAAAGAATGACTGACTTTGTGGATGGCCAGATTTAAAAATAGTGTCCTGCTCTTGGTCCTGGGTCTGGGAAATCCCTGCAGCTTTTCCTTCTCAGCATTTTGAAACCTCTTCGCAGTTTAGCACCAGGGCTTGGGAGAAACAAAGTCCTTTCTTTTTGTCCTGGGTTGCTCAGATCCCAAGAGGAAAGGAGAGTTACAGATGGAGGCTTTCTGCCTCTGTCATATATTGGGACTTTACTTACTTTTATCAGCTGGATGCTGTCATAGGGAATGTTTGTCTCCATTCTCATCCATGGGATCTGCGGTGTCGCAGGGATGAGATCCAGTAGATCTCATGGATCCGGTAGATTCATGGATCCAGTAGATTCCCATTTTTCTTTTCTAATTAAAGCTCACATAACTGATCTTTATGCACATCTTTCTCTTTCCGAGTGGCTGAGGCATGCAAAAATCTCTAATCTGCCATCTTGGGGAAAAATAAAAGCAATTTCTCTTCTAATTTTAAATGAGCACTATCTACTATACTACTTTGCTGTACCATAAAGTGTATTCTATTTGTGTGGTATTATCTGGATAATATATGAATATACTTCATTTCCCTGGCATCTCATAATTCTCTGATCTGAGTAATCCTTGAATATGTGCTGTTATACATGTTTTCATCATGTTGAGAAAGTTGTCTTCTATTTCTACTTTGCAGAGACATTTTTAAAAAATCAAGAATGTATGTTGGATTTTGCCAAATCTTTTTCTGTGTCTACTGGAATGATCATGTTTTTTTCCTTTTCTTTTCTAATATGTTAACATTGTGCATTACCTTGGCTGATTTTTTAATATATTAAACTAACCTTGAATTCCTGGAATAAATCTCACTTGATCATAATTTATTATTCTTTTTACATATTCTTGAAGTCAATTTCCTAAAATTTTGTGAGGAATTGGTGCAACTTAGGTCCTTTAGAGATATTGGTTTGTAGTTTTAACGTCTTATACTATCTTTTCTGGCTTTAGTAACAGGATAATGCTGTGCTCTTACAGCAATTTGAAACATAGATGCTACTCTTCAGTTTTCTGAAAGAGTTTATGTAGAATTGGTATTGCGTTTTCCTTAGATATTTCATAGATTTTATCAATGAAGCCATTTGGACCTAAAGTTTTCTTTGTGAAAATATTTTTAATTATAAGTTCAGTTAATCTTAATAGCTATGGGACCTTTCAGGTTATCTGTTTCTCCTTGAGTGAGCTTTGATAGTTTGTGTCTTTCAAAGTATTTGTCTATTTTATGTAAGTTGCAAAATTTATTTGCATAAAATTGTTCATAAATTTCCTTATGAACATTTCAATACCTGTAGAATCTGTATATCTCTTCTCATGCTGATATTATAAATTTATATATTTTCTCTTTTTTCTTCCTATTTGGGAGATTTATCAGTATTATTGATCTTCTGAAAGGACAGCTTTTTTCTCTATTTTCTCTATTCTTTTTTTCTTAAATTTCATTGATTTCCATTTTGATCTTCATCATTATTTACTTCTTTCCTTCTACTTCCTTTATGTTTAAATTGCTGTCTTTTAAAATTTTTAAATATAAAAGTTGAGTTCACTGAGATCTTTTTTCTTTTCTAATAAAGGCATCTAATGATATAAATTTTTCACTAAGTACTTTAGTGGCATTCCACAAGTTCTGTTATCTTATTTTTATTTTCATTTAGTTACAAATATTTTTTGCCCTGAAACTTCCTCTTTTACTCATTTCCTTTAGAAGCATCTTATGGAAAAATAATGGCTATATTTTCCCCAAATTTGATAAAACCTATAAATCCACCAACCCAACTAGCCCCAAGCAAACAGGAGAATAAAACCGTGAAGACAACTACTTCAGAGTAAATAATAATCAACTTTCCCCAATTGTGCAGTGATACAGAGAAAATCTTAGAATCAGTCAGAAAAAGAAAAATTAAGAGGAATAAAAAAAGATGACAGCAGATTTCTCATTAGAAACAGTGCACACTTGAAGCAATCAAGTAGAATTTTTAAAGTACCAAAAGAAAAATAATTATCAACCTGGCATTCTATGTCCACCAAAAAAAGATGTCAAAAGCAAAAGCAAAAGAATGCAAAACATGAAAGAATCTGTGACAAGCAGACTTACACTATAGGAAATGCTGAAGAAAGTTTGTGTCTTTAAACACAGTTTTTTTTTTCACGGGTTGTATCTATTTATTTGCATATCTATGAGAAGAATTAAGGCAATTTCCCAGAAATACTACTTGATTTTGGCTTACTAAAAATCTAAAGTATTCAAGATAATGTGGTATTTTTGAAAGGCTAGACACATAAATCTTTGGAACCGAATAGAGAGTCCAGAAATAGACCTACACAAATATGGTCAATTAATTTTTGAGAAAAGTGTGAAGGCACAACAAAGAAGAGAGAATAGTCTCTTCAACAAATAATACTGGTACAATTGGACATACATACACAACGAAAAAATGAATCTCATGCCTTATGCAAAAATTAACTCAAAGTGCATTAGAGACCTAAATGTAGAACTAAAAAGTATTAAAAAGTTTATAAGAAAATATAGGATAAAATTTTGGTGCCCTTGGATTAATAAAAAAGCAAATTGATAAATTGGAGTTCATCAAAACTAAAATCTATTGCTCTTTGAAAAACACTGACAAGAGAATGAAAAATACGTTAGTCACACATTCATAAATAATATATTTGACAAATAATTTTTGTTTAGAATATAGAAATAATCCTAATCCAATTTAAAAATAGATAAAAGTTTTGATAAAGACATTTCACTACAGCAGATACAGAGTTGACAAATAAGCACATAAAGAGATGCTCAACTTCAGTAGGGAAATATCAGTGAAAACATGAACATGATAATGCTAAGCACCTACTTGCATAGCTTTAAAAAAGGGCTGGAAATCAAACTGGGAAACTAGAAGTCTCATACCTTCCTGGTGGAAATGCAGAATGGTATAGGCACTCTGGAAAACAGTTTGGTAGTTTTAAAAATAAAGTCAAATATACTCTTACTATATGATTTAGCAATCTCACTCCTAGGTCTTTTGCTAGAGGTAGGAAAATTTATGTTCACACAAGACCCTGAATGTTTGTAACAGCATTATTTATAATTGCCCCAAACTGGAAATAACTTTGATGTCCTTTGACTGATCAATTATTAGCAGAGCTATTGTACATTTATACAATGAAATATAAGGTTACAGTTAACTACTGATACATAGAACAACATGGATGAATCTCAAATATATTATGCTAAGTAAAAGAAATCAGTGAAAGATTACATATTGTATTAGTTTTCATGATGCTGATAAAGACATAACCGAGACTGGGTAATTTATAATGAAAAAGAGGGCACGGCCTGAGCTCTATGTTGGCCCCTTTTAGCCATGACTGGAGTGACTGGAATGCAGGGGACCAAGTTCCTAGGCTGCACACAGCACAGGGACCCTGGGCCCAGCCCACAAAACCATTTTTTCCTCCTAGGCCTCCAGGCCTGCCATGGGAGGGGCTGCTGTGAAGACTTCTGACATGCCCTGGAGACATTTTCCCCGTTGTCTTGGGGATTAACATTCAGCTCTTCATTACTTATGCAAATTATGCAGCTAGCTTGAATTTCTCCTTAGAAAATGGGATTTTCATTTCTATCGCATTGTCATGCAAATTTTTGAAACTTTTATGCTCTGTTTTCCTTTTAAAACTGAATGCCTTTAACAGCAACCAAGTTACCTGTTGAATGTTTTGCTGTTTAGACATTTCTTCTGCCAGATACCCTAAATCATCTCTCTCAAGTTTAAAGTTCCACAGATCTCTAGGGCAGGGGCAAAATGCCACCAATGTGTTTGCTAAAAAATAACAAGAGCCACTTTTGCTCCAGTTCCTAACAAGTTTCTCATCTCCATCTGAGATCACTTCAGCCTGGATTTCATTGTCCATATTATTATCAGCAAAATTTTAGTCAAAGCCATTCAACAAGTCTCTAGGAAGTTCCAAAGTTTCCCACATTTTCCTGTCTTCTGAGCCCTCCAAATTGTTCCAACCCAGTTCCAAAGTCGCTTCCACAGTTTCAGGTATCTTTACAGCAATACCCCACTCTACCAGTACCAATTTATTGTATTAGTTTGTTTTCATGATGCTGATAAAGACATAACCAAGACTGGGTAATTTATAAAGAAAAGGAGATTTAGTGGACTCACAGTTCCACGTGGTTGGGGAGATCTCACAATCATGGCAGAAGTGAAAGGCATGTCTTACATGGCAGCAGGCAACAGACAGAATGAGAGCCAAGTGAAAGGGGTTTCCCCTTATAAAACCATCAGATCATCAGCTCTTGTGAGACTTATTCACTACCATGAGGACAGTATGGGGGAAAACACCCCCATGATTCAGTTATCTCCCACCAGGTTCCTCACACAACACATGGGAATTACAGGAGCTACAATTCAAGCTATAATTCATATGGTATGATTCCATTTGAATGACATACCACATAAGGCAAACCTATAGAGACTGCAAATAAATCACTCATTGCTAATAACTAGAAGTTAAGGGTGGCTTTAATTAAATTAATTAATTAATTTCTTTACAAATGAACAGCACAGGGGAATTTGGAGGTGAGAAACCTCTTCTACATCCAGATTGTTGTGGTGGTTCCACAAATCTTTGCCTTTCTAAGGATTCATAAAACAGTACATAAAAAATACAAAGTGAATTTTATTGTATGTAAATTAAAAAAGGACTTAGTGATGGTTGATTTGCAGCCATGTTGGCTGGGTAATGAATGAGTAATGAGTTATTGTTTTAAAAAGGAAACATTAAAATACTATAAATCCTTCAGGGCCTATGGATTACAGAGGAAAGATGTGAAACATTAACCAAAATTTAAAATGATGCAGGTTCTAATTATGCTATATGTTTTGTTAATAGTTAAAAATCTCGTGATAATAAATGTCAAGTTAAATAATATATATTTAGAGTTAACATGATGTCAGCCTTTCTAAAGATATTTCTATGTAAATTCCTTATATGCTGCATTAAAGTACTGCTTTTGAGCATTTTCAGTGTGGTAGTCAGCACCTCATTTGGTTCCCAGTGATTCTTACTTCCTGGTATTCACATCCTTCTTTGGTCCCACTCATCTACTTGTTCTACTTGATTGCAGCAGTTTAGAGCAGGGGTTGGCAAACTATGGCTCACAGGCCAAATCTGGTCACCCAAGAGTTTTCTTTATGGCCTGCAAGCTGAGAATGGTTTTCCTTTTTTAAATGGTTATATTTTAAATGTTTATATAAGTACTTACATATCTTCAGTGCTGCCTCTTGGTCCACAAAGTCAAAAAATATTTATAATTAGCCCTTTAAAAAAAAAGTTTGCTGAGCTCTAGTCTATAGCAATTGGTTTCTGCAGTGCCCAGACTAGTGATTTAAATGGAGATATGTGGAAACCATCTCACCTCCTTTCCACTAATACACCAGCCCAATTCACCTTCAGTTTTAACAACTGGACCATCACTTGTGTTAGGGGCTGTCTGGTGTTTTACTTACCACCAGAGTTGGGGAACTCATTGTTATCTATGTGGTGAAGGATCCAGGCCCTAAATTCCACTTTTAGTACCAAACATCCCAGGTGGGCTCTCTGGAAAAGATGCTGAGACAGTTTGGGTTGCAAGATGGTTATTAAGGATCTATATCTGTGAGAGTAAATGTGGACCCAACAAAGCTTCAACACCCTGGTTTGGAATTCCGGAGTATTACTTATTAGAGCTGTTTTGCATTGGGCCAAAAGGTCAGGGTCTTTATACTCCCACATAGTTTTGGCACAGAATATGGGTTGCTTCAGGAAGATTGTCACTTCAGGTGAGGTAATTCTCTGATGATGGCTCTTTCAAGAGGAATCAGCATTCCAAGCTGAGCCATTAGACTAGGCAAAGCCATGGTGGCATTTTTAGGTGACTATAGATATTTCTGTGTTGCTAAAGCATAAAGTGTAAGGCAAAGAGATGCTGGAGATAAGGATGTAGAGTTAGGTGAAGGCCTGGCCATGAAGGGCATGTGCATGGAAAGCTAAAGAGCTTAAAATGATGATTATGATTTGATCTTTATTGAGTGATTGATATAAGCCTTGTGTTTTATTTACATTTTTCTCATTTATCTCTGAGATCGATAAGATAGCAACAGTTTAAATATTAGAAACTAGGCTTAAAGAGTATAAGCAATGCCCAAGATCACACATGTGTTGCATGAAAAGGTCCAGCATTTGAACTTCTTTTCATCTGAATGTCTTATCACAAAGACATTCATAACTAGCTGGAAGCATGAGGATCACATAGATTTTCATTTTAGACATAATTCTATGGAGAAAAGTAATGTAACAGATAGAAATATTGGACAGAAAACTGTTACAGAAGTCTGGGTGAGAGATAATGAGAGTGTGGCCAAAGGGAACAAGAGTGAGGATGGAGAGGAGGTGATAAATTTTTTAAAAAATTTATGAAGTAAAGCTATCAATACCTTCAGAAGGCCTGAAAGTAGAGGTTTCAGAGAGTGAAGAGTCAAGAATGACTCCAGATTTCTGTTGTTGGAAACATTGTGAATGGCGGTGCTGCCAACAGTAACTATACTTTGGATATAATTATTTGTGTATATGTATGTCTCTTCCATTGGAATGTGGTCACCGACTATTATTTCTGAATTACAGCACTTAGCATAGTTTCTGGCTCAGTCTTTACGGGGATCAGAATGGACTTTACTCATAATAATCAAATTACCACCATCATAGAATTAAACTATTAGTTGTGTCAATATTGTTCAAGGATAATGAGCTTATTGAGGAATATTAAAAATTCATAATATGTCTTTATCATAATTTTCATTTTGCAGAAGTATAATTTTTCTTTATTTTTTCCCCTAGAATGTAAATTTTTAAACTCATTTTAAAAGTTTATTTCTAGAGAATAATTATTTACAAAATAAGAAGACATTAATTAAACTTGTCTGATGGGAATTTTGATTTAGAACTCAACCTGGCAGTGGGTAAGTTTGATGTAGGAGCCATATTATGACACCAGAGCCATGACATCCTAGGTGTTTCAAGATCTCTTCCTGTCAGCAGTTGCCTTCTAAATAAAACAACCTTTAACTAGGTTCTTTTACATTTCAGTAACTAAACCTCAAGTGCCATGTGTCATACAATAATTTCTGTCCTTTAGAGAGATGTTAGGATATTTTTATTAGTTAAGCACCTAATTTTGTAAAGTGACCTAACTAGTTATCTTTGTTTGTGTTGCTGTAAAGGAATAGCTGAGGGTAGATAATTTATAAAGAACAGAGGTTTATTGGCTAGCTGTTTTACAGGCTTTACATGAAGCATAACTCCAGCATCTGCATTTGGTGAAGGCCTCCAGTAGCTTCTACTCATAACAGAAGATAAAGGGGGAGCCAGAGCATGTAGCAATGACAGCAAGAGAGGAAGCGAGAGAGAGAGAGAGAGAGAGAGAGTGAGAGAGAGAGAGAGAGAGAGAGAGAGAGGGAGGAGGTACCAGGTTCTTTTTAACAACCAGTTCTAGGGAACTAACAGAGCAACAACTTACTCACCACCCCCTACCAGGGCATTAATCTATTCATGAAGGATCTGATCCCATGACCCAAACACCTCCCAATAGGCCCCACCTCCAACATTGGGGATCAAATTTCAGCATGAAGTTTGGAGGGGTTCAACATCCAAGCCATAGAACTAGTCCATGCAACCGACAGCTGTGATTGCAACAGGGAAATTTTAAAATGATGAGTACACATCCATTCTTTTTATCTAAACAGCCTTGTGAAAGAGCTTAATCTAAACCTTAGAGTAAAATTATATTTGAATATAACCTCAGTGCTATGGTCTGAATGTTTTTGTCCCCTTAAATTCATATGTTGAAATCTTAACCTCCAATGTGATGGTATTGGGAGATGGAGCTATTGACAGGTGAATATATTACGAGGGTGGAATCTTCATGAATGGTATCATTGCCCTTGTAAAAATGGCCCAAGGGAGTTCATTTACCCCTTCCAGCATGTGAAGGCACGGTAGGAAGGCACCATCTATGAAACAGGAAATGGTCCCTCACCGGACACCAAATTTACCAGCACGTTGATCTTGAACTTTTTCAGCCTCTAAGAACTGTGAGAAATTGAGAAATAAATGTCCCTTGTTTATAAGCCACTCGGTATATGGTATATTGTTGTAACAGCCTGAATGGAGTAAGATATTAGGTCATTTGCTATTTGGGTAACACAAAGTTGGTCACATACCTGCTCTGAGTCTGAGTTCCCTGTTGATAAAATGAGAAAGATCATACCTTGCAGGATTGTTACCATGATTATAGATACTAATGCAGGTAATATACTTGGCATGTAACACGTACTCAGTAATGGGAGTTGTTATTGTTTTTATTGATTACTACTGGTAATCCAAGTTTGGATTACAGGCTTTATGACCTGGTGACATCAGCACTCTGGGTTCCTTC
This sequence comes from Homo sapiens, assembly GCF_000001405.40. Lineage (NCBI taxonomy): Eukaryota > Metazoa > Chordata > Mammalia > Primates > Hominidae > Homo > Homo sapiens. The sequence goes on along the minus strand of NC_000001.11, from coordinate 199,528,539 downwards.
CATTCATTTCTCAGCTAGTGCCTGCTAAGGGATGTGTATTACATTTTAATTTTGGTGTTAAGTACAGTTGCAATGTGAAGTACAAGGAGTGGTAGGAACATATCTATATTACCTTTAGACAATCTAGAAGACAACCTCTGACTTATCAGGCATCTTCTTAAAGAACTAAGGGAACAACCTTGAGGTATAAATGTTTTTGTGTTTTTACTTGCTGAAATTTAATGGAAGAGTTGCCATTTGGGGATTGCCCGCATCAGTGCTTCCCTCCATTAGCATGGAGAGGTGAAAGTTGACTGCTATTAGCTGTAATTAGCTACTGATCTTTTTGGACAACCAGAAAATCTGGTTTTTCCTCCAGACATTAAAAGGGCACTCAGAAAGGATATAACTTTTATAGTGGATAATTTTAAAGCAGAGGATGTTGAATCCTTCAAAAGCAGCGCTTTCACCATGGTCGGTTCTTGTGTCTATTTTTAGTATATTTATTAAAGATGTGTTATTGTCTGTTGCGGGAAAAAAGAACAAAACATAAAGGAATTTTGCAAATGGCTGTAGAGTGCTGGGTGTAAAACACTGAAGCTAATTGAATTGAATGGCTTCGAGCCCTTGGAAGTCACAAAGTGACAAGGTTTGCTTGACAGCTAGTGAGCGATTATTTCCTGTCCCACTGATTAATTTGGTCAATTAGTGGCAAATAGGAATGTCACAAGTGGAAAGGGTAATGAGAGTCATTATAGATGTAAGAGTAAAATTGAGGGCAACCTTGTCATAGAAGGGGTTTGTGGTGGCTAGCTCAGGCACTGATGGGAATAAGAGTTTATTCCCATTTCTGTCTCTCCTTCCCTAGACACTGAATGTTAGTTCAACCAGAACTTCTAAGAAATAAAAAGGGACCCCTGGCAGCATTTTCTAATGTCTATATAAAAGCAGGGGTTTTTTTGTTTGTTTGTTTGTTTGTTTTTTGAGACAGAATCTCACTCTGTTGGCTAGGCTGGAGTGCAGTGGCACCATCTTGGCTCACTGCAACCTCCGCCTCCCAGGCTCAAGCAGTTCTCCTGCCTCAGCCTCCTGAGTAGCTGGGATTACAGGCGCATGCCACCATGCCCAGCTAATTTTTGTTTTTTTAGTAGAGACAGGGTTTCACCATGTTGGCCAGGCTGGTCTCCAACTCCTGACCTCAGGTAATCCGCCCGTCTTGGCCTCCCGAAGTGCTGGGATTACAGGCGTGAGCCACCGGGCCCAGCCTAAAAGCAGTTTTTTAGGGTGACATTTAAAATATCCATCTGCTATTTGAATCTTTTAATTGTGTCCTCAAACTAAAATCTGCAGTTGTGTTTTAGAGCAAGTCAGGTAGATTCAAATCTGAACACCCCAAATGCATAACATGTCTATGACTGCCCAACTGGGAACTGCTAACTCCAACATTAGAATAAGGCCATTATATTAGTTTTCTGTGTTGTAAAAAATTACCTCAAAGTGGGTGGCTTAAGGCAACAGAAATTTATTAGCTTATAGTTCTAGAGACCATAAATCCAAAATCAAGTTGTTGTTGCTGTTGTTTTTCTAGAGGCTCTTGGGAAGAATCTGTTCCAAGCCTCTCTCCTAGCTTCTGGTGGTTGCCTGCAGTTGTTGACGTTCCTTGCCTTGTAAATGCATCACTTGGATATTTGACTCTGGTTTCAGAGGGTCCTTTCACTGTGTGTCTACTCCTCTTCTCCTCTCTTCTAAGGACAACTGTCGTTGGATTTAGTACCCACTTTAATCCAGCATGATCCTATCTTGAGATCCTTATCTCAAGTACATGTGGAAAGGCCTTTTTTTTTTTTTTTCAAATAAGCTCACATCATTCACAGGTTCTGGGTGGATATATCTGTTGGAGGACTACCATTCAACTCACCACAACCACTTTTACAGTGAATGCCTTTCAGTTTGATTATGACCCATAAGCAACTGAAAGGGTCTGAGAAGCAGAGGATGCTGTATGTTGTAGATGAAGGCAAGATTTATGGATATGCACTGACTTCAATTTACCATGGCTGTTGGGCCAACAGTGCCTAGCTAATCCATGACAAGCTACTGACAACCAGCTCTAAATCTGACAGCAGGCTCCTTCAGTCCTTCTTTTTCCTGTCATTGCCTGCTTTGCCTCAATGACTTAATGGTGACATCTGGCCATTGGGTACCCTTTGGGTGTTTCTCCTTCTACGTGTCTTGTTTGAATGTGAGATCTGCTCTAATCTTGCCGTAACCAAAGAAAAACATATTGCCTAGCCTTAGTCAATTTTCAGAGCCTTCAGAAGCTTGTTATCCCTCCACCCCACCACCAATCATGTTTGTTACTAAGTATTTTGGAAATATGAGAATGTTATTGCTAACATTCCCCCTAGTTTTACTACATTGTTTTAAAATGTCTAATTCACATATCTCGTCATATCACTCCATCAGATGCTATTGCTTCCTGCTTCCGGGGTTAATACTATTACCCAAAATCTCCTCACATTCAGTCTTTCTAACTGTGTCTGTTTTTTCTCTATCCCTAAACAAAGACTGGTTTAACGAGGCAATTCGCTATTATAATGATGTTTTCAGTTGAAAGAGCGAAATGTGTTTGGGGGAACAGGAGATTTTTTTCCACTGTAAATTCAGCTCTGTGTTCCATTTGCCCTGCTTTGCTCCTTTTGGACTTTGACCCTTTTTGGCTTGGAGCATCTTTTGCATTTGTCTTGTAAATGGCTTCCTGATACTATGCCATCACTGGTTCAGTTTAGACTTTATACTGTCACCAGTTACCTTTCCCCAAAATGCCACATCACAGTCTTGCTTCAACTTTTTGGTGATCCTGTAATGACCATAAGATAAAGTAAAAAGGGTTTTGCATGGAATAAAATTCGACTCGAGTCTATCCTTTTGGCTGTGTTTTTTCCTAACTTTAACCACGATATGAGCAGATATACAACACTTGAGTTTATAACTCGGCCCCAAGCATGTCACACCTTCTTGGGCTTTTGTGCCTTTGCGCAGGCTAATCCCTGTGTTTAAAATGCCCCTCTTCCATATTCTCCTTTTGACTCTCTTATAATCCTTCAAGACCCATTGCGTATGTTTTTTCCTCTCACAACTCATGCTCCTGGAGGCAGAGGTAGTCTTTCCTCCCTCAGTACTGTATTTATACCTATATTATATAAAACATAAGCTGTGTTAATAATTCATAGCTGGCCAGTCATTCAGAGATGTGCTTTGAACTCACTACATTCCAAGGTGTGTACACTGAAATTATCTGAATATATTTACTCCCTTCACTAGTCATTGAGCCCCATGGGTAGAATGATGGACAATGTATCCCTACTGCTTCACATTGTGACAAAGAAGTCTAAAGAAAACCTTGATGAATAGATGAATGAATACAAAAATGAAGGTAGAGATTACATGTTGCTAAAGAATATTTTGGTCAATTCCACTGTGTTCTTAGGCTACAGATATTCAGGACAACTTTCTTAACTAATGATTGTTTACATTCCATCATATAATTTATTCACTGTTCTAAGATAGACTAAGCCAGTATTCTAAGATGAACTATATATTAGATACATAACTAAATATTTGAGAATAGGACTAAGTATTGGCATCTCTTCAGAAGTGATAGCAACTATTTTACCTTCAAATTATCTACAAATCAATCTGTCTTAACATAGATTTCTTCTAAAAAAAAGCATTGCTATAATAAAAACAGTGTTGGCTGGGCCCTTTAGTGTTTCCTGGGGTGACTTGTCAATGTGACACATTATATACATTACATCAGTGTGCCTTATTGTCAATCTCTGATATGTCTGCTCTGTCCTTGTGCGTTGGACCAGACAGGAAAGCAGCCCAGCCTGGAAGTGTGTACTGAGGTGGCATGCACTGTATTTGATGATAAATGCAAGGACACTGAAGACACATGGCTCAGGTTGACATGTAATACCTAATTCAATTTCATTATCATTAAAAATAAAAGGGAAGGAGGTGGCAAATAGAAAAGGGAAAGGTAATTCATAGCCTAGATGGTATATTGGGCTTTCATATGTCCTGCTTTATATAGCAAGGCCATCCTTTGAATGCAACATCCTTCACTGTAACACACATTGACTTTGACACTGCACCTTGACGAATGCATGGCCAACGCTAGTGAGTGCACTGTTTCTCTCCCATATATTTGGTTGAAACAAATAGGAAGTTTTCCATTTTTATGTTTCACACTTTATTAAGTATATCTCTGTTGATGCCTATTTGCAGAGCAAATTAACTGAAGTGAAAAGGAAAGAAATAGGTCTTTACTCATGCAAAGCAATGAAATCATAATCCCAGAAAAACAAGACATGTCCCTCATTGCCCTCATCAAGATGTCTAAATGAGTTTTAAAATATGACTTGGCTTGTGCATCATTCTCAGAGTCCTTCAGTTACACACCTGGAACTATTTACTACCAAAAGTATTGTAGGTCTTCAAGGCAGCCACGTTGGTTCTCATGTAATATACAGTTTGTTTTTAACATTTACGCTTAATGAATGGAAATTTTTCCATGTATTAAAAGACAGGATATAAAAGACAAAATAGTGTGTATAAAAGCAAATGGATAACGAGGTGTCAGATGTTTATACACTAGATTTATGACCTTGGATGAATTATACAAGTTTTGCCTCAGTTTCCTCACCTGTAAAATGACAAGTTAGATAAAATGGTAGCAACAGTCTTATATAACATTTATAGTTTTCCTGGCGCTGTTCTAAGTGCTTTTTATAGAATTCTTTGAGTACTCACAGCAATCCTATGAAATAGGATCTATTACCAGTCCCGTTTTTAAAGACACTCATAAGTGGGAGCTAAGCTATGAGGATGCAAAGGCATAAGAATGGTACAACAGACTCTGGGAACTCAGGGGAAAGGGTAGGAGGGAGGCGAGGGATAAAAGACTACAAATTGGGTTCAGTGTATACTGCTTAGGTGATGGGTCACCAAAATCTCACAAATCACCACTAAAGAACTTACTTACGTAACCAAATACCACCTGTTCCCCAAAAACCTATGGAAATAAAAAATTAAAAAGAAAGGGGAGGTGGCAAGAAAAGTAGTTGTCCAAAATTGTACAGATAGCAAGTGACAGAACTGAAATTTGTACCGGGGTGTTCTGACCTTTGGATCCATGTTTCTAATCACTATCTTATACTTCTTCTAGCACCTTAGTGACTATATTTTCACTGTTGTGTAGGAAGGGGAAGCATTAGCTAGAAACTAGTACATAATTTTGTATAAAATTTGTTTTCTCACCCAGAATCAGTGGGAGGTGTTCATTCATACACCAAGCCAGTATGAATCTGTTTATAAAACCTCTCATGAAACACTTTCCTAAAACTATGATGAATCATTGCAGCCGAGAGGACAAAAATAGGACAGGATGACGGAACATTCCCATCCTTACTTAACCTTTGAAAGAATTTTCATTTCTTAATAAATTTTGGACTGATTCAGGCATAGTAGGTAAAACATTTTCTAGGGATACTGATCTTGAAGATTGGATGGAAAGTGTAGAATACCCATTCATTTCTAGCACATCAGTATCTCCCATATAGATACTAGAAGGAATAAAAGCATACATTTGGTCATCTTGCCAAGGACTGGACTCAGTCTGGCATGGAGAGAATTCTATAGTTGTCTATTCTTGATGGTGCCAATTGGGTGCTGGGTAAGTATGTGGCCATTGTGAAAACTTTAACGTGATAGATGATATGTTACTTGCTAGTAAAATTTTTATGAGCAAGTGGTGGTGTATAGTAAGAAGTTCATGACATCTGTATTCAAAGGACCAAAACTTGAATCTAGGATCCATTATTTCATTGCTTTGTGACACTGTGACAATAAATATTTTATCCCTCAGATGTGTCATCTGTAAACTGTGGTTAATAATCACTTATCTTGAAAGGATGTATGATCATTAATATGTGCATATATTTTGTACATGCTAAATATGACTCATAGGTAAGTTATTTTGTGATTGTCATGAAGAATTTACTAGGCATGCACCACCAATAAACGTTTTCATGGGTAATTTTCTCTTCAGTTTTCAACTTCACACTCCTTTTTTTTTTTTTTTTTTGCTGCATCTAAAGGCTTTGGGTGATGTTTTCCAGATTTTTAATATTGCAGTTAGAGACATGGGTTTTAACAAACAACATATGCCCTACTACTAAAGAGAACAAACTAGAATTAAGAAAAGGATAATAGAAAAGAAAAAAAATTAGAGAAATAAGAAAATGTAGCTATCCTCTTTTGATACTTCCAGCCCATTAGATTTGTAATATTCTGCTACATTTTGGAAATGTCACTTAGCCCATGCATAAGGCAGTCAGTTACAAGATTCTACTCCTAACAAGAGTGGTTCTGTGACCCAGATTTGGCTAATTATTTCACCCATTGACCAGGTGAGTCAGAGTCCTTCCCTGAAATTTGATTTTTTGACTATAAAAGAGAAAAGTTATCTCTTTACTTTTAGTTGGGACATTATAAATATGAGGCTCTCTGTGGCCTCATCCCCATCTCACACCCCCGCATACTGCAGAAGAAATTCACCTGTAGTGGGAGAGAAAGAGGCTAAAGACACAGAAAACAAAACAGAGATGATGAATGCAGAAAGTCTGGACAGATGACATGGTACTATTTCTGAAACCAGTTGTTCCTGAGGCCCATTCCACCTCTAATATCCCCGTTCATCCAATAGATACTGAGTGCCTGACAAGTCAAATGCTAGGCACTGTTTTGGGGATTTCTAGGTTTTGGGGATTCTAGGTTTTGGGGGTTTTCTAGGTTTTGGGGATCCAAAACAGTTGAAAATGTTTGCTTTGTGAACTTACATTCTAATAGGGAAAGGCAGACAATAAACAAAATATTTAAGTAAATTGCACAGTATGTAAGAGAATGATAAATCTCATGGAGTAGGGGGAATTGCATAGGGTAAGAAAATAAATTGGCAATGCTGGGAGAAGGGAGGTAGGTAGGTTTCAATTTAAATAAGAGAATCAAGGTAGGCATTTTGAACAAATATTTGAAAAAAGTAAGGGAGTATGGCAAAGGAGTATCTGGAAGAAGCGTGATCCAGGGAGATGAAACAGCAAGTGCATTGACCTTCAGTAAGAGTGTGCCAGGTATATACTAGTGACAGGTGGTCAGTGTGGCAGAATCTATTTGAGGGAAGTGTTGAAGGGGATAAGATCAGAGAGGTAAAAGGAAGTAGGTCCAGATTATGTGGGGCTGTGTAGCTGTTTTAAGAATTTTTGTTTTTATCTTTGTAAAATGTGGAACCATCGTCAGGTTTGAGCAGAAAAGTGAAATAATCTGATTTATACATTTAAGGGATTTGTTGAAAAATACTATCAGATTGGTCAACAATAGAAATAGGAAAACTGATAAGGAGGCTATTTTAATAATTCATGGGAGAGATAATTACTGGCGACTTGAACAAGGATGTGAGAAATGACTGGATTATGGATTTAAATGCAGGCCAACAAGATTTCCTGAGGGATTGGATAGTATTATGACCAAAAGAGAAGGATCAATGATGACATCAAGTTTTTTTACCCTGAGCAACTGACAAATGTCATCACTATCAGCTGAGGTGGGGAAGGCAGTAGGTGGAGCAGGAGTTCAGTTTGGGACATGTTGAGTTTAAGACAGCTGTTAGTCCTCTGAGCAGATATGATGGTAAAGAATTAAATATATGAGCCTGGAAATAGGAAAATGAATCTAAGAGAGATAAATTTGGGTTTCATCAGCATATACAGAAGGCATTTGATTATATGACAGTGGATGAGTGGGGTGAACTATAAAGCTGGGGAGAAACCAGCAGAGGGTGGTGCTCTGGCAGACAAGAGAATAAAGTAGATCAAGAAGGAAGGAATGGTTAACTATGTCAAGTGGGTCAGCCTGGGTCTACTGATGACCTTGCCAGGAGAAGTATCAAAGAGGTAGTTTCAGTGAATTAACTGGAGCAAAAGCTTGCCTGGAGTGCACCCAAGAGATTGGGGGAGGAAAGTGGCAGACAGTGAGCACAGACAGCTTTTTTTTTAAGAGAATTTTTTGCTGCAAAGGGGAGCAAATAAGGCAGTATTTCACTGGGGACATAGATTAATTTTTTTGAAGTATTTTATTCTTTAAGATAGGAGAAATCATAGCATATTTGTATGGCAGTGGGAATGATCCACAAGAAAGAAAAAAAAATGATGATAGGTAAGGACATGGAAGAATTGCTGGATCAAGTTTGTTGAATAGGGGAGAGAAGGATGGAATCAAGGGTGCTAGTGGAGGAAGACTTAACGGGAAAATAGAGTTCATTGATAGTAATAGGAAAGAAGGCAGTCTATAGAAATAGATGCTATTATGGGTTAGATATGGGAGATTGGAGTGTGAGGACATTCTCTTTCCAGTTACTTGAGCCAATAGATTTGGCTTGGCTTAAGCCACTTCAAAATAGTTCCTGATATAACCAAAAACAAGAAAGGGAAGCTCAATAATTTTTCCAAGGTTATATAGCTGACAACATAGCATAGTGCTAAATGGAGAGGTACCTGAGTCAGCCAGAACTTGAATCTTGTTCTTGATCCCAAGTCCAGTTTGTCATAGGCCCATAAAGATATTATTTATTATTCTTGCAGTTGTTTGTTGAGTGCCTAATAGGCATCGCTTAGTAAAAAGTATAACTTTGGCCATGCCAATGAAGGAGAGGTACTTGGTGCATTGCTAATGGAAGACAGATTCCATTAGGTTGGAGATAATCAGGAAGACTTGTTTGAAGAGTGACACAAGAACCGAGAGCAGAGAAATGAAGAGTTAAGAAGACAAAGGGCAGAGGAAAGAGCATTTGAGGCACTGAAAACAATGTTGGCCGTTCCTTGTGGTAGGAGAGATCATGAAAGTTTGAGGGAGGGATGAAAGTCGGAGTGCTGGAGCAGACTCCAAGTGGAGCTTGGTATGCAATGAACCTGGAACAGGGTCAGATTAGGGGCTTCTAATACAATATTTAAATACAAGCAGTAAGTGTTATGAAGAACAGATACAGGGTGATATGAATATATGTTTAAAACATTGGTAGTAATAGCATGTATGTCACTTATAATGTGTCCATATACACAATCTCATTTAGTTTTCACAGACTAAATAATTTGTATTTTATGGTTTTAGAAGAGAGAACTTAAATATAATTTGCATTTAATGCTTTCTTCCAATTTTAAAACTTCTCTGTCTTAAACTGTAAATATTTTGAAAGATGGAACTGGCTTGCTTTGTACAGTACTTGCCACTTATTCAAGTTTGGTTTTGAGAAAGAATTCAAGGCCGGCATTATCAATCATATTCTAAAATTCACTGGAGAAAGAGATAACACTATGAGTGACTGTACCTGCAACTTTGTATGTGAGATCCTTCCTATATTATGTTATGTGGCTGTAGATAACGATCACCTTTGGAAGTATTTTTCAAGTTTATTTCAAGTTCTTTATTTTGCTACAATTTTGTGGGCTTAATTGAAAGCTTGCTCTTCATAAAACTTTATACCTGGTGCTGTGGGGAATACAGATAAGCACTTTCCTCATGGGGATTATACTTTATTAATATAGATGTCAAAAATCAAGTTAAAATAATGTAAGGCAGAATGTAAATGACAATGAGAATACCTGTCATTCACCGAACAACTGTAATATTCTAGACTTTTTCCATGTGTTATTTCTAATCCTGTCAACAATACTGAATAGTAGGAATTATTGTTCTTAACAAATACAGAAGTGGAAACTGTAAACCAGTAGAGAACTAGTCTGTGGTTACATGGTACAAAAGGGCAAAGCCAGGCCTAAAGTTTCATTCTATAAAGTGGTTTTATATTTACTATTTTTTGTTTTTTTGGCTCTTCAACATGGATTGCAATTTAAAATGTTTTTATTTATAAAAGTAAAATGAAGTCATTATAGGAAATTAGAAAATACATAAAACTAAAAGAAAAACAAATAAAAATTTTCCATGGCCTTGCCAGAGATAGTCACCATTCACATTTTAGAATAATTTATTCCTGTCTTTATATACTTATATGTTTGTGTGTAAAATTGTATATATATTTATGTACATATTTATTTTGGAGGTAAAATACACTGGTCATGTTCTTTATACAACGAACTCTGTATATATACAAGTGCTTTTTCACTTAATAGTTTTTATAAATATTTTTCAGTTATCAAGTAAACTTTGGAAACATGATTATTGGTATTTCTGTAAAATTCCATGTTAAGCATTTAACACAATTTTTGTAACTCCTTTCCTTTTGTTGGATTTTTATTTTTAATTTTATACTATTATAAATCTGCATTGAATATTCTTGTACAACAAATTTCATTCACAACTGATTTTCTCCTTAGAGTATATTATGAGAAGCAGAATTACTTGATTAATGTGTATGAATTACCTTTAAGAGTCTTAATGCAAATCACTAAATATGCTGGTGTTTAGGCATGTTTAGGCCTTTTGGGGAGATTCAGGGAAGCTCTTTTCAGATCAGGGAAGTTTGAACAAGATACTTAGTTCAGCTTATATTACTTGAACACATAGTATGTACCAAGGACTCTCTCAGGCATTGGGGATCAGGAAAAGGCAGTTCTGCTCCAGAGAAGTGCTATGACTCTCTTTTAGTTAAGGTGATCCCTTACTCTCAGGATCCTCCACAGCCCTCATCCTTTCCCCACCCTCTCCTGGAAAAAAATACCCTCTTTCCTGTAGAGATCTTGCTGCATTTTGGTTATGCCCTGAGCTTCTTGAATCAAACAGCTTTATTATCATGTTCCTATGTTCTGAAGACTAAGGGGCCAGTCAGTGCAATACTGATTCAAACTTTGAGCATTTCTGGAGTTTAATTCTCAATAATGGGTAAAGATTCACACCAATAGTGAAGTGGCAAGAGGTAACATAAGAATGTTCATATCATAAATGGGAGGAATGGAGAGAAACAGTACTAATATTAGTATCTTTTTATTGGCCAGTAGTTAAGTGTTTTACACATGTTAATTTTACCCTATAAGGAAGGTTTCATTACCCTCATTTTACAGATAGAAAATTGAAGCAAATTGAAATAATGTGCTCAGTAATTTTCTAGAGAAGTTAAATATGGGGCTGCTCTACTAGACATTTACAAATATTATCTCCATTAATTCTTTCAGTAACTCTTTGTAGTAGTTACTGAAGTAACTAATATTATCATCCTCACTTTACTGATGAGGAAACTAGGACTTAAATAGTAGCAAGAAAGTGCCCGTGGTTCCATGGCTAAGAAAAATGGCTGTTTCGATCCATATTGGCATGCTACCAAACTTGTGTCATTTCTTCTATTCCACACTGCCTCTTACAGGAATAAACAGTGAATTGTCTTAAGACTTGTATAATTAACATAATTTGTAATATATTTTTTCATAAGTGCATAGTTTTGTTTGCTTTCTACCATTCACACAGTAGATCACAACCAAATAAAGACAACAATATAAAGTAAATATGGAGAGTTTTCTCAATGAACTTTAATTGAAGGAAGATATAACACAATTTGAAGATTTAATGTTAGTTGTTTTGAATTTTCTTTAGGCTAGAAACAGGCAGAGATGCAAATGTAGTTTTGTATGCCATAGACAATCATGTAAAAGATAATCCTAGCTTTTCAAGTGCTTCATCCTTTTCAAAGCTTCATTTAATGAAGAGAGCAGCATCTGGTTAGGATGTCTTCATTAAGTCATTCCCCAAAGATTCTTAATTGTAGCCAGTGCTCTACCTGGTAACTGGAAAGAATTTTCCTGTTGAAGTTGAGGGTTTATTGTACAACATGGAATATAATCTGAAAGGAACTTCAAGTCCTAGCATTGCTATGTGATTGGAATGTTGAAACCCAATAGGAGTGAATAAACAGCAGGTGCCCCATCTGAGGACCCCTCAACAACGAGTGGAGACAAATGAAGTCTCCTCTCTCAGTTTTACTCTGCCCATCAGCTGGAAAATTAACAAGACAACAATTTGGAACACAGGGGATGCGGTGGCTAGAAAAAATTTGGAGTCTTTTCTTTAAGATGTAAATATTATCTACTGGGTTTATTAACCTGGGTTGTACTTTGAGGCTTTTAATGCAAAATTACATTTTCTATCTTTGAAGTAATCGTCCTTGATTTATCAAGCCAGACTGTGTGAGATTTGTCTGTGAAAAATTAAACGATCACCAAGATTTGAATCCTCAGGCCAACAGTCCTTAACAGCAGAATTCCTCTGAATGTGTTTAACTGCTTCCATTGGAGGGAAGAGTTGTCAAAAAGCAAGCATTTAATACAGGTCCACAGTCCTTTACCTGCAATTCCAAAGTGAAAAAACAACTCTGAAAATAGGTTTTTTAAAGAGATTGAGGTAGAATTTATGTAAAATACTAGATCCCAAGTGTTCAGTTAGATGAGCTTTGACAACTGGATACACCCGTGTTATTTCCCACTCAAAATAAGATATAAACCATTTTCATCACTTCATAGTTTCCTTAAATTACCCTTTTCCTACAATGCTCCCAGGAATCACCTTCTGATTACTATCATCACAGATTAGTTTTACCTGTTCTTAGATTTCATGTAAACAATCGTATAGTATGTTCGTTTTTGTGTCTGAATTCTTTCATTCAAAAAAGTTTTGAGATTCATCCACATTGTATCAGCAGTCTATTCCTCTTTTTCTGAGTGGCATTCTATTATATAAACATAGTATACTTTGCATATCCTTCTGTCGATGAAATTTGGATTGCTTTCAATTGTTGGTTATTAGGAGTAAGGCTGCTACAGCCATCCTTGTCTAAGTCTTTCGGTTGGTATATATTTTTATTTTTCTTGGGTACATACCGAGGAATGAAATTACTGGGTCATAGAGTAGATATTTAGATTAATAAGGAAGTGCAAAATAATTCTCTGAAGTGGTTATGTCATTTTGTACTCTCACCAGCAGAGTATGAGTGTTCTGATCACTCATCCTCACCAACATTTAGCATGATCAGTCTTGATGTTTCAGACGTGGGGCCTTCTAATGGATGTGAAATGGCGTCACATCATGGTTTTAATTTGTGTTTACTGATGATTAATGATGTTGAGTGCTTTTATATTTGCTCACTGGCTATCTGTATATTCTGTTTTGTGAAGTGGCTTGCTTTCTTTTTTGCCCATTTTTAAAATTATTGATTTGTTAGAGTTCTTTATATATTTTAGAAATGAACCCTTTGTCAGATACATGTATTTCAAATATTGTTTCCCTATAGTTTGTGAATTGTCTTTAATTGAAAACTAAACATTTTAGGGTAAATTTGAGTAAATGCACTTAGCACATGCTGATCTGAAATTGTGTGTGGCTAGTCTTTAGGCCACTTGTTATCGATATTCAGATGTTTTACTACAAAAATATTAATATGCTTAATTGCAAGATATTGCACCAGAACCCACTGGAGGTTTTACATCATATATTAATTTTTTACCTTCTGCAACCTCTGCCTCCCAGGTTCAAGTCATTCTCCTGCCTCAGCCTCCCGAGCAGCTGGGATTAAAGGTGCCCTCCACCATGCCCGGCTAATTTTTGTATTTTTGTAGATGAGGTTTCACCATGTTGGCCAGGCTGATCTCAAACTCCTGACCTCAAGTGATCCAAAATACTGGGCCTCCAAAAATACTGGGATTACAGGCATGAACCACCACGCCTGGCCTAGAAACATTTTAAATTTTGAAAACAGTCAGTCCTGGCAGGGCATGGTGGCTCATGCCTATAATCCCTGTGCTTCGGGAGGCAGAGATGGGAGAATCACTTGAGACCAGGAGTTCAAGACCAGCCTGAGTAAGAACTGATTTCTACAAAAAAATCAATACAGTAGCTAGGCATGGTGGTGCATGCTTGTACAATACTAGCTATTCGAAAGGTTGAAGCAGGAGGATCACTTGAGCCCAGGATTTTGAGGCTACAGTGAGTTATGATTGTGCCACAGCACTCCAGCCTGGGCGACAGAGTGAGACTCTTATCTCTAAAAAATGAAAAACAATACAAAAACATTTGGTTCTGAGAGTTCCGAATAAGACACTGGGGACTCATAGTTCTCACCATGTCCTTGGATGAAGATAATGTTATTGGACCAGTGAGTGGAATATTTGTGGCAAAAAGTATTGGCATCTTGTCTTAAAATAATTCATTTAATTACCATTATAATTTTTTTAATGAAAAGCAGGTATTATAAATTATAAACTTCTGGAAATCATAACTATTTTGTCTTCTATATTTTCAATGTATATCAAGATAATTATAGAAAATTAAACTAATTGCATTAGAGAAGTAAATACAATTTATTATAGTGATAAGTATTTTGATAAATGAAATTGATTTTTCTTTGTAAATTATTTAGAGTTGACTACAGAAACTTTAATCTCTGACTTTGCAATTCTTTACATATTTTTTAACTTTGGGATATTTTGCCTTTAAAATCTATTCTTCAAAAGAACAGTGTAACCAAAATATTCGATTGACATAATAGCAATAATATATTTGACTAACTTCTAGTTTTAGATAATTAGCACTTGAATGCTGATGAGATGGCAAGCTTTGCAAAACCAAGAGCAATAATTAGTAAAATAGCAAAATGTGTTCCTGCTTTCTCAAGTAGATGATCATTTAAGATATGGGATTGGATAAAGTTGAGAACTCTCAATTCTTTTAAGTTATGTCAACATATGAAAGTAATTTTGATTATGTTGACTGCCAAAAATTCCTTCAGTACAGAGTTATTAAAAATAATTTAGATTTTTTTCTTTTTCAGTTTTAGCTTAAACTGTTTATCAGTCAAAAAGACCTCTATTGTGTTTGCTTGTCTTTTTTGCTGGGGAAACATTATGTGTTCAATACACTTGATTGAGTTTGACCATTTTTGACTGCTTTTGAAAAAAATCTATAAACTGTATATCATAATATGTATTTCACAAATTGTAAAATAGTAACTCCCTGCTTGTTGGAATGTTTCAGTCTTTCTCATGTTTTATAATCATTATTCGACAACGTCGAAAACCCTTTAAAACATTTGTAAGGAGAACTGACTAGGTGGTTGAAAATAGTTTACATCTTTAAAGATAGTCACACCTAATAAACCTGCACTATTGAAACATCAGATGTATATATAAATATTTTGTTTCTTCCTTTAAGAACCTTTAGGATTATGTAAACTAAGTAAGTTTTTAAAAGGTATCTCTCTTGTGGTTATTTCTCTTTACTTTTGGCAGATATAAAAAGAATATAAAGATATAAGAAGACAATAAAATATACTAAATATATAATATAAAGATAAAAAATATATAAGAATATATTATAAAGATATGTAAAAAGATAATAGAAAGAATAAAATATAAAGATTAAAAGAATGTGGAAGATATACAGTACATCTTAATCCTACATTAATGAATTAGAACAAATGGAAGAGTTTTTCCCTTTTTAAAAGGCAGAATTTTAAAAACTATTTATTTATGCCCACTTGTAAGTGAGAAAACTAATGGACAAAGAGAGATGGTTCTTTACTGTTCATTGAAGCATCAGAACTATAAAACATTTTATTTAACTTTAGTTAAACCAATATATTTAAGTTTACATCGCAATGTAATTAAATACATGAATTAAATTAAATTTGATTTAAATTTTAGTTCCTTAGTCATACTAGCTGTGTCTCAAATGACTGATAACACATGGCCAGGTAGCTACCATATTGAACAGCAAAGATACAGAATATTTCCATCTTCCAGAAAAATTATATGCACAGCACTGCTTTAGAAAATTTTGGCTGATGTATAGATATTGCAAGTCTTGTCCACTTTAATATTTTAATTCCCTATATAACATAATTATTTGTAGCTTTTGTGTTTCAGGGAACACATGATTTCCCTTTGCTTAAAGTTAAAACAGAAACACAAGTTTTAATTTATACAAAAATGATGCATCAGCAACTTCTGAGGGAAAGCAAAGATAGTCAGGAGGGGTTCTTTACCTTTTCCCCCTTCCCTAGAAAGATCAACTTTCACGTAATGTTAAAACTTGTTTCGGTTGGCTGCATCCTGAGTATTCACTTGCAGACATCTGCTTCTCTTGTGGGAGCATCAGAAGAGCTCATGTGATGAGTGTTGCAGGTGGTCTTAGGTCATTTTCCAGTGTGTTTGGAGAAGCAGAGGATGTGGCACGCTGTAACACAGCAACTGCCCATCCAGCCCAGCATCCTGCCCCCCACCGTGGCAAAGACCAAAGCATCAAAGGAAAGCACAGATTCCTCACAACACATTTAATTGTGCAATTCTACACCCGGGAAATGTTTTCTCTGACCCAGACTGGTAATCAGCTTATGCCCTAAAGCATGAGAAAAGGTCATTAATTATACCGTGAACTGGATTTTATAAGGATCACTTTGGTAGGAAAAACAGAATGCAAACTGCCTTTAACTAATATGTTTCTATGTCCCTTCCATAAAAGTGGAAAATGGGAGGTTTTATACTATTTCTTATTTTAAAAAGAAAGTAATAGTGACCCCTAATTAAGAATATTACTGGCAGGCTGTATAGAGAAAATAGGGTTAGAATGAAAATGCCATAGGTTGAAGTGGAAGGCATATATATGCCTTGCTAGGGGCACCTTATTCTCTTTCTTCTCTTTTAACTACAAAATATATAAAAGGTGTTAGGGCTTACAGAGCTTTTTTATTGGTTTTGTTTTAAAGCTTAAAGAATGGCCTATGAAGATTTAACCCCCTTAACTCCTAAGAATTGTGAACCTTTGCATCTGAATCTGAAGGAAGGGAGCAAGGCAGAAAGAGAAAGATTGCTTTCTTTCACGTAGCATCAACTACCCCAAAGCTGGAGTGAGTGGTTGCCATCCTGATGGCTATTTTCCTTTGTGACCCACATTTAAGATAAGACACAAGATTGTTATGAGATGGGGAGAGGGCAGGCCAAAGTGGTTGATTGCCAGCATAGTCTTAGAATCTGTGGAAATGCTGGGCCAGGCCTAACATTAAGAGAAGGTGAGTGAAGGCTGTCTTTGGCAATGTTTTTATTAAGGAGCTACCGTAGCATCTAACGCTGTCTCCCAGCTATGAGGGGCAGTCCCCCCACTGTGGAAATGCTGTGACTTTAGGGTAATAATGTGACTGGTTTGCAAACTATAAGCACTGAGCTTTCATGTTGCCTCTGTTACAAATAGCAGGGAAATTATTTAGCCTACCTCAGTTTCCCACATTTCTTCTTCTATAAAATAAAAAAAATAAAACCTATCCCACCATATTGTGCTGAGGAAAAATAAAATAATTTATGTAAAACTCCATGACATATTGTAGGCTCTGAATCAATGGTAGCACGCGTGGTTGTGACTCTACAGGGGGTGCCTTCCTGGGTGGTGCCACATATTCTCAGTATCACCTCTACCCCAATAAAACTTTCCCATCATTTCCTATTTACTTAAGACCCAAAGCTTTCTGAAATGACAACCAGGCTGGCACAAAAGATGATTTTTTTTTTTTTGTCAAAAATATGAAATGTTTAGTTTTTTCTACTTGGTGTTTCCCCTCTACTCCATCTAAGGTGGGACTGTTTCCATACCCATTTTTTTCATGGTGGGCTTTTGAGATGCGATATTAAAATTAAGGGGGAGCCAACAGGGGATGGCAGTGAGTAGAAGAAAAGGGTGATATTTGGAAAGGTGAGAGTCAGGGGCCAGCATTGGGAGAATTTTGAAAGTGAAGGTAAGGGGCCTTCACGGGTGCAAAAGAAAGATGTGAAAGGAAAAGGAGATCTTAAAAAATGCTGCAGTGAATAACACGTTTACACATGTAAGAAAAAATTTTCTTATTTTGAAGTTACTGTTCTGTTTTGCCTGAGTGTGTGCTTTGAACCACATCACCACACTGATACCAAACACCATAGTCATTTCTTCAGTGGGGTTTGCAAATAAGCCAATTCTGGTTAACTAACGTGTGCGGTTGTGTTTGTGGGGAGGATGTATTTGTTGAAGGGAGACCTGTCACCTCACCTGTGGTTACACATGTTCCTGATGGACAGAAGGCTGTATTGTCTAATGCACTGGTAACTTTATCAGAAACAATTTCAGACCAGGAGAAAGATACTAAGGACCATT
Organism: Homo sapiens; assembly: GCF_000001405.40. NCBI lineage: Eukaryota > Metazoa > Chordata > Mammalia > Primates > Hominidae > Homo > Homo sapiens. The sequence continues at coordinate 199,510,329 of NC_000001.11, read as the reverse complement.
TTTACACAATCCGGCTATGCAAATCAAACTGTAAGGCCACCTTTCTACTCTTGTGTGTAGCACAGGAGTGACAGGAAGGCTTGGGGCTAGACACTGTTTAAATGTGAGGAATTTTCTTAGGAAACATTAACAGCTTGAGTGGAAAACTTGCTGCTAGTGCTAGCTGCTTTCAGGCTGTACCCAATAATATAATCTGGTTTGAGAACATCCTTTCCTATTAGTCTATCATCATTTGCCCATTTTTCAGTTTGCAGGGAGATGGTACTCAGAGACCTTGATGTTCAGGCTTGTGCTCGGTTTAGGAGATCTTGTTGCTACTCCTTTCAGTCATTTAGGATTGCAGGAAAATTATAAAAATGATTTTAAAATCCCAAGTGGGATCCTGTTAAGACCTTTAGAGGGCCTTAAACACTGAAAACTTTCTGGTACTCTTCCCTATATTTGATTTAAAATAATTCTAAATTAAAAAACAAGACTAAAATTGTGCCATAGAATATTGGTTGGCTTTTTTTAATGATTACTTTGATGCTTCTAATTAAAATGTCACATCTATTCCTTCAGAAATACTTTTGGTGTCTCTGGTTTATTGGCACCCCAGTATAGGTTTAAGCTAGCCACAGAAAAATTTCTTGCTTAGTAACTGACAGGTAGGTTGAGAAGATGAAGGATAAATCCAGCGTCATTGAAACAAAGTAGCATGGCTGATGTAAACGTGTGAAATGAGAGCCCCTGATTTCAGTGTGTGACAACTAGTCAGAAGTCATTTTAATTTCTAAACAAAATGAGATAATCTAGCCTATTGGTTATTTTGTCTCTCTGGTAGCACAAAACAATTTTTCTTTATGCCAAGCTCCAAGCCTATTTTTCCCTAATACGCCTTTTTGGAAGTATCCACCATGATATTACATAACCAATTTTTTAAACCAGTTCTATGTGTAAATTTTCTCCATGTTGTATTGCTAAAGTCTAGAAAATTGATAAAATAATCCTTATTAATGATGTTATTACTGTAATATAAGCAACATCACAAATCACTGATATTTGCATTGCACTTTACAATTTACAAAGAATGTGATCTTTTCATTTGAACTTCATACCAGTCATGGGATGTTAACAGGAGAGTCCTATAAAAGAGTTAATGAGCAAACTTCTTTCACATTTTAACAGACTTTCTGAAGATAGAATTTCTTGACACTAAAGATCAAAGCACTGTTACTAGCTTATAATCATGATTTTTTTTTCTTTTTGCAGGGGGCAAGGAAGAGGCCTCATTGGCACTATAAAGAATGCACTATAAAAATGTACCAATATTCCTTTTTATAGAGTCCTTATCCTTTAAGGCCCAGGGTAATCATTGCCTTCTTTGTGACGCCTTCCTCACTGCACAAGGAGCATTCTTTATTCTTTTTCTGACTGCCAAAAGTGCTTTATCAAAGCTTTTGTGTTTTGATATCCTCCCTAGGTTGTGCATTCCTTCAGGATTATGTTACTCGCTCTTACCTGACCAGCATGTAATACAATAATTACAGCATGTAGTAGATGCTCAGTAAATATTTTTAAACTGATTCATAAAGTAAATGAGTGAATGAATAACAAATGAATGATTGGGACCAATTTGGTGGGTTGAAGGTAGTTCAACAATCAAGATTTCTAAATTTAGCAAGGCTGTTATAAGCTGGAGGATCAAGAGGAGTTCTTAGAGTTGTAACTCAGCATCCCCCTTGTCAACATCAAGTGTAGCTTTAGATCAGCTCCCTAAAAGCTGTACCTTTTGAAGTGCTTCAAAAAAGGAGGAACCGTCTTGAGATATTTCAGATATACAGAAGATGATTAGAATAATAGAAGTGTTTAACAGTCCCCCAGGAGTGGGGGCACCTTAAAATTCTGTCCTTATCATGAACTAAAAAATTCATAAGAAATTGAATGTATTCTGGTTACTCTTTCAGGGCTTGCAAAAATTCTTAAAGGCAGCAGCTTGGAAGCAAGGCTCCTGGCAACATTCTACTGATTTCTTAAGTGTTCAATTCTGAAAAAAAAAATGCAAATGTGAAATACATCTTCTGATCCCGGCTGCTGAAACACAGTAGTTATCATTAGCGCTGATAAGCTGCTTGTCAGCACTCTGACTCCACATTATAGAAAAGCCACAGACTGACTTCACTTATTAGCACAAGAGCTAGTAAAAGGCTTCAACAGAGATGTTTTAGACAGATCTTCTGTAGCTTCAAACACGTAATCAGCAGAGTTCTTTGGGGAAAGCCAGTTGAAGTTCATACTTCACACCTTGGTACATTAATAACATTAATTTCACTCTGCCTTTATAATCAGAGAGTCCTACCTACAGACGCTTATTTGAAGATGTCTGAGGGCCCACACAAGTAGGGAGGTAATAATACTTCTTCTAAAGGAGACTGTTCCATGCAGAAGGTGGGGATTAGAAAGAGTAATAATTATACCTGAAATGTTAATAACTGGATATCTTTTCTGAACTCTTACAAGTATTTACATTTAAAAAGATAAAATTGTTAAAAAATTTAGAAAAAGAATAAGAGCAGTTTCAGTGAAAAACAGGCAATTTTCTTTTTTGTGGTTGATGTTACTGTGTAGTTCTCTTTGGGATTCTTCTATGTAAGCCTGAAAAACTGAAGGAAACCATTATTATGCAAAGCACTCTGGCACAAATGGCATTGTATATCTTATATGATAGGGAATTTCTGAAAAAAAAAAAAAGAAGAAGAAAGAAAAGAAAGAAAGATAAGGCATTCAGTGTTTGGGGTTTCCAGTGAAAGTTCATTGCTGTGCTTGCCAATATTATCCCGTACCTGAGCATATGCTACTGCTATGCTATGAGGGGGGAAATTAGAAATCCAAATAGCTTCATAGTAGGAGCTCTTAATTTCAAGTTAGGAATAATAGAATATAACTTTTAGTACATTTTAGCATTTCTCTCTTCACAAAGCTCACATATTTAATATTATTCACAAAGATTGCGTAGTAAGTAGAAAACATCAAATGAATGCCCTTTAAAATTATTATGAGATAATATCAGTGAAAATTATAGAAGTAAGCATTGTAAGTTTTTTAACAATATTAAAAGAAATGATGTTGTCCCATTAACAAAGTAATGAACTCAGCTACTGAGGACTTCAAATCTACAATATTTGCAGTGTCCAGCTGTAGCTTCTCTCTTGGCCTAAATAGTAAGTGTTGGTATTTGAAAATCAATCCTATATATTTCAAATTTAGATTCGAGGCTCTCCGCTCCTACAGGAGGGATTCCTAGAGCGATGTTGGTTGCGACAACTCTCTTCCCTTTCACTTTTTGCCAAGGCTAAGCTAATTCCTGCTCCAATCCTCTGTCTTTATCTTCTTTATAAGACGAATCATCATTCTGGAAAGGATGGAGGAAACATAGCTAAGAGGAAACTGAGTTGCTTTACATGTATTCAAGCCACCAATTCTTTAAACAGTATATTCAAACTACCTAGATAACTTAAAATGCTTGATGTTGTTATTCCAGTAACACTTGTTGTAATCTTGAAGAACAGAATAGTCATCAGAAGGCCAGAGAAAGGCAAACACTGTCTTTGTTTTTTTTTAAACATTTTATTATTGAGAATTTCAAATATACCAACATAGAATAGTAAAATGAAATCCCTTTGAATCTGTTACACAATTTCAATAATTGTCAACTCATGTTATGCTGTATACCCCATTGACTATATACATTCACTTTCTTCCATCCTATAGAATTTTGAGGCAAATTCTATATATCATGTTTTATATCTCCATATTTTAGTACATAACTTTAAAAGAACTCACTTGTTAATTAACATAATGAAAATATAAATGCCTTACTGAAAAACTGAACAATTTTTTTAATATTATCAAATATTCAGTAATTTTGAGAACTATCCATTTTCTCATAAATCCTATAAATGCATTTATAGCTTGAATCAGATACATATGTGCCAATTCATTAAAAAAATTCCTTTAAGTCTTTAGTTTCTTTTTCTAGTTCCCCGTTTTCCACTCTTTGCTTTCTTGCTTTTGTTATTGTTGTTGAAGAGAAACAAGTTGTTTTCACGTACTTGAACAGATTCCTTTGTCTTCTATCTGTCCTGGACATGTAGAATATATATAGTTGGATCTAGAGTTTTGATCAGTTTTGGCTTTTGTGTGTGTATTGTGTGTGTGTTTTCTTTTGCTCCTGAGAGACTTAACAGTTTTGAGTTCAGTTTTTTTTTTTTCCTAACACAGTTTGATAAATGCTTATTGTTCTATCAGAAGGCAAAATGTCTGTTTTTTTTCTTTTTATGATGTTAGCAGATGTCGATGCCCCATGCTTAGATCAAGTAATTCATTAGGAGAACAAAATGTTTAAATTCTATTCCATCTTCTCTTTTTCATTTATTAGCTGGTATAATACTATGTAGTGAAACATTCTCTGATCTACTGTTAGAGTACCCAGTGGTACATTAGTATGGGAATGGCAGGATAAATGTTTGATTCTATTTACCTATTTTTAAATTAATGAGTATAGTTCCAAGCATATTTTGATGATGACCCATTAGGCCTTTTTTGTATTATAATAAACTCATGGAAGCAAACTTTTAAAATACGTTTTAGTACATTGTAACTATTATTTTCATTGACGATCAAATTAAGAGATTTTAGCCAGTGAGAGCCACTTCAATCTGGCTCCTAGAATCTTTTAAAACTACTTGGATATTTTTGGATAGATCCATGTTATCTTGTATTACAAGATATTTGAGGCATCTTATTCATTTTATTTCCCAGAGCTTGGCATCCTTTTTTCTAAGGATCTCTGGAAATTGTACCTGGAAACCGTAGCCTGGGTTTTAGATATTAGTTGCATACACTGCACCTAGATTGGTCACTATGTTTAGGTAGTAATTGTTTATTTTTCTGTAGGCAGAGCGAGGTATATGTTCTTGCTTTTTACAAATAAAATATATCATGTTGTATGTTCATTCTTTCTAATGAAATTCAGATTTTTACATATATATCTTCTTTCGTACTAACGATTTCAGTTTTTGAGGACTTAACAGTCTTTTTATTAATGTCTTTCTAGTCATTTTTGTCCCCTGAAGCTCATTTTCTAGAAGATTCTTTAGGAAATATTTAAGGGTATTCCACATGAACTTGCATATTGTTAAAATTTGTCAACAACTGGACATTAAATCTTCAGTTCACACTTTTTTCTTTTGGTGTCTTGAAAATGTTACTCCATCACATTCTCTCATTGCTCACATTCAATAGCAATGTCATTGAAAACTCTGATTGCAATCTCATTTTCTTTCTTGCTTGGATAACCAAATAATTTTTTCTTTAAAGCTGACTACTTTCTTACATTTTTTTGGTATATTACTTTTTTCTATTACTGCTATAACAAAATACTACCAATTTAGTGGCTTAAAAATACCACACATTTATACCTTACAATTCTCTAGGTCAGATGCCCAAAACGAGTCTCACTGGGATAAATCAGTAAAGATACATTCCTTTATGGAACTCTAAGGCAGAATTTGTTTGCTTGTCTTTTCCAGCTTCTAGAGGCTGTCCAGATTCCTCGGATTATGGACCTCTTATTGCATCTTCAAAGCCAGCATTGTCATATCTCCCACTGATGCATTTTCAGTAGTCACATTGCCCTCTGACCACAGCCAGGAAAGGTTCTATTCCTACAAGGATCAATGTGATTAGATCAGGTTCACCCAGATATTATAGGATAAATTCCTCATCTCACGGTCCTTAACCTTAATCACAATAGCAGACTCCCTTTGCCATGCAAACTAACATATTCACAATCCTGGGGAAGAGGGTGCAGACATCTTTAGATAGGGGTGTTCACCTGCCTGCCACGCTTGATATTGTTTGTTCTGGGTTCATTTTCCAGGAACATGGTAGATCCATTCAATTTAAGTTTGAAATCTTTATGTGTAGAACATTTTTTTTAATGAAAGATTTATTTATTATTTGAGACAAGATCTCACTCTGACACCCAGGATGGTGTGCAGTGATCATGGCTCACTGCAGCTTTGTCCTCCCCAGGGTTAGGCGATCCTCCCATCTCAACCTCCCAAGCAGCTGGGACTACAGGCATGCGCCACAACACCCAGCTAATATTTTTGTGTGGCGGCGGGGAGCGTGGGGGCGCATATTTTGTATAGAGACAGGGTTTTGCAATGTTGCCCAGGCTGGTCTCAAAACTCCTGGGCTCAAGCAATCCACCCACCTTGGTCTCCCAAAGTGCTAGGATTACAGGTATAAACCACCACACCCAGCCAACAGATTTTTATTGTTGCTATTGTTCTGTTTCATTACATTGCTTTACTTTTTCAGGGACTTCTATTACATATGTTGAAGCTTCTTTACTAGCTTCTAATTTGTCAATTTCTCTCTTCTACATTTTCTTTCTTTTCTTTTTAAGTATTTATTTTTTACCTTCTATTTTTCTTACGTTACATATTGTGTTTATTTGCTCGTTTTCCTTCAGGTTTAGTCTTTTTTTCTGAATGGGTACTTTTTTCTGAGTTTTATCACCTTATTTATTTATAGTAGACTTTATTTTTTAGGACAGTTTTAAACTAACAGAAAAATTGAACTGATAATTCAGAGTTACCATATGCTCCCCTCCCCCAACACAATTTCTCCTTTTATTAACATTATGCATTAATGCGGTATGTCTATTACAATTAATGACCCAACATTGATACATTGTGATTAACTAATGTTCATAATTTACATTAAGGTTCATTCTGTGCTGTACAATTCTTTGAGTTTTAATATATGTATAATATCATGTGTTCTCCATTAAAGTATCATTCAGGATAGTTTCACTGACCTAAAAATCCACCCCCTGAGCTTCAGCTATTAATCCCTCATCTCCTCCCTCAAGCCCTTGGAAACCACTGATTTTGTTTTTTTACTTTCTCTACAGTTTTGCTTTTTCCAGAATGCCATTTAGTTGGAATCAAAGAACATGTAGCCTTTTTCAGATGACTTTGTTCATGTAATATTATGCATTTAAGATTCCTCAATGTGTTTTCATGGCTTGGTAGCTCATTTCTTTTTATTACTGAATAATATCCCGCTGTATAGTTGTGCCACAGTTTGGATATCCATTAGCCATTTGTAATACCACTTGGTTAATTCCAGGCTTTGGCAATTATGAGTAGAGCTTCTATAAACGTTTATGTGCAGGCTTTTGTGTGGACATAGTCTTTGACTCAATTGAGTAAATACCTAGGAGTGCAATTGCTGTATCATATAGTAAGACTATGTTTACCTTTCTGAGGAGCTATCAAACAGTCTTCTAAAGTTGTAGTACTATTGGGTACACCAGCAATGAATGGGAGTTCCTGTTGCTCCACATCATCACCAGCATTGTCAGGTTTTTTTTTTTATTTCAGCCATTCTAATAGGTGTGTAGTAATACCTAATTGTTGTTTAACTTGCAGTTCCCCTGAGGAATATGATGTTGAGCATCTTTTCTTATGCACATTTTGCACCTGTACATCTTCTTTGGTGAGGAGCCTGTTTAGTTTGTTTGTCCATTTCTTAAATTGGGTTGTTGGCTTTTTTAATTGTTGAATTTTAAGAGGTTTTTTTTTTTGTATATTTTGGATACAAGTTATTTATAATATATATGCTTTGCAAATATTTCACCCATTCTGTGGTTTGTCTTTTCATTCTCTTAAGAGTGTCTTTAGCTGGTCAGTTGTTTTTAACTTTAATAAAGACCAAATTATCAATTTTTTCTTTCATGGATAGTGCTATTGGTGTTGTATCTGAAAACCAAATCAAAGGTCACTTAGATTTTCTCCTGTGTTATTCTCTAGAAGTTTATAGTTTTGTTCTTTATATTTAGGTCTACAATCTATTTTGAGTTAATTGCTCTAAAAGATAGAAAGTCTGTGTATAGATTTATTTTTGTGTTTGCACGTGGATGTCCGATTGTTCCAGCATGAGTTGTTGAAAAGAGTATCCTTTCTCAATCAAAACTCTTTTGCTTTTATGCCCAAAATCAGCTAATGGCATCTATTTCTAGGCTCTCTATTCTGTTCCATTGATAAATTTATTTCTTCTCTTGCCAATACCATGGTGTCTTGGTTACTTTAGCTTTATAGTAAGTCTTGAAGTCAGGTAGTGTTAACACTTCAGTTTACTTTACTTCAGCATTATTTTGGCCCCTCTGGGTATCTGCCTTTCTATATAAATTTTATAATTATTTTATCAATTTCCACCAGTGGGATCTTGAATAGGATTTTACTGAACCTACAGATTAAGTTGGAAAAAATCAACATCTTAACAGTATTGAGTCTTCTTGCCAATGAACATGAAATATCTCTTCATTTGTTTAGAATTTGTTTGATTTCTTTCAGCAGAGCTTTGCAGTTTTCTTTATATAAATGATATACATATATTGTTACATTTCGACCTAAGTAGTTTTTTTGTGCTAACATAAATAATATTGTGATTTTAGTTTCAAATTTCAATTGTTTAATGCTGCCATATAAGAAAGAATTTAACTTTGGTTTATTAACCTTAAATTCTGAAGCCCCCATATAATTGCTTATTTTTTCCAGGAGTCTTTTTTCTTTCTATTCTTTGGGATTCTCTTCATAGATAATCACGTTATCTGCAAAGACAGCTTTATGTTTTCCTTCCCAATATATGTATTATTTATATCCTCTACTTGTCTTATTGCACTAGCTAGAAATTCTTGTACAATGTTGAACAGGAGTGGTGAGAGGAGTCATGCTTACCTTGCTCTCAAACTTAGGGGGAAGACATTTAGTTTCTTACCGTTAAGTATGATGTTAGCTGTAGAATTTTTTTGTAGATTCTCTTTATCAGGTCAAGGAAGTTCTCTAGTCCTAACTGGCTGATTTATTTTTTAATCATGAATTAGTGTTTTCTCAAATGCTTTTCCTGCATTTATTGATCAGCTCATATGATTTTTCTCTTTAGCCTGTTGATGTCATTGATTTTTGAATTTTGAACCAGCCTTTCATACCTGAAATAAGTCTCTCTTGGTCGTGCTATATAATTCTGTTTATACAATTGTTTAATTTGTTAATATTTTGTTGATAATTTTTTGAGAATACCATATGATTTTATAAAACAAAAACAAGGGAAACACCTTAAGAGACACGCTGTTTCATAGTAAAGTGATTTAATTGGCAGACTGTCTTTGAAAATGGGACAAATTATCAGATGGGTTTTTACTATGTAATAGCACCATAATCTATCACAGGGTCCAAGAAGCTCAGGGTCTTTATTTATCTTTTCTTTTAGTTTTTAAAACTTGTATATATTCGTTGGGTATAAATGCAGTTTTGTTACATGGATATATTGCATTGTGGTGAATGAAGTAAGGGCCTTTGGTACATCCATCATTGGAACAACACACATTGCACCCACCAAGAAACTTACTATCATCCACTCCCTTCTTATCCCCCACCCCTCTGAGTTTCCATTGTCCACCATTACACACTCTGCCTCCATGTATACACCTTATTTAGATCCCACTTGTAACTGAGAACATATGGTATTTGTCTTTCTGTATCTGAGTTGTTTCACTTAAGATAGTGCCTCCAGTTCTATCCATGTTGCTGCAAAAGACATGATTTTATTCTTTTTTTATGGCTGAGTAGTTTCCCACTGTGAATATATATCACATTTTCCTTATCCAATTCCCCATTTATGGACACTTAGATTGATTCCATATCATTACTATTGTAAATAGTGCTGCAATAAACATATAAGTGCAAGTATTTTATTGATACAATGATTTCTTTCCTTTGAGTAGATACCGGGGATTCTGGATCATATGGTAGTTCTATTTGTGTGTCTTTGAGAAATCTCCGTTCTGTTTTCCATAGAGGTTGCACTGATTTGCATTCCTACCATTAGTGGATAAGTATTCTTTTTTCTCTGCATCCTCTCCAGCATCTGTTATTTTTAGCCTTTTTAACAATAGCCATTCTCATTGGTATAAGATAATATCTCATTGTGGTTTTAATTTGCATTTCTCTGATGATCAGTAATATTGAGCAGTCTTTTCATATGCTTATTGGCCATTTGTCTTCTTTTGAAAAATGTCTATTCATGTCCTGAGCCCACTTTTTAATGGGATTATTTCAGGGTTTTTTTGTTGAGTTATTTGAGTTTTTTGTAAATTCTGGATATTAGTCTCCTCTTGAAGGCATAGCGGAAATATTTGTAAGTATTTTCTCCAATTCCTTAAGCTGTCTGTTCACTCTGTTAATTATTTCTTTTGCCAAACAGAAGACTTTTAGTTTAGTTAAGTCCCATTTGTCTATTTTTGTTTTTGTTACCTGTGCTTTTGAGTTCGTAGTGATAGATTTTTTTTTTGGCCTAAACCAATGTCTAGAATAATTTTCCTAGGTTTTCTTCTAGTATTTTTATAGTTTCAGTTCTTATATTCAAGTCTTTAACCCATCTTGAATTGATTTTTGTATATAGTAATATATGGGGTCCATTTTTATTCTTCTGCATATGGCCATCCAATTTTTCCAGCAGCCTTTATTGAAAAGGGTGTCTTTTCCCCATTGTTTGTTATTATCGACTTTGTCAAAGATCAGTTGGCTGTAAGTATGTGGCTTTATTTCTGGGATCTCTATTCTGTTCCACTGATCTATGTGTCTATTTCTATCCCAGTACCATGCTATTTTGGTTACTGTAGTCTTATAGTATAATTTGAAGTCAGGGAATGTGATACCTCCAACTTTGTTCTTTTTGCTTAGGATTGCTTTGGCTGTTTGGGCTCTTTTTTGGTTCCATATAAACTTTAGAATTGTTTTTTCTAATTCTGTGAAAATAATGTTGGTATTTTGATAGAGATTGCATTGAACCTGTAGATTGCTTTGGGCAGTATGGTCATTTTAACTATATTAATTCTTCTGATCCAAGGCCATAGGATGTCTTTTCCATTTGTTTGTGCCATCTACAATTTCTTTTATCTGTGTTTTGTAATTTTCTGTGTAGAAAATTACACACACTTGGTTAAATGTATTCCTAGGTATTTGTATGTGTGTGTGGTGATTATAAATGGGATTGCCTTCTTTAGTCCTCAGCTAGATCATTATTGCTGTATAAAAATGCTACTGATTTCTGCACATTGATTTTGTATCCTGAACCTTTACTGATTTCATTTATCAAATCTAAGAGTTTTTTGGTGGACTCTTTAAGGTTTTATGTAAGATCATATCATTAGGGCACAGGGATAACTTGACTTCCTCTTTTCTAATTTGAGTGCCTTTTATTTTTTTCTCTTGCTTGATTGCCCTGGTGGGGATTTCCAGTACTATGTTGAATAAGAGTTGTGAAAGTGGGCATCTTTCTCTTGTCTAGTTCTTTTTTTTTTTTTTTTGAGATAGAGTCTTGCTCTGTTACCCAGGCTGGAGTGCAGTGGCACAATCTCGGCTCACTGCAATCTCTGCCTCCCAGGTTCAAGTGATTCTCCTGCCTCAGCCTCCTGAGTAGCTGGGATAACAGGCACCCATCACCACATCCGACTAATTTTTGGATTTTTAGTAGAGATGGGGTTTCACCATGTTGGCCAGGCTGGTCTCAAACTCCTGACCTCAGGTGATCCACTTACCTTGGCCTCCCAAAGTGCTGGGATTACAGGCATGAGCCACCCCACCCAGCCTTGTCTTACCTAGTTCTTAGAGAGAATGCTTTACACTTTTCCCCATTAAGTATGATGTTGGTTGTGAGTTTGTGGTATATGGTCTTCATTATGTTGAAATAGGTTTCTTCTATGCCTAGTTTGTTGAGGATTTTTATCATGAAGACATGCTAAATTTCATCCAGTGCTTTCCCTGCATCTATTGAGATGATTATATGGTTTTTGTCCTTAACTCTGCTTATGCGATGTATCACATTTATTGATTTGCATATATTGAATCATTCTTGCATTCCTAGGATAAATACCACTTGGCCATGATGTATTGTCTTTTTGATGTACTGTTGGATTCAATATACTAGTATTTTATTGAGGATTTTTACATCTATATTCATCAGGAATACTGGTTTGTAGTTTTCCTGTTTTGTTGTGTCCTGTCTTGTTTTGGTATCAGGGTGATACTGGCATCATAGAATGAGTTAGGGTGAATTTCTCCTGGATTTTTAGAAATAGTTGTAGAAGGACTGGTATTAGTTCTTCTCCTTCTTCTTCTTCTTTTTTTTTTGAAACAGAGTCTGCTTTGTTGCCCAGCCTGGAGTACAGTGGCATGATCTTGGCTCACTGCAACCACTGCCTCCTGGGTTCAAGCAATTCTCTGCCTCAGCCTCCTGAGTAGCTGGGGTTACAGGCGCCCACCACCATGCTCGGCTAATTTTTTTTTTTTTTTTGTCTTTTTAGTAGAGATGGGGTTTCGCCATCTTGGCCAGACTGGTCTTGAACTCCTGACCTCGTGATCCACCCGCCTCAGCCTCCCAAATTGCTGGGATAACAGGCATGAGCCACTGCTCCCGGCCTAGTTCTTCTTTTTCTGTGAATCTATCCGGTCCTGAGTTTTTGTTTTTTTTTTCCTGGGAGATTTTTTTATTACTGATTCAATTTTGCTACTCATTGTTGGTCTGTTTAGGAGTTCTGTTTCTTGCTGGTTCAATCTCAGGAGGTTGTATCTTTCCAGGAATATATTCATTTTGTCTAGTCTTTCTAGTTTGTATGTGCACAGTTGTTCATAATAGTTTCTGATGATCTTTTGTATTTCTGTGTTATTAGTTGTATTGTTCATAATAGTCTCTGATGATCTTTTGTATTTCTATGGTATTAGTTGTAATATCTCCTTTTTCATTTTTGACTATGTTTATTTGGATCTTCTTTTTTCTTGGTCAGTCTAGCTAGTATTTATCAATTTTATTTATCTTGTCAAAGAATCGTCTTCTCATTTTGTTGATCCTTCATGTTGTTTTTTGATCTCTCATTTAGTTCTGCTCTAATCTTTGTTATTTCTTTTCTTCTGCTAACTTTGGGTTTTGTTTGTTCTTGTTTTCCTAGTTCCTTGAGGTGTGACGTTACATTGTTAATGTGTTATCTTTCTACTTTTTGATGTAGGCATTTAATGCTATTGACTTTCCTCTTAGCACCACTTTTGCTGTATCCCTCAGGTTTTGATATGTTGTGTTTTTATTTTTATTCATTAAAAAAATTTTTAAATTTCCATTTTAATTTTCTTGTTGACCCAGTCATCCTTCAGGGGAATGTTGTTTCGCTTTTATGTATTTTTACACTGTCCAAAGTTACTCTTGGTATTGATTTCTAGTTTTATTCCACTGTGGTCTAAGAAGATATTTGATATAATTTTTAGTTTTAAAAAATTTGTTAAGACTTATTTTGTGGCCTAACATGTGGTCTATCTTGGCGAATGTTCCATGTGCTGATGAAAAGAATATATATTCTGTAGTTGTTGAGTAAAATGTTCTATAAATGTCTGTTAAGCCTGTATAGTCTAAAGCACAAATTAAGTCTAATGTTTCTTTGTTAATTTTCTACCTTAATCATCTGTCTAGTGGTGTGAGTGGGGTGTTTAAGTCTCCCACTATTATTGTATTGCTGACTATCTCTTTCTTTAAGTCTACTAAAATTTGCTTTGTGAATTTGGGTACTCTGACGTTGGGTGCATATATATTTAGGATTGTTATATTATCTTGCTGAATTGATTTCTTTATAATTACATAATTACCTTTTTTATCTTTTTTATTATTTTTGATTTAAAGCCTATTTTATCTGATATAAAGATAGCTACCCCTGCTCACTTTTGTTTTCCCTTTGCATGGAATATCTTTTTCCACCCTTTTACTTTCAGTCTATAGATGTCTTTTTTTTTTTTTTTTGGAACGGAGTCTCACTGTGTCTCCTAGGCTGGAGTGCAGTGGTGCGATCTCAGCGCACTGCAAGCTCCGCCTTCTGGGTTCATGCCATTCTCCTGCCTCAGCCTCCCGAGTAGCTGGGACTACAGGCGCCCACCACCGCGCCTGGCTAATTTTTTTGTATTTTTAGTAGAGACGGGGTTTCACCGTGTTAGCCAGGATGGTCTCGATCTCCTGACCTCGTGATCTGCCTGCCTCGGCCTCCCAAAGTGCTGGGATTACAGGCATGAGCTGCCGCGCCCGGCCTATAGATGTCTTATATGCAAGATGAGTTTCTTATAAGGACCATGCTTTTTATCCATTTTGCCAATCTATATATTTTAAATGGATCATTTAATCCATTTACATTCAAAGTTGATATGTGAGGCTCTTTTCTTGTTATATTGTTAATTGTTTTCAGGCCATTTTATAAATTCTTTGTTTATTTTTCTCTTTTTGTCTTTATGGTTTGATAAAATTGTATCATGATGTCATTTGACTCCTGGCTCTTCCTCCTTTGTGTAATTGTTTTGTAAGACCTATGAGTTTTATATTTTCACGATGGTGAATATTGACCTCTTGTTTCCATATTTAAGACATGTATGAGCAAGCATCTCCTATAGAACTGGTCTGGTAATGACAAATTCTCTCAGCATTTGCTTGTAAGGGGAAGACTATTTCTTCTTCATTTATGAAGTTTATTCTGGTAGGATATAACATTCTTAGCTGACAGTTTTTTTTCTTTCAGCACTTCAAAAATGCCATTCCATTCTCTTCTCGCGTATAAGGTTTCTATTGAAAAGTCTGCTGTTACTCAGATGGGGTTTCCTTTATAGGTGACCAGATGCTTTACTCTTGCTCGTTGTAAAATTCTTTCTTTCACATTGATTTTAGATAGTCTGAACATAATATGCTATGGTAAAATTCTTTTTACAGTGTATTTTCTGGGGATCACTGGGTCTCCTGTATCCTGATGTCTAACACTTTTGCTAGACTTGGGAAGTTTTTCCTGATTATTTCCTGAAATAGGTTTTCAGGAACCTATTTGACTTATCTTCTCCCTTAGGAATACGAATAATTTGTAAGTGCAATCTGTGTACTCCCAAACATCTTGAAGGCTTTGTTCATTCATTCTTTCTTTTTTTTTTCTTTTTTTGAGATGGAGCCTCACACTGTGGCCCGGGCTGGAGTGCAATGGCTCAATCTCGGCTCACTGCAACCTCCTCCTCCCAGGTTCAAGTGATTCTTTTGCCTCAGACTCCCAAGTAGCTGGGATTACAGGCACCCACCACCATGCCCAGCTAATTCTTTGTATTTTTAGTAGAGATGGGGTTTCACTATGTTGGCCAGGCTGGTCTCAAACTCCTGAACTCGTGATCTGCCTGCCTCGGCCTCCCAAAATGCTGGGATTACAGGTGTGACCCACCATGCCTGGCCTAATTCTTTATTCTTTTCTTATTTTTATCTGACTGAATTAAAAGACCTATCTTCAAGTTCTAAGATTCCTTCTTCTGCTTGGCCTAGTCCAGTATTGAAACTTTTGAATGTATTTTGCCTTACTTTCAATGAATTTTTTAGCTCCAGAATTTTTTAATTTTTAAAATTTATTTAATTAATTTTTATTTTATTTTATTTTATGTTTGAGACAAGGTCTGACTCTGTTGCCCAGGCTGGAGTGTAGTGGCACAATCTCAGCTCATTGCAACCTTTACCTCCTAGATGTACATAAGCCATCCTCCCCACTCAGCCTCCCAAGTAGCTGTAACTACTGGCGCATTCTACCACAACCAAATAACTTTTCTATTTTTTTTTTTTTTTTTGTGGAGACAGGGTTTTGCCATGTTACCCAGGCTGGTCTCAAATTCCTGAGCTCAAGCATTCTGCCTGCCTTGGCCTCCCAAAGTCCTGGAATTACAGGTATGAGTCATTGTGCCCAGCCATTTATTATTTTTTTTTCAAGATATCTATCTTCTTGGTAAATTTCTCATTCATTTACTAAATTGATTTTCTGATTTCTTTGTATTGGTTTGCAGATTTCTATCGCATTTCATTGAGGTTTTAAAAAATCAATATCTTAATTTTTTTTCTAGTATTTTGAGGAATTCTTTTTGATTGGGATCTATTGTTGGACAATTGTGATTCTTTTGTGATGTCATTTTCTTGCTTGTTCACATTTTCTGTGTCCTTCCATTGATATCTGTGCATCTGTTGAAGTAGATGCTTGTTCCAATTTTGTGAAATTGCCTCTGTAGGGAAGAGTTTTTTCCTGAAGATGTGTAACTGTTGTTGGTTTAGTATGACACTTTGGCTTTGACTTTGGGTATCTGTGGTAGTGTGATTTTTGTATGTCTTCTTTGGCAGTACACAGGGTCAGTGGTGTTTGTGATCTCCTTGATGGCTTAGGTTATGGTTATTAATTGAGGCTGTGCTGAAGGTTTTTTGGGGACTTGGACACCAACCGAACCATTCTTTGGGCCATGGTGGTAGCAGCTGAATGTGCCTGTTTTTGGTAGCCAGAAGAAATTATGCTGGCACCAGTGTTAGTGGGTCCTGGAGAGCCATTTCTTGGGCCTTTGGGTGTTTTGCTTAGAAGCTAGTATTGAGAGCAGTGAGCCGGGTATATGGGAAGGTTCTCAGGCCCCTTGGCAGCTGGTATAATGTGGGTAATGGCAGTAGTGATGGTAGAGCAACCCACTGGGATCCAAGTGGTTTGTGTTGGTGTTGTTGATAGCTGTGATGGGTTAGGTAGGCTAGTCCCCAGTTTCACAGCTGTCTGTAGCATGGGGATGGGTATTGTCCTAAATGTGCTTAGGAGACCTTGGTTTTAACTGTTCCTCCCCAGGCTGGGTGGTGGCTTGGGGCCATGGTGGTTTGCTGCACCCATCAACCCATCATCTAGGTTTTAAGCCCTACATGCATTAGGTGTTTGACCCAATGCTCTCCCTCCCTTTTAAATCATTCTATTATGAAGGCATATGCACACATATGTTTATTGCAGCACTGTTTACAAGAGCAAAGACTGGGAACCAACCTAAATGCCCATCAGTGATACACTGGATAAATAAATTGTTGATGATTTTTACATCTATTTTTATGAGAGATATTGTCTTGTTACTGTCCTTGTAATATCTTTATCTGGTTTTGGTATTTTGATAATGATGGCCTCATATAGTGGGTTAGAAGGTAATCTTTCTGCTTCTATTTTCTAGAAACAATTCTAGAGAATTTTTGTCATTTCTTTCTCAAATATTTGGTAGAATTCACCGTGATGTTATCTGGTCCTGGTGACTTAATTTTACAGGTTTATTAATATTGACTTAATTTATTTCACAGATACAGGATTATTCAGAAGACCTATTTCTCCTTTATGAGTTTGGTTAGTTTGTATCTTTCAAAAAGTTAGTCTGTTTCATCTAAGTTATCAAAATGTGTGGGTACAGAGTTTTTCATAATATCCTTTATTATTCTTTTAATGTCCATGAAACCAGTGGTGATGTCCCTCTTTCATTTTATATTTCAGTAATTTGTGTCTTATTTTTCTTGGTTTGTCTGGCTAGAGGTTTATAGATTTTATTCATCTTTTCAAAATGCCAGTTTTTGATTTGGTTGATTTTTTAAATATTAATTTTCTGTTTTAAATTTCATTGATTTCTGCTTGATTTCTTTCTTTTCTTCTGCTTGCTTTAGGTTTATGTTGCTCTTCTTTCTTTAGTTTCTTAAGGTATAAGTTTAGATTATTGATTTAGATCTATCTTCTTTGGTAGCATATACCTTCAATGCTGTAGATTTACCTTGAAGCACTGCTTCCACTGGATATCACATTTTTTGATGTTTTATTTCATTTAGTTCAAAATATTTAAAAACTTTTTTTGAAACTTTTTTGCTGAATGTGTTATTCAGAATGTGTTATTAAGAATATCCAAATATTTTGTGATTTTTCCTGTTTCTGTTACTGTTTTCTAGTTTAACATTGTGGTATGAGAGCGTGGTTGCATTATTTTTATTCCTTAAAAATTTAAAAGACTTTTTTATGGCCCAGAATATGTTGTGTCTTGGTGTGTTTAATGATTTATTAATATATTCTGCTGTTGGGTCCAGTTGATTGATGGTGCTGTGAAGATCAACTGTATTCTTACTGATTTTCTGCATATTAGATTTATCAAAACTGTATTGAGGACACCAACTATAATAGTAAATATCTGCCATATTGCTTGAAATATTTCTTTTGCTTACTTCTCATTTTCTTTTCTTTGTCATATTCCAATCATATGTGTGTTACATTTTTGTAATTGTCCCAGAGTTCTTGAATGTTATGTTCTATTAAACAAATTATTTTTCCTTTACATTTAATTTTGAACTTCTCTTGATATTATTTTCAAGCTCAGTTATTCCTTCCTTTACTATTTCCAGTCTACTGGTGAGTCCAGCAAAACATTCTTCATTATTGTTACAGTGTTTTTTATTTGTAGCACCTTTAACTGTTCTTTTTAATGTGAAGTTCTGCTTACACTCTACATTCCTCCTTGAGTGTTGTCTACTTTTTCCATCAGAGCTCATATTATGTTAATCACAGTTTAAATTCTGTGATAATTCCAAAATCGATGTCAAATCTAAGTCTGGTTCTAATGTTTTTCTGTTCTCTTTAGACTATGTGTTATGTGCCTTTTTTTTTGTTTTGAAAGCTGGAAATGATAGAAACAGGTAATTAGGTTTTGATTTTATATGGATATTGCTAGGAGTTGAGCTATACTTCCTGTTTGCTATAACTATAGGTGCCAGAAGAGTAGGTATTTCTTGTTTTCTCATTTTATTTTCTCCTCTATTGTCTTTGGGTTTGCCTAAGAACTTCTTAAATAGAGTCTGTGTCCTACAGGTCTTTCAGTTGGAATCTGCTGTCATACTGGAACCCTATCAATATAGTGGCAAATTGGTGGAGGCAGAAAGTATTCTACAACCTTACGATTTAATCTCTGTTACTTAGCGAGACTGAGTGATTGGGCTCTGACCTTCAGAAATACTTCTTGGCCTTTCTGCCTCCTCCCTTTATGAGAGACTGGAAGGCTAGAGAGGATTTGAGCTAGCCAATTGACTTTTCTACAGGTAGGCAAGGTTCTGGTAAAGTAGTTTCCCCTGGAAGGCAGTCCTTTGTTATGGAAAATACTCTGGGTATATTTCTAAGTGGTTACATTTTCCTTTCTCCTACTAGAAACAGGACAGGATTTTTCTCTGATTTTAGCCATGAGAACATAGTTGTGTTTCTGGAAGTAAACCTCCCTCAAGTGTGGAAGTCCCCCTAAAACTAGCTCCCAAGTGTTTTTATCTCTCATGCTAATCCACATTCTTCCTCCAGCAATTCATAAAAATAACTATTTAACTGTTTCTGTCAATTACTGACTCATGCAGCTTCTGCTTCAGGTAATCTGATCTCAGCTTGATTCTCTGTATTCACATGCCTTTCCAGATTTTGGTTTGGCATTTTGCCTTGTGACCTCAATTCTCTGATGAATCTAAGAAAAGTCATTGATTTTTAGTTTGTTCATTATTTTTTTGTGTGTGAGTGTGAGTGATGACTTTGAAGCTCTTTGTATATTGGACCTGAAACCAGATATCATTCCTTATTTATTTTTAATTCTGATTTATATATTTATTTTCATATTTTGTATTATTTTCTTAATTTCCTTTGGCTGATTTTGAAGTGTTAGTTTACACTTGTTGTCTGTTTCACAGACATGCCTTTGTGGTGTTTTTTTCTTCTTGTAAAATTGTTATCTTGTTCTTTATTATCTTTTAATTGTGGTGATATTGTTTGGGATTCAGCCACAATTACTTTCTGTTTTTTATTTTTACTTCCTAAATTTTAGAAGGAAGGGGATGGGTCAGGACAGCCATTTCAACTTTATCACTGTGAAATTGTATTATGTTATGCTTATGAAGTGTTAAAAAATGTGATTCTGTACCTCTAGAGGTTTCTTGTCTTTGTATAATACATCTCTCCACTTTTACATAGAACCTCTATTTTCTTTGCTACCTGGTAATGGACTGAATTTTGTCTCCTCCTTTCTCCAAATTCATATGTTGAAGCCTTAATTTTCAATGTGGCTGATTTGAAGATGGGGACTATAAGAAGATAATGAGGGTTAAGTGAGGTCATAGGGTGGGCCTTACTCCAACAGGACTGGGTCCTTAGAAGAGGAAGAGACAGTAGAGATCCCTCTCCCTTCATAAACACAAGGAGGAATGTGAAGACACAGCGAGAAGATGGCTGTTTGTAAACCAGGAAGAGTGCAGTCACCAGAAACCAAATTTTCTGGCACTTTGATCTTGGATTTCTAGCTTTCAGAACTGTGAGAAAGTAATGTTATTTCAGCCACTCAGTCTGTGGTATTTTGTTATGGCAGCCCTACCTGACTAACAAATTTCTTTTTCTATGTCCTGGTCAATTTGTATTTTGTTCCTGATTTTCTCCTCACTGTAGCACTTTGTCCAGGAAGAGAGATTTGAATAGTTAGTTTTGGGACATCATAGATAGGGCCTACACTGCTTTCATTTCTGCACACCTTACTCACAAAACATCTCACGTTTTCAGCTGCTGTTCTAAAATTGGCCTGTCACGATTTCTAGTGTGTAGCTTTGGCTATTTTCATGTTTTCCCGTTTTCAAATATGTCAGATACCTCATTACTTCCCTTTTCTTTATGCATACCCATATAGTATTTATATGGGTCATGCCCTGCCCATACCCCACCCAACTCATATTTGGGGTTTGTTGAGATAACATGCCAGTTTAGTTGTGGAAGTTATTTATTTAATTTTTGGCCCTGTTACTCTCATTAATCTGTCTGTTTTGATGAGTGATTTGGCAACATTAAAAAATAACGCTGTCACTGCCGTTTTCTCAGAATTCCCAGTTGTTTGAAAGGAAGACATTGAAAATGACTTGTTATTGGGCTTGACATTAATATCCATTGCTATTTTATAATAGAATGCTAAATAAATTCTTTTCAAACAGAGCAAAAGAAGTAGAGATTAATAGATTCTAATAGAGGTTATACTAAATTTTTAAAAATGTTTTCAAGCTGTTAAAACACCTTGATCAAAGTTTTCTTGATTTTTTTTCACTACTATATATAAAAGTGTTTCATTATCTCAATGATAATATGAAATGATAGTCTGGATTCTTTAAACTGCAAGAGACAGAAATCTAGTTCAAGGTAGTGTAGCAGAATGGAGATTTTTATGGCTCAGGAAACCAAGTTGGTTCTTCTCATAGTAAGCTAGTTAGGAAATTGGAACTTCAATGCAAAGAGAACTCTCCTTCTTTCATATGTTTGCTATCACTTGACTTTATATTGCCTTACTATATACTTTCCTGATATAGTAAAAAAGAAGACTGCTAGCAGCCTTTAATTTATATTCTTCCAGAAATATACTTAGAAACAGTCCCTTTTTCTTTAACTCTAGATAAGATGATTCTGAGAAAAAACACTGTTGGTCGAGACTGAGTCACCTGCCCATGCTAGAATAATCACTAGGACAGAGAAATTAAGTGCTTTTATTAGCTAGACCTGGAACAATGGTCCAACTTTGAGTTTATAAAGGAAAGGTATTACAGCTCTACTTGGTGTCACAACTAGAGAGGGAGAGGGGCAGATTTTGAATGGAAACGATTTCCTAACGGAACTAGGCATGATTGAGAGTTTTCAGCCTACACCTAAGAATGTTGAATTTGAGATTAATATAGTAACTGTACATTAAAACATGTTGATTAATATTGATGACCTGCTGGAGGTTAACCTCTAGTGGTAAACAAAAAGGTACGGTGCTTAGCCACATCTCATTCTGGAACTTTACCAACTGCAATGGAATTTATTTGAATACTTTGTAGGAGGCACAAACCTTGAGAGACATAACTAGTATGCTTGAAGACAGTTGTCTTTATTCATCAGTAGAGATTAATATTTACTTGTTGAGGTATATGTACAGTGAACATGGGCACATTTAAAATATACCCGTTGATTAGCTTTGACAAAAGTACAATTAAAATATAGAGTGCTTTCATTACACAAAAGGTTTTTTCCCTTGTGCCCCTTCTTATTCAATTCTTAAACTAAGAATCAGCTACTTTGGTGATTTCCACTATCATAAATTAGTTTTGCCTGTTCTTGAACGGTGCAAGAATAAAAAAAAAAGTGTGTACTCTCTTTTGTGTTTGGATTCTTTTTCTTAACTAATTTTTTTGAGATTTATCCACATTATTCTGTGTTCAGTTGATCATTTTTATTGCCAAAACTATTCTATTATGATTTTTATTTATCTGTTTTCCTGCTGCTGGATGCTAAATTTGTTTTCATTTTTTGGCTTTTAAAAATAATACTCCATATACGATTTTTTTTGTGCACATATATTTTTATGTCTCCAGGGATAAAATTGCTGGGGCACGTGCATGTTTCACTCTATAAGAAACTTGACAACACCCCTACCAGCAATATTTGAAAACCCCAGTTGCTCTGTATCCTTACCAAAATTTTGTATTGTCAGTTTTCTTAAATTTAGACATTCTAGTGGGTATAATGTTTCTTGTTGTGGTTTTAATTTGCTTTTTTCTGATAATTAATGCTAAAATACACTTTATCATTTATTTAATACCTATTTTAGGTCTGTTTTTCTTGAGACAGGGTCTTGCTCTGTCACCCAGGCTAGAGTGCAGTGGCATGATCATAGCTCACTGCAGCCTCAAATTCCTCAGCTCTAGTGATCCTCTCTCCTCTGCCTCCCAAGTAGATGGGAATACAGGCACTGCCATCTTGCTTGGCTATTTTTTAAAAAGCTTTCTAGAGACAGGGTCTTGCTATGTTGCCCAGGCTGGTCTTAAACACTGGGCCTTAAGTAATTCTCCCACGTCAGCCTCCCAAGTAGCTGGGATTATAGGTATGAGCCACTTTACCCACTTCTTTTTAAAAGTAAGTGTTTGTTTAAGTCCTTTGACCGTTTGCTGAGGGATTATTTATTTTAGATATAAGTTCTTTATTAGATAATTTGTACTATGCATCATTTTGGCTGGCAATGAATTCTCTAAAGTTTTCTTGATTTTAAAATGTATTTATGTCACCTTTATTTTGAAGAATATTTCTGCTGGATATAAAATTCTAGGTTGACATAACTGTTATGGACAAAATGTTATATCTCCCTAAAATCTATATATTAAAATTTAATTTCCAATGTGATGCTATTTGGAGATGAATTCTTTGGGAGGTGATTAAGTTATGAGGGTAGAGGCCTCATGAATGGGATTAGTCCCCTTATGAGAAAAGATCAGAGAGTTAGCTTATTTTCTTTCTGCTATGTGAGGATACAAGAAGTCAGCTATCTGACCTGGAAGAGGGCCCTCACCAAAACCCAACCATACCGCCAGCCTTATCTTGGACGTCCAGCCTCCAGAACTGTGAGAAATAAACATCTGTTTTTTTAAGCCATCCAGTCCATGGTAACTGTTGTAGTGGCCCAAGCTTACTAAGACAATTGCTTTCTTTCTTTGACACTCAAGATGATGTTTTATTGTCTTCTAGCTTGCTTTTTTTTTTTTCTGATGAGAAGTTAGTACTTATTGTTTTCTGATGAGAAGTTAATACTCATTTTTATCATTGTACACCTGGAGTTAATGTGTTTTTATCTTTGTATTCTTTTAAAACTGATTCTTTATATCTTGTTTTCAAAAACTTGATTATGATGTGCCTAGATGAGTTATCTTTTTGCATTAGTCCAAGATGAGGTTTATTAAATTTCTTGAATTTGTGGGTTGATGTTTTATGTTAAATTTGGAAAGCTTTTGCCT
This sequence comes from Homo sapiens, assembly GCF_000001405.40. Classification (NCBI taxonomy): domain Eukaryota; kingdom Metazoa; phylum Chordata; class Mammalia; order Primates; family Hominidae; genus Homo; species Homo sapiens. The sequence goes on along the minus strand of NC_000001.11, from coordinate 199,486,587 downwards.
AATATTTCTTCAAGTAATTTTTTCTTCCTCATTCCACCTTTATTCTCCTTCTGGGATGGCAGTTACGAATATGTTAGGTGGCTTGATATTGTCTCATGTATTACTGATGCTCTGTTTATTTTCTTCAACCATTTCCTTTTCTCTCTGCTTCAGTTTGAATAATTTCTATTGACCTGTATTCAAATCTAGTGATCTTTTCTGCCATAATGTCCAATCTGATATTAAGACCATTGGGTAAACTTTGGATTTTAAATATTATAATGTCTTTTGTTTATTTTATATAGTTCTCATATCTCTTCTGAAATACCATATCTTTTTATTTGTTATATATGTATTTTTCTGCAGATTCTTTACCATATTTAGAAAATTGGTTTTAAAATAATTGCTAATGCCCTTAACTGGGTTAACTGTGGGTTTTCTTCTAATTGCTATGTTTTTTCTTGATTGTGAGTCACATTTTCTTTGTATGTCTTATAATTTTTTATTACATTATGGAGGTTGTGTATAAAATGATGATGGAGATTGCTATATAATTTAGTTTTTATTGCTTTATTTACTTGTAAAATAATGCAAGTTATTTCCTCTGTCTAGGGGTTGGGGTAAGGGGCTACTAGAGTAAGTTTGAGTCTGAGCTTTAATTTAGATAGAAGTAAGTGATTTGTCCAAGCTAAACTTTTGTAGCTTCACCTGCATCTTCCGTTAACCAAGACAATATTTGACCTAAGAGACAACCAAATATTAGCTTTTTTTTCCCTTTTTTTGTTCACCCTGGTTTCAACTCCAGCAGGTTTCTATAATAGAAGAATTTTGAGGATGTCTGGGACCATTGCTATTTCTCTCTACTTTAAAGAATACCCTTTATTGTTCCTTTCATGGCAAAATTCAGTGTTTGGTTAGGGAAAGAGACTTACTGGGCCACATGATTTATTTTTACATTTGCCACTCTTCCAGATTCTAAAAAATGTCACCAGCCCACACTGTCATCTAAGGCTCAGCTGATTTCTCTTCATTTTCTTCAATCTCTTTGTTTCTATGTGGTTTATTCTACCATCCATCCACCTATACTGAGACCTGGAACCTGCTCTCAGGTTCAGAAGATGCTGAAGCTCTCTCCTCACTATGAAGGGCTATTTTTTTCTGAAATTCAGTTTAACAAAGATTCATTGCATCCTCTTCTTTGCTATTTCCATAGAAAAGTACTGTTTCTATTTTGTCCAGGCTTTTTTGTGGTTACCATGGGACCACAGGAATTTCATGTTCTAAATTTTAATTAGAGACAGAAGTTTGATAAGCAGTATAAATATTTTAAAAGATCATATCGGGCTTGAAATATGGCCAGAGTCACCAAAATAAAATTTGGGATATGAAAACAACACTTTTTTAAAATTAAAAATCTTAATAGAAAAGTTACAATACACAGAAGAGTTATAGAGCAAACATGATATAACCTATAATTTTATCTCATTGAATAAATCATTCTTAATATTCTACTATGTATATATGACACAAAAACACTCAGGTATCCACAAGTAAATATTTTTAAAAATTAGAATAAATATTTTGCTTAAATTATTTAAAAATATTATTTATTAAATTTAAGCTCAATTTTTTAAACTTAATGTTTTAAGTCCCAAATATGCTAAATATTAAGAATACAAAATGGGTAGAACCCGACTCCTAGTCTCAAAAATTTTACAATCCAGTTGGAGAGATAGATTTGTATATAACAGAGTATATGACAATATTTGAAATGTCATTTTTGTAGAAGAAACAAAGTGGTATGGAAACCTAAAGGTATGAGTAATTTACTATGCATGAAGTGTAATTCTGTAAATTATATCAAGGGCATTTGATCGGAGATTCGCTGTATGATGAGAATTCCGTAAGTATGGGTGTACATGTTATATATATATATATATTTGTGTGTGTATGTGTGTAGACATGTTATGAGCAGTAGCTGCTTATATATTTAGGCAATAACATTCAGTATCTAATATGGTTGAATGAGAGAGTCCATTAAGGGACTAGTGGGAAAGTAGTAGATAAGGCTAGACCAGAAGTTTGAAGACAAGTTGCGAACAGCCATGAATGTTCTGCCAATTATTGCAGACTATTCCTCATAATAAAGAACTTATCTCCGATCTCTAGGGAGGTATCTCAGGGTTTTAAGCTCAGGAATTATATACATGTATCTGTGGTTTAGAAATGTAGCTTTGTCTACAATGTAGATGACAAGTTCAAATGGGGAGAGGCCATGCTGAAGACAGAGAGATTAGTAGGTAGGCTATTGTATTAGCTTAGGGTAAGGATAATGGGAAACTGAGCCATACAGCACGGTGGGCACAGCTCACATCTGGGAGCCAGACTGCCTGGGTTTGTAACTACATGTTAGATTTGCAACATTGGGAGAATTACCTAGCTTCTCCATGCTTTGAGGATAATAGGATTACTCTTCATAGGGTTGTTAGGAGAATAAAATGAGTTAGTATTTTTAAAGTGTTTAGAACAGGGCATGGCACTGAATAAGAATTATGCATTTGTTAAATAAAACTAAACAAATGAAGTAGTAGGTGTAAAAGGAAGAAGTCAGATATGGGGAAATTTCGGAAGAACCAACAGTGTTTGTCGATGTTGCAGATATGGTTGTGACTTTCAATTTTCTAGCTCAAAGTATAAACCGCGGCACTATGACATAAGAAGGAAAATAGAATATCCATGGTTTAGAAGAAAATATAATTTCAACTGAGTGTACTGTTTTGGATTTATTTTTGGTTTTGTTTTCACTCAGCCCTACAAGACCAGGATTGGAGACACTTGGTATGAAAAAATTTACCTAACAAAAACTACAGGGTTTGGGTGACCACAAGCTCAATTTCAGCAGTAATGATGCTTGGCTTAGTGAGAATTAACAGAGAGATGAGGTTTATACTGTACTTAGCATGAACTGAACTATATTCTAAGGTATAGTGTTAAATTCTGGGCCCCACATGAAGTTTGGTATTTATTCTCTGGAATATAGTCAGAGAAAGATGACAAAGGCACTAAGGAAGTGATTTACAGCTGCATATGTTGAACAGGTAAAGTTCCTGGGACTATTTCACTTATGTGTTCCCATAGCACTTTGTTCACAGCACTTTTATAGTATAACATACCTGTTAATTACATTCATATCTGCCACTTCCAGTATATTATACTATTTTCACTTATTGAGCACCTGCTATGTCCTCAGCATTATACTAGGTACTTTACCTAAATTATTGTATCCAATCCCCAAAGCACATGTATATAAAAAATATCATAAATATGAAATAGATTTTTCTCTGAGTATACAATATAAGATTGCCATGTAGTACAAGAGAATTGAGATAGGAAACATCCAAAAGAGATAAGAGGTTATGTGGGCTGCATAACCAACACACCTAAAAAGACACAATTTCAATAAAATGAAAGTTGATCATTTGTAGAGGTATAGAGAAAGGAATATCAGACTTTAATTCTGGTCTCAACTGCTAAGGTTCTCTTCTCCTTAAGGTAGAGATAATGTAGAGAGTTGTCAGCATTGACCTTCAGTTATTTTTTCTCCACTTACAAAGTCACCTTTATGATATGATGAGCATATCCAGATAGCGTGATGCCATTAAACAGTCAATTCTCACTTCCTGCATTCTGTTTTCATGTTTGCCAAACAGCCTTCTGACCCCCATACAAGTTTACCTACATGGAAAAAGCAGTAATTATATAGCTATGGGTATTTAAGTCCTGCTTGACGATGATTTTTCATAAAATCAATAAAGTGATTTCTTATTAGGTTTTGGCTTTTCCTACAGCTTGACGGCAGGGAAGCATGTGCTGAGCATATGGCCATCCATACTTCTGGTCTCTGTGACAGGAATTTCTCACTGTAAATCAATAAGTTAGCATTCTGATGTCTGAGCCTGTCTTGTGTATGTTTCGGCACTCATGAATCAGGCTGTCAGGGTCTGATCACCCCTTGATATGACAGGAGTTAAGTCCTTGGGTCTTCCAAGCAATCGGCCAGAGCATGCTGATTTCCTTTGGAACACATTGCTGGATGAATATACACACATATACACATACACACATATACATTTAGATAAGTTTATATATGTATAAATATATATTTAATTTATTTAGAAATCTGTCACTACTCAAGTCTGCATTAGTAGTATGAAAGCTGCCATAGATAAAATGTAAACAAAAGAACATGGCTATGTTCCAATAAAACTTTAAATAGGCAGTGGGCATATCTGGTCCATGGACTATAGTTTGCCAACCCTTGGTCTTGGCTATTACAGCCTGGAGTAAGGATGATCAGAAACTGAACTTCGATGCTTATGCTCACAAATACTAAATAATAAACATAATGTAACAAAGAATCCAAAAATTTAAGGACGTTGGAGAATATTTATCATGTACAGCCTCTCATTTACTCATACTACGTATCTCACTGCCCCCTCCTAAATAAATCCCCTGAGAGAACCAACTTCATGAAGTCACTGAGAAAGGTGCTAGAGAGGGGGCACCAGCATCTTTGAAAGGCTGTGCAGTGGCTGTCCTCTGTAGCCTGGTGACAGCAGAGGGAAAAAGCTGATTTTGAGATGGGCTTTCTAATTTTAATAGGGATCATAGGGCCTGAAGAGCCCAAGATCAATGTGACAGCTTTTAGTTACCAGGAACAAGGTGGTGCATGGACAATATGGAAAGCAGGATGACATGGTGATCAGAACTTTTGACCTTTAGAGTCTTCACGTTGACTAGTTGATTATGGTGTTGCTACAGACTTGTGATGCATTCTGTGGATGGCAGTAAGCCTTCTTCCCCACAGTCCCAAGCCTTTGTAGGAGGAATGAAGTTTATATATGTATTTAACAACAAGAATATCCCTTCATAAAGGCTGATATAAATACTGTCACTGCCAAGGGCCTACCCAGCCTACACCATAGACCAGTGCTTAACGCTTTATCTGGACCATTCTCTGAGAAGAACAGGCAGCCAGCTGGTGGCAAGCTGAGCATCTTCCATCATGCAGGAGCAAGCAACTTCTTTCTGAAATGAGTATTCTGAGTAGATTTTTCTTTCCTGCTAGCATGCTAGCAGTGTTTTTGTTGTTGTTGTTGTTTGTTTTTGTTTTTTATTTTTTTTGTTTTTGGCCAGTGCAACTGCCCATAGAATTAATGAAATTCTAATTCACCATCATGGTATTCAAAACAACATTGCTTCTAACCAAGACACTCATTTAACAGAAAAATAAGTAATAGCAAGATATTAATTCTTAAGAAATTTACTAACGTTAATACATACCTGACCACCTAGTAATAGTTTGACTAATAGAAGATTCAGTTAATATGTCAACTGGGAGAAATCCTTACAAGGTTGGAGCATTATTTCATAGCGTATGCTTTGAACAAGCAACCAATAAAGAATACTTAGATCTGAAAATCAACAGAAGTCAGAGAAGCATCTCTTTTTATTACAGGGAATGCACCATTCAAAATTTGGGCTTCCTAATATTGCAACTTTGGGCTGGGCTGTAATGATTGAGAAATCTTAGTATCGTAGAGAAGGCTTCTACCATAAGACTCAATAACCGTATTCCATTGAGTTGGGAGTTGAGACTGCTGTCTGACCATATTGGGCTGCTTATGCCACTGAAATCATAGGCAAAGAATGGAATGTATCTGCTGGTTGGGGTTATTGATTCTAATTATTAAGGGTTAAACTTAGACTGAAACTGAGTTGTCACAGCAAGATAGGCACTATATCTAGATCCCAAGAGATCTTGGGGGCCTCTTAACTGTTTCACTTTTTTTTGGTAGTAAAATTTGACAGAAAACTTGATCAACACAACAAAAGCAGAGCTGCAGATAAGTCCTTCCCAGATGAAGTTGTATGTCACTCTAACAGATACAGAATCCTGACTAGCTGAGGGCAAAGGGGACACGGGATGGGGGAAGAACGAAGAAGGTATGAATATCACCTATGCTGTCGGGACCAGATGCGGAATTGAAGCCTGTAGCAACTAAGCATATTTTCTTCATGATACTTCATATATATTAACTAAATTTCCCTTTTATTAATCTTTCCCTTATTATCTTATGTAGTAGTTGTTTTCAGTGGCAAACTTAGTCTTTGTGTTACAGAATATTCAGGCAAGGGTATGAGTGAATTAGAAGAAGAATAACATTGTCCAGAGATAGGTATGGTCACTCATGGAACTTCGTGTCTTCTCTTTTTGAGATGAGAAAGCTTTTGTTTTTATGAAGAACGTGTGCATCTTGTTAGGAAGATGCATGAAGTTGTCCTTTCTGTATGGAGGCTTCAATAAAGTTTGGAAAATGCGTGTGGATACTGAATGCCCAAAAGTGTAGATTTTGCAGGTTATCTATCTGTTATATCTCAGCATCAAGATTACTCTTACATACTTTACTCCATGATGCTGGGATTGAGATTCAGTAAATTATGTTTTTTAGACCGATCTCTTTCTGGCTTATTTCCATGACTGGTAGTCACTGATGGCAGTTGGGAAGGAGAGAAGATAGAGAGAAAAATTTACTCCTGTGCTGAACCCTGTCAGCTTCTCTCAGGCAGTTAAGGACAACTTTGGCTTTAGACTCCAGCTTCTTTTGCACCCTTGTTACCAGTTGTGCCATACCCACTCAGAGTTCCAGGCCAGCTAGCTACCCCTCTGGTGGTCGAAGCACTAGCAATATAGCAACCTTTCCCAGGGAAGCTGAGCACCAGCTCAGCTCCACCTCTTCATGTTGACCCCTGCTTCTTGTAATTACTAACATCTGAGTTATCTCAGCCCTTCTGGTAGATACCAATGACTGGTTACCTCAGCACCCCAACCTTTTAGCCTTTAATCCTTGATAATCCATTCCCTATATTAAATCCCATCTGCTTGAAATGCCTACTGTACTTTCTGTCTCATTACTTTTGGAAGGCTAGACCATGACTTGCACACTACTTGAGGACAGGCATTAGCTCTGATTAGGCCTTAATTCTTGACGCTTAGCCCAGTGCTTCAACATAGCATTGCTGAATAAATATAAAAGATGAGGCATAACAAATTTTATAAAATATTTGAAGCACTGCCAGATAGAAGAGGGAGAAATGTTTCTAAGCTGTGTGTCTGATTATAGCAGAAATTTTGGAGAAGATTTTTAAAATTCAATATAAGAAGAAAATTTGTATTTCCATTAATGGGATAAATGGTCTTAAAAAAACACCAAATTGCCCATCACTGGAATTATTTAAGCTGAGGTTGAGTGACCTTTGTCAGAGAAGTAGTAGAGGACAATTCCTTAAATGGGTTGAAGGTTAGATAAAATGATATTTGAATTAGCTTCTAGCACTAAGATTCTGTGATTTCTGTTCATAAAAAAACATCTAACTAATTCAACTCAAATGTGCCCTTTCTCTTGGTAATGATGCTGAAACTGACACAGCACAGGAGGATGATAATAGTTTACATCTGTATAGTGTTGAATCATTTTCAAAATGCCTTGCATTGATTTTCATTAAACTTTGCCAATTTTTGTGAGGTAGAAAGAACGATAATTATATGTTACAGATCTGTGGTATGGTGTGTGTGTCTGGGTGTGTCTCTGTCTATGGTGTGTGTGTGTGTGTATGTGTGTTACAGATCTATGGTATGGGGTGTGTGTGTGTATATATATACAATATATATATACTATATATATAGTATATATATACAATATATATATACTATATATATAGTATATATATACTATATATATACTATATATACTATATATACTATATATATACTATATATACACAATATATATACTATATATACAATATATATATACTATATATACACTATATATATACTATATACACAATATATATATACTATATATACTATATATAGTGTATATATATACTATATATATATATTACTATATATACTATATACTATATATATAGTATATATATACACTATATATATAGTATATATATAGTATATATATACACTATATATATAGTATATATATAGTATATATATACACTATATATATAGTATATATATAGTATATATATACACTATATATATATAGAGAGAGAGAGAGAGAGAGAAAGAGAGAGAGAGAGAGAGAGAGATAAAGTTGGAGGATACCAAGAATGTATCTGGGACCTCTGGCTGCTAGAGGCTTTGAAATTCAATTTGTAACATTTTTAGATGTCACTTTTCTAGCAATTATTCCTGTTTTCTACTACAAAATGCATTTTAAGATCCAGCTTTTTGGGCCAGAATTCTAAGAATAGCTGAGTTGTTTTTTCAGAATGTTTTCTTTACTAAAAAGCAAATAACATACTGTGTACTTGTAGAATATCCATTTTTGAAATATTGAGGTTAGGATCATTCTTGATTGTTGACCTTTTATTCTGCCTTTGGCTCAGCAGTGCTCTGAGTTTTATTTTGTGTCTAAGAGCCACTCTGATGACTTTATGTGTGCAAAAACAAAGGAATGGTACTACGCAATATTTCTGCTAAAATATGGAGATTATGGAAGCATTCTCTGGCATAAGTGTCTTCAGAAGTCAGAATCTTCAGACCCCCAAAACAGTGTGGCATTCCAACACTAAATGCATACAAGCCGTTAGTGTTCATTAAAATTAGTAACAGAAAACACAGAACTTTGGAAGTCTACTCAATGCTGAACTAAACTCCAGGGGTTTAATATGCACTTGAACTAGGAAACATACCAGAGAATGTTGGTTTAGGCCCAAGAGACATCTTGTAGGTTAATAAATATTCCCTCTTGTTTGAAGATACTCTCCTAAATTTAAATGTTGAGCTACGTAAAATTATATTTTTATATTCCCCTTGGCATCAACACATATAAACATATACTTCTATTTTATAACTTATTCTTCCACATGTATTATGATTTATAAGCACTGACTTCAGGAAATAAACAACTATGCTCACATTTATTTTCTAATTGCTGGCTTATATTTTAAACCTCTGCTTCTCCTCCCTGCCACAGTGCCTTAACAAATTCATGTGGCATTGCTTATTCCCCAGGGTGCCTGTCTCTGCTTCTCTAGAAGATGGTAGGCTACCAACATGGGGTAAATAAGCCTCAAAAATGTTGTCGGTGACTTGGCCAAATCCAGGGAGTTGTTTAATGGTGAAGCAGGAATGAAAACCCAGAGATTGAGGAGGCTTTGATAACTGAGTTATTCTGCCATACTCAAGAAGTTCTTCCTCTCTAGTTTTCCTAGATTTTTGAGCAAATATTCTTGTCTGTTCACATAGAAAATTAAGTCCTTTAGCAGATTATGCTTGGTAACACATGAGTTATGTTTCTTCCCAATTCTTTAAATTTTAGGATTACTTTTGGAAGTTTCTGTTTGAACTCATAAATATTTATCAAGTCTCTACTCTTTTAAACACAAAGGATATAACAGTGAGTAAGTAGATCAAACAGATATGGTCATATAGTTGGTGAATGATTTCTTTTATGGGTTTGGTTGCGCAGATCTCACTGATCATATTGTATTTAAACTGAGGCCTGAATAAAGTCAAGGAAGAAACCATGCGTCTCACTGCAGAAAGTGTTCAAGGGGAGAGAAAAACATTTGCCATGACTTTGAATTAGGAATATAATTGACAGGTTTGAGAAACAAAATTGGGGCCAGTATGGATGCAATGAACAAGAGTAATGGTCAGAAATATCACTAAGGAACAGATCATGTAGGACCATATAGAACAGAATAAGTGTTTGAGAAATTACTCTGAGTTAAACTAGAAGACACTGGAAGGTTCTGAATGGTAAATTGAAATTATTTGACTTACATTTTAACAGATCACAAGGTGAAAGCAAAGAGACTAATTAGAAGACTACGAAATAATACTGTTGAAATATGATTGTAGCTTGCACCAGAGTAGCAGTATTTTAGAGCAAAGAATTAGCCACATTTTGGATATATTTTGAGAATAGATTGGAAGTATTTGACATTGGATTGGATGGGGGTATGAGAGAAGGACTTGAGATAGCTCCAAGGATTTTTGCTTAAGCAACAGGAAGAGTGGAGTTGCCATTTAGTACAGTAAGACTGCCAGATAAGTAGATTAGAAGTAAGTGCTATAAGTGTGCTATGGTATGGAGCCTTTTCTAAATATTTTGACCACAGGACCCTTTTAATAGGGAGCCACTTTTAAAATAAATTTGTAAGGCAAACACTTTGTGAACTGCTGTCCTTGGTTTTGTACTTCATGCACAACATTATGCCTGAATGCAGCACCAGTCCCAGCATTAGCACAACCATTGAGAAAAGGACCTTTGTAAAGTTCTTACCTGACTCTCTTCATCCCTTTGGGATGTAATTGGCTTTTGAGTGCACATGACAGTTAGTACCAGTAGGAATTTCAAATATGATAAATCAATAGAGAATTGGTTTACTTGCTTTTCTAGTCTTCAAACATAAATTAATTACAGGGTTTTTTTTTTTTGTTTTTTGTTTGTTTGTTTGTTTTACTCTGTCCACCTGGCTGTCTGAGGTAAATGGTGATAAAGAAAGGAATAAAGTTTCAAAGAAGAGGCAGTATAATATTGAGTGCTCTAGTGGCACGTTCCAGCTATCTCCTTAATGCCCTCTCTTTTCTATTTTTAGTTTTGTCTAAAAGAGGAAGTTTTACTATTTTTCAAGGATGAGGCTCTATCTCCTTTAACAATAAGATACTGATTTGCTTTTTATGTACTTTTTCTAATCCATGTACCACTTAAGCCATGCTTAGCTAGGCATTCCACTCACTCTTATTATTATTAAAATTATACTATAAATGTATATATTTATCAGTATAGAAAATAAGGACAAGATGCATAAAATTATGGGTGACATTCTTTATAATGTATTCATGAGGCAATCATAAGTAAGAGTCCTATTTGAAGCTACAGAAGTCAAGTAACAGAGGACTTAAAGAACTTTAAGCTAAACAGAAGTCAGTAATTGATTACCTGACTTAATGAAAGGGAGTATTGTGATGTATAATATAAAATGGCAGGTACTTTATCCTGCATCTCATTACAGCAACATCTAAGTTCTTAATACCAACCAAATAAGAGAGCTAGAATGCTAATTAATGGCATTTAACATTAGGGTTAAGGATAGGATGAATTTTCAAATAGGTGATTTCTTCTCTGCTTTTGGAACCTATATAACACTTCTATCCAATTCTTTACTCTTAAGACAGACAATGCAGCCAAGAAATCCTAGATTTAAAGGAAACTTTCCTGCTGGTGGAGAAAAGGGATGTTCAAAGTAGAGAGCCTCTTGGGAGTGTGAGAACAATGTCTCTGAGCAAGATGGGTGATTCAGAGGTGATGTAGCAGAATTTAGGCAGTATTTTGAGTATCTGGGGCTCTGCCTGTCATTCTTGGTGCTTGGAATCCTTATAAACACTAAGTGCTGAAAAACCAAAGTCCAAGTATAAAGTGAAAAAATTCAGGATTCATCTGGCTTTGTAATATTTCTTAACGTGTACAAACCAAGCTTCTATGGCTAGAAATCGTTATTATTGACTCTTTCTCTATTATATTTTTGTGTCATTTTGCATTTTAATATTTTAATTTTATTTAACATTTAAATTTAACTTTTATTTTTATTTAATTTTAGTAAAATTAATATTTTAATTTTATTTTCATGCAGTCTGTTGAATTAAAGACATTTAATGTTCTGGAAGGAAATGAGTAGAATCTAGTCCTGCTTAGATTCTGAAAAGCAGGAAACATATACAGCAGAAAAAGTCTATCAATGTAGACATGTCTTCTCTTTACATGACTAAATCACTCATGTTAATAATGCAATTGGTAGCTTCATGACAGTATTTACTTAGTCAGTTTTAGCTCTATCTGTGAAAATCTACCAAAGGATCCTCTAGGTGAAGGTTTAAAAAATTCTCCCTCCCCAGATATTCCTAATGGAAGCAAAAATTTGGATGATAAAAGGCAGTTTTGGTCATGGAAATTCTTACAAATGTATTTTTTCTTTGGTTTATGTGAACCAAAAACTGTATGGAAAGAATAACGGCCTTCCGAAGATGTCCACATTCCAATCTCTGGAAACTGTGAATATGTTATTTTGAGGTAGCAGATGGAATTAAGATTGCTAATCAGATGAACTTAAAACAGGCAGATTGTCCACCTGGGCGTGATATAATCACAGAGTCCTGAAATGTAGAAGGGGGAGGCAGAAGAGATCCGAGTGATATGATACGAGAAGTACTTGACCCATTTGATGGTTTTGAAGATGGAAAAAGGGGCCATGAGCCAAGGAATATGGTCAGCTTCCGGAAGCTAGAAAGAGCAAGCAGTGGACCCCCCAGGCCTCCAGAATGGCACGAACTCCTGCTGACACCTTGATTTTAGCCTGGTGAGACCCATCTTGTACCTCTGATCTCTAGATCTGTAGGATAATAATCATGTGCTTTTTAATCCACATTTTGTGGTAACTTGTTACAACAGTATTTTATGGTAACTTGTTACAACAGCCATAGAAAACTGACATATAGCACAATATTTTAAATGACATCTAACGTAACTTCAAATTAAGGTTTGTAATGGTGTATTTCTTCATGAATTAAGATTCATATTTTATAAATCATGAAATGTTCTGCATAAATAAGTCCTTTGTATGAGTTATAATTAAATTATCATATGCAGGCTTCTGACTTCTATTTTTAAATTTAAAAGTTTGTGCATCCTGTAGTTTAATGCTTTTCTTTTGGTTCATAGAGGGTGAAATTTCCAAGTCTTAGGTCCTTTTCTTAGTACTAAAATTATTTGGTCAAATAAAAAGTTGTCCAGATCAAAGCTTGTATGACTCTCATAATGTTAATTCTTATTTGCTATTTTCTGGACTAAGTCACCTACTTTCCCAGGAATAGAAAATCAGGGAGAAAAAACAGCAGTGTTACGATTAAGACATTTACTTCGTTTCTATACTTTTACTCCATTTCTAAACAAAGCAGGCAAAGTTGGATTTCTTTAGTGATTTTTTTAATATCATGATTTCAAAATATCATAATTCCTTGAAAAGTCTTGTTTTGAAAAGTTGGCTTTGGAGGAACCCCTGCAAAAGTTGGTTTAGAAGAAATCACTTAGAAGTGATTTTAGGAAACACTGCATTCATGAGCAAATTTACTAACACATAAGTTAAGAAACTGGATTAACTAATAAGGGCACTTTTTTTGTTTGAATGTTAGGCCTATTTTTCCCTGAGACCAAGAAACTTGGGCCCATCTTTGGCCCTTGGATAAAATTCTACCAGTGCCAGAAGCAGCACCATAAACGAATCTGTGTCAGCAGTTCTACACGTATTCTTATTTTCGGAGATTCGTAAGTTTGCCACAAAAATATCTACTGTAGGCTGAAACTTGGCACACCAAAACCTCAGTCTGGGAGCAGTTCTATTTTTCTTCAATTTGGAGAAAAGCATCTCAATGGATTGAATTTCTAGAAACATTAGAAGTCAGGCATTTCAAAGACGTCTTGTGTTTTCTTATAATAAGACGCCTTTATTCTTTTAATTATAGAAAACAAGGATGATACTATCAGAGTGGATCTCTCCCACCCAGAAAGGGCCATAGGTTGGCTCATTTATTGGGTAACCAGTGGCTGTGAAAACACTCCATTCCTAGTCTGTTAGCTAAAATAATAATTAAATGACATGAAGTTGCAATTTATACGGAAAGTCTTTTACAGTAAACCCTCCCATAATAGGACCATTCAAAATCCTATCTGATAATCTGATTTCCAAACTAAAATAGAGTCTAAAATGAAACACTACAGTGTTACTAATTTGAACTAAATGACAAGGGGTAAAGGCCAAACTGAATTACTCTGAACTTGCTATCTCTTTAAAAAAGTAAAAATCAGTAAGAGGGAATTAAAGCTCAAGATGGAAGAGAAGATTGAAAGAGACATAGTTGTTTTAAATGAATTCAAGACTCCAGGCCCACACAAATTATATACAGAGTCCTGAAAAAACCTGGAGATGGAATTGCAAAACCACTTTAGAAAATGAATTAGGAAGAGGTTGCTGATTTTCAGAAAAACTACAGAATAAAAATTAGCAAAGATTTGTGAGCACTTAGAACATAATCAAAGAAAAGCTTTGATTATTAAGAGTCAATATGAATAGTCCATCTGCACCTCAACTCCGCCTTTCAGCTTCAACTCATTCACTCCTTCCTCTGCATCTCCTCCTTAATCCTTTTTTTTGGTTTCCCTATTTCTCCAACTGAACCATTATCCCCTGTTATCTGGGCTCAAACCTTAACTTCTTCATTCTCTGGATCCAGGCCAAATAGCTTGAGAGATATATGATCCTGAGTCTTGCACAATTTTTAGAACATTTTAGGACAATCTTCTGTTTTCTTTATGCAAACCTGGAAGACAAGGATTTCTATATTTCCCTACTTTTATGATGGGCCTTTGAGAATACTACTGTTATGTTAATTATTTCACATGGCCATGAAAAGCCTGCCTTGGTCTAGTTAAAATCAACGTTTTTCCCTATTTTATTCTTTATGAACATAAGAGAACAAGCAATCAGCATTTCCTTCATAACAACTCTTTATTTTTGAGGACATTAATGATGCATCTATAGTCATGCATCACTTAACAAGGACATGTTCTGAGAAATGGCATCATTAGGCGATTTCATCATTATGCAAACATCATAGCGGTACTTCCACAAGTCTATATGGTGTAGCCTAGTATACACTTATGCTGTATGGTATAGACTATTGCTACAAACCTGTACAACATGTTACTGTACTGAATACTGTAGGCAATTGGAACACAATGGTATTTGTGTATCTAAACATATCTAAACATGGAAAAGGTACAGTAAAAATACAATATTATAATCTTATGAAATCACCATTTATATGCTGTCCATCATTGATTGAAATGTTTATCATGTGGTCCATGACTGCATTAATCTGCTCTTTTCTACTCCTTCCTTAACCACCTATAATCATGTTTCTATTTTCATCATTCTGATGAAATTGCTTTCTTAAGGTCACTTAAGACTTTAATATTGCCAAATTTGGTGCTATTCTCTGTCTTAATTTTTACCTTGACTTTTCTGTGACATTTGACACATTCTTGAAATGTAATTAGCAAGTGCTTATCCTAGACTATTATCTCAAATTATAACCTCTGTAAGGGTGGGAACTATATCTGTCTTTTCACCACTGTGTACCCAGTTTCTTACCTTTTCTTGGCACATGCAAGGGCTCAGTAATAGTTGCTTAATAAAATGCAGCTTTGACCTCACTTGTGCTCTAATAATTATTATACTTTTCAGCAGAACAACTTACAATTGACTTAAATTCAACATAGCAAAAATGAATTCTTGCTTTGGTTTGAATTTTTGTTTTCCTCCAAAATTCATGCTGGGAACTGAGACCCAATATTTTTTTTTTTTTTTTTTTTTTTTTTATTTATTTATTTATTTATTTTTTTTTATTATACTCTAAGTTTTAGGGTACATGTGCACATTGTGCAGGTTAGTTACATATGTATACATGTGCCATGCTGGTGCGCTGCACCCACTAACGTGTCATCTAGCATTAGGTATATCTCCCAATGCTATCCCTCCCCCCTCCCCCGACCCCACCACAGTCCCCAGAGTGTGATATTCCCCTTCCTGTGTCCATGTGATCTCATTGTTCAATTCCCACCTATGAGTGAGAATATGCGGTGTTTGGTTTTTTGTTCTTGCGATAGTTTACTGAGAATGATGGTTTCCAATTTCATCCATGTCCCTACAAAGGATATGAACTCATCATTTTTTATGGCTGCATAGTATTCCATGGTGTATATGTGCCACATTTTCTTAATCCAGTCTATCATTGTTGGACATTTGGGTTGGTTCCAAGTCTTTGCTATTGTGAATAGTGCCGCAATAAACATACGTGTGCATGTGTCTTTATAGCAGCATGATTTATACTCATTTGGGTATATACCCAGTAATGGGATGGCTGGGTCAAATGGTATTTCTAGTTCTAGATCCCTGAGGAATCGCCACACTGACTTCCACAATGGTTGAACTAGTTTACAGTCCCACCAACAGTGCTGGAGGCATCACACTACCTGACTTCAAACTATACTACAAGGCTACAGTAACCAAAACAGCATGGTACTGGTGCCAAAACAGAGATATAGATCAATGGAACAGAACAGAGCCCTCAGAAATAATGCCGCATATCTACAACTATCTGATCTTTGACAAACCTGAGAAAAACAAGCAATGGGGAAAGGATTCCCTATTTAATAAATGGTGCTGGGAAAACTGGCTAGCCATATGTAGAAAGCTGAAACTGGATCCCTTCCTTACACCTTATACAAAAATCAATTCAAGATGGATTAAAGATTTAAACGTTAAACCTAAAACCATAAAAACCCTAGAAGAAAACCTAGGCATTACCATTCAGGACATAGGCATGGGCAAGGACTTCATGTCCAAAACACCAAAAGCAATGGCAACAAAAGACAAAATTGACAAATGGGATCTAATTAAACTAAAGAGCTTCTGCACAGCAAAAGAAACTACCATCAGAGTGAACAGGCAACCCACAACATGGGAGAAAATTTTTGCAACCTACTCATCTGACAAAGGGCTAATATCCAGAATCTACAATGAACTCAAACAAATTTACAAGAAAAAAACAAACAACCCCATCAAAAAGTGGGCGAAGGACATGAACAGACACTTCTCAAAAGAAGACATTTATGCAGCCAAAAAACACATGAAGAAATGCTCATCATCACTGGCCATCAGAGAAATGCAAATCAAAACCACTATGAGATATCATCTCACACCAGTTAGAATGGCAATCATTAAAAAGTCAGGAAACAACAGGTGCTGGAGAGGATGTGGAGAAATAGGAACACTTTTACACTGTTGGTGAGACCCAATATTTTTAAGAGGCAGGACTTTAGGAAGTGATTAGGTAGTGAGAACTCTACCCGTGTGAATGGAACTAGTGCCATTATAAAAGGCTTGAGGGAGAGAAAAATCACTCATTTTGTCCATTTGCCCTCTGTCATGTGAGGATGCAGTAACAAGCAGCCATCTTGGAAGAGTAACCAGACCCTCACTAGATACTGAACCTGCCAGTGCCTATATCTTATACTTCCCAGCCCCCAGAACTGTGAGAAATAATTTTCTGTGCCTTATAAATTACCCAGTCTGAGGTATTTTGTTATAGCAGCAGGAACAGACTAAGACACTGCCCAAGACAGTTTCTCTTCTTCAATTTACTATCAATGACAATGACCGTCTCACAGTCTGTAAAATTTAAGATTAATATGTAATTCACCACATATGAACTTTACTTTCATCCACCAAATATGGCTGATTTTTCTTTTCCTTTTTTTTTTTTTTTTTACTATGTTCCTGCTATAGGCTGAGTGTTTATGTGCCCCAAAATTGCTATGTCAAAACCTACTCCTTCATGTGATGATATTAGGAGGTGGGACATTTGGGTGGCAATTAGGTCATGAACACAGAGCCCATATGAAAGGCATTAGTTTCCTTATAAAAGATACCCCAGAGAGATCTTTTACCCCTCTGACATGTAAGGATGCAGTGAGAAGATGGCTGTCTACAAACCAGGAAGTGTGCCCTCATCAGACACTGAATCTGCCGCCTCCTTGATGTTGGACATCTCAGCCTCTAGGGAAGAAATACATTTCTTTCTAAAAGAAATAAATTTAAATTTAATATTTTTTTTCTGTGAGAAAGTAATTTATGTAATCTATCTAGTTTATGGTATTCTGTTACAGCAACTCAAACTATGACAGTTCTCATCCTCTATAATTTTATGGACATTTTGGATCAGTGGTTTCTATTTTACTAGTCCAAAAGAATGAAATTCATCCTCTATGAATACACAACAAATAAAATACAAATGAATCAGACATATAATTTTACTACTTTTCATTTTACTGAAGCAAAACAAGCAAAAACAAAAAACTCTACTTTCATATTTATTTGAAAAAAAAAATCTCATGTTGAAAACCCTACGCCAATTTAATCTTTCATAGTTATGAGGTTCTTGTGATAAACGTTGGTAGCCTGTAACAATTAGAAACATGGAGACTGTGCCTCCTTGTCTGTCACCTCACTACCTGTTATGATGTTATGATGAATGAAAAGTCTGAGGATGAACTTGTATGTATGGAAACATTTATTAGCAAACAGGTGCAAAAATAATCATAAAGCCTGCTCTAGGAAGTGGGAAAAGTCCTTGCTTTCTGGCCTCTTAGGCATCCTGATAAGCACTTGCCATAAAAGGTCACTCCAGGTGGAAGCAATATGATGTTGTTAGGAGCAGTGAATCTTTTCTAGCTAAATCATGCAACCCCACCTTCTCTTCTGTGGAATAAAACAAGACCAATTTTTTTTCTTTACATCTAGGTTGTTGAGCTTGCCAGATTCTTATACTTTGTTCATGCAAAGATGTAGGTACCTGTATAATCTTCCTAGACAACCATATATCTTGAACATTGCTCAGTTTACCAATTACTTCTATCAACTTTTATTTAATTAACAAGCCCTCTCATTTAGTTTATATTTAAATAATTGCCCTAGCACCCCTGTAGTGCTGATTTCTATGCCAAGTGTAAACTAAGTACACCTGTGGTGTAGACTCTTGATTAGGATGTTTCATATACTAACTAATAATCTTGATAGGTCCTCTGTTAGGATGTAGATTAAAGATAATTTACATACAAATACATACTACTTATGTTGAACTACTTTAAAGAAAAACAATAGACTATAATAGTGTAAAGTATAAAAAACCCTCATAAATAGGATTATCATGTAATTTATTAAAACCACAATACATTTTAAGTGAAAACATATAGTAACTTAAGCTATCCCAGGTAAATTGTGTCTAGTTCATCTACACGCAGAAGATAATTCTTTAAATAATATTAATTTAGCTTTATAAAAAATGGGTTCTCATTCATATTTCATTTTTGTATACATTAGATTTTTTCCTCCATATGCTATTAATAGCTTTTAGGAACTATCTTTTTTAAATGAGTCATAAGTTATTGACTATCAAGATGCATAGTGAAAAGAGAAGCATTTCTTGTTTTTGTTATTCTGATTACTTGATTCTGGTTACTTGTTTCTGAATTTTATGCTTTGTAGGAGTGGTTGGCAGTTTTGCCTTATTATTGCTTTGGAAAATTTATATGGGTGTGTTTTTCCAAAGCAATAATGTTACAGTCATTTGTCACGACAATGAATAAAGTCTGTTTTGCCATAACAAGTGTTTCTCTAATGCAAATTGATTAATATGACTCATAAATAAGGAATGATGTTATTTTGACATAGAAGGCACATTGGCTTATATGTAATTTTTCCCCAGCAGATAACTGCTTAGGTTTTGCCAAGCAACAGCAGCTGAACCTCAAATATACATTTCAGCCTGCTTAGCAGCTGTCAAGGTCGTGGTACTGGATTCACCTCCAGTCTTCCTCATGGTTCAGTGAGGCTGGGTGCTCTTAGAAATACATTTTGCCCTCATCTCCAGAACTTTGCAGCTTTAGTCATTCCCTATTGTCCTCCCTTGTTCTACCTTTCTTTTTCCTCTCCCAAAGATAAAGTCCTATATTCAATAATTTTTTTTTTTTTAGGATTTAACATGTTTCTTTTTTAACTATGCTTGAATATTTTTAAGATGCTATTATTTATGGTAGTACTCTGAATAAAAAGTTTCAGAAGTTTTGATGGATCGCCCTCAACCCTATTTTTCTCTGGAACACTATTGTGTTCAGTGTCAGATATTTTAGAACATAATTCTTTTTGGAGTATATATATTACATTAGCAGAAACATCTCATATATATGATATATACGTGATACACTATATATATACATATTATATATACATATTTTATATATATACATATATACATATTTTATATATATACATATATACATATTTTATATATATACATATTATATATGTATATACACACACACACACACACACACACACACACACATACCATTAAATGTTAAATGTTCCTATTAAGTTTGTTAATAGTCTAGGTAATATCTATAACCTATCTTTCCCCTCATTCCCAATTATGCTGTTAGCTTCTCATGTCCAGCTCAAACACATATATATCTCTGTGTGTGTGTGTATGTGTGCGTGTACACATACGCTCACACTCTATATATGAGATGAAATCATAGTTAACTACCTATTGTTCTTGGAAAAAACTGAAATCATCTTAAATTTTTATGAAGACACAGAGACTGAGGTGCTAAGAGATCTGTTGGGGGTGAAATGGGCATGCCTTTCTTTAGACTGTACCCCTAAAGAAGGGGAGGAATGCTTGTCCTAAAATATAGACATTTAAAGTGGAATGTTGGTATCCTCCAAGTGGAAGTTTAAGGCTGAATGAGATTTAGGGAAACACGCTGTGAACTATTTAATGGCCTTGTATGCCATGCTTTATTTGTATTATGCTTTTTTCTTTTTACTGTATTTAAGAGAATTATAAATAATAAGCAAATAAGGTATATTCAAAAGAAAACCATTAAAGATTCAAGATTTGTATTGTGGTAAATGATACAATTTATGAAATGTGATAAGATCTAGCTTTCTGCATTGGTTTTATTTTATACCATATTAATAATGCTATATGATTTATTACTATTTGCTGATTTGTTCTTTTAGTTCTAACT
Source organism: Homo sapiens (assembly GCF_000001405.40). Lineage (NCBI taxonomy): Eukaryota > Metazoa > Chordata > Mammalia > Primates > Hominidae > Homo > Homo sapiens. The sequence continues at coordinate 199,465,810 of NC_000001.11, read as the reverse complement.
TCTATTGCTATATGGTGTGTCTCTTGTTAACATTGTATAGAGATATCGCTTAAGTATCTTTAAATATGTGAATTACTGATCTATTACACTTTCACACTTTTCATGTGCTTTCCTATGCTTCCACTCCCTCCCACTTTTTTCTGTGTATGGTTACTGTTGGGGCTCAGGAAATGATACCACAAAGTAAAGGCCTCAGAAGCAGCCTTAGAGGCCAAGTTTTCCTCTGACCTTGTCCTGCCCTCCTGTCTCTCTTCCTTCATTCTCCCCTGAGGCTAGCCATAGATACTAGAATTCCTCTTCACCAGTGTCAGTCATAGAAACCAGAACCCCTTCCCCCCAAAGCCAGCCGTAAATCTAAAAATATTTCTGTAACTTTCGCCTACCTTTCTTTGTAAGAACTGGCCATAAAGAAATTCTCTGAACTACATGGTTTGATAGAGGTTATAAAACCCCTATTTCAGAAGGGGTCCTGCCCTAAACCCAGGAGGAAAAAAATGCTCCACAGAAAGGCCAAGAAAAATCCAGCCTTGCTAAGTTTCTGCACTGTCTATTAGCATTAGCTCATACCCTTTCGTCACATTTCTACACACTGTCCATGCTTCATTGAACCTAAAGCATAAAAATGGATAGTTTACTTTAGGTCTCTGGGTCTTCAAGTCTGAATGCTCTCATGTCATGTAAAACTTTGATTAAATAAATCTATGGTGCTCTTTCTTGTTAAAGTGTTTTGGTATAGCAACGTGTGCCATGATTCAAATCTCATTTTGAATTTTAATCCCCATAATCCTCAGGTGTTAAGGGAAGAACGTGGTGGGAGGTAGGTGGATCATGGGAACAATTTCCGCCATGTTGTTTTTGTGATAGTGAGTGAGTTTCACAAGATCTGATGGTTTTATAAGTGTTTGACAGTTCCTCCTTCATGCACTCTCTCTTGCCTGTCACCATGTAAGATACGCTTGCTTCCCCTTCTGCCATGATTGTTTCCTGAGGCCTCCCCAGCCATGCAGAAGTGTGAGTCAATTAAACTTTTCCTTATAAATTACCCAGTCTCGGGCAGTTCTTTATAGAAGTGTGAGAACAGACTAATATAACCACTCCACACCTGCGTTACAGTAACAGCTATTTTCTCTAGTAGTTTAGAAAGTTTGCTCCTAAACAAGCTTATGGCAGTTACCATTAAATGTTAAATGTATCTATTAAGTTTATTAATACTCTTGCACTCATTGTCTCTCCTGCCACCCTGTGAAGAGGTGCCTTCTGCCATGATTGCAAGTTTCCTGAGGCCTCCGCAGCTATGTGGAACTGTGAGTCAATTAAACCTCTTTTCTTTATAAATTACTCAGTCTTGGATACTTCTTCATAGCAGTGTGAGAATGAGCTAATACAGGGTTCAATCTAATTGGTGACCATTGACCTTTTTATACCTGAATATCTATAGATTTATCTAGGTTTGGAAAGTTATCTGGTATTAATTCTTTGATTTAGCTTTTTACACCTTTACTTTTCCAGCTTTCTCTTCCTGACTATATGCTCTTCTAATGTTGTCTCATGGATCCCATAAACCTTCTTTATTACTTTTTATTCTCTTTTCTTCTCTATGTATTTTCAAATAGCCTGACTTCAAGCTCATTGATTCTTTTGTCTGCTGTTGATGCTCTCTATTGTACTTTTCATTTCATTTCATCCATTATGTATTTCAACTCCACAATTTCTGTTTTTGTTTTATTTCAATCTCTTTGTTAATTTTATCTGAAAAATTCATGAATTGTTTCTTTGAGTTTTACTGAAGTTCATTGAGCTTCCTTAAAACAGCTATTTTATTTGAGAGATCTCTATCACTTTGGATTAGTCACTGGTGCTTTATTTTTTTCATTTGGTGAGGTCATAGTCCCTGGATATTTCTGATGTTTGCAGACATGTGAGAATGTCTGCACATTGAAGGATTAGGTATTTATTCCATTCTTTACAGTCTGGCTTTGTTTATATCAGTCCTTATTCAGAGGCTTTCCAGAGATTCCAAGCAGATCTCTGAGCCTGTAATAACTGTGTTTTCTGAGCATGTGATAACTGCAGTTGTCTTAGCACTAGAGGGTGCTCTAATCCCAGGCTTGCTGTGAGTCTTGTGAGAGCTCCAAGGTTGATGTGGCTCTCTGGCCTGAATGTACCTAGGGAAGACCCAAAGAGCGTACTGGGGCTGTGTGGAAAAGCTGGTCATGGAGCTGCCCCCAGAAGAGTGTCCTGTTGGCCCAGACACATGTGCCTCCCAGCAGGCCCTATGCAGGTGATAGATCCCTGACTGCAGCAGAGGGGATGGAGTTGAGACTGCACCCCCTCAGGATCTTGTGTGGGATGGAGGCTGGTGAGCCCATCTTGTTGGTTCAAATGGGTATTTGTCTCCCAGCAGGACCCTGCACAAGTAGGGGTATTTCCTTGACTGTAACAGGAGGGTCCAAAGCTGAGACTAGGACCCCTCAAGACCTGCTATGTGATGGCTGCTGGCAAGCCTGTCTCATTGACTCAGACAAGCGTGTGTTTCCCAGTAAATTTCTATACAGGAGGGGTCGTTTCTCAACTAGCATAAGTGGAGCCAGAATTGAGACTAGGCCACCTCAAAATCTGCTGTGGGATGGAGGTTGGAGAGCCCAGTTTCATTGGCTCAGAGGCGCATGTTTCTCCCAGCAGGTTCTTAAACAGATGGTACAGTTATCCAACTGCTGTGGGAGGGCCAAAGCTGAGACTGGGCTTCCTTGGGATATTCTGTGAGATGACAGTGGTGAGCCAATATTGTTGGCTTAGATGGGTGTGGGTATGAATTTTCCAGCATGCTTGTGCACAGATAGGATTGTTTCCCCACTGCAGCAGGAAGGACTGGAACTAAGACAAGGCATGCTCAAGATCTGTTATGGGACAGATGTTGGCAAGCCCATCATGGAGGCTCAGACTCTTGAGCTGAGAGATATGGTCATATTTCCCTCTAGGTCCTTATATTAGCAGTTCTGAGCTGGGACCTCAGCTGAGGGGGTTGGGGTCAAGCTACAGGGGAACTTTCACATTCACTGCTGACCCTGATGTCAGTGGACAGATAAGCCTCTCCACAAGGTACTAGTGTGTGCAGTTTCTCCTGGACAGCTTGGCTGATGGTTTTGTTGCATGCTGAAGGCCATATGGGGCTGTAGCCAAGCCCTTTGGGAAATGAGGCTGTTTTCAGACTTGAACCAAGGAGCGTAATTGGTAGATCAGCCAACTGGGTGTCAGTCTGCATTCTCAAAATGACACTTTTAGATCTTGGGCTCCACTAAGATTTCACAACTTCCAATCTGAATCCTAAGGCTCCAGCAGAGAGACCTTTGTCTGTGGATAAGTGCAAAAGTTTTGTTGTTGTTTGGGGATGTGAGAGGGTTACCTCCTATTCTGCCATTTTGCAGATGTCTACTCCTAATTTTATTTTTTTCTAATTTTTCACTCTGTTTTTCAGGGCAAATAAGTTGAGAATGTTTTATTCTCTTCTGATTTCTGAAAGGGTTTGTGAAAGATCTGTGTACTATGTAAATGTTTGATAGAATTCAGACAGTCTACCTGGATCAGGACTTAACTTGAAGGAAAGTTTATATTACAAATTCAGTTTCCCTCATAGATGTGGATCTGTTCAAAGTTTCTATGTCCTATTTGTCAGTTTTGATAATTAGTGTCTTTCAACAAATCTGTTTATTTTATTTAAGTTGTCAAACTTATTGGCATACATTTGTTCACAATATCTGTTAACCTTTAAATGTCTATAATATCTGTAGTGATGTCCTCTCTTTTATTCCTGTTATGAATAAGTAAATTCAGACCACTTGATGTTGTTCCAGAGCTCATGAAATCTCTGTTAATTTTCTCCAGTTCACCTTTTATTCTATGTGCCTCAGTTTGGATAGTTTCTATTGCAACATCTCCAAATTAACTGACATTTTCTTCTGAAATGTCTAATCTCCTATTAATTCTATCCAGTATGTTTTTTGAGTACTACTTTTTTTTTTTTTAGCTCTAGTGGTTCTTTCTGTTTTTTTTTTAATATTTCTTTTTCCGTCTCATTATGTTTATCTTTTTCTTTAAGTCCTTGAAACTACTTCTAAAAATTGTTTACTTTCATTATATTTGGGTGTATTTCTAGTGACTGATATTTTTCTTCTGTTTAAAATGAGTCCTATTTTCTTCACATGTCTGATAGTTTTTGGTCAAATGCTAGACATTATAAATACTATATTGTTGATGATATGGATATTTTTCTCTTTTAAAGAGCTAGATGTTTCTTGTTTGTTTGGAAGGCAGTTACATTACATTACTTACAGGTCCATCTAATTTTCAAAGCTTATTTTTTAGCTCTGTTAGGAAGGTTCTATAGCAGTCTGTACATTAGATCTAGTTTAGCCCTACTAAGATTTTCTTTTTGGAGTCTTTACTAAATGCACTGGGATTTAATTAAGTAGTTTTCATTTTGGTCAGAATTGAAACAACTTCCAGTCCTGTTTCAGCAACTCCCAGTGGTTGTTACTTCCCTGGTAGTTCCTTGTTCAAACTCATGGAGTCTCTCTCCTTATTCATGCTCAGCTTAGTGTTCAGCCAAAGCCTCAACTCTATGCATAGTTCTGTATTTCTTTATTTCTTTGTATATCTCTTTTCTGGCACTCTGCCTTTTAAATTCCAGCCGTGTTGACTTCCCCAAACTCTGATTTCTGTGTCTTCTGCTACATGAGACATGTTCTGCCTGGGCTTTGCATTTTTGCACTGTAGTCTAGAAAGTGCTTACAAACAGGAAGCCAGGGCAGTATTAGGACTCACGCTTCTCTCTCCTCTTTTAGACGTGTGGTGCTTGTTTGATGCCTATAAACTGTTGTTTCATGTTTAGTCCAGTTTTCTAATCATTTTCTATGAAGAAAATTCAGTAACAGTTACTGCATAATGGCTACAGGTAAAAATTAAAATTATCTTTTCAAAAATATGTACTTCTAATAATATTGAAATGTTTAATATCTAAGGGGGAATAAAACAGCTTAAGAAACAATATATTCCTCAACTAGCATAAGTAGGACTAACAATTTATTTGTATATTCACAAAAAGGAGAATATTCTATATATTTTGATATCTTTTCTATGAATATACACACTTGCCTCTTTTCTATGAATATATAAATAAATATACATTTATTAATGCACATTTATAATATACTTATATATTTATAAAACACATACTTTATATATAGATAATACATAAATATATATTATATTAATTATATATATATTAGTTAATATATTAATACTATATATGTTATATATAATTAATGATTGTTGGAATTGGTGGTAATATTTTTGTCTTTAGTTTATTTTGTAAATTTTCAATAATCAATATGCATTTATTTTTCAATTAGAAAGATATTTAAAAAGGCCCACGTAATAAAGAAGATAGTATAATGATAGTCAATGTCTGTCTTTGTATACCATTCACTTTTAATAAGTCCCATTAATGTGCCATTAAATTATTAAATAAATGTTTGCTGGACACGGTGGTGTACACCTTTAGTCCAAGCTACACAGGAGCCCGAGGTGGCAGGATCACTTCAGCCCAGGAGTTTGTGACCAGCCTTGGCAACACAGCGAGACTCTGTCTCTAGAAACAACAACAACAAACAAAACAAAACAATAAGTGCTTATTAATTTAAATTGTTGAGCTTAGATCAGTTTTTAATATGATAATGAGAAATTTCATGTAGAAATTTTCATGTTAAAACACACAAAAATTAGGCTTATTGATAATTTAAGATTTAATGATCATAGAATTTAGATTTGAAAGAAACTTCAAAGGATTATTTAGTTCAATCCCTGTAAGTAACTTATATCTAATTTGGTAAAGTGATTTGATGGAGGTCTGATAGCTAGTTAATGGCAGAATCAGAGAGATTTCCATTGTAGGATTTTTTGATACTAAACCATGCTGCTTCCCTCTTCTTTGAAATCGTCTGGAGGTGGTTTACAGGTTAATAGATGATTATAAAATTGAACATTTAAGTATTCAATAGAACGAAGACTATAAAGGAAGCAGGAGTAGATGCTACTGTTATCTAAGATTATGTAACTGGGCACAAAATTAAGTTTTCTAGTGTTGAGACAAAATTGGGAAAAACATTTCCTACTAGAATAAGCATGAATTTATACATTTATAGAGGCATGCATTTTTGGAATGTATTATAAACAGGATTTTACTGTGTGAAAATGCCCTCATACCATATATTTATAACAAATGAAATGACTCATTTGTAACTAACAGGATCAATTTAACACATTCATGTGCAAATGTCCCTGAAAGAATTCTTCTAAGTTAAACATCTGCAATATTATTTGTACTAATAATATGCTGAGCAAACCTTATCTTCAAATACTACAAAACAGTAAGCTCTAGTTCATCTCAGGCCAAAACATGAGAGAAATTCTGAATCCACTTATTCAGAATAAATAGTTTTTTATGAAGGGTAGCAGTGATTTCTATTTTGACATACACTAAATTCTCTTTGTCCACCCCTTATGTATCTTCCATATTCACATTTGCAAAGTTGGGCCAAGATGGACAAAGGCAACCCATTTTGACTGACCCCATTTTCACCCCATTGGCGTTTCCACTTTCTCACTTAGGTTGCCAAAAATATTTAGTCCTTGGAAGGAGGTTATAATTAGATTTGATTTTCCCTCTTATCTCAAGATACAATCAGTATTAATCTTATTATTCCTCTTATCCTAAGTTATTTCAATCTTTACATGAAGCCCAAGATTCCCAGATCATATCTTTGGCCTAGATTCTCCCCAGTAAGTTTCTATACTCTCCCTAATCTATCTCAATCTTAAACCCTTTGACTTTCTGAGCTGGTGTGTTTTTTTTGTTTTTGTTTTGTTTTGTTTTTTCTTTGAGGCGGAGTCTTGCTCTGTCACCCAGGCTGGAGTGCAATGGCATGATCTCGGCTCACTGCAGCCTCTTCCTCCTGAATTCAAGTGATTCTCCTGCTTCAGCCTCCTGAGTAGCTGGGACTACAGGCACGTACCACCATGCCCAGTTAACTGTTGTATTTTTAGTACAGACAGGGTTTCACTATGTTGGCCAGGCTGGTCTCAAACTTCTGGCCTCAAGTGATCTGCCCGCCTCAGCCTCCCAAAGTGCTGGGATTACAGGCATGAGGTACCACGCCCAGCCATCTCTGAACCCTTTTATTATTCCTATGAAAGACATGACTTTTCATGAGTAAAATCCCTATATCCTCACCCTCTTCTGTGAAAGTATCCTTACCTTCTCATACTAAAGCCTGATTGCTCCTTGAGGACACTGCTATGGCAGAAAAATGATTTCTTTCCTCTCTTACCTACCTGTAGGTGAGACTGGGTGGGGAGAGAATTAATGTTCTTCTATGTTGCTGCTTCCAGAAGCTTGTTTCTTTCTCCTCCATAGAATGCCCCAGATGTTCTGAATTTCATCTACTACAGCCACAGCTGCCACCTATGATCGTGCAGGGACACAAAGTTACATGCAACAATAATTTCCAAACTGAGGGATAAGATTTGGTGCAGAAGTGGAAGAGTTTGACTGAAATATGAACATGACTGTTCCTAGTGGAAAGATATGCTGTATATGGTGTCTATTGGTGGGAAAATGTATGAGTTCTCACCAGATAGGCCCTCATTTCTCTACTAAATAAGAAGCTGAGCATGTGAAGAAATAGAAATAGCCTGACAGGACCTTATTCCTTCACCTACAAAATGTCCTCATGGTTGTAGTCTATTCTATACTATCCATTTTCTCTAATACACTGAGTAGTTCTCATAAGAAAACAAAAATGTAATATATCTTATTGTTAAATCTTTCACATTACCATGAGGCTGAGTGAAGGGCATGTGGGATCTCTGTAATACTTTTGCAACATCTTGTAAGGCTAGTGTCATTTCAAAATTAAAAGTTATAATTATCACTTTTTCTGCCCAAATCCATGTTTCACTGCACCTTATTTTCCCACTCTTTTTATAGCCAATCTTCCATAAAGAGTTATGTATTTCCTCTTTATGTTTCTGCTATTCCTTCACTTTAGTCCCACTACTCTACTAAAATTGACTATGTCAATGTCTTGAATGACCACCTCATTGCCAAATTCAATCCATAATCTTCATTCCTTCTCCTAACCTGCCATTTGACTGCATTTGATGCAACTGACCATGCCACCCTAAAATCTCGCCTACCTGAACAGCAGAAGTAGAGGAGCACATCATAGCTCCTGGATGGAAGAGGTAGAAGACACCTTTCTGCCCTCAACATAAGAGGTAGAGGAGTATATCACAGCAAAGGACATTCGTGATAGAGGATCACCTCTTTTTCTTCAACCTCTTTTTTACTTATTTTGACTAAACATTGGAGTGCCCAGAGCTCAGTCCTCTGCCTCTGTCTATACTAACTATGTAATCTCACCCATTTCTGTGATTTAAACAAATATTTATAGGCTGCTGACTTCCAAGTTCGTATGTCCAGCCTCACATTCTCCCCTCCACTGCTGACTCTTGTTTTATCGCCCTACTCCACATCTCTACCTGCATGTGTCAAACAGACATCTCAAAGTAGACTTGTTCAGAGCACAGCTCTTGATTCCTCTGTTCCCTTCCTGCCTCACACTAGCTCTTTCCTCTGTATTCCTCTTCTCAGGAAATGGCAGTACCATTTACTGAGCTGGTCAACTCTCAAATCTAAAAAACATTCCCTAATGCAGATTTTTGTCTAACAAACCATATCATTCCATTAGGAAATTCTGTTGGGTCTGTCTTCTAAATATATTCAGAATCCTTCCACTTCTCCAACCGTGGCCTAAGCCACCATCATCTGTCATCCAGACTATTGCAATAACCTGCTAACCAGTGTTCCTGCTCTCCTCCTTACTCCCAGGCTTTTCTACTACAGCATTCAGAATGATCTTTTAAAAACATAAATCAGATCACACCAATCTTATGTTCCAAAATCCTCTGCTGAATTCTCATCTCATTCAGAATACAATCCAAAATCTTTGTCATAGACTAAAAATACTGACATAAAAGACCTCTTGGGTTAATTCCCTACCATCCTTCTTGCTTACCCTTACTGCCTCATTTTGCTGTTTCTGAAGTGTACTGAATACTGCCTTTCCCCAGTGCCCTTGTACTTACTGTTCCCTCTGCATGAAATGTTCCCCTTTCCCTTCTATCCCTGGTATCTCATTGTTTGTTTTCCTATTTCTTTAGTTCTTTGCTCAAATAGGGCCTTATCTGAGGTGGTTGGACCTCTCTAACTGCTCTCTCTATAAAAGAATACCCTCCCAATCTGGAACCCACTCTATTTTTCTATTTGCTTTATTTTTTTCAGACTGCTGATTATAACCTGATATTCTATATTTGTGTATATATATATATATAGTTTGTTTATTGTCTTCATTTCCTTTTAGAAAGCTCAGTGGGGATTTTATTTCATTCACTTTATTAAACCTAATGCTTAAAATTGTGCTTAGCATATAGTAGTTGCTCAATAAGTATTTTTGGATAACTGACTGACTGAAGAAATCAATGGACCTTATGGCCCAACTGTACCTTGAAAAGGTTAACTCTAACCTACCTACCTCTTCGTCTTCTCTCCTCTCCCCATATTTAACATGTTATGAACATCCAAATGCTATGCCAAGCATTGGTAATACAAAGGTAAAACACCTAATCAAATGAATACAACATGTTGTTAATTCTAACAATTCAACACAGTATTTGGGAAGCTCAGAAAAAAACAACTCATTCAGCCAGAAAAAATGATTCAAAAAACAAATACTTGGAAGACAAAGAGCTGTTAATGAAGATGACTATTGCCTGCAGAGAAAAGAGAATATAAAATGGGGTACAGTAAGGCAGTCTATCTGCTTGTTATGGTTTATAGGATCTCATGATGTTTATAATATTTGGGAAAATAAAATAAAATCAATGTTGAAATCCAAGAAGCCAAATATAGTTTGGTCTCTGGCCAATTTATGTATTTTTCTTCTCCTGCTTATCTTCATCATCCTTCTGCCTTCTATTTGTAGAGACTACTTTTCAAGGGACCTGATTTGGGAAAATTAATTTTCAGAGTCCGAAAATTTCAAAGTCATTTAGAGTAAAGCCCTAGGAGACGTGTATATTTAGGATTCCCTTTACTCATTGCTTTCAATATTGGTTATATGCTGAAAACAAAGTGTTCTATAAATAGTTTAGGGAGCTCCCCTGAAATTTTGTTAATACTTAGTGTAACAGATTTGGAACTCAATAATATTGAGTGCAGTGTGACAGTATTATGAAATTTGGAACAAAGTTTTATTCCTATGTTTCCTTACGCTACTTAACCCTTCTCCAGTTTGAGCACTTGGCCATTAAACTTTAAATGCTTTAGAAAGGGGTTTTATGAAGCAAGTGAAGAAAAAAGAACCATTTCTTCCTTTTTTATTGCTGAAAGCAGAGGCCACAAGGGGACACAGGGCCAAAATAACAGATTCAAAAAATGCATATGAAGGACTCAGAGCAGGGCTTCCTGCCTAGAGACAAATGTCACTTTTCCCAGATGGGTGTGGGAAGCGCCTTAGAAGAGAAACCAGGAGAGCTTTAAGTCTACTGGTTTATGTAAAGGGGTCCTGTGTACTACTCTCCACCTTGGTTGTGAGTCCTAGGGATTAGAGAGAAATGCAGACATCTTTGACAGTTTTTCAGAGCCAATAGTAGCAGAAACCTGTGCCCCTGCAGCCTGCTACAAGAGACAGAACAAGGTCAGTCATACATACGCTCATGGGTGACTTACAAGTCAACAGCATTTTAATTCCACATAATTTTCATGCCTAGTGTCATCTAGGAGCAAGAAAACGATGCCCATGTCCAAAGGAGGGGCACCAAAATCATGAGGGAAAAACCCCATGGGGCCATGGGGTTAGGCCTGCAAGACAGCACAACTCAGACCTACACGTCCCAGGAGGGAGCAGAGGAGATGAAGCTGCCATAGTAGATACCAGCATAACAATCCTGACACCAAGGACCAGATTAGATCTCCCCCTCCCAAAGTTTTGATCCCATGTGAAAGACCCAGGATTGAAATTAAAAAAAACAGGGGCAAATGAGGTTTTAAATTAGAAACAAATTCAGTGACAGAAAAAGAAAGGAAGATATACTTCTCACACTTCTGGGTTAGTGGGCTGAGAATTGCACTTGCCATATTTATTATTAGATACATGCTCATTGCCATAAGCAACTTTCTAAAATCTTATAAGATATGTCTATTTGTTATAAATCAAAATGTACGATGATTTCTTTGGGATCAACACAAAGGATAGTTGGGGTTTCCTCAACTTGCGTGATATGATTTATTATCTTTTTAAATCTGAATTTTAATGTTCTTAGTGGTATCTGAGAAATGGTAAATATTCTTGACAGAGGAACAGGCAAGAGTGGACACAGGAATGCAAAAGGCCTCTGAATGTTTTGCTTTTAAATGAATTTTAGGCATTTGCTTTGAATGGAAATGATATTGGATCTGCTGAGAAGATAATTCTCAAATTGACATCATTTAAAAAATTTAAAAAGTTACCACAGCTAAGCTCCTAGTTAAAAATACCAGTTGTTGAAGCTTGGAAGCATTTGTCAGATTTTAAGAAAAGAATAATTGAATACTTGAAGGGCTTTATAGCACAGACTTCAGCATATTATTAGTACTAATAATGCTCCATTTGAACATTGATCTCAGAGAAACCATCTACTTGGCAAACAAATCAGCAACTCCCATTACCAGAGCAGTTGTGATGAATGTCAGTGCCTGATGAGGCAGACTAATTTCCCATGAACACGTCATTAAAGCTGGCTCTATATGCAGTGTACGATGTCTCAGCAATCAAAGATGCTGTGGAGTTCCAAACATCTAACAGCAGCAGCTGAAATACAATTTACTTCTTACTAAAGGAAAAGTGATCACCCAGGCACAAAATCTAGTCTGTGGAAAAAGAAAACGAGTAGGATGGAGCCACTGGAGAGTCTCAGAGTTGCTTTGCTTTTCAAGTATTTCTCAGGACTCAGCTGTTATGATGTGCAGCTTGAGGTGATTTGTGACAGACTATTGAGGAGATTTGGAAGGTGTCCTCTAGGTAATTATGCAAAAAAGTGTGGAAATGTAAAAAACAGTCAAATGATTTCTATATGCTTCTAGTGTATTCTCATATATTGCCTTAATTTACAATAGCATCTACTTCACAGTATGCAACATATTAACTGGCTGAAATCTCTGGTCCCTGTGATTGGGACAAGAGAGACAGCCACATGAAAATCCGAAAAAACGCAAGGCTAGCATGCTGCTAACTCAAGAGAAAGTTACCTGGGAATACTTTATCAGAGAGGCTCATTGAGATCTATTACCATTTCCAAAGCTGCACCAAGAAAATCCACACTGTGCCTTATTGCTACCTTTTGCATTTCCTCATGCAGAGAATAAAATTTGTTGCTGTGATTCAATGCACTTATCACTCTTTCATTAAAAAACAAAAGGATTTCAAAGTAAGTCATATGCTTGAATTCTAGTAACTGTTATGGAATGACATAGAATAAAATTACAGGAAAGTAAGGTACTTTCATGTACTGAATACCTAACATGAGTCCCATCCTTTGCTAAATATTTGTATGCATTAATTCATTAAGCATCTGAAGTAGATATATCTTTTGCTTAGATGTAAGGAAAATGGATTTTAAAATGTTTCTGGTCACGTGGCTAAAGAATAACAGCATTGAGTCTTAAAGCAGGTCTTTGGACTCCAAAGTCCTTGTTAATACTGCTATGCCATGATCTTCCTTTTTTAGAAGACCAGGGAGTAGTAAATATCATGCTTGCTTTAACAGTGGAGCCACTAAGGTTAGGGAATGTAAGTACCTTAGGCTGCAGCATTAGAAGAGCCCAGTAGGAGGTCAGGCAGATGTTCAACTCCCGGGAACCCTACTGCCAGCATCTTCTCCCTGGTTGACATCTGTTGCCCAGATTGTTCAGGGGAACTCACATTATCCTTTGAGGGGGCCTCAGACATTGCCAGCTGAACAAAGAATGTAAAGCAAATTCATTAAGCATTTAAACACAAAACTAATGATGGAATAAGATACCATGTCTTTCTTTAAAACAAACTATGCCTAAGTAACCTGTGCAAGTACTTCCAGCAGGTAAAGAAACATGCACATAAGGAAGAACCAGTGGCCATAACTGAAGACGAATTTAGGCTTTCAAAAATCTTTCCCCAGTGAAAACTACTGGGCAATATAATTACCATAGCTTTTGTGGCCTATTTTACTATATCTGGAAAACTAGAACAAAGATAGAAAGCCAATGAAGGAGAGAAAGTGATACTTTATAGAATGGAGAAATGCTAGTGGTATAGTACACCAAGAATTAAAGCTTAGGAAAAGTTTACTTTCAAAATTGTATATATAGTCTTAAGAAATAAAAACCCCACATTCACATACAACAGATTCTAATTAGAAACATCAAGATAACAAAGAAGCTGGTAAATTTCTCCAAGATTACGGGAATGGGCTAGAAGATAAAAGATGAATTTCAAGTGGTCAAGAAGTTAGTAATATATATTACATAATTCACTGAATATCTATCATATTTTAATTTCTAGGCCAGACCCTAGAAATAAACAAAAGGCTCCAGCAACACAGTAAGTTCCTGATCCTTGGTTTGTAAGTGCAGTGCCATCTGTGGTGCCAGATATTTGAATAAAGTGGATAAAATTTCTTTACCTTGTAAGGCATATTGTGTAGATACAAAAAACTATAATATAATGCAATAAACACAAGGAGAGAAAAAGAATGCTTTAGCACAGGGATTCTCTACTTTAGCTTTATTTTATTTATTGTTTTTGATATGAAGTTTCACTCTTGTTGCCCAGACTGGAGTGCAATAGTATGATCTTGGCTCACTGTAACATCCACCTCCCAGGTTCAAGGGATTCTCCTGCCTCAGCTTCCTGAGTAGCTGGAATTACAGGTGCCTGCCACCATGCCTGGCTATTTTTTTTTTTTTTTTTGTATTTTTAGTAGAGACGGGGTTTCACCATTTTGTTCAGCTGGTCTTGAACTCCTGACCTCAGTTGATCCACCAGCCTTGGCCTCTCAAAGTGCTGAGATTACAGGTGTGAGCCACCGCGCCCCGCCTACCTTAGCTTTATCGACCATTTAAGCTGAACAATTCTTTACTGTGGGGGGCTGTCTTGTGCATTGTAGGATGTTTAGAAGCACCTCTGGCCTCTGCCCACTAGATACCAGTAGTGCCTCTTCTCCCCACCCCCAAGTTTTGACAATCAAAAATGTCTCCAGATATTGCCAGTGTCATAAAGGATGGATGCACAATTGCTTCAGCTGTGTGAACAAGGGGCATCTAATGCAGCCCAAAGATGGTGGTGGTGGGGGGTGTAGTGCAGGGGAGTAGAAGAGGAGTGGGAGGCTGAGGGAAGGTTTTGGAAATAATACCTAAACACAGTCTTTGAGAATGAGTAGGTAGTAGCCAGCCAAAGGCAAGACATGCCATCAGCATTCATAAAGACAAAAGGAAGAGAAAACCATGGCTCCCCAGTTTGGAAATTCAATTTGCTCTATGTCACTGAACATTTATTGAGTGCCTACCATATGCCAGGTGCTGAGAATGCAAAACTTCAAAGGAGCTCACAGTCCAGTTCAGCAACTCTCAATCTCATCTCCCCACAGTTACGTATTATGTGATATTGTGATCATTTGTGGGATTTGTCTTACATAATTTGTTACTAATATTTGTCTTTTAAGAAGAGTTAGGGGATGGTTTGCTATTATCAATAATTAATCCCTAAAATGAAATCATTTTCATTCACTGGCATTCTAACACTTGTTTTGAGTGATAGATAAAGCGGTAGCAATAATAGAAGACTGACTTGTAGGGCAAACCTGCAGTTCATCCTGCTTACCTTGCAGCTCAGAAATAGTTGTCCAAGTGATTCTTATGCATTTTGGTGAATGAAAGCCTAAGATCTGTTAAACTAGAGAAGAGAGAAGTAAATGAAATTGAGTGTGATAAATGCACTCATAGATTTTTGACATTTTTTTCTTGAGTTTTTAATCTCTTCTTTGGGCCTCCTTAGCATCATCTTTCCTAGTGTGCCTTCTTTCTTTTCAGCTATTTTCTATGTCAATTTCATTTAGTGTCTTCTGTTGTTCTGGTCAATGGAAAACTTTCAACATATGTTTTTTGAGAGCCTACTGTGTGGTGGCCACTATTTTAGACAATTTTTGGTTTTCTCAGGTATGCATATATTTAATAACGTATATTGGTAGCTTTCAGTAATTCGGGAGTGAGATGAAGACTATAAAAAATTATATGGGCTTTATTTTGTTTGGTTATTGCCTTTGCCCTCTCTTACATTCCCTTGAATGAACATGGTGCCATGATCAAAATCATCGAGGAGGAAAGGACTGGTGGTGAGGGACATATGCCTTATGCTTCTAGTATATTCAAAACAACAACAACAACAACAACAGAGAGAGAAGGGGTTTAGAATCTTAACTGTTCAAAATATTCTTACTGAGCAATTATCCAAATGTATGACTTCAAATACCACCTATACATTGGTAACTGTGATTCTCTTTGGCATGTCTAGACTTTCCTCCCAAGCCCCAAAGCCCTCTATATAACCCCTTGGATATCCCACAGGCACCACACACTCAGCACATGTTAAGGTAAATGTGTTTGTTTATTCCCCCAACTTTCTGTCTCCTCTTGTAGTTTCTACATCAGTAAAAGTCACAACTCTCCATCTAGTAACTCAAGACAAAGATCTGTTCATTCTAGATTCCATTCTCCATTGGCACTAATTGTAGTGAGTCACTAGGCACTGGGTTTTCTTCTTCGACAGATTTTCTATCATTACAACCTCTTTCTCTTTCTCATTGACTGATTTTGTTGATTCCAAACTACCTTTCTTCTTCCAGTCTTCCACGCTGTTTTTAAACAGTCAGATAAAGCTACATCCTTGCTTAAAATCTTAAAATTCCCCAAATATCTCCCACAACTATAGAATAAATTTATCCTTTTTATTCAAGCCATTACTCAAGTTCTCTTATATTTTATCATTCATATTCATTTATCTTCCTTCAAGCTCTAGACCACAAACTTGGCCTAAATCATGATCATATCTTCCTGGGGCAAATGAAAATTCTTGCTATTGTTCTTTCTGTGGTCATTCTTGCCTTCTCATAATTCATTTTCCACATAGTATCCAGTAAAATCACTTCAAAATATCACTCCTCTGTACAACCCAGATAGCATCTCTGTGAACTAAGGACAAAATACAATCTTTAACATGCCCATGAGACCCTGCGTGGGTGAGCCCCTCCTCGTTATTCACTCTGACCTCAGCTTGCTCCCAACCATGCTCAGTGTGCTCCCACCACAATGGCCTCTTTCAGGTCTGCGAATGTGCCTGGTTCCTTCTTTCCCCAGGGTCTTCCCACACTCTGTTTTTCTTGCCTAAAATGCTCTTCCCTCCACATTTTCCCTAGCTAAGTCTTACTTATCTTTTGAGTACCTTCTTACTGAATAACATGGTTTTTCAAAAATGCCAGGCTATTTATGTCACCCTTCCTTGCTATTTTTATTTTCTTAGTATAAAGTAGTCTTTCTCCTATCCAACATTGCCTTACCCCGTCGTAAAGAACTCAGTTCATGAGACGTTTTCTCATCTAGGAACACATTCTGAAAACCTCAGGCTGATTTGCATAGCTCTCCTCCATGTTCCTGTGGATTGTGATCTAACTTTGTCCACCTCATTTCAATTAAAGTCTTCTGAGTGGATTTTTTTCAGTATTGAATTTCTCCTTACTAAGGAAAATATTAACCAGCCATATTGATTCAGTAAATAGTTCAGTAAGAATGCAGCGCTGAGTTTCTTGGGAATGGAATTTTAAAATTCCAGGCCAACCTGAAGTCAGAACATTCCTTTTATCGCTCAACTTTAGTAATTTTCCCCAGTGACCCACAGCACAACAAGTCCTAATAATCACTTGCTTAATTGAACTTATGTCCCTTTGGAGTAAAATTAATTTGGATGAATCTGAGTTTTGCTAGATTTAAGTATTCCTTTTGAGATCTGGAGAAAAGTTATAGGAGAAAGGGTTGGGGGGAACCTTTGTTTTGCTTATGTTTATAATCGTTCTTATTGCAAAAATGTTTGCTGGACCAACTGGAAGCAGCAGTGTTCGGAGATTCCATAATAAGCATGTGAATCCTTCACCAAGGTGTCCAGGTTCTCTCATCAAAATTGACTAGAAGGCTAGCGTGACCCATGGAGAGAAGGAAGAGCAGTGAGGTGTGGTGGCCCACCTGAGAGCCACATGGGAAAGGGGATCCCCCTCCCCACAGCCAAGGGAGGCCATGAGTAAGCGTGATACCCATCCAGGGAAACTGTGCTTTTTCCATGGAACTGTGCAACTGATGGATTGGAAGATCCCACTTGTAAACCCATGCCACCAGGGCCCAGTGTCCCAACCCTGGAATGCACAGATGCTTACAGCCTCTCAGCTGGAATCTGCCTAAGCCTTACTGAACTCCCGGGGGGAGGGATGGCGAGCACCAGCTGGAGCTGCCTGCTGTCTAAGCAGTTTGAACTCCTTGGGGAGGGGCAGCAGTCAGCACTGGGACTTGCAACTGCCTAACACACTAAGCTTCCTGGGCAGGGGAAGGGCGGCACCCATTTTGATAGCTCCAGGCCGTGCTTTTCCCCTGCTGGAGCCAGGGGGGCTGGATGGCTTGGTCCCAAGATTTGTCCTCACAGCCCAATACACTGGCTGTTGCAGTCTGCAGCATCACTTCAGGCCTAACATGAACCCATTCTTCCTCAGTGGGTGGAGTTTCCCTGCAGGATCTCCAGTAACTACAGCCAGAGCTCAGGGACAGAATTCGGATCCCCCTGGGCCTGAGCCCCTAGTGGGAGGGGTGGTTGCAGTCTCTGTGGACCAGCAGATTAGCCTCTCCCCCTGGTAGTTCTGAGGAATCTGGGCAGCCCAGATGAGTGGGTTTCTCCCCAGCGAAACACACCCTCTCCAGCAAGGGACAAAGTGCTTTGTTAAACAGGTCCTGCTCCCCATGCCACCCAACTGGGTGAGACCCTCCATTTGTCAGACACCCTATACAGGAGTGATCCTACTGGCATCAGGTTGGTGCATCTTGAGATCAGAGGTCCCAGAAGAAAGAGCGGGCACCCATCTTTGCTGCTCTCCAGCCTCCTTGAGTGACAACTTCAGGCATGGGAGAAAATCAGATAATTAGGGTCTGAAGTGAACCCCCAGCAAACTGCAGCAGCCCTACAGAAGGGGGACGTGACTATCGAAAGAAAAGCAGAAAATGACAACAATGGTATCAACAGCAGCAACAACAACGAAAAGGTGCCTACAAAAACCCCGTCCAAGGGCCAGCAGCCTCAAAGGCTGAAACTAGACACACTCACAAAGATAAGAAAGAATCAATGAAAAAATGCTGAAAGCCCAAAAGGCCAGAGTGCCTCTTCTCCTCTGATGGTTGCTATGTGTCTCCATCAAGGGTGCAGAACTGGACAAAGGATCAGATGGATTAATTGACAGAAGTAGGCTTTGGAAGATGGGTAATAAAAAACTACAGTGAGCTAAAGGAGCATGTTCTAACCCAGTGTAAAGAAGCTAAGAACTTTGATAAAAAGTTAGAGGAAATGCTAACTAGAATAACCAGTTTAGAGAGAAACATAAATGACCTGATGGAGGTGAAAAACACAGCACAAGAACTTTGTAAAGTATACACAAGTACCAATAGCCAAATCAACCAAGCGTAGGAAAGGGTATCAGAGTTTGAAGACCACCTTACTGAAATAAGACATGCAGACAAGAATAGAGAAAAAAGAATGAAAAGGAATGAACAAAGTCTCCAAGAAATATGGGACTTCATAAAAAAGACGGAACCTACGACTGATTGGAGTACCAGAAGGAGACGGGGAGAATGGAAACAAGCTGGAAAACACAAGAGAACTTTCCCAACCTAGCAAGACAGGCCCACATGCAAATTCCGGAAATACAGAGAACACCATTAAGATACTCCACAAGAAGATCAACCCCAAGACACATGATCATCAGATTCTCCAAGGTCAAAATGTAGGAAAAACTGTTAAAGGCAGCCAGAGAGAAAGGCCAGGTCATCTACAAAGGGAAGCCCTTCAGACTAAGAGTGGACCTCTCAGAAGAAACTCTGCAAGCCAGAAGAGATTGGGGGCCAATATTCAACATTCTTAAAAAAAAAGTTTTCAACCTAGAATTTCATATCCACCCAAACTAAGCTTCATAAGTGAAGGAGAAATAAAATCCTTTCCAGACAGGCAAATGCTGAGGGATTCCGTTACCACCAGGCCTGCCCTGCAAGAGCTCCTGAAAGAAGCACTAAATATGGAAAGCAAAAACCGGTACCAGCCACTGCAAAAACACACCAAAATATAAAGACCAATGACACTACCAAGAAACTGCATCAACTAGTGAGCAAAATAACCAAATGGCATCATAATGACAGGATCAAATTCACACATAAAAATACTAACCTTAAATGTAAATGGGCTAAATGCCTCAATTAAAAGACACAGACTGGCAAATTAGATAAGGAGTAAAAACTCTTCGGTGTGCTATATTCAGGAGACCCATCTTACATGCAAAGACACACAGATGGTCAAGATAAAGGGATGGAGGAAAATTTACCAAGAAAATGTAAAGCAAAAAAAAGCAGGGGTTGCAATTCTAGTCTCTGACAAAGGAGACTTTAAACCAACAAAGATCAAAAAAGACAAAGAAGGGCATTATATAATGGTAAAGGGAACAATTCAACCAGAAGAGCTAACTATTCTAAATATATATGTACCCAATACAGGACCACCCAGATTCATAAAACAAGTGCTTAGAGACCTACAAAGAGGCTTAGACTCCCACGCAATAGTAGTGGAAGACTTTAACACTCCACTGTCAGTATTAGACAGATCAATGAAACAGAAAATTAACAAGGATATTCAGGACTTGAACTCAGCTCTGGATCAAGTGGACCTAGTAGATGTCTACAGAACTCTCTATCCCAAATCAACAGAATATACATTCTTCTCAGTGTCACATGGCACTTATTATAAAATCAACCACATAATTGGAAGTAAAATACTCCTCAGCAAATGCAAAAGAACTGAAATCATAACAAACAGTCTCTCAGACCATAGTGCAATCAAATTAGAACTCAGGATTAAGAAACTCACTCAAAACCACACAATTTCATGAAAATTGAACAACCTGCCCCTGAATAACTCCTGGCTGGGTAAATGATGAAATTAAGGCAGAAATCAAGAAGTTATTTGAAACCAATGAGAACGCAGAGACAATGTACCAGAATCTCTGGGACACAGCTAAAGCAATGTTAAGAGGGAAATTTATAGCATTAAATGACCACATCAGAAAACTAGAAAGATCTGAAATCAACACTCTAACATCACAATTAAAAGAGCTAGAGAGACAAGAGCAAACTAATCCAAAAGCTAGCAGAAGACAAGAAATAACTAAGATCAGAGAAGAATTGAAGGAGATAGAAACACGAAAACCCTCCAAAAAATCAATGAATCCAGGAGCTGTTTTTTTTTGAAAAAAATTAACAAAATAGATAGACTACTAGCTAGACTAATAAAGAAGAGAAGAATCAAATAGATACAATAAAAAATGCTAAAGGAGATATTACCACTGACCCCACAGAAATACAAACTACCATCAGAGAATACTATAAACACCTCTACACAAACTAGAAAATCTAGAAGAAATGGATAAATTCCTGGATGCATACACCCTACCAAGACTAAACCAGGAAGAAGTTGAATCCCTGAATAGACCAAATACAAGCTCTGAAATTGAGGCAGTAATTAATAGCCTACCAACCAAATAAAAGCCCAGGACCAGACAGGTTCACAGCTGAATTCTACCAGAAATGCACAGAGGAGCTGGTACCATTACTTCTGAAACTATTCCAAACAATTGAAAAGGAGGATTCCTCTCTAACTCATTTCATGAAGCCAGCATCATCCTTATACCAAAACCCAGAAGAGACACGACAACAACAATGAAATTTCAGGCCAACATCCCTGATGAACATAGATGTGAAAATCCTCAATAAAATACTGGCAAACTGAATCCAACAGCACATCAAAAAAGTTATCCATCACGATCAAGTCAGTTTCATCCCTGGGATGCAAGGCTGGTTCAACATACACAAATCAGTGAATGTAATCTATCACAAACAGAACCAAAGACAAAAACCACATGATTATCTCAATAGATGCAGAAAAGGGCTTTGATAAAATTCAACATCCCTTCATGTTAAAAACTCTCAATAAACTAAGTATTGATGGAACATATCTCAAAATGATAAGAGCTATTTATGGCAAACCCAAAGCCAATATCATATTGTATGGGCAAAAGCTGGAAGCATTTCCTTTGAAAACTGGTACAAGACAAGGATGCCCTCTCTCACCACTCCTATTCAACATAGTATTGAAAGTTCTGGCCAGGGCAATCAGCAAAAGAAAGAAAGAAAGGGTATTCAAATAGTAAGAGAGGAAGTCAAGTTGTCTCTGTTTGCAGACGACATGATTTTATATTTAGAAAACCCCATCATCTCAGCCCAAAAACTTCTTGAACTGATAAGCAACTTCAGCAAAGTCTCAGGATACAAAATCAGTTTGCAAAAATCACACTAATAATAGGCAAACAGAGAGCCAAATTATGAATGAACTCCCATTCACAATTGCTACAAAGAAAATAAAATACCTAGGAATACAACTAACAATGTATGTGAAGAACCTCTTCAAGGAGAATTACAAACCACTGCTCAAGGAAATAAGAGAGGACACAAACAAATGGAAAAATATTCCATCCTCATGGATAGGAAGAATCAATATCGTGAAAATGGCAATACTGTCCAAAGTAATTTATAGATTCAATACTATTCCCATCAAACTACCATTGGCATTCTTCACAGTATTAGAAAAAACTATTTTAAATTTCATATGGAATCAAAGAATACCCCATATAGCCAAGACAACCGTAAGCAAAAAGAACAAAGCTGGAGGCATCATGTTACCTGGCTTCAAACTATACTACAAGGTTACAGTAACCCAAACAGCATGGTACTGGTACCAAAACAGGCATATAAGACCAATGGAGCAGAAGAGAGACCTCAGAAATAACACCATACATCTACAACCGTCTACAACATTGACAATCCTGACAGAAACAAGCAATGTGGAAAGGATCTCCTATTCAGTAAATGGTGCTGGGAAAAGTGGCTAGCCATATGCAGAAAACAGAAACTGGACCCCTTCCTTACACCTGATGCAAAAGTTAACGCAAGATGGATTAAAGACTTAAATGTAAAGCCCAAAACCATAAAAACCCCAGAAGAAAACCTAGGCAATACCATTCAGAAAACAGAGATGGGCAAAGACTTCATGACAAAAACGCCAAAAGCAATTGCAACAAAAGTCAAAATTTGCAAATGGGATCTAATTAAACTGAAAGAGCTTCTGCACAGCAAACAAAACTATCATCAGCGTGAATAGACAACCTACAGAATGGGAGAAAATTTTTGCAATCTACCCATCTGGCAAAGGTCTAATATCCATAATTTATAAAGAATTTAAACATGTTTACAAGAAAAAAGCAAACAACACCATCAAAAAGTGGGCAAAGGACATGAGCAGACACTCCTTAAAAGAAGACATTTATGCAGCCAACAAACTTATGAAAAAAAGCTCAACATCACTGATCAGAGAAATGCAAATCAAAACCACAATGAGATACCATTTCACGCCAGTCAGAATGGTGATTATTAAAAAGTCAGGAAACAATAGATGCTGGTGAGGCTGTGGAGAAACAGGAATGCTTTTACACTGTTGGTGGGAATGTAAATTAGTTCAACCACTGTGGAAGACAGTATAGCAATTCCTCAAGGATCTAGAACCAGAAATACCATTTGACCCAGCAATCCCATTACTCCGTATATGCCCAAAGGAATATACGTCAGTCTACTATAAAGACACATGCACACATATGTTTATTGCAGCACTATTTACAATACCAAAGACGTAGAACCAACCCAAATGCCCATCAATGATAGACTGGATAAAGAAAATGTGGTACATATACACCGTGGAATACTATGCAGCCATACAAAGAAATGAGGTCCTGTCTTTTGCCAGGACACGGATGAAGCTGGCAGCCATCATCCTCAGTAAACTAACACAAGAACAGAAGAACAAACGCTGCATGTTCTCACTCATTAGTGAGAGTTGAACATTGAGATCACATGGACACAGAGAGGGGAACAACACACAGCAGGGCCTGTTGGGGGTTAGGGGGTGAGGGGAGGGAACGTAGAGGACAGGTCAATAGGTACAGCAAACCACCATGGCACACATATCCCTTTGTAACAAACCTGCATGTTCTGCACATGTATTCCATTTTTTTTGAAGAAGTAAAGAAAAATAAATTAATTTTAAAAATGTTTGCTTACTGTTATATTTTAGTACCTTGGGGTCTACCATGAGTTCCTGACAATAAATTTTCATGGAGATGCAGGGCTGGTTTTTCTTTTTGCATATGACAGAGGCCCTAGTAGCTTTATGCAGAAAGAACTACTGGAGACAGCATTTCTCTTAGTGGGTGGTGGGAGTACTTTTAATAAGGACACCCCACTATATGGGTGGTAATTTCGAAATCCCTCACTTAACCTAATTCAGTTATTCCCCTTAGTATCTATAGTATTCAAGAGCAGCTATCTGCAAGTGCACCAACAAATATGTAGACTGGTGAATAATATTCAGGTTTATCCTTAGTTATTACAGACTTTTTTTGCTGGCCAAGGAATGGCAAACATGATTTTCTTCTTTTGAAAGCATCAAGAAAAATCTGTTACATGAGGGAGGATTGAGATGCCCAGGTAATGCATTTCATGCTACTCACCATCTTAGAGTATAGAGGTTTTCTAGAAAGACTGTCTACAAAAATATTATACATGAATTGCTCATACTATGAATGAATAATGTCAATAGTTGCACTATTAATATACTCATGTGCAATACTAATTGCATTTAGAGTGCAAGATCTCAATCTTACACGCTCATTATTAACATTATTTTAACCACGTGAAAGTTTCTTTGAGAGATTTTGAAGCAGTTACCGTCAGTAAGAAGCAATTATAGCAGAGTGATGAAAAGTAGAGGGTTCCTCCTTCCATCTCTTCCTCTCTTTCTCTTTCTCCTTCTTCCTTTTTTTACTCCTTTTGTTCTCTTTGTAGTCTAATAAATTTATTCGAATATATATCTGTTAATTATTCAATGTTCTAAACTTTCTTCAAATATCTTTTCTGTCTCAGGATTTTTGTTTTCTTCCTTAGGAATAGCCACTTTATATACATTAAATCTCCTTTGTATGTTTTTTCTCTACATATATTTGTGGGTACATAGTAGGTGTATATATTTATGGGGGAGTTTGGGATATTTTGATATGGCATACAATGTATAATAATTACATTAGAGCAAATAATATATTAATCACTCCAAGCATTTGTCGTTTGTTTTGCAAACAATCCAATTATATTTGTTTAGTTATTTTAAAATGCACAATTAAATTGTTGTTGAATATAGTCACTCTGTTGTGCTATCATATACTAGATGTTATTCTATTCCCCCTCACCCTAACTCCCCACTCACTACCCTTCCCAGCCTTTGGTAGCCATCATTCTATGCTCTATCTCCATGGGTTCAGTCATTTTAATTTATAGATTCCACAAATAAATGAGAACATGCAAACCTTGTCTTTCTGTGCCTAGTTTATTTTACTTAACATAATGACCTCCAGTTCCATCCATGTTGCTGTGCAAATGACAGGATCACGTTTTTTTAATGGTTGAATAATACTGCATTGTCTATATGTAACATATTTTCTTCATCCATTCATCTGTTGATGGACATGGGTTGCTTCTGAATCTTGGTTATTGTGAATAGTGCTACAAGAAACATGGCCATGCAGATATCTCTTTGATATACTGATTTCTTTTCTTCCAGGTATATATGTAGCAGTGGGGATGGTGGGTCATATGGTAGTTCTATTAATATGTTTGAGGAATCTCTAAACTGTTCTCCATAGTGGTTGTACTATTTTACATTCCCACCAACAATGTACAACATTTCCTTTTCTCCACATCCTCACTGACATTTGTTATTGTCTCTATTTTAGATACAAGCCATTTTAACTGGGATGAGATGACATCTAATTGTAATTTTGATGTGCATTTCTCTGATGATCAATGATGCTGATAAACTTTTCACATATCTGTTTGCCATTTATATGTCTACTTCTGAGAAATGTCTATTCTGATCTTTTGCCTGTTTTTAAATCTTATTTTTAGATTTTTTTTTCTATAGAGTTGTTTGAGCTTGTTACATATTCTAGTTATTAATCCCTTGTCAGATGGAGAGTCTGCAAATATTTTCTCCCATCCTGTGGGTTGTCTCTTTCCCTTGTTGATGGTTTCATTTGCTGTTCAGAAGCTTTTTAACTAGATGTGATCCCATTTGTTCACATTTGCTTTGGTTTCCTGTGCTTGTGGGGTATTGCTCAAGAAATATTTGCCTACTCCAATGTCCTGGAAAGTTTCTCCAACATTTTCTTTTAGTGGCTTTATAGTTTGAGGTCTTAGATTTAAGTTTTTAATCCATTTCGATTCGATTTTTGTATATGGTGAGAGACGGGTCTACTTTCATTCTTCTGCATATGTATATCCTGTTTTCCCAGCACCCTTTATTGAAGAGACAGTTCTTTTCCTATGTGTGTTCTTGGCACCTTTATGAAAAATGAATTCACTTTAGATATATAAATTTGTTTCTGATTGTTTATTCTGTTCCACTGGTTAATGTGTCTCTTTTTATACCAGTGCCATGCTATTTTGTTTACTTTAGCTCTGTAGTAAAATTTGAAGTCAGGTAATGTAATCCCTCCAGTTTTGTTCTTTTTGCTCAGGATGGCTTTGGCTATTCTGGGTCTTTTGTGTTTCCATATAAATTTCAGGATTTTTTTTTCTATTTATGTGAAGAATGTCATGGGTACTTTGATAAGGATTGTGTTGAATCTGTAGATTGTTCTGAGTAATATGGACATTTTAACAATATTGATTCTTCCAATCCATGAAAGTGAAATATCTTTCCATTTTTTGTGTCCTCTTCAGTTTCTTGCATCAATATTTTATTGTTTTTATTGCAGAGATCTTCTGCTTTGGTTAAGTTGATTCCTAGCTATTGCAAATGGGGTTACTTTCTTGATTTCTTTTTCAGATTGTTTGCTGTTCACATAAAGAAATGTTACTGATTTTTATATGTTGATTTTGTAACCAGCAACTTTTCTGAATTTGTTCATCAGTTCTAATAGGTTTTCTGGTGGAGTCTTTAGGTTTTTCCAAATATAAGATCATGTTGACCTCAGAAGGGATAATTTGACTTCTTCCTTTCCAACTTGGATGTCCTTTTTTTTTTTTTTTCTTTCACCTGTCTGATTTCTCTAGCTAGGACTTCCAGTACTATGTTGATTAACAGTGGTAAAAGTGGCCTTCTTGTCGTGTTCTAGATCTTAGAGGAAAGGCTTTTAGTTTTTTCCAATTAAGTATGATATTAGCTGTGTGTCTGTTGTATATGGCTTTTATTATATTGAGGTATATTCCTTCTATACTCAGTTTTTTGAGAGGTTTTTTCATGAAGGGATGGCAAATTTTATCAAATGCTTCTTCAGCATCTATTGAAATGATCATATAGCTTTTGTCCTTCATTCTGTTGATATGATGCATCACACTGATTGATTTGCATTATGTTGAATCATCCTTGCATCCCTGGGATAAATCCCACTTGGTTGTGATGAATAATCTTTTTAATGTGTTGTTGAATTCAGTGTGTTATGTTCATTTCTATTTCACTTTTAAAACCTTGTATGTCTTACACGGTTTTGGTAGTATCTTTCCTCCTTTGTGTTGATTCAAATGTGGTCTGCCTTTATGCGATCACTTTATTTTTCTAAAAAAATATGAGAAATAAATATGATCATTTGATTTATCTCTGAGCTCTGAGACCTCATCTTAGCAGAGGTTTCTCTACTCAGCCTCTCTAACTCACTGGTTTATGCAAATGTGGCTTGTTTCTCATAACACATACATTGATCACTTAATGAATTATAACTATAAAATGTAGTCCCGCTGTCAATTGCCACCTTGAAATTAGTTGGAATTTTTTTTTAAATGTACACTCTATCACACAATGTTTTATGTTACATTGCAATTGCCAGTTTATTTTCTTTTCCCTCAAATTGTTTATAAATTCTTCAAAAGCAGTAACCATAACTTATTTTTCCTTGAATCTCTGGTGCCTAACATAGTGCTTGGAACATTGTAGGTACTCAATAAATAAGAATAACTTCTGTAAGTAGGTAAGGAAATTAAGCAGAAGGGGGTGATTAACAATGCAATAAGGAAGCAGGGAAGGTTTTACAAAGGAGGTGACATCTAAATTTGGTTTCGAAAGATTAGGAATTTTTCAGGACAATAAGGCAGGAAAATTAGTTGCTTAGCCAATACAACATTATAAGCAAACTTGCAATGCATCTTTATTGGATTTTAATGATTCTCTCCATCTCTGAACTAGTCATAGTGTTCTTTTTGACTGAGTCTGGTTTTTGTGCTGATGTCTGGATCCTAAGGTGGAGTGAGTACCATTCCAAATGACATAGGCTAAAAATAAGGAATGAATGTACTCTGTAATATAGAATCAGAAAAGTGGGAATGGATGTTGGGAAGGCAAAAATAATACATGTCTAATGATGTAACTCCTGGCTATTTATGATCCAGATACATTCTTTCCTTAACATATAGAATTTCAAAAGCTTTTCATGTAGCTTTATGCAATTTTGCTATCTACAAGAGATGCTTATTCCTTCCCAAGGAAGAGAAAAAAAACCAAAGCTATCTAAAGTGGCATTCATCTCAATGTGATGGTCACTCATCTTGATCAGATTCAACCTAGCTCCTCATAGTCTGGAGAGCTGGGATAAATGTTCAATGCAAACACTGCCAAACCACCTGTCTGATAGAAGGAAAATAGACACATTCAAATAAAAATAACACTAAAAAATTTGCAACTCCATAGGATATAACACATTCTGCTAATGTGAGAAAGCAAAAATTTACCAAGCTGGATTCTACCATTTTATCTTCTTGTCGATTTTTAATTGTTCTCTGCTACCACATTAGAGATGAGCACTGAGAAGATGCCTCTAAAAAGAGGCACAAAAGTGCAAGTTTGGAAATATGAGTTTTTATCACAGGTCTTTGGGTTCCAGGCTTGGGATTTATCTGAGTGTTTTAGTTTTGTTGTTGTTGTTAACTTGGGCTAATAAGCAAAGTCAAATCTTTTCAAATGATTGTCCAAACTTGTACTATGGTTTGGGATTATCCATCTCTTAGAAACTACTCAGTACTCTGGTCAGACCCTAAGCTCTTGGAGTAATGGCCTCTGTTAGCATATCTCTTGGGTCAAAATGCCTGCTGGGAGAAGGCACAATCTGCTCCGGCTTACAGGCTTCACCCCAGTGATGGCCTTTACAGTGGGTGAAATTGTCACCATGAATAAGCAAGGAGTGATGAGCAGAAGGTATTTAGGAAGTAGCAAAAACATATTTCCTTCCCTATCTGTATTCTTTAACTGAAGTTTCCTCTTTCTTATTGAATTTTATTGAAAGATGCAAGACATTACCATCACTCAGATTAGCAGCCTTGGCAAAGAAAGGTTCTCTTACTCATTGATTTTAGCCTTCTGATATTTCTTAGGTGTGTTAGTTCCTTAGGAATACTATATCAAATTACCATAAACTCTAGTTTGGCTTAAAACAACAGAAGTTTATTCTCTCTCAGTTTAGGAGGCTAGGGGTCCAAAATCAAGAAGTTGGCAGGGTCATGCTCCCTTGGGATGGTCTAGAGGAGAATCCTTCCTTGTGTCTTCCAGCTACCTGTGGCTCCTATTGCTTCTTTGCTCATGGCAGCATCACTCTAGCCTCTGCCTCCACAGTCAAATGACTGCTTTCCCTGTGTGTCTATGTCCAAATCTCCCTTTCCTTATAAAGATACCAGTCATTGGTTTAAGGCCCACCGTAATCCAGTGTGACCTTATTTTAGCTTGATGATATCTACAAAGACTATTTTCAATTAAGGTCACATTATTCTGAGGTTCTAGGCAGATGTGAATTTGGGGAGACGATGTTCAACTCAGTACGTGAGATATTGCCAAGTTCTTTCTCTGCCTCGAGCCTTTGCACATGCAAAAGTAGCTAACATTCATTAATTCTGTCAGTTCTCAGATTAAATATCACCTCCTCAGAGAGATCTTCTATGTCTAATCTAAGGTAACCTCATTATTCTCTATAGTAGTACCTCTTCAGTTCCATTCTTTGCGCTTATCACGTGTAATTGTTTGTATATTTGTTTACTTTCTACTTCAGAAGAATACAATCTCCCTGAGATTGCAGAGCCCATGTCTATTTTATGTACTGTTTTAGCCTCAGCGTTTGGTATTATTCTTGACACACAGTAGAATCTCAATAAAAAGTGTCGTAGAAATGAAATGGATAAATGAATAAATGAATGATATAGCTGACTATACACAATGTTTTTTTGAATCATACTCTTATAAACATTTTGCATTTTGGTCTAATAAATGAATACTTTGCTCTAATAAATGAATACTTTGCTGAGTCAATATCTGTATAAAATACTGATGGCCTTCTATGTGGGGTGATATGTAGGAGAAAATATGAGAACAAACTAGATTCAATACTTGTCTCCCAGAAGCTTATAATTTAAGATATAAGATACAGATTTTATGAGAAAACAATAATCATCCTTAGGATTTTTTACCCCAATGGTGACATTAATTCAGCAGCTTCTACATGTTCAAAAATTTGCGACATTTTAGGTTTGTGTGTGGTTTACATTCTTCCAAAGTTTACACTGAGCAGCAATAATCAAGGGTCTCTCAGAGGGCCTCGCACATGATAAACACTCAATAAATATTAGTTGAATAAGTGAATGAATGATAGTTCATAAAATGCCTATAATGAAAATTAGGGGCAGAAGAGGAATAAAATCATTATCTGTCAGGAACAGACACAGTATTTGCAAAGCTTAAACTGATGGGAACCATTAATACCTACGGTATTCATGAGGTGTTATCCTACCATAATTTCCAGTTAGACTGGCTTGTATGTGGTAAAGTCTGTCTTAACTGTTCAAAAATTTACATTCAAAATGTGCATCGAGGGGTGCAAAAGTGACAACAGACTAATCTGGACTCCTCTCTTTTTAATTGGGAGACATTCTGTGACCCCTTTCAAACAGGGATTGAACAGTAGGTTTTACTTGTTTTTCAGTTAATTAAATTCCCTTTTTGATGAGCTGGAAAAAGCTTAGTAGTATACTAGAAAATAGACGATGTGTGAAAAATACCAAGTTTCATATAACCTATGAACTAGATTGCAATGGAGCATTTAAAAATAAATAAATATATATATATGTATATATTTATATATATTCTTGTTCTCTGCTAGATAAGCGGAGCGAAATTTGACTTTTTTGACATGCTACTAAACATGTCTCATGACAATTTGAGCCATCGTGTTGGCAGTTTTCTTGGCAAAAGGCCTGAGGCTATCTTACTAATTTATTAGCATTGCCATGCACATTTGAGCTTTCTTTCTGTAGTTCTTTCACTCTCATTCTCTTGGACCCTTATATTTAGTTTCCATATTAGGAGTTAACAATGTTTCTTCTTTTTAATCCACCTGCTTCTAGATGAATAATTTTAGCCATCACTGTCCAGGAACCCTTTGAAATTCCTTTGTTTACAGTCACACAGCTGTATCCTGATACTGAGACCACATTGGAGGCCCTTAGTAACATGCTTCTATTGTCTGTCCTGGGAAGCACGTCCTCCTTGCATATATGTTTCTTTCAAATTATTTTTTCTTGAGTTTTTTTTACATAATCTCAAACAGTCAAG